>NC_000001.11:226083649-227321006 GCF_000001405.40 Homo sapiens | reverse complement strand
TTGTATTGGGGACTAGGCTTAATGATTTCTGTCCTGCCTTCTTCTTTCCACCTTCCTACCTTCTTGTCTTCTCCTGTCCTCTTTCTTTTCTGAATGGTCAGATTAATTCCCAGCATCTTCATAAAACATTCTCTGATTATTTCAAACAAATTGGGTGTTTGCAGTGGTATACATCTAATCTCCAGGCCCCCAAGCAGAATTTCACAAAGAAGACCTCCTCCAGACTATTTTTCCCCAAAGAATACCCTGCGAGGCAGCCTGTGGCACTCTTGTTTTGCAGGAACACTTCAAGCACTGTACAGCTGCTGGGCTGTGCCTTTCTTTGGCTTAAGACCGGTTTCATTAACAAGCATGTTCACACTTCAACCGGAACATTTAAAATAACACCCGCACAATGTGTTTAGTGTCTAGTTAATTATTAAGTCTCTGAGCTTGAATTATTCAAGCAAAATTGATTGGGTTCAAGCTCCTTCCTTCTCTTTGTGTGTGTGTTTTTTAAAATAAAAATAAATTCTGCTCTCTACTTTCTAAATAATGTGGAAAGGGTTATTTAGCAACCATCAATACCCTGGACTGTGGGTGGTACCCAAGCGCTAATAGAATAGGTAAAGAACTGACAGCTTGACTCTTTTGTTAAAAAAAAAAAAAGTATCTACATCTCATATACTTCCATTGTCAATTAGCATTTAGTGAGACCTAACATGTTTTAGGTTCTCCTTTAAACTTCTTTCTAGTTATTTGTAAGTTGGAAAAGCAGGTATCTTGGAGCCATTTCTTTAGTTAACCGTACTTGAAAAAGCAGAAGAAATTGCTTCCTTCTTTGCTACCGCATCTTATGGTCAAATGAAACTGTTAAAATTGGCTTCACCATTAAAATCCATGTTGTTGAAGAATGTTTGTTGAACTGAAAAAATGTCCATAATATATTGCTAATTGCAAGCAAGAGGCTATAAAACTCTTTTATTATGTATCATTTTTGTTAAAGTGCATAGGAAAAAGACTTGAATAATAAACACCAAAATATTGCTTATTATCTGTGTTAGGATTAAACTTTTCTACTACTTTTAGAATTAGACAACACACACCCATATAAAGATGTCATGGCTGGAAATGACTGACCTTTTGTTTGAATCTAAGTATCATTCATGTCAAGACCGCATTGAAAATAATGCTGTTCTTAAGCCAGGCAAGTGTAGACGTTGTAG
Source organism: Homo sapiens (assembly GCF_000001405.40). NCBI lineage: Eukaryota > Metazoa > Chordata > Mammalia > Primates > Hominidae > Homo > Homo sapiens. Next base: position 227,319,801 of record NC_000001.11, on the reverse strand, counting down.
ATTTCATAAAAGATTCACACTATTTCATGAATCACAACTTGAATCGACTTCTGTTAGCCTTCATTTTACGTCTAGGCCCTCATTTCTAATTCTTCCTCAGCTTCCATATTATCAAGATGTAAGATGCAATTGTGGACATGAACATAGAAACACAACCGCCTCACAGGTGTGGGGAAGGAATATAAAATAATTGTATTTTAGAGAACGACCATAAAGGAGATGGCAATTTTGAGAGAAAGTAACAGAACTGCAATGACCTAGTTTTGTGGTGTTAATTTAAATGTGGCATCTTCCATGAGAATTTTATAAAGGGAGCTCTCCTAAAACCGAGATTCACAAAAACCTGGAAGGGCCCTACAGGGATCAGGTGCCCTAGCTATTCAGCGATTTGCCTTTGCTTCCCTAATTCCTGCATTGTGCCACTGGGTTACAAGTGTGTGTGCGCATGCACACAGGGGTGTAGGTTTGATGACAGTGGTGAACTGCCTTGACTGCCTTCACAGGCTGAATCCCCCGCAGGCAGTAACCATGGCTAGGGAAAAACAGGCAGCCGCGAGGACAGTTCCGGAGGAGACAACACCAGGCTCCCGTAGGGAAACTTTTGGGAATGGAGATGGGGGATTCCATCCTTTGCGTGCAGACCCAAGACTTCGATGGTAGCTCGGACAAGTCTGTCATTGTTTTTGTCCTGGGAAATGACACACGAAGTGCTGTAATTAGACACCTAAGAAACGATTACTCTGGAGTGTGCGCGAACCGAATCTGGGGGGCCGGTGGGGAGCAGGTAAGGGGCTGAAAGGCACCGTCTCCTCCAGCTCTGTCGGAAGCCTAAAGCCCTCTGCTTCTGGGCGCCCTTAACAAACGCGCCAGACAGGTGATGTCTCCGAGGACGAGCAGGAGCCCCCCTTCGCGATCTGCACCAGAAGCCTCGGGGAGCCGGGGCCACGGCGCGGCGGTGGCGCAGTTCCCAGCCTGCGCCCAGTCCCGCCGCAGCTCCCGGCGCGGCCCGGTCATCCCGCCTCCATATGCTCCGCCACCGCCGCCCGGGCCTCCCTCAGCCCTCCCGCAGCTCCGCATTCCACGCTGCGGCAGCCGCAGCCTCGCCGCCTAGGCAGTCCACACCCCTCCCCTCGGGCTGGCGCAGCCACTCGGGCCCCGAGCCCGCGCCCCCTTGGGGGCCTCCGCTGGGCGCGCCGGCCGGACCCCGCCCGGCTTGGCCGCCGGCTGGGGCTGAGGCTCGGGCAGGGCGGGGGCGGGGAGTGGAGGGCGTGTGCGCGCGCGTGTGCCGGGGCCGGGGGGCCAGGCCGCCATATTGGATCCAGACTCGTCCGCAAGCCTCCGCCTCTGTGCGGCGGGACTGGAGGAGCCTCGCTGAGCCCAGGGCGCGAGCGCGAGAGGAGAGGGAAGGCGGGGGAGGGCTGGAAGGGAGAGGAAGGGAGTGGTTGGGAGCCGGGCTGCCGCAGCCTCTAGTCTCCTCAGCCGCGGAAGCGACCCCTCCTCCTGCGCCGGGCCGCCTCCCTCCTCGCTGTGGAAAGATGCCCTTAGCCCAGGGGTGTGAAGAAGGGGGAGAAGTAGCTGCCAGAGCCGCCCGCGCCGCCGCCGCAGCTGCTGCTGCTTGTGTCCTTTGAATTCAGAGAAGCACCCCCCCGCCTGGGGCGTCGGGAGCCTCCGGCGCGGCGGCCCGGTGCGGGTGTCGGGGAGACCGGGCTCTCTGCCCGGCGCGGCGCGGCGCGGCTCGGCCCACGAGCGACCACCGACATGGAGTGGGCTCGGGCGGCCAAGTAGCCGCTTCTCCGGAGCCCGGTGCCAGTGCCGCCCGCAGCCCGCCTTCCACCCCCGGCCGCGCCGCCGGTCAGGCCCTAGGGTGAAGCCGGGAGGAAAATGAAGAGTTTTCACCGGAATCCGTTGAAAATAGGACTGACTGCAAAGCCTTAAAGAAAGAAGGACCTCGGGAGGAGAAACGAAAAGCCGCCTCCGGGCAAGACTTGGCGTGCTCCGAGCCGAGGGGCTGCTTCAGGGACCTCGCCCCCTCCCTTTCCCGCTGGAGAAATTGCCGCTGATGCATTATCCAAGTGGTGGTTGGGAGGATTTGCAGCAACATTTTTGGTTTTCCCTCCCCCTTCTATGCATTCTGTTTTTTTCCTCCCTTTTCTGTTTTTCTTCTTCCCGGGAAGTGAATTGCTGATGCAAATCGGACTTTATTCATTAATGATGCAACCGGATTCGTTTCAGGATTACGTTGCACGAGTTGAATTTTGAATGAAGGAGAAGAGTTTTTTTTTTTTTTTTTAAAGAAGTGTTGACTCTCTAGTTCGTTGTACTTTTAATTATTATTTTATTTAAATATACGACTTAATTGTATTCTTTTAAAAATGCATTAAGTATATATTTTATGGTAATTTACCCTCAAAATATATGTATATGGGTGAAATTGAAGACGCTTCAGTTAAGTGAGGTTACTGGTGTGTTGGATGTTTAATTCAGCACCAGCATTGCATGACAGTTGTTTGAATAACAAGTGGTTTATTTTTAAAACCATACCTTTTAAAATTTAGGTTCAGATAATAGTAAAAGTCATCATAATAATTTAAAGGAAAACCAGCAGAAATCGAAGCAAACATGTCTGGAGAAGTGCGTTTGAGGCAGTTGGAGCAGTTTATTTTGGACGGGCCCGCTCAGACCAATGGGCAGTGCTTCAGTGTGGAGACATTACTGGATATACTCATCTGCCTTTATGATGAATGCAATAATTCTCCATTGAGAAGAGAGAAGAACATTCTCGAATACCTAGAATGGGGTAAGTTTGTAATTTTTAAAGAAACTGTTAATCTTTAGCTGGTCATTATGATTTAATTGGTATAGAGAGTTATGAGTAAACTCTACTCCGTTCAAAGAAAAAATACAATAAAAAAACAGACACTAGTTATTCAAGATTTTCCGCTAGTTTTTGGTAAATATTTTCCCAGGAGTAGAATTGTGCTGCTCAATTGTTGCCTTGATTTAAGGCCTAGCTAATGTGGAACTTGGCTATGAAGAACTTATGTTTTTAGGTCAACAGTAAGAGATTTTAAATCAATTCTGTGATGGGCAAAAGTGGATTATTGGTTACAGTTGCCTAATACATGGCACTATAATAGTCCTTCATTTGAAAGGTATTTATTGGTGGAAACATTCAGACTATGGAAATTATTCTCAAAATAGGAGGAGATATTAAAATATCTGTGTTTGCCTTAGGTCAACAGAAAGCTGAAGGTGGTGATCAGTGGGTTTTATTTCATCTCTACATAGTACAAGGAAAGGAAACTGCTAAACATGGACTTTCCAAAAATTATGTTTGTAAGATTAAATGACATAGTTTAAAAATCTTGTGATAGTAGTTAGAGAATGTTTGGGGGCAGCTTCCACTTGAGAGTTAGATTTTACTCGAAAGTTAATTTAAATCTAAACTGGTTAGGTTTTTGGCTTCATTCTTCTAAATATAGATGTGATTTAGAAGACCTACTGTAGTGGAATAGATCAATGATGTGAGCAAACGCTCCATGACCTTCAAGCTTGAAGGCTTGGCTCAAGTTCTTCAGCGTCTGCTGTTACATACAGGGCACATTCTAAGGTCCAGAAGTTCACTGTTGCAATAAGCACGCATCGTCACCCAGATCTGTCTGTAGTAGTGGTACGTTGGCTTTTGAAGGATTTTGGCCAAATATGATTTTGTACCTTTGGAATACTAATCATTTTAGTTTGTTCTTATGCTAAGTTCTTATGCTAAAATATCTGTTCCCAAGTAAAACTTTATTTTCCTGAAGTAAAAGTCAAGTGCTGATTGTGTCTTTTTTTTTTTTTTTTTTTGGATTTGAAATTTATTCAAAGTTAGTTTCTCAGGTAAACCACTGATACAAGAATGTCTACACGTAATAACTTTAATTATTCAATTTGCCAGTATAAGAAGGTTTCTAGCAATGTGATGTCATAAGGTTTAAAAAAATATGTAAATGTGAATAGAATAACTTTTCAAAACAGACTGCCAGACTCATCCTGGGAATGTAAGAAATCTAAACCATCTTTCAAGTAACTTCTCACTTAAGAGTGAGACAATTTTGGCTTTGGTACTGGTTTTGTGAGTATACGTCTTTTATTTGTTGAATAAAGTATTTTGTAAAGCATATGTAGTTTTACATCCCATGTTTCACAAATTGAGAAATTCTGTAGTGTTAATTTTTTTTTTTAAGACTTAAAGGGTTTTGGTACTTTTAGAGTTGGAACTTGAGTTCTTAAGTTATGGTTCCTTAATGACACTCTAGTCTGTGATTTTTGTCATTTAGTATTCTTTCCTATCTGCGAAGCTATGGGAGAACTCTATGTACCAGTAGTAAATATAATTTTAAATGATTTATGATAAAGAGAAAACTGTATCCTCCATTGCCTTCTGATTATTAGAGTTTAGGTAAGTAGTTTTATGTTATGAGATATTTCGCTGTATTATCAGAATAATTTATATATATTTTCCATTAAATATGTTTTCTTGGATGTTGTTTCTTATATATGTATAAGAACACCTCATTTATGTATATTTTTATATAAGCCAAATATCAAATAAGTATTTGGCTGAGTATTATTTTTATTAGTATGGAAGTCTGGATAAAGAGTAAAAAGAAAGTTAAGAATGGAAAAGGCTGTCAGGAGTTGCGTAGTGAGTAGTGGTATTTGCTGTCTTTAAGTTATTTGAGAATTTAGGTTAAGAGTGCCAGTCTATTTAAGAATTGAAATAGATCAGATGTTCTTCATATGAATTGATAACTGCATTTTGGGGAAATGTCCTATTTTATTTTAATTACTTAACAATATGTGAAAATCAGTTAAGACTAAGAATATTTCCAAATTGTGAATTGACCTCAGTTCAGTGTTCTAAACATTATTTTTTGGGACTCTGGTGGAAATTTACAGGGATTGTTGTTGGGGTTAAATTTGGTAATTTAGATTTGCCTTAAATGGTGTAATTTTAAGTTTAATTTTTAATAATTGAAAAAATATTGTCTTTTATTTAAATCTTTAAAAGACTATTTGCAACAGGAACGCAGTATTAATAACACAAGTTGTTACATATTTGTGTTCGTTATTTATATTAATGAAAGTGTCAGCTAGATGCTACTTATCTTTATGCTGATGATAGATTACTCTTAAAGTACAGTCAGCCAAGATTCTTACCGGCTGTATTCAGCTTCATTTCTATCAATTTCATTTTATTCCTAGTTTTAGTCCATTTTATTTTTATATTGGTACAGTTAATGTTTTGTTCATAGCAGTATCAAAACAATAAGAAAACTGACAATTCAAAGTCAGATATGTTGTTTTTCTTTGACAGCCTTTCTTGCTTTTGGTGCTGATGGCTTGAGGGAGGAAATAAGTGGAAAGAGAAAGAGAGGATTAAGCCAATGATCACTAGAGCAAGGGAATAAAAGTGCCTTAAGACTATAGATCACATTTAAATTTAATAAGATGTATTATTTTTCATTTATAGTAAATAGTATTTGAAAGACTATGTTTTTTGTCTGCTTAGTTTTAAGTTGTTGAAATGATTATGGTTTGTATGTTTGTGTATACAGTAATAGTCGATGTCAGCATAACTCTAGAATAAATTACAGTGGAGTTGTAGAAGTAAAAATAACTTCCACATTGTAAACTAATTTGCTAGTAATGACTGAATTAGTATATCATTCGTTAAATCGGCCACCCCCTACTTTGAAATGGGAAATTGGAATTTTGGGGAATTATTTACCAATTTACTTAATAAATGTAAGATAATATTAATACAAAATAAATATGCAAGGCTGTCTGTACATGGATAACTATTTTGATGCTTTTTGAATTTTGGACTTTGTAACATACAGAAATTATCACTAAATAACTAATTTTATAGCTTATTCAGATTTTGTATATACATAGAAAATAGTCTGTTTAATAAATTTGTACCTAGAGCATATCAGCAGGTACTATGCTTTAAGCTTTTCTTTTTATTAGTATAGTTTTAAAGCTGTTCACTTTTTTTTTATGACACGAGTGTTAATTAAGTGAGGTGTTGATGGATATGTATCTTTTCTAGGACACTTTTGTTCTTCACATATGCTGTTCCTCATTGTTAGCTTTTCCTGAGTAGAATTTATTAATTAATCAGTCCGAATTATCAAAATGTTCACTTAATACAGATGATTACATTTATTTTATTTAAGTTCTCAACTAGAATAATCAGCAATATTGGTTGGGTACTTGTTTCCTTTATACTAGCCACCTAATATTCTATTCTAGGAATGATAATGAGTAATTACAATTATTTTATCTAGTACAATGCTGGCACATGGTAGAAGTGTGTTCAATAGATGTAATGGCTATTATTATAACATTTCTGTTTGTCTCTCTCTTTTTAAGAGAAATTACACTTAGAGGTAGTTGCCAGATGATACTGGTTACTGGCATTCATGATGGAATAGCATAGGAGTGATGCTGTTGATAAAATTACATCTAGGAAAAATTCCCTATAAAGTAGAGTGAACTTAGGTATAATGAACTAGTGCTGTTAACCCCTAAAGTCTTTGAAATACTTGATGTTCATTAGTAATTTTTTTGTTTTTAGGAACATCACCCTTTTATATTATGTATTGATTTATTTTAGAGACAGGGTTGTATTATAATTGTTTTTAGGAACATTACTCTTTTTATTTTATGTATTGCTTTATTTTAGAGACAGGGTTTTGTTAGTCTGTTCTCGCATTGCTATAAAGAACTACCTAAGACTGAGTAATTTATAGAGAAAAGAGGTTTGATTGGCTCACAGTTCCGCAGGCTACAAGGAGGCATGCAGGGGAGGCCTCAGGAAACTTGCAATCATGGTAAAAGGCAAAGGAGAAGCCGACCCCGTCCTGCATGGCTGGAGTGGGAGGAAGAGAGAGAAGGGGGAGATGCTACACGCTTTTAAACAACCAGATCTTGTGAGAACTCACTCACTATCACAACACAAAGGGGAAGTCTGCCCCCATGATCCAGTCACCTCCCGCCAGGTCCCTCCTCCAACACTGGGATTACAGTTTGACATGAGATTTGGGTGACGGCACAAATCCAAACCATGTCAAGGGTCTTACTGTGTTACCTAGGCTGGTCTTGAACTCCTGGGCTCAAGAGATCCTCCCACCTCAGCCTCTTAAAGAGCTGGGATTACAGGCATGCACCACCACACCCAGCTTTTTTAAAAAAGGAATGTATTGCTTCATGAGTGAAAACAGGATGTCAGGATTAACACTTTAGGAATTTTAGACATATATTTATTTTATATGGAAATGTAAGGCATACCTTAGTATAGCAGTATATAAAAACAAATAGTGCAGTATGTTGGAAATTTTATGAAATGTCCCATAATTCCTAGGACTTGAATACTATTACACAGTAAGCTCAGGCTATTTTAGGATAAAATAATTTAGCTCAAATAAATATTTTATTGTACCACTCTTTTATGGCAGTCAAAAATTTATTCTCTGACCTTTTTCTCATTTGGTACATTTATTGACAGTATGTTACGTATGTAGCTCATTGTTTTTCTCCTGCTGGTTGTGATAGGTTTTAAAACCAATTACTAAGTCTAACCAGCATTTAAAAAAAATTAAAGACTAGAATAGAAAATATAAAGTACATCAAATATAGAAGGAATAAGTATTGTTGTGCAAAACATTGTGTTTTCCTGTAGTCCTTATTCCCATATTTCTTACTATAGGTTGAGATAAAAATAGTTTGAAATACTTCAGTGTAGGTGCAGCTATGCTATGTTGACTGTTAAACAGTGAAAATATAGACAGTTCATTTTTTCAAAAAGGACACACGATAGATTAGGGACTTACTCAAGAACCTAGTGAAGGGAAAGAGTGTAAGGTATGGGCAAGATACAGACTTGGAAATAGATGGGAAGAGGAGACATGGGGGAGGGAGAAAAAGAGAATGAGTAGGGAGAGGGAGACAGAGAATGAGAATGAATACTGTGTTCCTGAGTTGCTACTTCAGTCTGACTTGTTGAATGATAGGGTATTTTTTTTTTTTATGATTGGGTATTTTTAATTTAAAAGAACTTAATGGGCAGGGGAGTTAATTTCACTCTTGTATTTCTTTCAATGGTTTATTGTCTCTTCCTTTGTTTTTTTCCGTTTCTGAGTTTGGGCTAATGGGCATTGACTTTGATTGATTGTCAGAGGTATATACGTTTTTGAGTTTGAGTGATAACCATATGACCTATAAACAAAGGTAGTAGTTTCTTGGTTTTAGCTTCTCATCACTTCAGCTGAACTCTAGGGTAGATGTAGGTGAGGATTTGCTAGTTCTATCAGATTTTTTCTCATCATTTGTTGCTCAGGAAACTGCCAGTTTTAGGTATCGAGGACCAAGAATTGCTTAGCTCCTTTTGCCCTGTCTTGATGAGTCAAGAAGTCTTTGCATAATAATTGTTATGAGAGACCATCATGGCTCACTACAGCCTCAACCTCCTGGGCTCAGGATCCTCCTGTCTCAGCTTACCAAGTAGCTGGAGCTACAAGCATGTGCCACCATGCCCAGCTAATTAAAAAATTTTTGTGTGTGTGGAGATGGGGGGTCTCATTATGTTGTCCTGACTGGTCTCAAACTCCTGCCCTCAAGTGATCCGCCTGCCTTGGGCTTCCAAAGTGTTGGAATTGCAAGTGTGATCATCTGCACTTCGTGTGATTTTTGTTTTTGAATTACCCACACTGTAAGTATGGATTATCCCAGACACAAGTTTTTTGTTGTATATAAAAACTCCTTGGCCGGGTGCGGTGGTTTACGCCTGTAATCCCAGCACTTTGGGAGGCCGAGGTGGGCGGATCACGAGGTCAGGAGATTGAGACCATCCTGGCTAACATGGTGAAACCGCGTCTCTACTAAAAATTCAAAAAAAAAAATTAGCCGGGCGCGGTGACGGGTGCCTGTAGTCCCAGCTACTCAGGAGGCTGAGGTGGGAGAATGGCGTGAACCCAGGAGTCAGAGCTTGCAGTGAGCCGAGATCGCGCCACTGCACTCCAGTCTGGGCGACAGAGCAAGACTCTGTCTCAAAAAAAAAAACAAAAAACAAAAAAAAAAACTCCTTTCCAAATCTGGGGGACTTCCTTTTCTTCTCCATTAATGGTGAGTAGAACTCCAGGATTATTCTTTCTAGCTAGCTTCTACACACTTCCTTCCTATGACTGCCATCTCTTTTTCTAATCAGTACGTAGGGAATGGCTAATCTTCTATTGGCTAGTGTTTCTTTATCTATCACTGTATGAGAGCAGCACTTTAGCTTTCATGTTAACGGGGCACAAAGACCTGGCTCCCCCTTTCCAATCCCACTGTTTGCCTTTACTCTTCCTCATGGAACTGTTTGCTTCTCTTTTGGGATTAGGGCCTCTTCACTCTAACCTCCCTCCCTAGTTTCAAAGTGTGTTCTGGAAATCCATGGGATATTTAATAGATGCTTGAGCAAGGGGAAAGGTTTATATGAATAAATCAGTTTGGGAAAAGATTTTAGACAACATTTAATGTTAAAAATACAGCAGATTATCCTAGAATTTATGAAGTTTATCTGACTATGGAATAGGCTTTTTTTCAGAGCGTCTGGAGGATGGCTGGCAACCAGTGTTTCACAGAATACGCTTTGGGAAATGTTCTTCCAGTATAAGGTCATGGTTTTCCTTGTAACTTCCTGAGTAGCAGGGTTAGAAAGAAATTTTGAGAGAAATTTGGGATATCGTGTGGATTGGAGAGAGAATCCAAATCTGAATAGGTTATATTTTACTTAGTGGCTGTGAACTTCATTTTCTGTGTGAAAGTCATGTGCACTGAAAGATAAATTTAATCATGGTGAAATAACATGAGTGATGCTGTTGGTAAAATTACATCTAAGAAAAGCACCCTAAAAAGTAGAGTGAAATTTGACATCATAATGAACCACTGCTGTCAACCCCTAAAGTCCTTGAAATTACTGAGAGATCTCTTAATTATGACCTTTTCCTGCTCTAATTAAGCTTACTTTTCTTTATGTGTAGGCATTTACATTAAATACAGAAATTGTCACTTTATTTTTTACAGCTTTCATTACTGTAGATGTTGCAAAACTATTGTCTATCTGAAGAGATTACATTCATTACTTTGTGATTTTTAAGAGGAAAATATCATGGACTCATAGTTTTAAAATCCTGTTACAGTGTTAAGTATTGTTTTTTGCAGTGTAACACATTTTGGCTAGGCCATTGGTTTCAGACTTTTGGACTAGTGTGGGAACTTTACTACTATTTATTACATCCATGAAGCGCTGTGTTTCTAGTGCCAGCAACTATTTATATATACTGTTAAGGAAACTAGAAAATATATACTTTTATTAAGGAGAAAACATAATTGGTGCTATTTTGGCATTGTGTGAACAATTAAAGCTGTGGTTACTATTAACTTTTGTTCAGAGTTTTTGGGAGGCCAGATAATAATCATAGAGGACAATCTAGTTTCATTGTTTAAAGACAGACAGCATATAGGGGAATAAAATTAGTTTTCTTGCTTATTTTTTTTTTTTTTTTTTTGGTAGAGATAGGGTCTCACTATGTTGTCCACGCTGGTCTTGAACTCCTAGCCTCAAGCAATTCTCTGACCTTGGCCTCCCCAAAGTGCTGGGATTACAGATGTGAGCAGCCGCACCTGGCCTTTTTTCTTTTTTCTGATTTAGATTTATTTTTCTCTTTAACTCTTCCTCACCAGTGCCATTCTTCCCACTCCTGATCTAATTATACTGCAAAGTACTACTTATATGGATGAAAACAATCTTTTGAAAAGATTGTGAATTATTTCAGTCATGTGCAATCATGTGTTAACTTTCAGTTTTATTTCAGATTGCTTAAACGTCACTGTAGGCTTAATCAAAGACAAAAACACCTTCTGTTTAATTTGGTCTATTCATAGTGATAACACTTAATCCAGTTTCCTTAGAGTTTCCATGGTGAATATCTACAAGTAGAACACCTAACCTGAAATGTTTCTGTTCTAAACCAATATACTGGAAAAGAGCAAGGGGTTTTGGATTAAGACTGACTGCTTTGATTATTAACTGGGTGATTTAGTTATTTAACCTCCCTATGTCTCTTTATGAAAAATGGACATAAGACTAATAGTTTATTTTTCTAAAAAGTTAAAAGTTGGTTTAGGATTCTTCCTTTTCTGGTGATTTATGGTTGTATTTTGTCAGCTTGCTTCCCATTCTGTTTTTTTTTTTTTTTTTTTGAGATACAGTCTCACTGTGTTGCCCAGGCTGGAGTGCAGTGGCGTGATCTTAGCTCACTGCAGCCTCTACCTCCCGAGGTCAGGCAATTCTTCTGCCTCAGCCTCCCAAGGAGCTGGGACTACAGGTGCACGCTGCCATGCCTGGCTAATTTTTTTCTTGTATTTTAGTAGACACAAGGTTTCACCATGTTGCCCAGGTTCATCTTGAACTCCTGAACTCAGGCAATCCACCGGGCTAGGTCTCCCAAAGTGCTGGGATTTTAGGCATGAGCCACCATGCCCGTCCTCCCATTTTGCTTTTTAAAATTTTGATAAAGGAATAATTAAAATGCCATTTATTGGTAAATAATAACTGAAATGCATAGCTATACTAATATAAGGATGTAAATAACTATTTTACTATTAACATACATTTGTATCTTACTGATAGTATTTTATTATATTGGGATTGAAGATGCCAATATTTCTGTGTGACTATGCAAAAAAATCTTACAGGATAAGCTTTTTGCATTGGAACATTTTGTTGTTATATAATTATTCTTCAGTAAGTATCAAGTTAATGCTCATTCATCCACCAACAACAACAAATATGAGATGACTAATTACATTTTATTTTTATATTTATATATCTCCAATCTGCACATCAGTGGTAGAGTTCTGGACCTCAACGCAGAGGGTTAAAATCATCATGAAAAATTATTGATGTGTTGTTCATTTAGGACTTTTTATGTATTGAAGATTATGCAGCACCCGTAAATGTATTTGTGACCTGACAGTACGACACAAACGTGTGGTGTGGTATGTAGAAACTTAATGTACACTAGTGTTTCCTAAATTATATTTCTAGAGATATAAATGAATATTCTGAAAATTAAGAGTTCAGTGGCTGTGTAAGATTGGAAAATAGTGCTTTTTGTATGCCTCTTTGGATATTACAAAGCACATTATCATAGAAAAAGTTTCAAAAAGTTTGCTGTAGAAACCATTTAAACTTTGTTTTACCTAGAATTTGCCTGAGTAATTTAACATTGGAACTCCTTATGAAGAACAGCTGACAGAGTTTGGGAAATGCTGGTATATACTTAACCGTAGGTAGTGTGAGAGCCTTTAAACTGGTTGTGTGACAGAAAGTGGTTAATAAAGTCTTCTAACACATAAATTGTCACAATTTATATCAATTTCCAAACAAAGGCAAAGGTTTGAAGGTTTGCCTTTATCCTTTCCATATTTTTTAGCGTATCTGTTTATGTCATCTAAGCAATATTAAGTTGGTGTGGAGTTTTGCATGGGGTGTATATATCTTTACAAAGAAAGGACAGTGAGACTTGATACATGACTTCGAGGAGTTTATATGTGCACTTCTTGGTTTGCAAAGATGCACCTGCTAAGCTAGTGATTTTGTTTTTTTCCAGTAAAGCTTTATTATGTTCTAATCCAGTTACCTCTCTAACCATTGGTACAGAATTTGGGATCGATATTGTCATGGCTGTGAAATAGAACAATGCTAATTAGATTTTATGAAAGTTTTGTAAAAGCAGTATAGTTATCTTGCTACAGCAAGAATCCCATCCTTAAGTATCATCGTTTACTTAGAGTGGCTAATGCAATGCCCCAAGTTGACTCAGATACTATTAAAAGCACTCAAGCATCTACTTAGAAGTGGTATGCCCTGAGATTTAAAAAATACTTGTTTGAAAAGATTAGGAAAAGCCCCCGCAATGAAACAGTGACTAAAGCCCCTTTTTGAGATTGTATTGCTAGCTACCTGTGATCTGGCCCTGAGCTAAAAGCATAACTAACAAACATTTAACAACAGACTAAGTTCGGGTATGTAGTGAAGCTGACATATGATATCATAAAGCTTTTCCATACTCTCTACTTATAGAGATTCTCCTAGAGTTTATGGTTAAAACTACAATAATATTTTCAGGTCTACTGTAGTATCTGTTTCTGCCTTTTTGTTGCATGCGTTCGTAATGTGTTACCCATTTCTGACTAATACATGCTAAGTTGACAGTTTCTTCTAAGAGTCCTTTGCTGTGTTATGTTGCTTGAGGCTGTGATTAAGTGTGATCATCATATTTGTCTCTTTTGCCTATGTACCTCTGGTAATCCCAGTTAAGTGTAGTAGCTCATGAGTTCTGGTTTTATTCAACCTCTGTGTGCATCTGGCTCAGTTGACTTCTCTGTATTAAACATGTACAAATGGGTTACGTTCCTGGATCTTACTGATCTTATTAATCATGTTTGTTTTTCCATTAAATACTAAGCAATAACAACTTCCTTATTACATGTACCTCTAACTTGAAAATACTGTGAATTCTACACATCCAAGACCTTTGTAGAAGGAAGCAAAAAAAAAAAAAAAAAACCACTTAGAACATGATCCTTTGATCATGTCAACATCCTGCTTAATATACTTCAGTGACTACTGAAAGCTTTCAGAATGACATTTGAACTCCTCTTTAGCATGCCATACAGAATTTTTAATATGATCCTGTTTACTTCTCTTTTTCTTCACTTTATTTATTTATTTAGTTTTTTGAGATGGAGTCTCGCTCTGTCACCCAGGCTGGAGTGCAATGGCACGATCTTGGCTCACTGCAGCCTCCGCCTTCTGGGTTCAAGTGATTCTCCCGCCTCAGCCTCCCGAGTAGCTGGGATTATAGGCATCCACCACCATGCCTGGCCAATTTTTGTATTTTTAGTAGAGATGGGGTTTCACTATGTTGGCCAGGCTGGTCTCAAACTCCTGACCTCGGGTTATCCACCCACCTTGGCCTCCCAAAGTGCTGAGATTACAGGCGTGAGCCACCACTCCCGGCAGATGCTATGATATTTTAATGGCTGAAAAAGTGGTGTCAAATTTGATGATGGTGATGAAGAAAATAATTTTCATAATCCTTGAAGTATATGAACTTCGTTGAAAGAGAATAAAGTCAGCTTAATAAGAATGACATCTAAAGGTATGAGAGGACCTAGTAATCTTTGAAAGACCAACCTTAAGAGACTTCTCTGACAGCAAGAAAAATGAAAGAGTAAACAACAAGAAATGAAGACGAGGTTTCTTGAGACAACAAACCACAATGCAGACATTATACAAATGTGAGTTACTTTTATCCTATCCATTTTGGGATTAATGTAAAGAATAAGAGTAATCTATACAGAGTAATGGATTTAAGATAAAAAAATGTTTGCCTCAGCTTCCCAAAGTGCTGGGATTACAGGCATGAGCCACCATGCCTGGCTTTTTCTTCACTTAAAAAAATTTTGAAATAATCTCGAGTTTACAGAAACATTGCAAGTATAGTATAATTTTTTTCCTCTGGAACCATTTGAGAGTAAGTAGCCTACCTAATGCTCTGTCATCCCCATATATTTTCTGCATTCTTCTACCTAACCACAATACAACTATTAAAATGAAGAAATTAACATTGGTGTATATTGTCATCTAATCTTTAGGGCTGAATTGTTTAGGAAGGAGAAGGGAATGGCCACTTATTATGTATGTATGTGTGTGTGTGCAATTTTATATTTATTTTCCACTGTCATCTTAAAAATTATTTAAAGTTCTTTAAGAAATTTACCTATAGTAAAATTCACTTATTTTGGTGTGTATATTGTGAGTTTTAACAAATGTAAAGTCATGTGACCACTACCATAGTCAAGGTACAGAGCAGTTCCATCATCCCTAAAATTCTCTTGTGCTATTCTTTTGTCCCACACTCATCTTTTACTCCAGCTATAAATGAATTTGACTCTTTTACTAATTAAACCATAACTTTGATTATTCATGACTTTTCACATATTGGTTAAATTGTTTGGAAACTCCTCTTTCACTGCACCCCATAGGAGACATTTGGTAATGTAGGTTGAATGAATTATGCCGTTATACTTGTTATATGCAGGGCTAGAAGCAGTAGCTCTAATCTTGAAACATTGTATGAAACTCATATTTTTAATGCCAGGGACTTGTTTCTTCTTTGATTTACCCTATTTTATTTCAAAGTAATTTTTTCCTTTTAAAATTATTTAATAATTAGAAATAGTGATAATAAAAATTCAAAAGTGGTTTTTGTGTTTTTCTTTTTTTGTTTTTTTTTTGAGATAGAATCTTGCTTTGTTGCCCAGGCTGGAGTGCAGTGGTGTGATCTGGGCTCACTGCAACCTCTACCTCCTGGGTTTAAGCAATTCTTCTGCCTCAGCCTCCTGAGTAGCTGGGACTGCAGACATGTGCTACTATGCCTGGCTGATTTTTGTATTTTTTTGTAGAGGGGGTATCGCCATGTTGACCAGGCTGGCCTGGAACTCCTGGCCTCAAGTGATGCGCCCACCTCGGCTTCCCAAAGTGCCAGGATTACCGGCGTGATTACAGGCGCCACCACATGTGGTCAAAAGTGATTTCTTATATGAGTAGTCATTTATTATCCCCTAGCAGTTGGCAATTTGTAAACAAGTACTTCATGGTGGTGAGGTAAGGAGAAGAGGGTGCTGCTATTTAAAAGAATGAGGTAAAATGCAGATAATCTCAAATTTTTCAAGGTAAAAGTTCTTAGATTAACTCTGCATTTAACTTTATTTGCACAATGTCCATCATAAACTTTAGAGTCTGGTGATGATGGATTGAGCATACAAATATAACTTCATTTCCTTCTGCAATTCACTAACACTATAATAAAATAATTTTTTTAAAGAGTCATAAACCTTTAAGGATGATAAGAGTGGTAGAAGAGACTATAGAAACAAAATTTTGGAAGCTGAAAAGCAGGTAGATGAGTGGTAATGACTTAGGAGGTCTGAGAAAGTCAGATTCCAAATTAGCAGTGGTGAAAGCTGAGGACCTGTTCAGTTTACTTGGCAGAATCTTCAGAAGTTTTAGAAATTGCTATCTTTAGGAACCTCTGGAAGTTGAGGTATGGGTAGGGCTAAAGTACAGAGGATTGATTGAGGCTGGTTTAGAAGCAGTAGAAACTCTAGAGCAATTCCCCTGTTGAGTGCCATTGGGTTACTTTATCCCTCTCCTCAAACAAATGTTGGATGTTCTTAGTACAACAGAGGTTTTCTGGATTGGGCAACATAGGCATAGTTTATGGTGGACATTTCATATTGAAAATAAGGAGATTAAGTAAATTTGTATTTACTTCTGCTCCCAGAATGCTGGCAACTGGGATTAGGACAGGAGATTAGAAGATTAGAAGAGTCTTGTCTGGAGAATCTGACTCTCCCCAAGAAGAAAGAACTTAGAGATGCAGATATCAGAGGCTTCTCAGTAAAGGGCTCAGGCAGTCACACTACAGTGAGATTTGTTATCAGGGGGTTTCACCCAAGGATTTGGAGCTTCACATCATGTTTTAGTTCTCGTAATTAAATATGAATGGAAAATAGAATTGCCAGACATCTGAGGATCCTCAAAGCCTCTATAGGGTACAGTCCCAAACAAAGAAAGCAACCCACATGAAACATACTTTTCAGGGAAAGCATAACTTCGAAAAAAAAAAAAAACCCAAAAAAACCAAATCACATAAAACTATCAGTATTTTCCAGAGATGAGAGAAAATCCTGCAATCATGAAGTCAGGATGCCATAAAAAGGAGCAAAAGAGAATGAAAAAAGTTCTTTGAAATTATTATGATAGCTAAAATGGAAACCTCAGTACAAGATTGGAAAGTAGAAAAGTGGAGCAAAAAGCCACAGAGAGATAGAAAAGAGGAGATAGAGGAGAAAATTAGAGGACCAATTGAGGAGGCCTGAATAATAATCTGATGAATGATAGGAATTCTAAAAGAGCACTTTGAAAGAACAGAGGGGGAAAAAAATCATCAATACAAGAAAATGTTGTAGAACCAAAGGACACGAGTTCCTAGATAGAAGGGGCCTACCAAGTACCTAGGTCAGTGGATGAAAATAGATTCGCATCAAGGTTCAGAATCAATATATTTTGCAATTCCTAAAACTCTGGGGACAAACAAGAGACCCCAAAAGGTTCCAAAGAGTGTGAATACAAAGGATAAGAATCAGAAACTCTTTGGCCTTTTCAGCAGCAACTCTAGAAGCTAGAAGACAGTGTTCATATTTTGAAGGAAAACAGTTTCTAAACTGAAATTCTATATCCAGACAAATTCTTAAGTATGAGGGCGGGATAAGGACATTTTTAGGCATGAAGGTGTTAAAAATTCTGTAACCTGTGGGCTACAAATGGTTTACTTAGGATAAGGAGCTTCCCAGGATGTGGGACTTCTACTAAAACCAGCACAGTCTTAGGCAAACTGGAATGAGTTGATTGCCTTAGCTGCAACTAGGTAAAGGAGTGAATGAAGATGAGGAAGTAACAGGATATAGGAAGCAGGAGATACAATGCAGGAGAGAGTAGAAAGGATTTCCTAAGACTGTAATGAAGGGAGAATACAAAATGACAACTTTGCACCAAGCATAGAGGTGAACCATAACAGACAGGATGCAGTTCAGAAGGTTTCAGGACAGACTTAAGTATCTGATATGGATGAACATCTTGAGAGGAGATTAGAAAATCTGGGGAGGGTTTAAGGTTGCTTAGGAAATGAAGCAAATGAGAAAACAATAAGAAAAATAGAAATTAGGAAAGGAAAAGTAATAACTTATATGGTTATAGTAATGGAAACACTTAATATTTATCTAACTAAAATTATGCTGTAACCATATTGGGAGGATGGTATGGAAAGGGAATTTTTTTTTTGGTGGAAGTGATAGTAGGTACGGGGCGTAATGTTTTTCCTAAATCTTAAGTGATGATTGAATGTGTATTTATGAATAACTGATAAAAATGAAAATTTTAAAAACAGCTGTAGTTTTTACAGAATTAAAAAGTCTAAATCCGGCTGGGCACAGTGGCTCATGCCTGTAATCCCAGCATTTTGGGAGGCCGAGGTGGGCAGATCACGAGGTCAAGAGATTGAGACCATCCTAGCCAACATAGTGAAACCCTGTCTGTACTAAAAATACAAAAATTAGCTGGGCATGGTGGCACATGCCTGTAGTCCCAGCTACCCTGGAGGCTGAGGCAGGAGAATCGCTTGAACCCAGGAGGCAGAGGTTGCAGTAAGCCGAGATCGCGCCACCGCACTCTAGCTTGGCGACAGAGTGAGACTTCGTCTCAAAAAAAAAAAAAAAATGTCTACATCCTTTACTCCTACTTCACTGATCTTATTTTCAAACTTGTGTTTTTCTTTTTGAGGTATTTCTAAGTCCTGTAATCGAGGAGCTCAAAACTGGATAGAGGGAATGGGAAATTTGTGTTAGAATTTATGAGTATATTCTTTGAGCAGATCAGTCTTTTTCTTCTTCAGTTATTTCTCTGTTCTTATGATGGCAATTTATAGTCTTTGTCTTAGGAGTTTAGTTGATTCCTAAAAAACCTATGTAGGTTAAATTCGTTAGTGATACACAGATACTTCTGTGAACACACAGCAAAAGAACACTAACAGAGCAGTGAAGACAAATCACACAAATGATGTAAATGACGCAAAGGATGGATATGATTATTATTTCTTAAAACTAAGGAGCTGCCAGGTGCTATGAGGAGGCATCAGAATACGTGTCAACTATACAACTGCAAAGGTAGCTTTGGTTTAGCAGCGCTTACCCGCTCTTCTGATGTTCAAGTTGATACTTGTAAATGCAAAGAAATGCCGTGTGTGCGTGTGTGTAAATTCTCATAGCTTTTGGAGTACAAGAGGTTTTTGGTTACATGGATGAATTGTATAGTGGTGAAGTCCAAGATTTTAGTACACTCGTCACCTGAGTACTGTACATTTTACCCAATATATAGTTTTTTATCCCTTACCCCCTTTCTTCCTTCTCCCTTCTGAGTCTCCACCTCCATTATACTACTCTGTCTGCCTTTGTGTACCCATAGCTTAGCTCCCACTTATAAGTGAGAACATACGGTATTTGGTTTTCCATTCCTGAGTTACTTCACTTAGAATAATGGCCTCCAGCTCCATCCAAGTTGTTGCAAAAGACATTATTTTGTTCTTTTTATGGCTGAGTAGTATTCCATGGTATGTGTGTATATATATACCATATATTCTTTATCCCTACATTGGTTGATGGGCACTTAGGTTGGTTCCATATCTTTACAATTGTGAATTGTGTTGCAATAAACATATGTGTGCAGGTGTGTTTTTGATGTAATGACTTATTTTCCTTTGAGTAGATACCCAGCAGTGGGATTGCTGGATCAAATGGTAGATATACTTTTAGTTCTTTAAAAAATCTCCATACAGTTTTCCATAGAGGTTGTACTAACTTACGTTCCCAGTAGCAGTCTATAAGTGTTCGCTTTTCACCACATCCACAGCAACATCTGTTGTTTTTGACTTTTTAATAATGAGAGGTGCCTTATATTAAATGAAATTCCTCTTGTAATGAATTTCAACTTCTCCTAGAGAAAATCCCTTGAAAATCTAAAGAACTGACCAGCTCTTCCCTACATGTCTGTTTTAGGGCAAGGTTAAGAGAAGTTTGTTTCAGGGGATTGCTGAACTGTAGGACTCTGAGAAAACTGGTCCGCTTTCTAACTACTCCTGAGTCAGGTTTTCAGAGGACGAGAATGACGTCTTTATTTACTTTAACATTATGACTCTTTACATTCAGATGCATATTGAAAAACACACCCCAAAAGAAATTATTATTGAATTATGTAATACTTTGCTTCCTTGTATGAGAAATCATTCTGTTTAGTTTGTTGACTACTTCTGTTGCTCAAGGTCGTTTTTATTTTCCAGACTGTGGGTCATTTATTTTGTTCATGATTGCATACCTAAAAATTTATCTTGCATTTTATCTAAAGGGAAAAACATCAAAATAGTAGCAAAGCCATAAAAAATTTACATAATAAATCTGTAATCATTTTAGTTTCTAAATTTAATGTCTTTGCTGAGAATCAATAGAATTTAAAGCAGATATTAATCAGTGTATCTAGATAACATTATATATTTACAGCTTAAAATAGGGTTAGGATGAAATATTTATGACAGTTTAGTATATTTTGTTTTCAATTAGGTGTATTACTAAAAAACATGTAAACCATTCCATTTAAAAAAAGAAGTAAAAGGAGATGATGTAATATAACTAGTATTTGGAAATGACAAAGGAATTTTCCCTCCAGCTGTAGAAGTATTTCCTTTGCAACAGTGTTTCTCATTTATGTTTCAGTTCTCAGATATACAAAGATGATTGCTGTGAGAGGGCATTAGTTTTTTAACAGACAATTAAATTCAGTTTTTGAAAACCCTAATTGTTTAGTGTTCGTCAACCCTAAGAATTTTTACATAAAGCTGCTTAAATATTAGTTAAAAAGTCAAGTTTCATTTTCTTTCCAAAATTCTCTGCACATGGCTCAAACTGTATTTGAGTCTGAATTTCTTTTGAAAATCCAGTAAGCTTTATGAAGAAATGCCAAGAAAATGTTTAGTTCAAATTTACTCTTCTTTCATAGAATGACTTTCACTTTAACTGTTTCACTTGATTTCTATTTATGCTACTCTACAGCTGTCCATTTGTGAAAGTTACCAGCCTCTAGAATGTAAAGAGCTATATATGATTCTATTCTAGCATATTGAGGTGAAGTTATAGATGAGCAGTGTGTTTTGTTCAGCTTAGTTTTGATTAATTTTCCTTTTTTATGGATATTGAATTATCTTTATAATTCAGTGAAAAGGCAGTGTTTGAGATATTTCATGTGCTTTCTTCTCTGTAAAGTTCTCAGTTTTTGTCACTGAAACCTATAAGCCACTGAGCGGCTGCTGTCTGTATCTGCTTATGCCAGATAGTCCTTGGCTTTCATTTGCCAGAATGCAGCAAGCTTTTTGTTATATAGCTTCAAATGGCTTTTTTCCTTAAAAGAAGCATGTTTTTGCTGGAGAAGTATGAATCTATATTAACAGTTGATTATAAAGGACAAAACTCTGGGACAGCCAAATGGAAGTGATGCGTAGGGCAAGGTTTAGGGTAAGGGAGTAGAGGGGGAGGATTTCCATGCCCTCCTTAATTTTCTTCTGAGTTTTTAGGTTATAGCACCAACATACTAATGACACTAGCTTGTTTATATACATGTTTAGCCAAATTATGAAAAGTAAAAGAAACTATTTACCTGAGGATATTATTACAAAAAAAATGCCTCAAGTTGAGTAAGGGCAATTATAATAGTGGTTGAATTTCTGGTACTATTTTGTCATAATTTCACTTGTTATTTTTTATGTGTTTGTGTATATTTCTTGGATGTGCTTTAACTGTTGCTTGTCTTCAGTACCTTGGCAATATATATGAATTTGGAATTGTGGCACGACTCTGGGGAGGGAGGTATTCTGGAAAATGCCATATGTGTGAAATTTTTACCTACTACACTGAGAAAGAGAGATTTTTTTTGAGACAGATAAAAAAAAACATTGTATATAGTCACACTGCTTTTTCTCAGTCTGCTTTCTTTTGGTGTATGTATATATTTATGTATGTATATATTATGTATATATATGTATATATATGTATATATGTGTGTGTGTGTGTATATGTATATATACACACACACACACATAAAACAAAATTTGCCATTTTAGCCCCTTTAAAGTGTATTATTTGGTGGTGTCAATTACATTTCAAAATGTATAACATCACCACTATTTCAAAAACCTTTTCATCACCTCAAGCAGAAGCTCTGTATCCATTAACCAACAACTCTACATTCTCTCCTTTCCCCAGTTTGTGGTAACTTCTGATCTACTTTCTGTCTCTCTGAATTTCTACATATTGTAGATATTTTGTATAAGTGGAATCATTTAATATTATTTTGTGTCTGGCATATTTCATTTAGCATGCTATTCGTAAGGTTCATTCATGTGGCATTATGTGTCAGAACTTCATTCCTGTTTATGGCTGAATAATATTCCATTGTATGGCTATACCACATTCTGTTTATCTGTTCATTTGTTGATGGATACTTGCGTTGTTTCCACCTTTTGGTTATTATGAATAATGCTGCAGTGAACATTGGCATACAAGTATCTGTTTGAGTCCCTATTTTTAACTCTTTTGCATATATGCTTAGGAGTGATATTTCTGGGTCATATAGTAATTCTATGTTTAACTTTTTGAGGAACTGCCAAACTGTTTTTCAAAGCAGTGGTACCGTCATACATTCCCACCAGCAATGTATGAAGGTTGAGTTTTGCTACATGCTTGCTAACATTTGGTACTTTCTGTTTTTTGATTAGTCATTTTAGTAGGTATGAAGTGGTAGGTGGTTCATTGTGGCTTTGATCTACTTCCTTAATAATTACTGATAACGAGCAGCTTTTCATGTGCTTATTGGCAATTTGTATATCTTCTTTGGAGAAATGTCTGATTAACCCTTTGCCCACTTTAAAAGATAGACTATTTTTAGAAAAGTTTTAGGTTCACAGTGAAATTGAGCAGAAGGTATAGAAATTTCTTAGATTTCCAGCCTCCCCATATGCATAGTCTCGCCTATTCTTTGTCTATTTAAAAATTGCATTTATCTTTTGTTGTTAGAGTTCTTCATACATTCTGGATATTCTTTGTCATGTATATTATTTACACATATTTTCTCCCATTCTGTAGGTTGCTTTTTCACTTTCTTGATAATGTGCATTAATGATATACAAGTTTTTCATTTTGATGAAATCCAATTTGTCCCTTTTTTTTTTTCTTGTGCTTTTGGTGTGATATTTAAGAACCCATTGCCAAATCCAATGTCATATTGGTTTACCCTTTGCTTTTTTCCAAAAGTTTTTTTTTTTTTTTTTTTGATGTGGGGAGAGTCTCTCTCTGTTTCCCAGGCTGGAGTGCAGTGGCACAATGTCGGCTCTCTGCATCCTCCGCCTCCTGAGTTCAAGCGATTTTCCTGCTTCAGCCTCCCAAGTAGCTGGGATTACAGGCATGTGACACCATGCCCAGCTAATTTTTGTATTTTTAGTAGATGCGGGGTTTCACCATTATGGCCAGGCTGGTCTCGAACTCCTGACCTCAAGTGATCTGCCCACCTCGGCCTCCCAAAGTGCTGGGATTACAAGTGTGAGCCACTATGCCCGGCCTATTTTTTTCCCAAAAGTTTTGTGTTTCACTTCTTATATTTGTTATGAATCCATTTTGAGTTAATTTTTATATATGATTTGAAGTAGGTATCCAACTTCATTCTTTTCCATGTGGAAATTCCAATTGTTCCAGATTTGCCATATAGAAAAGAGATTATTCTTTCTGTATTGAATGGACTCAGCATCGTTGTGGAAGATCAACTGGCCTTAGATGTTTGGATTTTTTTCTAGACTCTCAGTTCTATTCCATTGATCTATATGTTTATCCTTCTGCCAGTACCATACAGCCTGGATTGCTATAGTTTTGTAGTAAGTTTTGAAATTGAAAAGGGTAAGTCCTCTAAACTGTTTTTCCAGGTTATTTTGGCTTTTCTGGGCTCCTTGCAGTTCCATATTGTGATGATTGGCTTTTCCATTTCTGCAGAAAAGGCTGTTGGAATTTTGTTAGGGCTCTTCTTTATTAACAAAACCCGATTGACTGTGTTTTCTAGCTTTATTTCCAGTTAGGTGTGGTCACGTCAGTAGTTCTGGCTGATTGATGTACAAAGTGATGTGTGATGCTTACCAGAAGCTTCATTAAAAGGAAGGCTTTCCCCACTTTATTCCCGTCTGCTGCACAGAACACATGTGATGTTTTCAGAGCTTGGACTGTGATGATGAGGGCATGAGGGCCATACTCCAAGGATGGCCCAGCAGTGAGCTGGAAGCATCCTGGATTCCTGACAGCTTTGTGAAACTGCCATACCAGCATTGGACCTTCAAATGTCTTTTACTTGAAAGGAAAATATATTTTCATTTTGTTTAAATTGGGGTTGAGTTTTTTGTTAGAGCTAAACTTAATTTATACACTTTTCCTACTACATTAACTTGGTTATCTCTTCATTGTGTGTACTGTGTGAGGGAGTGAGATAATATATTACCAGAATTGCTGGAACTATACTTAATTTAAATTTTTTTTAATTTCATGCTGGGCATGGTGTTTCATGCCTGTAATCCCAGCACTTTGAGAGGCTGAGGTGGGTGGATCACTTGAACCTAGGAGTTTGAGACCAGCCGGGCAACATGGTGAAACCCCATCTCTACAAAAATACAAAAATTAGCCAGATGTGGTGGTGTGCGTCTATAGTCCCAGTTGCTCTGGAGGCTAAGGTGGGAGGATCGCTTGAGCCTGGGCAGTGTAGGTTGTAATAAGCTGAGATCACACCACTGTACCCTAGCCTGGGTGAGAACCTGTATCAAAAAGAAAAAATTATATTTCATATATATGTATTGTGAATTTGACTTTAAAATTATTTTTCCTTAGTATGTAATACTAAAACGTTCTTTAACTTAAATGTAGCCTCAACATTTTTTTAAAAAGCAGAAAAAAATTTTCACTGCTGTAACATAGCAGATTTGTCATTTTTGTGCTAACCCGTTGAATATTTTTTATATACATACTTAGTTTTCTACATAGGAACATTTCTGGTATTTTTATACCTTGCTTTTTTTTTTCACTTAATGTGATAAAGTGATCTAGTGCAAGTTAATTAACCTCTTTTTTTTTTTTTTTTTTTTTTTTTTTGAGACGGAGTCTCGCTCTGTCGCCCAGGCTGGAGTGCAGTGGCGCGATCTCGGCTCACTGCAAGCTCCGCCTCCCGGGTTCACGCCATTCTCCTGCCTCAGCCTCCCGAGTAGCTGGGACTACAGGCGCCCGCTACCACGCCCGGCTAATTTTTTGTATTTTTAGTAGAGACGGGGTTTCACCTTGTTAGCCAGGATGGTCTCGATCTCCTGACCTCGTGATCCGCCCGCCTCGGCCTCCCAAAGTGCTGGGATTACAGGCGTGAGCCACCGCGCCCGGCCAATTAACCTCTTTTTGCTTCAGTTTCTTTCTCTCTGAAAATGGGAATAGTTATTACACATGCTTCGTGGGGTTGTTTTGAGCATTAAATAAAATATTGGAGTAAAATGCTAGACCAGTGCCCAACATGTAGTGAATTCCTGGCCCTCAATGAATGTTAGTTATCATTACCATTATTAATATCGTGTGATCTTAAGCTCTTCTTCTATATTATTGTAAAATCTTGATAATTACGCTCTTCAAAGTCTGCTTATTATTTCATTAAATAAATACACAGTTATTTATTAGATACTAAATTTTTTTTTTTTTGAGATGAAGTCTAGCTCAGTCGCCCAGGCTGGAGTGCAGTGGCGCGATCTCAGCTCACTGCAAGCTCTGCCTCCCGGGTTCATGCCATTCTCCCGCCTCAGCCTCCCGAGTAGCTGGGACTACAGGTGCCTGCCACCACGCCCAGCTAATTTTTTTGTATTTTTAGTAGAGACGGGGTTTCACTGTGTTAGCCAGGATGGTCTTGATCTTCTGACCTTGTGATCCACCCGCCTCAGCCTCCCAAAGTGCTGGGATTACAGGTGTGAGCCACCGTGCCTGGCCTAAAATTTTTTTAAACATTTAATTTACTTCCATTTATTTGGTGTTACAAATAATGCTATTATAAACTGATCTATGATTAAATGTCATTTTATTACAAGCTAGAGACACTTTTAAAAGCAGCATTTATCCCTTATTTTATAAGGTAGTGAAGAAAATGTGAAATAGATTTTGTTTTTCTAAGGCGGAGTTTTGTTCTTGTTGCCCAGGCTGGAGTGCAATGGCGCCATCTCGGCTCACTGCAACCTCCACCTCCCAGGTTCAGGCGATTCTTCTGCCTCAGGCCAACCTCCCGAGTAGCCACCATGCCCGGCTGATTTTGTATTTTTAGTAGAGATGGGGTTTCTCCATATTGGTTAGGCTGGTCTCAAACTCCCGACCTCAGGTGATCCGTCCACCTAGGCCTCCCCAAAGTGCTGGGATTACAGGCGTGAGCCACTGCACCCAGCAATAGATCTTTTTTTTTTTTTTTAATGACTTTACCATAGTAGCTTTGTATATGAATCTGATGGCAATTGGGATGTAGATATCTTTTGCAATAAATAATAATAGTCACAGATTGTATAACCAGTTCTCATAACACATTATAAGTTCTGTAAGCTTGAGGATTTAGTTTGGTTTAATTCTCTTTTTGTGGTAATTTTTAGAAACTGTAAACATTTAAGTGTTAAAAGGTGATTAAGAATATGCCATAGTCACTATTTTCTGGCATTTATCACTGTTTTTAATTATATATATTTGCAATTATTTGATTATTATTGATCTTCCTTACTAGAGCAGGGACTGTGTCTGTTTTGCTTACCAGCTCTTCCCCAATACCTAACATAAGTGCTTGGTGTATTGTAGGCACTCAATAAATATTTATTTGATTAATGAAAGAATTGGTGAGTGAACAACGGAGTTAAGCAAATAAATAGGGAATAAAATGTTTTGATACAGTTAAATCTCAACATTGAGTCAGTAGCTATGATGAAGAAATAACATCTAAAACTCCAACTTTAGATACAATTTTGCAGAGATTTGGGGGGAATATAGTAAAATATAACAAGGAGGGCAATTTAGAGATGAAGTATTTAACTCTAGGGTTTTGGTTTTGTTTGAATGATAGTGGAAACATCCAGGTAGAATGTTCAGGAGAGAGAAATATGGGCCAAAGGTCAAAGGGTAGTCATTCAAATAATGACAGTAATTAAGTTCAATAAATTATTGAATGTCTACCTTGTGCTAGCTATTGTATAGTTGTGGAAGGTAGGTGAGTAAGACATATTCCTCATAATAATAATTCAATTAAAATACCTCTTACCCTGATAATTCTCTTCACAAGTAAAGTTTTAACAAAGTTAGAATTTTGATTTTAGAATTTAGTGGAAAGCAATGATTATGACCAAATTATCTTAATACCTTGTTGAATTTTCACTGTATCTTCTAAGTGATAAAGATGATTTTAATTCAGTGAACTTTGTAGTTGAGACTTTTGTTAATAAAATATTTTTAAAAAGTTTTACTGCCATTCTGTGTAGAAATAATTGGAGCAAGATTTTTAAAAATAATCATTATGATACCTATCTTTTATCTTTCTGTGGAAAAAATATGGAAACGCTTATGTCTCTAGAGGTAAATATTTAGTGAAATGTGGTTTTCATTTGAAATTAAAATTAATCATTTTTGATTTCATATTTTTTCTTTAACACTATGATACTTTAAAAATTATTGGCTGGGCTTGGTGGCTCACGCCTGTAATCCCAGCACTTTGGGAGGCCAAGACAGGCGGATCACTAGGTCAGGAGTTTGAGACCAGCCCGGCCAATATGGTGACACCCCATCTCTACTAAGAATACAAAAATAAGCCGGGCATGGTGGCGTGTGCCTGTAGTCCCAGCTACTCGGGAGGCTGAGGCAGAAGAATCACTTGAACCTGGGAGGCAGAAGTTGAAATGAGCCGAGATCGCACCACTGCACTCCAGCCTGGGCAACAGAGCGAGACTCCGTCTGAAAAAAAAAAAAATTATCTGTTATAGACCTCAGGGCTATTTGTTATTTTTAAATTGTCTTTAAAATGAACTTGAATTTTGTGAACATTGTACTTTATTTATTGAATTTATGATTCTGTAGAAGAAACAGGTCAATTTCTGGTGGTACATGTCTTAACTTCAGTATTGGAATAAAAAAAGTTTAAATGATAGTACAGTAATAAGAGGTAGCTGATTACACAATACAAATGTTGAGGGTTAATAGTGTGCTTTTGGTTGGAACAGAAAACCTGATGCAAACTGGTTTGAAGAATATGGAAAGTTTTACTAGTTAACCTATCAAGAGCAAAAGTGGGGTAGACTTCTTGGTTTAGTGGCTCTATAGTATTATCAAATATCCAAAGTCTTTCAGTCTCACTGTTGTTGTAGTATAGATTTGGGTGTTTTTTTTGTTTGTTTTTGTTTTTAATTTTTGAGACAGAGTCTCACTCTGTCACCCAGGCTGGAATGCAGTGGTGTGACTTTGGCTCACTACAACCTCCGCCTCCTGGATTCAAGCGATTCTCCTGCCTCAGCCTCCTGAGTAGCTGGGATGACAGGCGCGTGCCACCATGCCTGGGTAATTTTTGTATTTTTAGTAGAGACGGGGTTTCACCATGTTAGACAGGCTGGTTTTGAACTCCTGACCTCAAGTGATCCGCCTGCTTCGGCCTCCCAAACTGCTGGGATTACAGGCATGAGCCACCGCGCCCAGCCTAGACTTCTTTTTTAACACTGTTTTCCCTCAGGGTTATCAGATGGCACCGGAGCAACATGATTTTTTGTTCAGGTGGGGAGGAGGGAGGAAGGCTACCTGTAGCCCTCTTATTTCATGGAAGCACCTAGAAAGTCTTCCCTCCATTCTCAATGACCAAAATTAGGTCTCCTCTCTATTCCTGAACCAATATAATTGGTATTGGTGCCAATAAGATTATTGAGGTATATGGGCTGTGTATGGGAAGTGCAGTGATCTTAACAAAGTTAGGATTCTGTTTAGGAAGACGGAATGGATTCTGTCTAGACAACAAACAGTCTCCCCTATAGTTGGCATTGTGGCCTACAGTTTATTTGTATCATTTTCGAAAGGAATTTTTAGTGCTATAGTAAAGCTTTATGCTATACTTTGTGTTTCCCCTTCCCACCCCACCACCTGTAACTAACACCTTCCCTAATAATGTGTTTTTGATTTAGGGATTCTGGGCCAGTGTTACTGTGTGTAAGAGAGGAAAGGATGCATTATAGATATGTATAATTAAATTTTAATTTTAAAATTATAAATAGTCATTAAAATGATACCTTTCTCAGCCATGCCATCCTTTGTTGGCATATCCCTCCTCTGAATGCCTATAAAATTTGTTTATAGTGCTCATTTGGAAACCAATATGAATCTTGGATTATTTATTGTCTTTTTATGTATGTCATACCAGGATCATTTCTTGTATATCTAGGACAAATAAATTCTATTATATCTGTGTTACTGGTATCTGCAGAAGGTGTCATTAAGAGAAGATTTAAAGTCAATTCAATAAATTTTTTAAATGTACAGTAAAGTATTATGTCTATAATGGAGTGTAGCAGCAATGAAGATGAACAACATGTGGTTCCTTCCCTAAAGGAATTAAACAGAATTAAATGTAATAAAGGGGGCAGTAGAGAGAGATTACTTTGGTGTGGGGAGTAGAAAGGCTCAATCATGGAAGTGACATTTTGAGCTTACTCTTAAGGAATTAATGTTTTGTGAAACAGAGAAAAGGGGGCATTTTAGATGGAAAGGAAGCTCAAAGGCATGTGCTTGGAGCATAGTACTTGGGTGCAGTTGAGGCATAGTGGGAAATAAAGTTGAAATGGTGGATTGGGGCCATTTCAGAAGGCTTACTACTTAATTTGAATTTGACTCTATGGACAGTGGGAAGCCATTGAATATATATATTTGTTTTTATTTTTAGAGGTAGAGTCTTGCTGTCACTCACCCAAGCTAGAGTGTAGTGTTGCAGTCATAGCTCACTGCAGCTTTAAACTTCTGGGCTCAAGTGAGCCTCCCAGTAGCTGGGACTATAGGTGCACACCACCATGCCTAGCTTTTTTTTTTTTTTTTGTAGAGACAGGGTCTCACCATGTTGCCCAGGCTGGTCTGGAACTCCTAGCCCTAGTAGTCTTCCCACTTTGGCATCCCATGTATTTCTTTTTAAAGCAAGAAGACTTGGAAATTATTTTCCGCCGAAACATAAGTACCCTTAAGATTTGTTGTTTTTTGCCATGATACAGTGTTTGTGGAGTACACACATTAATTCATTTATTTTAACAGATATTTATTGCATACCTCCTATGTGACAGACATAAAAATCTGGAGATACAACAGTGAACGAGACAGGCAGGGTTTCTGCTCTCATGGAGCTTACATTATAATTTGGGGGGAGGTCAGGAAATAGACATGTAAATAAGATTATTTCAGATAATGGTAAGAGCTATAAAGAAAATAAGAGGATGCTGTGACAGAGTGTTTTGGGTGGTAATTTAGATGAGTTGGTTAGTGAAGACCTCTGAGGATTTGATGTTTGAACTGATGTTAAATGAGAAGGTGCCAGCCATGTGACTATCTTGGGTAAGAGCACCCTAGGTAGAGGGAACAGTAAGTGCTGGGTCCTTAAGATGGAAAAAGGAACAGAAGGAAGACCAGTGTGGCTGGATTAGAGTGAGTGAAGGGGAGAGTGGTAGGGTATGAGGTTTCTCCTGGAAAGGAGTTTATATTTTCCTCTAAGGGTTAAAGCCAGTGCAGAGTTTTGAGCAGAAGGGTGATATCTAGATTTATGCTTTAAAAGGGTAACTGTGGTTGTCATGTGAATAAAATCATGCCAGTTAGGACCTTTGTAGCAGTACACGTGAGAGAGAGAGTAGTGCCTTGAAGTTGGGCTGTAGTAGGGGAGATGGAGATTTGTGATATCATTTTATTTAATTTTTTTATTTTGAATTATTATTATTATTATTTTTGAAACAAGAGTTTTGCTCTTTTTGCCCAGGCTGGAGTACAATGACATGATCTCTCCCCACTGCAGCCTCCACCTCTGGGGTTCAAGTGATTCTCCTGCCTCAGCCTCCCAAATAGCTGGGATTACAGGCACCTGCCACCACACCTGGCCAATTTTGTATTTTTAGTAGAGACGGGGTTTCACCACGTTGGCCAGGCTGGTCTCGAACTCCTGACCTCAGGTGATCTGCCCGCCTCAGCCTTCCAAAGTGTTGGGATTGCAGGCATGAGCCACCACACCTGGCCTTAAAAATTTTTTTTTTGAGACCGAGTCTTGGTCTGTCACCCAGGCTGGAGTGAAATGGTGCAGTCTTGGCTCACTGCAACCCCCGCCTCCCGGGTTCAAGCAATTCTCCTGCCTCAGCCTCCCCAATAGCTGGGACCACAGGTGTGCACCACGCCCGGCTAATTTTTGTATTTTTAGTAGAGATGGGGTTTTGCCATGTTGGCTAGGCTGGTCTTGAACTCCCGGCCTTAAGGAATCCACTTGCCTTGGCCTCCCAAAGTTCTAGGTTTACAGGCATGAGCCACTGCACCTGGCCGATATCATTTTAATTTTAAGATTTTTCATTTTTTTATTTTTTGAGGCAGGATCTCCCTCTGTTGCCCAGGCTGGAGTATAGTGGCACGATCACAGCTCACTGCAGCTTAGACCTCCTGGGCTCAAGTGATCCTCCCACCTCTGCCTCCCATTCACTTCTGATTGCTTTTATTATTTCATGAAGTTGATAAAATGTAATCAGCTGAGGATATTGGGAAATAATGGGTGATTAGACATTTAGTGAGAGAAGAGAAGATTTGTGTATGTTTGGGATCCCACAGACCATCCCCATGTTAGGTGCTTTACTAGGAGGACTGATGGGACAAGCATGTAATGATACTCATAGATTAATGTTTATTACAGTGAAAAGCTACAAAGCAAAATCAACAAAGGGAAAAGGCTAATGGAGCAAAGCCGGAGGAAACCAAGCACATACTTCCAAGGATCCTCTCCCATTGGAATCATACAGGATGTGTTTAATCCCCTCAGTAATGAATTTTAATGTATAGTGTGAAGTATTGTCTGCCAGAGAAACTCATTGCCCTACAGTTTTGAATAGCTAGAAGGACGATGTTGAACATTACCAACACAAATAAATGATAAACGTTTGAGATGATGGATATTGTAATTACCCTGATCTGATCACCATACGTCTTATGTATTGAAACATCACTGTGTACTCCATGAATATGTATAATTATTTGTCAATTAAAAACCCTGGGCACTGAGTTTATTTTTTTATTGGTGGCTAGTCACGTAGGAACCCTCTGCCTAGCCTCTGCCTAGCACATACTGAAATTCAACAAGGTTGAAGATTCAACAAGGTATTAAGTAATTTGGTCATAATCATATTGCTTTCCATTGAATTCTAAAATCAAAATTCTAACTTTGTTAAAACTTTACTTGTGAAGAGAATTATCAGGGTAAGAGGTATTTTAATTGAATTATTAATATTAATTGAATTATTATCATTCCTTCTGGACTTCCAGAAGGATAGTAGATTTTCAGCATAAATTATATTATTTGCAGAAATAGTTCAGGTACAGTGAGCCATTCTTACCAGTTAGGATTGTGAGAACACTCCCAAAATCTAAGTTCCCAGATGCCAGCCATAGACCAACCTTGCAAATAGGCCTTGCTAAGAAATAGCAGTCTCAGGTCTGTGATGTAACTCTTTTCCGCACAATACGAAACAGTACTTTTGGAGCATTGGAGAGAGACCATCCTAGGAGAGAGTATTGAGATTGTCAGGAATGTGTGTTCATGTAAAATGTGTGATGATGACTTTTATCAGCAAGCATTGATGTAGTTTGGAAGTTTTTCCCCACCAAATCTCATGTTGAAATGTGACCCCCAATGTTGAAGGTGGGGTCTAGTGGGAGATATTTGGGTTATGGAGACAGATTTTCATGAATGGCTTGGTGTCCTTCCTGTGGTTAATGTGTGAGTTCTCA
This sequence comes from Homo sapiens, assembly GCF_000001405.40. Lineage (NCBI taxonomy): Eukaryota > Metazoa > Chordata > Mammalia > Primates > Hominidae > Homo > Homo sapiens. The sequence continues at coordinate 227,286,963 of NC_000001.11, read as the reverse complement.
CTGTGTTTGTTCTCCCAATATCTGATTGTTAAAAAGAGCCTGATACCTCCCCACTCCCCATTGCTCCCGCTCTTGCCACGTGACATGCCAGCTTCTTTTCTCCATCTAAAACCGCAATTACTTTTGCATCAACCTAATACTATGAATGAAAGCTTCTTGAAGCCCTCACCATAAACAGATGCTGGTGCCATGCTTTTTTGTACAGCTTGCAGAACTGTGAGCCAAAATAAATCTCTTTGTAAATTACCCAGCCATTCAGATATTCCTTTATAGCAGTTCAAAATGGACTAATACACTAATACAGAAAATTGGTACCGGGAGTGGAATGTTGCTATAAAGATAACTGAAAATGTGGAAGTGGCTTTGGAACTGGATAACGTACGGAGGTTGGAAGAGTTTGGAGGGCTAAGAAGATGATAGGAAGACAGGGCAAGTTTGGAACTTACTAAAGACTGATTAAGTGGCTCTGATAAAAATGCTGATAGAAGAATGGACAACAAAGCCCAAGCTGACGAGGAATTTACTGGGAACTCTGGAGCAAAGTTCACCCTTGTTACACCTTAGCAAAGAACTTGACTGCATTGTGTCCATGTTCTAGGACTTTGTGAAAGGCTGATCTTAAGAGTGATGACCTAGACTAACTGGCAGAAGAAATTTCTAAGCACCAAAGCATTCGAGAATGATATGACTGCTTCTAACAGCCTGTGATCAAATATGGGAGCAAATGAATGACTTAAAGTTGGAGCTTATAATAAAAAGGGAAACAGCATAAAATTTTGGAAAAATCTCAGTCTGGTGCAGTAGTAAAGAAGGAAGAAGTGTTTTCAGGAGAGGAATCCAAGGGGGCTGTGGAGCAACCACTTGCTAGAGAGAGTAGCATGATGAAAAGGTAGGTAAGTGCCGATATTAAGACAGTGGGAAAAAGGCCCTGAAGGCATTTCAGAAATCTTCCAGGCTGTCCTTCCCATTATAGGCTCAGAGGCTTAGGAGGACAGAATGGTTTCAAGGGGCCAGGCCTAGGGCTTCAACTGCCTTGTGCCGACTCAGGATGCTGTTCTTCTCTCTGACTCCAGCTGGATTAATAAAAGCATGATTGTGATTTTTTTTTTCTTTACCTATATCCAAGTACTCAGGAGTAGGCAGAGTTACAGTTTTAACTAGGGTTTGCTGACATAATTTGAATTGTTCAGAAATGAGGTGGCTCCTTTTTTTACACTAGCGTGAGACAGAGAAACAGGTGGAGATTTTGTGGATTTTATTCTCATTCGATAATCCCATGGTAAACCCTAAATGATCCTCTTTCTAGTGACAGGACCATCTAGGACTCACAGAGGATACAATTTGTATGGAATAACCTGTCAAGATAAGCAGAGTATCAGATACTGACAGTCCTTCATTGTGACCTCTTATGGGACGCCATTACCTGGCTTGGTTTTGGCCTAGTAATTTCCTGGCTAGATGGATGGAATTTGGGTCTGTTATTTCAGGGGCATATGGATAGAACCAATAATGTAAATTTTTGTTTGCTTTTCATAGGCAATTTGTGGTTATTAAATAATTACGTAAGATGTAAAGTCCTCAGAAGAAGTGGTGCTTAACTTGATATATGCATCCAAATAACTTAGTGGCTTTTTCAAAAAATATATGATTGCTACTCACTTCTAGAGATTATGACTCAGTTAACTCAGGATGGAAGTCAGTGTATGTGAGTTTTTAAAATGCTTCCCTGTTAATTCCAATGTGTTCTTCTGATTAAGAATCATAGTTCCAGACCATTTAATGTTAGCTTAGTCCTTTTATAAGTTTTGGACTCTCCATTAATGAAACTGTGTAGATAGTTTGTATTGCTACCTGTTTTGCACAAGAAACAAGAATTTTGTCAGGTGGGGTGTGTGTCTGGCTGGGTAGACTGGAGAACGTTGGACCATGTTTCTCTATCCAGAGGTATGTACCAGAGAATGCTTTGATCCAGAACAAAGGGGATTATTTTTTTTTTTTTGTGAGATGGGGTCTCACTCTGTCACCCAGTGACAGATTGCAGTGGCACAACCTTGGGTAACTGCAGCCTTCTCCTCCTGGAATCAAGCGATCTTCCCACCTCAGCCTCCTGAGTAGCTGTGATGACAGACGTGTACCATCATGCCCGGCTAATTTTTTCTATTTTGGGTAGAGACAGGGTTTTGCCATGTTGCCCAGGCTGGTCTCGAAGTCCTGAGCTCAAGTGATCCACCCACCTTGGCCTCCCAACATGCTGGGATTACAGATGTAATTAATCCTGGCCTAGAACAAAGTGGATTTCTAACAGTTAGGGGAACTTGGGTTTCCAGCAAGAGAAAAATGCAATCAAATGTTGCTCTGAAGTTTGGGCTTAGGGACCAACTTAGTATTTCTTTAGGAATCATAGATTAAGAAAATGTGTACATTCTCTCCAGTGCTATTAGTATTAAGGTTAGGCCCTCTCCTGGGGATGGTGGTGGGTAGAATACTTGATAATCACCTGCTGGGCCTCAGATTTAAAGCTTACGGACTTACATGTGGTTCACTGGAAAACCAACCAGTATTTATAACATAATCTTTGAGATAATGTATTCCAAATTCCAAAGTAGTTATTTGTAACTAAATTTCTAGATTATGACTAGTTCATAAGTTGTGAATTGCTTTAAGTTCAGCTTTTCATTTCAAGGAGAATAAAATATAAAAAATTAAATCATTACTTTTTAGGAAATGCAAATTCTTATATTTTTAGTTATAAAATATCAAAATATCCTATTTAATACTCATCAAACCATACCATCATGACATTTGATGTGTCAAGACAAAGCATTAATAGAAGATAGTTTATGGTTTATTCATTAGTTATTTAAAACAATCTAGTAAAGCACTTAATTAAAAAGTATATATATTTTTTGAGATATAGTCTGTGTTGCCCAGACTGGAGTGCAGTGGTGTGATCTTGTCTCACTGCAGCCCACTCCACCTCTTGGGTTCAAGCAGTTCTTGTGCCCCAGCCTCCCGAGTGCTGGGATTACAGTCATGCGCCACCATGCCCAGCTAATTTGGGCAAAATCCCGGCCAACATGGCAAAATCCCATCTCAAACTCCTGGCCTCAAGTGAACTGCCTGCCCTGGCCTCCCAAAGTGCTGAGATTACAGGCGTGAGCCACCATGCCTGGCCTAATAAAGCATTAACAAAAAATTTAGATGCAAGGGTACATATGCTTATTTATTACATGGATATTACATGCATAATGGTGGGGGGTTGGGCTTCCGTACTCATCACCCAAATACTGGGCATTGTATCCATTGGTAATTTTTCCACCCTCCGTACTTCTGTCCTCTTTCCTTTGGAGTCTCGAGTTTTTTTCCTCCATTTTTATCTCCATATGTACCCTTTGTTTAGCTCCCACTTATAAAGCATTTTGAAAATAAATATAATTATAGCATAAACATTTTCATTACAAATAGAATCTTCCTACCTGGTTTTCATTTGCTTTTTCTATTTTTAGGTGGAGAGAGTAGTAAATGATTATGATAAAATTTTATAAACTATTAGTAAATATTATCATAGTATTTTCATAGGATATGAAGAGTAAGCCTGCCATTTTTTTGGTGGGTCAATACTTTTCACTCATTTATATTTCTCTCGTTTATGTGTATATAGAAAGCTTATATAAAACTTTCTGTAGCATTTAATAGCAACAGATTTATAAATGTTTGCTTACAAAAATATGTACAAAAAGTACAAATGAGACTATATGTACTTTTCCAGGAACATACTGTTGTATCAATATGTGTATTTTAAGTCATGGTCCTTAGAGTAGTGATGTTCTGCCACTAAAATAGAATAATAGAAATCTTTAATTTTTAGGAAAGATTAAGTCAATGGGTAGAATTTTCTCAATTTAAAGTTTTTCATCCCATGAATTATAAAAAGTTATTTAAAAAATTGTGTTAAAATATATATAACATAAAATTTACTATTTTAAATCTTTTTTAAGTGTATAGTTCAGTGACATCAAGTACATACACATTGTTGTGCAACCATCCTGATCATCCATCTCAGAACATTTTGTGTTTTGCTAAACTGAAACTGTACTCATTAAAAATGACTTTACTCCCACTTTCCATACCTTGCCCTCTGGCTACTGTCATTCTACTTCTTGTCTATGAATTTGACTACTCTTAAGTACCTCATGAGTAGAATCATAACAGTATTTGTCCTTTTTTGACTAGCTTATTTCACTGGTTCTGCACTTGAATAAATGTAAGAACCACTAGCAAAGAGTAAGGTAGAGCTGTGCTTCTTTGCTGTTTGTGTTTTACCTGCTCCTAAGCAAACAGTATTACTGTTTTAAATACTTGAAAAATTATTTATCTGCATTTAAAAAATAACATATTAATCAAGATCTTAGATAACTGCCGGTAATACCAGAGAGCCTGTTGCTGCTGCAGTGTGTGCTAGAGGAATTCTGCTGTCTTTTTGACTTAGCTGCTATCACAGTCCTCACATCCCACATGTGTAACAGTAAACACTGGAAGTTATTTTATTTTCTATGCAGACATTTTAGAGTATTATATAAACAACCGCTTAATTAATTTTGGTTTAAACTCCTAGGAAGTGATGAAATCACATTTTAACAGGACTGAATAGGAACCATAAAATAATTTTTAGGTAATCTCTGTTCTCACCCTAAGAATATTAATTCTGCCATTCTAGGTAATGTTTACTCTAATTCACTTAAAATTTTTCTTTTCCCTTTTTTTTTTTTTTTTTTGAGACGGAGTTTTGCTTTTGTTGCCCAGGCTGGAGTGCAATGGCGCAATCTCGACTCACCACAACCTCTGCCTCCCGGGTTCAAGTGATTCTCCTGCCTCAGCTCCCAAGTAGCTGGGATTACAGGCATGTGTCACCACGCCCGGCTAATTTTGTATTTTTAGTAGAGACGGGGTTTCTCCATGTTGGTCAGGCTGGTCGCGAACTCCCGACCTCAAGTGATCCACCCGCCTCAGCCTCCCAAAGTGCTGGGATTACAGGCGTGAGCCAACATGCCTGGCTTCTCTTCCTTTTAATTATTAGAACTCTTTTTTCCTGATTGACTGCTCTGGTTTTACCCAGAGCCAGGTAGGTTTTCCCCTTCCCATTTTGTTATTAAGGGACATGTGCAGAGGTTCAGGACTCCTGAGTCTTTGGGCAGTGCTGATCTCACTCCTCTGCTCAGCCTCATGCTTTGTCTTAAAACTTAATTGTCTGAGTTGGAGCACTTGCAAAAGCTCTAACTCAGGCTAGTGGTTGGGAGGGTTCTCAGAGACTTAATTGCTGCCTGGTGCTCAGGGCCTCCAGGTCCCACTACCTCTGGCTCAGTACAGGCATGGGGAACCAGCCACAGGAGACTGACCAGCTGGAGACTGGCAAGCGTGGGGGCTCTGAGCTGCTTCCAGGGGCCCTGGGACAACTGCTTTTGAGGGCCTCATGTCTACTGGACCATGGGATCCAAGAGAAGAGCCCTTGCCTGAAATCACAGGACCTGGAATGGGGCTGGCAGTTGTACAGGTTGGAGAACTGGGCCTGGTAATCCCTTTAGGAGCTGTGCTCTGAGGAGCTTTGGAGTTTCCCTGGCATGTCTGGGGTGAGAGTGGGGGAAAAAAGTGACTCTGAGGGTTAGGGCAATGACCTACTCACACCCCACCTGGTTTTGTGTAAAACCAGAGCAGCCAATCACGAGAAAGCGTTCTAATGATTGATTAAAAGGACTGCCTTTTTCTTTCTTTAAACCACAGCAATAAAGGGTTTTGCTAGGCTAACTTTCTCAGTTTGGCTTGGCCTAGATTTTCACATGGCTCAGTATTCTCCACATTCACATGGGCCATGGTGTTTGTGGAAGTGAAGGATTGGAATTTGGGAGAATGTGGTGAGGAGAGAGACAGCTGACTTGGTGCAGTATCTGGGCTATGGAACAGGCACTGCATAACTGCTGATGGAGTCTTGGCTACCAGTAGCAGCCGGTCTATCCCAGAGAGGCAGAGGCCCTGAGAGGCAGTTCTGACCCCCTGAGCTGTTGTGCTGGGATCCCTGGCTTGGCATGCTTACCTTAGAAGAGAAGCAGGCTAAGAAACTGATCTCTGTCTCAGCTAAAACAATCCTTCTTGCATACTGCAGACGATCCCTATTAGGAAACAGAACTTCCAGAATGCAGTCCATTTGTAAGTTTTTATCATTCATTTATACCGGAGAGTCAATTAAGATCAGATTTTTTTTGTTAAAATATAAATTGGCAATTTTAGTTTTTAAAAGATCTACTAAAGCTCAGGAGATAATTTAGTGTAATAGTCTTCAAACTGTGGTATCTGTATCCTTGGTGCGTGAAGACTTTCCAAGGGATATGCGGATGCATATAGTTTTAAGGGAATCAATTTTCAGGTCTTTAGCTTTCCTAATTAGTCTTCTAAAATCCATCTGTTTGAGAACAGTCTGAACTCTGTGGATTTTCTTTCCACTCCCATTTCACAATGAACCATCTCCCATTTTTATAAAATAAAGGCATATTTCTCACCCATCTCATATGTTCCCATGGTACTGTCTTGTGTTGTGAAGATCTCTTAGGTGTAAAACAAAAGGGACTGTTTGAGAATGTGTTGCTCTTGAAAGAGGGCAAAAGAAAAAGAGCTTCTATAAAAAGTATTGAAGCAGGTATTTTATTTCACTAGCTTACAAACCAGTGGCAAAATTCTTATCCGTCTTCTTTCAGAGAACTCTGAAGCAAAATGGTTGATACCAGGCTATGTAATAACACATTCATTTGAATTAAAAATTAAAGTCAGACTTATTCTAATAGAAAATAAGTCTTTTTTTATACAAGGTTTTAATTCCATTTAGTACAGTACTTTGTATCTTTTTTTCTTTTTTTTGAGATGGAGTCTTGCTCTGTGGCCCAGGCTGGATTACAGTGGCACAATCTCGGTTCACTGCAACCTCCACCTCCCAGGTTCAAGTTATTCTCCTGCCTCAGCCTTCCAGGTAGCTGGGATTACAGGCACACACCACCACATCCGGCTAATTTTTTGTATTTTTATTAGAGATGGGGTTTCACCATGTTGGCCAGGCTGATCTTGAACTCCTAACCTCAAGTGATCTGCCCACCTTGGCTTCCCAAAGTGCTGGGATTACAAGTGTGAGCCACCGTTCCCGGCCTTAGTACAGTATGTTAAATTTTGTGTGTGTGTGAATCAAATTATTTTCAAGTCTGCAAAAAACTGTATCTCCACAAAGAGGCTTAAATTGCTGACAAATTTCTGGGGTGATAAGGCAGCATATTTAATTAAATAAAAGTAATGTCTCCAAATATAAAGCCTTCAGTTAAATATATCTTTTGGAATTACAAAGAATTAAACCACTTAATTTATAATATAAATTATATTACTTTAATATGTGAAGTAAGAAAATGATAGTTAAATATCTCAACTTTAATTTTCTGGTATGGTCAGACCTTTACAGATATTTCCATGCTATTTTAACTTTAGGATATAAAACAGTAGCAGTCTACTAAGTTTTCTATTATTAAAATTAGTATAGAAATTATCAAAATACTGAAAAAACTGTTTTATGAAAGCAGTACCTCCATCACTGTAACTTATTTCCTTTCTTTTAGAATACATCTTCAAAAGAGACCAGAATTTATTTAAAGATAGTAGTTTGAATTTTAAATTTCCAGTCAATTTTTCATTATCTCAAAATTGAGCTAATGAAGAGTTGATGGAGTTAGGAGAACACAGGTTTCCAACTAATGCCATCAAGGCAGCAGGATCCTCACATCCATGAAGACCAAAAGAAAGATGTAATGGAAGAGAGAACTACGGATCTGTCTTCCATCCTAATTTAACCTTCAGGAAATACCTTCTGCACAAAACACTTCATTAAATAAAAAAAATTACAAGACAGTAAGCTTAAAAAAAAAAAAGGCTAGGACCACAACTTGCCCAGTTAAGTCTGAATGGTGATGTTATTGGTTTTAAGCCTGAAGAAAAGAATGTAACTTCTGCTTCTCTAAAATCACATCTTCATATTGGGCTAATTTAAATTTAAATCACTTAATGCCTTAACAGTGCTAAAAATTCCAAGAATGTCAGACATACTGATATTCAAAATAAAGTACAAAAATAAGTCAAATATAAATATGTTTGCCTGTCATGCTCCTCTTTAATTTACCCTGATGAGCTAAAGTTGATTATAATTATAATAATATATGTTATTTCAAGTACTACTATTCTTTTTAAGAACTCATGACCTAGGACCCCAAAACGCAATTAGGGATATACAATTTGGAGTATGGTTTACTTCTCAGTAAAGTTTAATACTAATTGAAGTACTAAATTGAACAAGGTCAATATTTTGTAGTACTAATCCCAATAACTTGATCCCATGCAAGAAACAAAAGGGAATTTTAAAGGCTGTTTTGGAATCCCAGAACATTGGGGTTCTACCTTAACTTCCTAGTATTCCCTTCAAGTCTCAGTTGAGTGTTAGAGAACAAGTCTTACTTTTGTCATTTTGACAGTGAGGACTGGCTTTGCCAATTAGATTATGTTGTGGACATTTTCCATAAATTTTCATAAATTCCAGGTTTTGATAGAATTCTATTTAAAGCACATACGCAATCTGAAATAGGTTAGAAATTACACCATCTGCATCCATTTAAACCTATAATTAAACATTTGAGTTATAATTTAAAAGTGTTCAAGGCAGTACATTGCTTTTCAAAAGCTTTGTAGAGACAGTGTAACAACAACAGAAAAATTTCACAACCACTGCTGTAGTGTAGTGGAGAAAGCCTGGGCTCTAAAGTCAGTCTTAGTGGCCTAGTTTGAATCTTTTCTCTGGCAATATTGGCTTAGAAGTTAAGTTAAAAACTACTAAGGGTGGCTGGGTGCGGTGGCTCACGCCTGTAATCCCAGCACTTAGGAAGGCCGAGGTGGCTGGATCACGAGGTCAGGAGATTGAGACCATCCTGGCTAATATGGTGAAACCCCGTCTCTACTAAAAATACAAAAAATTAGCCGGGCGTCGTGGCGGGTGCCTGTAGTCCTAGCTACTCGGGAGGCTGAGGCAGGAGAATGATGTGAACCATGGAGGTGGAGCTTGCAGTGAGCCGAGATTGCGCCACTGCACTCCAGCCTGGGCGACAGAGTGAGACTGTCTGAAAAGAAACAAACAAACAAAAGTTTTATCCAGTATATCTATTCCTAGTTTTCTAAGAGATTTTAAATTTTTAGTAAAAACTGTTACAGAATTTTATCAATTGTTTGCATGCATTGAGAGGATCTTAATGATTTTTCAGTTTTTAAATTCCATTATGTGGTGATTAACATTGAAGTTTGAATATTAAATCAGTTTTAAATTCCTGGATTAAACTCATCTTGATTGTGATGGATAACGTATTTCTGGATTTGATTTACTAATGCTTTGATTAGGATATTTTTTGGATTATGTTTGCCAGAGAGATTAGTCTGTAGTCTTGTAATACTGTCCTTGTAAGTTTTAAGTATTAACATTATGCTGTCCTCATAAAAAAGGATGAGATGTAGTCCCTCAAATAATGGTGCCATTTCTACATTTAATATTGAGACGTTTGGAAAAATTTAGTGATAAATCCATCTCATTCTGGAGTTTTCTTGAAAGATTTTAAATTATGGATTCAATTTCTTTATTAGAGATAGGATTGTTTAAGTTCTCTGTTGGTCATTTGGCAAGTTGAGTTTTTCTAGGAATTTGCCCACTTTTAATTTTAAAGTTTATTGGCGTACATTTTTTCACAATGATTGTTTTTCTGTTTACTCTCTTAATGTCCATAATTGTACACATTTTTTCTTTTTCTTTTTTTTTTTTTTTTTAGTATTTATTGATCATTCTTGGGTGTTTCTCGGAGAGGGGGATTTGGCAGGGTCATAGGACAATAGTGGAGGGAAGGTTAGCAGATAAACATGTGAACAAGGGTCTCTGGTTTTCCTAGGCAGAGGACCCTGCGGCCTTCCGCAGTGTTTGTGTCCCTGGGTACTTGAGATTAGGGAGTGGTGATGACTCTTAACGAGCATGCTGCCTTCAAGCATCTGTTTAACAAAGCACATCTTGCACCACCCTTAATCCGTTTAACCCTGAGTGGACACAGCACATGTTTCAGAGAGCACAGGGTTGGGGGTAAGGTTATAGATTAACAGCATCCCAAGGCAGAAGAATTTTTCTTAGTATAGAACAAAATGGAGTCTCCTATGTCCACTTCTTTCTACACAGACACAGCAACAATCTGATCTCTCTTTCCTTTCCCCACATTTCCCCCCTTTCTATTAGACAAAACCGCCATCGTCATCATGGCCCGCTCTCAAGGAGCTGTTGGGCACACCTCCCAGACGGGGCGGCGGCTGGGCAGAGGCGCCCCGCACCTCCCGGACGGGGTGACTGCCGGGAGGGGGCTGCCCCCCACCTCCCGAACGGGGCGGCTGGCCGAGCGGGGGCTGCCCCCCGACCTCCCTCCCGGACGGGGCAGCTGCCAGGCGGAGACGCTCCTCACTTCCCAGACGGGGCGGCTGCTGGGCGGAGGGGCTCCTCACTTCTCAGACGGGGCGGCCGGGCAGAGACGCTCCTCACCTCCCAGACACGCTCCTCACCTCCCAGACGGGTTGGCAGTCGGGCAGAGACGCTCCTCAGATCCCAGACGGGGTCGCGGCCGGGCAGAGGCGCTCCTCACATCCCAGACGGGGCGGCGGGGCAGAGGCGCTCCCCACATCTCAGACGATGGGCGGCAGGGCAGAGACGCTCCTCACTTCCTAGACGTGATGGCGGCCGGGAAGAGGCGCTCCTCACTTCCCAGACTGGGCGGCCGGGCAGAGGGGCTCCTCACATCCCAGACGATGGGCAGCCAGGCAGAGACGCTCCTCACTTCCCAGAGGGGGTGGCGGCTGGGCAGAGGCTGCCATCTCGGCACTTTGGGAGGCCAAGGCAGGTGGCTGGGAGGTGGAGGTTGTAGCGAGCCGAGATCAGGCCACTGCACTCCAGCCTGGGCAACATTGAGCACTGAGTGAGCGAGACTCCGTCTGCAATCCCGGCACCTCGGGAGGCCCAGGCGGGCAGATCACTCGCGGTTAGGAGCTGGAGACCAGCCCGGCGAACATGGCGAAACCCCTTCTCCACCAAAAAATACAAAAACCAGTCAGGCGTGGCGGCGCGTGCCTGCAATCCCAGGCACTCGGCAGGCTGAGGCAGGAGAATCAGGCAGGGAGGTTGCAGTGAGCCGAGATGGCGGCAGTACAGTCCAGCCTCCGCTTGGCATCAGAGGGAGACCATGGAAAGTGGGAGACCGTGGGGAGGGGGAGAGGGGGAGGGGGAGGGGGAACATTTTTTCATTTCTAATATTGTTTATTTGTGTCATCTGTCTTTTTTTCCAGCACTCCTTTTAGAGGTTTATCAATCTTGTGAATTTTTGGTAATGTTGATTTTCTCTATTTAATAGTTGTTTTAATTTTATTAACATCTACTCTCATCTGTATTGTCTTTCTTTTACTTTTCTCTTTTCCATCTTTTAAAGTTCTATGATTAGCTTGTTAATTTTTAGCATTATTGTTTTCTAATGTAAGTATTAAGACTTTAGATTTCTAAATACCACCTTAGTTGCATCTCATATGTTTTGATATGTTGTCTTTTTATTATTATTCCATTCTAAATGCCCTCTGCTTTCTAATTTTTATTTTTGACCTGTGAATTGTTTAGAGTTATGTCTTAATTTCCAATGCTTTTTTAAAAGAGCCATTAGTTTAAAATATTTTTTATTTGTATCATACTCCAGTATTTAAGATTTAAAAATGTTCTGTATGGTTTTCAAAATAGTATTTCTTCTTGTAGTTGTATTGCATTTGTGTCTACTAGATTCAGGTTGTTACTTAGATTGTTCAAACTTTTGTATGCTTCACTTATCAATTACTGAGACAGGTGTTAAAATTACCTAGCTTAATGGCAAGTTTGCCAATTTTTCTGTGTAACTCTTGTCAGTTTTTGCCCATTTTATACATTGAGGCTAGGTCAGTTAGGTATATAAAGTGTAGAATTTCTGTGTTTTCCTGATGAATTGCACCTTTTTCTAATGACAGTCATTATCTGTAGTGAAGCTTTTTGCCTTAAAGTTTCCCCTTTCTCTTCATATTAATATAAATAATATACCTTTATTTGGATATTATTTACCTGGTTTATCTTTGTCCATACTTTTATTTTCATTCTTTCTGTATTCTTGTGTTTGGATAGTTTTTGGAAACAGCATATAACTGGATTTTTCTCCTGTGGTGTGAAATCTTTGTATTTTAATGGAGCAGGGAGGCCATTTAGATTTATTATAAATACAGATTTATTTGGATATATTTCTACCATTTAAAAAGCTTTTTCTATATTTATTTTTCCGTATGTTCTCACTGTCTTTTAGATTAATTCAGTATATTTGCCAGATTTAATTTTCCCCTCTAGTTGTTTGGAAGACATAACACTTCATTTCTCTTCGGTTTGAGACTGCCCAGTTGAAATTTCCACATTTAAGTTATGAAAGTAATCACTTTCTTTTATGCTCTTCCTAAGGATCCTCTCCTGTGACTTCTAGTCTCTGTTTCTTTTAATTTAGAAAAAGATAATCTGATTGGAATAGTTTGGGTCAGGTGCCTACTTTTGGATCATAGCTATTATAAGGTGTGGAAGGTGGAGAATTTTTGTGGAGATGTGGCCACTGGGGGGTTCCTTTCCTTCACTCCTTGCATCTCTACTACCCTATTCATGAACTGTATATTGTTAACTTTTATCAGCCATTTTAGGAGATATATACTACGGAATTGCTGCAAACCCAAATATATGTAATTCCATAGTCTTTCTGTAAGACTATTTCTCTCAAATTTACAGGGTGGGGGAAATACTCTTCCTTTTTTTTTTTTTTTTTTTTTTTTTTGGTGTATACGAATATTTGAAAACTATCAAACCAGGAAACACCTCCCCCCACCACCACCTCCCAATCCCAAACCTGTCATCTCTCATTGGCTAAGCTGTTCCAAGAGCTTTGGGTTATTTGTGTTTTTTTTTTTTTTTTCCTTGTTTCTTCCATTCTTTTCCTTTGGTGCTTATCTGAGAATTCCTACGGAACTTTGAGGAAGTGTCATCAGTATTTCACAGTTAGAACGAACTATTGTCCTAACATTTCATGGAGGTTCAGGACCATGGACAGATCACATGTGCTACCTGTCTCAGTCCCACCCACATATTTTAGCAGGTTAAAATATTCTTCTGAAGTCTCCACTGGCATCATTCTTTTCCTTATAAGTTGAACTCCTCCCTATTTTTATCAGTCATCTTACAGCCAGGTCTTGCCTCTTTAAAGTTGTTTTGTTGTTGTTGTTGGTTTTTTTTTTTTTGAGACAGAGTTTCGCTCTTGTCGCCCAGGCTGGAGTGCAGTGGTGCCATCTCGGCTCACCGCAGCCTCAGCCTCCTGAGTGTCTGGGATTACAGGCATGCGCCACCACGCCCGGCTAATTTTGTATTTTTTTAGTAGAGATGGGGTTTCTCCATGTTGTCAGGCTGGTCTCGAATTCCCAATCCTCAGGTGATCTGCCCGCCTTGGAGGCGTGAGCCACCATGCCCGGCCTTTTTTTTGAGACAGAGTCTCATTCTGTCACCCAGGCTGGAGTGCAGTGGTGCAATCTCGACTCACTGCAACCTCTGCCTCCCGGGTTCAAGCAGTTCTCCTGCCTCAACCTCCCGAGTAGCTGAGATTACAGGCATGCGCCACCATGCCTGGCTAATTTTTGTATTTTTGGTAGAGATGGGGTTTCACCATGTTTGCCAGGCTGGTCTCAAACTCCTGATCTCACCTTAGGTGATCCACCCACCTTGGCCTCCCAAAGTGCTGGGATTACAGGCGTGAGCCACCGTGCCCAACCCCTCTTTGAAGTTTTTATCTCACTTATGTATAAAATACTTATCTTGCCAATACGTTTGAGTTAGTAAATAGTTTAGTCTCTGCAAAGAAATGGAGAATTAGATAGGTTAAGTAACTTATTTAATGATGGAGCCAGGTTTTGCAGTCAACTTTTTCTGACTCTGAAACCATATCTCTCAATTACTTGATATACTTCATTAAAAAAATAATTATTCTGTTCATTATACTCTTGGTTTATGACTTTAAAAATATGTTTTAAAATCAACTTATAATTTATTTTTGAAATTACAGGGCCAGGAGCAGTAGCTCACATCTGTAATACTAGCTATTAGGGAGGCTGAGGCAGAGGGTCACTTGAGACCAGGAGTTTGACACCAGCCTGGGCAACATAGTGAGATCCCAAATCTAAAATCAAAAACACCTTACACATTTGCCCAATTTTCTATTATAGTGTTCTTTTTTTTCTTACTATATTGTAAGAGCTCCTTGAATTTTAGGGATAGCAACCCTCTGACCATCATAGATTACATATATTTCCCCCATTTGTATTTTTTCTTTTTAACTTAGAGTATTTTTAAAAATAAAACTTCAGTACATAATAAAACTATCTTTTATTTAGTTAAATCTTTTCCTTTAGGGTTTTTCTTTTGGCATTCTGTTTAGAAAACTTCTTCCCCATCCAAAGAACATAAAAATATCCAATTCTGATATATCTGTGGTATATGTAGGTTACTTTTAGATTGTCTATATTGGAACTGATAATTTTAGAACACACTTTAAGAGCAGTAGGGTAAGGACCTTAATATTTCTTTTTAAATGTTTTCTTGGCTTTTCTCCTACATTTATTCTTATAGGTGACCTTAAAATTATCTTTACATTCTCTTTCTTTTTCCAAAATCTAATTTGGAAGAACTTTTAAAAAGATAAACAAAGTGGCCAAACTTTGCTTTTCACTTTTGTCATATTTTAAACATATGAAAGAGTTAAACATTAATTTATAATAGTGTTCTTACCAGCTGGATAGAAATACATTTACTTAGTACCTATATTTATTTTTTCTTTCTTTGTAATTTATCTTCTAGGAAGCTATTTTGTAAAATTTATGGTGAACCAGTTGTTGATTTATACATTATTAGTGGTGTGATAACTGAGGATGCTCGAAAGAAGGCATGTAATGAGATTGTTGCTATGGGAAGATTGAGTAGGTAACTACCCAGAATGTTTCCCATTTCTAGTACAATATCTGGTATTGAATAGGTGCTCAGTAAAGAGTTAAATACATGAAGAGTTAAATGAATACTGAAGACTTTTTTTGGGTGAATTTACTAAGCTCGTAATTTCAGCCTTATTGATCAGAATCAGAGATACAAGTATATTCAGTAGTCTTATTTATAGGAGGCAAAGTAGATGAACTAGAATGCCAGTTAGGAATTTCCAATAAAGAATATATCTATCAGCCATCAGAGTCATTTGTATCGTTCTCCCCACTGCTTTTTTTTTTCCTACAGGAAAAATTTTATCAGATGTTTACTTGAAGAATGAAACTGGAATAAGGATAGCTACTTTAGTGAATTTAAGTTCTGATAGCATGATAGGAATGATGTGCCAAGTGGATTAATATTTTTGCCCAGTGTTTAACATATCCCTCTACTGTGCACAAAAGACTGCTACCTAAATTTCTCACTCACAGATTTTCTCTACTGATAATATCTGCCTCCTGGCCACGTACTTTCTTTAGCTGTGTCATTAGCTCACCATTAGATCTTGCTCTGATTTAGTCATAATTATTTAAAAGAAAATACACAAGTTGTACATGAATATATGTTTATTTAAAAAACAGTATAATTAACATTTATTGAGCCATTTTATGCACCAGATATCACATTAAGTATTATATATTCTTATTTAATTAAAAACCCATTTTTAACCCATTGAGGGACTCAAACAGGTACTTACATGCCAGTGTTCATAGCACTGGCATGTAATAGCCACTCACAATAGCCAAAAAATGTAAACACCCCAAGTCTTCATTAACTTGTAGTTGGATAAAATGACTGTAGCATAAGCATACAGTGGAGTATTATTTAGCCATAAGAAGAGTGAATTTCTGACACATGCTGTGCAACATCACTGAACCTTGAAAACATGCCTAGTGACATAAGCCAGACATACATGATTCTGGTTATACTCAGTATATAGAATAGGCAAATTCCGTAGAGACAGAATGTAGATTAGTGGTTACCAGGCATGGGATGTGGTGGTGGGTCGGGGAGGGGATGGGGAATTATTGCTTAATGTTTACAGAGTTCTGTGTGGGGTGATGAAATTGTAGAAATAGTGATCCTAATGTTTGTACAACATTATGAATGTAACTAAAGCTACTGATGTACACTTAACAATAGTTAAAATGGCATATTTTATGTTATGTATTTTTTCCACAAAATAAAATTCAAACAACTCATGACCTAGGTTCTACTATTATCACCATTTTACAAGTGAGGTTTAGAAGAAATAAGTAACTAGTATGAGTTCATGTAGTTAAGTGACAGGCATCTAGACTTGAACTCAGGTTTGTCTGACCCCAGATGCCATATTTTTAATCAGGTGGTTCTCTGCTTTCAGAAATAAAAGTGGAGGTGCCGTCTTTCCTATTCCTTATTTCCATTCTTTTGCACAGAAATTACTTCTGATTCTTTGCTTAATTGTTTGACATGTATCCTTTTAGACCCTCTTCCTATGCATTTACTTAAGTATTTATGTGCATAAATGTGTACAACTTTTTCATTAATTTACATACACAGCATAATTAACATTGTTTATGTGACTGCTTTTTTCATTTAACAGTATGCATTAGAGATGTTTCTATTAATTCATGTGGGTCTACTTCATTTTATTTGCTGCATATGTTTCATTGTATGGATATATGTGGGTATAGTGTTTTGTGGCATGGATATCCCGTAATTTATATACCATTTCGGTATTTCCTAGGTAGTTTCCAGTTTTTCATTCTAACATACAGTATTTCAGGGCTTATACATATACTCAGAAGTGGAGTTTTTGGGCAAAAGGAATGTACATTTAAAATATTTAGTTACTGCAATATAATATTTCTTCCACTTCAAAGGATACCAGTTTAAACTTCTAACATTGGGATATGAGAGTCCTTGTTTCCTAGGAACAGAGTATTATCAGTCTTTTTTGCCTATCCCATGGTCAGTAATTGATACTTGTTACATTAGTATAAAAATCTCTGATTTACTTCCAGATGTTAGACATTTTCCATATGGTTTTCTTTTGTTTTGAATTGCCAGTGCCTATTTTTCTAATATTAATATTTCTCTTAGTGATTTGTAAAATCTGTATGTTCTATGTGTTAATTTTTTGTTACGTAAATATTTGTTACAAATATATTTTTCCAATGTTGTTTTATTTTTCTTAAACTTTGTTCGTGTTATCTTTTACCTTACAGGAGACTTAAGTTTTCATATAGATAAATCTTCTTTTTATTATTAATACTTCTGGCTATAAGGCTCTGTGTTGCTAAAACAGCTTTTTCCATTTCAATGTTATGTGAATATGCTCCATTATATTTTCCTAGTATTACTGTAGATTTTAAAAAATTGTTTCTCTAATTATGGCATTATTTTTTGAGTCGTGTGAGCTATGGATTAAAGTTTTTTTCCAAATAGTTCATCTTTCTCCCACTCATTTAAAATACCTATATCTGAGCCCATTTCTGCTTCATTGTTCTATTGGTTCAGGGGTCAGCAGACTGACACACAAGACAAATCTGGCCTACTGCCTTGTTTTTGTAAATACAGATTTATTGGAACATAGCCCCACCTATTTGTTTACATACTGTTTTTGTTTTGATTATGCAAGGGCTGAGTTGAATAGTTGGCACAGAGACTAAAGAGCTCACAAAGCCTGCAATATTTACTGTGGCCTTTACAGAAAAGGTTTGCCAACCCCTGAATTAGTCTCTTTTCTAATACCAGACTTTTTTTTAAATAAAAATATGAATATGGGCTGAGCCCAGTGGCTCGTGCCTGTAATCCCAGCACTTTGGGAGGCCAAGGTAGATGGATTGCTTGAGCCCAGGAGTTTGAGACCAGCCTGGGCAACATGGCAAACCCTGTCTCTACAAAAAATACAAAAATTAGCCAGGCGTAGTAGCATGTGCCTGTAGTCGCAGCTACTTGGGAGGCTGAGGTGGAAGGATTGTTTCAGCCCAGGAGGTTGAGGCTGCAGTGAACCGGGATCACGCCAGTACACTCCAGCCTGAATGACAGAGCAAGACCCTGTCTTTAAAAAAAAAAAGTGTGTGTGTGTATATATATATATGTATATATATATATACACACACACTATATATATACACATACTATATATATACACACACTATACACACACTATATATACACATATATATATACACTATATATATACAGAAAAAAGTATACATATATACATACACATACAAAATACACATATAAATGTGTATTAATGGGTATGTCTGTCTCCTCCCCATATCACAATATTTTATTTTATTTATATACACCCTGGTGGGGGCGTGTGTCTTTTCCTACCAGATATCAAAACTAATAAATTATAGTAAAAATAGAGTCTGGTATTGGAAAAGAAACCGACTAAAACAGAATTGGCAAACTTTTTCTGTAAAGGCTACAATAAATACTTTGGCTTTGTGAGCTGCACCGTCTGTGTGCCAGCTATTCAACTCAGCCCTTATGTCGTGAAAGCAAACGAAAACAATACATAAACAAATGGATGGGGCTTTATTCCAATAAAAACACCTGTGTTTTAAACATTTTTCATGATTATTCTGCATTTCCTTTTGCACCTGAACTTCAGAAATAGTTAACTTCAATCAGATACCACATTAGGCTTTCTTTTAAGGTGAACTTAAAAAAATGTTACTTTTCAGAGATTACATTTTATCTACAATTTTGCCATTTTAAAATACTTGATTAAGTAATGGTACTAGCTCCAGTGCCTGGGACATGGTAGGTGTACAATAAATACGTGCTACTAGTATGAATTGTCCAAGATTCTTTCTCCCATGTCTTTTGTCTGGTGATATGGTTTAGCTCTGTGTCCCCACCCGAATCTCATTTCGAATTGTTACCCCCTCGTATTGAGGGAGGGACCTGGTGGGAGGTGATTGGATCATGGGGCCAATTTCCCCCATGCTGTTTTGTGATAGTGAGGGAGTTCTCACAAGATTTGATGGTTTTAAAAGTGGCATTGCCCTTGCTTGCTCTCCTGCTGCCTTGTGAAGAAGGTGCTTGCTTCCCTTTTCACCTTCTGCCATGATTGTAAGTTTTCTGAAGCCTCCCCAGCCATGTGGAACTGTAAGTCAATTAAACCTCTTTTGTTTATAAATTACCCAGTCTCAGGTAGTATCTTTATAGAAGTGTGAAAACAGACTAATACACTGGAAAATCGCCTGTCTGATGGGTATAGATATTCATTAGCAGGCATCTATCACCTTTTATCTGATAACATCTATGTGAGTTACATACATGACATGATATAGATTGGGTTGTACATTTTTTAAATGCTTAAGGGCCAGCAAACATTCCTAAAACATTAAAATATAGTAATACTATTCCTTCCCCTCTCACAGGTCTTCTAGTAGATGATCTTATCTAAGCTTTAAGAGATCACTGGATTCCTAAAGTGATTTTATTTTGTAGAATTATGTATTCTGTTATGTATTTTAGTAACAGATTAGAACTAAATTGGATATAGTAGGGATTTCATTCATAAATTATCATTCAACACTAAATGCAAATTCTTGGCTGAAGGAGCTTATAGAAACAAAATCTATTTTGTTATAAAAATGCATAAATTAAGCATTTTCTTAGTAGGACCAAACTTTTTGTGATATGTTAGAGTGACTAACTTTTCTTTCCTAATCTTATAATATCCTTCTATAGACATTTAAAGCTTTACTTCTTTATGCCTTCCCCAACAACTTTAAACCAATGTTTTCCTGCTCTTTCTGATCTCATGCTAAAGACTGTATGCTAGATGATCTGGTTGTAAATCCCAGTTCCTTCATTTATTTGAGTATTTAAGGGCCAACAAAATTGTCAGAAATTAGTTTAAAAACGTAAATAAATGGACTATTTAGGTCACATAACTTAAATTATTTTGTTTCCTCATTTAAAATGAAGCTAGTAATGCTACCTATCTTCATAGTTTGTTGTGTGTCTTGGACAAGTTGGTATGCAAAACATAAAATGTCAAGCTTGTTAAATGGAGTTAATCTGAAGATTATGAGTCCTATTCTGATAGCCTAATTGAGAAAAAGTGCCACAAACGTGTAGTTTCAATTTACAGATGCAGAGATAAGTTATAAACTAGTGATAAACTTGGCAAAATTTCCAGGTAAGATTATCTTTCACTGGATAGAATTATATTTTGACTTCATGCTTAATATTTTTTAAGAGCATTTGCTTGGCCATAACAATACAACTAACAGTGATCGAAAACACAAGAACATTTATTACTAAATAAGTCTTGAGGCAGGCAATCCCAGGGTTGGCTCTCTGGCTCAGCAGTGTCAGTGTTAGATTGCCAGGTCTCTGAAGCTCTTCTGTTTTTCCTTTCATGGTTGCAAGACAGCTCCTAAAAGAGCGTATCATCATAGTAATATATAGAGTAGAGAGAGAGCATTCGAGAAAGGGCTTTCTCCTTGTTCTTCTTACTCATTAAGGAAAGACCCTAGAAGCTCTCAGGCCCTTTCTATTACTGGTCAAAATAATATAAAGCAAGTTTCACACAGATGCCTGACCAAACAATGGAAAAGGGGAAAGGGCTTATACCAATTATACTGGCATATACCAATTATAATTCATCATCTGGGGTAAAACAAATTGCCACTACCCAGAAATAGGGTCTGTCAATGAGGAAGAAGGGAAGATTAGTTGTTAGGTAACTAGGCAGTCTGCCACATACGATATTCATTTGTTTAAGTAACTTACAAAGTAACAAGGTTTAAAATAGTGAACAAAGCGGACTTAATCCCCGGAATTCTTGAGTTTTTTTCTTTCTCTGTTTAAGAGATGCCATTTTTGTTGGGATATTATTATGCATTTTCTTGTCTCCTGAATGCTTATAAGTGTTAGAGTTCAAACGAGGACCTTCTTTGGACCATCAGTTTTTAAAAATACATTCCTTAGAAGAAAAACATTCACTTAAAAATGTTTTATTTTTACAATTATGTATTAGTATTTCTAGTTTCAGAGAGAAGGAGAAACTAGGGTCTAGAGGATAATATACCCAAGTTCAAATAGATGGGAGGTTCTAATTGTAATATCAGTTAATAATTTTTGAATCTTTTTTTTTTTTTTTTAAGACGGAGTCTCGCTCTGTCGTCACCAGGCTGGAGTGCAGTGGCGTGATCTTGGGTCACTGCAACCTCCACCTCCCGGATTCAAGCGATACTCCTGCCTCAGCCTCCTGAGGAGCTAGGATTACAGGTGCATGCCACAATTCCGCCCGCCTTGGCCTCCCTCCCAAAGTGCTGGGATTACAGGCATGAGCTACTGTGCCCGGCCTAATTTTTGAAACTTTTTTTTATGCCCCACGTACTGTACTTAACTACTTTTCATAAATTGTTTTATTAAATCCTCATGACCCTGTGAGGGTTATGAGGTATAGGTACCTGTACAGGTAGGGAAACGAAGCCTTTTGTGTCTAAATAACTTCTCAAGGTCTCACAGCTACTAAGCGGCAATCAAACTAACACCTCAGGGTTGTTAGATGCCAAAGTGTGCACTTTTAGCACGCTTTGGTGTTTGTGCTGCTGGTCTTCCTACCACTGTGGAAGTGGTTGCTGGAATCTTAGTACACAGCATGTTAAAGTTTCTGTTAAAATTTGGTACTGTTAGTTTTACCTTGGATACAATGCAATGCAGGATTTTTTTCCTGCTGCGTCCATGAAGCCAAATCCTCAGTGTGATGACAGAAATTGCAGAAAGAATGTAAGAAAAAGGTAGCAGCACTGCCCAAATGAGGTTATACAAGAAGAGGAAGAGATAATCCATGAATATACCGAGTGGGGTATTGAGCTGGTATCTGAGGTTTCAGAAGAGGAATTGAAAAATTCTTCAGGTCCAGTTCCAGACTTACCTGAAGGAATTACAGTGGCATACACAATTCCAAAAAAGCAAGAAGATTCTGTCACTGAGGTAACAGTGGAAGATTCTTTAAAGCTTGGAAGACCTCATGGCCAAGATTAAGAATATGTACATAATGGACTGGCATATATTTTATTTCTCATGTTAAAGCCTCTTACCTTGAAATTAAAAAATTTTTAAAACTGGTAAAACTTAGGGCAACATTAATTAATGTATACTCTTAACTGAATTGTTATACTTTTTGAAAATCCCGTGACTTGCTTGTTTCTCTCCACTCCAACTAAATCATTAACTCTCCTAAAATGTATGTTTCATTCTAGTAAGAAAACCTCAAAGGATATTGTAGGATATAAATCTTATTTGAAAATATAGCCATTGAAATGTTTTGGCCTTTTGGAGTTGGGGAATGACAAATCTGATCCTGGAATCTTTTTCTTTTCAGTAATCCCTTGTGTCTGTTGCCTGAGGGACATGGACAATAAAGCAGTACATGATCCTCAGATACAGGGAGAAGGACAAGGCATATAGCTTATTTATTAGAGCCAGCAAGCATCTGCTCATTATGTTTGGAATTGCTTTCTATAAGAAAATTTTGCCCTCTACTACTAACTTGACCAAAAATGAATTTAAAATTGCCTGTGAAATAACATCCTCTCAAATGTTTGCTGATGAAATTCAAGTTGAAATGTATTCATTGCAAAAGTCTATAAACCTGTGGATTATATATTCAAAATAAGACAAAGGCAAATAAAAAGCAGCTGTCTTCATGAATAGACAAAAGTTGCTTTCAGGAAGTATAAATTATATTCTGCACTGACCAAAGAATAGAAGTTATTGCATCTGTGGAACATATATCTGGAGTTACTATACTAAAGAGCAGGGCATGAATTTAGACTAAAATCCATCCAGATTACACTCATTCTTTAGGCCACTGCTGGATACTTCATTTACATTTGATTCTTGGCTGGGCACGGTGGCTCATGCCTGTAGTCCCAGCACTTTGGGAGGCTGAGGTGGGTGGATCACCTGAGGTCAGGAGTTCGAGACCAGCCTGGCCAACATGGTGAAACCCCGTCTCTACTAAAAATACAAAAATTAGCCGGGCATGGTGGTGGGCTCCTGTAATCCCAGCTACTTGGGAGCCTGAGGCAGAAGAATCACCTGAACCTGGGAGGCGGAGACTGCAGTGAGCCAAGATCATGCCATTACACTGCAGCCTGGGTGCAGAGCGAGACTCCGTTTCAAAAAAAAAAAAAAAAAATTGATTCTCAAGGTAATGAGATATCAGCAAGGTTTGTCTTGTATAGTGGGCATAAAAGAAAAGTTCTAAATTGCCTCTGCAATGACTTGTAGTCAGTGGAAGAGTATCATTTTCCCTGATCATGACCACTATGCTGTAAATTGATATAAATTAACTTTCTCTGGAGTTACACACAAATAACGAAGATTTAAGAGAACCTTGGCTGAAATAAATTTCCAGTTGTTTGGAGGCTAATAAATACCATGCAGGTGTAACCATTAAAAAAATTATTATATAAACTACTATATTATGTAAACTACAATATTTTAGCTTTTCTGTGTGAGAAAGTGATTTTTGTTTGTTTGTTTGTTTGAGACAGAGTCTTGCTCTGTCACCCAGGCTGGAGTGCAGTGGCACGATCTTGGCTTTCTGCAGCCTCAGCTCCCGGGTTCCAGTGATTCTCTTGCCTCAGCCTCCCAAGTAGCTGGGATTACAGGCGTGTGCCACCATGCCTGGCTAATTTTTGTATTTTTAGTAGAGACGAGATTTCACCATGTTAGCCAGGCTGGTCTTGAACTACTGACCTCAAGTGATCTGCCCACCTCTACCTCACAGGGTGCTAGGATTACAGGCATGAGCCACTGCACCCAGCCAAAAATGATTTCATAAAAATTGTTAAAAATCTGTAGCTGCTTTGTTACCTTCATTAACTCTTTGTGATTAAAGTTGCAAGTTTATTGCAGTAATGGGAATGTGTTAGATTAATGTTTAGGTGAGTTATATTTTAAAATCTGTGTAGTATATTTATAGTTCACCCAGTAATTAGAACACCGTATCTTAATTCCTTATTGTTCCTCTAGTGTGTCACAGGAGGTAGAGTTTATTGATGCTGGGATTGCGGATGTGAAAATAACATTCTCAGGGTATCTTATGACTTAAAAGGCCGATTTTTTAACCAGTGATATTTTCTGTGATTGTCTATAATTTGGTTTAAATTTATACTTAATAAGGGCCAGAATACATGGCTATATTCTTAGTATCCTTTAGAACATTATTTCTTAGTCAAAGTTTATGAGGCATCTAGCAACATTTTACATGATATATAAAATTGGAGGTAAATGTGCTTTTTCTTGGGAGGAATTCATAGCCTTAAACTATTCTTGGAGGAGTGTATGATTCTCTCTCTGTACTTTCCCCTGTTTTTCAATTATTGCTTCAGAGTATTTTTTTTTTAAGTTTGAGTACTTTAAACAGCATAGAGAAGTAAATCAGTGACTTAAAAATTCATTATTTTGTCCTATATGCACATGTTAATATATCATTACATTTCAGTGGCAGTATTTTTCATTTCTTGTTTTACTTGGTTAATTTTCAAATCTCTGTTCTTTCATTATTTGTATTTCTTCTATCTCTTGAATCATTGTTACCCACTTCATGGTATTTTTCAGATTGTATTATTCTCTTGAGTTCTTGAGGGTACTAATCTTCCCATTTGTTTTGATTGCCAACTTTCCCCATTTTGGTGTTCTATTTCCTCATTTAGTTTAATTTTTTTTCAATTGTGAGCTCACTTTTGACTGAGGTAGATTTTTCTGGGATGAGTTCCTTTCCCTCTGAATGCTTTTGCTTCTGTGGGATAGGAACTAGATTTAATATTAATTTCTTGGCAGAGGATTTCTTTACCACATGGGCAGTATGGATTCAGACTCCAAACCCTCATGTTTTCCTCTTATGCTGCCCCCCACCAACACCCTAGGTTGCTTCACTGGACAAGAATCAGAATTTTTATTATTCCCTGACATGGGGAAAGGGTCCTGGTTTTAATGAGAGGTAATCATTCCAGTCCTCTACCTCTGTTAAGCCACCAGCAATACCTTCATTCGTTGTGGATCGAATGATCCCTAACAGGCACCTGTTAGGGCCTGTGTCCAGGACTTTTGCTTTTGCAGCATCTATTCCTGTGTTTAAAGTTTTGATTATTTTTCTTTATTTCTAATTCTTGGGGATTTCTCTTCCTTTCTTCTCCTTCATTAGTTTGATTGTATATTTAAAATCTCTCATGGTTGTTTGTTTTATTTAGCATTTCTATGTGTATTTGTGTATGTGTGGGTCTGTGTTACTGCTTACTGTGTTGTCAAGCCCATATATGCACAAGGACTATTTTGAAACTTTGTTTAATAATAACTCAGGCTAGGTGCAGTGGCTCAGGCCTGTAACCCCAGCATTTTGGGAGGCCAAGGCAGGCAGATCACCTGAAGTCAGGAGTTCAAGACCAGCCTGGCCAACATGGTGAAACCCCGTCTCTACTAAAAATACAAAAATTAGCTGGGCATGGTGGCACGCACCTGTAATTACAGCTACTTAAGAGGCTGAGGCATGAGAATTGCTTGAATCCTGGAGGTGGAGGTTGCAGTGAGGTGAGATCACACCACTGCACTCCAGCCTGGGCAACAGAGCGAGACTCTGTCTCAAAAAAAAAGAAAAACTCAATTATTCTGTTAAAAAATTTTAATATGAAAGATACTGGTGCTTAAAGGTGAATAATACTGTTTTTAACCTTCATGTGTCTGTGATTGTAAAAAGTCTCAAATATACCACCTGTAACTTTGTTCTTTGTATATTTTAACTCATTAATGTATAGTCACAGTATTACAGAATTTAGACACAGAGCCTGGCATAATTGATAACAGTTTTAACATGGCTTTATTAACTACTCTTTTCTCATTCTTCCCTATTCTCTTCTAGTCTCCCTTTTGCATGGATTATTCTCTTTTCCTGCCCTACTGTTGGTTCCAGATTCTTATGTTATTCCATTGCAGATAAGGGAGAAGAAGAATGGTAGAATGGAAACCCACTGGAGAAATTCGAGACGAAAGAGAAGAAGGAAAATAATGGGTGAAGGGAAGGTTAAAATTTCTTGCTCCAGCACTCTCTGTTCTCTTCCAGGCCTTATCTTACTCCTTCAGACTCTGTCTTCATTTCTCATCTTTTCTTCTCACTTATGCCTCTGCCTTTCCACTCTCTCTTTCTATTGGACACTTTCTTTCTGACACCATGGTAGCTATCACTAGTGGCTTGCAATCTATGTTCCTACCACCTGGCCAGTAGTTGTAGGGAGGAAGGAGGTTGGATGGGAGAATTGAAGGAGACTCTGTTGTTGGATCTTGGGCTACACAGAGTAGGGAGAAAGATGTACCTTGCAAGGTATACCAGGCATTTTGTATTGGAACTTTGAGTTCTTTTTCTTCTAGAATTATTCATTTATCTGTTCATTAAACAGTAAACAATGAACCCCAGGCAGTGTTTTAGGAACTCACATAGAAACATACTTTGTTCTTTTCAGTTTCAGAGATCTTTTTTATTTAACTTAGAATTATTTCACTTTTGAATCTCTTAATTTCAGCATCTGTATTTATTTCAAACCTTTTGGGAATAAAGAGGCAACTTGTTATGTTGGAAAGGCTTTTGGAGCCTGATAGATCTGAGTTTTAATCCTGTCTTTGCCACTTACTAGGTATTTAATATTCAGGAATTTATATTATCTTTCTAAACCTTTTTTTTTTTTTTCTGTAAAATGGGAAGTTCTTAGTATGGTACTTGGCTTAGATGGCTCCCAATAAAATAATGCCTGCTAAGATTATTATTATCACACAGAAAGTTTGTCCTTAGTACCAAATCAATTTTTTTTGTTTTTGTTTTTGTTTTGCCAAGAAGTACTTTTAAAACTAGAGTACATTAAGACAATGATTAAAGGATTCTGTTTTGTTTATTTTTATATCACATTCTTGAAGTTTGGACAAGTTGTCATAATTTACATAAAACTATTACTTCTAAGCTATTACTTCTAAGTTGGTGTGTCCTTCTCTGAGCTAGCAGTGTCATAGTAGTACTGTGACTTACTAGTCAAGTTTAGGCCAGCAAGTCACATACTATGTTTAGGCCTTATAATATTAATGAGGGTTAATAATATGTACCTTATGGATTTTATGATAACTAAATTACGTATTAGTTTGGAAGCTAACCGTGTCTAGTTGTGAGCTAAAAACCAAGTATTTAGTGTAAGATTCAGGCTTGTTCGGGAAATACAAGGCGGGGATGCAATCAAATGTCAGGAATCGCCAGAACACCGGGAATAAGGAAGCTATCGGAACACTTCCTTTTCTCATTGTCTTTGCCTTTCTCTATGCATCTGCTTTGTTTTTCTCTTTCATTATGTGGAACTGATTTTCTCTTTTGCTTTTAGAGTCATAGTAGGATGTTTGCCTCAACACTTGCTGAGTTTGTATGTTAATTCTTGTAATCATCTGCAGAGACTGACTCTGAGTTAGGTTTGAAATTACTTGTCCCCCAGCTTAGGTCAGATTTCCATATTGGTTCAGTTAACACTGGCCAGTTAAATGGGGCCTCACAATATGCACTTGGCCCACCCCTGAGAACTGAGGGGGAGATTTTCAGAAAAAGGGAGGGAGGCGGCGTGGCAGATACCTCAGAAAGTGTGTGCCACAAGTGAAGTCATTTAAGTATACAGCACTGAAGAAAGTCAAGGTATTGTTATCATTAGATGATGTAGTACTTTGTGAAATATCACTAATAGCATCTATTCAGAATAGCATGTCATTTATCTACCAGCGCAACAGATCTGATTAGTCCCTTATATGCCCTTGATTTTTGTCAAGGGCAGTAGCGTAGTGATTATTATATCTTTTTCAATTGTTGTAATGAATATAAAGTCTTTTGCAATTTGTCTTTTATATTCAAAATTATTTTAATCATAGAGTGTGCTTGAAATGAACTTTTTGGTGGATATAATTTTTAAGAACATATCTTTGTATAAAAGCACTTTTGTTAAATATTGCTAATGAACTTTTTTCAGGAATAAGTTGAACGTATAATCAGTTTTTTTTCAAATGCAGCATAGAAATAAGAAATATTCAAGTAATTGATACATGATTCTTTTGGTTCTATCATTGAATTTCTGAACTCTCAGCTATAACTTGTTAAGGCATCTTTTAAATTATCCCAGACATTATGAATGGAGTGCTCAGTAATGATTTGTATAACCCTTAGCTTTGTTTTGATTCATTTTCTTTATACTACTTAGGGTATCATCATATGACAAGATAACTGTATACCCCTGTATAGACACTTAATATTGTTAATATTTATTGTTCTGTGTTCATATTTACCCCAAATTAGAATAGTCAATAGGTATAATTTACCTGAAGTGTCAGCTCTGCAGCACACTTTTTCTGAATTTCTGATTTAGTCTGGGTGGGGGAGCTAGGTTTCGGTTTAAGGATGCCTTTGTTTTGTGATTTTGTGATATAGTAGAAATCAAAACTGCTTTTAAGTATAGAAGACTGGTGTTACAATTATTTGGGGGGATAGTCAGGCTCCCATTTTCAGTTCTTTTTTTTTTTTTTTTTTCCCGGACAGGGTTTCACCCTGTTGCCCAGGCTGGAGTGTAGTGGCGCCCTCTAAGCTTACTGCAGCCTTCATCTCCTGGGCTAAAGTGGCCCTCCCACTTCAGTCTCCTGAGTAGCTGGGACTGCAGGCACAAGCCACCGTGTCTGGCCGATTTTTATATTTGTATTTTTGTAGAGACAGAGTTTTGCCACGTTGCCCACGCTGGTCTTGAACTCTTAGACTCAAGCAATCCGTCTGCTTTGGCCTCCCAAAGTATTGGGATACAGGCGTGAACCACCACACCCGGCCCCATTTTTAGTTCTAGTAGGTCTGTATGTATCTCCCACCTTGTCAAACTTGTGTGTAATTTTTTTTAAAAAAGGTTTCACCCACCTTGTCAAACTTGCGTGTGATTTTTAAAAAAGTTTTCTTCCTTTTTTTTTTGAGACAGAGTCTCACTCAATCGCCCAGGCTGGAGTGCAGTGGCATAATCTTGGCTCACTGCAACCTCCGCCTCCTGGGTTCTAGTGATTCTCCTGCCTCAGCCTCCCAAGTAGCTGGGATTACAGGCGCCCATTTACTACCATGCCCATTTAATTTTTGTATTTTTGGTAGAGACAGGGTTTCACCATGTTGACCAGGCTGGTCTTGAACTCCTGACCTCAGGTGATTCACCCGCCTTGGCTTCCTACAGTGCTGGGATTACAGGCCACTGTGCCCAGCATCTTCCTATTTTGTTTTAAAACAGCTTTACTGACATGATTGACATACCAAACAATTCACCTGTTTGAAGTATACAATTCAGTGGTTTTGATATCTTACTAATTTTTAAAAATTGTGGTAAAATACATATAACAAAATTTGCCATTTTGACCACTTTTACATGTACAATTCAGTGGCATTAAATTATATTTATAATATTATGTAACAACCATCACATAGCTGTCTCTAAAACTTTTTCATTATCCAAAGAGAAATTCTGTAACCATTAAGCCATAAGTTTTCATTCTCCTGTCCCCCAGCCCTTAGTAACCTTTAATCTACTTTCTGTCTCTATGAATTTGCCTATTCTAGATATTTCATTTAAGTGACATAATATATTTGCCTTTTAATGCCTGTCTTACTTTACTTAGCATGTTTTCAAGATTTATCCACATTATAGCACGTATCAGACCTTAACTTCATTTTAAAGCTGCTTAACATACTGGTGTGTGTGTGTGTGTGTGTGTGTGTGTGTGTGTGTGTGTGTCTGTATATATATATCACATTTTGTTTATCTGTTCATCTCTTGATGGACATTTGGATAATTTCCACCTTTTGGCTACTGCGAATAATGCTGTCATGAACATCATTGTACAGATATCTGTTTGAATCTCTTCTTTTGATTCTCTTGGGTACATAGGAATGGAATTGCTGGGATATGTTGGTAAATCTATGTTTAGCTTTTTGAGGAACTACCCAACTGTTTTACAAAGCAGCAGTAACATTTTATATCCCCTCTAGCAATGAATGAGGGTTCCAGTTTCTCCACATCCTCTTCATCACTTGTTATTTTCTGTTTTATTTAATTAATTTAAAAAATTCAGCTATTGTAGAGGTTGTGAAGTGGTATCTCATTGTGGTTTTGGTTTTCATTTCCTTAATGATTAGTGATGTTGAGTATCTTTTCATATGTGTTTTGGCCATTTTTATATATCTTCATATATATATTATTTTACTTTTAAGTTCTGGGATACATGTGCAGAACATGCAGGTTTGTTACATAGGTATACATGTGCCATGGTGGTTTGCTACACCTATCAACCTGTCATCTGTGTTTTAAGCCCCGCGTGCATTAGTTATTTATCTAATGCTTTCCCTCCTCTTGGCCCCCACCCCAACAGGCCCCAGTGTGTGATGTGCCCCTCCCTGTGTCCATGTATGTTCTCATTGTTCATCTCCCACTTATGAGTGAGAACATGTGGTATTTGGTTTTCTGTTCCTGTGTTAGTTTGTTGAGAATGATGGTTTCCAGCTTCATCCATGTCCCTGCAAAGGACATGAACTCATTCTTTTTTCATTTTTATTTATCTTCTTTGGAGAAATGTTTATTAAAACTTTTGCCCATTTTTGAATTGGGGTTTTTTGTTGTTGACTTGTAGGAGTTCTTTGTATATTCTGGTATTAATTCCTTAGTAGATACATGATTTGCAAATACTTTTCCCATTCTATGGGTTGTCTTTTCTCTCTCTCCATATGAATTTTAGGATGAGTTTTTCTATTTCTGTAATGCCATTGTAATTTTGATAGGGATTGCTTTGAATCTGTGGATTGCTTTGGGTAACATTGTCATATTAACAATATTAAGTCTTCTTCCAATCTAGAATACTGGATGTCTTTTCATTTATTTAAGTCTTCTTTAATTTTTATCAGCAATATTCTGTAGTTTCCAATGTACAAGTCTTTCACCTCATTGGTTAAATTTATCTTTAAGTACTTTATTCTTTTGGATGCTGTTGCAAATGGAATTTTATTATTATTAATTCTTTTATTACTGCTTTTTAAGAGACAGGATCTTGCTGTTTTGCCCAGGCAGGAGTGCAGTGGTATGATCATGACTCATTGCAGCCTCGAATACCTGGGCTCAAGTTATCCTCCTGCCTTAGCCTCCTGTGTAGCTAAGGACTACAGGCATATGCCACCACGTTCAGCTAATTTTTTTCTCTTTCTCTTCTCTGTTGTGTCAATTCCAGATAGAAATCCTCTCTCTCTTTCCTTTCCTTACAAAACACAAATACAGAAATCCCTAGTGGACTTGACTAAGCAGTGTGGAATACCCGTTTTCGAAGCTAGTTAGAGCTAAATGCATACTTTTAGATCAGAGCAAACTGTATGACCTATCTGTTTCACTCCCCTAATGCTCAAATATGTATCTTTGATCTTATCACACTCTGGCTCCATGGAAGGAAGAGAGAAGACAGCTACACCCATGTATTATGATCCTTTAATCATATCAGTTCCTTTTTGTGTTAGAATAAAGAGGGACCTGAGGAGAGGAAAGGAGACACGTTTAAACTTCTCTTAGAGGCAGCAGAATATGTAATTGCTCTAATCATTAAACATTTTTAATTTACCAGTTAAAATTATTAATAAGATTACATCTAAATTCCTTTAATGAAATTCAAAGCCTTTTCCATTTTCTAGCTCTTATTTCTTTGCATTTCTTCTCACAATTCTTTACCATGGATTATTTACCATTAACACCCCAAATTCACTTCCTCGCCTCTCTTCATTTGCTTATATTGTTCCCTCTTGCCTGGAATATCTACATTGTCAAACCCAGGCAAAGCAGCAAGATTCTATTTAGTCCTCAAGGTTCAATTTATCTGTTATCTCCTTTGTGTGAAGCATTAGTATCCACATAATTAGTGTTCTATTCTCACTAATTCTGAAGCACTTAAAACTTTATCACATTATTAAATTTTGTGTCTGCATATATGCATACTTGTCTTTCTTGAATGAAGACTAAGAGTTTCTTGAAGGAAAGTATCATATCATAATCAAATTTTTAAAAACTCCAGTCATTGCCACCATGCTTTGTATACTGTAGACGTTTGCTAACGCATTTTAAAGGAACAAATGAATGAGCGTGAAAGAAACATGAGTTTACTTGGTGGGAATTGCTGAAGAGCTCTCTGGTGCCATGAAATCTGCTTTTATTTTTTATATCTTTGTGTTAAAATATATATTTAATGCTGATAGAATGTTAAAACTGGTCTCATTTTTACATCCCCCTTGCTTTGCATTCTTTTATATGTTATTTGGAGTTTAAACATACATTTCTCACCAAAAATGTAATTCATATGTAAGAAATAAAAGAAAATATATTGTTTTCTTAGGGAAATTAAATCTGTTTATTCTCATATAGTTTGGGATTTTTAAATATTTTGACAATTCTTAAATCATAATTTGAATTTTTGTGTAACTAAGAAACACCATTATTTATATCTAATTTGCATCACATTTTATTAAGAAAATAATTGATATTGCTCTTTCATTTCAGCTAAACCATTTACTTCTAAAGTGAAACAAATGCGATTACATAGAGAAGACTTTGAAATATTAAAGGTGATTGGTCGAGGAGCTTTTGGGGAGGTAAGAGATTAAGATTTGATAGAAGGTCTGCTAATTATTTTGGAAGCTGTTGAACACAATTGTGAGAGAATTTAACAAGTATTGTTACTTGTTACTTGTTAAACAATATTTGTTAAGTTGTGATTGATGTGATTGATTGTGCTGTTGTGATTGATATAATAGCTCAGAAAATAAAGTGTTGAATGAAATATTTCTACTGGGAATTTTTTCTAAGATCATGTTTTCACATGTACTTCATATGTCAATGTAAATATGAGTGTGTTTCTAGACTCTTCTTTTGTTCTGTTGGTCTGTCTTATTCTAGTTTATAAGGAATCTTGATACCTGGTAGTGTATATACTCTGACTTCCTTTTTCTCCCCCTCTCCCATCTCTCCTCCCCTGATATTTTCATAGTATTTTATTTTATGTATGAATGTATGTATGTATGTATGTATGTATGTATGTATGTATGTATTTATTTATTTTTGAGATGGAGTTTCCCTCTGTTGCCCAGGCTGGAGCGCAGTGGCATGATCTTGGCTCACTACAACCTCCACCTCCCGGATTCAAGTGATTCTCCTGCTTCAGCCTCCCGAGTAGCTGGGATTACAGGCGTCCGCCATCAGGCCCAGCTAATTTTTGTATTTTTAGTCAAGTTGGGTTTTTGCCGTGTTGGTCAGGCGGGTCTCAAATTCCTGACCTCAAGTGATCTGCCCACCTTGTCCTCCTAAAGGATATTTTCATAGTATTTTAGAATCAGTTTTTCAATTTCGACTCACTTGTAAAGATACACATGCACGCGCACGCGCGCGCGCTCTCTCTCGCTCTCTCTCTCGCTCTCTTTCTCTCTCTCCCTCCTCTCTCTCTCCTCTCTCTTCTCTTGTCTCCTCTCTCTCTCTCTTTTTTCCAGGAATTTGGGTAAAGTTTGTATTGAAACTGGAGATCAGTTTGCAGACAATTGGCATTTTAACAATACTACTGAGTCACCTAATCCATAGACGTGGTATATTCTTCCATTTATTTAGGGCTTTATAAATTTATCTCAATACCGTTTTGTAGTGTTCATTCAGTATAGAAGACCTCCACATCTTTCAGCAGATTTATTCCTGGATATGTGATAGTCTTGATATTATTTTAATTAGAATTGTTTGTGAAATTTCATTTCTTAATTGTTTTCTTGGTAGTAGTTAGAAGTAGAATTTAATTTTATTGATCTTATACCTTGTTATACTTTTCAAATAGGAATTTTGTTGAATTTTATTAATACTTTATCTGCATCTTTTGGGACACTCATGGTTTTTCTCCTTTACTTTGTTAATGTGTTGAATTATGCTGTTATATTTTCAGATGTTAAACAATCTTTGCATTCCTAAAATAAGCCCAACTGACTTGTGATATGTTACCCCCTTTATATGTACCAACGGACTTCATGTGCTTTTTGTGTGTTGATAGGATCTTTGCACCTGTGTTCTTCAGATAAATTGGCCTGTAATTTTCCTACTTCGAATGTTCTGATCAGATTTTGGTATCTTGGTTATACTGGTCTTACAAGAAGAGGGAAATGTTCCCTCCTTTAGTATTCTCCAGAAGAGTTAGTGAAGATTGTTATTATTTTTTTCCTGATATGCTTACAAGATTTAACTGGTGAAGCCTCTGAGACCAGAGGTTGCTAGTGAAAAAGTTTTAAATAATGTTTAATTTCTTTAATGGAAATAAAATGACTTGTTCTGTGTATGTATTAGTTTTGCTAGGTTTATCCATTTCATCTAATTTTTAAAACTTGTTACTGTATTGATCATTTCTCTCTCTTTTTATTTTTCTTGCTAGGGGTTTATCAGTTTATTATCTTTTCCATGAATTAACTTTTGGCCTTTTGAATTTTGTTATTGTAGATTTGTTTTCTGGTTCTTTAATTTCTGCACTTTATAATATTTTCTTTGGTTTTATCTTGCTATTCTTTTTCTGATTTTTCAAAATAGCATTGATATCTAGCCCTTCTTTTCAAACCTGTGTTTAAGGCTATATGTTTTCCTCTAAGCATTTTTAGCTATAGCAGACATATTTTGGTATGTCATATATATGTATATATTTTTTGCTTAAAATACAGTGTGATTTTAAATTTTTGTTTTTGATCTATGAATTTAAAGTTCATTAAAAAAATTTCTAAACATTTAGAAAATTTTCTAGTTTTTCTTATTGAGTTATAATGTAATTTAAAAGTGGTTAGAACGCATACTCTATGTGATTAGAATCCTTTGAAATTTGCTCTGCAGTGTTCTGTAAATATCAGTTAGGTCAAGTTCAAAATCTTGTTTAAATCTTCCATATCCTTACTGTCATTTCCTGAGGGAGGATTTCTTTATTTCTTTCAGTTTTTGCTGATAACAAATGTACAGTTATTATATCTTCCTGGTGATTAACTCATTCGCTATTATGGAGTGTTCCCATGATCTCTATAGTGTTTTTTGATTTAAATTTTCCTTAATCTGATATTAGTGGAACTACTCCAGCTCTTTTTTATTAGTATTTTCATTAAATATCTTATTCTGTCCTTTTCGTTTTAGCTTTCTATAAGCATATGGTATGTTTACTGTTCAGTAGAATATAATTAGATTTTGTTTTTTAATCAGTTAACATGTAATGATGTTACTACTTGTTTTATATTTGTTTTGCTCATTTTGTGTTGTTTTTCTCTCATTTCTTGCTTCTTCTTCGATTAATGGAATATTTTAAATCATACCTCCCAATTTTATCTTCTTTTATGTGTTCCCCTGGCAATTACCACATGTATCCTTGGTAAATTTATATTTTGCCAATTCCCATTTACCCAATTTCTACCTTTTTTTTTTCATTGCTGTCATATATTTTAGTTCCATTTATATTTGAAACCCCAACATATATATTGTACCTATTTATTTAGGTTTACCCACATATTTGTATTTTCTCTGCTCTTCACATTCATGTACTTCCCTTTGGGATCATTTTCCTTTTGACTTAAAAATTCCCTTTAATAGTTCTTTTTAATATTTAGAGACAAAGTTTTGCTTTGTCTCTCTGGCTGCAGTGCAGTGGTGTGATCATAGCTCACTGCAGCCTTGAATTCCTGGGCCCAAGTGATCCTCCTGCCTCAGCATCCTGGGTAGCTAAGACTATAGCTGTGCACCAGCATGCTTGGCTAATTTGTAAATTTTCTTGTAGTGACGGGGTTTTCCTACGTTGCCTAGGCTGGTCTCAAACTCCAAGGCTCAAGGAGTCCTCCTGCCTCAGCCTCCCAAAGTGCTGGGATTACAGTTGTGAGGCACTGTGCCTGGCCCTCTTTAGTATTTCTTCAGTGTAAGTCTGCTGATAACAAATTATCTGATTTTATTTGTCTGAAAATATATTTTTTGAGGTCCTAAAATTAAAAAAAATTGAAGTATATTATGGTATACACACACACACATACACACACACACACACTTCAGTTTCAAAAAATATACACACATATAACTCGATGGATTTTTACATTTTTTTAGGGTACAAAACAAGCAATAGCATTTTATTGTTATGCCATTTGACCATAGCATTCTTTTTTTATTTTTTATTTTTTTATTTGAGATGGAGTTTTGCTCTTGTCGCCCAGGCTGGAGTGCAGTGGTGCAATCTTGGCTCACTGCAACCACTGCCACCCGGGTTCAAGTGATTCTCCTGCCTCAGCTTCCCGAGTAGCTGGGATTACAAGTGCCCACTACCATGCCTGGCTAGTTTTTGTATTTTTAGTAGACATGTGGTTTCACCATGTTGGTCAGGCTGGTCTCGAACTCCTGACCTCAGGTGATGCACCCATCTTGGCCTCCCAAAGTGCTGGGATTAACAGGTGTGAGCCACCATGCCTGGCCTTATTATTATTATTTTTTTTAATTTTTGTGGGTACATAGTAGGTTTATATATTTATGGAGTACGTGAGATATTTTGGTACAGGCATGCAATGCTTAATAATTGCATCATGGAAAATTGGATATCCACGTTATTTCAAAATGGACATTCAAGCATTTATCCTTTGTGTTACAGAAAATCCAGTTGTACTCTTAGTTATTTCAAAATGGACAACTAAATTATTATTGGTCCTTTGTGTTACAAAAAATCCAGTTGTACTCTTTTAGTTATTTCAGAATGGACAATTAAATTATTATTGACTACAGTCCCCCTCTTGTGCTACCAAATACTAGGTCTTCGTCATTCTGTTTTTTTTGTACTCATTAATCATCCCCATCTCCTTTTTCTCCACATCCTCACCAGCATTTGTTATTGCCTGCCTTATGGATAAAAGTCATTTTAACTGGGGTGAGATGATACCTCATTGTAGTTTTGATTTGCATTTCTCTGATGATCAGTGATGTTGACCACTTTTTTCATATGCCTGTTTGCCATTCGTATGTCTTTTTTATAGAAAGGTCTATTCAAATCTTTAGCCCATTTTAAAAATTGGATTATCAGATTGTTTCCTATAGAGTTGTTTGAATTCCTTGTATATTCTGGTTATTAATCCCTTGTCAGATGAGTAGTTTGCAAATATTTCCTCCCATTCTGTGGGTTGTCTCTTCACTGTGGTTTGATTCTGTCTCTTCACTGTGGGTTGATTGTTTCCTTTGCTGTGCAGAAGCTTTTTAATTTCGTGTCATCTTATTTGTCCATTTTTGCTTTGGTTGGCTGTGTTTTAAGAAATTTTTGTGCAGACCAGTGTCCTGGAGATTTTCACCAATGTTTTCTTTTAGTAGTTTTATACTTTGAGGTATTAGACTTAAATCTTTAATCCATTTTGATTTGTTTTTTATGTAAGGTGAGAGATAGGGATCAAATTTCCTTCTTCTGCATATGGTTATCCAGTTTTCCCAGCACCATTTATTGAAGAGACTGTCTTTTCCCTAACATTCTTGGCACCGTTGTTGAAAATTAGTTCCCTGTATGTATGTGGATTTCCTTCTGGGTTCTTTATTCTGTTTCATTAATCTATGTGTCTGTTTTTATGTCAGTACCATGCTAGTTTGGTTACTGTAGCTCTGTAGTATCATTTGAAGTCAGGTAATATGATTCTTCCAGTTTTGTTCTTTTTGCTTGGGATAGCTTTGGCTATTCTGGGTCTTTTGTAATTCCATATAAATTTTAGGATTATTTTTTCTATTTCTGTGAAAGAATGTCATTAATACTTTGACAGGGATTGCATTGAATCTGTAGATTGCTTTGGGCAATATGGATATTTTAACAGTATTGATTCTTCTAACCCATGTACATTGAATATTTTTTCAGTTTTTTGTGTCCTCTTCAGTTTCTTTCATCAGTGTTTCATCAGTATATTGATGTATGTGTGTGTGTGTGCATACCTCACATGTATGTTTATATACTTCAATTAAAAAATACACATAGATAACTTGATGAATTTTTACATTTTTTTGTAGGGGACAAATAAATAATAGCATTTTATTCTTATGCCATTTGACCATAGCATTTGTGTTCTGTAGTTTTCACTGTAGACATCTTTTACTTCTTTGGCTGATTTAAATCCTAGGTATTTAATTTTATTTGTGGCTATTGTAAATGGGATTACTTTTTTCATTTCTTTTTCAGATTGTTCACTGTTGGCATAGAGAAATGCTACTGATTTTTGTATGTTGATTTTGTATCCTGCAACTTTACTGAATTTGTTCATCAGTTTGAATAAGTTTTTTTGTGTGTGTGTGTGGAGTCTTTAGGTTTTCCAAAATATAAGACCATATCATCTTCAAACAAGGATAATTTGACTTTTTTCTTTCCAATTTGGACACCTTTCATTCTTTCTCTTGTTTAATTGCTCTAGCTAATACTTAAAGAACTATGCTGTACTTGAATATTGATATCTTTCTCTAGATTTGGAAAGTTCTTATTATCCCTTTAATAAACTTTCTACTCTTATTTTCTCTACCTTCTCTTTAAGGTCAATAACTCTTAGATTTACCCTTTGAGGTTGTTTCCTAGATCTTATACATGCTTCATTCTTTTTCATTCTTTTGTCACCTCTGTGTATTTTCAAATAGACCATTTTCAAGCTCACTAATTCTTGCTTCTGCTTGATCAGTTCTGCTATTAAGAGACTCTGATACATTCTTTAACATGTCAGTTGAGTTTTTCAACTCTAGAATTTCTGCTTGATTTTTAAAAATTATTGTTTGTTTATTTATTTATTTTGAGATGGAGTCACACTCTGTCACCCAGGTTGGAGTGCAGTGGTGTGATCTCGGCTCACTGCAGCCTCCATCTCACAGGTTCAAGCGATTCTCCTGCTTCAGCCTCCTGAGTAGCTGGGACTACAGGTGCATACCACGCCTGGCTAATTTTTGTATTTTTAATAGAGATGGGGTTTTACAGTGTTGGCCAGGCTGGTCTCGAACTCCTGACGTCAGATGATCCGCCTGCCTTGGCCTCCCAAAGTGTTGGGATTACAGGCATGAGCCACTACGCCTGGCCCCGTTTTTAATTATTTTAATCTGTGAAATTTATCTTATAGAATCCCAAATTCCTTCTCTGTGTTATCTTGAATTTCTTTGAGTTTCCTCAAAGTAGCTATTGTTTTTTAAGATGGACTGTCACTCTGTCACCCAGGCTAGAGTGCAGTGGCACGATCTCAGCTCACTGCAACCTCCGCCTCCTAAGTTCAAGCCATTCTCTTGCCTCAACCTTCTGAGTAGCTGGGATTACAGGCGTGCACCATCATGCCTGGCTAATTTTTGTATTTTTTTAAAAATAGAGATAGGGTTTCACCATGTTGGCCAGGCTGGTCTTTGACCTCAAGTGATCTGCCTGCTTGGCCTCCCAAAGTGCTGGGATTACAGGCATGAGCCACTGCACCTGGCCAAAATAGCTTTTTTTTGAGACAAAGTCTCGCTCTGTTGCCCAGGCTAGAGTGCAGTGACACGATCTTGGCTCACTGCAACCTCTGCCTCCCAGGTTCTGTGATTCTTCCATGTCAGCCTGCTGAGTAGCTGGGATTACAGGCACCCACCACCACCCCTGGCTAATTTTTATATTTTTAGTAGAGATGGGGTTTCACCATGTTGGCCAGGCTGGTCTCGAGCTCCTGACCTCAAGTAATCCACCCACCTCGGCCTCCCATGGTGCTGGGATTACAGGTGTGAGCCACCGTGCTTGGCCCAAAATAGCTATTTTGAATTCTGTGTCTGAAATGTCATGTGTCTCTGTTTCTCTAGGATTGATCCCCAGTGCCTTATTTAGTTCATTTGGTGAGGTCAGGTTTTTTGGATAGTGTTGATGCTTTTAGATGTTTTCGGTGTCTGGACATTGAAGAGTTAGGTATTTATTGTAGACTTTGCAGTCTGGGCTTGTTTGTACCTGTCTTTCTTGGGAAAGCATTCCAGGTATTTGAAGGGACTTGGGTTCAAAGGCCAATAACACAGTGGTTTTTGCAGTCTTATATAGGTATTGTCTTGGTGGTCTTGGATAAGATCCAAAAGTTTTCTCTGGATTACCAGGCAAAAACTCTTATTCTTTTACTTTACTTTCTTCCAAACATATTGGGTCTTTCTTTCTGTATCGAGCCACCTGGAACTCTGGGGATTTGGTGATACAAGCACCCCTGTGGCCACCATCACTGGGACTGTGCTGGGTCAGACCTGAAGCCAGCACAGCACTGGGCCTTGCCCAAGGCCCTTCCCTTCAGGGTGGTGAGTTTCCCCAGGCCCCGGGTGTGTCCAGAGATGCTGTCTGGTAGCCTGCGATTCTAGTTAAAAACCTTAGCAATCTACCTGATGTTTTATTTTTACTACGTCTGTGCTGGCATTCAAACCACAATACAAAAAGTTCTTCCCGCTCTTCTCTCCCCTTTCCACATGCAGAGGAGGAGCGTCTCTCTGTGGCCAGCACCATGACTGTTCCATGAGCAGTTCTGCCAGGCCACACCACCAGTGTTCACTTAAAGCCCAAGAGCTCTTTCATCAGCTTGTGGTGAGTGCTGCCAGGCCTCGGACTCACCCTTCAGGCAGTGGGCCCCCCTCTGGCCCAGAGCCGGTCCAGAAATGGTGTCCAAGAGGCTGGACTTGGGGATCTGAAAAGCCTGCCTTTTGTTCTGTCCCACTGTGATACCTGAAAGCAAGACAAAGTTCCCTTTACTTTTCCCTCTGCTTTTCTCAGACAGAAGGAGTCTTTCACAGTGGCCACCACAACTGGGAATGTGCTGGGTCTCCTTTGAAGCAAGTAGTCTCAGACCTCAAGGCCCACAGCATACTCCCTGGGTATTGCTGGTGCCCAGTGGCAATTCATTGCCCAAGAACTCTTTAGTCAGCAGGTGATGAGTCCTGCCAGGACTGGATCCTTCTCTTCAAGGCAGCCGGTTCCCTTTTGGCCCAGAGTGTGTCTAGAAATATCATTGGGGAGCTAGGGCCTGGAATGGGGGCCTCATGGCTCTGCCTGGTGCTCTGTTCTAGTGTGGCTGAGCTAGTATCCAAGATGCAAGACAATGTCGGGGCTGGGCATGGTGGCTTACGCCTGTAATCTCAGCACTTTGGGAGGCCAAGGTGGGCAGATCACCTGAGGTCAGGAGTTTGAGACCAGCCTGGCCAACATGGTGAAACCCTGTCTCTACTACAAATACAAAAATTAGCTGGGTGAGGTGGCACGTGCCTGTGGTCCCAGCTACTCGGGAGGCTGAGACAGGAGAATTGCTTGAACTTGGGAGGCAGAGGTTGGCAGTGAGCTGAGATGGCACCACTGTACTCCAGCCCAGGCGACAAAGTGAGACTCCGTCTCAAAAAAAAAAAAAAAAAAAAAAAGATGCAAGACAAAGTCCTCTTTACTCTTTGCTCTTCTGTTCTTAAGCAGAAGGAAGGAGTCAGTCTGGTTCCTGTGAGCTGCACTGCCTGGGTTGGGGGATGGACAGCTGATGCCTCCCTAGGTCATGAGCAACCCTAGTTCACTGGCTCTAAGCACTAGGAGTTGCCTAGGAATTGGAGTCCTTGTTAGAACCCAACTTGACTGCCATTCAGGTTTACCTAGGACCCCAGAGCACTTCAGCCTGCAGTGGTGATGCTTGCTGGGAAACTCGTTCTGACTTGCTGGGATGGGTGACTCCCCTTTGGCTAGAGCTAGTCAAATGCCCCTCCAAGCATGGCCACTGGCTGAGCCCAGCAGGGCTTCATTCTCTGCTGTGACAGGGCAGCACTGAGTCTCTGCGCTTTCCCTCCCTGAAGTATATTCTCTCTCTCTACCTCATGGCCATTGCCAGGGAATAGGAAATAGGGGTGGCATCCATGATTCAAGACTGTCTCTCCTGTCTTCCTCAATGCCTTTTTTTCAAGATATGAAGTTAAAACCAGGTACTGTGATTGCTTACCTGAGTTTTGGTTCTTGTGAGAGTGCTTTTCTCTTTGCAGATAGTTTTTAAAATTTGCTGTTCCAGCATGGTGTGGGAGAGCTTGAATGGTGTAGGCTTCTATTCTGCTACCTTGCTTCACCCCTGGCCATAGCCAGATTTTTACATTTGTATGAGTTTGTATAAACCATCAAGCAGATCAAGATATAGTACATTTCTAGCATTCTGATAGGCTCCCATTGCCCCCCCCCACCATGTGAATAATCACTTCCTTGTTAACTATTCTGACTTCTATCACCATAGATTTTTTTTGCTTGTTTTTGAGTTTTATGTTAATGGAATTATGTAATATATACTCTGGTTTCTGGCTTCTTGTGCTCAACAGTACACTTTTGTAATTCATTCTTGTTTTTCACTGGTTCACAGTATTTTTCTTAAT
This sequence comes from Homo sapiens, assembly GCF_000001405.40. Lineage (NCBI taxonomy): Eukaryota > Metazoa > Chordata > Mammalia > Primates > Hominidae > Homo > Homo sapiens. The sequence continues at coordinate 227,244,306 of NC_000001.11, read as the reverse complement.
ATGAATATGTCACAAGTTATTTATTAATGGTGTTCAAGTTGTTTATGGTTTTTGGCCATTATGAATAATGCTGTTAGAAACATTTTTGTGCATATCTTTTGGGAGCTATGAGCACTTATTTGTGTTTGATACAAATTTAGAATTGCTGGGTCACAGGGTAGGCTTATTTAGCTTTAGCAGATAATGCCAAATAACTTCCCAAGTGGTTAATGATTTATATTCCCGTCAACAGTGTATAAAGGTCCCAGTTGCTTTATAACCTCGCTAACATGGGTCTTTTTTTTTTTTTACTTTAGTTTTTTTTTGGTGAGTGAGTGGCCGTATTGTGTTATTTCATTTCGCATTTCTTGATAGCGCCTACATTTGAACACATTTTCATATCACCTCACATCACTTAGATATCCTTTCCATGAAGTACACATTTTGGGGTTGGGTAAGTAGGAGTTGCATGGGTGAGTTGTCTGACTTATCGTCATATTCTAGATTCAAATCTGTTGTTGGAGATGTGCACACGTGTGTGTGTGTGTGTGTGTGTGTGTGTGTGTGTGTGACAAATCTTTTCCGTGGCTTGGCATTTCCCTCTCTCCAAAGATCTTGTATTGAACAGAAATTCTTAATGTTAATGGAGTGCAATTAATTAAACTTTTACTTATAATTAGTGATTTTTGTGTTTTTAAGAAGTTTTTTTCTAACCTCAAGGTCATGAACATATTTTCCAATAATTAAAATAAATTCTTTCTTTGATCTTTCAAGACAAACCTTTCACATTTAGATGTCTCATCTCTCTGGTATTGACTGTTTTGTGTTTTCTGAGGTATAGGTCAAAGTTCACTTTATTCTTTGTGGTTTCTGATTATTGTTTGTTTTAAAGACTACCTTTTTCACATTTAATTGCAAAGAAACTTTTAAGTTGGGCCCCTATGTGTGCCACTTATTAATTTTTTAAAAACAGTTTTCAATGTAGAAGTCTTTTTTAAAAACAGTTCTTAAGGTCAGGGGTACACTTGCAGGTTTGTTAAATAAGTAAACTTGTGTCATGGGCATTTGTTGTACAGATTATTTCATCGCCCTATTAAGCTCAGTACCCATCAGTTATTTTTTCCTGATCCTCTCCCTCCTCCCACCCTCTGTCCTCTGACAGGTCCCAGTGTGTGTTGTTCCCTTCTATGTGTCCATGTGTACTCATCATTTAGCTCCCACTTACAAGTGAGAACATGGGGTATTTGGTTTTCTGTTCCTGTGTTAGTTTGCAGAGCATAATGGCCTCCGGCTCCATCCATGTCCCTGCAAAGGACATGATCTCATTTTTTTTCTGTGGCTGCATAGCATTCCATGGTGTATATGTACCACATTTAAAAATCTAGTCTACCATTCTGGGCATTTAGGTTGATTCCATGTCTTTGCTATTGTGAATAGTGCTGCAGTGAATGTATGTGTGCTTGTGTCTTTATAAGAGAACAATTTATATTCCTTTGGGTATATACCCAAGTAATGGGATTGTTGGGTCAAATGGTGTTTCTGTTTTTGTTCTTTGAGGAATATTTTTCAATGTAGATGTCTTGTTCATGTTTCACTAAATTTATGGGTCTGATTTCTTTTTTTTATCTGCCCCAATCCAATTCTTTTTTTATTTAATTTTTTTGAGTCTGATGTTTTTTAGTAAGCTAGTAAAGGATAGTTTTAGAATTCTATTTTTTATTTTCTTGCTGTGGTAGAAATACAATTGGCTTTAAAAATATTAATCTTTTATTTAAGGAACTTGATTATATTAACTTCTTCTAGTTTGTACATAAATTTTTTGAATTCTCTATATGTTCATCTTGATCTTCAATTAATGATAGCATTTGTTCTTCCCAATATTTATTCCTTTTATTTCTTTTTCCTCTATTATTGTAATAGAGAAGATCTTTAATAAAATGTTGAATTTAAGTGCTGAAAGTGGGCATCATCCTTGTCTGGTTTGTGAATCAGGAGAAAGTGTTCAGCATTTTACTAATGATTAAGAAGTTTGCTACTACTACTTTTCAAAAAAATGATTACTCTTTTTCCTTCTTGCCCTAGTCTGTAGATAGCTTTTATCATTAATAGGAGCTAACTTTTATCAAAAGCTCCATCTATATCTGTTTTGATATGATTTTACTATGATATTTGGCTAATATTGATATTATAATTTTCAAATATACCAATATTACAGTACTATAGAAATTCAGTTGGCCTTTTAATATATAGTTGGGTTTGATTTGCTGATATTTTGTTTATAATTTTTTTGTTTATGTGCATGAGACAGATTGGCCTTTGTCTATTTTATAATCTTACATTTTGGAACGATATTATTTAAGCTCATAAGACAATTTGGAAAGTGTTTTTTCTCAATTCTCTGAAAGCATTTGTGTAAGATTGGTGTTATTTCTTTTTAATAATGCCAAGAAGACCTCACTGGTGAAGCCATATGAACAAGGAGCACAAAATCTTTTTGTTGTTTGTTTAGATCTTCTGAGGAAAATTTTACATACATTGAAATACCCTAATTGTATATATACAGTTCCTTGAGGTTTTGGAAAATGGATCACCCTTATCAAGATACAGAATATTTCTGTCACCCTGGGAAGTTTTCTTCCTCGTTGGTTCCCCACAGCTTCCATCAAATGGCAACCGCTGTTCTGAGTTTTAACTGTAGATTAATTTTGACTGTTTGAAAATTTCATATAAATGGAATTATACAGTATGTACTCTTTTGTGTCCACCTTTCACTCAGGATAATGTCCAAGACTCATCCTTGCAATTGCATGTATTAATCGTTTTTATTACTGAGCAGTATACCATTTTATCAATGTTCCACAGTTTATTCATTTTCCTATTGATGAACATTTGTTTCCAATTTTTTGGCTATTAGAAATAAAGCTGATATGAATATTCTCCTACAGGTTTTTATGGAAATATGTTTTTGTTTTCTTTGGGTAAATAACCAGAAGTGGAACTGCTATGCTAGGCAGTAGTTGCATGTTTAAATTTAAAAGAAACTGGCATACTACTTCCAGTTGGATTGTACCATTTTTATATTCCTACTTATGCCCTGTTCTTGCCTAATATTTTTTGTTGTTAATATTAATTTTAGCCATTCTAGTGGGTATGTAGTGGTATTCTGTGGTCTTAATTTTCATTGTTGTTTGCATTTGTGTTATATATCAGCATAATCATGGGGTTTTTGTGTGCCTATTAACCATTTTTATATCTTCCTTTGTGAGGTATATGTTCAAATTTTTTGCTCAGTCTTTAGAAATTGAAATGTTTGTATTTTTATTGTTGAGCTGTAGGAGTTCTTTGTCAGATGTTTTAGCAATATTTTCTCAGACTGTGTGGTTTGTTCATTTTTTAAAAAAATTATCGTTTAGAGCAGAAGTTTTCAATTTTGAAGGTATAATTTTATCAATTGTTTTCTATTACAGTTAGTATTTTCTGTGTTCTAAGAAATCCTTGTTTATACTCAGATCACAAAGATATCTATGTTTTTTTTTTCTAAAAGCCTTCTATTTTTAGCTACTATATTTAGATTGGTGATCCATCTCAAATTCATGTCTGATGTGATATCGGCATTGAGATTCATTTTTTTTTTTGTATTTGTAGCCAGTTGTTTCAGCACCATTTGTTGAAAAGGCTGTTTTCCCTTTATTAAGTCATTTTAGCACCTTAGTAAAAAGACCATGTGCTCTATTGCTGTCCTCTCTATTCTCTTTATCTCATTGTCTGCCTTTATGCTAATACCACAGTCTTGATTCCTATAGCTTTATACTAATGTTGAGATTGTGTAATGAACTCTGAGTGTATGGAGTCCTACTTTGTTCTTTTTCAAGATTGTTTTAATTATTCGAAGACTTTTGCATTTTAGAATCAATATATCAATTTTTATAAAAGCCTACTGATGTAATTGAGTATGCACTGAGTACATAGATAAATTTTGGGAGGACCAATATCTTAATAATGTTGAGTCTGTTAGTCTCTGAAGCAGATATTTCTCTTTGTTTTTTGAAGGTCTAACTTAATTTTCTCAAGGATGTTTTATAGTTTTAATGTATAGGTCTTCTTCATATTTTCTTAAATTTATTCCTAAGTATTTAAGTTTTTTGACTCTGATAAATGATATCTTTAAAATTTTTACATTCAAACACTATGCTGCTAATATGTAGATAATATAGTTGATTTTTGTATCAGACTTTATTTCCTACCTACTAAAGTCATTTATTTTTTAGTAGTTTTGTTGTTATTTTGGTCCCTGGTTTCTTAGTTTTTCTGTGTAAGCAGTCCTGCTGTCTGATAATAGGATTTTCAGAATAGGGACGCATCCTTTTTACTTTGTAGACTTTCTATTTCTTTGTCTTGACTTACTGCACTAGCTCGGACCTCTAATACAGTGTTGAAATGGTGTCACAAGGGTGGACATCCTTACCTTATTCCTGAACTGAGGGAGGAAGAATTCAGTGTTTTACTGTTAAGTATGGTGAAATTATTGTTAGGCAATATTTTGGTAGGTGCCTTTTATCTGATTGAAGATATTGTCTTCTGTTACTATAATAGTTTGCTGAGCATTTAAAAAATATAGTTATTGATAGGTGCTGAATTCTGTCATATGCTTTTTCTGTATCTATTGAAATCATTATATGGATTTTTTCTTTCAGTTAGTTGACATAGTGGATTACTTTGATTAATTTTTTAATAGACTTTATATTTTAGAGCAGTTTTAAGTTCACAGCAAAATTGAGCAGAAAATACAGAGTTCCCGTATACCTCCTGTTCCCACACTTACCCAATCTTCATCTCCCAAAACACTGAACCAGAATGGTACATTTGTTACAATCCAGGAAACTACATTGACATATTATTATTACCCAAAGTCTGTAGTTTACCTTAGGGTTCACTCCTGATGTTGTACGTTCAGTGGGTTTTGACAAATGTATGTTATGTATCTGCCATTGTAGTATCAAACAGAGTAGTTTCCACTGCCCTAGAAATCTTCTGTGCTCTGTCTGTTTATTCATTTCTCCCTCACCACTGACCCCTGGCCACCACTGGTCTTTTTTTATAATCTCCATACTTTTGCCTTTTCCAGAATAGTTAGAATGATACAGTATGTAGCCTGTTCAGATTGGCTTTTCTCAGTAATATGAATTTATGGTTCCTCTACATCTTTAAATGGCTTGATAGCTCTTTTCTTTTTAGTGCTGAATAATATTACATTGTCTAGATACACTGTGTGCATTGAACATTCCATGTACACTTGAAAAGAATGTTTTTTCTACATTTATTGTTTGTTGTGTTTTATACATCAGTTAGCTCTAGACGGTTGATGCAGTCATTAAGCTCTTCCATAATTTCCTAATTTTTGTTTAGTTCTGTCAGTGCTGAGAAGAGGGTTTTAAAGTTTTCAAATATAATTGTGGGTATGTCTGTATTTCCCTGTAGTTTCCTCTCTTTTTATTTTATGCATTTTGAAACTTAATTGGTGCATACATGTTCCAATTGTTCATCTTTCTTATACACTGAGCCTTTAATCATGCAATGTTTCCCTTCAAGGTAGTACTCGTTGTCATAGTCTGATTTGCCTCAGTATAGCCAGCTTTCTTATGATATTAACCTTTTTCATATAGTTAGGTTTTATATTTTTTACATATTCTGATAATCTGTATTTTAAGTGGACTGTTTAGACTGTGGGTCAACAAACTTTTTCTGTAAAGTGACAGTAAATATTTTAGATTTCACAGTTCATATGTTCTCTGTGGCAACTACTCTTCTCTGTCATTGTGGTGTGAAAACTAGCCATAGACAGTTTGCAAATGAATGATGGATGTGGTTGTATTCAAATAAAATTTTATTTTTAAAAACAGGTAATGGACCAGATTTGACCTTCAGGCCATGGTTTGCTGAAACCTGGTTTAGATGTCGTGTTTGTTTGTTTGTTTGTTTTTTTAATGAGACAGGGTCTCGCCAGTGTAGTGGTGCCATCATAGCTCACTGTAGCCTCAAACTCCTGGGCTCAAGCTATCTTCCCACTCAGCCTCATAAGTAGCTGGGACTACAGGTGTGCCCCACCATGTCCGGCTAATTAAAAATTAAAAAAAAAAATAGAGATGGGGGTCTCACTTTGTTGCCCAGGCTGGTCTTGAACTCCTGGCCTCAAGTGATCCTCCTGCCTATGCCTCCCAAAGTGTTGGGATTACAGACATGAGCCACTGTATTCCGCTAGAAATAAAACTTTTTTTTTTTTTTTTTTTTTGAGACAGAGTTTTGCTCTTCTTTCCCAGGCTAGAGTGCAATGGCACGATCTCAGCCCACTGCAACCTCCACCCCTGGGTTCAAGCAATTCTCCTGTCTTAGCCTCCCGAGTAGTTGGGATTACAGGCATGCACCACCACGCCTGGCTAATTTTGTATTCTTAGTAGAGACAGGGTTTCTCCATGTTGGTCAGGCTGGTCTCTAACTCCGACCTCAGGTGATCCGCCCGCCTCGGCCTCCCAAAGTGCTGGGATTACAGGCATGAGCCCCCGCGCCTGGCCAATAAAACTTTTAATAAATGGTCCTGAGACAACTGGATAACCATTTGGAAAAGTCCATTTGTGGAACAAGTTAAAACTCTTACATATTCCAGGACAAACCACAGATGGATCAAAATTCAAGTGTAAAAAATAAGAGAAACACAACCCAAATATCTGACATTAGGCAACCGGTTGAATAAACTATTGGTATAGTGATAGAATAGAATACCGTGTAGCTGCAGTCAAGAAAGTTCACTGTACCTATGTAGCGCGATCTCCAGAATGTATTGTAAAGTGAATAAAATAAGATGCAGAATAGTATTTAAGTGTGTCTTTTTTTTGTTAAACAGAGGTAGGTAGAAATATTGTTTACACTTGTATTTTTATACAGTAACAATAATAGGTAGTCGAGGGAATGGGGTAGACAGGAGTGGGAGTGACACTTATAAGTGGGAGCCTTTTTATTTTTGTTCTGATTTTTTAAAGCATGTAAATGTATTACTCATTTTAAGATACCATGTAATAACTTTTCCAGATTGAGCTGAATTCATGCAAGTTCCATGAATCATTTAAGGAAGAAGTAATTCTAAACTTAAACTTCCCCAGATAATAGAAGAAGAAGGACCATTGCCCAAGTCATTTTATGAGACTAGAATGACCTTGATTCTAAAACCTGACATGAAGCAACATAGGAAAGAATACATATGAGACGCTTTTTTTTTTTTTTTTTTTTTGTGGAGACCGGGTCTCATTCTGTCATCGAGGCTGGAGTGCAGTGGCACAATTACAGCTCACTGTAGCCTCGACCTCTTGAGCTCAGTTGATCCTCATACCTCAGCTTCCTGAGTAGCTGGTACCACAGGCATGTGTCACCACAACTGGCTAACTTTTGTATTTTTTGTAGAGGTGGAGTTTTGCCATGTTGCCCAGGCTCGTCTCACACCTCGGTCTCCCAAAGTGCTGGGATTACAGGCATGAGCCACTGTGCCCGGCCTTATATGATATGCCTCTGTCACAAAAGTCGGGATCATGGTTAACTCCATTGGAAAGGTGGGGGTTGTGATCGGGTAGGGCTGTAGGGGCAGGGTTCTGTGTTATTGCATGTTCTATTTCTTGATCTGAGTTTTAGTTATATATTGTTCACTTTATCATTGTATAAACATAATTTGTTTTGTAGTTGTATGTAGGTATGTTATGATCAATTATAAATGGTATAAGATAATTTAAAAAGGTTTAATAATTATGGAACATATGTCTTACAAATTATTTTTAAAATATATACACTAACACTTGATAGATGGAACTTGTATGAGGAAATACAAAAACTTTGAATAGTTTAAGATTAGCACTTTTAATATTCCTATATCATAAATTGATAAGCAGATAAAAAATCAAGACATAGAGGTATTTGTTTTTTTTGAAGGGAGAAACTTTTAATGGCACAGTTATTCCAATTCCACGTTAAGATGATTGGTAAAGTAGTGATTTTTAAAAACAGCAAAAGCTGGTTTCTCCCAAATTAGTTTCCCCAAGGGATTAGAGGTCAGTCTGTCATTCAGTCAAATCTATATCCAGTAGGGACCACCCAGTTTTGTTTTAGGCTAGTCTGTTGGGATATATAGTCTGCAACTAGCAGAGTTGCAGCTCTAACAAGTGTTAGAAATGTTCATTCACAGAATCACCTGAGGTACATAGAAAATAAAGCTTCTATTAAAAGAATTATGCTACAGAAAAGAACAGAGAGGATATATATACAACACAGGAAGACTCAGCTGATTCAGGGACCCCAGGAGAAAGTGGCTTTCTTCATTTAAAAAGCTACTTACCATCTCTCCTGTTAACTTATTCCAAATCTAGAAAGAAAGTACTTGCCAAGAGATACTGATTATATATGGGAATTTAAATCCTCCTTGTTAGGAATTCCACTAGCAATTCTTTTGGAAAACCTGAAATCAAACCATTTAGGTTCTCACAGAGTTTTACTCTCTGGAGATGCTCTGGTTGGGAGGTTGGTTGGAGTAGGAGTTGGAGCAGCAAGCATTGCGTAGAATGCTAGTCTGTGTGAAAGTCCTTATTAGGAAATTAAAAGGGTTCACTTTGCCTTGTCAGCGGTGAAAATCAGCCCTCAAGGAGGCTGAGAGGTAGCCAGGTTTGGAGTTATTTCCTTTGTTAGGGAACTCTATCTAACCCCCAAAACATAATTCAAATAGTATACACAAAAGTTTGGTTTAGTCCAGTTCTTCAGGCCCTGAAGCACATTAGCCATTGTCTAAACTCTTGAATTATATCTGAACTAAAAGAATAAAAGGACTTCTCACCCATCCCCACTTGCTATATTCAACTTGCCATATTTAAAAAAATACTCAACTCGCCATATTTAAGAAAAAACTTTTGCAGGACTGGCTGGACAGACTACATACTAAAACTTTTTCTAGTACTGATCAGTGTGTGAGATTTCTAACCAGGATTTCTGATTTGATTCCATAGTGGCCTTTTTCTGAGAGAATTCGAAGAAGGCATTGTCACCCTAGTCAGTTTTCTAGGAATTGACAGTCAGCCAGTAGGGGGTGGCAGTCTTCATTCTCCCAGACCAGGCTGCAGATGGTGTAGGTTCTCCTCATTTCTTTGGTGTCATGTTGGACCCTTCAGACTTTGATTGCTGGAAATCAGCATACACAGAGAAGGCTCCATCTGCTGGACCATTCTTGTAAATATCAGCCATGATCTCTACACTTGAAGGTTTACTGTAAAACAGAGGTGTCCAATCTTTTGGCTTCCTTGGGCCACATTGGAAAAAGAATTGTCTTGGGCCACAGATAAAATACACTAACACTAACGATAGCTAATGAGCTAAAAAAAAAAAAAAATCACAAAATCTCATACTGTTTTAAGAAAGTTTACGTATTTGTGTTGGGTCATATTCAAAGCCGTTCTGGGCCACATGCGGCCTGTGGGCCACGGGTTGGGCAAGCCTGCTGTGATAACCATTGCTGTAGTGCTTGTCATCTTTGTAGGAAGGCGTGTAGTGAGGCTTACAAATTTTGAACTTGGGAATGTCTGTCTGCCTCCGTCACATGGGAGCTGAGAGCCATATTGAAATGGTGCTCACGTGGTGGATAGAATAGGGTCTTCAGGCTACGTGGGAGTCATAGAGGCTACCTGAGAGAGAACAGGCTTTTCTTGGTTCAGAAATTCTAGGTTTGAGAAGGAAAGCCTACATACAGCCATCTCCACACTGCACAATAGATGAGCAGTTTTCAGCAGACATCTCCACATTGGTGTTCTTATTGGTCTAAATGTACACCTGGTCAGAAATGGTTTTCATGGCCCCAGATGTTCAGGAAGAGCTACATGAACTCTGTTGATGATGTCTTTTTAATTGTTAGACATTTTGGCCACTGTTCCTGGATCAGCATTTTTTGGGCAGACCCATTTTCTTAACAAACTGTACTCTCTGAGGCAGCTTGGATCTATCCAGGAAAGTTTCCACTAGTTAATTTGCATAGCTCATGTTGGCATTATGGAGACTCAACAGTTTATCTGCAGGGTGTGAAATTGGGGTATTAGTCAGCACCGTAAGGCAGAAAAGGTGGCCAGACCCACTCTTTGGGCTCTGGATCCTGGATTTACTGAAACCGCAGATACCCTGAGCCTGAAGATGCCATGTCCAGTCCTAATACCTGGTTCCTGGAACCCACCTCCACCACTGTTGCCACTTGAACAACATAAAAAAATATTTTAAGGACATGTTATCTTGCTGAACCTAAAAGATAAATAGAGAATTCTACATGCTGCAGAGACTACACATTCTTTTCTAGCTTATTTATGTATTTATTTATTTAAAATTGAGACAGAGTCTCGTCCTGTCACCCAGGCAGGAGTGCAGCAGTGTGATCTCGGCTAACTGCAACTTCCACCTCCTAGGTTCAAGTGATTCTCCTGCCTCAGCCTCCTGAGTAGCTGGGATTACAGGGGTCCGCCACCACGCCTGGCTAATTTTTGTATTTTTAGTAGAGATGGGGTTTCACCATGTTGACCAGGCTGATCTCAAACTCCTGACCTCAGGTGATCTGCCCACCTCAGCCTCCAAAATTCTGTGATTACAGGCGTGAGCCACCGTGCCTGGCCCAAAATGGCTCTTTGAAAGGGTTAATAGGATATTTAAAAATTGTTGGGGTCTTGGGAGGAAAATCACATGATTATTTCAATAAAGGAAAAACATAACTTTGATAGGTATATGTTACAAGAACTCAGAAAATAGGAATAAAGGGGAATATCCTTAACTTGATAAAGGATTTATGCCAATAACCTAAAGCAAACCTTTTATGGAGAAACTTTAGATGCATTCTGTCTAAGATCAGGAACAGGACAAAGATGGTTAACACTATTACAGCTTTATATGTTACTGGAGGTCCTAGATAGTCCATTAAGAAAAGAAATAGAGGCCGGGCGTGGTGGCTCATGCCTGTAATCCTAGCACTTTGGGAGGCCAAGGTGGGCGGATCACAAGGTCAGGAGATTGAGACCATCCTGGCCAACGTGGTGAAATTCTGTAACATCTCTACTAAAATAAAAATAAAAATAAAAAAATAGCGGTTCTAAGATGGCCGAATAGGAACAGCTCCAGTCTGCAGCTCCCAGCGTGAGTGACGCAGAAGACAGGTGATTTCTGCATTTCCAACTGAGCACATGGCACACCAGGACATCATATCCCGCACCTGGCTCGGAGGGTCCCACGCCCATGGAGCCTCGCTCACTGCTAGCACAGCAGTCTGAGATCGAACTGCAAGGTGGCAGAGAGGCTCGGGGAGGCGTGTCCGCCATTGCTGAGGCTTGAGTAGCTTTGAAGGGAGTAGTGCTTCTCCCAGCAAGGAGTTTGAGATCTGAGAATGGACAGACTGCCTCCTCAAGTGGGTCCCTGACACACGAGTAGCCTAACTGGGAGACACCTCCCAGTAGGGGCCGACTGACACCTCATACAGCCGGGTTTCCCTCTGAGACGAAGCTTCCAGAAGAAGGATCAGACAGCAATATTAGCCGTTCTGCAATATTTGCTGTTCTGCAGCCTCTGCTGGTGATACCTAGGCAAATGGTCTGGAGTGGACCTCCAGCAAACTCCAACAGACCTGCGGCTGAGGGTCCTGACTGTTAGAAGGAAGACTAACAAACAGAAAGGACATCCACACCAAAACCCCATCTGTACATCACCATCATCAAAGACCAAAGGTAGATAAAACCACAAAGATGGGGAGAAACCAGAGCAGAAGAGCTGAAAATTCTAAAAATCAGAGCACCTCTTCTCCTCCAAAGGAACGCAGCTCCTTGCCAGCAACGGAACAAAGCTGGACGGACAAAGCTGCAGGCATCACGCTGCCTGACTTCAAACTATACACAAGGCTACAGTAACCAAAACAGCATGGTACTGGTACCAAAACAGAGATACAGACTAATGGAACAGAATAGAGCCCCTAGAAATAATACCACACATCTACAATCTGATCTTTGACAAACCGGACAAAAACAAGAAATGGGGAAAGGATTCCCTATTTAATAAATGGTGCTGGGAAAACCGGCTAGCCATATGTAAAAAGCTGAAACTGGATCCCTTCCTTACATCTTATACAAAAATTAATTCAAGATGGATTAAAGACTTAAATTTTAGACCTAAAACCATAAAAACCCTAGAAGAAAACCTAGGCAATACCATTGAGGCCATGGCATGGGCAAGGACTTCATGACTAAAACACGAAAAGCAATGGCAACAAAAGCCAAAATTGACAAATGGGATCTAATTAAACTAAAGAGCTTCTGTATGGCAAAAGAAACTATCATCAGAGTGAAAGGCAGCCTACAGAATGGGAGAAAATTTTTGCAATCTACTCATCTGACAAAGGGCTAATATCCAGAATCTACAAAGAACTCAAACAAATTTACAAGAAAAAATCAAACAACCCCATCAAAAAGTGGGCAAAGGATATGAACAGACACTTCTCAAAAGAAGACATTTATGCAGCCAACAGACACATGAAAAAATGCTCATCATCACTGGCCATCAGAGAAATGCAAATCAAAACCACAATGGGATACCATCTCACACCAGTTAGAATGGCAATCATTAAAAAAATCAGGAAACAACAGGTGCTGGAGAGGATGTGGAGAAATAGGAACGCTTTTACACTGTTGGTGGGACTGTAAACTAGTTCAATCATTGTGGAAGACAGTGTGGCAATTCCTCAGGTATCTAGAACTAGAAATACCATTTGACCCAGCCATCCCATTACTGGGCATATACTCAAAGGATTATAAATCATGCTGCTATAAAGACACATGCACACATATGTTTATTGTGGCACTATTCACAATAGCAAAGACTTGGAGCCAACCCAAATGTCCATGAATGATAGATTGGATTAAGAAAATGTGGCACGTATACACCATGGAATACTATGCAGCCATAAAAAGGATGAGTTCATGTCCTTTGTAGGGACGTGGATGAAGCTGGAAACCATTATTCTGAGCAAATTATTGCAAGGACAGAAAACAACACCGCATATTCTCACTCATAGGTGGGAATTAAACAACGAGAACGCTTGGACACAGGGTGGGGAACATCACGCACTGGGGCCTGTCGTGGGGTGGGGGGAGGGAGGAGGGATAGCATTAGGAGATATACCTAATGTAAATGACGAGTTAACGGGTGCAGCACATCAACATGGCACATGTATACATATGTAACAAACCTGCACGTTGTGCACATGTACCATAGAACTTAAAGCATAATAAAAAAAATTATTAGCTAGGCTTGGTGGTGCGTGCCTGTAGTCCCAGCTACTCAGGAGGCTGAGGCAGGGGAATCGCTTGAACCCGGGTGTCGGAGATTGCACTGAGCCGAGACCACGCCACTGCACTCCAGCCTGGTAACAGAGCAAGACTCTGTCTCAAAAAAAAAAAAAAAAAAAGAAAGAAAGAAAAAAGAAATAGAAATCAGTTAGCAGGATTGGACAGGAAGAGATAAATCTTTAAGTATTAATAGACCACCTACACATAAAAATGTATAGATGCAATAGATAAAAATTTTGTTAATAAGATAACTGAGTATTTTCAGTTAAGGGATCATCTTACAAAAATCAGTAGAATTCCTCTGTATTCAAAATAATTAACTAGAAGAGATGATGATACAAGATGTCATTCACAATAGCAAAAACAATCATGTCTCTAGGATCTGGGAATTAACCTAACAATGCATAAGATCTACATGGAATAAATTTTAAACTCTGTTACAGTATTATTCAAAAGACTTGAAAACCAGATACACCCTATTCAAAGATAGTACAACATATTTGTAACGATATCAGTTCTCCCTAATCTATAAATTCTATGAAATGTCAATCAAAATCCAGTGGAATATTTTGAGAAATTTGAACTATTAAATAATTTATGTGGAGCTTCTGATTCTGATTATGACACTTTTGCTTATATTACACCAGCTGTTCTGCTGAAAACAACTAGAAAACCTTGACTAAAGTATAAATTTATCTGTTTGAAGGTATAAGAACTATGAAATCAGAGAGGTAAACTCCCAACATTCAGCCCTACCTTTCTCTTTCAGGCAGTTGCCATTACCTAGGCAGTAGCAGAACAGCTAGAAATCTCATAGGCAGGAAAAACATAACTTGGAGTTCAGGTTTCAGTAAAGAGTAGGGCTCTGTTAAGTATCCTAGGTATTCAGTTTCGATCCTTGAAGGCCTATCACCTTTAGGTGTAAAGACAAATGGAAACGAGTCTGCCATTGTAAGACAGAAACTCAGTTGCAATCAAATCAGTTCTTAAGACTCCATGACAGGATAAATATGAAAATTACACCCAGACACATAATCAGTAAAACTTCTGAAAACCAAAGATAAAAAATTTGTTAATACCTAGCAGAAAAAGGACATGTAATTTCCAGAAAGCAGTAAGACAGTTCACTTCTAACAGAAATGATAGAAGTTGAAGATAATGGAAAAATGGCATTTTAAAACTACTGAAAGAAGAAAAGCCATCAATCTAAGACTTTATGCCCGGCAGCAGTATCTTTAAATGAAGGCAAAAACCAGAAGATATTGCTAAAAGAAGACCTAGGCAAACGAAAAGACATTGCATATTCATGGATTTGAAGACAATATTTTTAAGATGGCAGTATTACCCAAATTGATCTACAGATACAGTGCAATCCCTATAAAAATTCAAGGTACCTTTCTGGTAGAAATGGACAAGCTGATTTTAAAATTTATGTAGAAATTTGAGAGTTCCAGAATAGCCAAAACAATTTTGAAAAAGAGCAAAGTTGGAGGACTCACACTTCCTGATTTCAAAACTTACTACAAAGCAATGGTAATCAAGGTTGTGTGGTACTGGCATAAGGCTCATATATAAATCAAGAGAAAAGAATTGAAAGTCCATAAATAAATTTTTACATTTATGGACTATTGGTTTTTGACAAGGGTGCTGAAACCAAGGAGGTAAAACAGTTTTTTTTCCAACAGTGTGGGGCAACTGGATATCCACATGTGAAAGAATGAAGTTGGACTCTACTTCATACCATATTCAAAAATTAACTCAATATAGATCATAGACATAAATGTAACAGATAAAACTATGAAACTCTTAGAAGGAAACATAGGTGTAAATTTTTGTGACCTTGGCTTAGGCAATGGTTCTTAAATATGACACGAAATCTCAGGCATCAAAGAAAAAACAAAAAATAAGATTTCATCAGAGTTTAAAACTTTTGTGCCTCCAAAAAACACCATCAGGGAAGGAAAAAGACAACTCACAGGGTGGGAGAAAATATTTGCAAATCATGTATCTGATGAGGGCCCAGTGTCTGTGTTAAAAGAACTCTGCAACTCAGCAATAAAAGCACAACCTAATTTAAAAATTGATGAGTGATTTGGATAGCTGTTTCTCCAAAGAAGTTATACATATGGACAATATGTACATGAAAAGATGCTCAACATCACTGGTCATTAGAGAAATGCAAGTCAAAACTACAGTGAGATACCCCTTCTCACCCACTGAGATGGCTGTAATAGGCAAGACAGTAACAAGTATTGATGAAGATATAGGGAAATTGGAAAGCTTATGCATTGCTGGTAGAATGTAAAATAGTGTAACCACTTTGTAAAGAAATTAGAGAGTTCCTCAAAATGTTAAACATAGAATTACCATATGATCCAGCAATTCTACTCCGACATGTGTACAAACGCAAGAGAATTGAAAATGTAGGTACACACAAAAACTTGTATATGAATGTTCATAGCACCCTTAATCATAATAGCTAGGAAGTGGAAACACTTCAAATGTCCATCAACTGATGAATGCATAAACAAAATGTGGTATATCTGTATGATGGAATATTATCTAGCCACACAGGAATGAAGAAGTACTGATACATGCTACAATATGAATGAGCCTTGAAAACATGGTGAGTGAAAGAAGTCAGAACAAAAAGCCACATATTGTATGATTCCATTTATATGAAATATCTGTAGGTTTGTTACATAGGTAAACGTGCTATGATGGTTTGCTGCTCCTGTCAACCCATCACCTAGGTGATTAAGCTCCACATGCATTAGCTGTTTATCCTGCTGGTCTCCCTCTCCCGGCCTGCCCCCACCTCCCCACCCCATAGGCCTCACTGTGTGTTGTTCCCCTCCCTGAGTCCATGTGTTCTCATTTTTCAGCTCCCACTTATAAGTGAGAACATGCAGTGTTTGGTTTTCTGTTCCTGTTAGCCAATAGAACAAGTAGACAAGAATCAGTAATGGATAAAGGATATGAACAACCTCAACATAATTGACATAGAACATTATACTGAATCACTGATGACTACTTGTTTCTTGTTCAGTACACATGGAACATTTATCATTTACTAGTGTATAGACATGCAGTTGATTTTTTTTTAATATGGACCTTGTATCCTGTAACTATTGTAAATCCACTTAGTTTTAGGACACAGTTTTTGTATATGGTCCCGTGTTAGATTTCCGCCTTCTATCTTGTCTAACCTTTATTTCCTGTCTTTACCAGTTTTATGGTCACCAGAGGGAAAATTCAAAGTCTCCAAAGTTTGGCAGAAAGCATCAGAGTGAAGGCCAGCTATGATGCCTGGATATCCATTAGTATTCTTAGATGCACTTAATTTTGATGCCATGCCAGTTTCTTTCATCTCACTCAGAAATGTATTTAAATGGTTATTTTAACAGTTTCTCACATTTATGATATATAGGAAAGTAATTCAATGTATCTGATCTTCCATACTGACAGAAGTTGAAGTTTTTGTTTTTTCATATGAATGTTAGTCTCAACTTGTCTGCTTAAAAAAGTGTTATTTTCATTGGGATAATTTGAAATTTACAGATGAAAGGAGAATTGAAGTCCAGTCCTCTTTGGATTACAATGTGATTTATAAGTTCAGAGAAGAGAGATGGCCAGTTTTATAAACTTTTTACTTGTTTCTTACGTTCCTTACTAGATTTTTTTAGTAGCTGTTGACGGGATATTTTCTACTATGTTTTTTTCTTTCTTTTTCTTGAAAAATATGAAAGGCATTTGTTTATATATCCTACTTCATTAATATTAATTACCTTTGTTACCAGCTACCTTAACAAATTACCTTGTTTCTAGTAGTTTCCTTTTTGTTTATTTTATACTTTTTTAGTTATGCAATTGTGTCTTCTACCAAAAATAATAAAATTGGGAGTCTGTACATTGAGTTTCCCTATTAGCTCTCTTGACTCCTTGAGTTTTTATTTTCAGCTTTAACTCTCTATGTAATTGCTCTTACCTGTGCATTAATTTTATTCTGCAGTGTAGTTTCTCCATTTTCTTTTCTCTCCATCTAACCCTATTCTGTTCATCCTTAGATTTCAGGAATTCTTTAAAATATCTAATCAGCTGATGTTACTCTTACTACTTTCCAGTTTATTATGGTTTATTTTTGACAACTTATATTGTCTGTCATCTCATGAGCTTGAAGGTGGGAGGGAAGTAAATGAGTCTAGTTTGCCATCTCAAAACAGACTCTATTTAGACTATTTAAATACTAACTTAAAAAGAAAACATCAACAAAAGTCAATGTTCCTGGCTCTTATTCTTCAGTAACTGAATATTTCTTGGCTGGTCTTCGCAGCTGAGGTTCTTTATACTGCTTCAGTGTTTCTGTCCTTTGAGAACTTCAAATCTTTCCTGTTTCTGCCTCTACATGTCATTGATGAAAGTCTTCATTCCTTGTACCATAGATCCTGGAAGTTTTGATACTTTCCATCTATGGACTATGATATAATTGCATCCTGTTTGAGCTGTAAGGAGGTGAGGTTCAAACCTCTTCTCTTTGCTTCTGGGTTTTAACTAGTATACTAGAGCTAGATCAGGTTCAAAATTACCGGATTTTCTGTTAAAAGAGATCAAGACTTAAACCTGGAGCCAAACTGGAGATTTCCAATTATTTTCTCCTAAATGCAAAGTTGGGTTCTGACTTGGAATCTCGGAGTAGACTCCAAGTATATGTATCCAGCTAGCTGACTTAAGGTTTCCAGCCAGCCTTACAAACCAATTGGCTAGTGGAACAGAGAACAGTATTGAAATATGGGCATCCAGGCCAATTGCAAGAGGACAGATCTTGAGTCCTAATCCATTTGAGTTTATTACAAGGACAGAAGTGAAGTGAAAGGGAATTACTCATTTTTGTTTTTCAACATTTGCCTCTTGAATCAAGAGAGAGGGTGGAGCCTCTCTTGCTTGTGAGGCAGGGTGTTTCCACATACTCGTAACTTGAACTCTAGGAAGAAAAAGGTAGCAGGATAAATTTTACAGAAAAGGGAAGTAGAGCAGCATGCTTTGCCCAAGCACTCATCTCCTTTGATACAGTTCCTTCAGATACTTTGAAATGACTAATGCATTATATTTAAGGCCACTAGTACTAGTCATTGTGTTTTCAAGGAAATCAGAGGTATTCCCTGCTTCACTAAATGTATTTGTCATGACCAATTGCTTCTTTAAAATTATCCCATATTTGGAAATCAGTGAAAGAATTGCGGCAGAAAGAAATCAGTGAAGGAACTGAATACAAGAATAAAGTCAGGAGATGAATGAGTTTATGAAAATGGGAATAAAGATATAAAATACTTTTATTGTTCTAATGGGGAGATGAGAACACCTATACAACTTCTTCCTGGTATTTATACTTAACAACTATTAAATTCCTTATTTATGTGTTTAATGTTTGTGTTCACCAATAAAGTGCAATCTCTGTGAGGCCAGGGAGTGAATTTCTCTTATTTGTTTTATTCCCTACTTAGAACAGTGCTTTTAAATGTAATTTTTTAAATCAAGGGCTAAAAACAGGAAAATGGAGTTCTTTTTTTCTTTCATGCTTCCCTCTTTTGACTAATGAAAATAATACTTATTAATCATCTACTGTAATCCAGTAATTTACATGCCCTTGAGTAGGGTTGCAGTTTAATCAGCAAGGGGGAGAGGTACACAGGATTGATACCCACTTCTGTAATTTGAGGGATATTTTTCCAATTTTATTTCTATTCACAGGTAACAAAATTGATGTAGTTTTATAAACATTAATATAATGAACTTTTCTTACCAAATATTTAGTCTTTTTCCCATGTATTGAAATATTTCTTTGTAAATCTGATTTCTTATGGCCCCAAAGAAGTCCATTATGTGGATATTTGATAATTTACTTAACCATTTCCTTATTGTTAAGCTAGAATGTGTGCTCCATGAATATAAAGATTTTTTTTCCCTCTGTTAGCTCATTGCAGTTTCCCAGTACCTACAACAGTGTCTAGTGCGTAGTAGGTGCTCAATATGTATTTGTAGCATGAGTGAAAGAATGTGCTCTATTTTTTCCATATTATAAATGCCTTATAAAACGTTTTTGTACCTAATGCTTTCACTACACTTCAAATGATTTTCTAAGAATAAATTTCTAGAAGAGGACTTGCCAGTTGAAAAGACATAGAAAAGGTTGTATGATTTCAAATTAGTTTTCTAATCCACAATAATGTTACCTGTGGCTATTTTTCTTTACACTTTAATTTTATAAATTTTCTATAACATATTAGGATTAAAAGAGTTATTTTTTTTCTTTTAAGTACATTTCTATTTATTCAGAGAGCAGTGAGCAGTCTTCTAACTGGAATATAAGGTTTTTGTTGGTGGTGGTGAAAGATGAGGCTTGAAAGGTCACAGCTGGGTGTGGTGGCTACACCTCTAATCCCAGCACTTTGGGAGGCCGAAGTGGGCGCATCACCTGAGGTCAGGAGTTCGAGACCAGCCTAGCCAACATGATGAAACCCCATCTCTACTAAACATACAAAATTAGCCGGGGTGGTGGCACGCACCTGTAATCCCAGCTACTTGGGAGGCTGAGGCAGGAGAATTGCTTGAACCTGAGAGGCAGAGGTTGCAGTGAGCTGAGACTGCACCATTGCACTCCAGCCTGGGCAACAAGAGCGAAACTCCATCTCAAAAAAAAAAAAAAAGGAAGAAACATCACTTGGGCAAAGCAGTGAATGGCTTGGTATGCTATGCTAAGGACCTTTATTCTGCAGGAATTGGAGTCCTATAAACTATTAATAAGCAGAATACAAAAACTTCATAAAATAAATAAAAACAAAATACAAAAAAGCAGAGTACAGATGCCACCTGTCTTTTGAAAGTGTTATGTCCCAGTGAACCCACTGTAAATTAAAAATAAGTCTTGAAGATGCATTTAATATACCTAACCATCATAGCCTACCTACCGTAGCCTAGCCTACCTTAAACGTGCTCAGAACACTTATGTTATTAGCCTACAGTGGGGCACAATCATCTAGCAATACTGTACAGTGTAGAGTGTCGGTTGTTTGCCCTCATGACTGCGTGAGAGCTGTGGCTCGCTGCAACTGACCAGCATCCTGAAAGAGTCTCATATGGCTTTCTATTGAATTCATGTTGTTTTTGCACCATCTGTAAAGTTGAAAAATTGAAAAATCATCAGTTGAACTATTGTAAGTTGGACATCATCTGTAGTGGTATAGTTAGAACTCTTCTAGAAAGGTAATAGTGATAGTGCTGAGCAAGGATTGGTTAGAGAAGGGGACAAAGGGAGGTGCTAGATTTCTCACTCTCTAGTCTCCATATCTCACCAGTCACTGACTCAGTATTTCTTCAGTTTCTTCCTCTTTTTCTTAGTTAGATCCTCTCACCTCAATTACTGCTATAACTTTCCAATGTCTTTCCCTGCCTTAAAACCATTCTCCACAGAGCTGCTAGAGTGATCTAGCTAAAACTATCTGCGCAGAATGGTTCCCCTGTTATCTGTATTTTTAAGGTTCTAGTTTATTAACATGACATACAGCTTCTCTGCTCTTTGGACCCTTCAGCACCATTTCTTGCTACTCCCTGTTGTGCTCTTTATGTTCCTAGGAAAGGAAGCTGCTTATTGTCCTGTGTATCTTCTCCCCCACAAATATTTCCTGCCTGTGTGCCTTGCTTATGCTGTCCCTACTTCCCAAACTATCCCATCCTCAGTCACATCCATTTCAGTCCCCTTTTTTCTGGAGTTCACTGTGTAAGACTCAGGTGTCAGCCACTTCATTTAAAAAAACTTTTAACATACGTATTCACATACTATACACTTTCCTCCTCTACTCCCACTTTGGGGTCAAGGATCTCTCTTCTTTACTTTTTATAGGACCCTGATTTTTATCTCTCCTTTCCCTGTAGTACTGTTATGGTACTGTCTGTGTACTACTGTTTAGGTGTGTTTTGCACAATGGACTGTGAGAATTTGGGGGGCAGGAACTTGTGGGGGCCAAGGGTCCAGCCCTTGTTATTGGTCCAACCTTTGGCTCTCTGAAAGTTTGCTGAAAAATGAACATGCACAAGGCAGATTAATAGGAGAAAAGGCATACAAATTTATTTAACATGTATCCGCGGGAACCTGTATGATGACCCCAAAATACAGGGGAAATTGCCCATTCTTATACTTAGGTTCAATAAAGTATAGACAGCTGTGTAGAAATGTGATTGGAGAAGAAAAAGGGTATGATCTAATGCTAACAGACTGAGTGGGGAAACCCAGCAAGGCCTGTGTGTCTAAAGTCTTCTTGGCCTCTCTGTGCAGCATTCCTTCCTTCCAGGTATGGGGCAGGACCCTCTCTGGAACGGGGGTGTGATGACCTACAATGAAACAGGTAAAATCTGATAGTTTTTTTGTTGTTGTTGTTTCTTTGTTTGAGACAGAGTCTCGCTGTGTCCCCCAGGCTGGAGTGCAGTGGCGTGGTCTTGGCTCACTGCAACCTCAGCCTCCCGGGTTCAAGCCTTCCTCATGCCTCAGCCACACGAGTAGCTGGGACTACAGGTGCCTGCCTAATTTTTTTGTATTTTCAGTAGAGATGGGGTTTCATCAAGTTGGCCAGGCTGGTCTCAAACTCCTAACTTTAAGTGATCCGCCTTCCTTGGCCTCCCAAAGTGCTGGGATTACAGGCATGAGCCACCGTGCCCAGCTATTTTTTTAAAGACAAGGTCTCATTCTGTCACCCAGGCTGGAGTGCAGTGGTGCAATCACAGCTCACTGCAGTCTTGACCAAGCTCCCATCTCAGCCTCCCAAGTAGCTGGGATCACAGGCATGCACCACTATCCCTGACTAATTAATTTTTTTTTTTTTTTTTTTTTTTTTTTGGTAGAGATAGGGTCTTCCTATGTTGCTCTGGCTGGTCTCAAACTCCTGGGCTCAAGTAATCTTCCCTCTGCAGCCTCCCAAAGTGCTGAGATTATAAGCATGAGCCACCATGGCTGGCAATAATTTCTTTGTAGCCAGTTTTTATACCAAAAGGCTGAGGGAAAACTAGAGTAATATTTTTAGGTTTTATGGCTGGCTTTGAGGAAAGGGAGTTCTAGTTTCTGTGACCTAGAGAAGAGGGATTCTAGTTTCTATGGCTTACCTTGGGGGAGAATGGGACTGAGAGACAGAGCAGGAGAAGGTCAAAGAAAAACTTCTGTGTCTAATGCAGCTGAGTCCTTCATTTTGGAGTATTGTTTTCTGAGCCCAACAAACTTTTTATTCAGCTTTGTGTTCTCAGCAGTTAGCATAATGTATAGCATATAGTAATGTGGTAAAAAAAAAAAAAAGCCTATTATTTTTCTGTTGAAATAATGAGGTCTTGAACTAGGCCAGGGGTAGTGGGAAGGGAGGGTGGGTGGGAGAAACATTCAAAAAAGTCAACTTTGGATGTTAGTGATAAGTTAAAGGTATGTAATTTATAGATGATGAGATTTGCAACTTGAGTGAGTTTGGTATACAGATTGTTGACTTCTTAAATTTAAGACATTTGCTGAACATGCTAGAGAGATGACCAGTAGGCAACTACAAATAAGGGTATAGATAGTAAGAGATAGGGATTTAGGAGTTGCCAGCATATTGGTATTAACTGAGGCTTTGGAATAGATAATATAAGTCAGGAAGGAGAGGAGATGTAAAAAAGGTGGAGTAGAGATCCTTGGGGAACAATATTTAACAGGTTACAGCAAAAGAAAGATTAGAGAAGTATATTAATTGTCAGCAGTGTCCAGTAATGAAGAAAGGGTAAAGCAGATGAGAATTGAGAACAATTTATTTGGAAATTAGACAGTTGTTATTGAACTTTGAGAGAATAGTTTCAGTCTAGTAGAGTGAAATAGAAATTAGATTGAAATAGGTGTTTGAAAGAGGTTGAGAAGCAAACAAATGATGAGCAAGTGGAAAAAGCAAGCATGTACTACTCTTTCAAAATGTGCTTTTTGGAGAAATGTGTTGTGGAAAGGGATGTGGTATCAGTTCCTTGAGGAAAAGGTAAAATGGGGGTGACGTTTTTGTTCATATTTTTGTTCTTGGATGGGGAATGGTCTTGGAAAAGTTTTTCAATTGATATCCAGGAGAAAGGGGGATTGAAAGCAGGAAAGAAATTTTTAATGGAATAAGGACAGGAAGGGAAGGAAGGAGAGGGTTTGGGATCAAGATGTCAAATGATACTGTTAGCCCTGAAAAGTGGTAGGGTTCAAAAGGAAAAGAGGTATGAAGCGCAAAAACATTTAGAGTTGGCATGAGGGAATGTAAAAGGTCTGTTATCTATAAAGTAGGCAACCAGGTCATTAATTGCTGGTGAAGAGTAGATAGGACAGGAATGGGATAGTTTGTGGTGGCAGGGTGGCACAGGACATTTTGGAAGATTAGTAAAGTTCTGTTGAGAGTGATAGAATTAATGTTAGGACTGCAGGTAGATTTGAGGGTTCAGCTGAGATTGAGCTATGGAAATAAAAAGCAATAATAAAAAGACAAAGTATATATATATTCTTATATATATTATTCCTTACATAATATATATTTCCTTATATATAACCTTATTTTATATATATCCATATATGTATGTGTGTGTGTGTGTGTATATATATATATATATATATATATATATAACATGACTTTTTTTCATTAAAGAGACTGAAGAAAAAAAGGGATTTGAAAAATTACTTGTAGTTGCTCATTAGGATATGTAAGGCAGTTACTTAAGGACAGCCAAATTTGCTCTACTGTCCTGATACTTGGAAGAATTAAAGAATGGGGTACAGGGCTGGGGAGTTGGTGGCAGCAGAGAGCAGTCCAGCAGTCTGTCAAGTCCTGCCTGGTCACAGGTCAGTGCCATTTAAACCTCCAGGATCAAGTCAGAGCACTTGACGCATGACTGATAATATTTGAGATTTAGTGTGAGGTGTCTTTTTAAATTTTTTTTTGGTGTGTTCTTGCTGTATGTGTGTACTGATTAAAATATGTAAAATAAAAGCAACAGGTTGCTGGTAATTAACTCTGTTATTTCAAGACAGAATTGATTTTGTATAGAAAGGTAGTATTGGCTGGATTATGAGCTTTACTGCTTATTCATTCCTGATGAAAATATCTCTGCTGGGCTTACATACCCTGTAGTGTTTATGAACTAGTAGGTTTAGAAATGAAGAGACCCTAGAGAGATAATCATTTCCTCCAAGATGTTTTGTCTTCTACCAGGAATTTGTCAATAGATATATAGGCCCAGTGGGTAGGCTCACCTCTGCATGAATATTTGATAGGAGCATTTCTATCAGTTATGCTCTTTCTTAAAAAAAAACATGAAAATAAACGCATCATTTATGTAACTCTTATAAGAAATGCATAAATCATGGGAAACAGTGAGCAAGATATAATTGAAATTCAGCAGCTCAGTGAGTTACGAACCTTCTCTCTACAACTCAATTGTGTTAGTTACTGCTTAACTTAACGCTGGGTTTTCCTTTTTGCTTTCAGGAAAACCTTTAACTTACGCCCTGGGTGTTGCCTGTCAACAGTTTCCTGGTGGCTCACCGCTTCTGCCTGCTCCAGCCTTGCTCCGGCAGCTTCAAGGCTTCTGGGCTTCAGAGCTTGTTGTGAAAGCTTGCTGCTTTGGCCTGCTACCCCTGCTTCAGGTGTCAAAAGCTTTTAATTAGCTTGCTTCCTCTAATTACTATAACTAGGCCCTTACGTGTCTGCATAATCCAGTTCTAGGGTCTGAAAGGAGAATTACCTTTAGCCATTCATTCTTCTTTAAAAGATCTTTTACTTTGGCCCTCCTGGCATTCATGGGAGAGTAAGAAGTTATATTGCATGATTCACCTTTGATGGTGCTAGTCTTCAGTCTGTAGGGGCAAACTGGTGTGGGCATACTGTATTTTATAGCCAGTGTTTGTTCTGATTGGTTGATGCCCATGCTGTCCCAATTTTAAAGTATTTTGACTATTGCTACTGAATATATAAATTGTGTCTCCATAGAAAGGATATCTCTAGCTGGTTTAATAAACTCTTTGTAGTGTTTTTAGTTTGCTTATTAAAGATAATATTTAGTTCCCTCCCCCATTTTTAATAAATATTTTGAACACAAATTGGTCGCTCACAGAACAGTTTTTAAAAATGCAGATACAGTGATTTCTATACATTTTGTAATGATCACCATTAACATGTGTCAATAGGTATCAGAATTATAGGTATGATGAATGGGAAGAGCTCTTCAGTACTTATATAACTATTCAGTACTTGGAGTAGTAAAGTATACTAGCTCTCTTATCAGACAGCCAGGTACATATTCTGGTTCTATTACTTATTAATTTTGTCACTATGAGTAAGTTAATTAACTTCTCCAAACATTAGTTTACTAATTTAAGTGGGGATTGTAGAATCTGCTTTAGATTGGTGTAAGGATTAAATGAGGGGTAATATATGTAATATGCTTAGCCCAGTGCTAGGCACAGAATAAGCTTTTTATAAATAAGAGTTATTTTTTGTTATTATTATTAATCATAAATGATAGTAGATGATATGTAGGGGAAATTAAAAGGTGAAAAAGACAATAAGTAATGAGCAGCAACAGACAAAAGATATTAAAGGCCAAGTTGTGAAGTCAGGACTTCGATGCCTGTTAAGAGAGCAGAGTGAGCTGGAATAAGCTGATAGATGTTTAATAAATCACAAAATACACAGTTGTATCTCTTTTGTCATAATACCTTATTTTTGAGTTTTAGTGTCAGTTTAGTTGTATACTTGCAGCTGAGAATATTGATGCTGTAAACTTTGCATGTATATACACCCACATAGATTACCAGTCATTCATCATTAATTCAGCTAATGTTTATTGAGTAGCTATAGATTCCCAATTACTAGGTGTGTACTAGTGAACAAATAGGAAAAAAAAATCCCTGCCCTCATTAGCTTATATTGTAGTGAATGAAGCAAACAATGAACAAAGTACTTAAATAGAATACATAGTTCATGAAATAATGACAACTAATGGTAAAGGGAAGCAAAGAAATGGGTTAGAAAATGTCAAGGGGTAAAGTGACATTTCATTGAAGGAGTGAGAGAGAAAGTTGTGTGGCTTCGTGGGGCTAGAATATTCCAGGCCTAGGGATCAACAAGTGCAAAGGCTAGTTGGGATTGAGTGTGGTGATCATTATAGCTGGAGCATAGTGAACCAGGGGGAGAGTAGCACGAGGTCAGGGAAGGTGGAGGGCCAGAACATGTTGGCCCTATAAGGCATAGTAAGGATTTTGACTTTTACTTGGAGACAGATGGGAAACCATTGGAAGCTGTGGAGCAGAGGAGTGTCATGATCTGAGCTACATTTCAAGAGGATCAACTGTGGCTTCAGTGTTGAGGATGGGTTGTGGGATGAGAGGGCAGAAGTAGTAGAGAGGTCAGGTAGGACAATCCAGGCAAGATTTTCTTTTTTTTCTTTTCTTTTTTTTTTTGAGACAGAGTCTCACTCACTTCAGCCCGGGCTGAAGTGCAGTGGCGTGATCTTGGCTCACCACACCTCCGTCTCCCGGGTTCAAGCAATTCTCCTGCCTCAGCCTCCCTAGTAGCTGGGACTACAGGCGCCCGCCACCACACCCAGCCAATTTTTGTATTTTTAGTAGAGATGGGGTTTCATTATGTTGGCCAGACTGGTCTCGAACTCCTGACCTCAGGTGATCCACCCACCTCGGCTTCCCAAAGTGCTGGGATTACAGACATGAGCCATGTAATAGTAGCTTGGAATGGGTTGGAACAGAGGAGATATGGTGAATGAATTCTTGCTATATGCAGGAAGACTAGATTTATAGAACTCCGTGGCAACTGTTTCTGTATTCTACAACCTGTAACTTAAGAATGAACATAAAATACTGTTACAGCATTCTGTAACTGCAATTTGTAACTAGTTTGTAGCTTCAAATGATAATACATTGTGTTTAAGAACTGATTTGTATACATTTGTCACTTAGTGATTATTTCTGTAGTGTTTACAGAAATAATTCTTGAATTATTATTACAGGTTTTCTAACATCATGTTTTTACTATGAAGTCTTTCAAGACATTGCTAGTGTTTTTAAAAATATATCTTTGTTCTGTGTTAAACTATAGTCTTGCAGTTCATACTAAATGTACTTTTAATTTTGATCAAGCTAAACAAGAAAGGACATTTTAACAGACTACACTGTTATATGTTAAGCTGTGGTTCTTGAAAATACAGGACCTGAGGTTAGAGTTCTAAGAGAATCCTCCTCTTCTTGATTTTTAGCTACTGAAATGAATATCAGTATGACTTGCAGTGTTAAAGGAGAAAAGCAAGATCAGTTTGATTTTATTGTATTACTTTGTAAGCCTCATATTCTTTTCTCATCATTTATCAATTCAATAATTCAAGAATATTTCCTGAACTGACTTTTATTTCACCACACTCACCTTATTCCAGAAAAGATTTTAGGTAGCTCATGAAACTGTTATAAGATAGGTTTGAAAATGTTTTCCACCCTGCAGCAGCATGGCATTCCTGATAACCACATACATGTGTAGTCTCATTTTAGCCATGATCAGTTATACCACAATACCTTGATAATTAGCGGTCATTTCATGACCAGGATGTGATGTGTGGTATCCCATACTACCTCATTCCATGCTTCAAATTTTATGTGTTTTATATAGAAAATGTAGAAAAGCAAGTAGAAATTGCATCACTTAGAAATACCTGATCTTTTGATAAAGCATAGAAATTTATGGTACATATTTTATGTGTGTGTGTGTGTATATATATATATAGAGAGAGAAAAAGTCACAGTGTACATACTTTAATAAACTTATTTGTTTAACATTATACTGTGAACTTTTCCGTATTAACATTCCTCAGTAATTTTTTCAAGTGTATGAGTAATTTTTCTGTCATACTGTGAGATACCATATTTAGTCAAATTGATCATGTAGAATATTTAAGTTCATTTCAATATTTTACTATTGAAAACCACACTGTGGTGAATATTGTGGCTTAGTTTTTATTTGTATATAGATATATTCAGTTGAGGGTATTTCTATCCATATTTCTATGTGAATATATTTGTCATAAGTCTAAAATTACAGAAAGTTAGAAATTAAAGAGATGAAAGATTTTTTTATTTTGGTAGTTAAACTGAAGAAATTGAGAGTTATATTCTTTGCCACATATTAGAGGTAGAGTTGGCAGTGAAGAGATTGGGCTGTAATGTGCTTAGTGCAATGCCTGGCACATAATCATAGCTAACACTTATTGAATGCTTACTAAGCACCAGACCCTTGAAAAACTTGAAATTATTTTTCACCCTGTGGCAGCATGGCATCCCTGATGACTGCACAGGTGTGTAGAATGGGTCTCATTTTGTCCCTGATCAGTTACACCACAATACCTCAATAGTTAGTGGTCAATAATCCCGAGTACAAGGATTATACTTGTATTAATTTTTCAAATCTTTACCACAATGATATAAGTATTGTTATTAACCCCATGATCATGACAAGGACACTGAAGTATTGAAAGGTTAAGTTTTTTGCCTAGAGTTATACAGCTAAGGACAAAACTAGGATTCAAACCCAAGTAGTCTGGCTTCAGAATCCATGCTATCACCACTCCCCAAAACAGCCACAATAAATGCTAGCTAAGTGTTTGAGTGTTCAATAAATATTAGGCGTCATCATTATTCCTACTGCACAGTTGCATATTCCAGAGGTGGTTTTGGTTCCAATATTTTTGGATTTTAGAAAGATAATTTAGTTTGTATACTCTATTTTATGTAACATTCTCATTGGGGTTTGGAGCAGCCCTTCATAAACAGATACATTCACGTTTCTTCAGTGAAGCATGTTTGTTTTTATACTAAGTGAGATTAAAAAGCAAGAATATTAATAGCCTGATGTCACTACATGCTGCCAAATGAGTTATGAAAACCTTTTGTCTTTGAGAATTGCAGATAAGGGATTATGGACCTGTATAAAACTCTTACCATAGTGCCTGGCATTTAGAACACACTCCTCCTTCTACTAGATTTATACTAGTAGTATTGGGTGGGTACTACTACTACCACTACTGTTATTAGTAGTTATCATCAGATACATACTTACAGAAAACTGGTGAATTGTAGAGTACTGTTAGTACTTTTCTCACACTGTGACCTTGGGAGGGGAAGACACCTAAGTTTTGGAGTCTTTCAGCTATTCTTCCCTCAATCAGAATAAGAGGGTGTAAGTCATAGTGTTCTGTGTGTTTTCCCCGCCCTAAATTGAGTCTTGTATAGCTTAGTGCTCCTGTCCCTCTATCCATGTGCACTCCCAGTTGTGCAGGGTTTGATTTTAGAGTCTAAGCAATAGCTCACGTGGTGTGTTCACCGCTTCAGAGATCTTAGTGAAACAACGTTTCAAGTTTTTCCTTATTCTTTATTACAGCCCTCTTTATGAGCCCATTGGGAGAACAATTTAATTGTTTGAAATTGAGATACTTCCTTTTCTTTCTCATCCATTTTAATTGATGAAAAACTATAATCACAGTCATTATAACCACTTATAACAATTACCAAGAAATATTTAGTATGTATACACTTACTGTAATTATATGGTCATGTTACTTTTATTGCAGTCTGATCCAAATATAAATTTATTAAATAACCTTGATATGCACATTTGCTATTAAGTTTTTTTTTTTTTGCACTTGAATTTAAACCTATACTCTGTTTTTGGAAATATCCCGTTGAACAGCAGTTTGAAGATCTGCTGTATATAGTTTGACCTCCCTTTCTGCATATTAGAGTAGCATTTCTCTTCCTCCCCACCAACCCCCAGTAACTGGAAACATCCTCGTTCAACCTTTGTTTTCCTCTTTTGTGGGCTAGCCTGTGGCCTATGGCAAGTCCAATGGCCTGGAAGTGGTCTTACAGATTATCTGGTTAAACTGAAGCAGAGAGATAGAAATGTAATCAATTTGTTGAGAGTGAGAAAGGGATTTTATTTATTGTATTTGATAGTTTTTGATCTGCAATTGAAATATAAAATACAGAAATAGATGTTCCTTTTTTTTTCTTTTTGGAAGGGATGTGTAAAGTTTAGTTTTTGTAAAATCGTTAGTTTTAATTGCTCTCTATGCGTATGTATATGTGTGTATGTGGTTTGGGGGTTATGGTATAGTATGTAAGAGTATGTGATATGAAAAATAGGATCGTTTTCAGTTTATTTCATATTGTTTGATCCTCACAAAACATATTTGTTTTGGCAGCTGGCCTTCCTTGTAACATGGTGTTGGAATTTTGCATGCATTATTTAATAAGCTCTAGTTCTTTCCTGTTGAGCATTTTGTTCAGTTTCTTAGTGATAGTAGATATTGAGTTTGAATTCCAGGGCAGAAAAGTTGGAAAGGGGGATTAATGTGTAATTACCAACTAATACAGTGTTCAAAAATACCAACTAATACAGCGTTCACAAATACCAACTAATACAGCATTCACAAATACAGTTATTAGTTTGGCACATGTTCACTAACTTTTTCATCTGGCAACATTATTTAATTTAGGATCTTAGAATTTGAACTGCATTGACATAATTGATAATTGGTATTTATTTTTTTACAGAGGAAAAAGGAAAATGGATGGCTGAAAAAATTATTTGTCATTATTTTAAAATTTATATTTCCTTTATCTTTTCTAGGTTGCTGTAGTAAAACTAAAAAATGCAGATAAAGTGTTTGCCATGAAAATATTGAATAAATGGGAAATGCTGAAAAGAGCTGAGGTAAGAGTCTTATGTATTGGAATATATAAATATTTTAGAAATATTTTTCAGGAATTATAAAATTCCATAGAGCTCATTAAATATTACTTGGTAACATTTTGTCTGTGGTGACATTTTTTAAGGCATAAAAGACAAATTCAACACAATTGTGATATAATTATGATAAAGGTTACAATCCATAATGCTAATTTAATATTAGTGGAATACTAAATGGAAACCCTTGTAATGGGGGGCTTATGCAGCTATATTTAAAGGATGTCTGCAAACTACTTTCTTCTATAGAAAGACATTTTGTAATGGTTGATTTCTAACGTGACGTAACTTGTTTATATTATTCTGTATTTATCTGTATTCTGCTACAAGCAAAAGTCAGCAGGAGTTTTGAACATGCCCTCTAGAAATTCTGTTTAATGCTGATTATGCAGTCACTTTGTATTTTGTTTTATATTACAGGAGTTGTAGTAAAATCTAGTAATGGAAGAACTGCCTGCATTTTTATGTAGATTTGAGGGAAGGATTGACTGGAGTGATGTTAAAAATATCCAGCAGCTGGTATGGCCTGGTCAGAACTGCTGTCACACATAGATTTGGAGTGGACTTCTGGGGGGTCCGCTGCTGTGCTGTATCATGGTGAAGGGTTGAATGGGATAGGCATTCTGGGGCTTCAGGGAAGCAGAACTTAACTGGTGTAGAATTCTGTCAGTATTTTAACTGGTAAAAGGTGATACTGACGAGCAGGCTGAGTAATAGCCCTGGAAGTTAGTAAGATTAGTAAGAAAATAATGACAAATTCGCCTTTAGAAATCTTTATCTGTCAGTACTTGTAGCAACCCAAAGATGAACAAACATACAGGGAAAAGCAAAAAGTGTTTCCATGATGACAGATATGGTGGCAGTGAAAGTAAATACTTCATTATTTATTTATTTGGAGAAATTTGAAAACACAAAGAAGAAACTAATAATCACTTTTGTTCTGTTACCCAGAACTAATAACATTTTGGCCAAGTTTTTGCTTTTAGTTTTTTTTTTTAAACTAAAAAAAACAAACAAACAAAAACCCTCAGAAGTGAAGCACAAATATATTCTCTGTAAAACAAATAATAGCATATTACAGATAAAGCCAAAGTGTTCTTTCACCACCCAAGTCCATCCTTTCTCTAACTCCCAGAGGTCATTATTACTTTTAAAATACTATTTCTTCATTAAACATTTTTTTTGTTTTTATATATTTAGGAGATACAGGTGCAGATTGCTGACATGCATATATTGCATTGTGGTGAAATACCCATCTAGTGAACCCATCACCCAAATAGTGAACATTGGACCCAATAGGCAACTTGTCAGCCCTCACCCCCTTCCCACCCTCCCACCTTTTGTAGTCTGCAATGTATTATTCCACTCTGTATGTCCATGTGTACTCATGGTTTAGCTTCCACTTATAAATGAGAACATGTGGTATTTGGCTTTCTGAGTTTTTTTCACTTGGGATAATGATCTCCAGTTCCATTCATCTTGCTGCAGAAGATAAGATTTCATATATTTATTTATGTGTATATGTACACACATATATACATACATACATACATATATGTATACACACATCACATTTTCTTCAGTCCTGCGTTAATGGACAGCAAGATTGAGTCTGTGACTTTGCTATTGGGAATAGTGCTGTGATAAACATATAAGTACAGGTATCTTTTTGATATAATGATTTTTTTTCCTTTGGGTAGATACCTAGTAGTGGGATTGCTGGATGGAATGGTAGTTCTGAGAAATCGACGTACTGTTTTCCATAAAGATTATACTAATTTACATTCCTACTAATAGTGTATAATTGTTCCTTTTTATCTGCATCCCCCCAGAGGTAATTATTGTATAGTAATATCCTGTTTGACAAAGTATCTGGGAGCTTTAATGTCACATGTATCACTGGGATATGTGCCAGTGTCCATTATATTCAACACCTTAGTTTTTACTTTTAATTTCCCTAAGACTGAATTGCCTTACTGTCACTGGTTGGATTTCTCAAGGAGTAAATACCGAGATTGAGTTTATTGTGCAGATATTTGTTTGGGATTTCTTTTGAGAAATCCCTACCTGTAGAAGGGAAGGGAGGGAGATAGGATTTGTACAGTTGTCCCATCAGCCTCAGTTGATTCCACTGGGAGCTCTGTAGCAGAAATGGCTCTTGAGAAGTGTCCTACATTGGATCAAAATGTCTAGACCTTTATACACCTGCCTCTACTAGTCAGTGGACATGGGCTACCCCTGAAGGACATGGCCTTGGACTGGTAGGCTTTCTTCAGCTGATGCAAACCCTGAAGGTGTGACAGCATCAGCAGCTAGAGCAACAAATCCTGTTATTACAAAAGAGTAAATAATTATGTTCTGTTTAGCAGAAATAACAACTGTAGTCAGTTTACTGTTTCAGAGTTAGAACTTTTAAAAAATTGAATTAAAGTTTATACTTTTTTCAATGAAGCTGGATATGTTGGGGAAGAATTGTGAAAAGGATGAATAACTGGGTTAGCTTTCATTACAGCTGGAAGTGGCAAAATTCAAAATAAAACAGTATAATTTAAAATCAAATATTTTATTCAATTAACAAGTATTTATATATTCTGTTTCTGAGACAAGATGGAATAGACTCACTTCTCCCTGTTCTCCTGTGAAGTATAGCTGAAGATTCTGGACATTTATATATAAAGCAAACATTAGAAGAACCCAAAAGGTAGAGAGAATAAGGTAGACCAGCTAGGGACCTCAGGACCTTACGGTATAAGACCCATTTTGGAGGTCAGTATTATGCTGATAGAAAAACCTGACAAGGACCATACAAAGAAAGTTTAAGATAAATAGTCCTCGAAATACCATTTGACCCAGTCATCCCATTACTGGGTATATACCCAAAGGATTATAAATCATGCTGCTATAAAGACACATGCACACGTATGTTTATTGCGGCACTATTCACAATAGCAAAGACTTGGAACCAACCCAAATGTCCAACAACGATAGACTGGATTAAGAAAATGTGTGACACTCTCCCAAGACTAAACCAGGAAGAAGTTGAATCTCTGAATAGACCAATAACAGGAGCTGAAATTGTGGCAATAATCAATAGTTTACCAACCAAAAAGAGTCCAGGACCAGATGGATTCACAGCCGAATTCTACCAGAGGTACAAGGAGGAACTGGTACCATTCCTTCTGAAACTATTCCAATCAATAGAAAAAGAGGGAATCCTCCCTAACTCATTTTATGAGGCCAGCATCATTCTGATACCAAAGCCGGCCAGAGACACAACCAAAAAAGAGAATTTTAGACCAATATCCTTGATGAACATTGATGCAAAAATCCTCAATAAAATACTGGCAAAACAAATCCAGCAGCACATCAAAAAGCTTATCCACCATGATCAAGTGGGCTTCATCCCTGGGATGCAAGGCTGGTTCAATATACGCAAATCAATAAATGTAATCCAGCATGTAAACAGAGCCAAAGACAAAAACCACATGATTATCTCAATAGATGCAGAAAAAGCCTTTGACAAAATTCAACAACCCTTCATGCTAAAAACTCTCAATAAATTAGGTATTGATGGGACGTATTTCAAAATAATAAGAGCTATCTATGACAAACCCACAGCCAATATCATACTGAATGGACAAAAGCTGGAAGCATTCCCTTTGAAAACTGGCACAAGACAGGGATGCCCTCTCTCACCACTCCTATTCAACATAGTGTTGGAAGTTCTGGCCAGGGCAATTAGGCAGGAGAAGGAAATAAAGGGTATTCAATTAGGAAAAGAGGAAGTCAAATTGTCCCTGTTTGCAGACGACATGATTATATATCTAGAAAACCCCATTGTCTCAGCTCAAAATCTCCTTAAGCTGATAAACAACTTCAGCAAAGTCTCAGGATACAAAATCAATGTACAAAAATCACAAGCATTCTTATACACCAACAACAGACAAACAGAGAGCCAAATCATGAGTGAACTCCCATTCACAATTGCTTCAAAGAGAATAAAATACCTAGGAATCCAACTTACAAGGGATGTGAAGGACCTCTTCAAGGAGAACTACAAACCACTGCTCAAGGAAATAAAAGAGTATACAAACAAATGGAAGAACATTCCATGCTCATGGGTAGGAAGAATCAATATCGTGAAAATGGCCATACTGCCCATGGTAATTTACAGATTCAATGCCATCCCCATAAAGCTACCAATGACTTTCTTCACAGAATTGGAAAAAACTACTTTAAAGTTCATATGGAACCGAAAAAGAGCCCGCATCGCCAAGGCAATCCTAAGCCAAAAGAACAAAGCTGGAGGCATCACACTGCCTGACTTCAAACTATACTACAAGGCTACAGTAACCAAAACAGCATGGTACTGGTACCAAAACAGAGATATAGATCAGTGGAACAGAACAGAGCCCTCAGAAATAATGCCACATATCTACAACTATCTGATCTTTGACAAACCTGAGAAAAACAAGCAATGGGGAAAGGATTCCCTATTTAATAAATGGTGCTGGGAAAACTGGCTAGCCATATGTAGAAAGTTGAAACTGGATCCCTTCCTTACACCTTATACAAAAATCAATTCAAGATGGATTAAAGACTTAAACGTTAGACCTAAAACCATAAAAACCCTAGAAGAAAACCTAGGCATTACCATTCAGGACATAGGCATGGGCAAGGACTTCATGTCCAAAACACCAAAAGCAATGGCAACAAAAGACAAAATTGACAAATGGGATCTAATTAAACTAAAGAGCTTCTGCACAGCAAAAGAAACTACCATCAGAGTGAACAGGCAACCTACAAAATGGGAGAACATTTTTGCAACCTACTCAAAGGGCTAATATCCAGAATCTACAATGAACTCAAACAAATTTACAAGAAAAAAACAACCCCATCAAAAAGTGGGTGAAGGACATGAACAGACACTTCTCAAAAGAAGACATTTATGCAGCCAAAAAACACATGAAAAAATGCTCGTCATCACTGGCCATCAGAGAAACGCAAATCAAAACCACAATGAGATACCATCTCACACCAGTTAGAATGGCAATCATTAAAAAGTCAGGAAACAACAGGTGCTGGAGAGGATGTGGAGAAATAGGAACACTTTTACACTGTTGGTGGGACTGTAAACTAGTTCAACCATTGTGGAAGTCAGTGTGGCGATTCCTCAGGGATCTAGAACTAGAAATACCATTTGACCCAGCCATCCCATTACTGGGTATATACCCAAAGGACTATAAATCATGCTGCTATAAAGACACATGCACACGTATGTTTATTGCGGCATTATTCACAATAGCAAAGACTTGGAACCAACCCAGATGTCCAACAATGATAGACTGGATTAAGAAAATGTGGCACATATACACCATGGAATACTATGCAGCCATAAAAAATGATGAGTTCATGTCCTTTGTAGGGACATAGATGAAATTGGAAATCATCATTCTTAGTAAACTATCGCAAGAACAAAAAACCAAACACCGCATATTCTTACTCATTGGTGGGACTTGAACAGTGAGATCACAGGGACACAGGAAGGGGAATATCACATTCTGGGGACTGTGGTGGGGTGGGGGGAGGGGGGAGGGATAGCATTGGGAGATATACCTAATGCTAGATGACGATTTAGTGGGTGCAGCGCACCAGCATGGCACATGTATACATATGTAACTAACCTGCACAATGTGCACATGTACCCTAAAACTTAAAGTATAATAAAAAAAAAAGAAAAAGAAAAAAAAAGATGAAAAAAAGATATGCCAGTAAAAAAAGAAAAAAAAAATGTGTGACATATACACCATGGAATTACTATGCAGCCATAAAAAGTGAAGAGTTCATGTCCTTTGTAGGGACATGGATGAAACTGGAAACCATCATTCTCAGCAAACTATCGCAAGGACAAAAAACCAAACACCGCATGTTCTCACTCATAGGTGGGAATTGAACAATGAGAACACATGGACACAGGAAGGGGAACATCACACTCCGGGGGACTGTTGTGGGGTGGGGGGAGGGGGGAGGGATAGCATTAGGAGATATACCTAATGCTAAATGACGAGTTAATGGGTGCAGCACACCAACATGGCACATGTATACATGTGTAACAAACCTGCACATTGTGCACATGTACCCTAAAACTTAAAGTATAATAATAATAAAATAAAATAATAAAAAAGATAAGTAGTCCCCATGCATATAGATGCAAATATCCTTAACAAAATATTAGCAAATACAATTTAGCAATATGTTAAAAGAATTATATACCATGCCCAAGTGTGATTTATTGTTGGGATGCAAGACTGATTCCATATTTGAAAGGTACTCTCCTCAAACTATTTGAGAAAACTTTTATCTTTTAGACAGAAATTCTGCATTGAAACTTTTAAGGAAGAATTCACTTTAAAATAGAAATTGTATTTCTATTCTTGAATAAGCAGATCTTTTTAAAAACAAAAACATTTCTAAAAATCCTTCTGACCATGACTTATCCAACTTTGGAAAACAAGACCTACCAGTGATGCTTAATAAATTACAAATGAGCAGCAAAATTCCTTATTTTTTATTTGTGTATTGTTGATGCTTTAAAACAATTTTTTCAGAGGTTTATGTACAACTTATTTACCTTATTCTGTTTCAAGCCATATGTCAAATATATAATTAATGATATACGGGTTACTCAAAGGTGCTAGGAAGCCTCCTCTCTTTTCTATACCTGGGCAGAAAGGTATAATAATATAATGTCCAATAATTTCACAGATTTATCATTTACAAACTTTGCTAGTTTATCACCAATAACTCTACAAGTTCATCATTTACAGACTTTGCTAGTTTATCAACAGCCTCCTAAATTAACAAATGAACTACTGCTCTCAATCTGTTCTGTAAATTTTACTTCTGTCTTCACATTTGTTCAGTGAGTACTGACTTCGCTCATTAACAGATGTCCTTACTCATTTCATGAGGAGATGCGGTATAGTTTACAGAAACACTCACTGTCTTGAGAGTTAAACCTTTTTATAAAACCTTTTAAAAACATTTTATTTATTGAGGCAGAGTCTTGCTCTGTTGTCCAGGCTGGAGTGCAGTGTTAGGATCTTGGCTCACTGCAGCCTCTGCCTCCTGGGCTCAAGGGATCCTCCCACCTTAGCCTGGGAGTAGCTGGGACTACAGGCACATGCCACCACACTCAGCTAATTTTTGTATTTTCTTTAGAGATGGGGTCTCACTATATTGCTCAGGCTAGTCTCAAACTCCTAGGCTCAAGTGATCTGCCTGCCTCAGCCTCCCAAAGTGCTGGGATTACAGGTGTGAGCCACTGCACTGGGCTGAGAGTTAAACCTTTCTAAGGCTCAATTTTCTCATGTATAAACTGAAGATAATAAGGTCTCATAAGTAGGGTAACAGTATATCTTAGTTTATCTGTGACAGTGCTGATTTATGCCTATTGTTTTATTAGTTTTTCTATTGTTGTTATCCTTGTTTGGCTATTTTTATAATTGTTAGTAAAGTACTACACAAAGTAAAAAATGAACAAATGCAAGTTCCCTTTTCTCCCTCAAATACCCCTAAGTCCTTCTGTCTTAAGTAGATCATTAGTAAGGGTTTCTTATTTATCCTCAACAGAAAATTTTATTATAATGAAATCATATTACAAGGCTGATTTTTCATATTGCTTTTTCACTAAAATATGTATTGTTTTTTCACTTCTATGTATTTAATACATTTATAATATCTCATTCTTTGTTAATAGCTTCATTATACTGAATGGCTCTCTGTGTGTGTGTGTGTATATATATATATATATATATATTTTTTTTTTTTTTTTGAGACAGAGTCTCACTCTGTTGCCTAGGCTGGAGTGCAGTGGCTAGATCTTGGCTCACTGCAGCCTCCTCCTTCAGGGTTCAAGTGATTCTCCTGCCTCACCCTCCCAAGTAGCTGGCTGAGTACCTCCCAAGTACCTCCCACCACCACACCCGGCTAATTTTTGTATTTTTAGTAGAGACAGAGTTTTGCCATGTTGGCCAGGCTGGTCTTGAACTCCTAACCTCAGGTGATCCATCTGCCTCAGCCCCCCACAGTGCTGGGATTACAGGCGCGAGCCACTGTGCCCGGCCTGAATGGCTATATTTTTTATTAGGTTGATTTTTTTTTTAAGTTTATGGGAATTTAGATTGTTTCCTTATTTTTACTATTTTGAACCATGTTGTAAAAATCTTTATATATACTGGATAAACTTTTGTGAGTTTATCGGTAGTGTGAATTCTTACAAAGATGAAGTGTCAAACTGTCAATACATTTCATTATTTTACCATTTATCTATCTGCATGTGTTTGGCCAAGAGAAATTTCAAAACAGGAGAGAAACTAGTGCTTCAAAACTAGTCATGCTACCCAAAAAGTATATGCCATGTAAAATTTAAAAAAATTTTACTATGAAATGCTGTTAGAGATATTGGTGTGGGCTACCCTGAGGCACTTCAGCTTGTGTATACTGAAGTTGAAATGATTTCAAGGATAATTTTTACATGAAGGGATTATCATTTTATGCTTGACCTAGAACTTATCCACTCCCTAAATTAAACTCCTTGCTAGTCAAACTCTGGGATTTTAGTTGGGGAGGGGAGACATTAAAACTTTGATAGCTATTGT
This sequence comes from Homo sapiens, assembly GCF_000001405.40. Taxonomy (NCBI): domain Eukaryota; kingdom Metazoa; phylum Chordata; class Mammalia; order Primates; family Hominidae; genus Homo; species Homo sapiens. Next base: position 227,204,442 of record NC_000001.11, on the reverse strand, counting down.
TCCAATAAAATTATCTTCTATAAAAGTTGGACTATTATCTTTGCACTCATAGTATGTAAACATGTCTGTTTTCTCACACACTTGGCAGTTGCGGATGTTACCAAATTATTTCTATATTTAAAATTACATTTAAAACTTTTTACTGAAAAATAAGTTAAAAATGATACATCTCATGTTTGATTTGGCCATGAAATATATATTAAAATGAAGACTTAAAAGTGAATTGATGCCATGGTAATACTTGGAATTCTTACATTTTGCAATTTAAAATTTCACTGATTTAGATTTTAAAAATGAAAAATGTTGTTCTTTCCCTCAAATATTAGAGAAAGATTCAGTTATTATTTGAAAGAGTTTCTCTGTGATAGTATTCTATGGAAGAGTGAAGTCTTTATTCCTACTAAATGATAAGCCAAAGTAGATATAATCATCAGTGGATTTTGTTTCTTTTTAACTCATGCTTTCCAAGTATCTGTGCAATTTTGATGAGCAGTATAAGCTTGTTAGTCTGATGAGTGCATCTTATCAATACGATGAAGAGAATCCTGTGTCAACTTTCCAGAATTACCATTTATGTATGTAGTCCTTACTAACTTGTGTTTCAAGATAGGCATTCCTGTTCCTGTTTATCCCAATAGTCCATTAAGGATAAAATTTAAATAATATAGACTGAATATTTTTTAAAAAGGAAAACTGTATAACAGTTGAAAACATCACTGTGGCAAGCTGAATGTTTGGATGAACATTTGGTTGAGAAAGTGAGTGAATCCGAGGAAGTGATATGATCTACAGTAGCCCTTCCTACATGTTTGTTATTAATACATTCTTAGATATCAAATATTCTGTTTTTAAAGGGGGGAGATATTGTTTAGTTTTTTTTAAAAAAGGTAATGAAGTAGATGTTACTAAAGCCTTTAAGCATGTTGAATCCACAGAGCACCTTTATGAATATATATATACCCAGGGTATATGTGCATCATGATTTGGTTAATATTGATCTAGAACAGGGCTTCTCAACAGGGACTTCATTGACAACTGGGGCCAGATAATGCTTTGTTGGAGGGGTTGTCGTGTGCATTGTAGAATATTTAGCAGTATCCCTGGCCTCTACCCACTAAATGCCGGTAGAACCCATCCTTTCCCAATTGTGACAAGCAACTGAGAGCAGTGTGATATGTTGAAGCAAAAACGTAGCCTGTGCTTTATATCTAGACTCAGGATTCAAGGCATTGATAGGAATCATTTAATAGCTAGATATTTATGGATAAAATCATATGCTGTCTGGGGTTTGCTTAAAAATATGTATATGCTCCTGTGTGTGTGGTGCTAGGGGATGGTAGTAAGTAGGTGAGGGTCTAAATGAAATAAGATTGACCAAGAAAATAATTGTTGAAGTTGAGTTCATTAGTAGGAGGGGGTTTTTATACTAGTTTCTCTACCCTTGTATACGTTTGAAATTTTGTATCATAAAGAGTTTATATTGTTTATTTTCTTATTTTAATTAATGTTTTTGAAGAGACAGTCTTGCTCTGTGGCCCAGGTTAGAGTGCGATGGTGTGATCATAGCTCACTTCAGCCTCAAACTCCTAGGCTCATGTGATCTTTCTGCCTCAGCCTTCCAAGTAGCTAGGACTACAGAGGTGCATGCCACCAGCCTGGCTGATTTTTTTTTTTTTTTTTTTGCCTGTAGAGACAGGGTCTTGCTATGTCAGGCAGGCTGGTTTCAAACTTCAGGCCTCAAGCGATCCTCTCACCTCACTTCCCAAAGCGTGGGACTGCAGATATGAGCCACTACTCCTGGCCTATTATTTTTATTTTTAAAAAATAATTTTTTTAGTTAAACAGATTAGCATAGATTAGAACTCAAAGTTTAATATGTTCTGTTGACTAAAGTCTTTGGAGCTTTTTTTAGTTTTGAGTTATTAGTCAAATTAAATAACGAATGTTTATTAAATTCTAACTAGAATGTTTATAAAATTTCGGATTGCTATTATAGTGAGATGAAGCCAGGAGAAAGTAGTCTTCTAGGCTCTGACAGTCTTTACAAACTCTCTAAAATGTTAGCAGTAAACCATAACCTCAGGTTGGTTAAATCATAAAACAGGACTTGGTAGTAAGTATGTAAAGTGCTTTCTGTTTTCCCCTTAAAAAGAACCAGAGCGGCCGGGTGTGGTGGCTCACGCCTGTAATCCCAGCTCTTTGGGAGGCCAAGGTGGGCGGATCACGAGGTCAGGAGATCGAGACCATCCTGGCTAACGCAGTGAAACCCCATCTCTACTAAAAATACAAAAAATTAGCTGGGCCTGGTGGCACTCACCTGTAGTCCCAGCTACTCAGGAGGCTAAGGCAGGAGAATTGCTCACACCCGGAGGCAGAGGTTGCAGTGAGCTGAGATCACGCCACTGCACTCCAGCCTGGGCGACAGAGCGAGAAAAAAGAACCAAAGCATAGTGTTGTATAGATTTTAGTAATTTAATTGTTTTGTGGATCATGGCTGTTGAATTTTCCTTGTGGGAAATAATAATCACTTATTATATATAGCATACTGTGTGATAATGTTTTTAGTGTATCTGGAATATGGTGTAGCCATTAAGAAAAAATTAGGTAGATTTCTGTGTACTGATACGGAAGGATGTTCAAATTCATTGTTACTTGAAAAAAAAAAAAAACTTACAGAGCACTATAATCTCATTTGTATAAAGACCAAAAAATATAGGGGAGGTGGGATACCATGTGAATATATAATCTGTGTGTGTGTGTGTATGTGTGTGCACGTGCACATGCATGCTTATATAGACACAGATTTTCTGAGAGGATTTTGACCAAAGAGTTAATAATGGTAACCTCTGCACACAACAATTGGGCAATGAAACTATGGGAACATGACTCAGGGAGACTTTTACTTTCTTAGAGTTATCTTTGAAGTTTCTGTCATAGTGTTATTTTTGTTTCTTTTTAGTTAATGTATTACAAAATTATGATACATAAAATTGATTTTTAGGCTGGGTGTGGTAGCTCATGCCTGTAGTCCTAGCACTTTGAGGGGGCTGGAAGATTGCTTGAGCCCAGTAGTATGAGACCAACCTGAGCAAGATAGTGAGACCTCGTCTCTAGAAAGAGATAAAAAAAATTAGCTGGGCATAGTGGTGTGCACCTGTAGTCCCAGCTACTCGAGAGGCTAAGGTGGGAGGATCACTTGAGCCCAGGAGCCTGGGCTGCAGTGAGCTGTGATTGTACCACTGTACTCCAGCTTGGGCAATAGAGTGAGATCCTGTCTCAAAAAAAAAGGTTAAACAATTATTTTTTTATTTTTGTTCATATATTTCTAAGGTTCTTCGGGATATACTTTTATAGTAGTGGAAGTGTATTCTCAGAATAAACTACAACTTTAAAAAATCAATTTGAAAAAACAATCCATTAGAGAAAATGGACAAGGGAAGTGAACAATTAAAAGACAAAGTTCAGGTGTCCAGTAAGTGTATATAAAGCTATTTATCTGCACCTGTAATTAGGAATATGTTAATTAAAGGAATAATGATATTATTTCACACCCGTCATGTTGGCAACCACTTAAAAGTCTAATAATGTCACATATAGTTGAGGATGTGGGGAAAAGCAGAGCTTTCATATTCTGGGTGGAGATAGTAATTGGTATAGCACTCAGGAAAGACAATTGGCTAAATGGTGGAGTTGAAATTTTCATTTAGCATTTCTACTTCTAAGTGTATACAGTGGAGAAACTCTTGCACATTTGTACAAATATGTTTATTCCAACATTGTATAATAATAATACAAAACTGGAAATAACCTGTGTTTCCACGGTTGGGGGTTGCATAAATAAATTATAGTGCATTCAAACAATGGTACGCCATAGCAGTTAAAAGAAGAACAGTCATTCTTGAGAAAAAAAAAAAATCAAATTGCAAAAGGATAAAATTATACCATTCACATAGATTTTTTTTGTTTTTGTTTTCTTTCTTTCTTTCGTTTTTTTTTTGTTTGTTTGTTTTTTAAGGCAAGGTCTCACTCTGTCACCCAGGTTGGAGTGCAGTGGTGCGATCTTGGCCCACTGCAACCTGTGCCTCCTGGGTTCAAGCAATTCTCCCGTCTTAGCCTCCTGAGTGGCTGGGATTACAGGTGTATGCCACCACACCCTGTTAATTTTTGTATTTTTGTTAGAGACAGGTTTTCACCATGTTGCCCAGGCTGGTCTTGAACTCCTGTGCTCAAGCAATCTGCCCACCTCGGCATCACAGAGTACTGGGATTATAGGCGTGAGCCACTGCGCCCGGCCCATGAAAATTTTCAAAACACAAATCTGTTGTTTGTAGACATATACATGTGTGATCAAGTCATATAATTGGACTATCCACTGACTTCAGATTATTACAGCAGGGGAGAAAGGGAAGAGAATGGGTTCACAGTTTGGAGTAGGAAGGATACAATTTACATCTTATTTCTTTAAAAAGATCAGAAGTAAATATGGCAAAATGTAGACATTTATATTATCTGGATGGTGGGTTGGTCCATGGTTCTTAAATTATTCTGTGCATTTTTCTCATTGTTTTGAACTATAAAAGTATTATTTAATATAAAATATATTTTTAAAAGGTACTATTCCAGTAGCCCAGTTTCTGAGGGTGGTTTGAAACTTGTGTTATTGAAATGTCTTATAATATCAGGTGTATTCCTTTTCCAGAACAGAAATAATATAATAAACATAGTAATTCTTTGTATATTTCCTAGTTTTACATAAAGTATGCTCTAAAAATTTTCTTTTTGTGTTTCAGACAGCATGTTTTCGTGAAGAAAGGGATGTATTAGTGAATGGAGACAATAAATGGATTACAACCTTGCACTATGCTTTCCAGGATGACAATAACTTAGTAAGAATCATTTTTGTATTTCTATATACTGTTTTTTTGTTGGAAGAATTAGCATTATTTTTATTTAAGCATTGTTTAAATGTAGGTTTCATATAGAAAATTAAGTGCATTTCATACAGGGTAAGTTGTTCACTTGATATGTGGTGTTTTTTTTTCTCCCTGGAAATTTGATACCTTTTCATTGGAATTCTTTATGCTTTTTAATAAGCAAGTCAAAACTAAATCCAAACATTTAATTTCCATTGGTTAAGTTCTATAGACGGTCTTCAGGAGTTTTTCATGATACCTTTAACACCAGTACCATTCCTCTTCCCTTGTTCCTGTTGAAGTCCAGCTAGTACTTTAAAATTGTGCTCAAATTCATCTTAAAATAATCATTTCCAGAATTTTCCACTGAAATTAATCTTTCTCATCTCATTCTAACTTTACATTTTTAAATTATTTTTATTACATAACTAACACATGTATCTCTGATTTTTTTTGATACAACTTTAAGAAACATTTAAATAGGCCGGATGCGGTGGCTCACGCCTGTAATCCCAGCACTTTGGGAGGCCAAGGCGGGAGGATCATGAGGTTAGGAGATTGAGACCATCCTAGCTAACACGGTGAAACCCCGTCTCTACTAAAAATACAAAAAAATTAGCCGGGCGTGGTGGTGGGCACCTGTAGTCCCAGCTACTCGGGAGGCTGAGGCAGGAGAATAGCCTGAACCTGGGAGGCAGAGCTTGCAGTGATAATGCCACTGCACTCCAGCCTGGGTGACAGAGCAAGACTCGGTCTCAAAAAAAAAAAAACACATTTAAATATGTTACATGGACTGTACCATCTTTACCTAAAATAAAATTAAAGGTTTTTCCAACCCCACTGGAAACAAGGAAAAAAAATAAAGGTTTATGCAACTCTATAATGCTCATGGGGTTTATCTGATTTCAGGCCAGATCTAGGTGTTCAAACAGTGTCATTACTAGTCTTTTATATCCCTTACATGCTTATAGAGTATAATAATGTTTTTTTAAACTACAGATTGTGACCCATTAGTGGGTAATAAAATCAAGTTAGTTACAAGCAACATTTTTTTTCTTTCTTTCTTTCTTTCTTTTCTTTTTTTTTTTTTTGTTTGCTGGATCTTGCTCTGTTGCCCAATTAGAGCTAACTGCTGTATCTGATTCCTGGGCTCAAGCAGCCCTCCCACCTCAGCCTCTTGAGTAACTGGGACTACAGGTGTGTGCCACTGTGCCCCACTAACTTAATTTTTTTGTTGTTGTTGTTAAGATGGGGTCTCAGTTTGTTGCTCAGGCTCGTCTTGAACTCTTGGCTTCAAGTGATCCTCTCAGCTTGACCCCCTAAGGTGTGTGGATTACAGGCATGAGCCACCATGCCCAGCCATAAGGAACATTTTTAAAGATTAAATAGAATAGAAAATGACAGAGTTCATGACAAGTAAGTAGTAAGAGTGAATATGGTCTCATGACACATTTCTTTTATAATATACTGAATTATCATATAAGCCATATATATTATTGTGGGTTATAGTGAGAATTGTGTAAAAACCATAGCATAGAGTTTTTTGTATGTGCTAGATGCATAGTTGTTAAATTGAATAGAATGATGTTTTAACTGGATTTATTATACTTAATATACAAAATTTTAGGGATGAATGTATCATGCAAAGATAATCTGCATGGGTTTGTTAATAACATTTGTAAGAACAAATTAAAACACATCCCACATCTTTGCCTAGAAAAATTATAGCAATGTATCATGATAATTTTCAAAATGTTTTCAAATAATGAATAAAATCCACTATGACAGTGTATTCTGTAATAGATAAATTTAACACTGCAGATTTGTGCATTGCTTAAAAGTCTACATTTTGGTATAAATATAGAAATAATTATATAATTTTGTAGGTATATTAATAGAAATAAAGTACCCAAATACCAAATTTTATATAGCAAAAAAAGCCTGAACTGTGATTTATCTCTCTCCTCTTGTTTAGTTTTATTTGCATTCTTCGTATTTGACATTAGGATTAACATTTCTTTTTCAAAGACATTTTTCAGGGAAAAATAGTCTGTATATACCCCTCAATAATTACTAAAATAGAATTAAAGACGTAACTGGAGGAGGAATGAAACACTCTAGTAGTCAAATCTCCTGTAACTTGCCAGTGTTTCTTTAGGGGAGCCTTCATCATATATTCATTCATCTCAAGAGTCAGAGGTCTTGGTTATCATCAAAGGTTGCCTTTTGAACATTTATACAATATTAGCAAAAATCATTAAAAAATGTCGACAAAGCTAATTTTAGATACCAAAAAAGGAAATTTTATTATATATAATTGTTTTTCAAAGTAACTTTTAACCCTGATAGCTTTTAAATTGCCAAGTAAAGAACATAATTTATAATGCTATATGGTTCTAGAAAGCTGTGGCAAATAACTTTCATTTCTAACCTACTTACTACAATAGTTTATGAAAAAATTTGCAATTATAGCAAGTAGACTTTTTGTGTGTTTCAGAAAAAGGCACATAATTTAATGAATGGTAGATATTATTATGTGATTAGATCTTTTTTTCTTTAAGAAAAGCTCATTAAATACAAAGCTGCTTAGTTATATCAACATTGACACATAAAATTTTTATCACTTACATAACACTAGAATATAATGAACCAGTGAAATTTGTTCGTTCTGTACTTTCTTATTAATTGTTTCCTGATTAGTTACTTTATGGTTGAGGAAAAAAAGGAAAATATCTTGCACTGACATATGTAACTTGTTTAAAAGGTGAAAGATACTTGAATTTTAAATTAATTGTAGTAACTCATATGAACTCTAAATTCTTTATAGGAATCCAATTTGTGAAGACAGAAATTATTAGAAAAGTAATTTTTTTAAGAAAAGTATTGTTTAGGGCCGGGCACGGTGGCTCATGCCTGTAATCCCAGCACTTTGGGAGGCCAAGGCGGGCGGATCATGAGGTCAGGAGATCGAGACCATCCTGGCTAACACGGTGAAACCCGGTCTCTACTAAAAATACAAAAAATTAGCCGGGTGTGGTGGTGGGCGCCTGTAGTCCCAGGTACTGGGGAGGCTGAGGCAGGAGGATGGCCTGAACCCTGGAGGCGGAGCTTGCAGTGAGCTGAGGTCACGCCACTGCACTCCAGCCTGGGCAACAGAGGGAGACTCTGTCTCAAAAAAAAAAAAAAAAAAAGTATTGTTTAATAGTAAAAAGAAAGCAAGGAGGATTAACTATAAGGTGAGGCTCTAAAGATTGACTGTTAATCTCTTTGTTATGGCAGCATGAGAATTAAAAGAGTTTCCTGATATTCCTACGAAGACTTCTAGAATTATATCTGTTCCTTGAAATGCTCATTTTGGGACACATAACTCATTTATTGCATGTTTTCAGATGTTTTAGCATTGTTTCATTGGACTGGAGCTCTTTTAAAAAAAAAATCCCCAAAGCTGCCATGGTCTTTTTAGTAATTTAACCAGTGATTCCTCAAATCAATGATTGTTGCTTTGGCTTTCATTTCCCTAGTGACTATTGAGGTTCAGCATGTATTAATTGGCTGATTGTGTTCCCTCTTATGTGAATTATCTGTTAATATTCTTAGCCTAGTTTTGTTGGATTGTTTGTCCCTCTCTTAACAATTGGAAGGGGCTCTTTATTTTAGGATTATATCCTTGACCTATTATGAATATTACCTCTCAGTCTATGTTTTTTAAAAACTTGTATAAATATACCTTAGCTACATTGGGTAATATTTTAAAAGTAGTTTGTGATTAGGAGTACCAAATATTCAATTTTACTATAAAATTAACCAATCAGAACAATATGATATAATAATATAGGAATAGGTAACCATAGCAGAATAGATTAGGAACAGATATAAGTATATTTGGGATCTTAAAATATGACGAAGGGACATTTCATTTGAATTGAGGAGAAAGAATGGATTATTTAACTGTTACTTTAGACTTTTAGTCTTATAGACTCTGTCTATAAGAAAATAGTCTTCACACTTTAATCAAAAGTAAATTGTCAGGATAGGGTCAGTTCAACGTTAGGGTACCCCGACGTGGTGGCTCACGCCTGTAATCCCAGCACTTTGGGACGTCCAGGTCAGGAGATCAAGACCATCCTGGGCAACGTGGTGAAACCCCGTCTCTACTAAAAATACAAAAATTAGCTGGGTGTGGTGGTGCGTGCCTGTAATCCCAGCTACTTGGGAAGCTGAGGCATGAGAATCACTTGAACCCAGGAGGCAGGGGTTGCAGTGAACCAAGATTGCGCCACTGCACTCCAGCCTGGCGACAGAGCAAGACTCTGTCTCAAAACAAACAAACAAACAAAAACGTTGGGCCTAGTAAATACAGCAAGTAGGCCAAAGACACAGGATTTTAAATATATTCTGCTTCCCTAATTTTCAAGGCTTTAAATATGCGAAATTAGTTTCTTTGGTTTAACACACATTTCCTATGTTTGTAATTTTAACATATAGTAATAAAAGGAATTTGAATTTTTTCAAGACTCTTTAAATCTTAATGTCAACTCAGTAATATCCCTGAAACAATATCTTCATTCTGTAATAAAACCTTAATTTCAAGGCATTCATGTGTCTTGTACTCACTAGCCTTCATGCTAAGTGCTACATTATCATTATTGTAGTTAGGTAGATGAGAAAATGAAATGTCACAGAGATTAATTTTTCAACATCCACTTACAACATGGAGTCAGTATTTGAATACAGGTTTCTCTGACTACAAAACCCATTTTTCCACTATGTCTAGTTTTCTCCCTCACTTAAAAATAATATATAATGTACACACAAATACACATGTATATGTAATACATGCTTATAAAGCAATGTAGAACATAAAGTTATAACATCAGCTGTAATCTAACAACCTACAGAATCTCAGTGAACAGTTTGATGTACTCTTCTCATCGTTTCTTTACACCACATACATACCCATAAGGATCCATATCTAAAATTAGTTGGCTTCTGTTTATTATATACACCTGAGAAAAGCCCATTCTGATATTTTTACAGTATTAGAAATGGGAAGAGACACATATGGTGATAATTACTATATTCTACGTAGTAGTGGTTTCTAAATGCTGATCTATAGGCTGATGCTGGTTCTAATAAAGTTCTTACTGATCCAAGGTGAAATAAGGAAAACATAATGATAATATGAATTTCTTTCAATGTAGGGACTATCCTGTATTCCAAGTTTTTTCTTTCATTGTTTTTTTGGGGGAGGGGGTGGATTCAAATGTTCATTCTTCTAAAATCTTGGAAAGCTGTGTTCCATTGTTGTAGGTGAAGATGATAATAATGATGATATTAGCTCTTTGCAAAATACAACAATGGTAACCCTGTGTTGTTCTCTGCCCCAGTCTTTAAAAATTTTGTTTTACTGCTGTATGAAATTTAGAAGTTTTGTAATGACTGCTGATCATCATCTTACACAGTTTCTTGTTAATTAGCAGCATATGTAATTAACTGCATAAATATTTGACCCAGTCCTGTTGACCTTGGGATACAGTATATTGATTTTTCACCCTTATTAGTTTACTGAGTACATTTTATTTTTTTCATTCACAGTACCTGGTTATGGATTATTATGTTGGTGGGGATTTGCTTACTCTACTCAGCAAATTTGAAGATAGATTGCCTGAAGATATGGCTAGATTTTACTTGGCTGAGATGGTGATAGCAATTGACTCAGTTCATCAGCTACATTATGTACACAGGTAAAACAGTCCTTCATTGTACCTGGCTGTGAGTTACCATGTAATATCTAGCAACAGAGGCCTATTTCTTGCCAGATTTATTAATTATGGTCTTGGATACATTTATCGTCAACCAAAAAAAATTATTTTGAGATGATTTTGGTTGTTTTGCTTTGTTGTTGTTATTATTTGTCAGCATTACAGAACCGATGTGCCTGCTTATACATACATGTACATGTATAGTATCTAAAAGTTGTCACTCCTAGAATAATAGACATTGGAGACTAGGAAAGGTGGGAGGAGGTGAGGGATGAGAAATTACCTATGGGTACAGGGTACACTATTCAAGTGATGGGTACACTATATTGCATAACTCACAACCACACAATATGTCCATGTAACAAAGCTGCACTTGTACCCCCTAAATCTATGAAAAAAAAAGTTCTCGGCCGGTCACGGTTGCTCACGCTTGTAATCCCAGCACTTTGGGAGGTCAAGGCGGGCAGATTACGAGGTCAGGAGATCGAGACCACGGTGAAACTCCGTCTCTACTAAAAATACAAAAAAAAATTAGCCGGGCGTGGTGGCGGGCACCTGTAGTCCCAGCTACTCGGAGAGGCTGAGGCAGGAGAATGGCGTGAACCCGGGAGGCGGAGCTTGCAGTGAGCCGAGATCCCGCCACTGCACTCCAGCCTGGGTGACAGAGCGAGACTCTGTCTCCAAAAAAAAAAAAAAAAAAAAAAGTTCTCACTTCCAGTCAGCATTTCTAGAAATCACTTCTTAAAAAACCACTCTTGTTTAAATGTACATATGAATTCCATCTCAAAAGGAGTATGCATTGGTCAGTTTCCTTATAGTTGAGTCTTACATATTTAAATTAGCTGGAATTCTAGACCATAAGTCATAGGTTCATTTGCTAAATAAGTCCTGTATTATATATTTTATGTTTCTCAAGAAAATACTTTCAAGGATTGTATGTGTCAAAAGAGATTTTTTTTGTATGAAAGTGATAATTTTGATGTTCATGGAGTAATTATAAACTATTAATACTTTATATTTAAAAATTTTAAAAATACCAGCATGAATTTGGAAGGACACACAAAAAATAAGAAATAAATTAAGGATATATTGGATGATTTAAAAGGTACCCTCACATTTTAAGAGGAAAGTAGGAAACAGCAGAACGTTGTTGGTGAATTAATCATTCAAATGAGAGTATCTTTGGATGGTGCAAAATGTGAGAAAGAGAAAGATGCTGAGGAGAAGTACGTAAAGGGATACTGCCAAGTTAGAAATAAACTAAACCATTTTCTAAGAGTGATTTTCAAACTTTGGCATGCATCTGAATCCTATGGAGGAAGGGTGGTTGAAACCCAGATTGTTGAGTCAGCTGCAGAAGTGCTGATTCAGTGGGTTGGGTCGGGCTGGGGAATTGCCATCTCTAACAAGTTGCCAGGTGGTGATGCTGCTGCTGGTGTAGTGACCACACTCAGAACTATGCTCTAAGACAGCAGTGACTGTTTCTTTTAAGTTTTGGGTGGTGAGAGTGATCTCTGAGAAGAACATGAATGTGGCAAGGAGTAGAATGTTTCTGTTTCAGTGTTTGCTTTTTAAGATGTGGGTGTCTTAATTGCTGTTTCATTTAATTAGTATTGAAGTTCTAAGACATTATTAAAGGAAGACTACTTTAATTAAACAATTTGTATTTTATCAGATCTCTGTTTGGCTTTTGCCTATTCGTGTGCTTTTCTCTGTGGGTATCTGATTGTCACAGTTTTTATTGAAAATAAAGATATGGAAATGCTTTGAAAATTGTACAATGCAGTTTTTTTTTTTTAATTTAAATTTTTGTAGAGATGGGGGTCTCACTGTGTTGCTCAGGCTGGTCTTGAACTCCTGGACTCAAGTGATCCTGCCACCTCAGCCTCCCAAAGTGTTGGGATTACAGGCATAGCTACCACTTCTTGCCACAGTGCAGCCTTAAAGATGGTATTGTGGTCTCAAGAGTCAGTTATAGAATGAGAAACGAAAGTGCTATTTTGTGGCTTAAACAGTAATCCAAAATCCTAGCTGAGGACTATCATTTAAAAATACTTACAGAAAATACTATTTCGTTGAATATTTGAAGAATGTTACTAAACATAGAGTCTTAGGCTTGTGGAATTGAGAGATTTCACCCAGTTTATATGTAATTCTTGAGAAGGAATAACTGCTTCTGAAAATTATATGCCTAGATTGGTGAAAGTAAATATGAGGTATTTGTAGTATCTTTCATTCTGCCAGGCTTGTTAGAGATACTGTTATGTGGACTGAAAACCATTTCAACCTTGAGCTCTGCTTAAGTACATCTAATTTTACAAGGTACTTTTAAATGAATCGTATTTATTCCATTGTTGGGCAGCTCTAATATTATAAAATTTTATTTTATATTAAGCTGAATTTCTTCTCTTCTCTTTTTTTTGAGACAGAGTTTTGCTCTTGTTGCCCAAGCTGGAGTGCCGTGGTGCGATCTTGGCTCACTGCAGCCTCCGCCTCCTGGGTTCAAGCGATTCTTCTGCCTCAGCCTCCTGAGTAGCTGGGATTACAGTCATGCGCCATGAAGCCTGGCTAATTTTTTGTGCTTTTAGTAGAGGTGGGTTTTCTCCATGTTGGTCGGGTTGGTCTCGAACTCCCTACCTCAGGTGATCTTCCCGCCTCAGCCTCTGAAAGTGCTGGGATTACAGGCATGAGCCACCGTGCCCGGCCTTGAATTTCTTTTTATTTTAGTCATTGGTTCTAGTTTTGCTTTTAGAGTCACATATAATTTATTTCTCTTCTAGTTATCATGCTTTCTGAAGTCTTCTTTAGGTTAAACATCTAAACATCTCTAGTTTCTCTGTTATAACAATTTGTATACACTTCCTACCTTCCTTGTCTTAACCCCCCACCACACACTCTGCCCATTCCTACACCTCTTCTCCCTCCCTCCTTTTCTCTACTTTTACCTTTCTGTGGATGCTCCATTGTGTTAATGTGCTCCTTAAAATGTTATTCTCATTTTCTGGATAGACTATTTTCAGCAAATGCTTTACTGAGGAAATATTTTTTGAGTCCTCTTTTATAAGTAACATTGTGCTAAACTATGTGGAATTGTAAGTAAGTGGGTATAGCATATAGTTGTGGCTTTTGAAAAGGTTTCAGTTGTTTGGAGGCACAAAACCTAAGATAGAAATAAAACTTAAAATACCACAAGTTAAATAATCATTTAAGGCCAAAGTATAAGAGATGATGGAGTGAGTCCAGACTGTGGATTGCTAAATGAGTTATACAAGCAAATTACAGTGAGCTCAAGAAATGAGTAATAAGTTTATTTCTAATGATCAGTTCTAATCCTTATTTAACTCTTTGTGCTATTCACTGTATTCTAACACAAATTCTGTGATTCAGATGTCATCTAAAATCGACGTTGCCCCATTTTATAGATGAGGAAACCCAGCTTCAGAGACATTAGTTAGTAAGTAGCATAGCCTAGATTAAAATCTAAGTCAGGCTTGTCTCCAGATTTATGTTCTTTGCACAACATCATGTTTTCCATAGAAGACTTTAATGGAGGGGCTTTGAAGGATGAGAAGACTCTGTAGGCAGATAGGAAGACATTCAAGATAGGTGAATGGTAGGAGAAAAGCACATAAGAAGGTAAATAGTAGTTTTGGAAAATACTTAATAGACTAGTTTGGCTAGAGAAAAGAGTTCATGTTGAGTTTAGTAGGAGATTAATTTGTAAAGAGATTTTGGTTCTTATCATGGAACTCTTGAATGTCACAGACTTTGTATCTTGGTAGCTAATAAACTACAATGAATTTCAGGCAATGAAATTTGAAGGTAAACTTCATGTCTTAGAGTTTTATGAAATTTATCAAATTTCCAAATGTGTTATAATTCATGAACTTAAAATATAGGGATGTGGAGAATACAACAAGGGACTAGTGAGACTGTTGTGTTTAAGGAAGGAGATACTCTCCTTTTTCTTGTGTTCTTTTTAAGGAAATATATTTCTAGACTTGTAAAAGTATGTTGTTTGTCTTCTATCAGCACAAAAACTCGCATATGAAAAAATTTGCACAAAGGTTTAACAAGAGCAATGGAAAATAGCAAATGGTACGAATAATTAAAGTAAAATATTTTCTAATAACATTGAGTAGCCAAAAAGCACTGGACTAGGAATCAGAAGATTTAATTCCATCACCTATCAGATTCCCCATGTGTTAAAGGAGGATAATAAATAATGTTTACTCTGCTTGTTTTGCCAGACTATTGGGAAGGTGAGATGAAATGTGTATATGAAAGTGTTTTGACAGTATAGACAATATGCCATTGCAATTAGGGAAACATCTTTTTGCATTATAAATTTGAGGCATTAAAATTATTATAAATAAGATAGTTTCATCCTTTGGTTCTATAATTCTAAATACATTTTTCTGTCTAGGTCTATTGAGAATATTTCTTACTCTTACTTAGTTTTCATTTCTGATTTTCCCTTCCTTTCTTTGGGCAGTATTTTTCATAAGCTTTTGTGTGTGCTAAATTTTATTTAAGAAATGCAGGGGTATAAGCATATATTTCTAAATTTGCTTGCATTTCCTAAGGAAAGTTTTACAACTGGGATACACCGGCAGTTGTAAAAATGGTTGCCTAAAGAGAGTAGGGTGGAGAGAAAGTGGGATGGACAGGGATAGGAATGAAAGCTCAATTTCTAAGTGAATACCCTTTTCATATATACTTTTTAAATCAGTAAACTTCCTTATTTAGAGCAGTTTTAGGATCTTAGAAAAATTGAGTGGAAAGTATAGAGTTCCCCTTATATCTACTCCCGCCCACCACACACACACACGCACAGCCTCCCCCACTATCAACATGCCTTACCAGAGTGTGGCACATTTGTTAACATCAATGACCCTTCATTATCACCTAAGTCCATAGTTTACATGTTTACATTCGTGTTCTCTGTTGGTGTTGTACGTTCTGTAGGCTTTGACAAATGCAGAACAACGTGTATCCGCCATAATAGTATTATGCGGAATAATTTCACTGCCCTAAAAATGCTCTGTGTTCCACCTCTTTATTCCTCCCTTCCCGCTAACCCCTGGACATGACTGATCTTTTTACTGTCTCATAGGTTTGCCTTTTCCAGAATATCATATAGTTGGAATCGTACAGTTTATAGACTTTTCAGATTGGCTTCTCTCGCTTAGCAATATTTAAGGTTTGATAGCTCATTTCTTTTTAGTGAGTAACATTCTATTGTCGGCATGTACCATAGTTTTCCATTTACCTACTTAAGGACATCTTGGTTGCTTCTAAGTTTTGGGAATTGTGAATGAAGCTGCATTTTATATGATTGCTTTTTTTTTTTCCCTCTCTCTCTTTTTAGCATTTCAATTATACTTCTATTTTTTAACTTTTCTTAATGGTTACCCTAGAGTTTGCAATATAAATTTACAACTAATCTCAGCCCACTTTGAAATGACATGGTACTGCTTCATAGGTAGTGAAGTACCTTGTAATAACAGAATAATCCTAATTCCTTGTTCTTGTCCCTTGTATCATTGCTGTCATTTATTTCATGCATAAGTAATAATTCATATTTGAGTACATTGTTGGCATTCTTTTGATCAAACTGTTATCTTTTAGACTAATTAAAAATAAAAGGTAAAAGTTTTTATTTTACCTTCACTTATTCATTCTCTGATGCTGTTCCTCTCTTTACATAGTTCTGTTTCTGATTTGTATCATTTTTCTTCTTTTTGAAGAACTTTTCAATTTTTCCTGAAATATAGTTTTCCTGGCAACAAATCCCCTCAGTTTTTGTTTGTCTGAGAATGTATTTCTCTTTCACTTTTGAAGGATAATTCTGCAGTATATGAAATCATAGGTTGGTGAGGCTTTTTTTTTCTTTTAAATATTTCACTTCACTCTCTTCTTACTTGCATGATTTTTAAGGAATCAGATATAATTCTTATCTTTGTTCCTCTATGCATAAGGTGTTTTTTTCCTCTGGCTTCTTTCAGGGTTTTTTTCTTTATTTTTTTATATTCTGTAGTTTGAAAATGGTGTGCCTAGGTATAGTTTTTTTTTTTTGGGGGGGGGGTGGGGGGTGCCATTTATCCTTCTTGATATTTTTTGAATTTCCTGGCTCTGTGGTTTGATGTAGGAAAATTTTGGGGAATTATCAGACATTATTGCTTCATTCCATTTCCTTCTGGTATTCCCATTACATGTAACTTATACCTTTTGTAGTAATCCCACAGTTCTTGGATATTCTGTTCTGTTTTTTTTTTTTTTTCCAGTCTTCTCTTTGCTTTTTTCATTTTGAAGTTTCTATTATATTCTCAAGCTCAGAGATTCTTTTCTAAGTGGTGTCTAGTCTACTAATGAGCTCATCAAAAATATTATTTATTTCTGTTAGTGTTTTTGATCTCTAGCATTTCTGATTCTTTCTTAGACTTTCCATCTTATTTATCTGTTCTTGAGTGTTGCCTACTTTAACCATAAAATCTTTAACATATTAATAATAGTTTTTAAAATTCCTGGTCTGATAATTGCAACATTGTTGCCATATCTGACTCTCATTCTGATGTCTGTCCAGTCTCTGTCCCGTTTTTAGTATGCCTTGTAATTTTTTGTTGAAAGACAGATATGATGTTGTTAACCTTAAATAACAAGATTAGAAAATAAGTATAGACTTTGAGCCCAAAGCTTGAGGATGGCCACCAGAGAGCATAGATTCTATTTGCCTTGAATATACATTCTGATTAGCAGTGTTACAAGTGGGTTTTTAAGGAAAAAAGAAAAGGCAGTTCCTAAGTTGTTACCAAGAATTTACATTAAAATATCAGAAGCTCTTGGTTAGCTATACATTCGTTCTTTGTATCACAAACTCCAGGAACGAGAAGACGATGGGTGAGACAGGTAGCCAGTAAAATGCCTTCAAACAATTGCCCCTGGGTTTGAGGGGCCAGTGACTGAAGTCCCATATTCATGTCTCTCTGGGCCTACTAAATTTTGCATGCCTCACATAGCTCAGACTGCTTTGAGCTCTTTTTCTTTTCTCAATGTATTGGGCAAAAGGAATTGCAGTAAGTGGGCCTTGAGTGATGTAGTGGCAAGGGGCGTGTGTGTGCATGTATGTGTTGGTAAGGGGCCATTCTGTGGTCCTATGATTAGGTCCCAATCTTTAGTGAGGCTTTGAGACTGCACAGTGAACACCAGGGCTTCTCAGCTTCTCAGTACCCCTGCCACCTCTGTACCTCCCTTCCTGCCTTCCTGCTTAGTTGGGACAGGATGGCTAGAAGGTGCCAGACTTGGGTATTGCCCCTCCTTCTGGTAGGTTAGTCTCTGATAATACCCCAGCAGGTTAGGCTCTGAAAAATTCCAAACAGATTAGGCTCTGTTAAAATAGTTTCTCCTGAGGGCAGGCCTTCTTAAGAAGAGAATACTCTGGCATATTTCAGAATGCAGCAGATATTCTCTTTTCTCCTCCCTCTGTTGGAAGCATGAGGGTATGTTTCTCTGGTATTCACTATGAGGACCTGGTTGAGCTCTTAGTGGTAAAACTCAAAAATAAATGTGCGGCCTCCCTATGACTGGGCTGCCTTTGGAGTTTTTAATCTTTCAGGCTTGTCCACACTGAACCTCCAGCAATTCTTCAGTCACAGTTTAGGTTTTCCTAACCAGGCACTGGTTCTCTGCAAGGTTTCTGCTGTGGGTTTTTAAACTGCCAAGTTGTGATTCTCCATAGCCACCTGTCTGTCCAATTTGGGGACAACAGTTTGCCCTGTGACCTTACTTCTCTTACATATCTAAGAAGAGTTGTTGATTTTTCAGTTTGTTCAGGTTTTTACTTTTTGTTAGGATGCTGTGGTGACTTCTGGACTCCTTACATACTGGAAGTGGAAGTCTCCCCATAATCTTTTAAAACTTAGATTTCAAAACAACATGTTTTATCATTGTGATACGGCTCTGATGAGTGGAGGAACACCAGATTCTTCCTCTTAAGTTGAATTAGAAAAAAAACGACATGGACACACGTGGAGTAGTTTTAAGGAGCAGGGAGTTTAATAGGCAAGAGAGAAGGGGGAGGAAAGAAAGAAAAAGCTCGCCTCTACAGAGACAGAGGGAGGGGGGCTCCAAAGCCAAGAGACAGAACCCCACTTTCAGGTAGTATCAACCAGCTATACTGGAAGGCTGGAGGAGGCAGTGTCTGATTTGCATAGAGCTCAGGGCATTGGTTTGACCAGGCATGTCATTCACGTAGCCGGCGAAAAAACTGGCCCTCCCACCCTCTCTTTTTAATATGCAAATGCGGGGCACCATGATGTTCCAAACACGTGGGGATATGTAGGGGCAGCCATACTGCCAGGCACATGTGGGGGCAAGGGCAAGAGGACAACGGTGGGAATCGCCATGTTAGGTGGACCCAGTTTCTAATGGCTAACATTTGCATATCAAAGGTTGCCAGCCCGGGTCTAAGACCCAAGGCTTTCATTCTAGATAAGAGCTGCGAAAAATCTTCCAAGGACCCCTTTTTTTCCTATGTGCCTAAAATAATTTCTTAATAACTCCTACCTCAATTGAGGGTACAGCAACCAAGAACTTTGTTTTTTTAAAAAAAAAAATTTCTTGTAAAGATGAAAAGATTTCCAAAGATGCTAATTAAAGTGTTAAATGACTAGCTGGAAAAATAACAGCTTGTTATTTTATTGAGAAACCTAAGAACGGTATGATGTTATAAAGATAAACACTCAAAGGGGCTATTACTATTATTTTCTACTGAGAATTACCCCAGTAGCCTTCTCCCTTTTGAAGGAGGCAGGGAAATGATGCAGTGGTATTGAGGAGTGAAGAAAAATGGTATTAGTAGAGCAGCTAATAATACTGGTGCATATTGTTTGGAGGAAGTAGAAATAATGAGTGGCTAGTAGATTTGAAATGCTTTAAGCATTAAAGATGTCAGTTCTTCCCAAATTGATCTACAGACTTAGTCTTTATTCTTTATTTTTTTTTCATGTTCTTTCATGAGGTGGCAAATCTATAGGTTTATTGCAGTCTCTCAAAATCCTAGCAAGATTCCTTTAGATAGAGACAAGCTTATTTTAAATTTTATATGGAAAGGCAATAGAACTGGAGTAGTTAAACAGATTTTGAAAAAGGAGAATAAAGTGGAAAGAATCACTCTACCAGATATTAAGCCATGCTATATTGCCACCTTAAGCAGGACCATGAGATAATTGCGATGTAATAAACACACAGATCATTGGACGACATTAGCAAGCCCAGATGTAGGCTAACAGAGGTATTTTCAACTGATTTTGAGAAAGGTGCAAAAGCAAAAATAATCTTGAACAAATGGTGCTCAAATAAGAGACCAAAAAAAAAACCCCAAATAACTTCCCCAAAGCTCTCATAAATACAAAAATTAATTCAAAATGGGTCATGGATTTAAATGTACAACATAAAACTATAAAACTGTTGGAAGAAAATATTGGAGAACATTTTCTGGATCTAGGGCTTGGTAAGGAGTTTTTAGATATGACAAAAAAAATCAATAAAAATGAATAAATGGGACTTCATTAAAATTAAAATTATGTGCTCAATGAAAGACCCTGGTAAGACTATAAAAAGACAAGCTACAAAGTGGGAGAAAATAGTTGTCAACATACCTTACAAAGGTTTTATATCTAGACTATATAAAGAACTCTCAAAATACAATTAAAAAGCCCAAGCAATCTAATTACAAAATAGGGAAAAGACAATAGACATTTCACCCAAGAGGAGATAGAGATGGCAAGTAAGCACATGAAAAGATGTTCAATATACTGATATTGAATTTTACGAAAATGCCAGTTAAAACCATAATGAGATATTATTACCCACCTGTTTGAACAGTTAAAATAAAAAGTAGCTAATACTAAATGCTAGCAAGGATATGGAGAAAGTGGATCTCTTACATGTTGCTGGTAGAAATAGAAAATGGCACAGCTACTTTGGAAGACAGTTGGACATTTTTTAAAAGAAGTTAAGCATGTAACATGATCTGACCTGTCAGTTACATTCTTGAGCATTTATCCCAGACAAGTCAAGATTTATATTCACAGAAAAATCTGTACTTGTGTGTTCATAGAGGCTTTATTTGTAATAGCAGAATACCGGAAACAACACAGGTATCCTTCAGTGGGTGAATAGTTAACAAAACTGGTATATCCATGCAGTGGAGTACTACTGAACAATAAAAAGGAATGAACTTCTGATATATACAATAACCCGGAGGGGCCTCAAGGGTGTTATGCTTTGTGAGAAGAATTAAATCTCAAAATGTTACATACTGTATGTTTCCATTTATATAACATACTTGAATGACAAAATTACAGAGATAGAGAACAGATGAATAATTTCCAGGGGACAGGGCCTGGGGAAAATGAATGGGGGAGTAAGTAGAAATACAAAGAGGCAGTCAGTGTGAGGGAGTTCTTTTGTGATAATGGAACAGTTATATATTGTGATTGTGGTGGTAGTTACATGAATCTATACACAAGATAAAATTGCACAGAACTATACATGTACACACATGTACATTTTTAAAATGGCATGTACTAGGCTTCTCCAGAGAGACAGAACCAGTAGGATATATGTATATATAAAAGGGAGTCAGTTAGGGAGAATTAACTGACACGATTACAAGGTGAAGTCCTATGATAGGATATCTGCAAGCTGGGGAAAGAGAGAAGCCAGTAATGGCTCAGTCCGAGTTTGAAAGCCGGAAAACCAGGGAAGCCGACATGGCAGCCTTCAGTCTGTGGCTGAAGTCCTGAGATTCCCCGGGAAGCTGCTGGTGCAAGTCCAAAGGCTGGTGAACCTGGAGTCTGATGTCCCAGGGCAGGGAAAGCGGAAGCAGGCTTCATGCACTGGAAGAAGAAAGAGCCAGAAGACTCAGCAAGCAGAATTATCCCACCTTCTAACACCTGCTTGCCCACATTGAGGGTGGGTCTTCCTCTTTCAGTCCGTTGACTCAAATGTCAGTTTCCTCTGGTAACACTGTCACAAACACACCCAGATACAATACTTTACCAGCCAATTA
Organism: Homo sapiens; assembly: GCF_000001405.40. NCBI lineage: Eukaryota > Metazoa > Chordata > Mammalia > Primates > Hominidae > Homo > Homo sapiens. The sequence goes on along the minus strand of NC_000001.11, from coordinate 227,182,693 downwards.
GGCATCCTTCAATCCAGTCACACTGACACCTAATATTAATTATCAGAGGGTGAAAACTGAAATAAGGTCTAGTCTAACACTAATGTACCATTGTCAATTTTTTTGTTTTATATTGTGCTACAGTTATCATATGTTACCATTGGGGGAAGCTGGTGGAAGAGTACAAGGGATTCATTGAACTATTTTTCAATTTCCTGTGAGCCTATTATTTCAAAATAAAAATTTTTAGGAAAAGGAAGGGCCTCTATGACTTGCTTTTCTAAAGACTGGAAACCAAGCCCAAGAAATTCTGTACCTTATATTTCACCTGCAGTGCATATAAATTTGGTGAGTTCCTCAAGATTGCCAAATTTGGTTAGGCTCTTTGGCCTACAAGGAAGTGATTTTTCTTACCAGCTATAAGGCTGGGATCTGTAATTCAAACTTTTGGGTGTTATTAACATGTAGATGCTATGCAAATCATGGGATAAGATGAATTCACTTTGCGAAACAGAGTAGGTAATAAAGAGAGTGCAGGACCGATGAGCCATGAGGACTCCAGGTGTTAGAGACTGGATAGATTAAGAGTAGCCAATAAAGAAAACTAAGAAGGAGCAGTCAGAGGTTAGGAGGAAAATCATGATAGCTGAGAGCATACCTACAATGTCTTACGGAAAATAAAAGTAATCATTTTCCCCTTATATTTAATTACATTAATGTCTTAATGGATGCATTTCAGGCAAACATTTATTATGTTTTTCCTGTGGATGCTAGTGTCCTGGGTGTTGGAGGTTGAAGTAGGGAAGGCTGTAGGGTATTGCCTGCTTTTATGTAAGTAATATACTTTTTACCTTCAATTTACTGTCTTTGGGGAAATGATAAAAGCTTAAGAAAATACTTCTACTTCATAGTTGTGCCCAAGTTGGACAGATGTTCATCTCAATTTTAATTTTGTAAATTCATTCATTTATCATGAACGTATTAGGCTGTACAGTTTTTCCTGATATTCTAGCTATTTTCTTGGGTAAGAGGTGCCATAGAACTGGAGGAAATACTCTTTAGAGGAGCTACTTGAAGATTAACTGTTATAATAGAGAGTAAGCGACAACCAAAACAGGTTTAAAACAAAAAGCTGCAAAAACTATTTTTACGTCTCCATATAAAATAAAAGAAAATAGTAGATGAACAAGTGAATCAGGAAGATCTCTTGGAAAAAGCCATGTTTATCATAGGAAGAAGATACTTCAAAAAATTGAAATAGCTTAAAGAAGGAGGACCAAAGTAAATAATATGTACAAAAAATGACCATTGAGGTTCTGAAATAATATTTTATCATTATTTTAATGTTAAAGATGTCACTTGAATACATAGAAAAATGCAATATGAAGATCTTAATATTATGAAAATATGTCCATCTTTATGCTTTTTAACAAAATGGTGGGTTTTTTTCCCTGTGTTAATTGAAATACTATTTTGGCAGTCATATCTTTTTTTCAATTATCTGTAAACTTAGATTTGTGCATCTATGCACTATGCATCTGTAAAGTGAATAGATGCACTTTAATTTCAGCTGAAAGTTTGAATCCTAGCATTACTGTTTTTGATTTGCTGCATAGGCAGTTTGCATTTTAAGGGTGTACCCTTTCTTTTCAATTATTTTTTTGTTCAAATACAAAATTTGGGAGTAGAGGTTATTTCTAATGACTTAACAGCATCATGTGGTATGTCTGATTAAGGTTGATTAAAGTTTATGCCAAATAGGTTGTGGTAATGTAAGGCCTAATTTCAGGTTGAAAAAAAAAAAGGCCCCAAGTTATTTCTAACCATGTTTAAACTCAGCACTAGACTTGCTATTTAGATTGTGAACTATAACTTCAAAAATGCTAATGATTTAAGACACAGAATCCTACTAGAACAAGAAAGAAAAACTAAGTTTCATCTGATTAGAATGTTATGTTCGATTATCATGCGCTTCAGTTTTAGATGACAAAAATGGGAAGATGAGGAACTTTTGTGGTGTTTTTCAGCACTACGTAGATAATTTACATAGATAGTCAGAATGTTGATTCTGGCTTCTGGCACCAAAATGTTACCAACTGATATTGTGTGTCCTTCAGTGACTTAGATCTTACCTTGATTCTGTTTGTGGTATAGTTTCCTACAATATCACCATTTAAACAATGTTGCACACTTTGCCTTCAAACTGGAAGGACCCTATTAGAAGCCATTTTGATTGAGAAGGGTCATTGCTGGTTGGCGTATTGGTCTGTTAAAGAGAATCTTTATTGTTGTAAAATATATAATGCTTTAAGCTTGTGTATTAGAGAGGATAACAGTTTCTTTTCTTAGATCACCTGTCATTTCATAAAATGAAATTTTATATTAATTTTTTTTTGAAAAGTTCTTAGTGGAAATAGTAGAATATTTAACAGCTTTTTGGAAAAAATTGAGAATTCCTTCTTTATTTTAAACCCTTCAAAGGCAGATTGATTGATTGATTGATTGATTTATGACGGAATCTCACTCTGTCACCCAGGCTGGAGTGCAGTGGCATGATCTTGGTTCACTGCAACATCTGCCTCCTGCGTTCAAGCGAGTCTCGTGCCTCAGCCTCCTGAGTAGCTTGGATTACAGGTTTGTGCCACCATGCCCGGCTAAGTTTTGTATTTTTAGTAGAGACAGGTTTCACCATGTTGGCCAGGCTGGTCTTGAACTCCTAACCCCAGTGATCCGCCCTCCATGGCCTCCCAAAGTACTGGGATTACAGGCGTGAACCTCCGCATCCTGTCCAAAGGCAGTTTTAAAAAATGATCTAAAAATGGTGAACTTTTCTTTATTAGCTTTAATCATAATAACACTAGATATTATCCTTGATAGTTAATATTAATAGTAGTCATTTATATATTACTACTTCTTAAGACTTTTTTTTTTTCAAACTTTTTTGCCCTTTGGAGGAAAGATGTCTACCTTTTTGTATAACTTGCCAGTGGTATTCAGTGGATCCTCATTAAAAATTATTGTGAGATTAAATTGTAAATAGTCTTTTAAAATAGCTTTTTTTTTTTTTTTTTTTTTTTTTGAGATGGAGGCTCGCTCTGTTGCCCAGGCTGGAGTGCAGTGGCACAATCTCGGCTCACTGCAAGCTCCACCTCCCGGGTTGACGCCATTCTCCTGCCTCAGCCTCCTGAGTAGCTGGGACTACAGGTGCCCACCACCACGCCCGGCTAATTTTTTGTATTTTTAGTAGAGACGGAGTTTCACCATGTTAGCCAGGATGGTCTCAATCTCCTGACCTTGTGATCCGCCCGCCTCGGCCTCCCAAAGTGCTGGGATTACAGGCGTGAGCCACCATGCCCGGCCTTAAAATAGCTTTTTGAGATAAATTCATATACCATACAGTCCACTCATTAATGTGTACAGTGGTTTTTGGTATATTCACAGATATTTGCAACCATTACTATGATCTATTTTAGAATATTTTCATCATTTCAGAAAGACACTCTTCTCTATACCTTAAGTCTCTACACCCTGTTTCCCTATTTCCCCAGCCTTAAGCAACCATTAGTCTACCTTCTATCTCTGTAGATTTGCCTATTCCAGACATTGCCTATAAATGAAATCATATAACACGCGGTTTTCTGAGTGGCTTTTTTCACTTAGCATAATGTTTTCAAGATTCAGTCATGTTGTAGGATATGTCAGGACATATGATCTCAACCAGGTAGACTGCCTGGTAAGACTAAGACACCAACATTTTCCAGAGTTTTGAGAAAGAACCAAAAGTGTACATGCTCATAGCATACACAGTGCAGTCCAAAATTACTCAGTCTATCAGGAAATTATGATTTAGTCTCAAGAGAAAAAACAACTAATGGCAACTGTATTTAGTCCATTTTCATGCTGCTAACAAAGACATATCTGGCCAGGCCTGGTGGCTCATGTCTGTAATCTCAGCATTTTGGGAGGCCAAGGTGGGCGGATCACCTGAGGTTGGGAGTTCAAGACCAGCCTGACCAACATGGAGAAACCCCGTCTCTACTAAAAATACAACATTAGCTGGGCGTGGTGGCACATGCCTGTAGTCGTAGCTACCCAGGAGGCTGAGTCAGGAGAATCACTTGAATCCGGGAGGTAGAGGTTGTGGTGAGCCGAGATCATGCCATTGCACTCCAGGCTGGGCAACAAGAGTGAAACTGCATCTCAAAAAACAACAACAAAAAAGACAAGACATACCCCAAGACTGGGCAATTTATAAAAGAAAGAGGTTTAATTGGACTTACAGTTCCACGTGGCTGGAGAAGCCTCACAATCATGGTGGAAGTCTAGGAGTAGCAAGTCCCATCTTACATGGATGGCAGCAGGCAAAGAGAGAATGAGAAACCCTGATAAAAGTGGAAATCCCCGATAAAACCATCAGATCTCATGAGATGTATTCACTATCATGAAAACAGTATGGGGAAAACTGCCCCCATGATTCAGTTATCTCCCACTGGGTCCCTCCCACAACATGTGGGAATCCTGGGAGTACAGTTCAAGATGAGATTTTGGTGGGGACACAGAGCTAAACCAGCAACTCAAGATGATCCACGTATGAGAATTATTGGACAAAGACTTTAAAGCATTTAGTTTAAATATGTTCCATGAACTCAAGAAAAACACATTTGTTTTCTTCCAGGTGAAAGACATGATAGAAGTATCTCAGCAATAAAATAAAAACTATAAAAGAAACAAATGGAAATTTTAGGACGGAAAAATACAGTATTGGAAAAAAAAATTAAATGTCTTTGAGAGGACAAAGGAGATTACATAGGAATAAAGTATATTCAAATTCAATTTGGATATAGATCAATAAAAATTATCCCATGAAAAACAGACAAAAAGATTGAAAAAATGAGCAGATTCTCAGGAATGAAAAGGTGTAACATGCAAGTAATTGGAGTTCCAGGTAGAGAGAATAGAGACAATAGGACAGAAAAGAATAATAGCTCCAAACTTCCCATGTTTGGAGAAATACATGAATTTGTAGAATAAAAAATTGCATAGTGTTACAGCTCTTTTAGAATTGCACCAGAACCCTCCCCTGCCCTCCACCCCACGGAAGAAAATTGCAGCAAACCCAAAACAACATAAATTCTGGGAAAACCACACCTAGCTCATCAAAATCAAAGTACAGAATACAATGGATAGAGAAAAAGTCTTGAAAGCACCAGAGGAAAACAGTATATCACATACAGGGAAAAAAAAATGGAATGATCTCAGATTTCTCATCAAGACCACGGGGGCTAAAAGGTAATTAACATCTTCAGAGTATTGAGAGGAAGAAAACTATCAATGCAGTATTCTGTATCTGGGGATATTTTCTTCAGTAATGAAGTGGGGGTGAGGGGGAGACATTTTCAGATAAAGGTAACCCAAAAGAATTCATTGCTTCAGGCCTTCCTTACAAGAAATGCTGAAAAAAGCACTTCAGAATGTAGGGCAAAGATAGCAGAAGGCAACCTGGATTTTTAGGAAAGAAGAAAGAGAATAATAATTAGTAAATATCTCAGTGTATATGAAATACTGTATATATATATATTTTTTTTTTCTTACATCTTTAAAATATATGGCTTTAAAGTAAAAGTTGTTTTTTGGGATATTGAATGAATACATAATGTATATGACAGCTATGAGATAATCGAGAGAGGTAGGGCATAAACAAATTCTAGAATAATTATTTACCTTTAAAGTTAAAAAAAAAAGTAGGGGGCATAAAGAGCCAGTGGATTAGAGGGGAGAGAAAACTACTTTATCATTAGACTTCCCAGTGATGAAGCTTTATGATAAAGATTTATAATACCCTAGAAAAGAAAATGTGAACAAAACAGACTTTCAGGTATAAAAGACATGTACAAATGTTATCAAATACAAGAATTTTAGGAATGTTGTTTCCATGAATTCCTCTTGAAGAAGATACTAATCTAGTTAGTATAGTGTAATAATATATACTAGTTAGTATAGTATACATTTTCTAGTATAACCTACTAGAAAATGAGCTTCAGATGACTAACATGGCTATAGAGATATCAGTATAAGGACTGGTATTGCTCATTAAATAGTCAGTTGTAGAACTAAAGCAGAAAAAAGTTAAAAGGAGTGAGCACAGGATTAATGGCTATATGCTGTGGCATGAGCATGTAGTATAACTGTAAAAGTAGGTAGTGATAATTGGGAGAATTTATATAAAATTTTTTTCAAACTGTTTGCAGTAATCAAATTAGTGGTGACAGTATAGTTACTGTTATTTTGACATTGTTGTGTTTATAACGTGAAATGAAACAGAATGATTATGGAGTATTCTAATTTTATCCCTTATGTTAAGAATCAGAATTCTTGGTGTAGAAGAAAGGAGATGCTGATGTAATCTGGAAGAGATCATTAAAAACCCTAATGTCGTGAATTTGAATTGAAGATATCATTGTGGGCTGGGCATGGTGGCTCACACCTGTAATATTAGCACTTTGAGAGGCCAAGGCGGGCAGATCACTTAAGATCAGGAATTCGAGACCAGCCTGGCTAACATGGTGAAACCCTGTCTCTACTACAGATACAAAAATTAGCCCGGTATGGTATCACACGCCTGTAGTCCCAGCTACTCAAGGAGCTGAGGCTCAAGAATCGCTTGAACCTGGGAGGCGGAGGTTGCAGTGAGCCAAGATCGCACCACTGCACTTTATGTCAGTATGAACTTCTGCAGTATTTCATACACACACCCAGTACACCATACATACAGCTCTGTGTGGTGAAAATAACTAGAAACAGTGACCAGCACGTAGCAGTGAGCATCCCTATTGACAGATTATCGTCCTCACATACGATTTCCTACTGCAGGGAAAACAGGCTACTTGGAGAAATTGCTGACTCAAGATCTAGATAGGAAGTGTACAAGATGAGCCCTGTATGTCTTGTCATGCCAAATAGCAAATAAGCTTTCAAAGACTTTTAGGGTCATGTTTGAAGGATACAGGAGTCAAATTGGAAAGGTTACTAGTGGCGTAAGATGGGAAAATTTCAAATTTAATAGGGATAATAATAGAAAGAAATAGAAACTCATCAGATGTGCCTGTATTAATGAGTTTTAATGAGTGCATAATGTACCTGTACCAGCCTCAGTGCCTTGGAGATGAACTGAAAATATGAACAGTACATGTAATGAATGATTACTTGGTAGTTTATCATATGCTGTGTTAAAGTATAGGATACTACCCATTATCCAGTTATTTATTTATATATATATATATTTAAATTAGACTTCAAGTTTGCAGAGGCATAGACTATGACTTTTTTTCTATTGTACTCAGTGGATATATTTTATGATGTCTCTCTGGAGGTTTTCTTCATCTAGACCTGCAGCCTTGTGGTTTCAAGGGCTTCTTTCTGGGTGTTGGTTAATAGGTTGCTGCAACACAGCACTACAGTTGTCAAGTCATATTTTAGGAACAGTTGCTGTTATATCTGGAATTTAGACCATGAATTCTATATAAGTTCCAAAAGGGGTTATATCAGTCATGATTGCATGGAATGTACACGAAAATATATTTCCTGATAATCAAATTATTTATCTAGTTATTTATTCCTTTCATCTTCACTGTGTTCCATAATGAATTTAGATAATTAGAAATAAGAATGCATGCAATAAATCAATGGCAGAATATAAAAAGGAATAAAGAATCACAAAATGGAAATTATATTTTAAAATGAAGACCCCAAACCAAGGAGAAATAATGAACAGAAGTCGAGTCATATGCTTGAGGCACACCAGCTTTCTGTTGCGTAGAATCTCTCCCTGAGGGCAAGCAGGTTACATGAAACTTAGTGAAACTTAGTGGAATATACGTGCTTTCCTATCTTTGTTTTAAATCTTAAATACTGGATTGAATAGATTCTTAGGATGGAATGTATTTTTAAAGTAATTTTTCTTTACCCTAGTCCAAAAAACTAAAATGAAAAACCAGTTAACTTATTTATGGTTTTCTTCATAACTCTTTTTATCTCATGTAGTTTCATAGTCAAGATTTTTGATTACAGCTTTTATTAACCTCATCTCTTTAATGTTGATAATATTTTATATAATGTGGTTGAGTAAAGTGTACCGATATAGGAAATAGAGCAATCCTATTTTAATAGAATTTGTTGGGGGGGAAATACCACATAATTCATATCTAGAGAGTTTTTCATCTGTTATCCCATAAGAATTTCATGAAGGATTGGTATGTGCTTTGCCTATACCAGAGCTTTGCGCTGATTTCTTCTCTTTCAGCTTAGATTTGTGGGTATGATTTGGCAGTTATCCTCTTGGAATGTGTAAAATCATTACTTTTACAATGAGATAGAAATATTTTGAGGCCTAAGGCTTACTCAAAATTCTCTCAGTCTCTTACAGGCCTGAGTCACATTTCAAAATTGGAATTTTTCATATTGCTAATGGAGGAACTATTTTTATAGTATTGTGAAACTATTAAAGAATAGGTAATGTTATATGGATGCTCCTCGACTTACAGTGGGCTATGTTCCAGTAAGCCCATCATAAAGTTGAAGAATCATAATTTGAACCATTGTAAGTTAGGGACCATCTATAGTTAAAAATATAGTTAAAAACTGTTACACTAGAGTATAGGTGAACTCAGGATGTGCACAATTAGGAATTTTTAAATATAAATATAGTTACTATATTACAGTTCAGTTGGTATTTCAGTAACTACAAGGAATTTGGGGCAACTACAGAGTTTTAGAGGAAACCTTCCAGTTAGACCACTCCAAGTTCTGACACCAATTGGAAGTTCGAGGGGTTCCCAAAACCACCTCTTAGTTTTGATAATTTGCAAGACTCACAGAACTCACTGAATGCTGTTATACTTAACAGTTGTATTTTATTACATGGAATACCGATTTTATTACATGGATACCGATTTAAATCAGCCAGAGGAAGAAGTATTAATATATAGGGTAGAGTTAAAAAAAAAATACCACATGTGGAGCTTACATCATTCTTTCTTGGTGGAATTAGGACAGCCCAGCATACATATATGATAGTGCTTACCGAGTATTGCCAGCCAGGGAAGCCCACCTAAGCCTTTAGTTTTTATAGTTTTTTTAGGGTGGCCTCAATTACTTACTGCCTGTGTGACTGTCTTTAGTCTCCAGCCCTTCCCAAATGTTGGGCTGATAGCTTTAGTCTCCAGTCCTTTCCAGAGGCAAAACATAGTATGACTCAAATAAATTACATGTATCATAAATTACATTGGTAGATTGTCTAGTAGTCAAAGACACTCCTATCAGTTGTGCTATTCCAGGAGCCTAGCGACCATCTTCCAGTAGCTGAGGATAAAAGCCAGACCTCTCTTTGGGCAAGATTAGGCCTTCACTATACAGATAATTCCGTGGTCTTTAGGCAAGCTTTCCTATGATATTTGGACATCTTCATTTAGTGTAATGTTCATATGGCAGATACAGCAATAGTATCGGTTTGAATGTATCTGTCATTTGGAGGAGCCAATGCAGGGTAATTGAACGAAACTTCTGGTCTATCCTATAAAGCCATTATATACGTTTTCATATTTTTGTACTAATGTAATTACTTGTTTCCTCCTTTTATCTGTCACTATTTGTACTTGTACAGAACTATTTAGCATAGAAGTTACTTGATAGGTAGCTAAATGTAGTTATTCCTCAGGCTGGCCATTTGATTAGATCCTGAGGAGCCTTTAACTGAATCTCCCAGTGAGTATTCCTGAGATCAGATGCTATTGGCTATACTGTAGTTTTAGAAGGTTTTTCTTTTAGTGATATATTATTTATCTACATACAAGTATTTGTTAAAGAGAGTTAGTGTAAAGACATGTTAATATATAACAGGATAATGAGAAGCATAAAATAATTCTATAAATTTGCTCAAGATGATTTTTTTTTAGCTTAGAAAACCTTATTTTGAAATAAGTTTGGAATCACAGGAAATTGCAAAGGTAGTACAGAAAGGTCCCATGTACCTTTCGCCCAGTTTCCCCCAACTATACTATCTATCCTACTCATGGTAGGACTTCTTCCTTCCGTCTCAGTGGGCAGTGGTTTAATCTGCATTTTATTGCCCCATTACTCCCCGCTTTTCTCTTCTTTTTCTCATTTGCTGAATTTGAATGTTTATTTTCATAATTACACATAATTTGAATTTCATAGTAGTCTTTCTTTGAATTACATTTTAAATGTGGTATGTGGGTTGTTTTACTTGTTCTCCTTGTTGATTGTATCTGGATGGTTTTTGGAAAGATGCAGAGAAAGATTAGGATTTGTATAACCACCATTATTTTGCAGTACCTGGAATTATAGAATCATTAGTTTTTTATTCCCATAATTCTTAAATAATAGCTTCACTACCCAGTGGAAAAGATTAGTTTGAGAAAAGTTTACTGACAGAATTTTTTGAATAACTGTTTTCTCAAATGTAGGATGAACCCCAAATTAATGTTCCATAAAGAATTCTAATTTCTGACTGACAGAAAGGCTGTTGGTGATGTAATTTTACCAGTGTGGACTTTCTTTTATTACTGATGTAATATTTCTTTGACAAAATTAAGAGACAATTTCAAAAAGCAGTTTCATTTTAATATAATGCAGTATGCTGTTTTTATGAGTATAAAAAAGGAGGAGTAGGAAAATTAGAAAATAAAAGTATTGTTTTAGAAGAGTCCACTACCCTAACCTATATAAATGATAAAAAGGAACCGAATGGGAGATATTAATGTGATGTTGCTGGGAAGAGAAATGCCTGTCTTAAATTAGTGGTTGTCAGGGACCAATCCCCTGTGCAATATTTTGATTAGTGGTGTCTGGGTTGGGGCCAAGGTACATGCAATTAAAATAACCCTCTATAGTTGAATTCAGTGTCCAGCCAGAATTGAAACTATATAGATTAACTAATGTCGTATCCGCATTTTGGTCTTATGGGGGTAATATTTGTAATAATCATGCTTTTGGTACTGATGTTCTAGTGAAGTTAAAAAAAAAATCACCCATAGAATGTTGCCCTTTCAATGTAATCGTTGTTTTAGAATGCTTTTTTTTTGAGACAGGATCTTGCTCTGTCACCCAGGCTAGAGTGTAGTGGCATCGTCACGGCTCACTACAGCTTTGACCTCCTGGGCACAGGTGATCCTCTGACCTCAGCCTCTTGGGTAGCTGGGACCACTAGCGCAGGCGTGGACCACTATTCTTGGCTAATTTTTGTAGTTTTTGTAGCGATGAGGTTGCTCACGCTGGTCATAAACTCCTGGACTCAAGTGTTCCACTGGCCTTGCCTCCCAAAGTTCTGGGATTATAGGCGTGAGCCATTGTGCCCAGCATAGAATGCTTTTAAAGTTTTTAAAACTATTATTTTAAAACTAAAATCATAAAACTTTTAACCCAAATCTTATTTACTTTTGTTTAGGGACAAGGAAAATTATTCATTTTAGAAACTTTAATTAGTGTACATGTTTTGACTAATATTCAAATTATGGAAAACTTGAATAATGTTTTTACAGTAATAGATATTTTATCTCTTCCAAACATTTCTCAGTTTTCATGAATTATCAAAGTTGAAAATAATGTTTTACCTGAACTTTCCTTTCACTCCTTTTATTGACAATTCTTAGTATCTGGTTGTCTGGCTGCCACGTTATTTGCAAGACGTCACTGACTCAGAGTGGTTTTGAATGCCAGATGTTATTTTGCTGCTTCTTCCAGAAAATGGAATTTGTTGGGCTACTGTTCCACTTAACAATTGCTGTGTAACACATTATGTTCTCCAGAAGCAGGCACTGAGACAGAATGTGTCATGCAGGGTATTTATTAGGGGTTAACACCTGTAGAAGGGAATTGGAGAAAGCAGGTTTGGGTGGAGGAGAAGTCAGATTACACTGAGGCCAAAGCTTCAGTCAGCCCTACTAGGAGTTCTGAAGCGTCTGTGGTCACCTGAATTGTTGCTAGTTTAGTAGAAATGGCATGGTCTTTCTTATTTCCTTATCAGTCATTCAATGCATATGAAGTTCTCCAAGAAACACAGGCAGTTGTTTAAAGAGGCTCTCTGTAACTTTGAAGGAACCTGGCAGTGGGGAGCTATCTGTTGACATCTGGGGCAAAGCTCATCATTGAGGGAGAAGATAATACATCTCTGTCCACCATACACCCTGAAACACTATAGTGACTAATATAAAACAACAACAATTTTTTTTTTCTTTTTTTTTTTTGCTCATGAGTCTGAAATTTGGGCAGGACTAGGCAGCACCTAATTGTATCTTCTCTATGCAGCATGAGTTGCAGTAGCTCACCTGTGGTTGGAAGAATCACTGTCAAGATGGCTCACACACATAGCTAGCCAATTGGTGCTGCCCATCAGTTGGGAGTTCAGCCAGAGCTGTGGGCATGGGGTTTTTGTTCTTCCCATGTGGGCTGCTTGACTTTCTTAACAACATGATAAGTATGTTCTCTAGAGCAAGTGTCTCTAGAGAACAAAGCAGAATTGCATGACATTTTAATGACCTAGCCTTGGACGTCATAGCCAGCCTAAGTTCTATCATACTGTATTGATTGAGACAGTCACAAGAGTCCATCCAGGTTCAAGCTGAAGGGACAATCTTCTTGATGGGTGAGTGGCAAGGTTCTAGATGAAAATGTGGAGTGAGAGATATTATTGAGGCCATGTTTGAAAAATATGGTTTTCTGTATTCATAAAACTTAAAAGTTCAGGGTGCCTTAATTAGAAATAGGATTGGCTACATCTTTTAGAAAATTCAAATTAATAATGGTCCAAATGTATGAGGAGGGCTAGTGACTGAATGAGGTCCTTCTGGGCTACGGCCCTCACAGAAGCAACTAAAAATCTGAGCATAGCACAAAGACCATTATCCTAAAGGCACTAAAGAGTGAACAGAAGCGGGGAGAACCTGATTGGGAATACATCCTCAAAGAAGATGGAGGTATATGAAATGACATCTCATGTTTTGCAGCTCTCAGCCTGGGGCTGGGTGAAAATGGCATGGTGTACATTGTGGCATGGGAGAAGATAACAAGAAGATAAGTAGAAGAACTCTGGTCTCTATGGCCTGTGAAAGCTGAATTTGGGGAAACTATGTTTGTTAGAGAGGGGATCCAAAATCTGTCTACTGACAGCTCACATGACCCCTGAGTGATAGCTTCACTCAGAGCTGCTCAGCTAAAGACAAAAGATAAGAAACTTCTTCCCAAGAAACAGTTTGCAGTTTAAATGTGTTTAATCAGCTGATTAAAAAAAGAAAGAAAAAAATGCTAACTGGAGAAAAATTAAAGAATCCAGAGTTTCAGAAATTTAACATTTATTATGTTCAGGGAACATTCAGAATTACCCAATGTATAAAGAAAAAGGAGTATGTAACTCCTTTACAAGAGAAAAGAGTATCCCTGAAATGACCCAGATGTAGAAATTATTAATAGCAGACTAGGATTTTTAAGTGGCTGTTAACAACTATTCTCAGTAAAGGTAAATAAAATGTGTTCACAATATATGAAAAAATAGGAAATCTCAGCACAGAACTAGAAACAAATCAAATGGAAATTCTAGAAATGAAAAATACAAAATCTGAAATGAAAATTTTCACTGCAAAAAATTAACAGCCTAGTGGAGATGACAAAGTAAAGACTTGAAGTTAAATAAGCCAGAAGTTATTGAAGGTAACAGAGAGGAAAAGATTAAAATAATAGTAGTCCAAGGACCTGTTAGAAAATATCACAAGGTTTTATGTACATGTACTTTGAGATCAAGAAGGAGAGGAAAGAGAATGGGCCAGAAAAAATACCTGAAGAAATAATGGCCTCAAATTTGATGAAAGATATAATTTTATGTATTTGAGATGCTCAAGAAACACCAGGGGGCCGAGTGCAGTGGCTCACGCCTGTAATCCTAGCACTTTGGGAGGCCGAGGCGGATGGATCACGAGGTCAGGAGATCGAGACCATCCTGGCTAACACGGTGAAACCCCTTCTCTACTAAAAATACAAAAAAAATTAGCCGGACGTGGTGGCAGGCGCCTGTAGTCCCAGCTACTCGGGAGGCTGAGGCAGGAGAATGGCGTGAACCCAGGAGGCGGAGCTTGCAGCGAGCGGAGATCGCACCATTGCACTCCAGCCTGGGTGACAGAGCGAGACTCTGCCTCAAAAAAAAAAAAAAAACACCAGGGAAGATAAATATGAAAAAGGCCATGTCAAGGTTCATTATAGTGAAACTATTGAAATCCAAAGACAGAGAGCAAATTTTGGAAGCAGCAAGGAAAAAATGACAAGTTACATTTGGGGGAACTACAATTCCATTAAGAGATGAATTCTCATTAGAAAATAAAGAAGCTAAAAGAGAGACTTAAGAATTCTATATATCCAGTGAAAATATCCTTCAAAAATAAATGTGATATGATATTTTTAAGTAAAAGAAGAACAAAAAGAACAAGAAGCCAGGGGTGATGGCTCATGCCTATAATCCCTGCACTTTGGGACACTGAGGCAGGCGGATCACTTGAGGTTAGGAGTTTGAGACCAGCCTGACTAACATGGTGAAACCCTGCCTCTACTAAAAATACAAAATTAGCCAGGCTTAGTGGCGGGCACCTGTAATCCCAGCTACTCAGGAGGCTGAGGGCAGGAGCATTGCTTGAACCCAGGAGGTGGAGGTTTCAGTGAGCCAAGATCATGCCACTGCACTTGAGCCTGGGTGACAGAGTGAGACTCCGTCTAAAAAAAAAAAGAACAGAAGAATTTATTGCCAGAAGACCTGCACTGTAAGACATGCTAAAGGAAGTTCTTTAGGCTGCAGGGAAATGATACTACATGAAAGCTTGGATCTGCAGAAAGGAATCCAAGGCACTTAAAATTGTAAATGTCTAGATATACATACTAGACTATAAATTTTTTATTCTTACTAATTTCTTCACAAACCATATGACTGCTTAAAGCAAAAATTATAACATTGTCTTGAACTCATCAGAGATTTGAGGTCATAGGGCAACCAACTAACCTGAAATCTAAGAAATGACAGGTACTTCCAAGGAAAAGATCATTGAGGTACAAAGGAGAGCAGAGAGCTGCATATTAAGAAAGGGCAGCATTAGGGGAATGGAAATTATGCTTCTGGGAAAAGAGGAACCAGGAAAGGAAACTGAGAAGCATTAATTTTAGATGGGAGAAAAAATAGAGAAGAAAGTGGTATAGTTGGGAGAATAACCAGCAGTGTCAGATGTCATAGAGAAGTCATTACAGGATTCAAACTAAAAAGATGCTACTGGATTTGGCAGTGAAAAGGTCATTTGTCATCTTAAAGAGTATTTTCTGCATAATGAATAGGGAAAGGGAAAGCCAAAAAAAAACTTTTGGACAACTTCTTTTCAGCACTCAAATTCCTTTTAAGAATTGATCATACATTTCAGTGGTAATGTAAGGACGAGGACTTGCATTTTCTTGGAGCAGGTATAATCATAGGTAACTTTATACTTATGACCTTCATTATTTAAAAAGATTTTACCAAATATGGAATGCAAAACATTTTCTAGGAGGCCTCTAGTTTTTATTCTTATGTAGTATTGTAAGATGCCAAAATCTTAGCTCAGTGATCAAATTATTTGTACAGAGAATAGGTAGATGTTTATCTACCTACTTTTCTTTGATCCTACTTCTTCAAGATGTTGGAACCTTTTGGGTTTGTGGGTACTGTCAATTAAGTGTAACCTTCTTTCTGTTCAGGTGACACTAGAGAGCTCTTGCTATTCCTCCTCTCTTGAGCCCCCCTCCCCCAAGTTTGAATGAAGTATCTATGCTTGTTTTACTGCCTATTGAGAACATCCTTATGGAGTAATTAAGAGCCTTCTTTACTCAGTTGATAGATGTTGGTCAGCAGAGGCATTGAGGCACCCCCACTCCCGCCCCTAGTGAGCACTAATGGGAATTGGAATGTGTGGCTTCTCCTCACTTTGTTTACACTTTAGAGTACAGAAAGAACCAGGGTGGTCCTTGTATAAGTTCAGCTTAGTTCACATCATACTTTGCCCCAAACATTTTTCTTATGACTACTATAAATTTAGATTTAAATGAAAATAATAGGTAAGTCTGAAGGAAAAAGGAAACCTCAGAAGGCCAAGCTATAGTCTTGGTCAAATGTTTTCTTTTGCTCGAGGTGATAAAGTATGTGAATTTATGTAAGTTTTACGCCTTACTTTCACCTGGTAATTTAGTGAAATATTCAGGCCAGCTAGATGGAAAAGCCATTTTCTCTTTTACCCTATGAATCCTTCAAATTCTGCCTCATACCAGCATTATCTATTATATTGCCTCACCCCCAAAACAAAAATAAAACTTAAATATTTTCAAACACAACAGATGACTAGGGAGAAGAAATAGCCCACCCTCCTGAGGCCTCGTTATTTCGAAGGTTAGGAGAGTTTCCGTCTGCCCAAATAGTGACCATTTTAAGAACAGAGACTTCAGCCATGGAATAAAATGAGTAAGGATGTGGAGTGAGTCAGTAGGCTACATACTTTATTAAATGTATAATTGTACTCATTGTTGGATAAACAGAGACCAATTAATATTGTCATTTTAACATCATGGTGCTTATCTGTGATATTGATAACCATTAACTGTTTGGACTAAAATATATTGCGGACTGCAGATGATCTTAGTGGCTTAGTGAAAACATTTTCATATTCTTTGATTAAATGATTCAGACATTTACACATGTATTTTTGGTTTTTAATTAATTTTAATCAAACAATACTTAACACAGTAAAGAAAAAACTAATACAAAAAAAGGTTATATTGAAAAGTAGTCTCTCCAGCATACCTCTTATGCCTGCTCCCTAGTGGCAGCTATATTCAATTCTATTTTTTAAAAGTTATTTAGCCCCATATCTCTAATGTCCTGATATGTTGATGTTTCTAGATTTGCGAATTTTGGACAGTTTGTAAAGACTTCTTTTGCCTGCCTTCTATGCTAGTGGAGGATTTAGCTGTTTGTATTCCTCTTTCTACTTTTCCTCCCTGCATTCTCTCACTATACTTTTATCACTATTTTTGATCTTCTTGGTAGATAATGGTTGCATTTTTGAGACTTTGTAAATATTGTTTATTGCTGAGCCAAGAAATATACTATAATTTTTTCCTTTCTTATCTAACAATTTTTCCTATAATTAATAATAGGCTCAAATTTGTTTTCAGTTGTTTGTCAGTACTCTTAAAATTTCCTTTTATGTGTACTAAATGCCTAACAGTACATTTTCAAGTATTCGAGTACATCAAATCATGTATCAAGTCAATTTAGTTCCTTTCTCCCAACCTTGTAGGCAGTTATAATTCAGCTTCCTTGGCTCTGCATTATTTATCATATGTATGTTCTCCATCTTTGAAAATTGTGTTGACACCCATCATCTTCCATTGTCTTTTCTTACATTCACTTGTGAGTTTCTACCTTTTAGTTCTTGTATTGTCATTTTACTGTAGTTCTGGAGGGAGCAGAGATAAACATGTTTACTCCCATAAATATTTTTGGGGTGATGAGGGAATAAGAAGAAGGATTTCTGTTTTCTACTTTTATGTACTCCTATAGTGCATAGTATTGCATTTAATTCAGTGCTGTTGCATGCTGTAAATGTTTAATTAATGCTTATTGAATGTTTTACTTTGTCAGTTGTTACATTCTTATCCCAACCCTCACTCTACCCCCAACATGCTTATGGGATCCTGAAATTTTATTTCCTAAAACCTGTCTTTCTCTCAGCTGCTAATATATAACATAAGATTATTTATACAAGAAGACTATGTATTGATTTGGAAGAAAATGTGAAGTGATAAGAGTAATGTTGAGCCCTTTGCATTTTAGTGATTTATTGAGAGTTTACTGAATGTTTTGAAACTAGGATCTGGTTTCCAGAGTCTGAATTTTTAAAAATTTAGTTAGGGGTGTGTGTGTGTGCGTTTGTGTGTGCGTGCACGTGTGTGTGCGCTCATGCGCACGCACTTGAAAAGAGATAGGAGTCTTGCTCTCACCTAGGCTGAAGTGCAGTGGCATGATCATGGCTCACAACAGCTTTGAACTCCTGGGCTCAAGTGATCCTTCCACCTCAGCCTCCTGAGTAGCTGGGACCACAGGCATGCACCACAATGCCTAAGATTTAATATTTTTTTTTATAGAGACAGAGTCTCACTATGTTGCCTATAGATGAGATATGTAAGTTCTCTGTGGAAAATAATTCATAACTGAAGAATATAAAAAAAGACTTATAGGTTTAGTGTATATACAGATGGGAAGTGTCACATTGCAAAGATGTCAGTTCTCTTCAGATTAATCTATAAAATCATGATTCCCATAAAAATTTCAATATGTATTATAGAACATATTAAGCTAATTCCAGCATTGATCTAGAAGAGTAATGGCAATTAAAAAATATGCTCTGCCGATAGGAAGCTCATTATTTTATAATTAAGACACTGTGGTATTGGTGCAGGTAGAGGCATATGGATAGGGTGGCCATTCATCTTGGCTTGTGTGGGAGAGTTCCAATTTATGCCTGTTATCCTGGCAATTATTAATAGGCTCCCTTTCACTGTAAAGATTGTCAACTGAAAAAAAATAGAGTAATACAGTAATATTTTTGCTCTTCTTGAGAGTCCTGAAACAAACCCACTAAATTTATGACGTATGTGGTATTAGATAATAGTGGTGAAAGGATATCATTCAGTAAATGGTGCTGGGGTAGAAAGAAATGTAACTGCCCTTTATCTCACACTACACACAAAAATTAATCCCCGGTAGATTTAAAAACTGGAAAAGCATAACTTTAAAACTTACACAAGAGAAAATTAGGACACCATCCTTATGATGTCTGGGAAGACAGAAATCATAGTATAAATTATAAGACTACATTAGTATTTTATATATATATATATTTTTTTTTTTTACAAATAAGAAGGACATTAAAAACAATGGAAAAACAAGCCCACATGCAGGGAGAAGGGATTTGTAACACATCATGAAGAACTAAGTTCGAGTAAATAGAATCCCTGAAGATTAAACAAAAAACAGTGCACACACAATTTTTACAACGGCAAGGGATATTAACAGGCATTTTATAGAAGAGGAATGTAAAATGACCAATGATACCAGTGATAATATGAAAAGATTCTCAACTGTATTCGTAATCATGCTAGCACAGTTGAAGATGTCCATATCTTTCATCTCAGAAATTTCACTTCTACATCTATAGTCTGGAGAAGCATTCATATATGAGTACTAGAAGACATTTATTAAAATATTCATCCAGCATTCTGTGTTTTAACAAAATAAAAATGGGCAACAATCAAAATTCCGTTATCAGGAGAATTGATAAATTTTGATATGTATATAATTAAAATTAATTAAAATTAATGAATTAAAACAATATGTCCCAAAATAGATGTTTTAGAAACATATATACACACACATATATATGTTTGGAAACATACACACATATGTTTGGAAACATATACACACATATATGTTTGGAAACATACACACACATATGTTTGGAAACATACACACATATATGTTTGGAAACACACATGTTTGGAAACATACACACATTTATGTTTGGAAACATACACATATGTTTGGAAACACATATGTTTGGAAACATACACGTTTGGAAACATACACATGTTTGGAAACATGTTTGGAAACATACACACGTTTGGAAACATATATGTTTGGAAACACACACATATGTTTGGAAACACACACATATACACACACATATATGTTTGGAAACACACACACACACACACATATATATTTATTTTATTTTATTTTTTTCTTTTGGAGACAGTTTCTCATTCCATCACCCAGGCTGGAGTGTAGTGACACAGTCACGGCTCACTGCAGCCTTGACCTCCCAGGCTCAGGTGATCTTCTCACTTCAGCCTCCCAAATAGCTGGGATCGCAAGCATGTGCCATCCTGCCCAGCTAATTTTTCATTTTTATTTTTTGTAGAGAAGGGGTCTCACTGTGTTGCACAGGCTGTTCTTAAACTCCTGGGCTCAAGTAATCCTCCCTCCTCGGCCTCCTTTGGCCTCCCAAAGTGCTGGGATTATAGGCATGAACTATCACACCCAGCTGATGAAGCATAATATTTGAATAAACCAAGTTGCAAAAGGCAATGCACAGTTTGGTGTCATTTATAAAGACATTTTAAAAAGTACATAGTTTTATGATGTTGTATATAGGCATAATAGTGTAAAATATGCATGGATACAGTAAACACCAAATTTAGGATAGTAGCTATGTCTGGGTAGTGGAGGGAGAGGATGAGATCAGGAATGGTAATAGAATACTTATGTTTTTCAGTACTATCTGTAATGTCTTGTTAATTTTTAGTATTTTCTATTTTATTTATATAGTATTATGAATAAAATATATTCACATAATATGCTTTATGTATATGTATATAGTTTATAATTACTATCTATAAAATAAGCAAAGATATTATTGATGCATATAAATCCTGTCTTTGCAGTTCCTTTAATCTCCTTTACAATCTAAGAAGTACTATACCAGTAGAAGTAATTCGTAGTGACTGTATAGCTTAATTTTTAAGATAAAGAATAAAATATTTTTTCCTCATCTAAAAATGGTCTTAGTAATTGCTAAGCTTCCTTCCAGAACTAAACTGTACTTCTTTGATGTTTCCTCTACAGCAGATCTTTTTCAACAGGTTAGAATACAGTCAAATGTTGAGGATTATAAAGCTAATACCCTATACAGATTGTTGTTTTCAATCACCCTGTCTCTCTTTAGCAACCATCTATCATCTACAATAGGGGTTTGAAAACTTTTTCTATAAACAGCCTGAGAGTAAATATGTTAGGCTTTGTAGGCCATGTGGTCTGTGTCACAGCTACTCACTTTGCCTTTGTAGTGTGAAAGCAGACATAGGCAATACCTAAATGAATGGGCATGGCTGTGTTTCAATAAAACTTTATTTACAAAAACAGGCAGCAAACCAGATTTGGCCGTGGGCCATAATTTACTAACTCGTGATATACAACACACTCAGAGAAATTGCTTCAGTAATCAAAGTAATACTGTTATAATATTTTACCCTTATTATGGGTGGTAAAACTGAAGCATAGAGATCTTAAATGGCATTATTCAGGTTAAAGTAGCCCTCCCATATTCCTGTAATTTACATGGCAATGTAATTTTTTAAAAAATATATAGGTTCTCCAGAGATTCTTTTTCTCCCTCTAAAAGTAGAGTGAGTTGGGTGGGTATAATCTCTTAGTTATTCACAATTACAACCTTTACTATGATTAGAAACTTAATATTGTTAAGTCCCTGAGAATCTTCTTTACAGAACCATTTTATATATGATTATTTTTCTAAGGTTTGCATTCACATGCAAAAACAAATACAAAAGCTGGTATATGATATAGTTTAGATTTGGGTATCTTACACACCATTGACTTAACATCCAAAGACAATGAAAGCTTTAAATAATATAGACAGTCTATTAGGCAGTTGTTTTAGTTCTTCTGTAAAATCAACTTTATGAAGCAATTTCTTTGTGTTGTCATGACCTGCAGTAATTGAGACTTTATCTATCTGCAGTTATCTTAAGGTCTAGAAAGTATATTTTTCCCTGTCCAGTTTCATGGGCTAGAGGATAGTATTTTTTGTGGTTATCAGGTAATGTTGACTCTTCTGTATGCAGAAAGTAGGTCTACCATAGTCACATTGGAATCTGTGTAAATCAAAAGGAAAGATAGTAAGATTAATTTAACCAGAATGAAAATTACCACACTACTTTTTATCTCTAGAAGAATACTGAAATTACATGTGTTTGAGAAAGTTTTAATATGAATCAGAACCAGGATTTGAATTAATAAAGTAATTAAATAGATTTTCTTAGAATATTACTTTTAAAATAAGTTGAGATTTTTTTCTGACAAAAAGAATATCTTACCAAACAATGAATTGTTTATTTTTCCACTAAAAATTGAATTTATTTATTTTTTCAGAGACATTAAACCTGACAATATACTGATGGATATGAATGGACATATTCGGTTAGCAGATTTTGGTTCTTGTCTGAAGCTGATGGAAGATGGAACGGTAAATAAAGATAAATCCTAAATTATTTTGTTCACAGACATTTCCCTTGCTATTTGTCTGATATATCTGTTTTAGAAACCATCTATTTATACTATCTACCCATCCATCCATTTGTCTATCTATGCGCCACCTCCTTCCACAAAGGCATTTGGGCATACTTACAGTGGGGTTGTCTAAAAAGTCACAAGCCATTTCAGCTGCTTATATCAGTGATCTTAAGATTGATAAAATATACCCTTTATGAGACCCTTGTTTGCTCCTTCTTTAGTTGGTGACTTCTGTTGTACTTTAGATATTTCAAAGTTCACCGGGGGTAAAAGAACTAAGTCTCACATAGAAAAAGAAAACGCAGCTTTGCCCGCACTTTTACTTTTTTGTCTTTCTTTCCTAAATTGCTTAGTTATTCTAAGGGATAGTGTTCAACAAATGAATCCCTTTTTCAGAAAGTTCACAAGTTGATTTAGTTTCATGTTCCCATTTGCTTAACTTTTGCTAACCCTAAACCCGTCAGTTGGTTTTTTTTGTTTACTTAATAGCTGGGCATGGTGGTGCGTGCCTGTAGTCCCAGCTACTGAGGAGTCTGAGGTGGGAGGATCTCCTGAGCATGGGAGGCAGAGGTTGCAGTGAGCCAAGATTGCACCACTGCACTCCAGCCTGGGCAACAGTGAAGTCCTGTCTCCCACCCCCTCACTCCCCCAGAGCCACCCAGAAAAAAAAGGCTGGGCATGGTGGCTCACGCTTGTAATCCCAACACTTTGGGAGGCTGAGGCAAGAGGATCACTTGAGTCCAGGAGTTTGAGACCAGCTTAAGCAACATAGTGATACTCTGTCTCTGTTTTAAAGAAAAAAAAAAGTTTATATGCCACAGTTTTATTCTGTTTTTTTTTTTTTTTAACTTCATTTTTTTCTGGCCATATAGGAGAGGTCCAAAAATATATCAGTTTAATTGACAGAAACTTTTTGGAGGACAGTTTAGTATAATACATTCCAAAAGCCATGAAAATGTCACATTACTCTAGACCAGTAATTTTAACTTTGGAAAAATTTTATTATTTTTTTTTTAGACAAAGTCTCTGTTGCCTAGGCTGGAGTGCAGAGGCGCCATCTTAGCTCACTGCAACCTCCGCCTCCTGAGTTCAAGTGATTCTTCTGCCTCAGCCTCCCAAGTAGTTGGGATACAGGCAAGCACCACCACGCCTGGCTAATTTTTGTATTTTTTGTAGAGATGGGGTTTCACCATGTTGGTCAGGCTGGTCTCAAACTCCTGACCTCAGGTTATCTGCCCACCTCGGCCTCCCAAAGTGCTGGGATTACAGGCGTGAGCCACCGTGCCCGGCCAACTTTGGAAAATTTGTCCTACAGTGATAACTTTGTTAAAAAGAATTATGTGACCTCTGTCTCTGGCCATGATAGAGGGATTAAATTGGTACCAAATTAGCACTCCCACTGTAAGGAACTGTAAAACTGGATACAATAGTTGAAGCTACTGTTTTCCAGCAGTGGACAACAGGCAGCATAATACTATTATCCCTGACATAAATGAACTCGTGAGGTATTCCTCACGATTGCGCAAAGACTGGGGCAGTTCCTGACTCTGATGCAGAAAGCTAGAGTGAAAGCAGAGCTGGACTACCTGCAGCAGCTGGAATATGCAGGGCTTGGCATTGGAGAGGAGGGAATTGTGCAGAGAGAGGGCATAAAGTGCCTCATGAAGGTTGGGCTGTGCATTGTACCACAAGACCATATGAGGCTTGACAATAGCAGATGATAGCATTTGAAAACAGACCAGAATACTAATGATCAAGCAGATCTCCCAGGCAGGAAACAGTGCTAGGGGAAATTGAATTTTCATCCCTGGAGAGCCAGCTAACACCTTTGTATCACCTAAGACCTACTCTCTAACAACCTAAGTCCAAGCCCTGATTAGATCCATAGAGTTTGGAAGTCTTCCTTCCAAGTAGAGGGGCTTATGACAAATCTTAGATTTTTGTATGAACCTACAATCACAGAGTGTATCTGTAAGCTAACTCATGGTCAAGGAGATCAGTCAGTAATTTTTTTATGTGCTTACATAAGAATTGTTTTTCTTCATAAGAAGATAATAGAATCAATACTCTCTATAACATCTTATTCACAATGACAAGGATTCAAAAAAAAAAATCACTGAACCAAACAAAAATGGGCATGTGGATAGTGATACAGAGTCAGATAAAAGCAGTCAGTAGAGGCCTGGCTGGCACACATGTTGGACTTAGCAGACAGAGAATTAAAGAAGTGATCATAGGTCGGTCACAGTGGCTCACGCCTGTAATCCCGGCACTTTGGGAGGCCAAAGAGGGTGGATCACCTGAGGTCAGGAGTTTGAGACTGCCTGGCCAACACAGTGAAAGCTTGTCTATACTAAAAATACAAAATTAGCCAGGCATGGTGGCACATGCCTGTAATCCCAGCTACTCACTCAGGAGGCTGAGGCAGGAGAATCGCTTGAACCCAGGAGGTGGAGGTTGCAGTGAGCCAAGATGGTGTCATTGCACTCCAGCCTGGGCAACAGAATGAGACTGCGTCTCAAAAAAGAAAAAAAAAAAAAGTTATAAAAATATTTAAGAAAACAAAGGAAAATGTAGCCTTAAAGATTACACAAATAAGGAATTTCAGCAGAAAAATGAGTCAAATGGACATTTTACGATTAGAAAGTACAGTAACTGAAATTTAAAATTCACTGGATGAGGTTAAAAGTGGACTAGAGATAGGAGAAGAAACAGCCAGTGAACTTGAAGACAGATGAGTAGAGATGAGCCAATGTGAAAAACAGAGAAAAATATTGAGACTAAATAAATAGAGGCTTAGGGATCCATATAGAAGAAGAGAGTGAGATGTGGGGAAAAAAAAATGTGTACGTAATGGCTCAACCTTCCCAAATGTGATGAAAAACTCAGATCTAAGAATTTTACCATATCTCAAACCTATAAAGAGAACCACATCTGGCCATGTCAGATGTGGTTAAAGTGCCGAAAACTAAAGATTAAAACATTTAAAAGCAGCCAGAAGGAAAGACATATTACGTACAGAGGAGAAATGGTAAGGACTACTGACCTGTCATGAGAAATCATGGAGTGATGTCTTTAAAGTGCTGAAGGAAAAAAATGTGTAAACTGAGGTTTCTGTATTAAGAAAAATATCCCTCAAAAATGAGAGTGAATTAGACATCTTCAGATAAATGGAAGATGAGAAAAATTAATCTCTAGCAGGCCTGAATGCTAAAGAATGTCCTCCATGTCAAAGGAAATGATACTGTTTGGACATTTGGATTTATAGCATAAAAATATCATATGCAATAAATAAGTGGGTAAATAAAATGTCTATACTGTCTTTCTTATTTAATTTACATAAAAGGTACCTAACTGTTAAAAGCAAAAATAATGTAATATGTAATTATTTGTAATGTGGGTTTATGACATGTAGAAGTAAAGGATATGACAATAGTCACATAAACAATGGAAGATATGTATATGGAATTATACTGCTCTAGGATAACTGTATATAGGAAATATAAAGTGAGAAGTGGGTAGTGCCAGGTATGACATTGGAAGAGGGAAATAGCATGGTGGTGTTGCTGAGTTGAGAAAACAGAGATTGAAATCAGGGAGGCTTTAGCATCTGGAATTTGGGGCCACCATTCCAGAGAGGATAGAGCTGCAGGGAAAAATAACTCCACGGAGAGAGCTAGTGATTCTCCAGTCCTGCATATTACAAGCCCGATGGACTCAAAGTTGGAGATAGAGTCCCTGTAGTCTGATGTTTGCCTCTCTAAATTGCTTTTGAATGCATTCGAAATGCAAATTCCAGAATGCATGAGTAATATTTCTGTCTCTGAGTTTCCTCCAATTATATTTGTTCTTGAAAGTCTGGTGTGTCCTCCCAGTCATTCATTCTGATTTTTCTGGACAATAGGATAATATTTTATGTTTTGTTTCTAGCATACTTATTGATGAACTCAAAATGGTTTTCTTGGACATAATATCAAGTTGGACTTCCATTTTCAAAACCATAGGCTTTGAGAGGCCTATGGCAGGCCTCTCAAAGTCTTTGAGAGGCCTATGGCAGGCCTCTCAAAGTCTTTGAGACTTTGGGAGGCCAAGGCAGGAGAATTGCTTGAGCCCAGGAGTTTGAGACCAGCCTGAGCAACATAGCAAGACCTCATCTCTACAAAAAAATATAAAAAATTAGTTAGGCATGGTGGCATGCACCTATAGTCCCAGTTACTCAGGAGGATGAGATGGGAGGATCGCTTGAGCTTGGGACCTGGTCAAGGCTGCAGTGACCGTGATGGTGCCATTGCATTCTAGCCTGGGTGGCAGCAAGATCCTGACTCCAGAAAAATAAATAAATAAAAAATAAAAATAAATAAAAACAAAAAAAAAACTATAATGAAGAAACTTTATTTTATTTCAGATTTTTAAATTAATTTTTAGATTTTATTGTCTTATTTTTTGAGGCAGGGTCTTGCTCTATCACCCACGCAAGTTCAGTGGTGCTTTGAGCATTTCATTTACTTACATATTTCCCATAACCATATTTGTGCTGCTGTCTCTTGATTATTTATTTTTAGATACTAACTCATACTATCCTACCATGGTAGATGAGGATTCAGGTCTTTTGCTCTGCTCTTGCCCATCCAGTACACATCCTCTCTATCCTCCCAATGTAATTATCACACAATACCTCGTTAAATCCTGTTTGGTATTTTATTATGACAATACAAATACTCATCGTCGTGTCATAGTTTTTTTAAATTGCATTTCTTTTCTTCAGAACCTTTTTATTCTTCCTGGTGTAAGTGACCACTTTGCTCTGCTTAATTTCCCGTGTAATTGTCACCAATTTATCCTCAAACTCTCCACCACGTTGAATTACTTAATAAAAGGAATTTAGCAGTTCCTTTTTTTCCCATGGAGATATTCATACTGGAGTCTTGCATTCTCCTAATCTGGACTGTTCGTTCTAGAGACCTACTGCATAGGTACTATCCTAGGACTACCTTTCATCGTCTTCATGGAATTTATGTTGTTCTCTAGTATTGGACTCTGTTTCCTGGATCCTGTGTGGTGATAGCTGCCTGAGGAAGGTTCCATTGGAAGTAAATATTTCATAATCTTCCATGTCTGAAAAATGCCTTCATATTGTATTGATAGTTTGTCTGGACATAGTATTCTAGATTTGAAACTATTTTCCTCTTAGAATTTAGAAGGCATTATGTTGTCTTTTAACTTACAGTGTTGCTGTTAAGACATCTGACACCATTCTGAGTCTCAGTCCTTTTATTACAGCCTTTCTCTCTATATCTGGAAGCTTTTAGAATGTTTTATTTATTCCCAATGTCCTGAAATGTTATGATTGTTGACTTTGTGTGGGTCATTATTTATTATCTGGACAGCTGCCTCAAATCTACGAGCTTTTCCCAAGTTTGTGACTTTCAAATTAAGTTTCAACTTACTTTTTCTGTTATATCTCGGTCAAAACCATACCAGCTGAATCAATTTACCTTAAGAAGTCAATTTCTGATGGTGAGGTGTTTGCTATAATTCTTTTTCTTGCTCTAAAATTATCTTGGCTATTCTTGGCCCTTCATTTTTCTATGTGATTGTTAGAATTAGCATATTGGTTTATATCCATACATGTACATACATGTGAACAATCCTTCATAAACACTGGCTTATGTATTTAAGACCTGCTTTGAAATTAGCTTAATTTTGGGAACATTTATGTCTATAACATGGAATCTTCTCATCTATGAATGTTGTGTTTCTTTTTATTGTTTCAGGTTTTATGTCTGTTAATACAGTTCCATGATGTTTACTATTAATCCATTACCTAGATGAGTTAGATTTGCTCCTAAACGACTTATGGATTTTTTAATGTTACCTGTATTATAAATGATACTTGTTTAAATTTGCAGTTTAATAGTGTGTTGCTCTTCTTTAGGATTAGAATTGATTTTGTATATTCATCCTGAATCTAGCAATCTTGCTAATTTTTTATCGGTTTAAAATAGTTTATAGATTCTTCTAGATTTTTCATATAATAAATCATGTAATCCGTAAATTATGAGAAACTTTGGGTTTGTTTCTTCACAATCTTTATATGTGCTATTTTTTTCTCTTACCATGGAGTCTAATGACCTTCAGTACAATGTTAAATAGGTGCAGTAATGTTTCTGTAGCTTCAAATTAATTTAATGTTTGCAGTTAGCTTTTGGTATATATATCTTATCAAATTAAGAAATCCCTTCTCATTTCTGATTACCAGAGTTTTTTTGTTATGATTCTGGTTGTAACTAAATTACTTCTCTGCATCCATCAAGATGATGTTAGGTTGTTTTTCCTTTAATCAGTTAATCTGATAAATGACAGCTTTTCCATTGTTAAATCATTCATTCTTTGAGTAAATATGACTTTATCAAGATGTTATATTGCAGTATTTTAACACATTCCTAGTTGACTCTACTACTATTTTATATAGTATTGTTACCTGGCATTCATACATGACATTGGTCATATCTCAGACTGGAGTATAATTTTTTTTCCTTAAATTGTTCTTGTCTGATTTTTAGGTTTAGGTCATTTTAGCCTTATAAAATAAACAGAGGACCCATATTTTCCCCTTACCCATTTTGGCTCTAGAACAGTTTATAGTACAGTTGTCTGTTAACTTATGTCATTGGTAGAATTTACTTTTAAATCACCTTAGCCTGGGTGAAGTTTTGTTTTCTTCTATTTTATTTTGTTTTGCAGATAGATTTTGTACTATTGATTCAAATTTTTAATGATTATAGGTCTGTTGGACTTTCTCTTTCTTCCTGAGTTTTAATACGTTATAGTCTTTTCAATGAAAATTGTCCATTTTCTCTGAGTTTTCAATTGTATTGCCATAAAGTAGTTCAGACCACCTTCTTCCTAGTTTTAACATCTTTGTTACAGTGTCATTTTGCCCCCCTTTTCCTAGTATTGTTTATTTGTGCTTCTCTTTTCCTTCGTAAGTTTTGATACAGAGCATTCTACTGTTCAATTCTAAATATTTTCCAACTTAAGTTAGAATTCTTCTATGGGCCACTATTTAGTGATATGCCTTTTTAATATTCATAGTATTATATTTATTTGTTTAGTTAGTTATTCCTGGTTTCAGTTTACTGTAGATTGGGTCTATTTGGTATCAGATTTTTTTGGCATTTTTTGAAATTTGCTTTGTGATTTTGTAACAGGCCAGTTTTTATATGTTCTATGTTTATTTGAAAAGAATACTTTTTTTTTCTAACTTTTGGGTACAGATGTATATGCCCATAAGATTAAAATTGCTAATTTTGTCATTCAGTTTTTTTGTGTTCTTAACCATTTTATTTCTCTGATCTATTTATTCGTTTTTTAAAAATCCTTATGATGGTAAATGTGTTAACTTTTCTTTGTAATCATCAATGTTTTGCACAGCTCTTTTGTAGCTTTGCTGTTAGGTATATATTATTCAGAATTGACATTTCTTCCAGGGTATTTTCTTTTATATTATATTAATGAATTTTTAAAAAATCTCACAATGATTTTGGCATGAGGATATATTTAATTGATATTACTGTAGCTACCTTAAGTTTCTTTTCTTTATCATATGCCTGATATATCCCTTTCCATCCATTTACTTTTAACTTTCCTGCGTCCTTATGTTTTAAGTGCATCCCTTTTAAACAGATTATTGCTGATGTTTTTCCCATTTGTTCATTTTGGTTTTGTGTGTTGTCCTGTGTAACAGGTTTGTTTAACAGGTGAATTTAATCCATGTATAAATTTTGTGATTATTAATATACTTATTTCTAGTATCTTACGTGCAGTTTATTATTGGTTTTGCTTGTTTCTTTGCATGTATGCTTGAGTTTGTTTTCTTCTTTCTTGCCTTCTGTTGACTTGATCAAGTTTAGCTTTTAAATTTCTCTTTGTTTGGAAGTTACATTTCTAAGTATTTTAGTGTTTATCTTTACATTTTTAAACATTTGTAGTTTACCTGCTGTCTAGAGTTTATCGGTTTTTCTGCCACATTCCCTATCAAAACAAGAAACTTAGATTACTTCACACTGTAATTAACTCAACGTGTAACACTCACAACAAAAATTAACTCAAAATCGGTCAAAGACCTAAATACAAAAACTAAAACTGTGAAACTCTTAGAAAAAAAATAGAAGGGATACTTTTATGACCTTGGATTTGTCAGTGATTTCTTGGGGATGACACAAAATTACAGGCAACGAAAGAAAAAAATAGATAAATTCGGCAATATCTCCATTAAAACTTCTGTACATCAAAGGGCACGATCAGAGTGAAAAGGCAACATGGAATGAGAGAAAATATTTGCAAATCATATGTCTAATAACAGGTTAGTCTCTAAAATATGTAAAAACTCCTACAAGTCAGCAACAAAGAACAAAGGACCCTGTTAAAAAATGGACAAGGTATTTATTTATTTGTATTTTATTTTATTTTAGAGACAGAGTCTTGCTCTGTCGCCTAGGCTGGTGTCAGTGGCGTGATCTCGGCTCACTTATCCTGCCTCAGCCACCCGAGTAGTTGGGATTTCAGACATGCACCACCACACCCAGCTAATTTTTTTTTTTTTTTTTTTTTTGTAGAGACTGGGTTATGACCTCTTGGCCAGGTTGGTCTCAAACTCCTGACCTCAAGTGATTGACCCACCTCAGCCTCCCAAAGTGCTGGGACAAGGAACTTAAATAGACATTTCTCCAAAGAAGATATTTAAATGGCCAATTAGCACTTGAAAAGGTGCTCAACATCACTAATAATTAGAGAAACACAAAACCACAGGGATACACCATCTCACACTCAGCAGGATTGCTACTATCAAAAAACAGAAAATAACAAGTGTTGTCAAGGATGTGAACAAATTAGGATCCTTGGGCACTGTTGGTGGGAATGTAAAATATGGAAAATGGTATAGGTAGCTCTTCAAAAAATTGAAAATAGAATTACCACGTGATCCAGAGTTCCTCCTCTGGGTATATACCCAAAAGAAGTGAAAGCAAGGAGTTGAACATACATTTGTACACTCATTTTTAGAGCAGCATTGTTCACAGTAGCCAAAGGGTGACAGATGAATGGATAAACAAAATGTGCTGTATACATACAATGGAATATCAATCAATTTTAAAAAGAAAGGAAATTCTGACACGTGCTACAACATGGATGAAACCTTAGGACATTATGTTAATGAAATAAGCCAGTTAGAAAAGTACAAATATTTTATGATTCCACTTATGTGAGATAACTATAGTAATCAAGTTCAAAGAAACAAAGTACAATGGTGGCTTCCAGGGTCTAGGGGAAGGGGAAATGGGGGAATTACTGATGGGTACAGAGTTAAAATTTTCCAAGATGAAAAAATTTTAGAGAAGGATGGTGGGGACTGGTTGCACAACAGTGTGAAGGTACTTATGCCATTGAACTGCACACTTCTAAAAATCATTAAGATAGTAAATTTTATGTCTATTTTTACCACCATTAAAAATAATAATTAAAAATTTAAAAAACCTAAGAAATTTAGAATACTTGAATCCTGTTTACACCCTCAGTAATATGTTTTTGTTTTTCCAGTGTTTAATTTCCAACTTCTTTTTTTTTTTCTTTTTTTTTTTTTCAGGGAGGTAAAGTGGGTGGTTTTTAAAAATTTTTATTTTTCTATTTGTAAACTGACAAATTATAGTTGAATACATTTATGGGGTAAACTTATTTTTCAGCCCTAAGGTGGTTACTCCTGCCTCTTTTTCTAGTCCTTGTCCTCCTTCTTCTTCATTATGTTATCCAATTAACCACCATTTAAATGTATTAGTAAAGTTTACTAATATCTTTGTTCATAATTGCTTCTAGTATCACATTCTTCCATCTTGGTTAAATTTCTTGTTTTCCGAAGTATACCCTTTAGTGCTTGTTTAGCCGAAAGGAAATGTTAGCGATAGTTTACTCAGTCTTGTGTGAAAATGTATCATTTCTGTATCATAATTTAGGTAGGTAGGTAATACTATATTGACAATTATTTTTTCTTATCACTTTGAAGGTACAACTTCATTTTCTTCTGACTGCAATTCTTAGTTATTAATAATTCAGCTGTTGGTCTAATTGTCATTTCTTAGTAGATAATCTCTATTCTTTAATGTTTTTAAAATCTCTTTGGCTTTGGTATTCTGTAGTTTAATTCCAATGTGTATAGACATGAGTCTGGTTTTATTTATCTTCTGAGTACTTTTTGTTTTTTTTGTTTTTTTTTTTTTGAGACAGGGTTTCACTCTTGTCGCCCAGGCTGGAGTGCAGTGATGCCATCTCTGCTCACTGCAACCTCAACTTCCCAGGCTCAAGCAATCCTCCCACCTCAGCCTCCCGAGTTGCTGGTAGTACAGACATGTGCCACCATGTCCAGCTAATTTTTGTATTTTTTGTAGAGATGTGGTTTCACGATGTTGCCCAGGCTGGTCTCCAACTTCTGAGCTCAAGTGAAACACCCGCCTCAGCTTCCCAAAGTGGTGGGATTACTGGTGTGAGCCACTGCGCTCAACCTCTTCTAAGTACTTTATGCCCTTCCTGCATCCAGGAATTCGAGTCTTATATCATTCTTGAAAAAATTTAAGCTTTGTCTCTTTGGATATTGCTTTCCACTATTCTCTCTTTTATCTCATTCTCTTATACTATGTTGAACTTGTCCATTCTAGGGTCTGTACGTCTTAGCCTTTCTTCCAAATTTTCCGTTTTTTAAGTCTTCATATTAGATGCTAGTAATTTCTTCAGCTCTTCTTCAGGTTTATTATTCTCGTCAACTGTATCTAATCCACTGTTTACCTATTTATTACGTTTATTTTATTTCAGTGACTATTTTCATTTCTAGGACTTCCGTTTGATTTTTAAAAACTTTTGTGTTTGTTGATTTTTTTAGGTCTTTAATAATTTTAAACATGCTTATTTCATAGAGTGGATCTGATTGTTGTTAGGGATCTATTGTTCTGTTTGTTGGGATTTCTGAGTTACTCATAATAGACAGTTTACTCATTTGGTTTATATTATTGGATTGTGAGTTCATATTCAGCAAGATTTTATGTTTAAGAATTATATCTGCCAAATTTGAGCATGTGTCCTCCAGAGTAGATTTGAATTTGTTTTGCTTCCTAGAGGCAACTAACCTTGGGTCAGTGTTAATGCCGGTTTCTTGGCTTGGGAACTTTTCAACCACAGAAGCGGTGTGCATTTGAATCCCAAATGTTGAGACTATGTGATGTAATGTTACGAATTTCTACAGGAACAATATTTTTCATTCATCACACATTAGTCAAGATAGATGAAATGTCTTGTCCGTCTCTGCTTTGTGGCAGATTTTTATAATGTACCGTTTTTCTTACAGTATACGTTTTAAGGCAAAAGGTATGTATATAGGGCAGCCTTTGTCTTCAAACTCGCCCCCTCATGTAAGCTAAGGATAAGGTCTTTTCTTTTGTTCTTACCTCATATAAGCATAAGGTACTCGCTTTTGTGTATGTTAAAATTTGAGTACCTAGGAAATGAAAACCAACAATTCCCCAACCCTACTCATCTCTAATGCTTATTATCCTGATTCTCAAGCATTTCTTGATTACTGACCTCTAAGAATCTCTCTTTGTAAAAAAGTTCTTTTATATGTTTATACAAATAATTGTTATATTTTATCTAGCTTTTTTTTTTTTTTTTTTTTTTTTTTTGCTTTTGAGACCGAGTCTTGCTCTGTCGCCCAGGCTGGAGTGCAGTGGCGCAATCTTGGCTTACTGCAAGCTCCGCCTCCCGGGTTCACACCATTCTCCTGCCTCAGCCTCCTGAGTAGCTGGGACTGCAGGCATCCACCACCATGCCTGGCTAATTTTTTTGTGTTTTTAGTAGAGATGGGGTTTCACTGTGTTAGACAGGGTGTTTGTCTAGCATTTTAAGAGTTTGTAATGGAAGGGTTTTCAAGTCATTTAATCTCAGTATTGCTAAAATGTAAGTTTATCCTAATTATTCAGAATTGGAAATGTAGTCTAGAAAATCCAAAATATTAACTGGTATTCTACTTTAGGAATGTTCATGTTTTGGATAAGTTCTTCTAAAACATGTAAAGGGCTAATATTCTTTTACTTCAAAGTACCTTACAACATGCATACCCAGGATTTTTCTAGTTACCTGTTTTATTTTTTCTTCCACTTTTTTACAGAGATAGGGTCTTGCTGTGTTGCCCAGGCTTGTCTCAAACTCCTGGGCCCAAGTGATTCTCCCACATTGGCTTCCCAAAGTGCTGGGATTACAGATGTCAGCTCCCATGCCTGGTTTTAATTACCTGTTTTCTAATTAAACCTAACCTGCTATAACAAGTACTCAACTTTTTTTCTCTATTGGAACTTTAGATTTTGAAGGATATACCTCTTCTTTTATAGTTTTTTAAATTAGTAAGTAGTTTGTTGTACATTATTGACGTGTATTTTCTTAGGTTTCTATTAAGGAGTTTGAACATAATCTCCAGGCTTCTCATAGTGTTGGCCTAAATATCAGGAGCTTTTTCCCCCCATCTCATTGTACAATTTTGACGGTTTCATTTTTTTTTTTTTACACGTATAGGTTTGACAGGTAATTATCAATAATGAGTGTTCTAAACCAAATATTCAGTTTGTTCTTAATTGGTATGATGGTTTAAATTAAATTGTTCCTCTCAATGTCATCAGTTAAGTAACACTATAATAAAAGTTCTATAGTGTTATGAAATCCTGAAAACTATTAATGTGGGGATAATATACAATTTAACATATATACAAGGATTATTATTATTTTTCAGATAATGACAAAGATGTGTTTATGAGATAATAATGTCTATTGTGTATCTTAAGTAACTATTTAAAATATTTTATTTCTAATATAGGAGATTAATAAAAATGTAAATTTCTTCAGGTTCAGTCCTCAGTGGCTGTAGGAACTCCAGATTATATCTCTCCTGAAATCCTTCAAGCCATGGAAGATGGAAAAGGGAGATATGGACCTGAATGTGACTGGTGGTCTTTGGGGGTCTGTATGTATGAAATGCTTTACGGAGAAACACCATTTTATGCAGAATCGCTGGTGGAGACATACGGAAAAATCATGAACCACAAAGTTAGTATGTTTTACTTTTGTTCAAATTAATGTGGTAAATAACACATATAATAAAACCATTTTTAAAGAGAAAATATTTTTCTAAAAACAGTGAACAATCACATTTCTATCCTAGTATGGGACAGGACAACATAAATAGTCAAAATCCATAAATTATTCATAAGTTATTAGTTCTAATTTTCTTGTATTTTATTAGAGATGCCGCTAAGTAGGAAATTAAGTGGTCTCCCCAGTAGAATAACAAAGGTCGTAAGTAGAGAATTTAGATCATTGCTTACTATAGTATATGTATAATCATGACTAGAATATGTGTAAAAAAATTTTCAACTTTAGTGGTAATAAGTGCAATACAAATTTAAAATAAGGATGAGATACTTTTTTTTCTTGTCAAATTAGCAAAGATCAAAAGAAAAATAGTACTCTGTACCATAAATAATGCAGTGAGATGGGCATTCTAAGACATTAATAGGAATATAAATTGGTGTAACCTTTCTGTTCAGGAAGTTTACAGGTGTGCACCTAGAGCCTTAAAAAATGGTTAGAGGTTTTGATTGAGCAACTTCAGTCTAGGAATCTACCCTATGACATTCTCAGTAGAACAAAGATATATGTACAAGGATACCTATTCTAACGTTATTTATGATCACAGAACACTAGAAGCAACACAGACACACAACAAGAACAAATTAATGAAACGTTAATATATTTAGTACTAAGTGAAATAGACTGTTCATAATAATAAGAAGAAAGGTTTTATTAGCAGTCTTAGAAGATTGTGAGCAGTTGCAAATACTTAGAATATGAATATCCGATAGAAGGGAATGATAATCTATTCTTTTTAATTTGTTCTAGTGAAGCAATTATGATTAGTTGCTTTACATGTATAAAAATCAGTTTTATAGGGTTTATATTCTTCTTCCTGTTTGCAAAGATAATGTTTCATATAGTTATAAAGAGTTGAAAGACTGGAAATAGCAGCAGGGTTGTAAATAGCATGTACATCATTTGAATTAGAAAAAAATATTGTAGTATATATTTAACAGCACAGATTACAGCTTCAGTTCAAATTCTGGTTCTGCCACTTCCTAGATGTGTAATGTTGAGAAAGTTACTTGAATTCTGTGTGTCTTTATTTCTTCTATAATATTAGCATAGTAGGAGTACCCACCTAAAATGACTGTTTTGAGGGTTAAATGAGTAACGTACTTTAAATAGTGTCAGATACATATTATGTCCTTTAAAAATATTTATTATTAGTTAATCATTAGTATGTAACTTATATGACCATTATCAATCATCTATCTTGATTTAAATAGAGTCAAATTCCACTACTTTGAAGTAATTTCTCTTCATTCTGATAGCAGTTTAAGATATCTAAGGTACAATGTATTCTTCTTTCTATAGCGCATGCATGATTGAGTCATATATGAAATTAAAAGTCCTAGGAAAATGATCTTCTGTCATTCATCCCTGTATTCCTTTAGTATTAGTACTTTGCACCAACATGCAGTTATTAGATATATTTAAAATAAAATGTATTTTTAAGAAAATAAATAAGTCAACCAACTACTTAGTATGTTAAACACTGATTTATATTTTGTTTCTGTTTTTCTCTGTTTAGGAGAGGTTTCAGTTTCCAGCCCAAGTGACTGATGTGTCTGAAAATGCTAAGGATCTTATTCGAAGGCTCATTTGTAGCAGAGAACATCGACTTGGTCAAAATGGAATAGAAGACTTTAAGAAACACCCATTTTTCAGTGGAATTGATTGGGATAATATTCGGAACTGTGAAGCACCTTATATTCCAGAAGTTAGTAGCCCAACAGATACATCGAATTTTGATGTAGATGATGATTGTTTAAAAAATTCTGTAAGTATGACACTGTGAAGAAGTTCTGTCCCTCTGTTTCTTTCTACTATGGTTATATAGTAATTTTTTGGTTTATAAGTATTTTGCTAGGATGATTTTACAATGATCAGTTATTAGTCAGTGATCATGGCTTCTGGTGCTTATTCTGTCACAAATCAAATTAAGAAGAAAGTTAACTGAGGTGAACATAGTTATTTGTGACTAAGAACAAAATTAAAATTCAAAGTTTTACCTCTTAGATAAGTTATGCCATTAAGCTTCGTAAGAGAACAAATTAGATATTTAAAAAAGCAGATTTTATGATTGTAAAGTGCAGAGGTTGGCAAATTTCTCCCTAAAACCATAAAACTGGACAAAATTATCAAAATCAACCATGTCAGGGCCTGATACAACAATTGAAGAGAAATAAATTGAGAAGCATTTATTTGTGAAAAACTGCTGAACTTTAGTTTAAAGTCACATATACCACACACGTCCATCCCCACTACTGACTTGGTCTGGGACAGTAGTACTAGTAGCATGGAACTGGATAGAAAAATCAGCAGCTTTGCTGATACAGAGGGCAGATTCCAGGACTAAATACCCAAGCCCAGTGTGTTGCTGCTAACAATAGCAAACTTGGTAGGAAATCAATAGGGAAAATAGTCCACAGACGTGGTATAGCTCTGAGGTATAGCCCTGCCTGAGGTGAATACAGACCTCAAGCCAATTATTCGGCCAGTCCAATAGCCAAATAATTCAACCATTCTTAACTTGTGAGCCATGCCAAAACAGGCCAACATAGTATATTGACCTCTGCTATAACCCTTTAGGTTATATGAGATTAAAATTTAGGAAAATAAGAACTTAAAATTTTTGAGTTTTTTGCCTTTTTAGCCTTCCTCTTTTTTTTTTTTTTTTTTTTTTTTTTTTTTGAGACAGAGTCTCGCTCTGTCTCCCAGGCTGGAGTGCTGTGGCACAATCTCGGCTCATTGCAAGCTCCGCCTTCCGGGTTCACGCCGTTCTCCTGCCTCAGCCTCCTGAGTAGCTGGAACTGTAGGCGTGCGCCACCACACCTGGCTAACTTTTATGTTTTTAGTAGAGACGGGGTTTCACCGTGTTAGCCAGAATGGTCTTGATCTCCTGACCTTGTGATCCGCCCTCCTCAGCCTCCCAAAGTGCTGGGATTATAGGCATGAGCCACTGCTCCCGGCCCCTTTTTAGCCTTCTTAATTTGAGCTTTTATTTTTATTCAGTTATTTTATTTACTATGGCTTTAATCCTGTACTAAAAATTTTTATGTTAATGTTATATGACTTAACAAAATCTTTATTTTTAATTTTTGTGGGTACATAATCGGTACACGTTATATAACTTTTCACTGAAACAGTGAATACTATTTCAATACAATAAGCTGTGATCACTGTTTGATAACTGATAATTGTAAAACCATCCTAGTACTGTATTCAAGGCAGATAAAAATTTCTCATACTTTCCTGTCTAAACTTCACAAAGAATAATTAAACTGACTTCTCTTACCAATTTTTTATAAATAGAATTATATTTACTGTTAACAAATTATGAATCATTCCAAATTAAATACATAGTACAGTTGATCCTAATTATTCATGGAGGTTATGTTCTATATAGTTGCCTTGAACACTGTTAGCTAATATTGAACCATTGCTCTGAGGGAAATACAGGGTTAGGTTTCTGTGAGCCTCTGATCAACTGATCAATATATAGTCTTGTTTTATGTGTGCTTCTCTTTAAAGACACTTTATATAACATATGTTGTTGATTCATTAACACTGAACTCACCACTGAACTCACCACCAGCAGCACTGTAACTCGTGCCTGAATGAAGCTTTTCTAGCACATTATTTTCTCCATAAAGGCACATCACTGTCCTCTGGCGCTAGGAACACTAGACAGCGCTTCAGCACTATGCTTGGGAGCCTTTGCAAGCAGTGAATCACATACAGAGGGCCCAAAAATGTGAAATGCATGACACCAAAGAGACCCTGTAGAGGACACTTGTTTATAATATGAGAGCTTAAATGAGAAGGCAGAGCCTCTCCTGTTCAACCTCAGCTGGGAATGTGAGCATAGGACATCTCAAATTTTTCTCTGCTCTGCACGTGTCTACAAATGATCATAAAATTACCACAAGTATTGATTTGGGGTTTACAAATAAATATTAGCTTCTACACAAATTTGCAAATACAGAATACATGAATAATAATGACTGTATTCTCAATATCAGACTTTGAATCTTCATTTTACTTTAATTAGAATTTTAGAGTAGCAGTGTTCATGGTCTAAATTTTATATCACTAAACAACTATACCAAACTTACCAGTGTTTTAAAATTGAACAGTCACAATTTTTTTTTAAATATTTCTTTTTGGCATTTTATATTTATAGCCAAGCCTACAGATCATATAGCTATCTATTTCTTACCAGATGTTTTTTCCTCCTTTAGGAAACGATGCCCCCACCAACACATACTGCATTTTCTGGCCACCATCTGCCATTTGTTGGTTTTACATATACTAGTAGCTGGTAAGTTTGAAAAGTTAACATAGTTTGGGCCAAGTGCAGTGGCTCACGCCTGTAATCCCAACACTTTGGGAGGCCAAGACAGGTGTATCATGAGGTCAGGAGATCGAGACCAGCCTGGCCAATATGGTGAAACCCCATCTCTACTAAAAATACAAAACTTAGGTGGGCGTGGTGGCAGGTGCCTGTAATCCCAGCTACTCGGGAGGCCGAGGCAGGAGAATCACTTGAACCTGGGAGGTGGAGGTTGCAGTGAGCCGAGACTGCGCCATTGCAGTGCAGCCTGGGTGACAGAGCGAGACTCTGTCTTAAAAAAAAAAAAAGTTAACATAGTTTGGACAATTTAAAGCAAATTAAATTGAATTGAGGTTCGTAAAAGATGTATGAGAAAACTTTGTGAATTAAAACTTTTTAAAAAATAGAGTGAGCCTACTGCTGGAAATAGAAAGTTAAGCATTACAAAATGAATAGAACGCATGAAAATCTTAACTCGTTTTGGAGGGGAAAGAATGGAACAGAGAGCTCAGAATCTAATCCTTACCAATGAAGCAGTAATTAGAAGAGTTTCACGCTGTTGAATATTCTCTAGATGTCAAGCAGGAGAACTTTCAACCCATTAATTCTACCATCCTTTCACTGACCCTCACTTCACTTATATTCCCTATTTCCCCCTTACCCTGTTTAAATTCCATTGAGAATGATTATAATCACTCCTTGTATGCCATTTCAGTTCCTTTGACTGTCTCTCATTCTGTTATATTTGTTTTGCTAAGTGAACATTAACTATTACAATTTTATTCTCTACCTGTACAGTTCCAAATGACTAGAAAAAATAGCTGACTATTCTTACTGGTCTACTTTAAATTCATGATTACCAACCTCAAGTCCCCCTTGTCTGACAAATGTACTGTATTACCCTAGTATATTCACTCTTCCACTCACCTAGTAACTATTTTTTACTTTCTTTTTTTTTAAGAGATGGGGTCTTGTTCTGGGCAGCAGAAGGGCTGGAATGCAGTGGTGCAGTCCTAGCTCACTATAGCCTCAGACTCCTGGGCACAAATGATCCCCCTGCCTCAGCCTCCTGAGTAGCTGGGACAATAGGCACAAGCCACCATGCCCAGCTAATTTTTAAAACGATTTAGAAATGGAGTCTTGCTGTGCTGTCTAGGCTGGAGTGCAGTGGCACAGTCATAGATAACTACAGCCTCCTACTCCTCAAGCCGTCCTCTGGCCTTAACCTCCCCTGTTGCTGGGATTACAGATGTGAGCCACTGCATCTGGCCTATTTCTTTCTACTTGAGTTTGAAACCTCTGTCATCCTCACTTTCAGCTTGCATCTCCTTTCACTGAAAGGATTGAGGCAAACCGCAGACAACTTCCACAAGCTCCAGTTACCATATTTACCGCCTACTTACTGTTAGACCCAAATTCTCTGTTCTTTTCATGGATGAACTGTGCAAGCCTCTAGTAAGGCCAGTATCTTCCATCCCTTCCTGGCTAGTCTAGTGCATGTTTTGCTTTCATGTCATGAATTTTTTTCTTCTTGTGTCATCTGCATCATCAGATCATTTCTATCAGCTTACAAATGTCAGTTCTCCATCTTAATGCAAAATATAAAATCTGGATTCCTCTTCCTTTACCTCTTATCAACCATGTCTCTGCTTTACATTATAGAAAATTTACTTCAACTGTTGACTATATTTTGTTTATGTTTCTCATACTGTTGTTTCTTGAATCCATTCCAGTCAGGTGTGTGCCCCCATCACTTCATGCAAACTACTTTTATCGATGTCACTGTTGACCAACATGTTGCTAAATCTAATGATCACTTGTCAGTCCTAGTCTTACTTATTTGCTTAGTCTCATCTTATTTGCCACAGCTCCATACTTTTAAAATACCACCTTCTCCTGTCTTCTAGGGCACTTGACTGAGTTTCTCTCACCTTGCTGGTCATTCCTTCTCAGTCTCCATACCTGATCCCTCCTGATTTCCCTGGCTTGTTAATATCAGAGTGTCCTATGGCTCAGTCTTTGGACTTCTCTTTTCCATCTAAACTCTGTAGTGTTCTCCCAAAGATTTGCTGATGACTCCTAAACGTGCATCTCCAACTGAGACCTCTCCTCTCGTCTACTTAAAAATCTGTCTTAACCACCCACTTACTATGTAAATAACTTTCTTTTAGTTCTCTGATCCTGTTCAGGTGATCCTCTTAAAAGATAATCAGAACATGTCACTCCCCTGTTCAGAACCAGTCCACCCATCCCCAACTCCAGTGGCTTCATATTTTAACTCCAAATCAAACTTCTTACAAGGCCCTACATGACTGCCTTACTTTTATCTTTCTGAGTTTATTTTTCCTTGTTTACTCAACTCCATCCACACAGGCCTCCTTTCTGGGCTGTGAACATGCCAGACATACTCTTGTCTCGGGGCTTTAGTACTTCTGTTTCATCTGCTTGGAACATTCTTTCTTTTGATATTCCCTTAACTGGTCCCCTCACCCTTACTTAGCTTTTTCCAAAGTTACTTTAGCAGTGACAGCTTTCCTAACTTCTTTATCTAAATTTTTATTTCCTCCTCTTCAATACTTTATTTCTCCCTTTCCTGCTTTATGTTTTCTCCTTAGCATTTAACATTTTCTAATGTAATGAATATCTCCATTATTTTCTTTATTTCTGTCTCAGTCACTGGAATATAAGCTCTATATGGGCAAGGATTTTTGTCTGTTTTGTTCACCACCAAATGTCCAGCAGTTTCAGCATTTTTATTTAAATTGTATTGAATTAAAGACAGAAACTTGCTTTTGAATTTCAAATTCTAGTAAAGAGGGCCGTGGTTGGTGCTTTTGACTACTACTGTTTCACCTAGGTGGTCAAATTGTTTTAAACTACCAGTAACCCTTCAGCAAACTTAATTTTATAATTTGTGGGGTTTTTAAAATCATAATAATTTGGGGGATTTTAGGTTTTCATTTTTTAAAATGCTTCTAAAAACAGTTTATGGTGATTTTGCAAACAAATTTTTATAATTATTCCAGCTGGCTAACTGCAAGATATTCAGATCTGTGTTTTAAATGAGCAATTTAAAAATGTTTTTGCCATAAATGTGGAGTCAGTTAAAAACAATTTTTAAAAAATGTTAACGTTTTTCTTCAAGCTTTTTATCACAGTATGAACCTACATTTTTTTTTCTTTTCTTCAGTGTACTTTCTGATCGGAGCTGTTTAAGAGTTACGGCTGGTCCCACCTCACTGGATCTTGATGTTAATGTTCAGAGGACTCTAGACAACAACTTAGCAACTGAAGCTTATGAAAGAAGAATTAAGCGCCTTGAGCAAGAAAAACTTGAACTCAGTAGAAAACTTCAAGGTAAATATATTTTAAATATATTTTCACTTTTTGAATTGTACTCACAGTGTTATGAGCTGTTTATTATAAGTGGTTGTTTTATCTTTGAAAAAAATTATTTTAAGTGGTGAAAAATCAAGTTGTAGAGATGTATGCAGAACACAGCATAATACCATTTATGTAAAATCACACAGTTAATAGTAAACAACAACAAAATAGCTTTGGTCTCCTGTGGGTACATATTTATGTTTATAAAAATGTGT
This sequence comes from Homo sapiens, assembly GCF_000001405.40. Lineage (NCBI taxonomy): Eukaryota > Metazoa > Chordata > Mammalia > Primates > Hominidae > Homo > Homo sapiens. The sequence continues at coordinate 227,139,333 of NC_000001.11, read as the reverse complement.
GGGAATACCTTTGGGGATGGGGAAATGGGACCCTCCTCACTTCGTTATAGCACTTTAATGACTTTTCCTATATTATTTGCTCAATCTTTAAGAGCTCTAGCTCCTTTCACACTGTCATTCTCTGCAGCATTGCTTCTGCCATATTTGGTGATTTTAAAATGCACATACACATAAACTTTTTAAGATTCTGAGTGAGTTTCTTGAGTCTTCACCTTCAGTGATTGTTTACTCCACCTGGTTTCATCCAGTCCATCCTATGGTAATAAGATATGTCTTAAGATTACAATACCTAAAACTCTTCTTTAATCGCAGTTTCCAGCAAATCTTTTATAATCTCCTGCTCATAATTTTTAGTGCTCTCTCTCTGACCCCTTAACTCCAGTATTTCTTCACTGCCACCGTTACCTACAAGTCTATCACCGTTTAACTCTGCTATTTATACCCTCATTTTTCGTTCTCTGGTCAGCCATAGTCATACCCTGGCATATACCTTCAAATCTATTGTTCCTCTTTCTCTTTGTCAAATACCTTTGGCAGAACCCCAACTGTGTTTGAATACAACTTTGTATCTTCAACTATCCAGCTGAAGACAGCTTGCTTAAAACACCCACAACGTGCTGACTAATATTAATTCAGATTCACAGACACTCACCTCAAGTCAGCTCTTCATGCTATTTCCCCTAGTCTATTTCCCTATCCTGTGTTGTAAAATCCAGTGATGATTTCTGTCTTCACCTTTTAACCTATCAGCAATATTTGACCCTATGGACCTTTTATTCCTTCTGATAACGCTCTCTTTTTTTTTTTTTGGCTTCTGGGGCACTTTATCTCCTGGTTTTCTTTTTCCTCATAAACCTGTCCTTCCCAGTCTCCTTTGCTAAGTTTTCCTTAACTCTTCGACCTTTGAATGTTAGAATATTCTCTATTTGAAGCAAGTCTCTAATTGAATGAGGCCTTCAGTGAAGGTTTTCCTGACCATCCTATTTATAATTTAATCATATATATATCCCCAGTACTACTGTCTCCTTTTTCTGCTTTTTTCTCTAAAATAAAGGATGTAACATATTTTACTTACATATTTTGTGAATGAAGGAATGTATTTATGGACAAATAATCAGGAACTTTTGTAACTAATCAAAGTTTTACAATCACAAAACTTTACTGTCATACTTTTAGAGGCCCAGTAGAGAAAAAGGCTGTGTAGACATCAATAGAATGGACTATTTTCTGTTTTTCCGTAAGTTGTTAAGATCTCTGCATATGAATTACTTCCCTTTTGTGACTGAAATTTTTCTGTTTCTTTTTTTTCCTGTGGTGATACACATATAGCAAAGTGTGCAAGCATTCTACTTTTAAGTATAAGCCTAATAAATATTTGTATATGTATACACTGATGTAACCTTCACCCATATTCATGTGTAGAATATGTCCAGCATAGGGTAAAGTCCTCACATGTCCCTTCCCAGTTTGTAACCTACCACTATGAAATAAACATCATCCTAAGTTGTTTCACCATTAATGAATTTTTACCGGTTTTTGATCTTCATATAAATGGTATCATACAGTATATTCTCTTTTGTGTATGGCATCTTTCACTTGTTTTTTGAAATTCACCCATGTTTTGTATATATCAGCAGTTTGCTCTTTTTTTTTTTGTACTGCTGTTTAGTATTTCATTGTATATCAGCAATAAAAAATTACCCAGTCTGTTGTTGGTAAATATTTGGGTTATTTCCAGATGTTGACTACTGTGAGTAAAGTTCGTGCAAATATACTTATCTATTTATTTTGGTGGTCCTATGTACTATTTCTCTCAGATATATACCTGGGAGTACAATTTCTGGGCCATATAGTAGAGGATTTTCAGCTTTAGAAGATATTTTCAAAGAGTTTTCTAAAGTGACTATACCAATATATAGTTCTACTAATAATGTATGAGTTCTACTGTCTTCAACTCCTCACCAGAACTTATCGTCCGCGTTTTTCACTTGTAGCCATTCTGGTAGAAGTATAGTGATGTTCTGCCATGATTTTAATTTGCATTTCCCTGATGAATAATGAGGTTGAATATCTTTTCATGTATTTACTATCCATTTGGATATCTAGTCTTGTGAAGTTTTGGTTCGAGGTTCTTGCCCATTTTTCTATTAGGTCTTTATATATCTTTTTCTTAATAATTTGTATGTTACTACTTCACAAACAACGTAGAAACCTTTAGACAACTCCTTGTATGACTGTTGTTACATAGTTTACTTTAATCTGTGTTATAAATCTTTTAATACACTTTTACTCCATTGTTGCTTTATGTTTTCTTTACTCATTAATTTTAAGTATCTTTTTATTTACCCATATATTTACCCGTTTGGTGCTTTTTATTTCTCCCTAGTGATCCATGTTTCTATCTGGAATCATTTTTCTTTAGCCTAAAAAACTTCCTTTATTGTTTTCTTGTAATGTGAATGTGTTGTGACAAATTCTTGATAGGATTTTGTTGATCTGAAAATGTCTTTATTTTTACCTTCATTTTTGAAGAATACTTGTGCTGGGTTAGAATTCTAGCTTGGCAGCTTTTTCTTTCAGAGCTCTACTGTATTATTTCATTGTTTTCTATAATAACTTCCATAATATTTCTTGAGAAGCCAGCTGTTAATCTTAAGCTCTTGAATGTAATGTGTATGTTTTCCCTTCTGGCTGCTTTCAGTATTATGTCCTTAACTTCAATTTCAAATAGTTGGACTGTGATTCACGTACGTGTCGCTTTCTTTATGTGAACAGAAAATCCTGGTTGAGATTCATTGAGCTTTTGCAATTTTCTTTGATGTCTTTTATCAGTTTTGCAAAATTCTAAGCCATAATCTCTGTAGATATTATTTTGCCTCATGCACTTTCTCCTCTCCTTCTGGGACTGTAATTGTGTATATGTTAGATGGTATCTCACATTTCCTTTATGCTCTGTTCTGTTCCTTCCGTTCTTTCTGTTTTTTGTGTGCTTCATTAAGATATTTTCTATTGATCTGCCTTCAGGTTCACTAGTTCTGGCTTCTGCTTTATCCATTTTGCTGTTAAGTCCATCTAATTAGTCTTAATTTCAGATATTGTCTTTTTTAGTTAAGGATTATTCATTTGATTCTCTCAGTTTCAGTTTTCTGTTGAAATTTCCCCATATTTTTATGTATTTTTTTCTCTGTTTTCTTTAACATTTTAATATTTTGAGGTCCTTATCTGTTACTTTCAACAACTGAATCTTCTGCGAGCCTGCCTTTCTGTTTTTTTCTTTCATTTGTCATGCTTTTCTGCTTTTCCAAATGTCTCATGTGAAAGATGTCATGAATAAAAATAACACAGAGAAGGAAGTTTATATTATTTTTGCCCCAGAGAGGTTTCTCCCTTTTCATTCCATCAAGAATTGAGCTTGGACAAGACTAAATTGCTTTTTTTTTTTTTTTTTTTTTTTTTTTTTTTTTTTTTTTTTTTTTTTGGGAGACAGAGTCTCGCTCTGTCGCCCAGGCTGGAGTGCAGTGGTGTGATCTCGGTTCACTGCAACCTCCGCCTCCCAGGTTCAAGCAATTCTCCTGCCTCAGCCTCCTGAGTAACTGGGACTACAGGCACGTGCCACCATGCCTGGCTAATTTTTTGTATTTTTAGTAGAGACAAGGTTTCACCATGTAAGCCAGGATAGTCTCGATCTCCTGACCTCGTGATCCGCCCGTCTCAGCCTCCCTAAGTGCTGGGATTACAGGCAAGAGCCACTGTGCCTGCCCCTAAATTGCATTTTTAATTAGACTCAACCCTACCTTTGATTTCAAATGCCCAGAATCGGGAGCTGGATAGAGCCTAGTTGGGCCTCTTTCTCCTTCACTTCCTAAACTATGGGAGATTTATTCTGTTCTTCAGCCTTCTGCCCTATACCATTTCCAAATTTGGTGTCTTGATGAAGAGACTGGCCATGTATTTGAAGCAGATTCTCTTCCTCAAGCAGCTCTTTGTCTCTGAAATAATTCTGTACTATCGGAGATTTCTGTCTGACTTTTCAAAGCTCCCTAACTTCCCATGCAGCCCCCAAGTACATCAATTAAAATATACCATGGGAATAAAAGCACCATATGCTTAGGGACTTTGAGATTTCCAAATTGTTGCACCATCCCCACACATCCTCCAGAAGCTTCAGTGGTTTTTCTTTCCAGCATGTTATCTCTCAATTTAAAGGCCAGGCTTGACCTAAGTACACTCACAGAAATGGATAAGGCTTCCAGGTAAGAAGCAGTTGTAATAGCCTCTTCACCTCAGAATGCCTCACTTCCCTGGCTCACTTTCCCAACTCCAACTGAAAAAGCAAAGAGAACTAAGTAAAATAAACCAAAGATGTTTTTAAAAATAAGATTTTCTCAAATTATGTATTGAATTTTTACTTTCTACGGCAGGAGAAACAAAGCAGTGACCTGTTGCTTCCTAGTCCATCCCCTTATGACTAAGAATTTCCTATGTTTTGGGTTTTTTTTAAATGTTTTGAATTCTTTAATTTGTTCTTGGTATTTTTACATGTGTAGTATCGTTTGCACAGAGCAAAGTGAACAAAAATGTAAGATCATTGCCTTTTGGTATGAATACTTGTTTCATAGCAGTGACATAGATTAACATTTAAACTGATTCATTCATTTATTAGCTGTTTATTGAGTATCAAACAGCCCAGGAGCTGTACTGCCCATGACCAGGAATGTAATAAAAAGCAGATAAAGGCAAAAATACCTCCCCTTGTTATGTTTGCATTCTGTTTTGAGGAGACAGACAATAAATCACATACAAAGTAGGGTCATCCACTGAGAGTTAGGAAGGTAGAGGAGATATTAGATATTTGACAAGAAAAAGAGAAAATGTGAAATGGTCAGTATGGAGACGAAAAGAGTAAATGAGCTAGGGAAATAGTTTAGGATCGCCAGATATTTCCAAGTTATTTAAGTTCAGTAATCATGAGTTTTAAATGACTGTGTATTTTTTTCAGCCATTTTCAGCTACTTGGGTAAAATCATACAGTAGGAGGAGAGTAGAAATTATCCAAGATAGAGGGCCTTCTAGAATAAGTACAATGGAGGAGAGAAGGGTAAAGAAATTGAAGGTATTTGCAAAACAGTGATGGACCAAAGAATCTAACCAGGGTAAGTAAGAAAGTAAAGAGGAAAAAAATGGAAAATGTTAGGAACACATTGATTGGCATTTCTGGTTGGAATGAAAAATTGTTGAAGTGGTCCCTAGAGTAGTAAGCTGTACAGATGAGAGAGATGATTTTGGAGGCCATGCAGTTATTGATAATGACAAAGTGTATAGTTGAATTTCTTTTTTATTTATTTATTTATTTATTTATTCATTTATTTTTTTATTGATCATTCTTGGGTGTTTCTCGCAGAGGGGGATTGGGCAGGGTCATAGGACAATAGTGGAGGGAATGTCAGCAGATAAACAAGTGAACAAAGGTCTCTGGTTTTCCTAGGCAGAGGACCCTGCGGCCTTCCGCAGTGTTTGTGTCCCTGGGTACTTAAGATTAGGGAGTGGTGATGACTCTCAACGAGCATGCTGCCTTCAAGCATCTGTTTAACAAAGCACATCTTGCACCGCCCTTAATCCATTTAACCCTGAGTGGACACAGCACATGTTTCAGAGAGCACAGGGTTGGGGGTAAGGTCACAGATCAATAGGATCCCAAGGCAGAAGAATTTTTCTTAGTACAGAACAAAATGAAAAGTCTCCCATGTCTACTTCTCTCTGCACAGACACGGCAACCATCCGATTTCTCAATCTTTTCCCCACCCTTCCCCCCTTTCTATTCCACAAAACCGCCATTGTCATCATGGCCCGTTCTCAATGAGCTGTTGGGTACACCTCCCAGATGGGGTCGTGGCCGGGCAGAGGGGCTCCTCACTTCCCAGTAGGGGCGGCCGGGCAGAAGCGCCCCTCACCTCCCGGATGGGGCAGCTGGCCAGGCGGGGGGCTGTCCGCCCCCACCTCCTCCCGGACTGGGCGGCTGGCCGGGCAGAGGGGCTCCTCACTTCCCAGTAGGGGCGGCCGGGCAGAGGCGCCCCTCACCTCCCAGACGGGGCAGCTGGCCGGGCGGGGGGCTGACCCCCCCACCTCCCTCCCAGACGGGGCAGCCGGCCAGGCAGAGGGGTTCCTCAGTTCCCAGTAGGGGTGGCCGGGCAGAGGTGCCCCTCGCCTCCCGGACAGGGCGGCTGGCCGGGCGGGGGGCTGACCCCCCCACCTCCCTCCCGGACGGGGCGGCTGGCCTGGTGGGGGCTGACCCCCACCTCCCTCCCGGACGGGGTGGCTGCCGGGCGGAGATGCTCCTCACTTCCCAGACGGGGTGGCTGCCGGACGGCGGGGCTCCTCACTTCTCAGACAGGGCGGCTGCCGGGCGGAGGGGCTCCTCACCTCTCAGTCGGGGCGGTTGCCAGGCAGAGGGTCTCCTCACTTCTCAGACGGGGCGGCCGGGCAGAGACGCTCCTCACCTCCCAGACGGGGTTGCGGCCGGGCAGAGGCGCTCCTCACATCCCAGACGGGGCGGCGGGGCAGAGGCGCTCTCCACATCCCAGACGATGGGCGGGCGGGCAGAGACGCTCCTCACTTCCTAGATGGGATGGTGGTGGGGAAGAGGCGCTCCTCACTTCCTAGATGGGATGGCGGCCGGGCAGAGACGATCCTCACTTTCCAGACTGGGCAGCCAGGCAGAGGGGCTCCTCACATCCCAGACGATGGGCGGCCAGGCAGAGACGCTCCTCACTTCCCAGACGGGGTGGCAGCCAGGCAGAGGCTGCAATCTCGGCTCTTTGGGAGGCCAAGGCAGGCGGCTGGGAGGTAGATGTTGTAGCGAGCCGAGATCACGCCACTGCACTCCAGCCTGGGCACCATTGAGCACTGAGTGAACGAGACTCCGTCTGCAATCCCGGCACCTCGGGAGGCCGAGGCTGGCGGATCACTCGCGGTTAGGAGCTGGAGACCAGCCCGGCCAACACAGCGAAACCCCGTCTCCACCAAAAAAATACGAAAACCAGTCAGGTGTGGCGGCGCGCCTGAGGCACTCGGCAGGCTGAGGCAGGAGAATCAGGCAGGGAGGTTGCAGTGAGCCGAGATGGTAGCAGTACTCTCCAGCTTTGGCTCGGCATCAGAGGGAGACCGTGGAAAGAGAGGGAGAGGAAGACCGTGGGGAGAGGGAGAGGGAGAGGGAGAGGGTTGAATTTCTTAATTGGTGAACCACAAGCATTTGGGGTGAGGTAATTTTTTCACATGAGAGAGAGTTTCACACTCTGAGATATTGAACATTCTGAGTTTCCAGATGTTAAATGCTTGTAGCAGTCTCCTCATGTGCTGTGTCAACAACTGACTCCCGTTCTCCTGTCCCCTTACATAAGGTGATGGTACCACCTGCAGTAGAGAACCACTAGTTTAGGATGTGGCCAGTTAATCTGATGGTTATGCTGGAGAGAAGTCTATCAGCTAGATTGTTTTGGGCTGCAGATGTGAGAATTCTTAAATAATATGGATTTATTTTCTCACTTAAGTCAGAAGTAAATGGTTTCAGTGCCAATTTTAGGGTAGCTTCCCTATTAATTTCTTGGCTTTCCTTACATGATTCCACAATATTGTAAGCCTCAACTTTCAGATGTAAACTTTGGAAGGTAAGACCTCCCTTCATACACCAGATTCAGTTCTTCATATATCATCTGACAGACATACCAGGCATTTCATTTATCACACGGTGATGTTCCCTGCTAGGACAAAAAGGAGCTAAGTAGATTCATTGGCAGAGTACACCAAGAATTCCATCTTCATATCTGCACATATCCAGAGACCCAGAAAGTGGAAAGATTCATTTAGTTTCATACATCTTTCATTTAATGGGAGATTAAAACCTCTCCCTGAAGCCCCCTAGTGGACTTCTTCTCAAGGTACCATTTAAGTTCTAACTAGGTCACATACCTAATTCTTGACCAACACTTGCAATGTAGAATGGAATTATTATGATTAACTTAAACCAGCCAGTTTTGACTGGGCCCACCTTACATGTGCACACTGTAGCCTGATAATTGAATTTGGTTCACAAGACAGAAGAGATGAATAGATGTCGGGTAAAAACAAGCAGTATCTGCCGTAGGGGATTTATGTGCCTCAGAAGTCAGTGTTAGATGGATTATCTATTTTGATGTTAAAGTTACTAAGAATAATAAGAAGAGTAGTAATGGAAAGAACAGCAGAGAACAACATGTAAAATCCTTATTTAAAAAAGAGTAAGATAGGGAAGACAAGTGGATAACCACATAAGCAGGAAATGGTCATTTCAGTAGACCTAGGAATTTTGAGGAAAGAGGTGGCAATAATGAGCGAGGATGCCTGCCCCACCTTCATACCTGTGGTAGGTGGGGTACAGGAGGAAAAGTAGCTCCTATTAATGTCCATTTGGTATTCTTTGGTCTTTTGTTTGTTTGTTTTTTTTTGAGACAGAGTCTCGATCTATCACCCAGGCTGGGTGTAGTGGCATGATCTCAGCTCACTGCAACCTCTGCCTCCCAGGTTCAAGCGTTTCTCCTGCCTCAGCCTCCCGAGTAGCTGGTATTACAGGCATGCACCACCATGCGTGGCTAATTTTTGTATTTTTAGTAGAGACGGGGTTTCACCATGTTGGCCAGGCTGATCTCAAACTCCCAACCTCAGGTGATTCATCTGCCTTGGCCTCCCAAAGCGCTGGGATTACAGGCATGAGCCACCGCACCTACACCTCCCCTGCATTGGGTATTTTTATGTCTCCCCATTTTCTACCCCCAATTTAGATGTCTTAAAAAATAAAAACAATGGATGTTCTTTTCAAAATAATAAATACGGAAAGGACCAGTTTTTAGTATGTTTTGAACCCAAAGAGAAAGAAATGTATAAGAAATACTTATAGGATGCAGAAAATCAACATCAGATGCACAATCTAGTATATCTTATACCTTTAATTCAAATTAACAAATATTTATTGACTGCCAAACATATAGGGATTATGGTTTACACACACACACACGTACATATGCACACACAAAGTAATCAGTAATGATTTGCACTAACTCATAAAGAATTATGGTAAGGGAGAGACTTATTATGTGAGAATCCCTCCATAAATAGCAGAATACCTATTTTAGAACAAAGGGCAATTTCATTTCTGATGTAAAATGGTAAAAAATGTTTTCTTTGTTCCATGTCTTTTGATGATATCTGGGAATAAGCCTCAATAGAGTTATTGTTTTTTTAAAACCTTGTATTTTTTAATTAGAAGTGCAAGATAAATTAATATTTTCTATTTTAACTAAATATTTTAGCTAAATTGTTGAGCCATGGTTACCTGTAGCTGGGCCTCAACTTTCAGACATAAAATTTGGAAGGCCAGCATTTCTGCATATGTATATTAACATGCCTAACTCTCCATTTGTAAACCAGATTCAGTTCTTCGTATAGCATCTGACTGACATACCAGGCTTTTGAGTTATCACATGGTGATGTTCCTACTAGGAGAAAAAGGAGCTATGTAGTTGATTCATTGGCAGAGTACGCCAATAGTATTTAAAACCAAAAATTATTAGAAGGTGGATTCTTTTGTATATATATATATGCAGTGGATTTTTTTTTTTTTTTTTTTTTTTTTTTTGAGATACAGTCTCACTTTGTCTCCCAGGATGGAGTACAGTGCCATGATCAAGGCTCACTACCACCTCAACCTCCGGGGCTCAAGCAATTCTCCCATCTGAGCCTCCTGAGTAGCGGGACTTCAGGCATGTGCCACCATGCCCTGCCAATTTTTATATCTTTTGTAGAGAAAGGGTGTCATTCTGTTGCCCAGTCTGGTCTCATACTCCTGTACTCAAGTGATCCTCCCACTTTGGCCTCCCAAAGTGCTGGGATTACCATGCCTGGTCTGATTTTTTATGACTTAATTTTTGAGTATTCACATGCTTTTTGTCAGTGAGTAGATGTTTTGTTCTATAAAATTGTATAAGAATTTCTCTCCAAAAAAATAATGTTATTAGTTTTAAGAATTTAGAGTATGGTGATATTTTTATTTCTTTTATCCTTTTTTTTAAAGAGTCAACACAGACTGTCCAAGCTCTGCAGTATTCAACTGTTGATGGTCCACTAACAGCAAGCAAAGATTTAGAAATAAAAAACTTAAAAGAAGAAATTGAAAAACTAAGAAAACAAGTAACAGGTAAATATCTGTGATTCACTGTTAATTCAATTTAGGAAATGTTTAAAAAATGGTTTATTCACACAAAAAACATCTATTGAGAACCTGTCTGTGTTATGTGATGTGAGTTGCATGCTAGTCAGGGAAGGGCAAATAAGAATGGGTTCTGCTCTCAAGGAGTTCACATTTTGGTCTGGGAAACAGATAAACAGTTATTGCAATACATATGAAAAGGCTATCAGGAAAAATAAATGGAGGTACGTGGAGAGTACATAGGAGGATCACCTGACACAGACTTACGTGAACAAGGATGGCTTTTTTGGAAGGCCTATTCATTTTGGAATTTGTCTGGCAAAGCATATTTGTGAGGAGAGGAAAAGGTGAGTTAGGAGTGAGGAAGAAGGACACTAGAGACAAGCAGAGTGCATGTATACAGGCATCAAGAAAATTTATTTTCTTTGTTAATGCAATTATTTTTTCAGTGTATTACTGAGATTAAAACTAAATTTGACAAGTGTTCGTATACCTATTATTCATTTATTGCATTTTTTCAATAAATATATTGAGCACCTACTATGTAGCAGGTGTTGTTTTAGGCTCTTGGGATTCAACATTAAGCAAAACAGACTAAACAAAAATTCTTTGCTTTGGCCTGGGTAAAGGACAGAAAACAGAAACCAGTAAATATATAACTTTGTAAATGATACAATATGTTGGAAGGTAATAAGTGCTTTAAAAATAAGAATAGAATAAGGAGAATTAGTCAGATGTGCAAAATGAGGAGTTTTATCATTTTAAATATAGTGCTCCAGGGGTAGGCCTGACTGAGAAGGTGACATGTTAGCAAAAATTTAAAGAAGGCAAGGGGGTTAGCCATACAGTTATCTGCAAAATATGTGTTCCAGGCAGAAGGACTAGCCGGTGCAAAAACTCTAAAATCAAATGTGCCCCAGGTGTTCAAGTAAAACAGAGAGTACTGGATGGCTAGAGCAGAATGAGCAGGCAGGGAGAATGGAAGGAAATGAGAACTAAAGGGGTGAAATGGGCTTGTTGCCTGATCAGTAGAGCCTTACTGATTGTTGTAAGGTCTTTGGTTTTTACTCAGAATGAAATGGCAGTTTTTCGCAGGGTTTAGAGGCATTACATGATCTGAATAAGCAGAGGGATAGGGAGAGAGAGCAGAAGGTACTATTTTAACGAGAATGGTGAGGCCTCTCCAGAAAGGTAGTTTTAGGCAAAAATAAGTGAAAGAGAAGAAATAATCTAATGTAGCATCTTTTATAAAAATGACTATTTAAAATGCCATATTAATACTTTGTTTATATTAAATATATGGAGATCTTAGTTTTGAGCATAATTTATGAATGCTATTTTGTGTTTTTAAGAGGCTCTCCTCCTAAGAAATATCTATATATCTAATCTCTGTTACTTTATCTTTCCAAAAGTAAGTTATTGTAGATTGGGAACATGATAAGTGAATCATGGAGTTTGCTTTGGTACCAACAATAACATTAAGAGTGCCACTGAATGTCTGTGTTAGAGTTGTATGACACTAAAAAAGCAGTAGAACAGAAGACCAGCTAGAATGGTCAGTGATTCGTCTTCAGAGAAGCGATATCGATTTGGAAAACTTATTCATAAGCATATCTCTCCTCTTTTTAATAGTAGAATGTGGCTTTGAATGGCAGTAGCTTTTGAAAGCTTGCTAATTAATTTTAAAACTGCCTTGAAATAGATGGTATTGATGTAAAATATTCAAATCAACAATCTAGTTGTTATGTCATTCACTAAAATAGTTGTGAGCTTCTTTGTTAGCTCTATGTAAGAGCTGAATTTTTAAATATTAAAACGTTTTGCTGTCATTCACAATAATGTTCTGGCACTATCCAAAGGAAACCTTTGTTGATGTCTAACCCAGTATATATAGAATAATAATAAGTAATTTCATTTTCTGAGCAATTCCAAATGGTATCGTATTTTTAATTTTATTGTTCATGTGTTTATTGTAATATATAGAAATATAGTTGATTTTTATATGTTTATTTTGTATTCTATAGTGTTGCTGAACTCACTTATTAGTTCTAGGAGGGTTTTTAAAAAATAGATTCTTTGGGATTTTTAATTCTGACAATCATGTCACCTGCAGGTGGGAACAGTTTTATTTCTCCCTTTCTGATCTATATGCTTTTTGTTTCCTTTTCTTGCCTTATTGCAAGAACTTGCAGCACTGTGTTAAAAGAAGAATGATGAGAAGAACATTCTAGCTTCTTAATCTTGGGGAAAAGCATTCATTTTCCTCTGTTTCTGTACTTCTAAGGGTTTTTAAAATCATTAATGGGTGCTGAATTTTGTCAGATTCTTTTTCTGTATCAATTGATATGAACATACGATTTTCAAAAAATAACCTGTTAATATGGTGAATTACATTGGTTGATTTTAAAGTATTGAACCAGCCATACATCCCTGTTGTAAACCATGGTCATGGTGTACAATTATTTTTATATATTGCTGAATTCCATTCCTAATATATTTTTAAGGATTTTTGCATCTATATACATGAAGGATATTAGTCTTTAGTTTTCCTTTTTTTTCTTCTTTTTCCTTTCTTACCTTCCTTCCTTCCTTCCTTCCTTCCTTCCTTCCTTCCTTCCTTCCTTCCTTCCTTTCTTGTACTGCCTGTTTTCTCTGTCAACGTAGCTGGTGGCTCCTGTCACCAGCAGCCACCAGAGGCCTGAACAAAAGAGTACCAGCAGGGGATCCACCTGCATGCATCCTTTCTGAAGCAACCTTGCAGTCAGGAGTCAGATTGCTGGTACAGTGTCAATGACAACCTCGATGTGAACATTTAAGAGTTTTTAGTACTTACCTTGTGGCACGTGGCACCCCTGGAGGCCACACACCTGGAGGTCAGGGAGTGCAGGCAGACAGAGAACTTTGAGCAGGAGAGCATGGCAACTAGCAGTATATATTAGGGAATAGGGTGTAGGTCACTTTAAGTTTGTAAGCCAGTGCTTGAATGGTCCCCTTAGAGGAGGCAGCTGGAAGGCAGGATCCCAGTCTGCTAGGTGGGAGAGATGTCTCCTGCTTGAGCCCCTTGGGTGTGGTGTAGAACTGGAAACTGCATCAAGAGTGACTAAACCCTGCCTCTGAAACAAGAAAGCTAAACCTGCATTCAAAGTGGATGCTGAGGCAACATAAAATTATTATAAAATTATACATTTATTATAAATTTATGATTTATTTTAAAGTAAAATTAAATATGCTGTAAATTTGTAAATACAGTTGATCCTTGAGCAACATGGATTTGAACTGTGTGGATCCACTTATATGCAGATTTTTTTCCCAACCAAATAGAGATTGAAAATACAGTATGCTTTGGATCCGAAACCCAACCCAGGTTGGAGGTAGAAGTCCAGGTTCCCCGTGTGGTTTCTACTGACAATGTGTGAGGAGAGGCTTGTTGTCAGCCAGTGAGGGTTAATGTCCTGTCTTTTTCTGACATCACTCTTTTTTTTTTTTTTTTTTTTAATTTGTAGACAGAGTCTCACTCTGTTCCCCAGGCTGGAGTGCAGTGACGCGATCTCAGCTCACTGCAACTACCATCTCCCAGGTTCAAGCAATTCTTGTGCCTCATCCTCCTGAGTAGCTGGGACCACACCCAGCTAATTTTTTGTATTTTTAGTAGAGACGGGGTCTCGCTGTGTTGCCTGGGCTGGTCTCAAACTCCTGTCCTCAAGTGATTCGCCCTCCTCAGCTTTCCAAAGTGCTGGGATTTTTGGGATGAGTAACCACACCCAGCATTTTTCTGACACCACTCTTGCAGATGTGTTTGAGCATCTCATTATAGCCTCATGAGGTTGGAAATCTAGCTCCCCCTGCACTTGTCCATTGTTGACATTGGTGACATGGGGCCAGTTTTTTTTTTTCTGTGATGTTTATCTCAAGTAGAATTGTTACTTTCTGTGAGTTGTCTGTCTTTCTGGTCTACCCCTTTCCTAATCCTTTGGCTAGAAAGAGCAGGCTTTTGTTGGGGCTTTTTCTCTTTACAGCTGTTGTCATTTATGGGTTACCATCTTCTTTAGTTCTAATTCTGGGATATATGAACCAAGAAGAAACCCCAGAAAACTCACCGTTATGTTGTTTATCAGGTCCCAGTGTCCTGAGGAAGTTTTTTTCTTCACATTTCGGAGTCGTCTTATGTTTGTTTTATGTATAATGTCTTAGGGTTTTAAGTTATACTTAAAATGGGAAGAATGGGAAATATATCTATTCCTTCTTCCCAGAACTTGAAGTCTCCAGAGTAAGCTTTTAAAGTATAAGTCTGTTGAGGTCACAGCTTCAACATACCTATCTTCAGTGGATCCTCATTGCCTCCAGGATAAAGTAGAAATTTCTCAATTCTAATACAAGGCCCTTCATTATTATGCATGTATTTGCCTCTCGAGCTTTGTCTCTTGTTACTACTTCCTTGCCCAGTGATTCCAGCCATGCTGAATCACCCAGTGATGCTCCACTTCCTTCACATACTGTTTTTTTCCTACCCTTTCTTTCTTTCCTTCCCTTTTTTTAAAAAAATACAAATTGAAGTCTCCCCTTAGGACCTGCCTGATGAGTAGCCCCAACTTTAATTTGGCTCTGAAGAAAAAAATATATATACCTTCAAAGAAAAAATATATACCTCCAAAGAAAAATACATACCTCTGAATAATATATACCTCTGAAGAAAAAAAATATACCTCCAAAGAAAAAATACCTTCAATCTGTCATTCCTCCAGATACTTCTTGAGCAAAGTCTTTGTGTATACAAATACCCACCATTAATGACTGTTTCTCTTGTGTTTCCCAGCAGCAGTGTTCTCCAATATTTTTAAGTTTCTGGAAAAAAATGCGACAGTTTTATAATTATTGACAACTTCTTTTTAATATTTGCTTCTTTACCATACTCTGAGCTTCTAAAGGTTAGGGGTAGGTTATAGTAGGTTTTCCCACTATATTCCTAGTGCCAAGCTTATTGCCAGTATTGTATAACTGACACTATATATATATTTGTTGAGTATCTGCAGACAAAAATAAAATTTTTTTAAATAAAAAATTCATACCTCATTTAATATTTTTGTATGAGAAAATAGAATTTTTTTGTCTCCTAAATGAAAAATTTATTATAATCTATAATGTACTTCTGAGACTCTCGTTCTTATGTTGCCTTGAGGTTGGGGATATGTGCCTCTGTGTACTGTTTCTGTTTCTCCAACCCCAAACTAACACACACACACTCTCTCTCTCTCTCCCCTCCCTACCTCCTGTGAATAGGGGCATTGATAATAAAGGAGCCTATTTTTACTGATTATAATTAGAAATAAAGTTTCTTCGCATCTCAGAAGAGTTACATAATGGGAAAAATGAAACTATCCATCTTGTGGATCAGGGAGATGTTTTGGTTATTCTGCCAACCTCCCACTGGGTCTAGTCTTAACTCCTTTCCAGTTTATAGTGTTCCACTTTGAATACTGCTTTAATCATGCCCATTTTTTGACCTCAATTCCTATAGCACATACAGCCTGCCACACAATTTGCATTTGATTTTCTACTTTATTATTTTTTTAAAGAGTGTTGCTGTTGTCTAACTTACCTCCTTCAAGACAGATTCCATGTTTTATATTTCTCTTCCATGCCATACAGTGCCAAGAAAATAACCCCATATGTATGATGCCTTCATTAAGTCCTCATTACTAACAAGTTGAATTTTATAGTCCTAAATAGCACCCGTGAGCTAAGAACCATTTAGTTGGTATCAGCTAACCCAGTTTCGTAGTACTGTTTTTTCTTTTGAGACAGAGTCTCATTCTGTCACCCAGGCTGGAGTGCAGCGATGCAATCTTGGCTCACTGCAGCCTCCGCCTCCTAGGTTCAAGTGATTCTCCCGCCTCAGCCCTTCTCGAGTAGCTGAGTTTATAGGTGTGCGCCACACCTGGCTAATTGTTGTAATACTAGTAGAGATGGGGTTTCACCATGTTAGCCGGGCTGGTCTTGAACCCCTGGCCTAAGGTGATCTGCCAGCCTCGGCCTCCCAAAGTGCTAGGATTACAGGCATGAACCATGGTGCCCGGCCTAGTACAGCTTTTTCTATTTGTTCACTATAATTAGTTTTTAACAACTTTATCTAAATGTCATGGCTAATTGTGTTGGGTATTTATAATAGTCTCTGGATTTCTTTCAGAATTATAGCCATATTTGCTATTTGTTGTAGTGAAAGTAAAGGCTCTGCTGCCTTACTCATTTTATAGTATTTGACCAAAGTTCAGAGCATTCTGGATTTTTCGTGATATGGGGTTTTCATCTTTTGGGAATGCAACATTCTGTGTTTTCCAAATTACAAGTGCTGTGTTTCTCTCCATAATGGAGGATTTTATTAAATATTAGGGGAGGGGTTATCTTTTCCAACACTTCTTAATCTAGTACATTATTTTTTACTTCTCATAATTCACATACTGTTGTTTAAATGAATGTTTTGAGCTTTTTTCACTTTTGAAAAGTGACTGAAGTATAAAACAGGGAAATTTGACATATATTCTCTAACAACTCCATTGCAAAGCAGCCAGAATGAAATGGCTGTGGTGAGAACTGAAATTAACACTATATTGAAACAAATCAGTAAAAATATCCTTAAAGCTTTTAGAAGCTATCCCCTGTGATATCATCTGTTACAAACTTTATATGGTAGAGAAATTTTATGAAATACTGAATTTTTTGTTTCTCAGAGCTGTTGAAATAAGTCAGTAACAATAATTTCTGAAAAAACAACATGTTAGAGAAGAACACTTCAGAAGTAGAAGAAAGAAAGTGTGCTCAGAATGGATTACTAAATGTACTATATTGCTACTCTAAATTGATTTTCCTTAACCATAAGATTAGATTAAAATGAACCAGGAAGTGACAGAAGTCAGCTGCCTTACAGGCTACATTTTTACTCTTAATTATGAGAAATAACAAAAGTAAATTAATATTTACTTTAGAAATTGTTGAAATCCGGGCAAGGGGCAGTGGCTCATGCCTGTAATCCCAGCACTTTGGGAGGCTGAGGCGGGCGGATCACCTGAGGTCAGGAGTTTGAGACCAGCCTGGTCAACATGGTGAAACCCCATCTCTACTAAAAATACAAGAATTAGCCAGACGTGGTGGCGAGTGTCTGTAATCCCAGCTGCTCGGGAGGCTGAGGCAGGAGAATTGCTTGAACCTGGAAGGCGGAGGTTGCAGTGAGCCGATATCACACCATAGCTCTCCAGCCTGGGTGATAGAGCAAGACTCCGTCTCCAAAAAAAAAAAAAAAGAAAAAAAAGAAATTGTTGGTATCCTAAAAATGTTAAAAACTTAAACTAGAAAATATTTAAATGTGTTTGAAAGAAATTGATTTAAATAGAAATATTCCCATATGAAATGCCAAAATTTGATAAAGTGATAAAATACAGTTTTCTGAATATAAGACTAAACACCATGATTAAGATTAAACACCCTATGATTTTTAGTTTTCTTCACATAAGCATTCATTAATTGATACTGTTCAGATACTATGAAAACCAGTTAATACAACTTTACATCTTCAAAAGTTAACTATGCTATTAATAACTATACTTTCAAAGTAGGTTTTAAATCTATCAATTTATTGCACTGATATCAGTTATTTATGGAATGTAGAACTATACAATGCATGATACACTAATACATTTAAGTAATTTTTAGACTCCAGGATTCATCTACACAAGTGAATTGCTCTTCCCAATAGGACTAACATATTAACACTGCTTCATTTATTGAAAGCATCAGTCTCAACAATATACAACACTTTGTGCACTGGTTCCCACACATTAATGTACAAATGAATGACTTGAGGATACTGTATAGATTCTGCTTCATTAGGTCTTGACTGGGGCTTGAGATTCTCCATATCTAAGTTCCTAGGGGATGCTCATGTCACTTGTCTGGGGATGTTACTTAGAGCAGAGATCCCCAATTCTCGGGCGACAAACTGGTACCAGCAGACTGGGCCGCACAGCAGGAGGTGAATGGCAGGTGAGTGAGCATTAGCGCCTGAGCTCCACCTCCTGTCAGATCAGCGGTGGCATTAGATTCTCATGGGACCGTGAACCCTATTGTGAACTGCTCATGCGAGGGATCTAGGTTGCATGCCTCTTATGAGAATCTGACTAATGCCTGATGATCTGAGGTAGAACAGTTTCATCCCGAAACCATCTCCCGGACTCCTGGGCTGTGGAAAAATTGTCTTCCACAAAACTGGTCCCTGGTGCCAAAAAGGTTGGGTATTGCTGACTTAGAGTAATAATGTGTAAAGAACAGAAAATATCCAGAGCAGAACCGATAATGAGTGTTGTTTAGATTTCTCTGTATCACTGACTTCAATTCTTTACTAGTTTACTTTTGATACCAGGAACATTTCCTATCAATTTATTACATTTTGAGGCATAGGTTAAAATCAATAATGTTGTTTCTTAAAAGCCCCTCTTATCTGAGAATGTTAAACATTATTTAATAACATTATCTTGTAAGGTGGAAAAGTCAGTGCAAGATTTCCTGGGCTCTAGTCTTAGCTCTGATACACATTTTGCAATGTGACTGTAGGCAAATTATTCAACTCCCTGAGTTTCTTCATCTGAAAAATAGGAGAATTGATTTAGATCAGGAGTTTTTCAGATATTTGCTCTTTAGAAATCAGAGTTTATTCTTCAGATAAATAGTGGTGAAACTAGACTGAGTGATTTGGAACCACCCTGTTAGAATCAAAACCGTCTTACACGGTAATTTGACTAACATCAGCACTAGGATGCTTACCAACACTGCAGTAAAACTTGCCCTTTTTTTGGTTGGTTTTATTGTTGCTTGTTAGTTTTAAATTTTTAATTTTTCCGAAGGTGCTGTTTTTGGAAGCATGCTTTTTTTTTTTTTCCTAATGAGTATGTAAGGCATTGTTGCACATCTTCACACTGGCATACACCATTCACCGTCTTTACAGTGAACTGATAATGCATTTAATTTGTCAAGAGTCATACTGGTATACACTGTCAGATCTAACACTAAATTGAAAATACCAATTTTAAAAAAAATTTTAGTTGTTTTACCTTAGGTTCAATCATTTGCTTTTATACAAATAGTAAAAGAAACATTGTCTTTTGTTTTTAGAATCAAGTCATTTGGAACAGCAACTTGAAGAAGCTAATGCTGTGAGGCAAGAACTAGATGATGCTTTTAGACAAATCAAGGCTTATGAAAAACAAATCAAAACGTTACAACAAGAAAGAGAAGATCTAAATAAGGTAAAATATGTGACTAGATCATTAAAGCTTTTTCTCTATTTTGAATCTTGTATAATAAGAATACTGAAAGCATTCATAATGAATTACAATAATACATAGTATATTTTATCTTCTTAAAAGTTGGTCTAAAAATTTAGGATTATTTTGGTGTATGTTATTTGGTTAGTAGCTAGAAATTAAGAAACTTTGTTGAAGCTTGAAAGTTCAGAATCTTTTGTTCTTTTAGAAAGTTAATAGTCAAAGGACTAGATTAAAAGAATGTTATTGAAAAAGAAACATGAAGAAATAAGAAAATAGTAGAAACTGTTTAGCATCTATAGAAAAAATTTAAAATACAGGCATATTTTCATTATAACTTACTGATATGAACATTCTTAAAATATTATAATTTAAAATTTATTTGGTGATTTGTTTTAAATGTCAGTTTTTATCTTTCAAAGCAGCAGGGGTAAATAAGCTAAAGTTATTTTCATAAGAACTTTGTGAAACATTTAAACATTATTTTAAACATCAAAAAAATTTATTGATAGCTAAGCCTCTGTAACACAGCCCAATAGGGTAAATAATATTCAAGCACTAGAGAAAACACTTTTCTTGAACCACATGCTGCTAAGCACCGTGACTTTCATTAACAAATAGAAAAATGTTGGGACTAATACTAGCCATTGCAAACAAGAAATCAGTAGTTTGTGGCATAGCATAAGTTGTATTCAATGATGTAATATATTAATATAATGCACTGATAATATAGAATGAATGAAGTCCTCCTGGGGAAGATTTGAAAGTCTTGGTGCCAGGAAGGAGATGGAGGGAATTAAAAATAAAACAAATAACCTTTAGCTGATGAAACTAATCAAAAGGACTAAAAGAGAACGCTATTAAAGAATAGATTGAAATAGACCAGTACATTTTTACTTTCTGCTTAATGAGGTTTCAAGCAATTTTTTTGTATAGGTCCATTTAAATTCATTGCCAATTTAATAATATTTGTCATTTAAAACTGTTAGTGTTCTATTTGCTTTAATAATATTATAGTAATATTAATGGTTTACCATTTTTATTGGTAGGATTACTCAGCCAAATTTAGTTAACATAATCGGCGTTATGCTTCCTGCTTTCTACTCTTCTGAGCGATTTCCTTGGAAATCTAAAGAGAAGGATCTTGGATTCTTTCTCTAACCCTTTGGAAAGAGGATGAAAATCAGATAGCTAGATTTATAGTGACAGGTGGTCACCAATTTTTAATGTTTTAGTATTAAAAATCCTTTTTATATATTTTGAGAAGATGATAGTGCTGACGAAAAGAAACAGATTATACCAATAAAGGACTTTGAGTGATTTGCTTAATATCCTATAGGCAGTAGAAAATGATTTTTCTCCACATTCCTTGCCAACACTTGTTATCCTTTGTCTTTTAAAAAAAATAGCCATTCCAATAGATGTGAAGTGACAGCTCATTATGGTTTTGATGTTTACTTCTCTTATGACTAGTGATGTTGAATACTTTTTCATATACCTATTGGCCATTTGTATGTCGTCTTAGAGAAATGTCCACTGAGGTCCTTTGCCCATTTTTTGATTGAGTTAGCAAATATTCTGATTTTTTATAATGCCAAACTGTTTTCTAGCATACCAACTTCCATTTCCACGAGTAGTGTAGAGTTTCTGTGTTCATATTTCCAGATTTATTACTTTTGGCCAATCTAGTCTAAATTGAGATTTTAGGTTTTAGAAAATGTTTGGTTGTGGTCTTAATTTGCATTTCTCTAATTAGTAATGAGGTCAAGTATCTTCACATGGGTCTATTGTCGTTTACATTTCTTTTGTGAAATGCTTCTTAATATCTTTTGTATATTTTTCTGTTGGGTTTTTTTCTTACTGGTTATAAGAATTCTTGGAAATATTTGGGCATTCTAATCTTTTGTGAGTTATATGTGTTACAAATATCTCTCAGTGGCTTATCTTTTTGCTTTTAGGAATCTTTTTATTAAAAAGTGTTCTTAGGTTTGTTGTGGCCAGATTTATCAATATTTTTATGGTTAGTGTATTTGCTGTCTTGTATAAAAAATCTGAGATTTTAAAAAATTCTCCTAAATTTTTATCTTAAAGTTTTAAATTTTTAGGTCTGTATCTCAACTATTTTTTGAAAACTGTGAAGATGGAATTTTGATTAAAACTGCATTTAATCAGCTGGGCATGGTGACTTATGCTTGTAATCCTGGCACTTTTGAGAGGCTGAGGCAGGAGGATCACTTGAGTCCAGGAGTTTGAGACCAGCCTAGGCAACAACAGAATGAGACCCAGTCTCTACAAAAAATAAAAAAGTTAGCTGGGTGGTGCACACCTGTCATCCCAGCTGCTCAGGATGCTGAGGCAGGAGGTTCACTTGAGCCTGGTAGATTGAGGCTGCAGTGAGCCATGATCATGTCACTGCACTCCAGCCTGATCAACAGAGCAAGACCCTATCTCAGGGGGAAAAAAATGCACTGAATTTATAGGTCAATTTAGGGAGAATTAACATCATTACAATATTGTCTTTAAGTTCTTACTATCTATATTTATTACTATTTTTCTGAATATACACACAGATTTCCAGAATAGAACGGATTGTTATTACTTACATACAGCAAAGAATAACTACATGGCTCCCTTCTGTGCCAAGTCTTACCCCAAGAGAAATACCCTGAGAGCTGGCAGGATAAAACCCTACACATAAGGAGTCTGTGTTGTAAATGAGGAGCCTTGAAAACATTTATGCAGGTGCTTATATAGAGGAAAGAAGCAACTGCTTCCTGCTTTCTCCTGTTCTGAGAGAGTTCCTTGGAAATCTAAAGAGAAGGATCTTGGGTTCTTTCTCTAACCCTTTGGAATATAGATAAATATTCCCTCTGGAAATATAAGCCCAGAGTCTCCTGCTCCATCAAAGGAAGCCCCCTTGGTCCAGGCTCCTACTCTCTCCCACCCCACCTTGAAATGTAAACACATAACCTCCAGAAGGTAAATCTCTTAGTTTTCTCACTACTAAATCAGTTATAAGTTACTTTTTAAGACTTTCATTTAGCCCAGGTTTCGGTAAAATTTGTTCAAAAGGGACCAGCTGCAAAAACATAAAAGTTTCTCTGCATTCCTAAAGTCTTTTTATTTGTAAACATGATATCTCTCCATATATTTAAAGTTCTTTTAAAATGTTCTTCCATAAAATTTCATACAGAAAAGACTTTCATTTCTTTTCTTGTTTTACTGTATTAGCTAGAACCTCAGTACAGTGTTGACTAGAAATGATAATAGCAGGCATCCCCATCTTGTTCCCCGATTTTAAAGAAACTGCCTCTGATATTTCATCGCTAATAATGTTTGCTGTAAGTTTTTAATAAATAATTTTTATCAGGTTAAAGAAGTTACCTTCTATTCCTATTTTGTTAATACCTTTTATTTAGAATGGATACTGACTTTATTAAATGTGCCCTTCTGTGCTCTATTGATATGATTATATGATTCTTGTCCTTTAATAAGTTGGTGTGGTGAACTACGTTTGTAGACTTTTTCTAATATTAAGCCACTGTTATATTTCTGGGTTAAGCCCAAATTTCTTATAATACTGTGATAGTATAGATAACATTTATGTAGCAAATATCTGTTCTAATAGCACTGTTGTGAATGCTTTACATATATTAAATTATTTAATCTCCATCACAGCCCCATGAGTTAGGTGTTATTCTCATTTTATGAATGGTGAGACCAAGCACAGAGAAGTTAGTTCACTTGCTCAAGGTCATAGAAATAGAAAGTGGTGGAGCTAGATTTTCAGCACAAGGAGTTTAGCTCCAGACTTCATGCATATCTACTTTATATATCACTGGAACTGATTTACTAATTTTCAAAAAGGGTTTTCACTGTTTTTTATAAGTGAGATTGACGTGTTTTTTTTTTTCCTCTTTTCTTTTTTTTGATATTCAGATTATACTGGTCCATAGAAAGAGTTGAATTGCATTCCTGCTTTTTCTCACGGACCAATGAGTTATTTATAAGTATCTTTTAAAATTTTCAATATATGGAGTTTTATCTTTTTTTGTTGACTTCTAATTTAGTTGCAGTGTCATTACAGAACTTGCTCTACGTGGTATCTGTTCTTTGAAATCTACTGAGACTTGCTTCATGGCGTAGCCTGTTCCATTTTTAAAACATTCAATGTGTGTTCTTGAAAATAGTTCGTGTTCCAATTTAGAGAGCAAGCTTCTGTGTATGAAGCTTTTCAGATCGTCTTTATATTCACTATTTTTTTTTTTTTGCCTACCTGGTTTATCTATTAATGACTAAGAAATTAAAATTTTTCATTATAGTGATGTTTACCAATTTTTCTCTGAAGTTCTAACAGTTTCTTTTTAATGATTTTGAGACTCTCTTATAGAAGGCACAAAAGTTTAGGATAATATTTCTTCTTAGTGTATTGAATTTTATCATTATGTAGTGATATTCCTTATCCTTAGTAATACTTTTTCTACTGAAGTCAAGATTTCATTTCTTAATCCAGTATAATAGATGGCCTTTAACTGGTTACTAATGTATATGGATGTGTTTCTACTATCTTTTTTTCTGTTTGTCATGATTTTTGCATGCTGCTTTTTATTTCCTTTCTTCCCTTCTCAAAAGTTTTTAACTGTGGTAAAATACGTATAACATAAAATTACCATCTAAACAATTTTCAAGTGCACAGTTAAGTAATGTTAAGTGTATTTACATTCTTGTGCAGCAGTCTCCAGAACTCTTTTTGTTTGCAAAATCATTTCTTCTTCACTGAAATTTGTTGTTGTTGTTGTTGACATTTTAGTTTACTCTCTAGTCTTTTGGTGGTTACTCTTGGCTTCTACCATGTGTATTAACCAAGTTTAAGTTTAAGTTAAATATCCTAAAACTATTTCCCACAAACAATTTAAAGACGTTTAATTTTACAGATTGAGTATCCCTTATCTGAAATGCTTGGGACCAGCATTTGGATTTTGGAATATTTGCATTATACCAATTGAGTATTTCTAACCTGAAAATCCAAAATCTGAAATGCTCCAGTGAGCATTTCCTTTGAACATCATGTTGGCACTCAAAATGTTTTGGATTTTGAAACATTTCAGATTTCAAATTTTTTGGATTATTCAAGCTGTATTACCTCTTTACAGCTTTATGTGTTGTTATTGGCCAGTATTTTAGCTGTTATCTTTTGTTTACTGTACAAAGTTAACATTTTTATAGTATAATCTTATATACACATTTGTTTACATTCACATTCATGTTAACCATTTTATTAGCTCTTCATTTCTCTTGCATTAGATCTCTAAAATCTTTTTTTTTTTTTTCCTGAAATAAAGCTTTACTGGTTCCTTTAGTGCAGATCTGATTATGGTAAGCTCTGTCAGTTTTGTTTATATGAAGCCTCAGACTTGAAAAGTAATTTTTGGGGTATATAATTTTAATTATCTTCTCATATCTTTGAAAATATTTTACCCTGTTTCTGTTGCTGTTGTTACTTCTTCAGTGTCTGTTCTTAGTCTAATTTTCCTCCTCCCCGCCTTATTTGAGGATGGGGAATAGGTGATTTGTCTTTCTTTCCCTCTGATTTCTTTACGGTCTTTTATTTCTCTTTGGTATTACCCAGCGTCATTTTTTGAACACTTCTGGTTTGGGTTTTCTAAATTTTTTCTTGATTCATAAATGTAGAGCTTCCTGTGGTGATGGATGCATGTCTTTAATTTTAACATTTATATTTTTTCACTTCTTTTCTTTTCTTTTTTTTTGAGTTGGAGTCTCACTGTATTGCCCAAGCTAGAGTGCAATGGAGTGATCTCAGCTCCCTGCAGCCTCAGCCTCCCAGGCTCAAGTCATCTTCCCACCTTAGTAGCTACGACTATAGGTGCATACCACCATACCTGGCCTTTTTTTTTTTTTTTACATTGTTATTTTTTGTAGAGATAAGGTCTCACAATGTCGCCTAGGCTGATCTTGAACTCCTTGGCTCAAGCAATCCTCCTGCCTCAGCCTCCCAAAGTGCTGGGATTATAGATGAGAGCAACTGTGCCTGGCCTTATGTTTTCTATTTCTAAATGTTCCATACAGTTCTTCTATAAATCTGCTTGGTCATTTTTAATAGCCTTTTGTCATTTTTTTGTTTTTATTATTTCATCCTTTATTCCTTGAAATATTTCATATGTAGCAATTTTGTGTTGATATCTAATGATTTTAATACCAAGATACCTTTGATGTTTATTTTTATTGTTTTTGTTGTTTGATTGTGGTGCTTTGTTCTTTGAGTATTTTGGAATCTGTGGTTGTGAGCTCATTCTTGTTTGTTCTTAATATGTGAAAAATTCAGATTTCATTGCACTTCTTTCCCCCAAAGAAAATTTGCATTTCCTTTTGCTGGGAGGCAGGTAGTGGTACTGCCCTGAGTCCACTTTAGCTCTCCTCTAAGTTTCTCATTTTAATTAGGGAGTCTCCGGTTTAGTTTCTATCTCCTTGCTTCTGGCTTGAGGCGTAGCCTCCATGTCAAGGGCAACACTTGTTTTTTATGAAAACAACCTCACACATATTTATTAAATTTCACAAATATTTATTTTGACCATCATATCGTTTATTCCTAAACTTTTTCCTCATTTGTGGAAACTAAGGTACTATAAGGTTAAATCAGCAGCTCCTGTGCATTTACTGTATTAGCATAAGGAATTGAGACTATATCAGGACACCATGCCGTTAATATCTGTTCAGAAGTAGTTTATTTCTTTTAATTTGTCCTAAGGTGAATAATTTTGGCTCTTCTTGACTTAATGATAGCTATTCTGATGGCCAAATTTGGTCTCTAGGTTGCAGAATTGGTAACTTATATTCTTTTTACAAAACTGTAGGAACTAGTCCAGGCTAGTGAGCGATTAAAAAACCAATCCAAAGAGCTGAAAGACGCACACTGTCAGAGGAAACTGGCCATGCAGGAATTCATGGAGATCAATGAGCGGCTAACAGAATTGCACACCCAAAAACAGAAACTTGCTCGCCATGTCCGAGATAAGGAAGAAGAGGTGGACCTGGTGATGCAAAAAGTTGAAAGCTTAAGGCAAGAACTGCGCAGAACAGAAAGAGCCAAAAAAGAGGTTAGTAGTCAGGCAAATTTTGTAGTGCCCATGGGATAGTGATTAAAGCTGCTTTTTGAGACTAGTAATATAATATATAATTTTTAAAATATTTCTAAAGTTATTTTTATAGTTCATTAATATTATTTAATATGGATTTAAACATTTGAATTATCTTCCTGTTACAAGGTAAATTCTCATTGGGATAAATGTTTTGTTTGGAAAAAAATTATAACCGTGAAATCTGCATTTTTCATTCTGTTTTAAAGCTGGAAGTTCATACAGAAGCTCTAGCTGCTGAAGCATCTAAAGACAGGAAGCTACGTGAACAGAGTGAGCACTATTCTAAGCAACTGGAAAATGAATTGGAGGGACTGAAGGTATCTTTTGACTTCACATTTATGAAGCTTAATTGATTTTCTTCTCTTTAGGCTTGTTAGGAGTGTTAGCTTGTATACTGTATTCGGTGTGCAGTGAAAACTAGCCTTTCTTCAAACCTACTATTCATAATTCTCGTTCTTACCAGTAGGAAGCTAATACAGATTTCTTAATTATGCTGAAGAAAATGGAGGACTATGTTTAGTGGGAAATATGAATCTATCAGGAGGGAGTTAGAATGTTTATGCAGACCTACACAAGATGTACTGGTAATCTGCATGGGAGTCATGGTTAGATATCCAGACCCTCTATATATCTCATAAATGACTCAGGAGAAGCTCAGGGGTAGCTTTGCAGACACTTGTGTCTGTTAGGATAAGATGATAATGGGCATAGTCTAAAACATCTCAGCAGAAGGTGCTTTGCAAGGGAAATTCTTGAGCCGTTCTGGAGTTAGACTACCTATTCTTAACTTCTTGCTTTCACCAGTTACTTGCTGTGTAACATGTAACATTGGACAGAACATTATGGGGCCGGGCACAGTGGCTCACGCCTGTAATCCCAACACTTTGGGAGGCCGGGATGGGCAGATCACTTGAGGTCAGGAGTTCGAGACCAGCCTGACCAACATGGCGAAACCCCATCTCTACTAAAAATACAAAATTAGCCAGGCATGGTGCGCACGCCTGTAATCCCAGCTACTGAGGAGGCTGAGGCAGGAGAATTGCTTGAACCCGGGAGGTGGAGGTTGCAGTGAGCCTAGATCGCACTATTGCACTCCAGCCTGGGCAAGAGCGAAACTCCGTCTTAAACAAAACAAAACAACATTTAACCTCATTATACTTTAATTTTCTCCTCTATAAAACTATTTCATGTCACGAGTACATACATACATTTGTAAGCTGACACATTATAAGTGTTCAGTAACTGTTAGTATAATAGTATTATGTATATTACAGTGAGTGAATTAAGATCAAATTGACGTGATATTTTTACCATACTAAGTAATAGTCTGAGTGTGGTATCTGCCTTTTATCTTTTTTGACTGGAAACTTTTTCCATCCTGTTTTCTCTGCTATATCTGTCAGCCCCCATTTCACCTACTTCTTTTAGGACCATGCTTAGTCTAGTGTCTAATTATCCATAACATGTAAGAATCATACTCCTTAAAATCTACATACTCCTGTACTGCTTCTTGGAATTCTGTTAATACCTGTAGCTTAGCTCTTATTGTAATTATTTATTTGCAAATCTGTATATTTCCAACTAAACTGTGACCTAGCTTATTGAAAACACAGACAGTTATATTGTTAATTTGGCCCTGGCAAAGGACCAGATATTGAATACTTGTTTAATAAACCTGTTAAGTTAATGAATGAATCATGTGGTAGAATTGGTCAGAGCTTACTTTGTCTGACAATTGAATTTCAGTGGTTGCAAGTCAAATTCCTTTGCTGTAAATAGAAATATAAACTCTTGATTTTATTCTTGTTTTTGTTTTGGGAGTTTTAGTTCATCATGAATTCATAGTCCTGGTTAGCTTTACGAAGTAGAGATGTGTCTTCTATATACCTCTAGAGCAGGATTAGTATGTAGAAGTAATTACATCACCATCCCAGATACTTTTCAGTCAGGGCCTGCTTTGTTTCCAGCACTATTCTGGGTGCTTTGGATGATAAGAATAATAAAGTACAAACTGGAAGAAATCTTAGGCATTATTTTTATTTGAGAAAATTGAGGGTCAGAAGAGTTAAATATTTTAGAGTCATAAGTGATAGAGTACAATGTAAACCCAGGTTTTCTAACTTTCATTCACATGATTTATCTAATGGTTTGCTTTTTATTTTTTTCTACAATAAACATTACTTCATTGGAGACTCTGTATCATGTTTACCTACTTGCCAAACACATCTCTGTGTCATTTAGAAATTTGAGATAATATAACACCTACCTAGTAAATAAGTTAATGCATTTAACATGTATAGACCAGAACCTGGCATGTAGTAAAGGGTTAAAACATATTTTGGCCCTTTTAAAGATTGTAGGAATCTTCACTTCATTGAGAATACTTTTGACAGACTTAAAGAGAGAAATAGCCCTACAAAAAGAGTTAAGGACTTCAATATCTCACTTCTAATAATGGATAGAACATATGCACACAAGATCAATAAGGATATTGAGGTTGTGAACACCACTATAACCAACTAGACCTAACAGATACAGAGTCAGCCCTTCATATCCATGAGTTCTGCATTCGTGGATTCAACCAACCATGGATCAAAAATATTTGGAGGAAGAAAATTAGATGGGTGCATTTGTACCGAACATGTACAGATGATTTTTCTTGTCATTGTTCCAAATGTAAAACCTACTTATATAGCATTTATATCACATTAGGTATTGTAAGTAGAGATCGTGACGTTTTGATCAGCCACAGACTGCATATACAACAATGGTCCCTTAAGAGTATAACGGAGTTGGAAAAATTCCTATCATCTAGTAACGTCTTGATGATCTTGACCCTGTGTAAACCCTATATTAATGTGTGTGTTTGTGTCTTAATTTTTAACAAAAATGTTTCAAAAGTAAAACAAATAAAAATTTTACAAATAGAAAAAAGCTTATAGAAAATGGATATAAAGAAAGATAGCCAGGTGCGGTGGCTCACACCTGTAATCCCAGCACTTTGGGAGGCTGAGGTAGGTGGATCACTGGAGGCCAGGAGTTTGAGACCAGCCTGGCCAACATAGTGAAACCCCGTCTCTACTAAAAATACAAAAATTAGCTGAACGTGGTGGCGCATGCCTGTAATCCCAGCTACTCTGGTGGCTGAGGCACGAGAATCGCCTGGACCTGGGAGGCAGAGATTGCAGTAAGCTGAGATTGAGTCACTGCACTCCAGCCTGGGTGACAGAGTGAGACTCTGTCTCAAAAAAAAAGATACATTTTTGTACATCTGTACAATGTGTTTGTATTTTAAGTGTTACTACAGAAGAGTTCAGAAAGTTTTAAAATAGTAAATAGCTTATAAAGGTATAGTAAGCCAAGTTTTTTATTGGATAAGTAAAATTTTAAAAATAGTGTAGCCTAAGTATAAAGTGTTTATCTATCAGGTCTCCAGTAGTGTACAGTAATGTCCTAGGCCTTCATGTTCACTCACCAGTCACTAACTCATCCAGGCCAATTTCCAGTCCTGTTAAGTTCCATTCATAATGCTCTATATGACATACCATTTTTTATTTTTTATACCTTACTTTTATACCATATTTATATGCGACATACCTTTTTTATCTTTTATATGATGTTTTTACTGTATCTTTTCTATATTTAGAGACACAAGTGTTTACTGTTGTGTTACAGTTCCCTGCAGTATTCAGGACAGTACCATACTGTACAGGTTTGTAACCTGGGAGCAATAGGCTATACCATATAGCCTAGGTGTGTAGTAGGCTGTACCATCTAGGTTTGTGGAAGTACAACTTATGTTCACACAAGGACAAAATCACCTAATGAGATGCATTTCTCAGAATATATCCCTGTCGTTTAGCAATATGTGACTGTAATCTAGAGGTGATTTAAAGTATATGGGAGGATGTGTGTAGGTTGTATGCAAACACTGTACCATTGTATATATGAGACTTGAGCATCCGTGGATTTTAGGTATTCAAGTAGGGTCCTGGAATCAGTGCCCTATGGATACTGAGAGACAACCATATATAGAACTTTTCACCCAACAACAGCAAAATATACATTCTTTTAAAGTACACATGGCAGATTCTCCAGGATAGACCACATGTTAGGCCAAAAAACATTTTAGTAAATGGAAGAAGATTGAAGTCGTATGAGGTATCATCTCCAACCACAATGGAATGGAGCTAGAAATCAATTACAGGGAAAAAAAAAACCTGGAATGCTCAAAAATATGTGGAAATCAATGAACACACTCTTAAGCAACCATAGGTCAAAGAATAAATCACCAGGGAAATTAGAAAATACGTGAATGAAAATGAAAATACAATACACCAGAACTTACAGATGCCATAAAGGCAGTGCTCAAGAGAGAAATTTGTAACTATAAATGCCTGTATTAAAAGGAAGGACTAAAAGGGAAGAAAGTAAAAATCACTAACCTAACTTTATATCTTAAGGTACTAGAAAAAGAAGAGCAAACTGAATCCAAAGATAGCAGAAGGAATGAAATAATAAAGAGTAGAGCACAGCTAAATAAAATAAAGACTAGAAAATAATAGAATCAATAAAACAAAAAGTTAGTTGGTTAGAAGTCAACAAAATTGACAGCCTTTAATTAGACTGACCCCTTCCCAATAAAAAGAGCTAAAGAGAGAGAGATGTTGCAAATAACTAAAATCAGAAGTATAAGGGAAAATTTTATTACTGACCAACAGAAAACAAAAGAATTATAAGAGGAACAACTGTATGCCCACAGAGTAGATAACCTAGATGAAATGGACAAATTCTTAGAAGGATACAAATAACCCAGTATGACTCATGGCAAAATAGAAAATCTCTGCAGACCTATAACAAGTAAAGACATTGAATCAGTAATCAAAAACCTTCTGACAGACCCTCCTGCACTCCACAACCCCACTCCAGCGGCTTGTTAAAAAAAGACAGGCCACCTTCTAACAAAGAAAAGTCCAAGACCACACCACTTCACTGCTGAATTGAACCAAACACTTAAAGAAAAATTAACAGCAATCCTTCCCAAACTCTTTTTTGAGAAGGCACCTGTCGTCCCAGCTACTCTGGGGGCTGAGGCAGGAGGATCACCTGAGACTTCGGAGGTCGAGACTTCAGTGAGCCATGATTGGGCCACTGCATTCCAGCCTGGGTGACAGAGTGAGACCCTGTCTCAAAAGGAAAGGTACTTGAGACTTGAGCTTAAAATAAATTCACCCAAGTTCCAGGCTGCAAGATCAACACATAGCAATCAGTTGTGTTTCTATAAGGCAGCACGAACAGTCTGCAAAGAATGTTAAGAAAGCAATTCCACTTAACAATTGCATCTAAAGGAATAAAATCCCTTGGGACACATTTATCCAACTAAAAATGACAAAACATTGCTGAAAGGAATTAAAGAAAATCTAAATAAATGGAAAGACATCTCATGTTTATGAATAGTGGGATTTAATATTGTTAAGATGCAGTACTACTACCTAAAGTTATGTACAGCTTCAATTCAGTCCCTATCAAAATTCAAAGTCTTTTTTGCAGAAATAAAAAGCTGATCCTCAAATTCATATGGAATTGCAAAGGACCTGGACAGCCAAAACAATCATAAAAAAAGGACAAAGTTGGAGGAGTCATACTTCAGAACTTACTACAAAGTTACAGTAATCAAAACAATGTGGTACTGTCATAAGGATAGACATACAGACCAATAAAATATAATTAAGAATACAGAAATAAATGCATGTATCTATGGTCAATTAATTTTTGACAAATGTACTAAGTCCATTCAATGGGGAAAGAATAGTTTCTACAGATGTTTTGGGACAACTGAATATTAACCTACAAAAGAATGAAATTGGTCACCTGCATCACACCAGTTATACAAATTAACTCAAATTGGATCAGCAACTGAAATCTTACAGCTACAACTATAAAACTCAAGAGACCTTGGATTTGATAATGGATTCTTAGAAATAATACTGAAAGAAGAATTAACACCAATCCTTCTCAAACTCTTTTTAAAATAGAAGAGGAGGAAACACTTCCTAACTGATTCTGTGAAGCTGGCATTACCCTGAATACCAGAGCCAGACAAAAAAATCACAAAATTACAGACCAACGTTTCTTATTAATATAGATGCATAAATAACAAAAAAAGTATAAATTGGGCTTTATCAAAATTAAAACTTAATGTGTATGGTATCAAAGGACATTATTAAGAAAGTAAAAAGACAGCTTAAGGGATGCAAGAAAATATTTGCAAATCATATATGTGATAACAATTTAATATCCAGATTATATGAAGAACTACAGCTCAACAACAGAAAGACAACTCAATCAAAAAATGGGCAAAAGACTTGAATAGACATTTCTCCAGAGAAGATATATATAAATGGTCAATAAGCAAATTAAAAAATGCTCAACATTACTAATCACTAGGAGAATTCAAATTAAAACCAAAATGAGATACCACTTCATATGTACTGGGATAGCTAAAATTAAAAAGAAAGAAAAAGAAAGTAGGTCTTAACAAGAAGGTAGAGAATTGGAACCCTTATATGTTGCTAAAGAAAGTATAAAATAATGTAGCCACTTTTGAAACAATGTGGTGGTTCCTCAAAAAGTCAAACAGAACTACCACATGATCCAGCCATTCCACTCCTAGGTATATACCCAAAATATTTGAACATAGGAACTCTAATAGATGCTTTACACAAGTGTTTATTGAAGTATTATTGCAGTAGCCAAAAGGTGGAAACAATCCAAGTGTTCATCAACAGATGGATAAAGAAAATGTGGTATATAAATACAATGGAGTATCATTTATCTATGAAAAGGAATGAAGTCATGATACATGCTACAACATGGCTAAATCTCGAAAACGTACTAAGTAAAAGAAGCCAGACACAACAGGACAAATACTATATGATTCCACTTATATGAAATAATTTAGAATAGGCAAATTCAGGCCCGATGCAGTGGCTCATGACTGTAATCCCAGCACTTTGGGAGGCCGAAGCAGGAGGATTACTTGAGCCCAGGAGTTCAAAACCAGCCTGGGCAACAGAGTGAGACCCCATCTCTACAGAAAATTAAGAAATTAGCTGGGCATGGTGGTAGATGCCTGTAGTCCCAGCTACTCAGGAGGCTGAGGTGGGAAGATTGCTTGAGGTCGAGGCTGCAGTGAGTCATGATTGTGCCAGTGTACTCCAGCCTGGACAACAGAGTGAGACCCTGTCTCAAAAAAAAAAAAAAAAAAAAAAAGAGAATAGGCAAATTCACAGATACAAAGTAGAATAGAGGTTACCAGGGTTTGGGTGGAGTGGGGAACAGGGAGTTAATTCTTAATGGTTACAGAATTTTTTGTTGGAATGATGAAAAAATTTTGGAAATAGATACTGGTGATATTTATATAGCATTGCAAATGTAATTAATGCCATTGAATTGTGCATGTAGAATGGTTAAAATGGAAAATTTTGTTGTATGTTGTTTTACCACTTAAAAACTATTAATGCAGTATAACAAGATAATTGAATTTTACACTTTTAAATGAGTGATTTGTATGATATGTGAATCACATTTCAATAAAAAAAATTTTTAAAGAAAACTTTTAAGTTGTTATATATGATGCTGTGATGTTACTAGAGGTATTTTTTTTTCCCTATTGTGTTAGTTTGTTGGGGATGCTGTTGTGAAGTACCACACACTGGGTGGCTTAAAACACAGAACTGTCTCAGTTCTGGAGGCTAGAAGTTCAAAATCAAGATATTGGTATGGTTGGCTTCTGGTGGCATGCTGACAGTCTTTGGTATTGCTTGGCTTGTAAGATACATCACCCTGATCTCTGCTTTCATGTTCACATGGAGTTCTCCCTGTGTGTCTGTGTCCAGATTTCTCCTTTTATAAGGACGCAGTCTTAATGAATTAGGGGTGTGCCTTACCGTTTTGATTCGATTTACCTCTTAAAACCATATTTTAAAATAAGGTTACATTCTGAAGTACTGGTGGTTAGGGCTTCAACATAGGAATTTGAAGGTAATACAGTTCAACCCATACACTTACATTTTTCACTTAATAGTGTAATAAGCATTTTTACTTTCATTACCAAATTGTCACAAACATAATTTTAATGATTTTAAGTAGTTCAAGAAGAATTTTCACATACCTAGTTATTTCTATTTGTTATTACAAAATTATCACAAACATAATTTTAGTGATTATAAATAATTCAAGAAGACTATCCGCATAACCAATTTTCTATTGTTACCTTTAAAAATTCTTTGCAGTATTATAATTGCCAAAAACACCTTTATGCACTGCTTTTTCTGTATCATTTTCTTAGAACAGGCACCCAGAAACGAAGTTAGCGATTATTTTAAGGCTAATTTATGTGATAAATCCCACAAATCTTTGCAAATACGAGAGGCCAAAAAAGTTGTACCTCTTTATTTCTTGGTTTATTAGTGGATTGTTTTATTAATAATATTTTCTGTTCATAAATTCTCTCTTTATTTGCTAATTTAATTTAGTAGTCTTAATGTTTTTCTTACCAATTCATAAAACTCTCTGCACAGTAAAAATTTTACTTTTTGAAGTGTTTTCAGCAACTATTTAACCAATTTATCATGTATCCCTTAATTTTGATCTTGTTTCTTTTTAAAATTATAGAAGATTTGTTGGTTTTTCTCAGTGTTTCTTCTGTCGCTTCAAAGCTTGGCTTGTCCTTCTCTCAGAGTTTTGATAAGTATTTAATTCTGCTTTCTTTTGGATGTTTGTTGGGTCTAAAAATAATTAACTGTTTAATCTATTAGGAGTTTGTTTTGCTAAATGGTATGACATGAGATTGATTTTTGTTATTTTATTGCTAGCTGGTGATTCCAATTTCATTTATTAATCATTGCCTTACCCAATGACTGAAGATGTCTCATATATTGAATTAAATTATTTCGGGGAGCAGATCTGTCATAGTGATACTTTAGTAAAGAGTTATAGTATGTTTTAATATTTGAAAAGTATATTTTCCCATGCACCCCTTGGTATTTTCTTTGACATTTTTACCAGTTTATTCTTATCCACGGAGTAGAAACATGTCTCCATGCCCTTCTATCTCCACATTTATAAAGAACTTTTAATTAGAATTATGTGGAAGATAACATGAAAAATATTGAATATGTACATTTAATCTTCCCTTTTAAATACTTTGTTTCAAGACTTGTAGGTTTCTCATATAAATCAGAAATTTCTCACTATTATCCTTCAATTAACAATGAAATTTTTGTTATGTTTATTGCTTATTTTAATATCTGGAAGTATTGATTTGTGTTTATCTTATATGCTATTGCTTTACTCAACTATCAATTCTAACACATTTCACTAGATTTATTTGTATTTTCTGGGTGAACAATTAAATAGAAATGATAAATATGTTATTTTTCTTTACAATATTCATTTTTTTAACTATTTTACATGTTGGTCAGAGAGACAATTTTATATGTTGGTCTGAAATGAATGTCGCATAAGAGTGGTAATGGAAGACATCCTTTTTGTTGATATTTCTGAATTTACTCGATGTATCTCTGATGTTTCACGTAAATAGTATTTTGATAGCTCAAAATGGATACTTTTAAATTAAAAGAATTACTGGTTTTTTTTATGTAATGGTTTTATTGTGGGACTTAGAGTAGTATTTGGAATTATTACTGGATTTTATAAAATGCTATTGGGTAGGGGTACATACTGAGATTATCATTTGGATTTTTACATACTGAGATTATCATTTGGATTTTAAAATTTAATCTATTAAAATAATTCATTTTATGACACATTTATTAATAAGTTTGCTGACATTAAATTATCTTCGGTGTCTGCAATAAAACCTATTATTTCTTGGTAGGTTTTTCTTTTTTACAGATGGTTTAATAATATCATTTGTGTTCTATTTGGCTTTTCACATTCTTATCAATAAGTGATATGCATCTGTAACCATAATTGTTGGTATCTTTGTTAGGTTTTGATTTCAGGGGAATTTTTTTTTCTTGAAACTTACTGTACATGCTGCTGCCATCCCAACAGTCATCACAATAAACAGAACATCAAACTAAAAGTGTTCTTTTCTTTAAGTAGTTAGAAAAATGCAAGAATAGTACGGGTCAGTGGTAAGTGCCACAGATGTCAATTTAGTTCTCATTTTCATAGCGATGCTTCAGAGCAAGAATCTGCCTTGCTCTGGTTCTTCTCAAGTTAAGCAGACTTTTGCATGTTAGGCTGCCTCATAAACCATTGGACGATCTGGATCTGGCACATGAAAAGTATTTTTTCGATAAATGGTTAATATTGCAGTGGACACGCCAGGGCTATTTCTCTGGCCCACATCACTTCCTTTGCTCTTTTTAAATTATATACTTCAAACATGAAGGAGTCAGGGTATTTTTCCTTCTACTTTAAGTCAACTACGCTTACCAGTTTTTATTGCCCTTATGACTGACTTCAAAAAAGAATACAGTGACCTCCAGATCTTGATTCTTTGTTGTCCCTAAACTTAAGTGCATAGATTCTTTTAGTTTTAAAAGTTTTATTGCAACTGGGGAGACAGATAAGATATAACAAATTAATGACCTTTGGAAAATTACAAAGCTTAGGAAATCTTACAGTCATAATCTGTAGTCTGTATGTTTCTGTTTACCCTTTAGGCAGTACCTGGAAGAATCTTTGGACTTTACATTTTCTTTTCTTTCTTATTACTGAGAGGATATTTCAGCCTTATTTCTAAAAAGGTAGATTTCAACCCAATTTCTTCTCCTTCTTAATCATACCTAAAAGTGAAGAGACCTACCGTTTTTTTTCTAGTGTAGATATGAAGGAGATGTTAGTTTAGACCTTTGCCATTTCTCACAGGACTATTGCAAAAGGTTTCTGTCTTTATTTTTGTACATTCTACTCTACCATTCCTTTGCCCATTTTAATTTTTTTAAGACACAGATATCCTTAAAACTTTTTATCAGTTCTTCATCAGATTTAGGATGCAGTTAGATTTTTCTCTCACTCCATACACCAACAATAATTGTAAATAAATTAGAAATTTAAATGTAAAGCAAGAAATCATGTAAGTCCCAGCCAAAAATTTGAATAAATATGTAATCTTTGTGTGAAGAAAACTTTTTAAAAACAGCAACAAAGACAGACTATTAAGGAATGTAAACTGAGGAAAATATTTGCAATATATGGCAGGCAAAAAGTTAGTAGATTTAACATAGAATTTTATTTTTGTTAGGATGTACAAAAAATGCAGTTATATGAATACTCATTTATATTACAGAAAGAAGTTATTTAAATATTTTATTATTCTTGTAGATGCACTAATCTTTTGTTATTATTTCTATAGCAAAAACAAATTAGTTACTCAC
The DNA here is from genome assembly GCF_000001405.40 of Homo sapiens. NCBI lineage: Eukaryota > Metazoa > Chordata > Mammalia > Primates > Hominidae > Homo > Homo sapiens. The sequence goes on along the minus strand of NC_000001.11, from coordinate 227,101,217 downwards.
CAGGAGTATGCAGCATAGAACATCAGCAAGAGATAACCAAACTAAAGACTGATTTGGAAAAGAAAAGTATCTTTTATGAAGAAGAATTATCTAAAAGAGAAGGAATACATGCAAATGAAATAAAAAATCTTAAGAAAGAACTGCATGATTCAGAAGGTCAGCAACTTGCTCTCAACAAAGAAATTATGATTTTAAAAGACAAATTGGAAAAAACCAGAAGAGAAAGGTAAGAATCACATTATTTACTATACAGTAAATACTTACTGAGTACCTGTTATGTGTCAAGTATTGGAGATACATAGACAATAAACATATCCTAGACCTAAAGGAGACCAAAGTCAGGATTGGCAGATAGAAAATTATAATACAGCATGATAGAAAAGCAAATGGGATGATAATTCTGAACAAAATTACTTCTAGCTGGGTATGATGGCACACGCACACACACACACACACACACACACACACACTAGCTGGGTATGATGGCAGACACACACACACACCTATAATCTGAGCTACTTAAGAGGCTGAGGAAGGAGGCTTACTTGAGCCCAGGAGTTCAAGCCCAGCCCAGGCAACATAGTAAAACCCTATCTCTACCAGGGAAAAAAAGAAAGAAAGAAACGATAAACTTCTAAGCTGAGATATAATTAGTAAGAAAGAAGTAGCTAGGGAGGAGTGTCCAGGGAGGATGTGCTAAGATCTAAAGGAAAAGGGGGACATGCCACATTCAGAAAATGATAGCTGTTTACTATGACTGAAACATAAATAGATGAGAGTGGTGAGAAATGAAGCTGGAAAGTAAAATAGAGGCAAAGTCATGACAGAATACAAGGCATTTGCACATTATCCTCAGGCCATTGAAGAAAGGTGACATGATTATATTTACATTTTTGAATCACCACTCTTGCTACTGTGTGGAGAGTGAAGTGGGAGGAGCAGGCTGGAGGTAGGAATCCAGCTGCGAGAGATGAGGTGTGGGCCTCAGGTGGTGATAGTGAAGATGGAGAGAAGTGGATGGATTCCATCTACTAAGAAGATAGAACCTGGAGAACGTAATAAGCAGCTGTGAGAAATGAGGGAGCAGGAGAAATTATCAGTTATACTCAGCTTTCTAGATTTCAGGCAACTGAATATATGTTATTGTCATTCTCAGCTTATATTGGAAGCCCAAATTTATTCAATTTGGTGCATTTATTCATTCAGTAATATTTTTTAACCTACCATATCTGACGCACTGTTGTAGGGACTGGTACAAAAAGACAATAACAATGAAAAAAATTCCTGTCCCATAGAACTTTCTATAAGTAAAACATAGAATACATTAGATAATGATAAATGCTAAGAACAAAAAAGTAAGAGGAAATCCGTTCTATGAAGCATTCAAGGGAGGGTTAAATTATATAAATACAGGATGGCCAGGGAAAACTATACTGAGAAGGTGATTGATTTCTTAGTTAAAGATTAAAACAAGAAGAGATGTTTATACAGATGTGTGAAAAGAGCATTCTACATGGAGAAGAATAAGTTTTTTACAAAATAGTGAGGAGGCCATTGTGGCTCAAGTAGAATGATGGGAAAAGAATAGTAGAGACGAGAGAGGAGGCAACAGGGGGCCACATCATGTAAAGCCTTGTAAGTCATATTTAGTGGATGCATAGTTTCTTATTCTGAGTAAAACTATTGCAGGGAATTACAGTCATGCATTGCTTAACACCAGGGATATTTTCTGAGAAAGGTATTGTTATATGATTATATACAAGATTTTTTTTAAAAAGGGTACACCTATATAAGGCACTTACCATGAATGAAGCTTACAGGACTGGAAGTTGCTCTCGGTGAGTCACAACTAGAAGGTCTTCAGGGACAGTTACATACATGAAATTGTCATTTCCTATGACAACAGTGCCTTCTTCGGGAATACTTCCTGAAGGACCTGCCTGAGGTTGTTTTACAGTTAACTTTTAAAAAAATATTAAGTAGAAGCTGTATACTCTAAGATAACGATACGAAGTATAGTAAATATATAAACCAGTAACACAGTCATTTATTATTAAGTATTAGGTACTGTACATAATTGTATGTGCTATACTTTTATACTGCCGACAGCACAGTAGGTTTGTTTACACTGACATCACCACATACACGTGAGTAATGCTTTACATTAGTACTTAAAACAGTTACAATATCACAGGTAATAGGAATTTTTCAACACCACATAGTGTTCCCATAAGATTATAATAAAGTTGAAAAATTTACGCAGTTATGGACTAATGCATTATGGACTAATGGCAGTCCATAGTTGATCAAAATGTCATTATGCATTACATGACTATATTGTAGAATTCTGAGCAGAAAAGTGACAACTGATTTGTGTTTTAATAGGATCACTCTGAATACTAGGTTAAGAGTAGTCTGAATTAGGTAAGAGCAAAAGTGATGAGACCACTTAGAAGACGATTGAAGTAATCCAAGCAGAAGATGACAGTGGCTTTGGCCTAGAGTAGTGGCAAAAGGGATAAGAAGGGTTTGAATTTTAATGATCTTTAAAGGTAAAGATAGCAATGTATTGATGGACTAGGTATGGGATGAGGGAGAAAAAGGAAGACTCAAGGATGATACTAAGGTTTTTGGTCCAAGCAGTTGGGAGAATATATTACTAGAAAGGACGACTACAGGAGAGGCAAGTTTGGGATTGGGAGTGTTATCAAGGGCACATTTTTTCCCCTGACAAGACTCTTTCATAAACAGAAAGAGCTCATTTTAAACAGTTACAGTTGAGATGCTTATTAGACATTCAGTTGGAGATGTCAAATAGGCTGATGTATAGACCAGCCTGGATTTGGGGGCAGGAGGTAAAATCCTGAGAATATTTATCACTTCCATGGCATTTAAACCTCTGAGACTGTATGAAAACACTTAGTGAATGGATATAGATAGAAAAAAATTTCTTAGAACTGAGCCTTGGGGTACTCCAATTTTTGGAAGTCAAGAGATGATGAGGAACCAGCAGAGTGGATAGAGAAAGGGCAGTGAGAATGACAGCATAATAACAGGCAAATTTAGTGTCCTTGTGTTAGCAGCGCCGAATCCATATGTGTTTGCAGCAGCCTCAATTCTTGCCTCCTCAGAATAAAGAATTAGACCAAGGGGCATAAGACAGGGAGAGACTGAGGCAAGTTTTAGAACAGGAGTGAAAGTTTGTTAAAAAGCTTTAGAACAGGAATAAAAGGAAGCAAAGTACACTTGGAATTGGGCTAAGTGGGTGACTTGAGAGATTCAAGTGTATGATTTAACCTTTGACTTGGTGTTTAACCTTTGACTTGGCATGCTTCTGTGGGGTTGCATCCCTTCTCTGATTCTTCCCTTGGGGTGGGCTGTCCACATGCACAGTGACCTACCAGCACTTGGGAGGGGCTGCATGCACAGTGTGTTTACTGAAGTTGTACACGTGCTCATTTGAGGCATTCTTCCCTGACTGGTTGAGTGCTCCTAGAAGAAGGTCATATGCCACCAGTTAAACTCCACCATTTTGCCTCTTAGTGTGCATGCTTGAGCCCACTTGCCTAACTCCTGAGTCTTATTGGGAAGCTGCTGATCACCAGTTTCAGGCTTTTCTATCTAGTGGTAGACTGCCTTTTCCTGGCACCAGGTGTGACCAATTATTATTTTAGAGAGACAGTTTAACAACCACCTGATCATCACCTGATGTGGCCATTCCTGGTTGGGGGTGTCCTCCTGTCCTGCTTATGTCTGCCTGACTGCCTACTGTAACACTGGAAACCAAGTGAAGAAAGCATATAAAGTCTGTCAGCATGTCAAATAAAATGAGTTCTGAATCAAATGAGATAAGGACTAAATAATGACATTGAGTTTAGCAATAGCAATATGAAGGTCATTGGTGCCTTTGATAAGAACAATTTTGTGGAAAAGTAGAGGCAGAGACCCCACAGTAGGATCAAAAGAGACTGGAAGGAGAGCAGTTAGAGGCAGAACATAGAGGTAAAACTATTGTACTTTGTTGTGTGGGTGTGTGTGTGTGTTTTAAGATGGAAAAAATAACAGCATGCTTGTAATCTGATAGAAATTATAGATGATTGGAGGAGAGAGGAGAGGAGGAAAGTACTGGAGCAAAGTACTTGAGGATGTTCATAATGAAGGGGTTGGCCTTACTCGATCCTGTTTTGTTTTTTTTAACCTATCATGAAAAGAGAAAGTAGAGTATATGGACATAGATGGGGTGGTGGGAACTTGTCTGTGTGTTGAGCTCTCTTGTTGAGTTGGGCATATTGAACTTGTGGTGCTTGGAAGACATCTTTGTGGAGATGTCAGGTCAGTTTGAAGGCCACAAAAGCTTCAAGTGTAGATTCAGAGATCATCAGCTGAATACATAAATAAAACCAGCTGGTGTCATTGATGAGCTAACTCAGGCAGCATGTGTAGAGAGGGAAGAGACAGCACCTAAGACAGAATACTGAGGAGCATTGATATTTACAGGAAGGATGGAAGAGTCACAAAGACAGCTGAAAAGAAGCCAGGAATGTAGACTAAAACTAGGAGAGCATGGGATCCCTGAAGTCAAAGCCAGACAGCATGTCAAGAGGGCAAGAGTGGACAACACTGTCAAAAGTGGCCAGCAGGTTGGATGTAATCACAGGCAGTGTTGAGTTTTGAGAGAGCTGTTTTCTTGAGATGGTGGAGGCAGAAGCCAGATTTTGGTGTGGTGGAGAGCAACTAAGCGATGAAAAAGTAGTTACAGAATCTGTTTCAGGATGCTTACCAGTGAGTGGGAAGACAAGGATTTAGGAAATGAATTGTGACACAGGGTATGGGGAGAGTTTCTTTATTTTTAATATGGAAGAGACTTAAGCTTGTTTAATGCTAACAGGAAAAAGAATGGTTTTACATGAAAATTTTACTCAATTTATTTGTGTACATATTTTTCTGAAAGTCTTTGCAGTTTTTTTATTGAAGTTGCTTCTGTGTTAGGAAAGCTTCCTAAACATAACTAAATTTAACATCTGTCTATAGATAGTAGTGAAGTGACAAATTTGCTTGGAGATGGAGGTTGGCTTATTTTCCTTGAATTTGTCATTTAAATTATAATTTATCTTCAATAATGTTATGTAGGAGATTTTTAAGATTACACTTTTAAGATCAACCATTACTTACATTGTTTGTTCACCAGAAAGCAATCATATAAAATTACCCAGAACTGATCCACATGGAATTTCATTTATTGCTAACATCCTATAGCATCCATCAAATTGCTGTAGATATATGCCTGTTTGTCACATAACAATATAGTCTTCAAAAACTTATTCCTTGCTGGGCACGGTGGCCCATGCCTGTAATCTGAGCACTTTGGGAGGCTGAGGCGGGCGGATCACCTGAGGTCAGGAGTTCGAGACCAGCCTGGCCAATATTGTAAAACCCCATCTCTACTGAAAATACAAAAATTAGCCAGACACAGTGGCATGTGCCTGTAATCCCAGCTACTCCAGAGGCTGAGGCTAGAGAATTGCTTGAACCTGAAAGGCGGAGATTGCAGTGAGCTGAGATCGCACCACTGCACTCCAGCCTGGGATACAGAGTGAGACTCTTGTCTCAAAAAAAAAAAAAAAAAAACCAAAGAACTTATTCCCCTTTTTTCCTTAGAAGATTTTTTAAGTCTTATTAAAACTGTGTTTACTTCTAAGGGTAAATAAGTCATCATGATCCACAGAACTATCATTTTAAATAAGCTTTGTAATATTATAATAATAATGTGTATATATGTAGATGTAAGAAGGAATGGCTGAAAGTATTGATAGAACTGTTGGAAATTTAATTGAACTTTTAATACAATCTAGGGTTGAGAACAAGGAATCATTTTGTGGTTCATATATCCTCTTTCCCTAACCTCTCCTTTCACCATGCTTTCTAGTATATACATAATCAAATAAGGTGAGCATAGGAAGTCTACACATCACAGATGTTTTCCTCAGATTTCCAAATGAAACACAAATAGATGTTATTAAGTATACGTTCATTGAACTCATTAAAAGTAAATGAGTGTGACTTTTAATTTTAAGGGAAAGGATGAGGATTTGGAAGCATCAGGCTATAAGTAAAGCAGATGGTGCAATAGCCAATCTGGAATACTGTTATTTTCAATAAAATCAGGCAATGCAGTTCCATTCTGGCATTTTCTGCTGTCATTTGCAGACTGTCATCTGAAGACACCTACCATAGTGTTTCTCCAGGATGCTAATGTGCCCTCTCACTGGTGTATTTATTAATGCCTTGGTGAAAGGAGTGCTTTGTGGGTGGCTGACCAGGTTGCACATAATAGGTCCACTCTGACATTCTCATCTCTTTGAGCCAGTAGACCCTTTATGCTCAGTAAGTCAAATATCTCGAGCTAATTGACTGTAGGCCACTATTGGGTCCAAAGTCCAGGCTTCAATTACTCAGCCTAGCAGTGAAAAACTACACCTGAATATTGAGTCAACACATTAAACCACAAATCCTAGATGAGTATGTGCATTTGATAAATTTGGCTGTATTTAATTTTTTATTTACCCACCTTGGGGTAACACCCTTCTGACCTGAAGGAAGAAGCTGAGGCACAGGATATGTTTAAAGAGTTTGTTTGAGCCAAAGTGAGGACAGCTGCCAGGAACACACTTCCAGGTTACCTTGAGGAGTGCTCCATTAGGTCTTTGTTACAAGTAGGGTTTTAAAAGCAAAAGGAGGCAAGGGCTGGGCTGATACAAAGTTGTTTGACAGGCATTTTCACTGGTTTACAAAATAACATTGATTAGTGACTGGCTATTCATTGTTGAACTATAGCGTGTGAGTCATGGTCTCCAGTGTATGGCATTTTATGGCTACTTGGCATCAGTTTAGAGCCCACATAGCAAGTGGCCTCAAGAGGTGATTATTTAGCTCAAGGTGGGAGTGAGATGTGACTGCTCTCACATTTTAAATACCTCTCTGGGCCTGATAATTTAAATGGTCTCACATTCCTCAGATAAAAAAAGTTTATTTTCTTTCTCAGCTCTTAGAATTCATTTCTGTATGCTGCCCATACTCCTTCCAATATAAATTGCCAAAATGCTTTAACACCTTCATTGCTTTTATATCTAGTCTCTGCTGTGATCTTAACTGTCATCATAGGCCTGAAGACAATGACAAGTGATTGGGTAGGTGTTAAAGATAGTTGGCCTCCCTTTTTGATGTAACTATTTCAGGTGAAGTTAATAAATGATTTATGCAAAAACAGGTTGGTTGCCTCAGGTTATAGCTGCTTTGAGGAAGGGGATGAGATTGCTTCTACCTGCAGAGGTTTGAAGCAATACGAGAGTTCAGAGTTCTCAGCACTGTCTTTTGCTGCCTGAAGGTTCCAATATGTTGTCCAAAAGACAGAAACTGAGACAAAATTAATATAGAGTTTATTTGGGCCAAGGTTGAGGACTGCAGCCCAGGAAACACAGAGAAGTGCTCCAGAGAACAAAAAAGAGGCTCAGGTTTTTAAAGAAAAATCAGGAGAGGGAACATACAAAAGTCTTTGGTCAGGAGTTCTCACTGGTTTGCAGAAATAACATTGATTAATGATTGGCTGTACATTGTTGAACTATAGGGTATGAGTTATGGTGTCCAGAATATGGCATTGTTGGGTTAATTTATAGCTATTGGTGACACTCAGTCTGGAGTCCACATAGCTGGTAGATTACTTAGCTCAACTGGGAGAATAAGATGTGACTGCAGTCACATTTCAGTGCCTGTCTGGCCCTGCTAATTTAAAGGGGCTCGCATTTCTCATAAAAAGTTTCTTTTCTTTCTCACATCTCATGTCTTGGGGACTGCACTCATTCTGAATCCACACCCTTAGCCTAAGAGGTTTGGTCAGTGTTGTGCAGATCAACATTTTGCACCTTCTGATGGGATGCACTGAGAAACATTGTTCTTGTGGTATTCCAGCCAAAAATGAATTCTTTGAGACTAGTCATAAACATCAGATGGCCCCAGGTTGAGTGTCACTGTACATAATTAGAGACCTATACATTATAAAACTGTTGTGAGAGATAGGGAAGACTGAGGAACTGTTCTAGACCAAGGAAAATTGAAGAGACATGACTACTAAATGCAACACATGTTTCTCAGTTGGATCCTGGGCTTCATAAGAAAAGGAGACATGGTAGGGATAACTTGAATTGTGTCTGTGAATTCAGATGGTAAGTGTTCTAGTAATGTTGATTTTTTTAAATTGAGAGGATTGCTTCGTGATTATGGTAGAGTGTCCTTGACTTTGAAAGATACACACTGGAGTATTTAGGGGTAATAGGGCATAATATCTGCAGCTAGCTGCCTCTCAGTGGTTCTGAAGAACACTAATAAAATCGGTATATACACAATAATAGAGAAAATGCAGTAAAATATTTACAATTGGGGAATCTGGGTTAAGAGTATACAAAAATTCTTTGTACTATTCTTGTAACTTTGCTAATAATAATGAAATTATTTCGAAGTAAATTTTTTAAAATTTCTGAACTCATAAATTCTAATTATGAACAAAATGTTTGGAATACTATTGTTAATCAAATTGATAACACTAGGAAGTGGCTCTGGCCTAATACTAAATAAGGGCCCAGCAACTTTGTATTTTGTAAGAATATTGTGGTGGAAATACACAAAGAAAAGTATCTAATTTGGTCTCAAACTAATTTGCCTTTGGATAGAACGTAATGCATGTGAAGCAAATGGCAATTATTATTTTCATTTTGGTCCATTATCAACCTTGATGTACGTTCTCTGACTATATAATCTAAAGTAGCCACCCTCTCCCAAATACTTTTTGCATTGCCATATATATACAATTTAGAACTTATTATCTGAAATTAGTTCATTTTACTCACTCTTCATTGGCAGTCTGCCTCTACCAGAATATAAGCTCTGTGAGAGCAGTAGCTGTCAAGACCTGCAACAATTCCTTGGCACCTAGTAAGCACTCCATAAATAGTTGGTAAATGAATGAACAAATCAGTATTATTGTAATATAAATTCCTGGAACATGCTTTCACCAGGCCTGTCATTATATATAAACAAGCTGTATTCTATGGGGACAACATTTCTGCAGTTCAATCTGATATTTTGTGTTTTATGTAACTATTGGAAAAATAATTTCAAGTTTTCAAATGACCTTTAATTCCCCTTTTTCCTTTTGTGTTTTGAATTGTGTTAGTCAAAGTGAAAGGGAGGAATTTGAAAGTGAGTTCAAACAACAATATGAACGAGAAAAAGTGTTGTTAACTGAAGAAAATAAAAAGCTGACGAGTGAACTTGATAAGGTGAGTGATTTAATCTCATATTAATTGAGTAGTACATGCTAGATGTTCAACACTGATAGGAATTGTGGGTATAACTTTATATTTGACATACATTTTTGTTTAATAGTCTTTCTCCTGAGTTATGTTGCTTCTATGATATATGCAATTCTTTGTTATAATAATCTGATAGGAGTCTTCTGAAGAGAGAGTTTTGCTTATCTCCTTTTATTCTTTGTCCCATATATTTTTTTGAGCCTCTTATTTATTTCACTCTCCATCCAATTAGTCCATTTTGGGGTTACTATAAAGGAATACCTGAGACTGGGTAATTTACAAATAAAATAGATTTATTTTGGCTTATGGTTCTGCAGGTTGTACAGGAAGTGTGGTGCCAGCATCTACTTCTGGTGAGAGTCTCAGGAAGCTTCCAATCATGGCAGAAGGTGCAAGGGCAAGGGAGGGAGCAAGAGAGAGACTGGGGAGGTGCACACACTTTTGAACAACCGGATCTCAGTGAGAACTCACTTATCACCAAGGGGATGATGCTAAACCATTCATGAGGGGCCTGCCCTCCTGATCCAGTCACCTCCCCCCAGGCCCCACCTCCAACACTGGGAATCACATTTCAACCTGAGATTCGAAGGAGACAGACATTGAAGTCATATCACCATCTGTTCTCTTTCTTACTCTTTTTTTTCATATATTCATCGTTTACCCCGTCACGGATGGCTAATAAGTTCAGGCCAAGTTAAGGCTGTCCCTTGGCAAGAACAGGGACAATTAGGCCAAACCTGGAGAAATTGTAACAGCTGATTCATATTCACAAAGAAGAACTAGTAAAGCTAGAAATGATACCAGGGGTAGGTGATATCTAAAGAAACCATCTCAGCCTGATTTCTAGCTTGCATACAGAATCATGTATTGAACTGAGAAGTAGCCATATTCATGAACAAAATTTCAAATACTTAAAGGAATTTTTTTCCCACTTAGTATCTCAAATTTCCCAACTTCCCACCATTCTGCATTTCTTGTGCTAATTCCTAGCAAGCAGTTGTAAAAATCCTAATATTAACCAGAAGTTTATTGTTTGTTTGTTTTGATACAGTCTCGCTCTGTCGCCCAGGCTGGAGTGCGGTGGTGCAATCTCGTCTCACTGCAACTTCCGCCTCCTGGGTTCAAACAATTCTCCTGCCTCAGCCTCCTGAGTTGCTGGGACTACAGGCGCACACCACCACACCCAGCTAATGTTTGTACTTTTAGTAGAGTTGGAATTTCACCGTGTTGGCCAGGCTGGTCTTGAACTCCTGACCTCAAGCAATCCGCCCACCTCAGCCTCCCAAAATGCTGGGATTACAGGCGTGAGCCACCATGCCTGGCCACATGAGCCACTGCGCCCAGCCCAGAAGTTTTAATAATTCTACTTAAATTTAAATAATAAGGGCTGGTTAATTGTATTTTATAATGATATCTAGTATTTTCCTCCAATAAAAATATTATGTTCAATTATTAGTTATTCCAATAACAGACTGAAAGACCTTGACTTGTAAAATAGAGACTCTTCCTTTTGTTTTCTGTATAGCTCTGTATTTCTCACTATTTTCCCCATGATTATTCAGCATTTAAAATGCTAAATAAGTATTTAAAACATTTTTTAAATGACTGCTTGTTTTCTAAGCCTTTAAAAAATGACTAGTTGAAAACTACTTGAGAAAGAATACTGTTCACATCATAAAGTCTTGTAAAGCTAACATACACAAACATTGTAGGAAGTGGCTGAACAGTAAGTAATATAAATTGATTTTTTAAGCCATGAATAGTGCATGAACTTTAACAGTTATTTCCATTGAAATAAGACTAACAATATTTGAACTTTATCCAAGCAGGTCAATAATTGTTATTTCATGTGTTGACTAATTTGATTACAAAATTTAATGTCATTTTGTCCTATAAGACAGAATTTTAAGATTCTGTTGAGTTACCTACTAAAAGATGTTATTACATTTTAAGAAAAATTGTATTGGAAAATAACTTGAATGTAGATCAAATTTTTGCATTCAATTATTGGTTTAATTTCATTGTTAGCCATACATTTCTGCTGAGTTTATCCAAAATACATATTTAGAGAGAATTTTTCAAAACTTCTCATTTGATTAAAATTGTGTTGCAGTCTAATACATCCATGAGAAATGGACATACTTAGGCCTAGTATATGTAATGAAGCCTCCTTGATGAGGCCTGAAGGATAGTTTGTTTTTAAAAAAAAAAAAAAAAAAAAAAAACGGAATTACCCATTCTTGCTAAATTGAAAGATAGGTAGGATATGAGTAGCACCTTAAGAGCAAATTCATATGGTAGGTAAATATTTAATGTCCAGTGGTTACAGGGCAGTATTTATTCCTGAAGAAATGGGAGAGATCTGGAATCTCTATTTCCATTTGAACCTCTGCTCTGTTTCTCAAACTTTTGTTCAATTTTTGCATCTCTCTCTTCCTAATTCTCAGTCTACCTTTCCCTTTTTAATTCTGTCTGTCTCAGTAGTGATAAGCTGAACTTCACTGTACATCTTCACTTTCCATTTATTCATTTTCCAATTTGGTTAGAAGTGGGTAGTTTCCCCAAGGATGACCACAGAAGCATTTGCCATTGCTACACCAACTGTTCCATTGGGAACCAGCTTGAAGAGAACTGGATCTCTTCTTGACAGAATTACAGATCTAGAAGTCAGAAAGCAATTATTAGGTTAATTTTGAAAGGTACATATTACAGATTTTCACGTTTTTAAATTCCAAAAATAAAAACGTTTAAATAAATTTTTAAAAATTAGATGACATTTTTGTAAATCTTATAAACCCCACCTTCTATTAAAAGATAATTCATTGCCAGCTGGGCACAGTGGCTCACACCTGTAATCCCAGCACTTTGGGAGTCCGAGGCGGGCAGATCGCTTGACGTCAGGAGTTTGAGACCAGCCTGGCCAACGTGGAGAAACCCCATCTCTACTAAAAATACAAAAATTAACCGGGTGCGGTGGCACGTGCCTGTAGTCTCATCTACTAGGGAGGCTGAGGCAGGAGAATCACTTGAACCCAGGAGGTGGAGGTAGCAGTGAGCCGAGATCGCACCACTGCACTCCAGACTGAGCGACAGAGCGACAGTCTGTCTCAAAAAATATATATATATATCATTGCAAATATAATTAGCCATCTGGTTTCCTTCAATCTCATAACAAATTTTTAAAAATCAGCCATTTATGCCAGTGAGTAAAATTAATTGTTTACAGTAAGAAAAGTTGTAATTTGTTTTTAAAACTTGTTTTGTTTTTAAAATATTTTCAAAAAATGTGGAAAATATTTAACATGAAAGTTACCCATAATGTGATCACCACAAAACAGGTATTTTAATTTTGTATGTTCCTTTCCAGGTATATCCTTATTATTACATAATTGCAATCATGTATACAATCCACTTACTAATCTGCCTTTTCACTTAAAATGTTAAGAGCATTTTTTCGTATTCCTATGTAGTCTTCTTATAAGTCAAATGTGTCAATGTACAAATAGTAAAACCTCATTTTCAAACATGAAAAATGAACTAATACTTAAAATTTACTATGTGCAGGTCATCTTTGGAATTACTTCATATAACTCATTTAATTTTCACAATAACTCTCTAAGGTGTACCCTTTTGTTCTTGCCATTTTATAGATCAGGAAACTAAGTCAAAGAAGGGTTAAACTACTTTCCCAATCACAAGAATAAGAAGTAGGATTTGAGTACAGGTAGTCGGGCTCCGGAGTCCATGCTTTTATTTGGTAATAATGCAAAGATTAACTTTTTTCTAACCGATTCCACATACATTAAGCAATCTATTGAAAACTGCTTGTCACTGTTGTAATATGACAGTGCAGAGTTTGCATTTTCCTCCTTCTCTTGCAAATCTCCAACTGAAACCCCAACCACAAATGTGGAAGGGCTATAAAAAATAATGGTAATCCAAAATGGATATTAGTGCAGGAATTAATGTAAGAGAAGATGCTGCACATACAACTCTCAAAAACAGCTGATAGACTTCTGGCTATGCTAATATGAAGAAATTGATTAATCTTCTAAAAAAATACTAAAAAGCAAATGCAATTGTCAAAAACAATCATTTCAGAAGTCTTGGAGTTAACCAGAGGAAGATGACAGCTACAGAATACTGCTAAGATAAATTAAGGACTATCTGAACAAATGGAGAGATAAACTATGTTAATGGATTGGAAGACTCAATATTGTTGGGATAGCAATTCTCCCCAAATTGATCTATAGGTTTTGGGACATCCCTATCAAAATTCTGGTAGGCTTTTTGTTGGAATTCACAAGCTTACCCTTAAACTTATAGAGGAATAGAAAAGACCAAGAATAGTTCAGATATTTTGAGTAAAGTTAGAAGTCGGAGGATTAACACTATGTAATTTTAATACTTGCTATAAAAATGCAGTAATCAAAAACATGTAGTACTGGCATAATGAAACGAAGAGTCCAAAAATAAGTTCTTACATTTATGGTCAGTTGATTTTCTGCATAAGTGCCAAGGCAATTCAATGGAAAAAGGATAATCTTTTCATATAGTACTGGAACAATTGGATATCCATATGTGAGAAAAAATGAACTTGGATCCTTACCTCATACCTTATACAAAAATTAACTCAAAGTGGATCACAATCTGAAATATAAAAGGTAAGCATAGGAGAAAGTCTTTGTGATTCAGGGTTAAAAATGTCAAGATAATGACATTAAAAGCACAGTGCATGAGAGAAGAGTAATGATAAATTGAGCATCAAAATTTAAAAAGAACATTAAGAAAATGAAAAGACGTGCACAGATGGGGAGGAAATATTTCCAAATCATTTATCTGAAAAAAGACTTGTATTCATAATATGTAAAGAACTCTTAAGGTGGACGTGGTGGTTCATACCTATAATCCCAGCACTTTGGGAGTCTAAGGCATGAGGATCACTTAAGCCCAGGAGTTCAAAACCAATCTGGGAAATATGGTGAGACCTTATCTCTACACAAAATCTTTTTTAAATATTAGCTGGGTGAGGTGGTGCATGCCTGTAGTCCCAGTTACCTGGAAGGCTAAAACGGGAGGATTTATGTGAGTCCAGGAAGTCAAGGCTGCAGTGAGTGGAGATGACACCACTACCCAGAGTTTGACCCTGTCTCAAAAAAAAAAAAAGGAAAAAAAAACCTCTTAAAATATAAACAACTCAGTGTTTTAATGGGTAACAAAGCCGAATAGACATTTCATGAAAGATGATACATGAATAACAAATAAGCACATGAAAAGATGATCGTCATTAGGAGAATGCCACTTAAAACCACAGCAAGATACTGCTGTATACCCTCGAGAATGGCTGTAATCAATTGGCGTGACCGTATCAACTATTGATGATGATATGGAGGAACTAGAACTTACACACTGCTCATAGGAGTATAAAATGGCATAGCACTTGTAGAAAATAGTTCCAAAAATTCTCAAAAAGTTAAACATATACTTACCATACAACCTGGCAATTCTCCTATTTACTGAAAAGAATTGAAAGCATAGTCCCCTTAAGACTTACATATGAATTTTCATAGCATAATATTCTCATAATAGTAAACAACTGGAAACAGTACAAATGTTTATCAATGGTGCATGATAAACAAAGCATATCATACCCATATACTAGAATACCACTCAGCAGTAAAAAGGAGTGAAATTCTGATGCATGCAACAGTATTGAGGTTCAACTTCAATAATCTAAGTGAAAGAAGTCCAATACAAAAGACTGCATATTCTGTTATTTCATTGATAGAAGATTTCAGAAAATGTTTCTACAGAAACAGAAAGCAGGTCAGTGATGCCTAGAGAAATCAGAGTGCGGACCAAGATCAATTATAAATAGGCATGGGGATATTTCTTGAGTATTAGAAGTGTTCCAAAACTGGATTGTAGCAATCACTGTACAACTGTTGAAGTTTGCTAAAAATCATTCAAGTATACACTTATAATGGGTGAATTTTATGTTATATAAATTATACCTCAGTAAAAGTGTGAAAAAAAACTGGTAAACTATATTTTCAGAGGCAAATGGCACACCCTAAGGTACAAACTTAAATCTCTTGTTTGCAATAGGCAAATCAGTGTGTGCCAGCAGTGAGTGATAGCTTCCCTGGATCTCATTTCCTTTTGGGAAGACAAGGAGGTTGGAGGTAGGATTAAATGGGGTATTACAGACAAACTCTATATGCATAAAACAATTTGTTGTTGTTGTTTTGCCAGAGGGGAAGAAATGAAACTTTGCTTTGTGATTTGTGCCAAAATTGCCTATCTCTGCACAGAAATACAGGTTCAAAATGCACACCAATAAAATCCTGTGTCATCAGTAGAATTCCTAATAGCTTAGAATTGAGAGTTGGCAAACTATGGCCTCTGGCCAAATCTAGCTCCCAGATTGTTTTTGTCTGACCCACAGAATAAAAATGATCTTTACATTTTTAAATGGCTATTTTTAAAAAGAAGATGACGATGATGTGAGATTTTATGTGGCCCACAGAGGTGAAAATACTTGCATCTGGTTCTTTACTGGAAAAGTTTGCAGACCCTTGACTTAGAACATGGTTGTGGCCTGTATTAGTTAGGGTTCCACAGAGAAACAGAACCAATAGAGTGAGTGTATGTGGGGGGTGGGAGGTGGTATATGTATGTGTGTTGGGAGCAGGGGAGATTATAAGGAATTGGCTCAAGTGATTATATAGGCTGACAAGTCCCGAGATCTGCATTGGGCAAGCTGGAGACCCAGGAGAGTATATTTTGTAGTTCCAGTCCCAAAGCTTGGCAAGCTTAACATTCAGGAAAAGCTTCTGCCTCGTTTCAGGTCTGAAGGCAGGAGAAGCTGATGTCACAGCTGATGTTCCCCCCTACTATTGGTGCATTCAGCCTTTTTGTTCTGTTCAGGCCTTTAGTTGATCACATGGGGCTCACATACATTAGGGAGGGGGTTCTTCTCTCACTCTCCCAATTCAAGTGTTACGCAGAGACACCCTCACAGACCTACCCAGAATAATGTTTGACCCAATGTCTAGGCACCTTGTGGACCAGTCAAGTTGACAATCACATGGCCCTTTTATCCCTAAAAACCTGTAAATAGATCCTCTAGGAGCAACTCACCTTCATCAAAGTTGAGTAATCAAGAAGAAACTAGCACGGTATCTCTACAAACATACAAAAAAGGAAGAAAGGAGTGGTAATAAATAGCAGGTGAGACCATTTATCAGAAAAAAATGTAGCTCTGAAATAAAGTAGTATGCAAATATTTTTTCATGAAAAAAAAATTTTTTTTTTTTTTTTTTGAGATGAAGTCTCACTCTGCTGCCCAGGCTGGAGTGCAGTGGCACTATCTCTGCTCGTTGCAACCTCCGCCTCCTGAGTTCAAGCGATTTTCCTGCCTCAGCCTCCCAAGTAGCTGGGATTAAAGGCATGTGCCACCACACCCATCTAATTTTTTTATTTTTAGTAGAGATGGGGTTTTACCATGTTGGCCAGGCTGGTCTCAAACTCCTAACCTCAGGTGATCCTCCCACCTTGGCCTCCCAAAGTGTTGGGATTGCAGGCGTGAGCCACCACACCCAGCCTTTTTCATGAATTTTCTAAAAACTTAAAGCAAGAACTTTTTGCTTCTGTGACAGATTAGCTTACATCCTACCACCTCACCAAGAAGAGCTATAAAGCTGGATTTTAAAAATAATACTATATGAATACCACTTACAGTATTCATCTGTAAGAAGTCATTGGAGTGACAACAAGGAAACCAGGACTTTACTGACCAAGATCCTAAAGAGAAGAATAGTACAGAGCAGTGAGCCCAACATTTAGTGCCACTTTTCCTCTTTAGGCATTTGCAGATATGAAAGCAGAAAAACCTCAGAATCTAGGAAGTTGAACATGGTATTCCACAGTTTTACAAGGCTGGAGAGAGAAAAATGGAAGTGCATTGCCTATCAAGTTGCAGGATCTTTAGTAAATAATTCAAACTTTCAGTTGAACCCATTGAAAGCCTACATTTTAGGAGTAAGGGTGAGTAAGAAACATGAGTCCTCAGTGACTGAAACCCAGTCTCCAAGTATTTCAATCTTTGATCTATCTTTACTCTGATTGCCTACCAAAAGTAAAAGTAAATACTCTGTGGAGGAAGATATTATCCAGAGTCTTAAAATTATCTAAAGTTTGTATACACGATATGTGGCATGCAGTAAAAAATTACCAGGCATATCAGCAAACACAACCAAATCATTGAAAACCAAGAGAAAAATTCAACAGCAAAAACAAAATCAAAAAAGGGAAAATAAAAACCAGGCAGTCAGTAGAAACAGACCCGCAGGAGTTCGCAGTATGAAATTTTTATGAATGGACTTTAATCGTGTGATTTGTTCAAGAAAGTAGACATATGAAGGATTTCAGCAAACAACTGGAATCTATACAAAACTGTCAAATAGAATTTCCAGGAGCAAAAAATTAAATAACTAAAAGACTCAATAGAACATTTTAAAAACAGATTGGAGAGAAACAAAGAAAAGGACTGCATATGTTAAAAAAAAATTTTTTAGACTAAAGTGTAGTCAGGGATTAAAAAGAATAGAAAATATAGAAAGGAGGATCTAAGACATAGAGGATGTGATGAAAAGTTCTAACATACAAATAATTGGTTTCCCAAAAGGCAAGGAGAGAGATGGTGGCAGTGCAATATTTGAAGAGTGTTTATGGCCCAGAATTTTTCCAAACCTATGAGAAACATTTAGCCACAAATTCAAGAAATACCACAAACCCTAAAAGTGAAATAATTAATAGAAATCAGACCCCACTTAGACAAATCCTAGAAAAGCGGCCAGAAACCAACCAACATAAAATTCTAAAAGCAACCAGAGAAGAAAGACACATTACGTTCAAAGGCATGAAACTTCAACTGAAAACTGACCTCCCAACAGAAAAATTAAAAACGGAATTCAGAAGAAAAAGAATGTCCTAAAAGTGCTATAGTAAAATAACTGCCAACTTACAGTGTTATTTACAGCAAAAAATGCCTTCCAGAAATGAAGGCAAAAATTCAGAATGTGGAAAACTGCAGGACAACCTACATTCTTTTTTTTTTTTTTTTTTTTTTTTTTTGAGACAGAGTCTCATTCTGTCACCCAGGCTGCAGTGCAGTGACGCAATCTCAGCTCACTGCAAACTCCACCTACCGGGTTCAAGCAATTATCCTGCCTCAGCCTCCTGAGTAGCTGGGACTACAGGCACATGCCACCACGTCTGGCTAATTTTTTTTTATTTTTAGTAGAGACGGGGTTTCACTGTGTTACCTAGGATGGCCTCGATCTCCTGACCTCGTGATCCACCCGTCTCAGCCTCCCAAAGTGCTGGGATTACAGGTGTGAGCCACCGTGCCCAGCCAGGACAACCTGCATTCTTCAAGTCAAAAGAAAAATAAAGGTGTTGCAGGGGAACCTATAAATAAAATAGACTTAAAAGATGTATCGGGCCAGGCATGCTGGTGCATGCCTGTAATCACAGTAATTTGGGAGGCCACAGCGGGCAGATGGCTTGAGCCCAGGAATCTTGAGACCAGCTTGGGCAACATGCCAAGACCCCATCTGTACAAAAAAATTTAAAAAATAAAAAAATAAAAAATTAGCTGGATACTAATTTTTTTTAGCTGTAATCCCAGCTACTAGGGAGGCTGAAGTGGGAGGATTGCTTGAGCCTAGGAGGTGGAGGTTGTAATAAGCTGAGATCACACCACTGCACTCCAGCCTGGGTGACAGAGTGAAACCCTGTCTCAAAAAAAACATATATCCAGCCATTAAGCTGGGTTTTCTTATTGGTATCATGATTCAGTTTAATAAACAAGTTTTGTGATATGTTGAAGTAACTGGAAACTTGAACTATTACTATTTATGTGATATTAGGAAATTTGTGAAATTTGTAGTATGATGCTATCGTGGTTATATTTTAAAAGAGAGATCCTTATTCTTTAGAGATACATACAGTGATATGTATGGATAACATTGTATGATGTCTAGTATTTGTTCCCGAATAGTACAGGAGGAGGGGATAAGAGAACAGGCGTATAGGCCAGGCGTGGTGGCTCACACCTGTAATCCTAGCACTTTGGGAGGCCGAGGTGGGCTTATCATCTGAGGTCAGGAGTTTGAGACCAGCCTGACCAACATGGTGAAACCCCATCTCTACTAAAAAGACAAAAAATTAGCCGGGCGTGATGGCGCACATCTGTAATCCCAGCTACTGGGGAGGCTGAGACAGGAGAATCGCTTGAACCCGGGAGGCAGAAGTTGCAGTGAGTTGAGAATGTGCCATTGTACTCTAGCCTGGGCAACAAGTGCAAAACTCTGTCTGAAAAAAAAAAAAAGAGAGAGAGAACAGGCGTACAAGTGAAACAAGATTGATGTTGAAGTAATCATTGTTGAAATTAGGTAGTGGGGCTCATGGGAATTCATTTTTATTTTCCTTTTCTGTATATGCTTGAAATTACATGCTATTTTAAAGAAAAAATGACATAAAGACATTTTTGGAGAAAAAAAAAAGCTATTACCAACAGAAATGGGCAATTCTTAAGCCAAGTAGAGAATGTTCACAGAACCAAGTCACTGTAGGTTGTAAGGGAAAAGCAAAGGTAGCAGGAGAATTCAGAGTACTTGATATCCAAATTCAGTGAGCAAAAGGGATTATTATAATAAGACAGGCATTTTTGGGTAGATGATGTTGAGTAATCAAATTTGACAATACCTGTCTGAACACCTCGAATTCTTGGTCCTAAAAGTCATGCATGTCTTAAAACTATCTTTCAGCTTACTACTTTGTATGAGAACTTAAGTATACACAACCAGCAGTTAGAAGAAGAGGTTAAAGATCTAGCAGACAAGAAAGAATCAGTTGCACATTGGGAAGCCCAAATCACAGAAATAATTCAGTGGTGAGTGCTCTTTTAAACGTTTTTTTGTGGATGATTGTGAGTATGTGGCCAAGTTGGTATGAATTCCAGGTGGCTACTAATAATGGTTTTTATCTCATTTGTCAGATGTGATAAATAAGTTACTCTGAAAAGCACAGTTTTATTACTGATCTGTTGTGTTCTACTGTGTTTTCTGTTACATTCCTCTGTTCCCTAACTCTAACAAATGTCCCATACCAGCATTTAACACAGCTTCATTGAAATCTGATTATTATTACTTTCTAAGAAAATGTTACCACCTTCAGAGTCAAAGTTGGAATTCATCTGCTACCTATGGATGTTTCTTTCTAAGACCAAAAGTCCTGTATTTGTGAGTATTTTAAGAAATGGAAGGCCTGCAAAAAAAACTTAGAAGCTAAAGATACTGTACTGTTATCTTGTATCATGATTATACCAGATTAATTCACACATGGCATTTTTAAAACCTTAAATGGTTACATTTTAGTTTTATCAGCTCTTTCTTAAGCTCTTGGGATTTAGTTTGGAATATTCATCTTAGTAACCTTCATATTCATTTATTAAACGATTATTCTGGTGCTGGTAAAAAAATTTCATATTTTAATAATACATGGGGAAAGTAGAATCTAATGAAGACTGTATTTCCAAGTAAAAATAGGTAACTTAACTTTTTATATTTATTTAACTTTTGAAATCCATTTTGGCAAATGGTAGGTGTTTAATTTATATCAAAACAAATACAGGTTGAGCATTCCTAATCTGAAAATCTGAAATCTGAAATGCTTCAAAACGTGAAACTTTATGAGTGCTGACGTGACACCACAAGTAGAAAATTTTAGACATGACTTTGTGATGGGTCACAGTCAAAATGTTGTTTCATACACAAGAAATTATTATAAAACATTGTAAAAAGTTAACCTTCAGGCTATGTTTATAAGATGTATATAAAACACAAATTTTGTGTTTTGTCTTGGGTCCCATCCCCAAGATAATCTCATTATGTATATTCAGGTATTCCAAAATTTAAAAAAAAAACCTGAAATCCAAAATACTTTTGGTCTCAAGCATTTCATGTAAAGGATACCCAGCCTATAGTTTCATCATATATTTATAGATCAGTCATTTGTAGGGAATTTTAATTCCTGTATGCATATTTTGGTTCAAATGTTTTTCCATTAAGAGCTCTTAATGCTTATAATGTTTCTATTCAGTGCATATAAAGGGAATATGCAGATTGTGGAAATTTATTTGGGTTCTAGACAGTACAGTTATTGGTTCATTAATTTATATCTATATCATCAAGTCTGCATTTCTGAAGCAAAATCCATTTTAATGTTTAACCAAGTTTATAATATCAAAAATTATGACTTGATATTTGTGATTCCATTTTTATGTTATCAAATATATATGTAAGGAGGAGCTGAAAATGACTTCAGAAGACAGAGTCAAAACCTGTGATACTAGACTACTGATTTTTTCAAGTGTCTGGCATGATGAGTTCAGCTGGAATGGGAAGTGGTGCTAGTAATGGAAGGAAGCTTTCAATGTGGGCTTTGTAGAAAGGGTTAATAGAAAGGGTGAAGATGAAAGTTTTATATGATGCCACAAAACACTCACTATACACTTTTCACATTCAAACGAAATATGCAGAAATCAGAAATACGAGGAAGTCACTTTGCATGAAAGCTGTTATTAACCCTACTTTTTATTTAGAAATGGAGTAATAGATAGCAGATTGGCAAATACCCAAAGGGAAAAAGTAAAATATATATTCCCTGTTCAACTTTCTTACCACTTCAAAGTTAACTCTGTGAGATACAATATCCAAGTTTATAAAGGTCAGAAGACTGAGTTATTTTCATTTTTTGAGTTTAGTTTACAGATTGAGTATTCCTTATTCAAAATGCTTGGGACCGGAAGTATTTTGGATTTCTTTTGGATTTTGGGAAGTTTGCGTTATACTTAACAGTTCAGCATCCCTAATCCAAAAATTTAAGCATCTTGTCAGTACTCAAAAAGTTCCAGATTTGGAGGCATTTCAGATTTTGGATTTTCAGATTAGGAATACTCAACCTTCTTTTGAAAAATGAGGTAATGCTCAAACAAGATTATAGGACCTCATGACATATAGCACTTTAAATGTTTCCTGGGACAAATGAACAGTTTTAATACAAAACAAACACTGCAGTATATAAAACCTTTTACGAAGTCACTTCTAATGGCTCTTGAACTCCACCTCCTCTCTCTTTTGCTATGAAATATCCCTTTCATCAGAAACTCTTTTAGAGCAAGGACATCTTCTCACCGCCGTTAGAGTAGGAACCTTCCTTCTCGCCATTGGCTCATCAGAGGACTTCACGTTTTCTCTTTGAAATAATATTACAAAGAGAGGTTAGATTAATAGGCTAGTCCATAAGATTTATTTTTTAAATGTGTTTTCCTCACATAAGGCATTCTTCTGGTACAATAAGAGATACAGAGATCTATAAATGTAGTACTTTTCTTTAAGTAACTTGTAACTAAACATTTAAAGTTTAAAAACTATTTTGACCAGAGCTGGAGATAACTTATGAGACTTAAATATAAATGCCTTACATATTGAATAGATACTGACTTTTTAAAAATAAGAATGTAGTGTTGAGAAAATTATCTCAGACTAGTTGCTCAAGAAGGGTGGGAATAATCAGTTAAACTAGACTGTGTGTTCTGAAAACCCTGAGTTTAGTAAAATATCCTACACCTAGTTTGACCAAATTGGAGAATTTTTGTAAAAGAATAGTAGGAAATAAGAGTAATAAAGTTACTGCAACACAGTTGTCATGAATACTAGGTAAGAATTTTACCTTCACTTATTTGTAAGATGGAGAAGGTTTTTCAAAGGTAATGGTGTTAATTAAAATGATGATTAGGCAAATAGCTCTTAACAGTAATGTTCAGAATGAAGTAGAAGGTAATGTTGGAAATAAAGTGAACAAATGCAGGAGACATTGTGAAAGAAAACTCTATAGGACTTAATACTATTTACAAATGAAGGGCAAGAGATGAGGAGAAATTAGTATTCCTGAATTGTGAGTTAAGGAGGTTAAGAAAATGATGGCATCATTGAAGTAGGAAAGTTAAGAGGGGTAACCACCCTTGGGGAAGATGATACAATCAATTTTAGCTGTTATTTTATTTTGTTTGTTGGTAAGACTGAGGTGATCCTGAGACATCTTAGTAGAGATTTCTCATGCTTTTGAAAAACTAACATAAAGATTAGGATTAGAAATGTAAATTTGGGAATTAAATTCCTTGTGAATAAGGCCAGTGAAGTGGTTGAGATCTTTTTAAGGAGACAAGAAAGAAGGAGGATGGTAAGGGCTATATTATAAAAGCTAGATGAAACAGCTCTGTAGAGGAGAACCAGGAGAAGGGTTTAATAATTACAAAGCGTTTCAGTAATGAAACCTTTGTCTCTCTTTATTTAAATCCACTCACATATTTGAAACATTCCTCATTCAGTAATGCTCATTTGTGTATAGTAATAGCTTCTATTGATTAAAACATAAGAGTGTTCTGGTCATTAGGCTGGAAATTCACATGTATTCTTATTTAGTTATTACACCGGTCCTGTGAGATAGATATTTTTACTATCCCCATTTTATAAGTGGGATAACAAAGAGAAGTAATTTGCCCAAAGTTACACAGCTGGTAAGCACCAGAGCTAGGATTTGAAACCAGGTCTATATGACTTAAGAATCAAAGTTCCTAATTACTATATATGCCCCAACTTTTCAGGAACTGTCCCTTATTTGTCTTCTCAATATGCCCAATGCAATAGTATTTAATAAGTATTAACTAATTGATCATTTGAGAGAACTTGGAAGGGAAGGATTAAATGTGCCAAGAGAACACATAGATCTAAGTTGGCCTTCTGTAGTTGAGTTTTAACAGATTAGCTTCAGCAAAATAGTTGAGGCAGGAATTAGACTTCGGGAAGTATAGAGTAGTGAATGGAGGGTTTAATACTAGAGCAATTACACGTATGGAGTGTAACAATGAAAGAGGGAAAATGGGATGTTTGGGGATTTGTCAGTGAGGAGGACAGGGAACTTTTGGATTTGGTAGAGTTTGTACATGTTTAAAGGAACCAATGGAAATAATGAAATTGAAAATATGAGGTGTAGTAGGGAGGGTGATTATGTATAGTAATAATAACTGTTATTAAGAAATATTTGAATGATTTAGCCAAATAAAAGATAAGACACCTACCTCTAAAACTGGTTTTAAAAGTTAAGAGAATGAATATGAATAAACTTAACCAAATGGCCTACAAGCAAGGAGCAAGAGATAGTGTTGGGGCCAGGTGCGGTGGCTCACGCCTGTAATCCCAGCACTTTGGGAGGCTGAGGCGGGTGGATCACCTGAGGTCAGGAGTTCAAGACCAGCCTGGCCAACGTGGCTAAGCCTCATCTCTACTAAAAATACAAAAATTAGCCAGGCGTGGTGGCATGTGCCAGTAATCCCAGCTACTAGGGAGGCTGAGGTAGGAGAATTGCTTGAACCCAGGAGACGGAAGTTGCAGTGAGCTGAGATTGTGCCACTGTACTTTAGCATGGGCAACGGAGCAAGACTCTCTCAAAAAAATAAATAAATAAGAGAGAAAGATAGTGGTGGGGTTGGAGAAAGTAAGATTTTTTTTTAATGAGGTGGAAAAATAGACAAATAGCAATGATTATGAGAAGGAGTTGTGTGAGACTTAGAGTACAGTGGAACTTAAATGGCATGAGTTGCCCTCCAAACCAGTAATTCTCTATAGCCAAGAAAAAGAGAAATAGGTTTAATCAAAAGTTAGGAATTAGTGGAAGACTGCAGTTGTAAGGTGTTCAACATGTAAATAAATGTGTTCAACATGTAATGTGTTCAACATGTAAATAAAAAGCAAAGTTAGAAAAAAGAGATTGTCATATAAAATTCCAAATAACTTAAAGTCAGTTTACAAGAGGTTGATTTCCAAAGTTAATTAAACACATTGGACTTCACAGTTTCTTGGAAATGTGCATAAACTAAGATCTCTGAGCCATGGTAGATACTAAACCAGCACTAGGTGAGACCTGTTAGCCTGGGCACTTAAAGGATAATACAGTTTTCTTTATTGTTACTATATAAGTATCTTTTTTGTATTCTAAAAAAGATAATCTTCCTTCATCCCAATTTATTCTCTACACTATAGATCAGGTAATTAAATGAAAAGATTACAGTCACTTGTAGTCAAAGAATTTTAGAAGGACACAACCCTTGCTACACAAACATTCTTAAAATAATTTCCAAAACCATTTTTCTTTAACAGGCAATAAAAATGTGTACATGTAGATAGAGCCTAGGAATGTGTAACTGTCCCTTACCATGGTTTTATTGCATCTCCATATTTTCTTTTGCTTATACTCCAAAGACAATCTCCCATCTAAGAGGAGAGAGCAACAAGCCTCTTTTAAAGGGCCTCTTTAAGATATATATAAATTTGACTCCTCAGGAGTTTACATTCTAAGAGATACTAAAGCAGAGCTCAGGAGTTAAACATGTCTGCTGTATGCATCGGATACATGCTGATTTACCTGAAATATACTTTCCTCATAGCTTCAGTGACCTGGATTTTATCTGAAGACAACCAGCCTGCACAAAGACAAATTGTCTTCCCCAAAGTGTGTTTAGAATACACTTGTGAGCATTGCAAATTTCAACTCCATTTTTTTTGTTTGTGCAGTATGGCTTTCTGTATACCAGTGGTTTTCATTCTTCCTGAGAATAGGACCTTCTTTTTTAGATTCTTGTAGATATGCTGGACTCCTCCCCTCACCTTCTCCCCACTTGAGGGAAGTGTAAGAAATGCAGACGTTTTCTTGAGAAATTCTAAAATGTGGAATTTGTCTTACTAAATATAATTTGAAAACTTTCTGTCTAAAATTATAATTGTATCGTTAGCTAGATAGCCTTAAGACAGTAAGTAGAAATTAGGTTTTGGTAGACTTTAATCTTCCCTCTTTGTTATTTTATTGATCATTTCAGAAAACAGAAGAGCTTAATTACAATATAACCCTGATTTTTGCAGAATATCCTACATTAAACTTTCTAAATTTAATATACACTTCAGTTTTAAGAATGGTATGTTGTTTTTATGATATAAAATGGCAGAATCCAATTGAGAAATCTTATTATTTAGAAAACCTCACACATTTGTGCATCTGTGTTAATTGTTAGATTTAAAGAGTGTTAATTCTGTGTTTCAAGGGTGAAGTTTTAATAATGTATCAGCTATGAGTAACTTGGACTTTTGTAAACATCACCTGCTCTACCATGTACATAAAAGAACAGTTCCATAAACCTCTTCCCAGTTGTTGACAGGTAGTATACTATGGTAGACCTTTTCAAAGAAATTATTTAAGACTATCTTTGAATTTCCTACCACTTATTTCTTTAGGAAGCTTTAAAATAACATATATTGCACTGAAGCTTTTTTGTTTTACTTTTGTACTTTGTCTTTATATATTCTAGGGTCAGCGATGAAAAGGATGCACGAGGGTATCTTCAGGCCTTAGCTTCTAAAATGACTGAAGAATTGGAGGCATTAAGAAATTCCAGCTTGGGTACACGAGCAACAGTAAGCTTCTATGATTTTGCATGGAGGCTTATCATATTAGAAAAAAGAGATTTAAAAAACACTATAATAAATCCAATTACTTATATCAGTTTGTTTAGACTTTGAGCCTACTAAAGAGTTTTTTATGAGAAAACTATTAGTTTGGGTCTTTTCCAGTTTAGAAAAACATAACACACAGCTGGTTAACTATAATAATTTAAATGTTAAAAATAGGATGGAACTAAAAACACAGTCATTATTTCATAGGATATGCCCTGGAAAATGCGTCGTTTTGCGAAACTGGATATGTCAGCTAGACTGGAGTTGCAGTCGGCTCTGGATGCAGAAATAAGAGCCAAACAGGCCATCCAAGAAGAGTTGAATAAAGTTAAAGCATCTAATATCATAACAGAATGGTAAGATTGAATCATATAGTCCCACTAGAATAATTTCTAAGTTTGTCATAATTATTTGGAGAGAAGTTACATGTTTAGTTTCCATTGCTTGCTTTTAGAAAAATGATGGCCAAATATGTTACAAAGATTTGAAAATAACTAGATGCTTTTAAGCCTTGTAGATAGTGATGAGGTTTTAATATAGCCTTGTTTTCCTCTGGCTTGTCCATAAAGTAGAATTAATAGTATTAAATAATATTCCATTATTTAATTTTCCTCATAAAATTTAGTTGACTCTCAAATTTTATTAAACCTAAAATTCTCTCATGTTTAGGAATATTATATTTGTATAATAATACAACATATGGTGAGAACAAAATATAATCATTTGAAAATTGTGGCCTCTACCATAGGTCTTTTATAAATGAAAATTCTATTGATGGCAAATTTCATAATGATATAATATCTTTTAAGTATAATTATTGTTTTTCATGTTTCTTTATGTATTTAGAAAAAGTGTATCCCACAGTCTCTGAAGCAGTTAGCTAATGAACACATTTCGTCAATTCTGGTCACAACACTAGAGTGAATCATACTCTGAATACATAAATGATTCACAGTTAGACTGATTATAAACATGGTTCAAAATAAGCCAGTTTAAGTGACATAGAGGAACAATAGAAACTTCACATCACAAGTGAAACTACAAATACGAAAATCCATTGACTGCTGAGAATACCAAAAGTTCCAAAAGCCTGAAAAGAAATGCAGGCCCATGAATTCAGTTTTTAATGGTGTGTAGTCATAGTCCTTAAACTGCAATTGTTTATCTTTTTAATCAAATCAAAGGCCAGATACATGATACTTCTGTTGGATTATAAACTTTTGGTTTATAAGCTTTTTGCTATAAATAATGCAGACATTGTATGTTTTACTTAAATGTGCTTATGTGGCATTGAGGAGGGGAAAACTTTTTCTGGAGAAAGTGAATTGATCCCAGCATAAAGAGCTAATGAATATCATTCTCTGTGTTGTAATTTGAAATAAGTAATATCTTTTCTCCTTATGCCTAGGACAGATGAGTTTACATATTGTTCATAAGTCAGGAAGATGAGCCAGTTTGAAAAATTATAAACTTACTCCTGTATGTGCTCCACTTTCATGGTTGCCTGTAATGGTATAATATCTAACAAAGTCTAACAGAATTCTAAAATTAACCTTTGATTTTGTAACATTTTTAAATTTAATAATTTAGTTCAGGGTCCACAAATGTTTTCTGTAAAGGTTCATTTAGTAAATATTTTAGGCTTTGATTAGCTTCCATCACAGCTTCTCATCTCTGCTATTGTAGTGTAAAAGCAGCCATAGTCAATACTTAAATGAATGAGATTGGCTGTGTTCTAGTAAAACTGTTAATCTACATGAAAGTAGGTAGCAAGCTGTATTTGTTCTTCCCGCAGTAATTTATAGTCCCCTAATTTACCATGCCTGACATTTAAACCAAGTAAGTTTGGCTACATCCAAGATGGCTCACTAACCAGCAATAAAAATTAATGACATTTTTCCTTTTTTCTCCTTATTTAAGTAAACTAAAAGATTCAGAGAAGAAGAACTTGGAACTACTCTCAGAAATCGAACAGCTGATAAAGGACACTGAAGAGCTTAGATCTGAAAAGGGTATGGGAGTGTGTGTTTGCCTCACTCAGGACTTACTGTTATGTTATAAATATATTTTATTACAGAAGAATCAATTCATTGCATAGGTGGGAGAATTGTTGACATAAGCAATTCTGGCACTCATTTATGAATATACGTGTGTATATATGATGCATGTGCATACACACACATTTGGAAGACTGACCTCTGAGTCATTTTGTTTTACTTAATATGCATTGTTTAATGATTTCATAGTAACAGAAAAAGACACTTTGCCATAAATTTGACGTTTTTTTTCAGTGCAGTGGACTACTTCATGAATAACATTTTTGTGATTGGAAAAAAATTTTATTTTATAATGTACTTTATAATATTCTCAAATGCTATGATATGAGGTTATCACTCTGACAGTGGCAATGTGTGTTAACATCCAGAACTTGGTAAGGGTACTTGAACAAGTATTTCCTAGCACTTTTTATGTGCCTAGAATGTATAAAAATTGGGGGGGGGGGGGTGGGATTCACTTTCAGGGTAGTTGAGGAAACAATGTATGAAATAGCTGAAGATTAATTTAGTATTAATGGAGCAATTCAGTAAGGAAAATTTTGGGGGGCATTTTAATGTCTTCTTCCAGTTTGACACTTAAATTGCTTGTCCTGTAGGATATCCCGGATTTATTACCATTTTCTTGAAAACTTTACTTGAACATTTTTCCATTCATGTGAAAGCTTAGTCAGAGTGCTTCATAGCTGTATTACATGAACTTCTTAAACTTTCCTTAATGTGGATGTTAAGAAAGTGAAGATTTAATAAAAAGAAATTCAGATATTTTTAAAATAAAGGGATATCTTATATACATTTATTTGAAATTGATTTTCCTGACAAAGGCCATCACTGAATACTGAACTCGTTAATGGGCTTTTTATTAGGTCTAAGTGCTTTCCTATCATTTCTCAGCCATGCAACACAGTGAGATAAAACTGGTGGAGTCTCTGCATCTGCATGTAAAATGATAGAGAACAGAGAGTAATCACATAAAGAAGCTAACAAGAAAAAGCCTTTACAAATAGTCGATGCTCAATAAATTCTTGTGGATTGAATTTCTTAATTAACAACAAAAGGAAGGAGCCCAGAAAAAGTGAATAGTAATTCAGATTAGGAGCACAAGCCATCATGCCAAAATGAAAATCAAGCTAGGTTTTAATTAATGGAAATTTGAAAGAAGATACATTATTTAGTGAGGAAAAGAAAAAGAATTCGTAAGACATGGACAACTCGTGGCCCTAATGGCAAATAGGAGAGAGACTAGTGCAGAATATGACTTGCACGCCAGATGACATTGATTGCATCATTTTTAGAATAGACCTAAACTTGAAAGAGACTTAAGTTTATCACTGAAGGCATGTTTACCACAGCTTTTTAATTTGGATTTTGAATATTGCAGAACAAAATTTTATTGTATAACATAATGTATACTACTACTTCAGTAATATAATGTGATATTTACAGTATGAGGGCAAGGATGTTTTTAATGCTTCATTTACTATTATTTCCCCAAGTCTCTAGGACAGTGTCTGGCACACTCTCAATATTTGAATGAATTTCTGAACATACTGCCTTACCTGATAACTGTGTTATATTATTAGATAGTAATATGAAAAACACAAATCAGCTGATGTCAATTCCTAAGGATATGGAAGTGAAAAATGTGGGATTGGCTGTTTTCTGGTTTTTTTCTACCTAGTATTTTTATTTGTATGTTGTAAGAATTACTTGGGAAATTGTGCATTTAAAGTTAATGCCATAGTCAAGAGATATGTATGAATTTTTAAAAATTCATCTGAGAAAAACTGGGGTTTGGAGTCTTCATCCTGTCAATAAAAAAATACCTGAAATCAGATTGGCAGTTTTTTTGTAATTAAGTGTATTTGTTTCATCACTGCATTAATTTCTTATAAAGGATTATTCTTATTAGTGCATACTCTGTGCTTTGATAAGAGTATTTCAAAACATAAGCCTGTTTGGTGTTGAATTAGCTTAGAAAAATCAGATATAAACAGACTCCTATTTTTAAATTCTCTCAAGCCTACCAAAAGATTTAATGTGGTTTTTTATTATTTACTATACACAAAAAGAAAGAAACTCAGTAACATAAATAAGCATTTCATGGAAACTGATGTAATTGAACTATTAAGTGATATTCTAGGAAACACTAGTGTATTTTAGTTTTGTTTAAATGTAGAGTTAATTATAGTGATCAACTTTGAAATACAGTAGTTTGTGAACTGCTTTTAGTAGATTCAGACAGGGAAGGTTATCCATTAAAATCAATTTTAATTGTTGTAGCCTTAAAAAAAGTTGCTGCTGTCTTCTAGGTATAGAGCACCAAGACTCACAGCATTCTTTCTTGGCATTTTTGAATACGCCTACCGATGCTCTGGATCAATTTGAAGTAAGTATTAAACATGTCACATATCCTCTGGGGTCAATTTAAAATTCACTTTGTAATTTAAAGTTCACTTATAATAAAACCATTTTATTGCTTCCCACATCAGAGGACCTAGAATCTTAAATAAACAAAAACATATTAGCAGAGGAATATGTTCTGCATTCTTATGGAGACTATAATCCCACCTCTGTTTAACAAAACATCTAAGAAAGATTTAATCATGAGAGTCATTATAAGATTTAAAAGCAATTTCATCTCCCTTAAGAAACATTAAGAGCAGAACAAATCCCAACTTTTGAAATAATTTGACAATTTTTTTATTCTCCAAAGCATAGTGCCACAATAAAAAGTGAGAAAATGTCAAAGCTGACAATAAGGTATTGCTGGTTCTTATTTCAAATCAATTCATCTTTTAAAAACTATACAGTAAGAAGTGCTTTTGTTAAAAGGTGTTACATAGACTCTGTTAGGCATATCACACAGTAATGAAATTGTGATTATGTAACTCTTGATCATTCGTTGGTATTTAAATTCTTTGCTTTAAAAAAATCAACTTACTGTTATCAAGTATATTTTTGTCTCAGTAAATTTAAGTGTGATTATATCTTTATTGAACAAATAATAATCATGTAGCTTTGTGCAAGGCACTGTTGTAAGTGCTGGAGATATAGTAGTGACCAAAATAGACAAAGTCCTTCCCACTAGAACTTACATTCCAGTGGGAAGAATTAGAAGCCTCAGGAATTCCATTGCTTACTTTTAGTTGTTACTTCAAAAGTACTTACATTTAATTTGATTATTAATTATTTGTCATGAGCTTCATTTTATTACATTTTGGGCACAGTATGTGAATTGTGTTTCGTTCCTTTAGGAAAAGGAAAAATAATCACTCTTTAAAAAGTAATTAATGAATCTCTTAAGTTTCTCAAGAACAATGATAGTGACTGCTTTTCTCATTTATTTATTTGAATTAATGTCATTTGCCTTTCAATTGTTTTACAAAGTTTTTGATTTATTATTCTTATTAAATTGCTTCATCCATATTTTCTATTTTTTTATTGCTGTATTCGTTAAATAGGATTCCTTTTCTTCTTCCTCATCTTCACTGATTGATTTTTTGGATGACGTAAGTCTTTGATTTTCAAACCAATGCATCCTTCAGTAAAAAAGATCAGTGAATTGATTTGAAGAATTTGCCTAGTAATGCAGTCAGTTTTAGAAATACCACATTTGAAAATTTATGTGAGCCAAAATATGCTTCTTTCTTATCTTAAATATAATGAAGGATTTATCAGTATTAAACATAATGAAGTAAAAATTTACTTTCAAAAATGCTTTGACTGTTGTAGAATCCCAGTATTTTCAGTCTTTGTAAGAATTCTAAAACTAGAATGCTTATTTAATTATTTTTTATATATATATAAATAATTGCTTATTTTTATTTTTCCTGGCGATTTCTATTTTACTTTTCCCTTTTCTTTTCAGCACTTTACTGTTTAATTTCTATGTTGGTTAAAAATAAACCTCTGGTGGTATAATAAAAAAAAATTACTTTTAATTAATTTCTCCAGTAGGTTTTATTGTATGACAATAATAGAGTACTGATTTTAAAATAAATCAATGTTTAATTGATTTATTTCTAATGCTGACAGAATTTCTCTTCTAATGTGCAAAGTGATTTTAGTTAACATATTCACTATATGCACTATAAATTGACTGCATTATCACTTTCTCTCCTGAATTCTATCAATTTAATAATTTAGAAGTTCCTGTTAAATGTGTATCATTCATTCTCTTTACTACCTGGCATAACATTCTCTCTATTCCACATTAAATGCACAGTAATTCTTGTCCTAAAGCATTTATTATCCTGTTGAATAGTCTTTACAGAAATGGGGAAATAAAATGGATTCAAATGCAAATATTGTGCATAGAATTGTTTTTTAAATCGGGAGATTTTTTAATGTTTTATTCTTTCTGTTTTGTTAGGATACTTATAGTCAGAAGAGTAGTTAGCATAATGTTCTGCTAAAGGAACTTCTTGATCTAGATGTTTAAAAATTATTGAACAAAAAAGTGATTTTGAATATGCTTGGAATATTTATACTGAAGTTTGCACATTTTCATTCTAAACAAAGTGTTTTGCTATTCTCAAAACAAATAATTACTCTGGTTAACTCTATAGTGTGATAAAAAGAGAACTCTCCTCGTGTACAGTGGTATTGCATGTTATAATCTGCTGCTCAGGATGTTAAAATATTCAATATGATATTTCCATACAGATATTATTCACCTTAAAAAAGAAAGGGAAGGAAGTTTGAGTAAATTATTTTGGTTGTTCTTTCCACTAGAAAACCTTTTTATTTCTAACAAACTTCTCTCCATCCCTTTTCCTGTCACAAAAAAAAAATGTACATATATTTGATTGTAAAACCTAAGAGCAGTATGTATTTTGGCAAATACATGAGGTCTTCTCAGCAGACCTTTCAGGAATGCACACCCCAGCCAGGTCCTCAGCTTGTTTCTGCTCTCACAGGCACTCTGCCACTGCTGCCACCCACCTGTAATGCCTGAGCACCCCGCAGCCATTTCCCAGTGTTACTTTTCCTCCAGGAATATCCTTTCTCATCTTCTACCCTCTATTAATGCAACATGAGCTCAGTATAAATATAAAAGTAAATTTTATTGCACTGCAAGGGAACTCCTAGTATGAAGTAAAAAGGAACTGAGTTCACAAGAGCTGCCAAATCTTTTATTTATATTCCACCTCCTAAAAGGCATGATTTCCCACTCATGTGCTTTCTAAGCTCCATTCTCCCAATTTATTGGTTAAGTGCATAAGCAGGCACAAATCCTGCCTGTACAACTTTCTAGGTGTATGGTTTGGAAGAAATTAACCTTTCTACACCCTAAATTTGCTCATCAGGCAAATAGTAATAATAATATAACTAATCTCATAATGTTGTTTGAAGATTTAAGGAAACAGTGTATGTAATGCCGTCAGTAATAATGCCCTTATTACTTTTAATAAGCTGGTTCCCTCCCTTTCTGTATTCTCTTTAGCTTCTTTTCTCATCCATCAGTTCAGTTTCACTTAAATGCTTTCTTAGCTCTTCATCACTCAGTCATCTATCCACCACCAATATTTTATGGCACAAACTTTGTGTTTCTCTTTAGAGTTTGTACCTATGATCTCCCTTCCCAGAGTTATCATTCATTCATTTGATCCTCAAAGTCATAGCAGAATGATGTTTTGAACAGCAGTATTCAATCTTTGACATACTTGAGTTCAGCATCCAAGATATTTCGCATAACGCTCAAGTTCTTCTGTAGCTCTTTTTCTGCTAGGAACTTGGATTCTTTTTTTGTTTTTGTTTTTGTTTTTTTTTTTGAGACAGAGTTTCACCCTGTCACCAGGCTGGAGTGCGGTGACACGATCTCAGCTCACTGCAACCTCTGCGTCCCAGGTTCAAGCGATTCTCCTGCCTCAGCCTCCCAAGTAGCTGGGACTACAGGTGCATGCCCCCCGTGCCTAGCTAATTTTTGTATTTTTAGTAGAGACGGGCTTTCACCATGTTGGCCAGGCTGCTCTTGAACTCCTGACCTCATGATCCGCCCGTCTCAACCTCTCAAAGTGCTGGGATTACAGGCGTGAGCCACCACGCCCGGCTGCACTTGGATTCTTAAGGAGCAAATCAGGTCTCTGTTGTTCTCTGTGCCAAATCTAGTTATATTGTGCTTGATGCTTATATGCCTGCCCTTTGCGGTAAGGCTCTAATGAGTAGTACACATCCTTCTGGACATTCTTTTTTGTTTTCTGTCTCGTTGCTATAGAGGAGATTATGTTGAAGACCTAAAGTTTGAATTGCAGCTGGAACTTGTACGTATAGAAGGGAATAAGACTAGTATTGACTAGAATTGCAGGAATCAAGTCCTTTGGTATCAACATATTATCATTCTTCTCCCTCTGTCTCTGGGAACCCAGTGTTCTCATGCTGCCCTCTGATTTGTTGGAGCTTTACCACCAGTGCCTCTCCTCCTCCAAAGTTACCTTCTTTACTCCTACTTTTACCCTTCCACACAGGCCTCTAAGTGTAGTTACTTTATTTAAAACAGTACGGTTTTAAGTTAAAATGTTCCCATCCCTATTTTTTCCTCCACATGTTTTGCCTGTTAACTCAAAATTCAAATGAATGCTGGAATTTTTGGCACAATGGGAAGATGTTCGGAGCAACATGCTTTCCTTTTTAAGTCACATTGTTTGGCCAATACTTGTATGTGTAAGAGTAGCTTTGAAGAGAAGAAATATATGTAATACCAGTCATTCCCTTCCCTCTGGGAAAATGAAAGGAGGCAACCAGGCAGAGCAGAGCATATTCTCAACACTCTCTGCTTCTCTAACTTGGGGGAATGTAGGCATTTGGGCTTTTCTACATGTAGAATCATAGAGTTTTGAAGGAGAAAACCTTAGAAAGTATTTAATCCAGTTGTTTTAACCATTACAGCACTCTTCTGTTATTAAGAGTGGATAGGTTACTCTCCCATTTTTAAGAGTGACTTTTTTAAAGTTCTCAATCTTTGGGGATTAGGACAGTGTGGTGATACATTGTTATGTAAAATATTCTTTAGGACAGATAAAGAAGGGTTTGAGTTAATTTATTTATTTATTTATTTATTTATTTTGAGATGGAGTCTCGCTCTCTCACACAGGCTGGAGTGCAGTGGCGCGATCTCAGCTCACTGCAAGCTCCGCCTCCCGGGTTCACGCCATTCTCCTGCCTCAGCCTCCCGAGTAGCTGGGACCACAGGTGCCCACCACCACGCCCGGCTAATTTTTTGTATTTTTAGTAGAGATGGGGTTTCACCGTGTTAGCCAGGATGGTCTTGATCTCCTGACTTCGTGATCTGCCCACCTCGGCCTCCCAAAGTGCTGGGATTACAGGCATGAGCCACCATGCCTGACTGGGTTTGAGTTAATTTTAAAAGAAATTGAAACTACTTTGATAAGTGGTCTCTTGAGAAAGGCATTTCCATTCAACCTATTAAGAAAGCAGTAGAACAGAGATACCAAGATCCCTTCTGCTGTAGAAATTATTCCCACTTCTACCCTCATCTTTTCCTTCAACCGTGCATGCCCAGTCTTGGACTGTCTAGTCCATGTTAGCCCCAGCCTCTTTCTCTAGGTAATAAACAGGGTGAGGAGCAAATGGAGCTCAGCTGCTTAGATTTTCCCATTTCTTTCCCCCATCTATTCCCTTCATCCCAATAGTAACAGATCCAGGGATCATCACACCAAGCTTGTAGCAACTTCCTATACTCTCTTCAGTTCATTTTCTTTTCAGCCGAACCTGAAAAAGCTTGGCTTGAGAGTATTATAGATAATACTAATTACAATCATATAAATTAGCTGCTTGCTCTTTATATTTGAGAAACGTATTGTCATATATTAAATATGTGCTAAGTAAGTTTTGAATTTGATTAAATTACAATTCTACACTTTGTTCATTTAGTCCCAGTTCACAAAAATAGAAATTGCCCATTTGCCTGGAAAATGAGAATGTACTCAACTTGGTTTTTCAGAGTTTTCTTACTCTGATATACTGATGAAAGAGTAAATCAAGGATTAAGCTCGGGAATATAAAGGTCAGACACAGAGAAACAGAGATAGTATCTATAGCCCAACAGTCTGGTCCCCCTAATATTGTTTTCCATTCTTATATTCTGGCATATAAGAAAAGCAAGTAGTCTGACAACATTGGCAGGCTGAGTTCTGGACTTGATTTTAACCTTGTATAACATCTTACTAAGATGCTTCAAAATATTTAATTTCAGTCATGGCTTCTAACTTCTTTAATTTATCTCTTGATTTCACATGGTTTTATCTCCCAGCTTCTTTTACATTCTGTTACAATCAGTTACAGAAATCCGAGGCTTTTACAGAAATCTGAGGCTTGGCAGCATAGTTTCAGCGATACTTGGGGGAATGGTCAATTGTATGTGAGAATTGGTAGGAAATAGAGTTTTAAAACATACATTTTAAAGATTTTTAGTCCTATGACCAAAATCAGACCTAGCTTCTTTGGCATTCCTGAAATTTGCTCATTCAATTCTTGTTTTTACAATTTCTATCCACATATTCACCACAACCCTACCTGAAGATTGCATATTTCAGAAAGTTACATGCATTTTTTCCTCAACTTAGGCAATATATTATGTTGAATATAATTGTATATATTACGTATTTTATCGCATATATAATATAATAATATATTTAGACAATCTAAAGAGAAAGAACCATGATTACATAGTCCATTTCTTCTTTGGTATTTTATTAAATAAGACCTCTAGGATTAATTGAACCTTAAAAACTATTAGCCAAATTATGTACTCCTGAGATTATTTCTTTTGGTTTCTGCTTGTGTGCATACCTTCATATTCAGTCTTAAAGTTTTGTTGGCATGTCATGGACCTATATATGAAATACATGTTTTAAAGTGGTATTTGGTTGCACATTAAGACAAGGTGCTGGTTTATAGTGTTTGCCATGAATTCAATTTCAGTGTTTATAAAAACCACAGTGTGTGTAGGTATATATGAGAGAGAAAGTGTGTGGGTGTGTTTTCCTCTAACTCACCTTTTCTGTTGAAAACATAAAAATAGTTGAAAACGTAACAATA
Organism: Homo sapiens; assembly: GCF_000001405.40. Lineage (NCBI taxonomy): Eukaryota > Metazoa > Chordata > Mammalia > Primates > Hominidae > Homo > Homo sapiens. The sequence continues at coordinate 227,063,102 of NC_000001.11, read as the reverse complement.
TTGAAAACATAAAAATTAGACAATTTCTAAGTAAACACTTTGGTAAGAAATCATTGCTGTGGTGATAGTATCATTATTAGCTTTAAATGGTATTGGCTTAGAAAATGTATTGTCCTTCATTTTCAAAGATAGTTTCGGGAGACATTTTAACTTGTTTTTAGTATAGTGATAATATATTTATTTTGAGATATTCATGCTCTTTTCCATGGTTTTAGCATACTCCAGACTCTAGTCTAGAAGTAGAGATAGCCAAAAAAGTTTTTTTTTTTTTTATGTTAAACATTTTAGCACTTTTTACATGGGTGGTAATATACTGGGCATAATGGATACAAAGACAAAGCAGATGTGGAAATGGACCTCAAAGTACTTATTTTATAATTAGAAAAATAATTATATAGTTACACACTATGCAATGTGGAAAGCAATAAATGCCATGAGAAATACCTAGGCTAAGTACTATGGACATTCAGAAGGATTCATTCAATATTTATTGAGAATATTTAAGTTTGAAGTCTTATGCTAAGCAAAATACAATACTTCCTGCCCTTAAGCGTAATATTTCCTGCCCTTAAGCATAATACAATATTTCCTGCCCTGACAGTCTAATTGGAAAGACAAATATATAACCAGATAACTATAACACCATGTGGGAAATATAGTAATAAAAGATAAAGATCGTATATCATGGGAATACAAAGAAGAGAGATTTCTGATTGAACCAGGAGGATCCAGAAAAGCTTATTAAAGGAAATAATGCCTGAGCTGGGTCTTCACAGATGAGTATGTTCAGCAAAATCATAAAACAACTACATAAGAGGAGTATATTCTAGACAGGCAGAGCGAACTTGCGGGGGGAGGGAGCAGGGAGTTACGGGATTGTGGACAGAGGGAGATTTCAATTTAGTTAGAATTGTCCCTTGCTTGGCAAACAAAAAGGGTGAGGAAGGGATTGAGAAATGAGTATGAAGACATGGGCAAAGGCCAGAATAAGGGTCTATGTTTCTCAACTTTATACTTCATATTACAGAGCTTAGGTTTAATCAGTCCCATATGTAATAATTATTAAAAGATTTAACAGAAGAGAAAGGTGACAGCTTCATTTTGGACAAGTTAAGTTTGAGATTCCTAAGGGACATCCAGTTGGAGATGTCCAGCAGACAGTCAGATATTTAATATATGCGTCAGGAGTTTAAGGAAGAGGAGTGGACTGGCAACAGAGATTTGGAAATAATCAGAGTTGAAAGTGGATGAGATTCCCCAAGGGGCAGATTGTAGCAGTGAGCCAAGGACAGAAACCTGGAATCTCCATTGAAGAAAGGGTGAAGGAATAGGACTCCACAAAAGCTAAGAAAGCAATCGTTGAGAAGTATGTGGTTACTTAGGAAAGTACCTGTCAGAAAAACTAGAAGAGCAGATAATTTTAAGGAGGGGAATGGTCAGTGTGATGGTATGGCAGAGGTGGTTGGTCAGATAGGACAAACCAGAAATACTGACCTGAGTATCAGATCAAAGCAGAATCTGAATTGCACTGTATTAGAAGTTAATTGGGAGTTTAGAAAATACAGACGGCATTTGTATACCATTTTTCAGAAATCTGGCTGAGGAAGTTTTGAATCCTGGCTCTACCACTTAATAGTTTTATAACCTTAGGCAAGTTGATCCATCTTCTACATCTTTAAAATGAGGATCATAATTCCTACCTTATAGGGTTTCTGTGAGAATTAAAATAATTCATATATGTAAAGCACTTTGGAAAACGATCTGCATATACTCTGCACATAATAAATGTTATTATGATTATTAAGGAAGAAGGGAGATAGATGATAGCTAGAGGAAGAGTTGGAGTTGATTTGTTTATTGTTTGGTTGTTTGGTTTTGGGGGCAAGAAGGAATGAGAGAGGTTCTTCCCATTAATAACTGAGGAAAAGTAACTAGGTTTGAACCTGAGACTTTAGCCTCCATAATGGAAAAACTTCTTTAGAACTCTCCGGGCCTTCTAATCCTGGTTTACTATTAACTCTGCAGGACACAGTGTTCAAGTTATCTTCCATTCCATTTCCTATGGAAAGAAAGAATATTTCTGGCCAGGCGCGGTGGTTCACACCTGTAATCCCAGCACTTTGGGAGGCCGAGGCAGGCGGATCACTTAGGTCAGGAGTTCGAGACCAGCCTGGCCAACATGGTGAAACCCCATCTCTACTAAAAATACAAAAATTAGCCGGGCATGGTGGCGCGCACTTGTAATCACAGCTACTCGGGAGTCTGAGGGAGGAGAATCACTTGAACCTGGGAGGTAGAGGTTGCAGTGAGCCGAGATCGCACCACTGCATCCACCTGGGTGACAGAGCAAGACTCTGTCTCAAAAAAAAAAAAAAAAAAAAAAAAGTACCTATTTACTTACCTGCCAGAGTTATTGTAACACTAATACTGAATTTTTGGTAGTGTTTCTCATTCTTGAACTTTTCCTTTTTTCTTAAATCTTCTATAACTCCTGTAGACCTAGTCTATAAGTTCCCTCCTCTAGGTCCCCAAGAAAATCTTCTCTGTCCCTCCTCTAGGTTCCCATACAAACCTTGTACATATCTCAGTGATAGCATTTGTCACATTGTTGCTGGCATGATGTCTTCTCTACCAGTCTGTGAACTTCCATGTCTTGTTTATCTTTCAATCCCTTGCAAAGTCGGCTTAGTATCCAACGTATTGTGAGCTCACAACAAATGTTAGGTTGCACTGAATGTTAGAAATTGCCGAAGTAGATATGGTTCATATTAGTGAAGCTCTACTGCTGGAGCATCACAAAAATATTTTGATTGGGAGGCCAAGGTGGGTGGATCACGAGGTCAGGAGATCGAGACCATCCTGGCTAACATGGTGAAACCCCGTCTCTATTAAAAATACAAAAAATTAGCCGGGCGTGGTGGTGGGCACCTGTAATCCCAGCTACTCAGGAGGCTGAGGTAGGAGAATGGCATGAACCCAGGAGGTGGAGCTTGCAGTGAGCCAAGATTGCGCCACTGCACTCCAGCCTGGGCGACAGAGCGAGACTCCCGTCTCAAAAAAAAAAAAAAAAAACAAAAAAAAACTTTTTGAGATAATTGTTCCTTTTTTCCTAATTACTTAATTCTTTAATGTTAGAAAGGTGAAAGTCCCTCTTTTGACTATGGCTGAAGTTGAGTCAGGATGGAGTATTGTTCAAATAACTTTTAATTTTAATTTATTATCATTAATTCTGAAATCCTAACTTAGCCCTTGTCATTTAAAAGAATCATTTTTGAAAAGAGTAAAAATTTACTAGGTAAATGTCTAACGCCAGGCTAGTTCATTATTTTATTGAATGTTTGCCAGCACTAAATCAGAAATATCTAGATCCTTTTTGTTCTCATTTGTTCCAGTCTGCTACTGCCAACCTTTCCAGAAAAGAAATTGTCTATCACTTGATGAAGGCTTATTTTGTGGGTCACTGTACATGGGCCAGTGAAAAGTTTGTCAACCTTAGACGTAGTCCAAACAACTGTTTCTTTACCATCCTATCCTCCAGTTTTTCCTAAAAATACATGTACATTCAACCTATCCAAAACTGTGGCTTTATATGTATGTTTATATACTTTGTCTGTTAATACAATAGTAGTCCTTGAGAGTCTTATGTGTGTAAATATTTGTAACATGTCCTATTCTCCTTTCTCTGTTGAAGCGCTCTCCATCCTGTACTCCAGCTAGCAAAGGCAGACGTGTAAGAGACTTTTGCACTTTATGTACCCATCCTGAGGCCTTTTACCCCTCTCTCATCCTTTTGCCTGTGATTGCGGAACCTGTTAATGTTTTTGTGGTATATTATTACATCTATTGCATGCTTTGTGCTGCTGCTCCTGCTGTTGCTGTGCTGCTTTTATGTTTTTGTTTATGTTTTTTTTTTGGCTTTGGCCGCAAAGCTTTAGGAATGTTCATATAAATCACTATAACCAAACTACTAAAATGATATCTTTTTTAGTTTGATCAAGGGGAAAAGTGATCCTAAAGTATGCCTTCTAAGTAGTCAAAGTACATGAGCTCCTAAGAATCTTTTGTAAGCAAGTATGTAGATTGTTTCTTAGAGATTTTAATTATGTAGAAAGAAAACTTGATCATTCATGTTGTACAACATTCAAAAATGATTTGGAACAAATTATACATCTTATTGACTATAATTTATGTAAATCAGTTCTAGAGAAATCTTGTTTTTTTTTTTTTAATGTAGTTCAGAGGAATCTCCCAAACTAATTATCTAGATCTGAGGAAATAATGTTAATAATAAAGCCTTTCTATTCTAAGATAATTCCAAGATTTAAAAAATATCAGTAACATTATTTATATATGTATTATTAACAAACTGTAAATATCTTCCTATACTAATCCTAGCTCTGTGTTTCTCAACTTGAAATGAGTCAGCCACTACCTCTGTGCTACAAGATTCTGACATGCCCAGAGATGGAATTTTTCTAAACCAGCCACATCCCAACACTAGTCATAAACACACATACATACTCCCTATTTGAAAAGCGACAGGGTAGCTGACAGTGTTGGGATTTTCATATACTATGTAAAATAGTAACATTCAAAAGGAAAGTCAGTGATGGATACAAATTCGTAATGTTCACCAGTCATCTCCGTGGAGACTGATCAACACTTTACATTCCGAATTCTTAGACTCGGAAAGTTCTAGATGAGGGAATTCTGTGGTTTGTGGTAGGCATGGGAAGCAGTAGGGGTGGCCTGCTGCTTCCTGTGGTCCTGTCTTTCTGGTATGTTGGAGGGTTGGTTGTAAAATAAACATGAATAACTCTAATATAGCATATATAATATTTTCGGATTACAGCTTAATAATGAATAAGCATTTCAGATACCTGTACTATGGCCAGTAGAACTGCATTCAAGTGATATCTCATTAATTATTGTGTTTATGAAAGATTACTAGTTCAACTGATTGCTTGATTATTTTGAAACTTGTAGAGACTTAAAACCATTAGATATTTGGATTTATCAAATGAATCTGAATATATGTTGATTACATTACATAACCTCTAGAAGGGAAAACCAATATGTTGTGTGCCCAGTTATATTAGGGTCAAATCACCAGCCCGTGAATTGACTAAATTTTTAACTACTTGCTGTTTTTTCAATAAGGTTATAATTTAGGATTTGTTTCTCTCATTTTATTATGGATTAATTATGTCTCACTTGCCTTGCAGACTTTCTGGGGCCTTGGACACCTAGAACATTTTTTGTGAATCTTGAAATAAGAAAAAAATTTTGGAGGGAAATAGCTGTTATAAGGTCTCTCCTTAATTCTATGTCTTTATTCTATGAGATATGAATAAACTATAATTAACCATAATCTATTGACTTATTATTACATATGATTATTTTAAACGTAGATATAATAGGCTTGGTTATCTGCTTTCCTGGCCTCCTTCAATTTTTCTTTGGTTAAGTATCTCACAAAAAAAGTCAGCCACTGAAAAGTAATAGTGCCTGTGAAGATGCTTGAAGAATTACAAATTACTCAGCTGTTAAATAGAAGCATCTCAGTGGTATAGTGTAGAACCTCAGTGTTCCCTGGGACATCAGTGTATTTCAGTAGGACACATGCAGTTACCATTCTTAACAATGGCCTCTGTTGTAACAGTAGCATAAGATTTTATGTTATATACCATGTTTTTAGACAAGAAAATATGCAGTATTTTAATAAATTTAAAATTAACTATGAAATGTCATATGAATGAGGTAGTATTACAAAATAATGTTTCTTGCATTCTTGTTTCTAGTATGCTATTAAACCTCATTTACAGTTTGAATGATTTTCTTTATAAATAGTATTAAGTATAGTAGAAGAAAAAGTTTTTATTGATAGTATTGTTAATGTCCAAATACAAATGATGAGAGAGATTTCCACAGTGCTTTCATTAATAGTGAGAAACACTGAATGTATTATTTCAGATTGTTCATTTAGAGTTTGGAGCAGAGATTTTATAGCCCACGTATGGCTTAACTTTCTCTTATGTTTTCTTAGAATATGTGTAAATTCTCCAGACTAGATATTCCAATCAGTATATTGAAAATAACTTGAGAATAAATTTTCTTAAAGGGAAACAAGGTGCATTATGTATAACTAGTAAGCTTACCCTTACTGGTCACAACCTTTAGTCATTTGTTAGGATTTGTTCTAGCGCAATAAAATGTATTTACTGTTTTCCAAATGATATAGTACTTCTGTAATACTGTTTTTGTATCATAAGTTCAATTAACAGAAATAAATATATCACTAAAAGATTTGAGTTTATACTTGTTCTCAATACAAAATATTAAATTACCTTCTACTTTGTTTTCAAAATACTTCTAGCTAGAGGATAAAGAAAATTGATAGAAACTGGATTTTGGCCAGGCATGGTAGCTCACGCCTGTAATCCCAGCACTTTGGGAGGCCAAGGCGGGAGAATCGCTTGAGCCCAGGGTTTGAGACCATCCTGGGCAACATAGGGAGACCCTGCCTCTACAAAAAAATTTTTTAAAAATTAGCCAGGCATAGTGGCACATGCCTGTGTTCACAGCTACTCTAGAGGCTGAGGTAGGAGGATCAGTTCGGCTCAAGAATTCAAGGCTGTAGTGACCCGTGATTGTGCCACTGCCCTACATCCCAGGGCAAGAGAGAAAGACCTTGTCTCAAAAAAAAAAAAGAAAAGAAAAGAAAAGAAACTGGGACTTTTTAACTTACAGTTTATGTTTACCAATAACAAACAACTTGTTAGATGCAAGCTAGTTTTTAGTAGGTTGACCATATATAATCCATATCACATCTTGGTGTTTTTTACTTTGAAGCAAGGTTTCTTATGAGAGGGGTTGTTACTTGTGCAAATCTGTAATTATTTAGGCAGTAGAAAAGGCCTGTTGATACATATTCAAGATGAGTGGTTTTAGTTATTTTTATTATTTATAGGAAAACCATGCTGTCCATAATTTGAGGAATTCTTGATAAGTGGGTCATCTAAAAACCAGTTCTGTGATCCTGGGCGGCGGGGGGACCTTTTTAAATGTACTACTGTAAAAATACATTTGAGGATCTTTTAGTAGAAAAATCCTAACAGCTTCAGGGACCATTATGAACATTTTGCATTAAAATGTTTTGCAGTATGGACAGTACCACTAATATTCAGCTTTTCCTCTTTTTTTTTTTAACAGAGCATTAAGTAAAATGATACTGAAATATAGTAGATGTTTCTAATGACTGTTCGTCAGAGTAACACCTTAAAGTATGTTTACTTAGGAAAAGAAAATTAGCTAACAAAAAAAAATTGCATTTACTTAAAGATATTTCTTATATTGAATTTATAATATCTCTGCTACTTATGTATGTTTATTAGCTTTTGCTGCATTATTATACTTAATGCTATAGTATTTTAGCACATAAAAAATGACAAAAAGAATATTTTAACTTCCATGGCTAAAATATTAATAATGATTATGTTTGTTTTTAAGGTTTTAAAATACTTTGTAATAAAATAACTAATGGTATTAATCAGTTGCTTTGCTGCTATACTATATCAGAGTCATTGCCAATTCATAATTAAACTGAATCATAGGCTGTCTTTAAATGCCAGCATGTATTCATTGAATATTCTGAAAGTTTAATAGAATTAATTGCTTTTTAGTGGATAGAATAAGCCATTAATTATAAATGCATTGGTAGGCATTTAATTGTGGTTAAAATTAGTAACTTCCTGAAAATTCCAGTCTGGTTGGCGATAATTAAAACTTGAATAAAGAAAATAAGTGATTTGTGGTGTAACACTTTTGAGATATTGTTTACACTGGCGGTAACCGAGAAATGAAATACTTAAATCTATTAATGTTATTAGCATTAGTTTCATTTAAAAGGCCTGGACATTTTTTTTTATATTTGAAATGGTTTTTGCCCTGAGTTTATTCACCTTTACCAAGCTTTGTCCTTTGTCTTTAAAAGAAACACACTTTGAAAGTAAAGTGGTAATTTTTAAATTTTAATTATTATATTCATAGGTTTTTAAAATTAAAGATATGACTATCACTATAAATGGCATAGTTCAACTTTTTAATATGCCTAATACCATCTCAAAATATTTCAGTATTTTCACTTATTTTTAATATTTTTTATAGGAAAAATTACTTGATTTTGTTTAAACTCTGAAATTGATTTTTATTTAAGAGTATATAGTTCTAAAAAGCTAGTATGGTAAATTTCATTATTCTACTTTATTACAATTAAATATTTTCATTTAAATTAAATATTTTCTATTTCTGAATAACCACCTTTTACCTCATTCAGCAAAGAAAATCACTTTTAAATTTGTCCATATCCATATTCTCTTTCATTTTTATTGTTGGAGAAAAACTAGTTAGGAGAATAAGACTTGACAGAGGAGCCAAGAGGTGTGTGTTAAAAGCCTCAAGAAAAGAGTTACTAATTTGTGTAGTTGCAAATTAAATTGATAGTGTATTTTTCCTTTCTCCAATATCCCACTGTCATAATACCACATTTTCATAGGATCAGCAAACATGCTGGTAAATGTTTTAACAACCAGCTCTGGGACTAGAGAAAGCCCTGCTTTTTAGGTTCACTGATTTCATGATATAACCTTCCATTAGTCCATATACTGACAAAATGGCTTAAGGCAGTATTTTCTAATTTTAATGCGAGAAAGTAGAAGACAGTATGCCCAACTTCTGTCAGCATGTGTTTAAACAGCTCAAAGAGCAGACCTGCTGTAAAATTTCAACCAGTGCTATTGCAAACAGCAAATACTTGGCCTTTCCCATTTTTAAAGAGTTTTTGAAATAATCAAACCCAGATAATACAAAGCCGTTATATCAGCTATTCACATATACACAGCATTACCTTTCACACAGGAACTTCGCATTTTGTGTCTTTCTGTCAAGCTGTGGGGCTAAATAAAGCCTTTTGCAACAGGTCAGAAACTTTACAATTTTCTTAAGATGGCTCAGTTTCTTACACATAGAAAGTCCCCTACTTAGATACCTTAAAACTTCTTGAGATGACATTTCAGTCAGTTTTAAGTTCTTACTGGTATAAAATGTATCAATTCTGCTTTGCTTCTCAGTTCCATTTTAACTAAAGCCCCTCTCCATGGACACCTAATTCTTGCAATGTGTATAATCTTATGAAAACTAGGAGGAGGAGATTTTTAGAAACTAAAAGACATTTCTGCCATATTCCCAACTCAGAGTCATATTTCATATTTATAATCTAAACTGATTACTTTCTCCATGGCTGTCCCTGAATAAAATTGTAAACTGGGCCAAAATGTGTCTTGAGTCCCATTTTCTTCTACTTTTTCTTTTCCTGGTCAAAATTTACTATCAGGAAAGGAAATAATATAACTTAGCCTCCTTGATTATTAAATTACTTTGAGTAAATTACTCTGCTGTGGAGATGCCTCTGGTAGGACAAAAATAGTGCTGAATTTGGACTTGAGTTGGGATACAGGCCTGGCTCTCCAACTTCACAAGGCATACTAGTTTCATGAAATCAGCCACATCACATGTACAGAGCTGATATTCAGCTGGTAAGCTTTAGTTCAGTGGCCCAGTTTTTTAAATATTGAGTATCCTAGCAGTTGGTAAGTGGTTGCTGCTCCAAGACCCCTAATGCCTTCACCCTTCTTCTCCCTACTCCTCCCAAATCCAGTAGCTGAAAGTTTATGGCCTGGTGGTGGCTTTGTGGTTACCAGAATACCTTTCCATGCCCACCACCCAGGAAGGCCGTAGGTGGGCACCAATGGAGGGCACGATAGTGTTTCCCAGCCTGCTAGCCTATTCTTCCCATACACTTGCCAGATGTTTTAAATTCTCCACATTGAACAGAAGTTGACTGTTTTTAACATATGCAACATATCATACATTGCTGATAGTATTCTACATTAATTATCAATAGGAAAATATCCCCAACTTGAGAAAACAATTTGTGCCCTTAGAGATTGAAGCCACATGCCCAGAGTTCTGTTGAGCTAAAAACAAATCTATGAAGTTAATTTCTAGGGGAACCTTCTTTTCCAAGTGTTTCTACTCTCAATTATTTATCATTCATTCAAAGTGAAATTTTGCTTTTCACTTAGTTTTGAGTACAAGGGCATTGTATTTTAATTCATTGTTTTAATAGTTCTACTTTGCCAGCAGTCTCAACTGCACCTGACTCTTTCAGCAGTGGCATTTCTAAGGGATACGTTATCATCATGTCTTCCCTCTAAAATATAGCCATAGTAAGAACAAAGGAAAATAATTATAAGTTCATGTTTAAATTCTTAAACTGATGGTGTTTTTATGATTTGTGATTTCTGATCTAAACATTGTTTTGCTGTACAACATATTCAAAGTAAGTTCCTGAACCACTTTTCCAAATTACCTTCATTGTCCTTTCATTTTAAAAACTCAATCCTAGTAACTCTGAAACTTGCCATACAGACTAGTATGGTTCAATCAGTATGGTTCATAAGATCTTTTATGCTAAATTTTAACCCAAAGCATTTTTAATTTCTAAAAATACTTGGTGTAAAAGGATGCGACTGAATATAAGTGCTGGTTTTTCTACTGATGCAAAATAAAGGGAAGACTTACTTTAGTGTCCTGCACAAAACTGATAGGTTAGGTTTTTTTTACTTTCAGTTAATGAGTAGTAAAAGACCAAACTTCATTCTTATCAAGGACAAAGTTATCTTTAATCTGCCGTATGTATCTCTATTAAGTACCCGGCATTTATTTCACATGTATGATTCCTTTTGTGAAATAAAAAGTTCCATGTGGAATACCAACATAGAATGTGCAGTAGGACCAGGGCTCAAAGTAACAGATCAACAGTGAAGATCAGGGAGGAGCCTTTGGTTAACTATTCTGTCAATCCTTGTTTACATTAAAGGTAGTGGTTATGCTTTTGTATAATGATGTATCCCTAACGTGAATATTCAAACTAAAGTTTGTTATCCTCCTTTCTCAAGAAATGTTGTCATAATCATGCCTTACAGAAATTTGCTAAGCCTGCACATTGTTGAAAAGTGATTTTTTGGGTTTTTATTTTTCCCGACTTATTTTCCTAGACTGATCCCGTTGAGAACACATATGTATGGAACCCGAGCGTCAAGTTTCACATCCAGTCACGGTCCACATCTCCTTCCACATCTAGTGAAGCTGAGCCAGTTAAGGTGCCTTATTGGAGCATCCCTGCTCCCCAACTTTTCACTTGTGTCAGAAAAGAGGGAATTGAATAAAACAAGTCTGTCTCTCTCCTCTTAACCAAATATGTAATAAGTTACAGTCTATTGGAGATCATTACATTTAACTGATAATGTAGGTAGAAGTAAAAAACTAAAGAGCACATTGTCCTCAAATAGTCAATCTGAAATAGACAAAACTAACTAGAAAGATAGTCTTTATTTTAATTAGAGAACCATGTAGAACAGAAGATTAATTATGTAAATTTTTGAATTATTAGAAACTCTAGGCAAATGGCAGTGCAGGTGCCATTCTCATATTTTAATTCTTCTAATAAATGTAATAGGTCATGATATAACTAACCTGTTACATCATAAATAGAGCTGAAAAATAAAATAGCCACTTCTGGCAACTGAATAGTTCATTCTAACTGCTAAATTGGTAACAGTCAACTAAATCCTGACATTTAATAGTGCAAAAAAAACTGTGTTGTGTTTACACTTCATGTCAATCAATGGTTTTAAATAGCCAATAGGCCAATTTTCTTAACAGAGATCATTTCTTCCACAAGTCAAAAGAATGCTGTACCTCAGTCCATACCATCCTACCTTAAGATCAGCTCTGGTTCTTCATTCAGCATCAGGATTCAGACAAAGCTCCTTTGCTTTCCTTTTCTTAAATCTCCAGAGCTGTGTCTAGCATTCCAATAGAAGCAGATAGTCCAATCTGAAGAGTTGTCTGAAGTGAAGTGTGAGGTTGTAGTCAGGTTCTGACTTGATTTTTCCAACTCTGTGACAGACTCCCCCAAATTGTTTAAGTTAATGAGACCCTCTTGTGTTTTTAGTTATAATTGTTTTAATATTTTGAGATTATACATTTTTGTTTTAATGATAAAATATTTCAAGCATTCAGAGAATATAAACACCCATGTAAATATCACCCACAGATTAAACAGATACGAAAATTTTGCTTGTTTTTCAGGTTTTTATTCAAAAATATTTCAGAAACAGTTGAAACATCCTCGTGTATACCGTTCCCCACTCTTCTTTCCCAGACATATCTAAATATCCTGAAGCTGATGTGCATCTTCCCTTTCTTGGTTTTAGATGTTCATTTCATTTGTATCCACAAATGATACATAGTAGTGCTTATTATGTGTTTATAATTTACATAAATATTACCTGTATCCTTCTGTAATTTTTTTCATTCAGAAGTCTGCTTTTCAGGTTTATTCCTACAGATATGTGTTCATTTAGTTCATTCATTATAACTGTGGCATATACCACAACTACTTATCCATTCTCCTGCAGTTGGATATTTAGGTTGTTTCCAATTTTTCATTATTATCAGTGCTGAAATTAATATCCTAATATCTGTTTTTGCAAATGTACAGAGTTTGTTTGGCATGTATACTTAGTGGAATTACTGAGTTGTATGTTATATGCATTTTCAAGTTTAACTGGATCTTGCCAAATTGTTTTCCACAGTGGTTGGACCAATTTTCACTCCCCCAGCAGTGTGTGTGAGTTCCCCATTTCCCCACATCCTCACCTCACAGTCACACATTAACTTTTGCCAGCTTGATGGGTATTAAGTGTCATTTTTGTATTACATCTGTTTTCTAGTGTTATTCAGCATCTTTTTGTATGTTTATTGACCATTGATGATTTGCCTGTTTGTGTCCTTTGTTGTTCTATTGAATCATTTTTCTTATAGCTTTTTGTGTTCATTATATACTCTAGATACTAATTCTTTGCTAGCTATATGCATTGCAAATATTTTCTCCCAGTCTGTGGCTTATTTTAAAATTTTATTTGTGGTGTCTTTTTGTCTTGCAAAAGTTTTGATTTTAAAATAGTCAGATTTATCAGTCTTTTTCTTTATGACTTCTGCTTTTTATGTCTTTTTAAAACAGTTCTCTATGCAGAGATTATAAAGATTTTCTTCTATATTTTCTTCTAAAAGTTTTTAAATTTTGCTTTTACTTGTTTAGGACCTTAATCAAACTGATATATATTGTTATGTATAATGGGAAATGGGCTTCTAATGTCTTTTTCCCATGTGAACAAGTGACCCTGCTATATTTCCCCCCATCGATTTGTAATGGCTATTTCTGCTTTATATGCATGGATCTGTTTGGATACTCTCAATTCTTTTCCATTGTTCTTTTGGTTTTTCCTGCATTGGCAGTAAATTGTCTTAATTACAATTACTTTCACTCTAAAATAATTCCTGATACCTGGTATGGTGAGCCATCCCACATACCTTCTTCCTTTTCTTCTTGACCTTTTAGTTTTTCATATTACTTTTAAGGTCAGCTTGTCAAATTTCACATGGGGCTTTTGATTGGAATTGCATTAATGTATAGATCTATTTGAGGAGAATTGACATCTTTCATGATACTGGGTATTCCATCTATGAACATGGTATACATATTAGGGATTCTCTTATATCCTTCAATAAAGTTTCATTATTTTCAGTGTATTTCATATTGCTTGTTAGATTTGTTCCTAGGTACCTTAAATTTTTTGTTGCTGTGGTGACTGGGATTCTTTTTAAATACATTTTCTTACTGTGCATTGCCTTGTCTTTATAAACTCTAGATCTTGTATCCAGCACCCTTGCTTAATTTTTTTTAATTCTAATAACCTTTGGACTTTCTATGTAAATTTGACGACTTTGTTTCCTATTGTTTTTTATTAACTTTTGTATAGATTTTCAGTGTTCCTCTCTTTTATCTTTCATATGTATCTTTTCAAATGTTAAATTATAAGTTTGGTTTAAAACTTTTTCAAGCTATTTAAAAGTAAATAAAATCTAAATTAGAGCTAAACTCACAAACAGAAAACTCTGAGAAACTCAACTGAATTTTGTTTTAAGGCTGTAGTGCTTATAAAATATTCTGTTTTTGGAGGTTGTATGGTAACAAAGATAGATTGTTGTATAGTAACAACAAAGATGAGGTTGTATAATAACAGCAAAGAAAGGACCATCCATTTTTCTTATAATATTTTAAAATATTCTGTTCTTTATACAAAGACTAGCGTTTTCCTTTTATTTTTTTGCTTGGCATCCTGAAAGGAAGTTACTTTCCATGTCTTTTTTTTTTTTTTTTTTCTCACTACTTTGCTGATTAAGCAGTGGCTCTTTTTTCCCCATAATAACATCCAGTGGAATGATTGGTTCTTTGCATTCAAAGAAATAATATTACAATAAAACCCCATAAAAGAAGACCATATTTTACATAGCTACCTAAGAAAGATATGGTATGTGACTAAATTTGTATTAAAGTCAGAATTCCAATAATATTAAATAATTACAATAAAATTAAATAATTCCCTTCTTTGGAAATTAATTTCTGCACAAAAATCCCAGTGTCAGTCTCTGTCTATGTATTCACATCCAGAGCTGTGTTCTATATATGTAATATATGTTCTATGTATGAAAGTTGAGTAGTTAAAAGAATCTTCTAAATATTTTATTATAAATCATTTTGAGATACTTTTTAGAATATGGCAAATTCAGATGAATGTAAAAATTAATATCCTCATATTTATGTAGGCCACATGCTATGGCTTTTTTTATTTGAATCATTTGATCCAAATGATTTATTTTTATATTTCCAGACTAAAGTAACTTACTAATTGAACAAATATTTCATTCGTAGATATTGCAGGCAGAGATTTAAATTATCAACACTATGAGAATTTTAGCTTTATTGAGGTTTTCTTTATTATTAATTAGTAGAACTTTTTGCCTTATTGATGTTTTGTTTTATTTATTTTGGCTTCTTTCTAGTTATATTTGAAATTAATGGAGTGTTTCATGACATTTATTTCCTTTTTTGCTCCTGGGTTCAGACTGTAGACTCCACTCCACTTTCAGTTCACACACCAACCTTAAGGAAAAAAGGATGTCCTGGTTCAACTGGCTTTCCACCTAAGGTACTCAATCTAGTTATAAGCATAGTGTGTTCCAAAAAAAATGAATTTTATCTGCTCTATGCATTTGCTGTGATTTTTTTGATATTATTTCTTCAAATTTACAAACAGAAAAACTTATAAAATAAATTATGTGTGAATGCAAATAATCACCAATAGGAAAGGTAGGGAGAGCGTACAGCACTTTTTCATCTTCTTAAATTCAATGTTTTGAAGTCTGTTATAATAAGAAGTAGCACTTCCTCTAAGCAGTATATGCCTCAGTAAGGCATTAAGTTGAGGCCACTTGTGGAAGAATCTGAGACTGAAATCAATAAACCAGTGAGAAAGAAAAACGTTTAGTGAAAAATTCAGGTGGACTTTTTTTTCCCATTCTATTTGACATAAATATGACTGAAGTATTACATATGGTAGAATGAGAAGATTTAGTTGCTTGTCTCAAGCTCCCACAAAGAAATTCCAGAAATTGGAAAACTGAATGATCTGCCTCTCCAGAACATAAACCTTGGATAAACCACAAAATGAGAGAGAGAGGTCAATAGACCTGAAAAAATATACAAAAAATATAACTGATATAGAAGAAAGACAAACTGAAATAACCTGTGCCCAGATAAAGCAAAATTTTAAGGCCAGATAGAACATGAATTTAAAATAAACATAAAAAATATCCTTAAAGAGATAAGAAGTATGTTGGTAACATGAGGCAGGATAAGGTAGTTAGGAAGAAAAATAAATTGGGAATACTTGACATGAAAACATAACTGCTGAAATAACTAAATAGATGACTTTAATAGTAGAAGGGGTAAAATGGATATCACAGAAAAACAAGTTAGTAGGAGGGAAGATAAGATGAAAAACAGGAAAGTTAAGATATATGACAACCCAACCAAAAGAAAACACTCTAGTAAACTAAAGGTTTATAAATAAAAGGAAAAATATTGGGCATTCAGGCAAAAAATATGTCACTTAAAGGGGAAAGAAAATGAGATTATCATCAGATTTTTTCATAGTAACAGTATGCTAAAAACAACAGCAGTGAAATAACACATTTAAGATACCCAAGGAAAGTACAAGTGAAAGATTTTTAAGGATTTAATATTTTAAGGATAGTAAAGCATACTCCAAAAATGAAGGCCACAGAAAACTATTAAGAACATGCAAGAGCTCAGGAAATACTGTTCCCATACCCCTTCTCAAGCAATGTGCTAGAGAACAAGCTTCAGACAACCAAAATGATAAGACACCAAGTACTTTGAGAGGCAAGAGTGAAGCAGGAGTCTAGAGTAAATTAGAGAATTGATTCAAAGTCCACATAAAGTGTTATACCAGTTCTGAAAACCAGACAACTACCCCAACTCAGCAATACGTTAATTTTGTGAAGTAATTAAACCAAAGAGATCACAAATTTAAGGGCACCAACCAGGCTCACTGGTTGGTGAGAGAAAGAAGTGCAAAACCACAAATAGTTGAGATTTGGCAAAAGTCCATGTACTGAATGGCGAGACTTCAAATCCTTTCCTCTGCTTAGCTCCCAGAATACTGACTCTTGGGACTGTAGCCTCCTCCTCCCCACTCTGCTTGGAGAGGATATCAGTGGATCCTCGGGTCCACTGAATGGCCCAGAAAAGACCTATCGATAATGTCATTTGGGGCTCCCTAATGAGATGGCTAGGTCCTTTCTTAACAAGCACATCATATGTTTGCTCTCATGTGGACACATAGATAGACACAAAATCTCTTTAGCTTTTTTACTGACTCTTAAAAATGTTAAGATTCCCAACAGTCAGTAGACATTTCAAAATTATCTAACAAAGGAAAAAGATCAGGGATACGTGGTGGCTCACACCTGTAATGCCAGCATTTTGGGAGGCTTAGGCGGGCTGATTGCTTGAGCCCAGGAGTTCGAGACCTACCTGGGCAGCATGGCAAAACCCTGTCTATATGAAAAATACAAAAATTAGCCAGGCGTGGTGATGTGCACCTATAGTGCCAGCTACTTGGGGGTTGAGGAGGGAGGATCACTTGAGCCTGGGAGGTCAAGGCTGCAGTGAGCTGAGATCGCACCACTAAACTCCAGCCTCAGTGACATGGTGAGACCCTGTCTCAAAGAAAAAGATAAATATTTCCTGTTTTTGTTGAAGGAAAAAGGGACAATGCAAAAAGCAGAAAGAAACAGAGCAATATGAGAACAAGAAGTCTCAAGTTAAAGAAAATATGATAAATATTTTTTAAATTCAGTAGATGAGTCACAAGATAAATTTGAGAATTCTCTTAGAAAATATTGCAAAAAATCAGGTAGAAATTAGGAAAAGAAAATATGAGAAATCCATATCCAACAAGTAGAAGTTCCTGAAAGGGAAGACAGAAAAAAGAAAAGGAAGGAAATTATCAAGTAAGTAAAAGACTTTTTCCTGTAACTAAAAGACATGTTTCCAGATTGCACAGTTCCATCAGTGCCTACTAGCACTAGTGGATGACAAATACCTGTCCCCAGTCACATCATTGTGTGAGTTTTCAAGATACCAAAGATAGAACTTTTTAAACCTTTAAGGAGATTTAAAAAAGATCACATCCACATATTCAGGAATTGAAATGACATACTTACCCAAGGCAAAATGAAAAGAATAGTTAGAAGGTAAAATGATTTCAAGCTAGAATTTTTGATTCCCTGTCAAATGTCCCATCGAGTTGCAGGGGGGAAAAAATTGCATTTTGAGAAATTCCAGATCTCAAAGAAATTTTTATCACCCATGTGCTACTTTCTAAGGAAACTTAATTAGTTCTACCAGAACAAGGAAGGGGACAAGGAAAGAGAGACATGAGGTCTATAGAAGAAGGAATTGTACACAGACCGGTTAAGAGAAAGACTGGAATAGGAAACCAGAGGGCTTCAGCAGGGTTGTCTTCAGGTCAATAGAAAGGGGTAAGGGGGCTGAAAGGCTTCCAGTGTGTTTGACCATGTGGTAAATAGATTCCAGGGGATTTTACAGTTCCTTAGAAGAGTCTGGAAGATTTAGTGATAGAGATACAGAAAGGTAAAAGTCGAGGGTGGGAGGGGAACTATTAATTTTAGAAAAATCATGAGGTTATACAAGTAAGATGATAACCATAGTGTACTTCTTATTAGTGAATAATGATTCTCTAGTCATAATAACTTAGACATTACATATAAATTTTAAGCTAAAACTACTATAACAATATTGGGAAAAATGAAAAAAGGGAGTAGATAGTGTAAAAGGGCCATATCCTTCTCTACCATAGCAGGAAGTGAACAGATAACGTCTCAAATCAAAAAACTGTAGTATAGGCTTTCCACCCCAGCTCTGCCCCGCCCATATAGATACCTATTACAGAAGGAGGGAAATAGCTTTTAAAAAAGGAGAGTTAAATGAAATTGCCTGTAGGAAGTAGGAGGAATACTTCTGATTTTGTCATAAGCATTGTAATACCATTTTACTTTTTCAACCATGTGTATGTATTAATTTGATTTTAAAAATTTAAAACAGAAAATGTAGAAAAATTTTTTGTGACTGGGAATAAATATAAGATCTCAAATCACAAGCATAAGGTGAAAATATTCGTGGGCTTTATATCAAAATTAAAAATGCTTTTACAGTGAAAGCATTGTTAACAGATGATGACAGACTAGTGGAAGATATCTGCAATGTTTACCACTAATAAGAGGCTTATTTCTAAAATACATAAGAAACTCCTGCAACTCCATATGAAAAAGACTAGAAATCCCATTGAAAGATTGGCAAGTGATATAAATAATTCCCAGAAGACGAAATCCTGATGGTCAACAAGCATGTGAAGAAATGTCCAACTTCATTAATCATTGGAGAAATTTTTAAAATTTAATTTTAGAATTACTATCACTTTCTATTCAAAATCAAGATAAAATTAAGTAAGATGACGTCATGGATGTGGAGAAACAGGCAGCTTCACACGTGGATACTGGAAGTATAAACGGGTACAGCCATTCTGGAGAGAACCTAGACAGTGTAGAGTCATACGTAAGCTGTATGACTCAGCAATCTCATTTCATCAGAAAAATCTCTTTCCTTTACAAAAACCTCCATACAGATTCATTAGGCAACATGATGAAGATGTTTATTACTGTATTTTTTATGGCAGTAGGGAGTTGGAAATAGGGGAAAGATTCCTAAAATGTAATTGATATATAACAGAAACACATTTATATAAATTAAAAACACATACTCAGACTATCTAATTTATAAAGATATATACATGTCCAAGGTATTGGATCATCAAGGATGAAAAGGCAAAATAAGACAAAATAAAACTAGAGTGAGGCTTCTATCAAGCTGATATTATTTTATGAATTAAATATTAACTTAGTTTGTTGCACCTAATATTTCTCCCCAAGAAATAAAATTTATTTCATGTTTTTTAAAAGATAGAGAAGTGAATCTATAATTATCTCAAAATAGAAATTTTAAAAGGGAAGAAAAAATATTTTTAAAAAGAAAATTAAATTTTTTTTTTTTTTTTTTTGAGACGAAGTCTCGTTTTGTCGCCAGGCCGGAGTGCAGTGGCGTGATCTCAGCTCGCTGCAGCCTCTGCCTACCAGGTTTAAGCAGTTCTCCTGCCTCAGCCTCCCGAGTAGCTGGGACTATAGGCGCATGCCACCATGCCCAGCTAATTTTTGTATTTTTAATAGAGACGGGGTTTCACCATGTTGGCTGGGATGGTCTCGATCTCTGGACCTCGTGATCCGCCCTCCTTGGCCTCCCAAAGTGCTTGGGATTACGGGCATAAGGTACCGTGCCTGGCCAGAAAATTTAATTTCTTTAAAACATTTTAAAATTTTTTGTAAAAAAGAAAGGGTTGTGTGAGATACTCTTTGACTTGTCATTTATTAGTGGTAAAAGTTTAATTATCTACAGTAAATTTTTAAGCTTTCACCAAGAGTTGTACTTGGTTCTACTTGGCTCTTACATCTTCTATTAAAAACATTTTACTTTCTCCAATGTGTAGCTTAAAATCTACAACACAGAAAAAATCAGAGTAGAAAAGAACTCTTTCTAATCACCACTTTGAAATTTGAGGTTATGGTTAATTCTTTCTACTCCAAATGATCACATAATCTAAAATTCTAATTTTAGTCCATACTTTAATACCTTTCTTACTAGATTTTTTTCTTTTCATTTTTTTCTCTTCTTCCAGCTGTCCACAAAGGGAAGTATTAGATATCAAATATTGACCAGGAGGCAGGAAACAGGGATATTAGAAGCCAAGGAATCTAGACTCTAAGATCGATCATTCCTGTGTCTTTCTTTATACATTTTCACACCAAAACAAAAACAAAATCCTATTGTGTATTACCTAAAGATTGATGGCCTCAGAATAACGATCTTTAATTATGTTATGTTATACTATCCTTAGTGGAGATTAGTGAAATATAAACCCGTTAATCTTTAGTAGTGGATTACACAACCTCTCCTATAATTTAACCAGCACCTACCAGTTGGATGATTTATTACCTAAAATTAATGCTCAGCCAAAACACTGGGTTGTTATATTTTTCCCTGCTGTCATACTCAGAATTGTGACATCCTGAATAGATCTCTTGCTGGAGAGGAAGTGTATGATATATATATATATATATCATATATGTATATGTGCAATTCGGGAGGTATTATGGAGAATTACTAATAAATTTGTCAACCCTAGAGTTGTTTCATTGCTACTGTTTCAGGTATGTCTTGTTACTGTTTAGAAGAAGAAAAACATGAACCTACTTAGAGCAGTTGATTAATTTTTCCTTCTTTGTATTCAAAGCCTCTAGGACTAACCAGTAAAATAACTTCACGTCTTTTGCATTAATGCATTTTGAACAATTGAAAAAGTTAGCACTAGAAAATTTACTCATAATAGTTTCTCAAAGAGCCAAAAATTAAAAAGTAGTATACAGGAGAAAGAGCAAAATTTTATGATTTTAATAGATTCCTTCATATAAGGAAATAATATCTATCTTTCCAAGGTGGTTATTTGCATGAAATAAGATGAATTATGTAAAGTACTGGTACAGTGTCTGTACCCTGACTGGGACTCAGAAGCTATAGGAGCAGTTGCAGAGTTAGTAATAAGATAGACTGTGTTCTACTTAGAGTCAAATCCTAGTGCTGCTTTGAAACTGACCAAAAGATCGTGAGGAACTTCTAGAACACAATGCTTTGAGGTTGGACCAGAGCTCATGACCACTCTAAATTTGAGACTCTCACCCCATTCTCTGACTAATGCTGGTAGTCAGGTTTTTCTATGTAAAAAGATAATCTACTTCTATTTTTTTAATTTCTTTTGTAGTGTACAAATCATATATCCCAGTTGAAAAGAACAAGATTTATTTTTAACTTGAATTTTAAAGCTTCAAATATTCCCTTTAGTTTTTTGTTCATATGTTAGTGTCTACTGAAATAAATGCTACTTGATAACCTTTTAAAATCAGTATTCATAATTTATTAGAATATGGAGTAGAGTTCTTAGTAGTTTAAATCAATCACACATTTACAAGAGAAAAAAATAGCAAAATTCAAATAACATTGGGTACCCATGGACATAAAGATGGCAACAAAAGACTCTGGGGACTACTAGAGAAGGGGAAGGAGGGAGGGGTGCCAGGGCTAAAAAATTGGGTACTGTGCTCAGTACCTGGGTAATATGGATCGGTCATGCCCTAAACTTCAGCATCATATAATATACTCAGGTAACAAACCTGCACGTGTACCCACAAATCTAAAATAAGAGTTGAAATTATTTTTTTTTGAGTACTTAGTATGTACCAGGTACTGTTTGAAAGGCTTTGTTTATATTAATACTCATTTAACCACTCCGTTAGGTAGATACTATTATTTATCCTGTTTTGTAGATAAGGAAAGTGAGACAGAGAGGAATTTAGTAATTTTTTCCTAAGTTCACACAACAGAATGAAAGGTTATTTATTATACATCATTTATTGTTAAAACATGCTAAGAGAATTAATTTGGAAAACAAAGGAATATTCCAAAGAGATAAAATCTACATTTGCTTACCACCATGTAAATCAGGTAAGACTAAGATACCTTTAACTATGGTGTATTCAATAAGAAATTTCAATCTGCCATCTGTCTCTGGAATAATATTTGTGTATTCTTATCTGCTCAAGTGTTATACTGCCTCTTTCCATAGGAGGAAACTGATTCGTGAAGCATATTATTTGTCCTTGGTCCCAGAAAGAGAAATGCATGATTTACAGTAGAAACAATAATTTTAAATAACTCTTTTTCCTAAGAAGGTATAAAGCATATTAAAATCCTATATTTGTATCAGTATAAATATGCAATATTTTACTTAACTATTTGCTGAACAATAATTTGGATAATTTATTAAAATTCTGAAGCTAAGATTTATGAGCCCCCCAAAAAAGCTATTGTTTATTTTATATACTTTTAAAATGGCATTGAAGAGCAATTATCATTTAACTTCTTAATTATTTTAGCTTAGTCCAGTTCAAATTACCTAATAAAAATGTTTAAAGACCATAAACTATAAGAAGATGTAATGAGAAATGGAAATAATTCATTCTATTCCTATTTAGAAAACATTCTAGAAAGTGGTATGGGGCATAAGGACTCACATTATGGAAATCTTTTAAACAATCTGTGTGTTTTTTTATCAATTTGTTTTGCAGCGCAAGACTCACCAGTTTTTTGTAAAATCTTTTACTACTCCTACCAAGTGTCATCAGTGTACCTCCTTGATGGTGGGTTTAATAAGACAGGGCTGTTCATGTGAAGGTAAGAACACAAAGGAAAGAAAATGTGACTTCACTATCTAAATTGTAATCAAATAAGTTGATTCTCTTTCAAAGGTGTATAAATGTTTGTTTTACTTAATCATTTGCTTTTTTGCATAACAGGAATGGAAATAATCTGTGTTGTCTGTTGAATGTTCGAGAAACTAGACATATTTTTCAGGGGCAATATATTTAAATATGGTTCATTTGTCTTTGTTTTGTTATTAAATTTGTAGTCCCTGCCAAAAAACATTAACCTGACAGAAGAAAATTCATTGAATTTTAACCTTGTTTAATTTATTAGAGAAATTGTTATTAAAAAGTAGACAGTGTGGGAACCTTTTCAGAAATATTAAATGTCTGCCACTATGTCTGAAAGATATTTTATTCCTGTATTAATAGCAGAGGTTTTTTTTTTTCCCCTAACATCCATGATTTATTCATCACATGTTTATGGAACACCCACTGTACTTCTAGGCACTGGGGACATAATAGTGGATAGGGGAAAGGCATAGATCCTACCCTCATAGAGCGCACATTCTGAGTGATGAAGGAGAGAGGGTCAGGGGTCATGTGAACAGAAAAGAAAGTATATTTGTTTGGGTATTCCTTTATTTTTCCTAGGACCTCTGAAGTGAAAATGGTTTAAATTATAATGGAACATATATTTTTTTAAATGTTTCAGAAGAATACTTTTTTAAAAAATCAAATGAAATTTGTCATTACAACACTACCTTATATGAGGGGACTTCAAAAAGCTTGTGGAAAAGTAGAATTTAAAAATAAAAATAAACAATATAAACTTTTTTTTTAGCATAAGCTCCATTAAGTTCAAGACAACTTTGTAAGCAATTATACCACCCATTTAGTCCATCCCTGAAGAACAGAGGGTCCTGAGAATGTAACCATGTCAGTCTAGTCTCCTTTACATTATTAACTGAAGAAAGATGGGTGCCCTTAAAGACTTTTTGAAATTCAGAAACAAAAAAGTCAGAAGGAACCAAATCAGGACTGTAAGGTGGATGCCTAATGATTTCCCATGGAAACACTCACAAAATTGCTGTTGTCTGATGAGAGGACTGAGCAGGAGGAGCATTGTCATGGTGAAGAAGGACTCTGGTGAAGCTTTTCCCAGGCGTTTTTCTGCTAAAGCTTTGGCTATATTTCTCAAAACACTCTCATTATAAACAGGTGCTATCATCGTTTGGCTCTCTAGAAAGCCAACAAGCAAAATGCCTCAAGCATCCCAAAAAACTATTGCCATGACCTTTGCTCTTGACTGGTCCACTTTTGCTGTGACTGGACCACTTCCACCTCTTGGTAGCCATTGCTTTGATTGTGCTTTGTCTTCAGGATCATACTGGTAAAGCCATGTTGCATCTCCTGCTGCTGTTCTTCAAAGAAATCCTTCAGGATCTTGATCCCACTTGTTTAAAATTTCCGTTGAACATTCTGTAGCTGATCTGGGTGCAGTGGTTTTGGCACCCAACAAGTAGGAAGTTTGCTCAGCATTCATTTTTGGTCAGAATTGTGTAAGCTGAACCAATTGAGATGTCTGTGGTATTGGCTGTTGTTTGTGCTGTTATTCATCAGTCCTCTTCAGACAGAGCATGAACAAGATTAATTTTTTCCCTGGCAAATTAATGTGGAAGGTTTGCTACTGCAGGTTTCATCTTTGACATCATCTTATCCCTTCTTAAAATGAGTTATCCATTTGTAAACTGCTGATTTCTTTAAGGCATTGTATTTGTCTCTTCTCACATTGCTAATAAAGATATACCCAAGACTGCATAATTTATAAAGGAAAGAGGTTTAATTGACTCAGTTCCACATGACTGGGGAGGCCTCACAATCATGGTGGAAGGTGAAAGAGGAGCAAAGTCACGTCTTACATGTCGGCAGGCAAGAGAGCATGTGCAGGGGAACTCCCCTTTATAAAACCATCAGATTTCACGAGACTTAATCACTATCACCAGAGCAGCACAGAGAGACCTGCCCCCATGATTCAATTACCTCCCACTGTGTCCCTCCCATGACACATGGGAATTATGGGAGCTACAATTCAAGATGAGATTTGGGTAGGAACACAGCCAAACCATATCAGGCATTGTCCCCATAAACTTTTTGTAAAGCATCAATGATTTCACCCAAGCTTCATTGTAAATTTTATATTTGTTCTTACTTAATTTTAGCAGAATTCATGTTGTTCTGATAGGGGCTCTTTTCAAATTGATGTCTCATTCTTCTTAGTGCCTCAAACTAGATCCTTTTCAGACATATTATAACAAGTTAGTATGCATTTATTTTGGTGCAAAAGAAAATTTTAAATCCATGCATAGTTTTTCCATAATATGCATTTTCCATGAACATTCTGAAGATCTCTCATATTGATGTATCTTATGAAAAAGACAAGAAAATAGTTGCTAACTCAAATTCTAATACTAGTTGCCATTTCCTGTCTCTTCTGCTGTTAGAATGGGAAGGGACCTTAAAGGAAATGTAGCCCATCCCCATCAGATGCATGTGTTTCCTTTATAATAGACTTGTAGTTAGCCTGTATCTGAGTACTTTGAGTAAGAGGGAAATTAATAACATCTTAAGGCAGTGCATTCTGTTTGGTTAGTTCTCACAGCTAAAGTGAAAGATCCAGATTGCAGTATTTTAACTAATCCATTAGATATGTGTGTTTAAAGCCAAATAAAATGTTCAGGGTTAAGAAAGCAGAGATTTAAGAGCTAGGAGTGTATTAAGTTATAAACATGAATGACATCCAGGAAGTACATGTAGATTGAGAAGAGAGCAAGTACATGAGTCTCTTACATAGTTAAGGGAAGGCAACAGGAAAAGATAGCCAAGTTAACCTGAGAAGGAATCGCCTGTATTGTTGACTAGGAAGGTGTGACTGAAGGCAAAGAAGGAGAAAATTTGTAGTTTTCAAGCTTTGTTTCATTTTGGAACTTAGCCAGTAATGGTATGTCATTTTAAAATTTGTTTATCAGAAAGAATCCTGGCCAGCTACCTGGCTTTAAGTCCCATGTCATTTTTTATGCACCACAATTACTTGCAATTCATAGTAGGAATTTTTGAGGTCTTCTCAGACTCTCTTCCCTTCTAGAGTCTTTTGCTGTGAAATTGTGCCTATCTTTTCTTCAGACCCTTTGAAGCCTACTTTATGAAGCTATGGGGACTCATGAGACTGTTCCTAGCCTTTGTCTGCCAGGCTTTTGTAAATGTTGTAATAATGTGGTTCCAGCTTCTAAAGATTCCTGTCATGTTCCTTTCCTTGTGGTTGGTTGGAATTAGATCCAGTATAGGATACTTATTTTGTTGCTTCCACTGCCCTTTGCTTGTAAGTAAAACAAATCATAACTTGCTAGATACTCCACTTAAAACTGAATTGAAGGCCGGGCGCGGTGGCTCAACGCCTGTAATCTCAGCACTTTGGGAGGCCCAGGCGGGCGGATCACGAGGTCAGGAGATCGAGACCATCCTGGCTAACACGGTGAAACCCCGTCTCTACTAAAAATACAGAAAATTAGCCGGGCAAGGTGGCGGGCGCCTGTAGTCCCAGCTGCTTGGGAGGCTGAGGCAGGAGAATGGCGTGAACCCCGGGGGGCGGAGCCTGCAGTGAGCCGAGATTGCACCACCGCACTCCAGCCTGGGCGACAGAGCGAGACTCCGTCTCAAAAAAAAAAAAAAAAAAAAAAAAAGTGAATTGAAGTTGTGTGTGATGACTCATGCCTATAGTCCCAACTACTCAGGAGGCTAAGACAGGAGGATCATTTTGAGGCCAGCCTGGGCAACATAGCAAGACCTTCTCTTTAATAAATAAATAAAGTGCATTGAGATGTTTGGATGATTTTTGTCATCTTGCCTCTCTGCTGGTTTCACAGTATCCATCAGTGATATGTAGTCCATTTATAGAGATGGTAACTGTACCTCTCTTAGATTGTTATAGAAAAATAAAAAGCACTCCATAAAGTTAACTATTGTTATTTTAGTAGTAGTTTAAGTATATGTAATAATAACTCCTAAAATTTACCTTTAACTTGTACTTTTTTAGTCATTGAAAAACTCCATTTTCAAGGATTGGTAGAGTTTGCCAAACCGAAGATGTCAGGTAGCTTAATGCCCACTAGTGACCCTTGCAACAGAAATTTCAAGGCAGATACCAAGTTGCAGTGGGATGAAGAGCAAAAAACTCTAGAAACCACTCTTTTAGAAAATCTAAATCAATCATTTTATTCACAAGGTTAGATGCTTCGTCTGTTGCTTCTTTTTTTGATCACTAATGTCAATACAGAACAGCAGTAATACAAGTAATTTTTTAAATATTTACTATGTCTCATTAAAATTGTCATTGGTAAGCAAATGAATCAGCTACCCAAATGATAAAACAGTTATTTAAAATAAAATTGGAGATAAGCATTCATCTAACATAGCATCTTGTATGCAGTGAGTGTTACGAATTTTCTTTTTGTTAAAATGAATTTTTATCAAACGTTTCTTTTTTCCCTCTAAAAGTGTGTGGATTCTCATGCCATATAACTTGTGTAAACAAAGCTCCAACCACTTGTCCAGTTCCTCCTGAACAGACAAAAGGTCCCCTGGGTATAGAT
The DNA here is from genome assembly GCF_000001405.40 of Homo sapiens. Taxonomy (NCBI): domain Eukaryota; kingdom Metazoa; phylum Chordata; class Mammalia; order Primates; family Hominidae; genus Homo; species Homo sapiens. Next base: position 227,035,512 of record NC_000001.11, on the reverse strand, counting down.
CCTCAGAAAGGAATAGGAACAGCATATGAAGGTCATGTCAGGGTAAGTATGATTAAGTTGGGTTTAGATTAATCCTTTAAGATTTATTAATGAATTAAAATCAAATCCAGTTAGTTTAAGAGGATAGTTCTTGATGGAAAATTAAATGAATAAAATTCATCTAATAATTTTATTTCATCTAGAATAATGATTTGCAAACAAAAACCTAGCTTTTACATGGAAATAAGTTATAAAATGTCTCAAGTTTTTCCATATTGTTCCTATCTTGTGATGAAATCTTCATAAAGGAGTTTGTGGCCCCTGCTCTTGCAAGAGAGGTGGCATATGGTTATGAATTATGAGCTATTAAGGCATAGTCTTGTTATCTTGGGTAGTATTTACAATGTAAGCTGAACTTCATCTTACACCAAGTTTGACTTTTATGCTATTTAGAAAGAAACCCATGAGTGTTATTTTAATGAAATATGAGTGAAAGTTAAAATGGTACCATTAAAATGTTTCTCAGAATAAAAAGTCATTCTGTATTTGAAGAATGTGTTCTCACATTTTCTCATAGCTTAATGATATGTGTCTCATCTGCTACTTTACCAACCAGAATGGCAGACTTATAAAACGTGTACATTATCTGTAGGTCTTCACCATGCAATTACATATGTAATTTAAGGGATATTTTCATTTGAGTTGTTTTGGCTGTTTGTCTGTCTAAAACAAAACTAAGATTCCTAAGCCAGCTGGAGTGAAGAAAGGGTGGCAGAGAGCACTGGCTATAGTGTGTGACTTCAAACTCTTTCTGTACGATATTGCTGAAGGAAAAGCATCTCAGCCCAGTGTTGTCATTAGTCAAGTGATTGACATGAGGTAAGAGTTTGAAGGTAAAATTATTTGTATCATTGCAACATAGGAATTTTAAAGTTTCTGATTTTCAAAAATTGTGTTGCCATGGTTTATTTAAATGAACTAATTTCGTATTTTCTAATTTGCTAATATTGCTATAGAAACAGAATTGAAAATAGGAAGTAAGGTGTATTTATAGGACAGGTTGGTATGTGTGTTGAGTGTGAGGGGCTAGGAGTTAAGGAAAAAGAAGTTGGTGTCCCAAAGACCTGTGTAAATGGGGTAATGGAGGCCTACCATGTGAAGTTTATATTATCACATCACCTAAAGGCTTAGAGTATAATTTCAATGTGAGGAAAGAAAATAAAAATCAGAAAGGCTTCTGGAAAACATAATCAGTAAACATTTAAGTAAGTACAGCCCTTGAACACTTCTGGTCTCATTTTTCAGATTCTTCCTGTGTTCCTTAGTTCTCTCTCCTTTACCTTTTCTCCTAACTCCAGGCACTATCCTTGAGTGATCATATTTACTCACAGCTTCAGCCATCTCCTCTGCATTGATGACTCCCAGACTTGTATCTCCAGTTCAGATATATCCATCCATTGCTCAAAACCGGAATTTCTAGCTGTGACTCAAATTGGCACTTCACATTGGCATCTCAAACGCATTATCTTCCCCTACAAATATGGAACATGACAGGATAGATGCAAGAAATATTGGCAAGAAAAATCTGATAGAACCTACTAAGGGACTGAATATAGATAGGGAAAAGAATCACAAATAGGACTAAGGTGTCAAGCCTGTAAGACTAAGGGAGTCATGGTACCAACAACAAAATTAAGGGAATCACAAGAAATTATTGTGGAGGAAATACGTTGTAGATGTTGAAGGAACAATAAAATATAACATGAGCTGGGTTGAGGGTACTTAAGATTTATTATGGGAGGCAAGAGGGTCCACTGGAGGCTCCAGAGACCTACCAGGGTTCAAATCCCAGTTCTACGTGTATACTTAACTGGCCTTGTGACTGTGGGTAAGCCAGCAATGATTTCTAGCTCTTGTATAATGTGCCACTAGGAAGTTATTCTTGATAAATTATTTGGGGCACTATTAATTACAATGGGGGAAAATTAATTTTTTTAAAAAATTAAATTTGGGTGTTTGGTGCAGTTAAGCTTTGGGTATGTGTTATTTGGATACACACCCCAAACCACACACACATAGCCACATATAGTAACTTTTAATGCTTTGCTTTTCGTTCAGGGATGAAGAATTTTCTGTGAGTTCAGTCTTGGCTTCTGATGTTATCCATGCAAGTCGGAAAGATATACCCTGTATATTTAGGGTAAGTGTGTATGCTGTAATTTGATCACTGAATTATGTGTTTTTAATGAGTATATTTTGCCTCCCTATATAAATCATAAATTCACTATAAGTAAAACCAAATCTTATATTCTTTTATATATTCCATATCATCCAGTACTTGAAGGTATAGAAAATTGGTGCTAAGTATTTAATTAGTGAAAGACCTGGAGAAAGCATCAATATATGGCTTATAAAATATGCTTCCTGGTAGATAATATTTTTTAGTTCCAATTCAATTTTTAAATAAATACTACCACATGGAAAATTAGATAAGTGTGAGGTTTCTCAAGTTTTTAAAAAAATAAAAATGTCTGTCTTGAAAAATTAATGCGTTTGTTACTTACTGCTTTGTAACAGCCATTCCAAAACTTAGTAGCTTAAACCAACAGTGATTTACTATTTTTCACTATTCTGTGGACCAGCTGTACAGTTCTTGTGGTGTCCGCTAGTGTCACTGATGTGACTGCATTCAGCTCATTTGGGACCAGAACATCTAATGACCTTGCTCTTACATCTGGGTGCTGGCTGTTAGCTGGGTGATCTCAGTTCTCCTCTTTGTGAACTCCCTCCATGTGGTCTCTGGTCGTCAGGTAGGCTGGCTGAGCTCCCAGTGGCTGGCTTCTAAGAGAGCAAAATAAGCTGCCAGGCCCTTTGAGGACTAGGCCCAAAACAGGTATAATAACCCTTCTGCATTCTGTTGGTCAAAGCAAGTCATGAGGTCAGCCCAGATTTAAGGGGAGGGGAAATAGACTCCACCTCTTGATGAGAAGAATGGAATTCCTTAGGAGGACTTGTTGGTAGGCGTCTTTGGAGGCCCTTGCCACGATGCAATCTTGAGTGGGTAAATTAAGACAATAGAGGTTAAAAAAAAAAACTACTGCCCAATTGTTATGCCTATCTCCCTATATTTGTCTATGAATCTTGTATCTAAGGAAGGTCAGGCAAAGATTATACTTAGTCTCTTAGTTCCCAGACTGACAACTATTTATTTTCCTCCCAGCCACCAAGGGAGCCTACAGAGGCCCACTTATCTATAACTGATTTTCATAGTGTGAGTTTATTGTCACTGCTACTTAATAAGGAATTCTTTACTTATGATAAGGAATTCATATAGGTAAAATTTAAAACTGCTCTGATAGTGTTGTTTGTATAATGATAAACCTTCATTTAAATATTAATTTAAATGGTCAAATCTTAATGATAATGCGAGTTATTGTTGTGAAGTAACAGAGAATATATTTCTGAGCACTTCTGACCTTAAAACAAGTCACAAGTCAGTATGGTGTGGCGCTTAAGAGCATGGGCACAAGATCCCAGACTTGTAGTTGTATGTCCTTGGAGAAATGATTTAATTTCTTTGCATCACCATTTTTTTCATATATAAAATAAGGATATAATGACAGTACATCCTAAATCATGACGATGTTAACAGAGTTAAATGAGTTAATACTTGTAAAGTGCTTAGATCTACCTGGTGCTCAGTATTTACTCAATAAATGTCAGTTGTTGTTGTTGTTGTTATATATTTAATGCCTCTTTAGTGATAGTGTTCTGGCACTTTTACAGAAGGAAAATGAAAATGATACTAACATTTCAAATGGTGTCTGCCACCTTTGCTTTGTCATGTATTCTAGTGCTAAAGGTAGTTATTCTGATTAGGAATAGCTGAACTCCAGTAATGGTATCATTTAATGAATGCTTATTTTATTGGTGAGTGCTAAGCAAACTAACATAATCATGAAACTAGCATAAAGGGTGTCTGTTTTCTAATATCATGAATATTGATTAAATTGTTCTAGGTCACAGCTTCCCAGCTCTCAGCATCTAATAACAAATGTTCAATCCTGATGCTAGCAGACACTGAGAATGAGAAGAATAAGTGGGTGGGAGTGCTGAGTGAATTGCACAAGATTTTGAAGAAAAACAAATTCAGAGACCGCTCAGTCTATGTTCCCAAAGAGGCTTATGACAGCACTCTACCCCTCATTAAAACAACCCAGGCAGCCGCAATCATAGGTATGAATTTATAACATTTATCATATTATTATCATTGTTTACTAATCTACCTTGAGAACAGGGATTGGCTTTCATCTAGGAATCCCCAGTGTCCAACATACTGTGCATCATATCATAAATGCTCAGTACATGTTTACTGAATGAATGAGACCTATATCAGATCTTTGTTTTTCAGTAAACAGGAGTATAAATACACTTTCAAAGTGCCTTTTTTTTCCTGAAAAAACAACAGTGCTAAGCATTAGCCTACTAATCTATTTTCTGCTTGTGTGATTTAGAACAAGTTAGTTTCTTAGAGTTTAATATATAAAATACAGATGGTAATTACCTTGCTGAGGTTATTGGGAAGTTTAAATAAGATGGAATACATAACACAGAGTGCCCTGCATAAGAAAGAAATCCCCTTAACAAATGGCAGTTTCTGTGTCTGGAGGTTTAAATTTTTGCTGTATTCCTGTGTATGCATCTAACTCTTTTGTTACTTTCCATAAATACTGAAAAGTTCAATGAGTATGGTTCAAATGCCATTCACAATTTTTACCTCCCAAAACAATAAGTGTAGAACAACTTAGGTTTTTCATTTTGTTTCATCATTTATTAAACATTTACTTCTTTTTGTAAGTATTGATATGGATTATTCTTTAATAATTGTTCTATTTTAGAAGACATGAGAGATTTACCAGTATAATCTGAAAGGAAATAGTGTAAACTGTTATTGTAATTCATTTTATTTCCATTTTTTGCACCAAATGTTCTTATCATCTGGTTTATTAGCATTACATGGTTTTTTTCCTAATAAAAATCTTTCACATTCATGTCTTACATAGATCATGAAAGAATTGCTTTGGGAAACGAAGAAGGGTTATTTGTTGTACATGTCACCAAAGATGGTAAGAGAAAACTTTTTTTTTTTGGAGTAATTTTAAATCGTGTTAAAAAAATTTAAACTGTAGATTCTAAATTCTACAAAGAGCAGGATTTGCTCTTATTTATCCTGCGACTAAAATTTTCCAGACCTAATTTGACGTTTATAAATTAAAAGATTATTTTTAAATTTCTATAATCCCCCTGAGGTTTAAAACTTCAAATATGTATTGTCTTTCTTGTATCATTTTATTTAACAGTTCTGTACGAACTCAGATTGCATTTCTTTTTTTTTTTTTGGAGACAGAGTTTCACTCTTGCTGCCCAGGCTGGAGTGCAGTGGCACGAACTCGGCTCATTGCAGCCTCCGCCTCCTGGGTTCAAGAGATTCTCCTGCCTCAGCCTCCCAGTAGCTGGGATTACAGGCATGCACCACCACGCCCGGCTAATTTTGTATTTTTAGTAGAGATGAGGTTTCTCCATGTTGGCCAGGTTGGTCTCGAACTCCCAACCTCAGGTGATCCACCCGCCTTGGCCTCCCAAAGTGCTGAGATTATAAGCATGAGCCACTGCGCCCAGCCCAGATTGCATTTCTAAAGATGGAACATGAAAAAAAATATATACAACTTGATTTTCACATTGTTCTATTAGTACCAGAAGAGGCAACAGCTATTAAAATGTGTTTGTTTGGAGGTTTTTCTTCTAGGGAAAAACTAAATGCTGGGTGAAATAAAGAGAAACCAATATAACTTGGTATTCATAAATACAGTATTCTAAGTTTTATCTTTATGTCAACTTAGATCATGGGAAAACAATGCATTGTTAGCCATATAAAAACTTCTGAAAAATAAGTTCTCTGTTTTTAAAAATGGGAATCCTATGGTGACGTTCCCTAGAATTTAGTGCCAGTAGAAAAGTTTCCTTGAAGATTTGGCATACTTTTACACAAGAATCCTTTGGGGTTTGCCTTGGCTGCCAGAAATCTCAGGACTCAAATTTAATACGTACTATAGGTGAGTTAAATTATCTTATGATGGGTTGGATAATCTTTTTTTCCTGTGACTTCTGATGTCTTATTCTTCCGTATGTGCATCTGTAAGTTGACTTACATCCTTTTGAGTATAATTGGGATATGATTAATCAATAAAACTATATTTTGATTTATTATTCTTTCTGTGTTTAGAAATTATTAGAGTTGGTGACAATAAGAAGATTCATCAGATTGAACTCATTCCAAATGATCAGCTTGTTGCTGTGATCTCAGGACGAAATCGTCATGTACGACTTTTTCCTATGTCAGCATTGGATGGGCGAGAGACCGATTTTTACAAGCTGTCAGAAACTAAAGGGTGTCAAACCGTAACTTCTGGAAAGGTGCGCCATGGAGCTCTCACATGCCTGTGTGTGGCTATGAAAAGGCAGGTCCTCTGTTATGAACTATTTCAGAGCAAGACCCGTCACAGAAAATTTAAAGAAATTCAAGTCCCATATAATGTCCAGTGGATGGCAATCTTCAGTGAACAACTCTGTGTGGGATTCCAGTCAGGATTTCTAAGATACCCCTTGAATGGAGAAGGAAATCCATACAGTATGCTCCATTCAAATGACCATACACTATCATTTATTGCACATCAACCAATGGATGCTATCTGCGCAGTTGAGATCTCCAGTAAAGAATATCTGCTGTGTTTTAACAGCATTGGGATATACACTGACTGCCAGGGCCGAAGATCTAGACAACAGGAATTGATGTGGCCAGCAAATCCTTCCTCTTGTTGTAAGATTCTCTTTCTTACGGCTGTCTTATCTTTATATCTCTTCTTCCTTTTCCCTTCTACTTCGTCTCCCAAATGTTGTCATTGTTGATAACAGTTTTTTAAAAAAGTCATTCTTAATGCTTTTCCTCAGTATTGATTATGTTGTTGATGTAAAAACCATATGTAGTTAGGCCTGGGCAAACAGGGCCAGCATTAGCATGCACGTAATTTAAACAAAACATCTTTCTGTGGAATATTTCACTAAGATGGATTTTTTACCCCACATCATATTTTGAAATAACCCAGAATTGTTATCTCATGGTCCCCCAAAATATGGTGCTTGTAAGCATCAGTGTTTCACAGAACTTATTCTGGAGAAGTAGTTACTAAGTGAGTTATTTAATCAGGTATGTAAAGGTATAATGTAACATCTATAAGAGGTGTTTTTTCAGTTTTCCACTTTTATCTAGATGGGTAGATATTTATAATTGCTTATTTTACCCCTTCAAGAAATATTAAGACATAATAAATTATTGAATACTTTTTTTTTTTTTTGAGAGATGGAGTCTTGCTCTGTCACCCAGGATAGAGTACAGTGGTATCGTCACAGCCCACTGCAGCCTCCAACTCTTACACTGAAGCAGTCCTCCTACTTCAGCCTCCCGAGTAGCTGGGACAGCAGGTGCACACCACCACACCCAGCTTATGTTTTTATTTTTTGTTTTTGTAGAGATGGTCTCATTAGTTGTTCAGGCTGGTCTCAAATTCTTGTCCTCAAGCAATCCTCCCAACTTGGCTTCCCAAAGCACTGAGATTATAGGCTTGACTCACCACACCCAGACTCATTGAATACTTTTAATTATAGAATACTTTGGTTATTGAAAATAATCCAATTATTATTGAATATGTGCCATTGAATATGAGTTAACAGCAATGAGTAAAATAGATACAGTCTTAACCCCACAGAGCATGGGGTGCAGTGGAAAAGATTCGTGATAAAGCAAGTAGTTGCAGTAGAGTGTAAGTGCTATGATAGCAGAAGTAGAGAGTTCTGTAGAAGCACATAGAAGTATTTCATCCAAACTGTTTTGTTTTTAATGAAAAATACTTGAGCATGTTAAAATGCTGAAGGGAAAAAAAACCCTAGGGAACTACATGGAAAAGTTGTCTATATGGGAAATAGAGTAAGACCGCCAAGAAGGCCAGAGAGGACAAAATTCAGAAGACAGGTGCAAGAATTACTTGGGGGCAGGAGGAGTAAAACCTCTTCATTTGTAACAAGGTAGGAGGAGGAGTGATGGGTATGGGTCTAGTCAAGTTTAAAGGTTCAGTGCGAGAAAGTTTGGGAGGGCAACCCATGCTCATTACAGAAAAATCAGAAAGTCTGCGTGAACAGGACAAAAGAAAAATACCTCTAGTTCTACCCATCCAGACTTTTTTTTCCCCCACCCTCCATCCTGGGATGAACGACTTAACTATTTTTTGTTGTTATTGTTGTTGTTTTTTGTCTTTCCAGCTTTTCAACTGCAGATCTTGGGAATTAACTATTTTTAATATTTTGTTTCTTCTGAAAAATATGGTCTTAGGTGGGCACAGTGGCTTACACCTGTAATCCCAGCACTTCAGGAGGCTGAGGCAGGAGGATCGCTTGAGGCCAGAAGTTCGAGGCCAACTTGGGCAACATAGCGAGAACCTGTCTCTATAAAAAATTTTCTTTAATTAGCCAGGTGTAGTGGTTGCATGCCTGTTGTCCCAACTACCCAAGAGGCTGAGGTAGGAGGATCACTTGAGCTATGATCATGCCATTGCACTCCAGCCTAGGCAATACAGTGAGACCTTATCTCTAAAAACACAAACCCACACACACTCTCATACTCATCAGTGGAATAAATGCTGTCTTGTAACTGAATCAGATAATAATTATGATTATTCTAATGTAGAGTCAGAGTTGGAATGTCTGACTTTTTTGTGTAGCTCTTTCAATAATTCCCTTTGTAACCTTAGTTTAAGTAAACCATTGAATCTTTCTTTGCTTGTGTCACCATTTGTTGATATTCATTCTTTCAACAAGTGTATATTGAGCATCTACCCTATTCATGTAACTGTGCTACAGTGCTTTATTATACATTCTTAACAGGGACTAGAACACTTACCTGAAGATTTCTCTGCTTTCTAAGTTTGATTCACTGTCAATAACTTAACTACTTTTAGGAATCAAATAGTTCAAATATAATGAAATTCCTTTATAGAACTCATGTTGGGCAAAGAAATAGTATACCCCTGGTGTTTACAGAATCCGTCTATATTATAACGGCTATATAATCTGAATCATGGTATACCAGTTCCTCATTTACGATATATGTTCTGTTTGCTTCAAAAATGTTTTGATTTGGCTACTATATGATAGCCCCATAGGATTTGGGTGGGATTCCACTCTACAGTTATTTAGTGTAGACCTTTCAAAATATTTGGGGTTTAATAGTTAAAAGTAATCCGCAAGCTGCCCCCCCTTCCCTTCTCCCAGGTTACAATGCACCATATCTCTCGGTGTACAGTGAAAATGCAGTTGATATCTTTGATGTGAACTCCATGGAATGGATTCAGACTCTTCCTCTCAAAAAGGTAATTTAACATTAAAATGTGGGCTAAGCCAACTGAGTATAAGTGAAAACACTAAATTACTACATAGTAATTTTTTTTTTATTAATTCAACATTTTCTGGAATGTGTAATTGGCAGTTTGGGACTTAGCTAAGAGTGAGAAAATAGAAACAGAAATAAAGTTGGTTAATTTCCTTATGCCTCACTAAAACCATACTAATTTTACTATATTTGGTTTATGCAAAGTATGATTGTTATTATTATGAACAACTAGAATATATCCTACAACTTAAAATGTCAGTGTTATCTTCTACTTTTGGATTAAGGAGCTCTGAGAGAGTACATGATTATTATGAATTATAACTGTCATTCACCCAGTGTTTAATCCTGTGAGGACAGATTTAAAAGGCTAGAAAAGTAATTAAACTTAGAACCAAAACTGTTTAAGTGTCCATAATTGAAAAATAAATATTTCATATATTCCTAATAAAACATAATATTTTTCTTAATATATAATCCTGTTTCCATAACAAAGAGAATTTTTACAATTATAGAACTGCTAGTTTGCAAAAATGAAGAGCAATAGTTTCATATAGATAGATGTGATATATATATAGCATGTATGATTAGTTGGGGGACAGGGTTTAGAGAATATGTGAAAGTAGCTTAGATCATATTTCAAAATTAGCACCCATTTAAAATCATAATAGCAGTTTAAAAAGCTCTTGTAAATACTGCCAGATTATCTAAAGCAACTAAAATATACTCTAGTTTGTAAATTTGGATTGGTCATTATTACTTTTCTGTGGATTTTTTTGTTTTGTTTTTGTTTTTGAGACAGGGTCTCGCTCTGTCATCCAACCTGGAGTGCAGTGACATGATATCAGCTCACTGCAGCCTCCATCTCCTGGGTTCAAGCAATTCTCCCACCTCTGCCTCCAGAGTAGCTGGGACTACAGGTGTACACCACCATGCCCTGCTAATTTTTGTGTTTTTAGTAGAGACAGGGTTTCACCATGTTGGCCAGGCTGGCCTCGAACTTCTTACCTCAAGTGATCTGCCCGCCTCGGCCTCCCACGGTGCTGGAATTACAGGCATGATCCACTGCACTCAGCCCTATTTGATTTTTATCATGTAATTTTTGCAATGTATGTGAAAGAATAGATATATGGCCTTTGTGAAAGATAATAATAAACTGATCACTCATGAACCTACCTCCTAACCTGAGAATCAGAACATCACTCATATAACTGCAAACTGCGTCATGTTGTGCTTATCATTCCTTTGCTTTTCTTAAAATACAGAATTTTTGCATATTTAAGTATCCCTAAATAATATATCTTTCAGTTTTGCTTGGTTTTGAGCTTTATGAAAATGTTATAATATATAGTCATTTTCTATCTTGCTTTCTTTACTCATCCACTGAGTCTCATTCGTTCATGTTGTTATATATACCATATAGTTTATTGCTTTCAGTACTATAAAATATTCTGTTGGGTGAACTTAGCACTACTGTCTGTTCCCTGACTGGGGGACATTGAATTATTTACTAGCTTTTTGCAATTGTGATGTTGCTGCATCTGTTTTTTGGAATAGTTTTCAGGAGTTTGAGTCATATACCTAGGAGCAGAATTGATGGGACATAGGGAGTTCAGTCAGCTTTATGAGATAGTGTCATATTATTTTCCAAAGTAATTGTACCAACCAATACTCCCATCAACAGCATAAAGGAATTCTTATCAACATCCTAGTACTTTCCATTGTCAGGATTCATAGGTTTTGTAAATGGTTACAAAGTAGTATTTCATTGAAGTTTCAGTTTGCATGTTGCTAATTAACTGTGTAGTTGAAAGTCTTTTGTGTGTTTATTCATCATTCATATTTCCTCTTCCATAAAATGCCTGGTCATGCTTTTTGCTCATTTTGCTATTGGATTGGCCATATTTTTCTTATTTATTGAAATTCTTTATACATTGTGGATACTGGCTAATAATGGATATGTAAATCTTTTTCTTCTTTGTGACCTATTCATTCATTTGTATTTGGCTGAACAGAAGTTACTAATTTTAATGTAGTTAAATGTATCTTTCTTTTCCTTTATGTTTGTCTTTTTTCTCTTGTTTAAGAAACTCTTTCCTACCTTAAGGTCATAAGATACATTCTATTCTCCTCCAAACATTTTACCTTTTTTAAAAAATCTTTTTTAAATGTATATACCCAGCCTCCAAACATTGTAAAGCTTAGCCTATTACGTTTATGTTTTTAATCCAACTGGAATTCATGCTTGGTTCCGTATAACCAGTTGCTCAATCACTATTTATTGACAGTCCCTCCTTTCCCCAGTGATCTACCCTTCCATCTCCATCATATGTATGCATTTAGTTTTTGATAGTAAGAATTCATAAATCAGCTGTGTTGATATCTGCTTAGTATAACTGTTGGGTCATTAATGGCTTTAAAAAGTCTAAGGTTTAAATGTATTTCTACTTATTTGTTCATTTGCTTAGGATAGCCTTCCTTTAAAATATTATCATTGCAAGTTTGTTTGTTCAAATTAGATAGTATTATACCTTTCCAGTCAGAATTATTGTTGATTTTTCTGAGAGGGCTGCATTTTGAAGTAGATAAATGAGAAGTCTTAATAAGGTGTGCTTTATAAGCAGGACAAAAGTTTTATAATTTAATTTTTAAAGGTTTTGTTGAAATACTAATTTTGTCTTTTATTTTAGGTTCGACCCTTAAACAATGAAGGATCATTAAATCTTTTAGGGTTGGAGACCATTAGATTAATATATTTCAAAAATAAGATGGCAGGTAAGAAAATACATATATTCATAGGGATAGCTTCATTGGAAATATTATTTCTAAGCTAACTGCCCAAGGTCACATTAATAATAAGTGCCAGAGTCCAGATTTCAACACAGGTGTATCTTACTCCAAGTCTATGATGTTGGCCACTATCACATTCTTAATATATTAGAATAAATTACTGGGCAAAAAGTCGTTCTGTTTAAGCTCACTTAAGTATTTGATTCTGATGTACCTTGTTATTTTTCTGTGGAGTACCTGAGTAAGTAGAGAAAGTGTAGCTGATTATGTCTTCTGTATTTTCAATATTGTAGAACCTAACCAAAATTTGTAACATTAAAATTATAAACACTCATCTAGAGTTGAGGAATATGTCTTCAGGAACATATCTTCTGCCAGTGTACAGGGCCTAGCACTTCGAAAGTGGTGATGTCAGCATAGGAAGAAGCAGGAAAGAGAGGAGAGTCATGGGAGTGCCTGGAATCAGGAGAGGGAGTAGAGACCCAGAGTGTTACAGACAGGAGGGGAGGATATTTGGTCAGTGACCAAAATATTGAGGTCACACATGTCATTACATACCACACATAAAATGCCAGGGAGACTGTTCACATAGAATTAAATGTTGTTTGCCTGTCAGGGTGTCCAAACAGTTAAAGTCTCACTTTTAACGAACATTATTATAGTGCCCTCTTCTATATAATAAAGTCATTTTTGTGTCATAGCAGCAAATTTCTATATAATAGAAGTATTTGTAAATTTCTGATCTGTTATGGCAAGTCTGTTAGCGAGGATGTATTTACAGTACATTATGTATTTTAAATAATTTTTTTTTTTTGAGACGGGAGTCTCACTCTGTTGCCCAGGCTATAGTGCAGTGGCACAATCTTGGCTCACTGCATCCTCCTTCTCCTGGGTTCAAGTGATCCTTGCACCTCAGCTTGCTGAGTAGCTAGGATTATAGGTATGCACCACCACACCCAGCTAATTTTTTGTATTTTTAGTAGAGATGGAGTTTCACCATGTTGGCCAGGCTGGTCTTGAACTCCTGACCTCAAATGATCCACCTGCCTCAGCCTCCCAAAGTACTGGGATTATAGGCCTGAGCCATCACGCCTGGCCAGTATTTAAAATAATTTTAAGTAGACAAATATAAGTAAAAATACTGGCTTCAAGAAAACACATTAAAATGTTTAGACCCATTATTTTGGGGTAGTTAATTTTTATTTTTATTTTATTTTTTTTTTGCGGGGGAGACGGAGTCTCGCTCTGTTGCGAGGCTGGAGTGCAGTGGCACCATCTCAGCTCACTGCAACCTCTGCCTCCTGGGTTCAAGCGATTCTCCTGCCTCAGCCTCCTGAGTAGCTGGGATTACAGGCACGCACCACCATGCCCAGCTAATTTTTTTGTATTTTTAGTAGAGACGGGGTTTCACCATGTTGGCCAGGATGATCTCCATCTCCTGACCTCGTGTCCCACCCACCTTGGCCTCTCAAAGTGCTGGGATTACAGGCGTGAGCCACCGCGCCTGGCCATGAAATTATTATCTTAATGGTTTTCTCCCACCTACCCCATATTCCTCTAATAAATTTGTGTTTTCTACTATCAAAAAAAAAATCCATCAGAAGTTTTTCTGTGATTATTTTTGTTGGTTTTGTTTTATTTTGTTGGTGTGTTTTTGTGTTATTAAGTACTGGAATACACAAAATTGCTTGATTTCTGGTTCAGTGCATTGGTACATTGTCTTGGAACCAGAGGTTTCTTGGTGAACAGGCTGGTGAATATAGCAGAAGTCTATGGTAAGACTCCATTATGACTTAAGAAAGTATATTCAGGTTTTAGAAGTGATTCTCATTTAGAGATGGATACCCCGTGAAGTTAATGAAATGTAAGCTTTAGATGCTTCACTTCCAAGACCCATACTTAGTTTTATACAGGCATACCCCCATTTTATTGTGTGCCACTTTATCGTGCTCCACAGATACTACATTGTTTACAAGTCGCAGGTTTATGGTAACCCTGCCTCTAGTAAGTCTCAGTGCCATTTTCCCAACAGCGCGTGTTGACTTCATGTCTCTGTTTCACATTTTGGTAATTCTTGCAATATTTCAAACTTTTTCACTGTTATTCTGTCTGTTACGGTGATCTGTGATCAGTGATCCAAATTTGAGGTTATTGTAATTGTTTTGGGGTGCCACAAACCATGCCCATATAAGATGCCAAACTTAATTGATAAATGTGTGTGTTCTGACTGTTCCACCAAGCAGCTGTTCCCTGGTCTCCCTCCCTCTCATTGGGCCTCTCTATTCTCTGAGAACCAACAATAGTGAAATAGCCCAATTAATAGCCCTGCAATAGACTCTTAAGTGTTCAACTGAAGAGTCGCACATCTCTTACTTTAAATCAAAAGCTAGAAATGATTAAACTTAATGAGGAAGGCATATTGAAAGTCGAGATAGGCTGCAAGCTAGGCCTCTTGCAACAGTTAGCCAAGTCATGAGTGCAAAGGAAAAGTTCTTGAAAGAAATAAAGTGCTGTTACAGAGAACACATGAATGATAAGAAAGTGAAACAACCTTATTGCTGTTACAAAGAAAGTTTTAGTGATCTGGAGAGACTGTCAGCCGCAACATTCCCTTAAGCCAAAGCCTAATCCAGAGCAAAGCTTTCTCTTCAATTCTGTAAAAGCTGAGAGCTATCAGGAACCTGCAGAAGAAAAGAAGCTAGCAGAGTTTGGCTTATGAGATTTAAGGAAGGAAGCCATCTCCATAACATAAAAATGCAAGGTGAAACAGCAAGTATTGATGTACAAGCTCAGCAATTTATCCAGAAGACATAGCCAAGATAATTGATGAAGGTGGCTACACTGAACAATACGAAATTCAGTTTAGCTAAAACAGACTTCTGTAGGAAGAAGATGTCATCTAGGACTTTCATAGCTAGAGAGAAGTCAATGTCTGGCTTCAAAGGACAGGCTGACTCTTGTTAGGAATTAATGCAGCTTGTGGCTTTACGTTGAAGCCAGTACTCATTTACCATTTGAAAAAATCCTAGGCCCTTAAGAGTTACAGTAACTCGGTTGGGCATGGTGGCTCACACCTGTAATCCCAGCACTTTGGGAGGCTGAGGCAGGCAGATCACCTGAGGTCAGGAGTTCGAGACCAGCCTGGCCAACATGGAGAAACTCTGTCTCTATTAAAAATACAAAATTAGCCAGCTGTGGTGGCACATGCCTGTAATCCCAGCTACTTGGGAGGCTGAGGCAGGAGAATCGCTTGAACCTGGGAGGTGGAGGTTGCGGTGAGCTGAGATTGTGCAGTTGCACTCCAGCCTGGGCAACAAGGGCGAAACTCCATCTCAAAAAAAAAAAAGAATTATGGTAACTCTACTCTGCCTGTATTTTATAAGCAGAACAACAAAGTCTGGATGGCAACACATCTGTTTACAGGATGTCACTGAAAATTTTAAGCCCACTGTTGAGATCTACTGCTCAGAAAAGTAATACTTCTTTCAAAATATTACTGCTCATTGACAATGCACCTAAGTCACCCAAAATCTCTGATGGAGATGTACAAGGAGATTGATGATATTTTCACGTCTGCTAACACAGCATCCATTCTGTAGCCCATGGATAAAGGAGTAATTTTGACTTTCAAGTCTGATCATTTAAGAAACACATTTCATAAGGCCATAGCTGCCACAGATAGTTATTCCTCTGATGAATCTGGGCAAAATAGATTGAAAACCTTCTGAAAAGGATTCACCATTCTAGATGCCATTAAGAACGTATGTGATTCATGGGAGGAGGTCAAAATACCATCATTCACAGGAGTTTGGAAGAAGCAGATTCCAGCCCTCATAGATGACTTTTAGAGGTTCCAGAAATCAGTGAAGGAAATAACTACAGATGTGGTGAAAAGAGCAAGAGAACTACTAGAATTAGAAGTGGAGACTGAATTGCTGCAATCGCATGATAAATTTGATTGGATGAGGTGTTGTATCTCATGGGTAAGCAAAAAAAAATGGTTTCTTGAAATGGAATCTACTCATGGTGAAGATGTTAAGAACATTGTTGAAAAAACAAGAAAATATTTACAATATTACATACACTAAGGTGATAGGGCAGAGGCAGGGTTTGAGAGGATTCACTCCAGTTTTGAAAGGAATTCTACTGTGGGTAAAATGTTACCAAACAGCATCATTATGCTATGGAGAACCATCTTTTGTGAAAGGAGGAGTTAGTGTGGCAAACTTTATTGATGTCTCACTTTAAGAAATTGCCACAGCCATTCCAGCCTTCAGCAGCCACCACCCTGCTCAGTCAGCAGCTTATCCACATCGAGGTAAGACCCTCCAACTATCAACAAGAATATGACTCATGAAGGTGAAGATGATTGTTAGCATTTTTGGCAATAAAGCATTTTTAAATTATGGTATGTATTTTTTTTAGACACGTACTGTTGCACACTTAACAGACTACAGTATAATGTAAACATAATGTATATGCACTGGAAGACCAAAAAAATAGTGTGACTTGCTTTATTTTGATATTTGTTTTATTATGTGGTCTCAAATTGAACCTGCACTTTTTCCAAGGTATGCCTGTATTCTGTTTCTTAGAGGAACTCCACATATTTGTATAAGATTGGCTCCACCTTATTCTCACTGTGTGTGACTATGCTGGTCATAAATGTGTTCATACCCACTATGTGTCTATAAGACAAAACCTATTCTGACTTGTCTTTTCCCATGCTTTTTCATCTTTCTACTCTAGGCTAAGAGTAGAGGTAGATCTTGGAGAAGAGGGACCTGACAAAATTTTAATGTAGTTGTCTTTTTCTTTGACAAAGGAAGGAAAGCCCATCTCAAGAGGTCCTTTCTTTTTCTGTGTTTTGCTTTCTCCATCATTTCTTAAGAGGTCAAAGTGTTCCTGCAACCCTCTGCCTGTCCAAAATCTCCCATTGCCACCCTGAGTCTCCAAGACCTGCTTTACCCTCATAATTCTCAAATTCCAAATTTGTGTCCCACATTCTCATTCACTTCAAAAATTCTGTTCTTTGGCTGGGCATGGTGGCGCATGTGCCTGTAATCCCAGCTCTTTGGGAGGCCAAGACAGGAGGATCACTTGAGCCCAGGAGGTCGAGGCTGCAGTGAGCTATCATGGTGCCACTACACTTCAGCCTGGGCAACAGAGCAAGACCCTGCCTCAAATAAATAATAATAATAATAATAATAATAATTCTATTTTTAAAATATTTACTGTTAGGAAAGCAGTCTGCCTAAGCCATATGATTATGCCACGAGGATCATGTTGCATTTCTGCTAATTATCACCTTTGTTTTCTTCTAGGCTCGTTTGGCTTCTTCTCACCTCCTCCTTCTCACTTCAGCTTTTTGGGTGTTGAAAATTTCTAAACTTTGCTCTTTTTCCTTATCTTATTTAGATAATGACACCATTTGTTGTGTTATATGGATACAGTTGTCTATTTTTTTCTTATTTTCACACAGCCCAGCATGTTTTGGGAGTCCCTGGCAGACAGTTTTGTTTACTTCTAGATATTAAAACTGACATCGGATAAGACTATCACTGGGTTGCTAGGTGTATATGATTAAACATCATCTACCCCCAAGATCAGAAGAGGAAAAATAGCGACAGATTCTTACCTTTTATAAAGGAAGGGTAGTGGAAGCACAGCTCCTTCTTTTTACTCCGTATCTCATAGACTGAACCTTGCAAAGGAAATTTTTTTATTATGTAAAGATAGTTGTAATTGTTATTTACCACTTATGGTAAATCAGGCTTACCATTTATGCCTGATTACTGTTCAGGGTAACAGTAGTAGCTCTTTAACAACACCCTAAGCCATTGAAATCAATACCTGGAGGGAGAGAAAATATAGTATTGAGATACTGGGGTGGGGTGGCTGATTAGTGACAGAACACCAAGGCAACTGCAGTTTTCTTCTAGTAAAATTATGTCCTACTGTGTTTATAATCAAGTAAAAGTGAAAGTATATTTTGTAAGCTATGTTTACTTTCAGCATATTATCTGTTTACATAGGTTCTGTTAAATATTATTTACTGGGTTATCAACACAACATTTAAAAACCAGAATTGCATGTACTTGTACTATCAATGTTTGTACTGTCTTGGAGGTTAATAGATAAAAAGCATTTTAACAGTTTAAAGAACATCATTATCGTTTGTATTTTTATTTTAACAGAAGGGGACGAACTGGTAGTACCTGAAACATCAGATAATAGTCGGAAACAAATGGTTAGAAACATTAACAATAAGCGGCGTTATTCCTTCAGAGTCCCAGAAGAGGAAAGGATGCAGCAGAGGAGGTAGATACTTAACCTGTAGTATCATCCATGCTTGCTTGTACCATCAAGGACTACTCGGTGATGATACTATATTTGATTTGGAAGGAAAATTGGGTATCTGAAAATCTCATTGATCTGTGGTGTCAAAAACTGCAATAATGAATGTAACTTCTCAGTGTCATTTTAATTAATATTCTCAAAATTGTGAGTATGCACTGGATTAAAGTACCATATTTTTATTCACTTCATTCACTTCTCTATGTATATGGAATAGTCATATTTTTGGATTGTGTACCTTTCTACAGTATAAGCATAGGACATAGCTGTGCATACAGTAAACCTGTATATGTCTAAGAAGTTCAGACTAACTACTCTCTTCATGAGCAAACAGAAGTAGGACTGTAGTATTTACAGTTATATATAAGACCGTTTCTAAAGTGTTACCAATCATTTTTAAAGAGATACATAAAATGTTCAGAATTATATGTAAAACAAAGTAGAGCTTCTTTGATGTCTTAAGTATTTAAAAAGATCCTCTACTATTCCACCTAAAATCGTAAGATCTTTTAAAATTTAAAACAAAATATTCTAAGGAAGTACATTTTTAATTGAGTATATTCTGTTACTCTATATTCTTATTAATGTGATTTAACAGTTGTATTTTTATTAAGAAAATTAAGCTTAATTTTTTTCATAAGCTACATAAATTAACTGTGGAAAAAGTATCTAAACAGATGCCTTGTCTTACAGGGAAATGCTACGAGATCCAGAAATGAGAAATAAATTAATTTCTAATCCAACTAATTTTAATCACATAGCACACATGGGTCCTGGAGATGGAATACAGATCCTGAAAGATCTGCCCATGGTAAGAGGAATTAAGAGTGAGTGTAAAAAAGGGCGGGTGTGGGGGGAGTATAAATACATAGGCTTAAATACATGGGTAGACTTCAAAGGATATGTGAAAGTAATGAGGAAATGTTTCTCTCAGTATACCACAATATGTCTAAGATACATGATGACATACCTGATGAACAAAACATAAAATTTAGACATCTGTCAAAAGCCAAACAAATCAGGTTCTTACTTAGTTCCATATTGGAGAATTTCTCCCATGCCTAGGTTTACTATTGGTGGTGGAAGAAACTACCAAATTCGGAGAGGTTCTATACCACATTTGGAATGTGGTTACCAAATCACTAAAATTTCACTACGTGTTAGCAAATCAATACAGATATTTGGCCTACTCTTTTTTTTTCCTTCTTCCCAGAGAACCACATTAGCTTGGTTATTAATGGTCACATCTCTCCGACAGTTGTGAAATTAAATCGTTTTCCTTTGCCCATTTACAAACATGTTACCTGGTCAGTTGTACGTGAAAAAGTATAACATAGGCCAGGTGTAGTGGCTCATGCCTGTAATCCCAGCACTTTGTGAGGCCAAGGCATGAGGATTGCTGAGGCCAGGAGTTCAAGACCAGCCCAGGCAACATAAGCAAGACCCCATTTCTTTTTTTTCTTTTTTTGAGATGGAGTCTCATTCTATCACCCAGGCTGGAGTGCAATGGTGTGATCTCGGCTCACTGCAACCTTTGCCTCCCAGGTTCAAGTGATTCTCCTGCTTCAGCCTCCTGAGTAGCTGGGATTACAGGCACCCACCACCATGCCCAGCTAATTTTGTATTTTTAGTAGAGATGGGGTTTCACCATGTTGGTCAGGCTGGTCTCGAACCCTGACCTTGCGGTCCACCCACCTTGGCCTCTGAAAGTGCTGGGATTACAGGCGTGAGCCACCAAGACTGACCAAGACCCCATTTCTATAAAAACATTGCTGGTCATGGTAATGTGTGCCTGTAGTCCTGGTTACTCGGGAGGCTAAGGTGGGAGGGTTACTTGAGCCCAGGAGTTTGAGGCTGCGGGGAGCTATGATTGCCGTTGCATTGGGCAACTGAGCAAGACCCTATCTCAAAAAAAGAAAAAAAAGTACAACATTGGAGAACTATTCTGTTTTAACAATATGAAGATTAGGCTCTCAGACCGGTCATGTTTAAATTAAGAATATTAGTGGAATTAGCCAGGCTCTGTACATTTCAGTACCATAGTTCTCTCAGCATACTATTAAAACTTTAAAAATGACCCTTTTGATTGGTAGTGATAGCTGCTAAATTTTGCGCAGAATTTTAAGTATAATTCATATTTCATGGCCATTTGGGAGATGATTTGTGAATCTTGACCCAAATTGCTCTCTAAGGAAATCTGTCTTAATTAACCACATTATCAACACTACAGTGATAGAAGATATAAACATCTATCACTGACAGAGAAATTGATTGATAATATAATTCGGTGTGCAGTCAAGTTTCTTTAAATTAAAAAAAACGCCTTTTAAAGGGAGGTTTGCATTTATTTCATGGGAAGAAAACATATCTGCATTCAAGTCTGAGTTCTTCATTGTAAATATCTCAGTTCATCAGTTGGCTCTGCTTGCTTATGAATGAATGTGACATTCTTATTACCATTACCAATAATATCAAAATATTATTATATATTCATAGTAATATACTTTTCTTTGTGGAGTTCAAACCAGCCTCATTAATCACTTATGTTTTTGGAATAGGGTTGGCTGTGCTGAGTAAATATTTAAAAAGTGCAAAAACTAGATTACAGCTTATCTTGATATAGTACTTTTAAAAATTTTCAGGTCAAGCACATTAAATATTAAAACTATTATACTTTTCTATCATGTTTAAAAGCTATACTATTTTTTTTTCAACCTTTTTCTGGGAGTGAGATCTCAGATTTCTCTCCATCCTTTTCCCATTAGGAACATTTGCTTAAAGTCCTGAGTCTGGTTTTCCTTTAACCTCAGAAGTAAACATAGCATAACTATAGAGTCCAAAGCATGTTGTTTTTCCTTATGGAAGGTGGGATGTCAGGCACAAAATACCGTAAAGAATTTTTTAAATTGTGATAAACAATTGAAATGTGAATATATTTATGACTTATATTTGATAAGTCAAGTGCTGTGTAGTATTTTAATTAAACTTTTTAAATTGAGTTAGTAGTTTTTTCAATACATAATATGTAGTTAGAATTATGTAGGGGTAGCAGGATACAAATTTCAAATATGTAAGTTGCAAAGCAAAACATCAGCAAATATAAAATTATTTCAGTAGTTACAAGGTTTTAATAGATAGTCTTTTAAAATTTAAATTTTTTACACTTTTGTTTCATTTTACACAGAAAAGAATGTTTTTATCTCATACATTCCAACAATGTAGCTAGAAGTAGTATAGAAAATGTTTGTAGACATTCTATTCTAGCCCGCATACTACAGTGTTTAACAGAATGTTACTCTGCTTAGTATCCTTCTGCCATCAGGTGAAAAATCAGTTTGCTAATGTTCCAGAGTTCTTTCAGACCTTCATATCCAATAAGACTATGCACCTTGATGCCAAAATGTCAGATTTCAAACATTATAAGAACTTTTTTTATCAGAGATCCCTCCTCTACATTTTCTTCCCTCTTCCTTCCACCACTTTAAGAAAAAAAAAGAGATAAAAAGAAAAAATCTGTATCTTATTTTTTGTTCAAAATAAGGTCTATATTGATAAGCAAAACAAGTGAAGATAGCATTTTCCACAGAATCATTAGACTGCTTGGTTTTTAGTGTTTGTTGTCACCTGATTTTGTTAACACATGATAATCGTTCTTTTTGGCATTAACACAAGTGACTTTTTGCCCTCTCATTGCATTTCAGTTTTTAATGTACCTTTCATTGCTTTAATGTTTTCTTATCACGTAAGTGCTTTTGTATTTCCAGGACAAGAAGTTGGTGTAAATTTTTGAAACCTGTTTCTTCACCTGTACATGTAGTATGCATCAAAGATTTTATCTGTCTGAATTCCTCTTCTTCACAACCAGATTTTATTGTCACATGACTTTTTTCTATTTCACTACCAAAGGACATATAACCTGGGGCTTTTTTATAGGCATCCATTTAATCATCTAACAAATATTTATTGAGCACTTACTTTGTGCCCGGAACCATCTTTATCTCAGAGTAGACACTAGTAAATACAATAATATGCATGTCTGAAAATAATAATAATATGCATGCCTGTACTTGTGTATGTATCTATTGAAAAGCTTGTGATATTTTAATGTATTCTCAGTTGTTAATATGTTCTTTCCATTGAAATGGAATTATTACAAACTGTCTCATAAAATAAAGATGAATTAAATTTATCTAAAGTTAACATATATGTTTTTAAATACCAAAGCCACATGTTGTCATCTATTCAGAGAGCATGTGTCCCAGACATTTTTATATTTTAATTTATTCAAATCAGTATTGCTTTCCTGTGAAATACTTATAAGCTTAGAAAGTTTATTGTATGTCTTTAGAAATTTAATTCTGTTGCTTTTGTGCAAGATGTTCTTGAAACAGAATTGTTTGCTTTTTGAATGTGGAAGGAGAAGTGAGGCTAAGGGAGTCATATTCCTCTATCAGATGCAAACCTTTATTTGTATCTAAGTGAGCCAAGACAATATAAGCATTAATATAAGATGGTGTGTGTGGCTTATAAATAGATGCTATATTCATTTTCTTGAATTTTTAAAATAATTTACCGTTTTAATACATGGTTGCTATTTGTGATAAAGAACAAATTTTTCTCTAATTTGGATGCAAGAATAATACTTTACCTCTAGAAGACTTATTTTTAGCACATTACATTTCTCCTAGCTTTTTATCCATTACTAAAATTGTTAATAAAAGTATATTTTCGAGCTTAGTGACATCCTGGAGCTTTAAGATGTAATTTTGCTTCTTAAAGTCAAAGTTTCATGTACGTCAGTACAACCTCAGAGGGTACTGATTTTATTCATATATCTAGAATAAAAACAAGACCTTACAGAAGAGCCTTTCTTCTAAGGCTAGGTAATTTATGCAATCTTTTTACAAAGCAGGTTCATCTCAGCTCATGGGAACGTGAATTCCATGCTGGATTCAGTTAGCACTCTCTCCAACACGCCATTCACCCTCTGCCTCTAATGAAGGGATCATGTTTTCTGGAAACATAACTGTTCTTCAAGAACTGAATCTTGAAAATTCCCATTAGAGAAGGTGACTGGCTACTGAGTGATAGTTCCTGCGTAATCGGAAGTAGTTCTTTTATCTCTAAAAATAGTCCTTGGATTCAAAAGCTTTTTTCTATATCTTTGATATTACATTATTTCATTTTTAAAAAATATACCTGAACATTGAAGGGAAGATTTTTACCTTGTTAAGAAAACAAACATGTTCTTTTTGGGTGTCTAAATGGAGATAAGCTTGGGCTGCTTAAAGGTAAACCAATAATTAGTATATTCCATGGTTAACTGTTATAAGGAAATAAAATCAGTAAAAACAAACACATTATCAGGGAATGCTTTTACATGGTTTTAGATTTCTAAAGAAACAGTTTCATAACACGTCTATTTAGAAGCTGTTGTAGGTTCACTTGTTCATGTTCTTGCTTGTTTCTTGCTTTTTCTATCCTTAATGTTTTTGATAGATTTTTGCCATATTTTGATTGTGTTATTACATAAGAAAATACTGAACTAAACTCTGAAAGTCTTGTATCTCTGAAAGTCCAATTTCTCCTTACTTATTTTAATTAAAGAATAATTTTATAAAAAAGAATGATCTTTTGCAAATCAACTATTTAAGTAACTGGCAAGAGTATTACAAAATTTAACTTTCTAAGACCTAAAAGTATTTCATTAAGGATTCAGCTCTGATATCAGATACTATTCCATTTGTTCTGTGTGCATGTTTTGTGAAATGTGAATCCATTTTCATCACCTTATTGCCTTTTTTCATCTTTCTTTTGTTTTTGATAGCCAGGTTTCCCTTATCCATCCCCTCATCATCACTCCGGTCTGATCTCCTCTCCGATCAACTTTGAACACATCTATCACATGACTGTTAATTCTGCTGAAAAATTTCTCTCTCCTGATTCCATAAACCCTGAATATTCCCCGTCTCTGCGCTCTGTCCCTGGTACACCAAGCTTTATGACTCTGAGGGTATGAACAGCTGAGTCAGGTGTTAACTTTCACTAACCATGTATGGATTTCCTTTTGCCTGGCTTAATAAGTAACACCGCTGAAATGGTGCCATCTTGTGAACCTTTTCCTTTGGCCTATTTCTCTTCTGCCAAACTTCTCCTCTTCCTCTTCCTCCATGTATCTTCCTCTTCTTTCCCATTTCTATTTTGTTTCTTCTTTTGAGGAAGAAGATGGAGGAATAGGGAAGATTTCAATTTTCATTTTTGAAACACAGTATTAAAGATTTATCTATGTTTAATAAAAGTTTTTCCCATTGTAAGAAATAGCTCTCTATTCTGTTAAAACAAACAGGAAAGGGCTCCCAGAATTTCTGAATTTTTTAGCTCCTTACCCTATAACCAGTTCAATTCAGTGAAATGTTTTATATTTAGTGAGGTTAAAGTCTGTGGTAGAACCCATCCACAGACCTATCTACAATAAACCCCTTTTTGAAAAGCTTAAAAATCTCCAAAGTGAAAAGTTAAAAAATTAATATTAATGAGTAACAAAAATTCCAAAAATAAGTTAGATTTTACTAATCTTTGAGTTACTGAAATGCATGTAATTCCAACCAGGATCCAAGGTAAGAAAACTAAAGCAAAGAAAGAGGAAAATTTAAAAAGCATGCTGTATTCTGAAGGATTGTGGCAGCTGCTGTTGGTCTCTTCCATTCAGCTTGTATTTTTGCTACCAGTGGCTTTGCAGTAGGGTGGAGAGCTGGTGGCCATTAAAGCTGAATATTCATATGTCCATCAAGTGGTGTATGCTTACAGTAACTTCAAGGGAACATTTTCTGAAGTTAGTTTTGCAGGTAATAAAATGTTTATATTGTATCATGCAAACCACTTCCCATAATGTCCCCTAACTTACAACAATAGTAGATCAATTTTTGTATTTATATATGTAGAAATTTTCCAATTAGAAAATTAGCTGTAGGATGGGAAGTTTATTTTTTGTTGTTTGTATTATAAAATTATTCTAAATTATAATGTTTTAAATGTTACTGACATTTAAATTATTATATCACTTAAATATCTTATCTGACAAAATTAAATTAACCACGATAAAATAAGCCTGAGTTTGCTTAGACTGCAGGGAGTGGATTCCAGAGGAATTTTGTATATGTTAATCAGGAACTTTTCACTGGGCATGATGGCTCATACATGTAATCCCAGCACTTTGGGAGGCTGAGGCAGGAGGACCACTTGAGCCTAGGAGTTTGAGACAAGCCTGGGCAACCATAGCGAGACCCCATTTCTACAAAAAATAAAAATAAAAAAATTAGTTGGATGTGGTGGCACATGCCTGTGGTCCCAGCTACTTGGGAGGCTGAGGGGAGAAGATCACTTGCGCCTGGGAGGTCGAAGTTGCAGAGAGCCGTGATTGCACCACTGCACTCCAGCTTAGGTGATAGAGAAAGGCTATGTCTCAAAATAATAATAATAATAACTTTTCATATAAAAGACCATGGAAATGTTGCTTTAGTTAGTCATCTATAACTAGAAATACTGTGCCATCAAATGAAAGTCTCACCCTAATCTTATACATATTTGTACCTTGAAAGGACCAGAGGCTTAGGTTACTTGTCACTTTATAATGAAGTTTATTTAACTCTAGCGGACTGAATGATAAACTGTTTTTTAACAAAACTTTTTTTTGTCATTCCTTTATTACTTCAGCCTAAGTAATAAAGCTACTAAGTTGTTACTAAGTTTCAGATACAGTTTGTAGCCTTAATTTTTGCTATTTATTCTAGGATAGGTTTGTTTTATAGGAAAGGACAACATCAATGTATCTTAAGGTTTACAGAAAAACAATAAAAAAATGTATAGCCTGAAACGGATATTCCCATCTCCTTTGAGCTTTTCTTTGCTGCATTGTTCACATGCTGCTTGCGTCTTACAGGGTTGCTCTTGTATATGTGTCTGTTGAATTGCTAGCATTGACTATTTCCATTTTAATTTTTTTATTTTCTTAGAGAAAAAAAAAGCATTTGCTTTAAATAACGCACCAAGAATTACATGGACTTTGCAAATTTGGTAGATGAACCAAATTGATGTAGATGGCATGTAGATGGCAGCAGTTAAATTTGGGGCCAACTAGTTGCCAACTTTCAGTATGTGCGATTCTTCAAAATGTATGCTTTGGAGCTTTTCAAGTGGTATTAATGCATGTTTTCCTGAGTGCTGGCTTTGGCCCTTTTTTAGTTGTTTTGCCATAACCTTTTCTCAGGCATTTCAGGTGCATGTAGGAAAGCTCAGTGCTGCAAACTTTCTCTGAGCTCTAACCTCTCCTTGGAGTGAGTTTCACAATTGCATGGCAACTGGGAACTCAGTTTCCAGTTCTAGACTTTTATTATAACTTAAAAATATTTTTTAGCCACATTAGTACATTTCTTTATTGCTTGTTTCTTTTAACCTCAAAAGCCTTAAGTATTTGTGCTGATTTCATTGTATTCTGTGTTAAATTATTTAATCTATACCATATTATAGCAAAGAAGATAGTCATCTTTTAAGTGTTTGCATAAAATGTTATTTTGTATCTTTAAAACACACACAGGCCTGTAACTTCAAATCAATATTAACTAAACACTGTTTTACAGAAAGGATCATATTTTGAAATTACATTGCCAACTGAATTAATCTCAATACTCAAATTAGAAAATTAGGATTGCAGATATAATCTATTCATTTTCCATTTATTTATTCAGCAAATATCTTTCAGCACCTAACTATTTTAGGTGCTGGAGAGTTTAGTGTTGTTGTAATAACAGTCAGTATAAGAAATTATAAGATGACTAAAGAACTGAGGCTAGGGAACCATATGCCTGCTTATAACCAGGACAAACTGAACTGTCAGCCCAAAAGCTGAGGACCCTGAGGTGGTGAGTGTGGAGGAGGGTGTGCCTACCAACAGTGTTCCCCTGGGTTTCTATGTTTAAAGGGCAAGTATGAGGACGTTTAGTAAAATATGTAAAATGTAGTTTAAGCATTTAGGCCTTTTCTCTTGCTGAAACTTGTAAAACCATTTAGGTAAGATAGATTTCTATTAACGTTAAATAGCATAAGTCATGAATAAACATAAGTCATACCACAAAGTTTATCAATGTATGGCAGGTATGTGGATAAATTTCCCTATTGTATTCTCTATGTTAAGCTACTAGAAGAAAGAGTAATATTTTCTGAGCCCGAAATGATGAGAAAAGATTGTGTTTTTGAAACAGCAAAATTAGGCAGACAGTTGTAACATTTTTTTAAAAATACACTAGTTAGCTTGGTGTTCTGTTGCATTTGAAAATAGCATGATACAGTATCATCAACTCTTAAATTATGTTGGAAGAAAAGATAGGAAACACATCAAATTGTTATTAGTATCTGGTGAATTCACAGGTGACTTTTTTGGTCTCTTATAATTTCATTATATATTCTACAGTTCATGAGTATTACCTTTATAATCAGAAAAAAAGCAAACAATTTTAATGAACTAGTTAGCACTGAGAGAACACCAGGTTAATAAATATATCTTCCAGTCACATCTTGTTATGTCTTAGTGGCTATTACTATCTGTGTGATTTTCTGATGATGTAGAAAAGATAAAGGATTACCCTATAGTAATGGTAGCCTATAGCATTCTATGAAGAGAACATCTGTTTTCAAAGGAAAGTTGCATGTTATAGTTTAACTTGGAATTAAACTATTTGGCTTTACTTAACAAATTGATCCTTTGGAAAAGTCACAAAACTTGAATTTTTTACTGCTTTTAATGTGTGATTTTTTTTCATTGCATTTCCATTATAGAGTTAAGGTATTGTTTAACACATGTAAAATTTGTGATCCCCCCACCACCAAGCAGAATTGCTGGGGGGTTGTTGTTGTTGTTGTTGTTGTTGTTGTTGTTGTTGTTGTTGAGACGGAGTCTCACTCTGCAGAGTGAGTGCACGCCCAGGCCGGAGTGCAGTGGCGTGATCTTGGCTCCTCCAGCAACCTCCACCTCCCAGATTCAAGTGATTCTCCTGCCTCAGACTCCCGAGTAGCTGGGACTACAGGCATGTGCCACCAAACCCAGCTAATTTTTTTGTATTTATAGTAGAGACGGGGTTTCACCATATTAGCCAGGCTGGTCTCGAATTCCTGACCTCGTGATCTGCCCACCTCAGTCTCCCAAAGTGCTGGGATTACAGGCCTGAGCCACCGTGCCTGGCCAGAATGGCTGTTTCGATGTGACTAAAAGGAGGTTTGAAAGTGATACTGCAGATGGCTGTATGAGGTTGTTACTCATACTCATGAGGAAAGAAAGGCACATAGTGGGACTGGGCTACATGCTTGCTTTTTGCTAGTGTAATTAGCTTCATCCTCAGACAAGCCCCAGGAGGCAGTTCTTATCCTCATAATACAGCTGAGGGAACTGGGGCACAGAGTTTAGCAACCCCAAGCCCTGCTGTCAGTCAGCTGTGCAGCACAGATGTGAGTAGTGGGCCAAATCCCTCCATAGCCTGTGCTCACAGCCACCATGCTGCCTTTATGGCACACCCTCACAAACAGCCAATGAAGGAGAGGCTGGCTGACAATAGGCTAGTAAGATTACCATCATTTTTGTAGCTATGAAAGAAAAATCAATAAGGAGTAGATAAATCTTCTAAGTAAATACATATAAATCTGTTTATAAATTGTAAGAAATCAAATCCAGACCATTTGCATCAGAAGATGCTTACATGAGGCTGGGATTATGTGAAGAAATGGAGAAAAGCCTTATGAGTGTTAAAAGATGTTAATAACATGGTATATGTAATTTGTCTTCTCCAGGATTTATAAAGAATATTAAAATATTTTTCCCTCCTCTGGACTTGTGTCAGCCCCAACATCTCATCCTCCTGGTCTGAAAAAGATTGGGGCCTTTGGGGAGGCAGCATGCTTTCTGTTCTCAACCGTAATCAGACAGCTCACCCTGCACACCACCTATGTGGCTATCCTTTAGGCGTGTGTGATTTGCAAAACATTCTGTGGCCTATTTTCCTACCTCACACACTAAAATCATTCAATAATTAAATGGAAATATCAATAAGGAGTAGGTAAATCTTCCAAGTAAATGTATATAAACCTGTTTATAAACTCTTTGAAATCAAATCCAGACCATTTACATCAGAAATTAGTTTTCAAACTAATATTCCCAAATTAACTAACTTCACCTAGGTTGTGAGTATTGCAGCGTCTTATTTCTAATCCCAGTACTACTATTGGTGTGAGTCAGTAAAGATGCCTGGTGACTGGGGTGTGAACTTATAAATGGCACATTTGGTATCACATCAATAAAACATTTTCTTGAGAAGAATATAATTTTAGTAGAATTTTCTCCAAATGGACGTATCAGCTGTTAAGCAAATAAAAATGTCATACATAGTAAAAGCTTTCAGTTATCGGCAAATGTCCATG
The DNA here is from genome assembly GCF_000001405.40 of Homo sapiens. Taxonomy (NCBI): domain Eukaryota; kingdom Metazoa; phylum Chordata; class Mammalia; order Primates; family Hominidae; genus Homo; species Homo sapiens. Next base: position 227,005,427 of record NC_000001.11, on the reverse strand, counting down.
TAATTCTACAATTCACTGTCACATCTAACCATATAGCTTTTACTTACTGTGTTTACAAACAAAAAAATGCTGTTTTTTACTGATAAGTATTTCAGTAAGTATAAGTACTTATTCCTGATTAGGATGAGATTTACTTCATGTTAGGGTTTTATTACTTTTGTGGGTGGGAAAGACTATATAATCTGCCATTCCTTACTCTGTGTCATTCTGGTCAAGATGATTTTATTTCTTGGTAATTATAGTGAAAAATAGACATCTCTGCAGAAAAATCAGTTTCTTTCTGGCTAAAGGATGTCTCTCTCGCTTTTGTTTATAGAACCCTCGGCCTCAGGAAAGTCGGACAGTATTCAGTGGCTCAGTCAGTATTCCATCTATCACCAAATCCCGCCCTGAGCCAGGCCGCTCCATGAGTGCTAGCAGTGGCTTGTCAGCAAGTAAGTGCCGGGGCTACAGGAAGGTGCCTCTGAGACAGGGTGACCCCCAGCTCCCTCCCCTCCTGTCCCGTGGGTGACATGTCCTTCACTTACGTGTGCCCATTGCATTCTCAAGTGGCTGCAGTGTCTCAGACCCTGCTGGGTAATGCCTAATAGGCACAAATGCAGTTGTTAAGAAAATAGTCCCAGAGTCCTTCTAGAGTGTACAGGCCATCTGGGAGACAGACAAATATGATTACAAATTGTGATGATAAAGGCTCTGAAGGAAGTAAACAGCATACATTAATAGAGAATAACAAGGGGTAGCTGTTAGGGATGAATCCCTACTTGGCAGAATAATTAGGAAAATCACTCCCTAGAGGTGGAGTCATGTTTGAGTAATGTTTGGTTAACTGAAAGAAGGCTAGTATGGCTACATGGTAGTGGTGAGGAAGTAACAAAAATTAGAGCGGGGTAGCAGGTAAGGGTCAGACCAGCAGGGACTTGAAGACCAAGGTAAGACATTTTTTACTTTATTCAAAAGGAAAAGGAAGACTTTTAAGTAGGGAAGAATTTTCTTTCAATTTACATTCTTAAAACAATCCTGCGGGCTGCCAAGTGGAGAATGGACTAGAGGCAGGAAGAGTGGAAGCCAGCATCCAGATAGGAGACTCCTAGAGTGGTCCCAATGGAAACCAATGAGGGCTTGGGATGCAGCAGGGGCAGAAGGAGAGAAGATGGTAGATTCTCCAGATATATTTTCAGAGTTAAAAGCAGTAAGACTTGATGATGAATTAGTCATGGAAAAGTAAGGGAGAGAGTTAAAGATGACTCCCAGACTTCCTGCTAGGGCCTTAGTATGATACCATTTACTCCCATTTACCACCGTTTAAGAAGGGGCTGAGGCAGGACATTCCACGCATGTCCAAAGGTCCCGAGGTAGCAAAAAAAAAAAAAAAATGTATCTGTTTGATTCACTGAAAGAAGGCCAGGAATGGATTCAAGAATATACCCTTTACTACAATAAAGATAACATTCATGCAGTACACATGTTTGAGGTTCCATTAGATACCAACTCTTCTGCTGAGGTGCTGGGGGTAAAAATACATACATGACCTAGTACCTGCTTTCAGGTGTCTCACAGTCTTTATTAGTCTCTCTCTCCGTTTTTTTTGTTTGTTTGTTTTTTGTTTTTAACTGTACTCGGAACTGCAGCATCTCTTTTTTTACACTTTAAAACTAGAACCTTGAGCTAAGGGACCATAGAGAGAAAAAACTGTGCTCCATGGTGCACTTAGGTTCAGCTACTGTCGCGGAGCAGCTTTTTGGTGGGGGAGGAAAGGTGTGTAAAAAGATATTGTCTGCCTGAATAAAATTATACAAAGATGCTAAAGGCTACTTACCTCAAAATGAGAGAAATGTACAGATGGGACATCTGGCTGATTTAAAAAAGTAAATTTTACTCCCGTCAAATTCACTGCGATCTAAGATATTTCCTGGATTATAAGCAGTGCGATTGTAGATTATCAAGTGATCATTGTAGCTTCACTTGGGGAAGAATGTTCTTGGCTGAAGGTTGCTTTTCTGTAACTTTCTCAAGTGTGTGCTTTCCCGGGAGCATGGTACTTGCTTGGAGATCAGAGAGAGTGTCGATCGAGTGTGCCAGCGTAAGTGCAGTCCCCAAGTGTACCAGGTGCAACTTAGTGAAACCTTTTTTCACCTCCATGCAAATGAACTTTAAGAGAAAGTAACTGCACTAAATCCAATTTCACATTTAAAAGTCATTGAGTCAGAAAACTTACTTGTTCCCTTCTATTCTCGAATGTTACATATTTTGAATTCAAGTCTTCTGATGCAGATTGAGTTTCCTCCATTCATTTGCTCTTCATTCAGCAAATACTGATTTTGGCACCCAATTTGTGCCCAGGTATTTTTTTTTTAGATTCTGACGACATAAAGATGAATGATGCTGTATTAGTTATCTCTTGCTGCATAAGAAATTATCCCACAAATTAGGAGCTTTAAAATAGCAAACATTTATTATCTCATAGCTTAAAATAGCAAACATTTATTATCTCACACTGCCTCAGGGTCAGGAATCTGGGAACATCATAGACTGGATGGCTCTGGTTCAGGGTTTCTCATCAGATTGCAGTTGAGCTGTCTGCTGGGGCCACAGTCACCTCAAGACTCAGCTGTGACTAGGGAATCAGTTTCCTGGCTCACCCATGTGGTTGTGGACACGTCTGAGTTCCTCACTGACTGTTGGTTGGAGGCTTCCCGTTTTTGCCAATGTGGGCCTCTCCATACCCAGTGCCTGAGTGTCCTTATGGCCTGGCTGCAGGCTTCCTCCAGGGCAAGTGATCAGAGAGACAGAAGCAGCAGTGTTCTACCTAACCTCAGGAGTGCTGTATCACCACTTCTTCAGTATGCTGTTGATCACACAGACCAGCCCTGGTACTGTGTGGGAAGGGACTACATACGAGTGAATACTAGAAGGGACGATCATCTTGGAGCCTGGCTACAGACATAGAGCATGCTTTCAAGGAGCTTTCAATTGACAAGAAGATGTTGAAATGTACAGTTTGCAACTTTCTTGCCATTATCTCCTAACATCATCTGTACCCAGTATGTAGCCCTGACCACAATGAAAAAATCTTGCCAAGTGGGAAAATGACAACCACTTTTATTAATCTTTTTATTAGCGATAGCTAGATTTGATGATTGATGTAAGCTGTTACTAACTATAAGTTATCTAGAAGTCAGTTACAAAGGTTTTACAACTTTAGGAATTAAGTGATGGTCCATAATTCCTTACCTGAAACCCTTGAGGCCAGAATGTTTTTATGTTTTAGAAAGGGATCTACCATATATTATGTTATATTCCCAGCAAGATCCATGACAAACAAACACATTAAGTTCCCACGAACACATTAATACTTACACAGCAAAAGTTATGACTGTTTACACTGTAAATATAGGAATAAATGTAGTCTTTATAAATAAAGCCTAAAATCGGCCTCCAGGATTTTTTTGGGTTTTGTTGTTGTTTTGTTTTTTGTTTTGGTTTTGCGTTTTTGTTTTTTGTTTTTTGTTTTTGTTTTTTTTGAGACAGAGTCTCACTCTGTTGGCCAAGCTCGAGTGCAGTGGCACGATCTTGGCTCACTGAAACCTCTGCCTCCCAGGTTCAAGCAATTCTCCTGCCTCAGCCTCCCGAGTAGCTGGGACTACAGGTGGGTGCCATCACACCCAGCCAATTTCTGTATTTTTAGTAGAGACGGGGTTTCACCATGTTGGCCAGGCTGCTCTTGAACTCCCGACCTCAGGTAATCTGCCCGCCTCAGCCTCCCAAAGTGCTGGGATTACAGGCGTGACCCACCGCGCCCAGCCCAGTTCACATTAGGTTTTGTCATCACATGAATTTGCATCAAGCTTGTGAAAAAACTTTTGGTTTTCAGCACTTTTGGATTTGTGGAATTGCAGATAAAGATAGGCCCTAAACTGCAAAGATTTAAAGAGCCAAGACAGCCCATCTCCTTAGAAGTGCTGAAGTGAGGCTCCCATATCACTGCTGATGGCATGCAAACGACAGACTGGAGCTGGCCTGGCGTTCTTGTCAAGGCCCTTAACGCATTCATTGAGTTTGGCCTTTTTTATGTCCCTGGTTACCAGCTGCTTGTCCAGTAAAGATATAAGAGGAAAGACCCTCTCGGGAATGCCAAGGGGCATCTGGTGTTTAGAGTGCCTCCTGCTGGCTTCAAGACTAGCCCAGCTCATATAAAATGTTTCCAGAAGGACAGCCAGCCAAGAGAGGAACAGGCCAACTATGTTCAGTCTCTACAGCAAGAAGCACAGGATCTTCCACAGCCAGACTCAACGATTTCATGATGCAAAGTCAGATTGAAACAGCGGTGCTCACCATGCTTCCTTCCCTCCTTCCTAGTTCACCTGAGGAATGAGACCCGCTCCTGTCAGCAGTAGGGGCTCACTGGGAGCCTCCCAGACCCTCCTGGAAGTCATGCAGAGGTTGGATATTGCTCATCCCCAAGAGATTTAGGGCCCAGTCCCCAGAGTCACCACTTAAAACTCTCTGGAAGGGGCTGTATCCTGAGTACAGTATGTGGTCTCAGGCCAGAGGGTCCCCAGGCTCCTTTTGCTGTTCAATCAAAACAGCCCTGCCTTGATTTTTTTTTTTTTTTAAAGGTTGTAGTGTTTGAATGTAACCTTTCTTTGAAAAGAAAAATTCCTGAAGTTTAAAAGTGAAAAAAACATACTGGAAATCACTGGGGTGGGATTCAGTTCAGTTATCTGCTCTATAAATGATCACTAGGAAGGAGGGAGGCAGTGAAAAGACCAGAAGCACAGTGTGGGCCAGCACACACCTTCTGTCTTGCATGTTACTCTCCATGCATTGAGTGGTGAGTTGTTCCCACAAAGTCCTGTAAGGTAGAATTTATTTTTTTACCTAAAGGTGAAGAAAATGGAAACTCAGGAAGGTAAAATAACTTGCTTAAGGTCACACCATTAGTAAGCAGAGCAGTGGAAGTCTCTGGCAGTTTGACTTTCTGTGCAGAATAACAAAATGTTAAAGTAATTTTTTCATTATTTTTTGAACTGAGCACTAAACTAGACAAGGAATTGGAAGAAAACTCAAAAAATATTTTATGGCGTTCAATTAGCTCGTAATCTAAGGAGACACACGTTCCACATCAAAAAAGTAAAGAGTATATTTCCCAAGAAATATGTCAACAAATGAAGACCAGTGCATGTGGAGAAACCCAGTGGTGGGGATGGAGTGTTAGGGGAAACGTGTCTCCTGAGGAGTGAGGTTGTCAGTGATTCTCAGTCCGAGGGGCCTTCTGGAATCATCAGGAGAGCTTATTATTATTATTATTATTATTATTATTATTATTATTATTATACTTTAAGTTCTGGGATACATGTGTAGAACATGCAGGTTTGTTACATAGGTATACATGTGCCATGGTAGTTTGCTGCACCCATCAACCCGTCATCTACATTAGGTATTTCTCTTAATGCTATCCCTCCCCTAACCCCCCACCCCCCAACAGGCCCCAGTGTGTGATATTCCCCTCCCTGTGTCTGGGTATTCTCATTGTTCAACTCCCACTTATGAATGAGAACATGCGGTGTTTGGTTTTCTGTTCCTGTGTTAGTTTGCTGAGAATGATTGTTTCCAGCTTCATCCATGTCCCTGTAAAGGACATGAACTCATCCTTTTTTATGGTTGCATAGTATTCCATGGTGTATATGTGCCACATTTTCTTTATCCAGTCTATCATTGATGGGTATTTGGGTTGGTTCCAAATCTTTGCTATGGTGAATAGTGCTGCAATAAACATACGTGTGCATGTGTCTTTATAGTAGAATGATTTATAATCCTTTGAGTATATACCCAATAATGGGATTGCTGGGTCAAATGGTATTTCTGGTTCTAGATCCTTGAGGAATCGCCACACTGTCTTCCACAATGGTTGAACTAACTTATACTCCCACCAACAGTGTAAAAGCATTCCTAGGCTGGGCGCGGTGGCTCAGGCCTATAATCCCAGCACTTTGGGAGGCTGAGGTGGGTGGATCACGAGGTCAGGAGATCGAGACCATCCTTGCTAAGATGGTGAAAACCTGTCTCTACTAAAAATTCAAAAAATTAGCTGGGCATGGTGGCGGGCGCCTGTAGTCCCAGCCACTCGAGAGGCTGAGGCAGGAGAATGGCGTGAATCTGGGAGGCAGAGCTTGCAGTGAGCTGAGATCACGCCACTGCACTCCAGCCTGGGCAACAGAACAAGGCTGTGTCTCAAAAAAAAAAAAAAAGTGTTCCTATTTCTCCACATCCTCTCCAGAATCTGTTGTTTCCTGATTTTTTAATGATCACCATTCTAACTGGCATGAGATGCTATCTCATTGTGGTTTTGATTTGCATTTCTCTAATGACCAGTGATGATGAGCTTTTTTTTGTATGTTTCTTGGCCGCATAAATGTCTTCTTTTGAGAAGTGTCTGTTCATATTCTTCACCCACTTTTTGATGGGGTTGGTTTTTTTTCTTGTAAATTTGTTTAAGTTCCTTGTAGATTCTGGATATTAGCCCTTTGTCAGATGGATAGATGGCAAAACTTTTCTCCCATTCTGTAGGTTGCCTGTTCTCTCTGATGGTAGTTTCTTTTGCTGTGCAGAAGCTCTTTAGTTTAATTAGATCCCATTTGCCAATTTTGGCTTTTGTTGCCATTGCTTTTGGTGTTGTAGTCATGAAGTCCTTGCCCATGCCTGTGTCCTCGATGGTATTGCCTAGGTTTTCTTCTAGGATTTTTATGGTTTTAGATCTTATGTTTAAATCTTTAATCCATCTTGAGTTAATTTTTGCATAAGGTGTAAGGAAGGGGTCCAATTTCAGTTTTCTGCATATGGCTAGCCAGTTTTCCCAACACCATTTATTAAATAGGGAATCCTTTCCCCGTTGCTTGTTTTTGTCAGGTTTGTCAAAGATCAGATGGTTGTAGATACGTGGCATTACTTCTGAGGCCTCTATTGTGTTCCATTGGTCTATATCTCTGTTTTGGTACCAGTACCTTGTTGTTTTGGTTACTGTAGCCTTGTAGTATAGTTTGAAATCAGGTAGTATCATGCCTCCAGCTTTGTTCTTTTTGCTTAGGATTGTCTTGGCTATACAGGCTATTTTTTGGTTCCATATGAAATTTAAAGTAGTTTTTTCTAATTCTGTGAAGAAAATCATTGGTAGCTTGATGGGGATAACATTAAATCTATAAATTACTTTGGGCATTATGGCCATTTTCATGATATTGATTCTTCCTATCCATAAGCATGGAATGTTTTTCCATTTGTTTGTGTCCTCTCTTGTTTCCTTGACCAGTGGTTTGTAGTTTTCCTTGAAGAGGTCCTTCACATCCCTTGTAAGTTGGATTCCTAGGTATTTTATTCTGTTTGTAGCAATTGTAATGGGAGTTCACTCATGATTTGGCTCTCTATTATTGGTGTGTAGGAATGCTTGTGATTTTTGCACACTGGTTCAAGCGGACCTAATACACACCTACAGAACTCTCCACCCCAAATCCACGGAATATACATTCTTCTCAGCACCACATCACACTTATTCTAAAACTGACCACATAATTGGAAGTAAAACACTCCTCACCAAATGCAAAGGAATGGAAATTATAAGTCTCTCAGACCACAGTGCAATCAAATTAGAACTCAGGATTAAGAAACTCACTCAAAACCGCACAACTACTTGGAAACTGAACAACCTGCTCTTGAATGACTACTGGGTAAATAACGAAATGAAGGCAGAAATAAATAAGTTCTTTAAGACCAATGAGAACAAAGACACAACATACCAGAATCTCTTGAGACACAGCTAAAGCAATGTTTAGAGGGAAATTTATAGCACTAAATGCCCACAGGAGAAAGCGGGAAAGATCTAAAATCGACACCCTAACATCACAATTAAAAGAACTAGAGAAGCAAGAGCAAACACATTCAAAAGCTAGCATAAGACAAGAAATAACTAAGATCAGAGCAGAACTGAAGGAGATAGAGACACGAAAAACCCTTCAAAAAATCAGTGATTCCAGGAGCTGGTTTTTTGAAAAGATTAACAAAATAGGCCGCTAGCCAGACTAATAAGAAAAGAGAGAAGAATCAAATAGACATAATAAAAAAATGATAAAGGGGAGATCACCACTGATCCCACAGAAATAGAAACTACCATCAAAGAATACTATAAACACCTCTACAGAAATAAAATAGAAAATCTAGAAGAAATGGATAAATTCCTGGACACATACACCTTCCCAAGTCTAAACCAGGAAGAAGTTGAATCCCTGAATATACCAATAACAAGTTCTGAAATTGAGGCAGTAATTAATAGCCTACCAGCTAAAAAAAGGCAGGACCAGGCAGATTCACAGCCGAATTCTACCAGAGGTACAAAGAGGAGCTGATACCATTCCTTCTGAAACTATTCCAAACAATAGAAAAAGAGGGACTCCTCCCTAACTCATTTTATGAGGCCAGCATCATCCTGATACCAAAACCTAGCAAAGACACAGCAAAAAAAGAAAATTTCAAGCCAATATCCCTGATGAACATTGATGCGAAAATCCTCAATTAAATACTAGCAAACATTCCAGCAGCACATCAAAAAGCTTATCCACCACGATCAAGTCGGCTTCATCCCTGAGATGCAAGACTGGTTCCACATACGCAAGTCAATAAACGTAATCCATCACATAAACAGAACCAGTGACAAAAACCACATGATTATCTCAATAGATGCAGAAAAGGCCTTTGATAAAATTCAACACCTTTATACTAAAAACTCAATAAACTAGGTATTGATGGAACGTATCTCAAAATAATAGCTATTTATGACAAACCCACAGCCAATATCATACCGAATGGGCAAAAGCTGGAAGCATTCCCTTTGAAAACTGCAACCAGACAAGGATGCCCTCTCTCACCACTCCTATTCAACATAGTATTGGAAGTTCTGGCCAGGGCAACCAGACAAGAGAAGGAAATAAAGGGTATTCAGATAGGAAGAGAGGAAGTCAAATTGTCTCTGTCTGCAGGTGACATGATTGTATTAGAAAACCCCTTCATCTCAGTCCAAAATCTCCTTAAGCTGACAAGCAACTTCAGCAAAGTCTCAGGTTACAAAATCAATGTGCAAAAATGACAGGAGGACTTTTAAAGTTAAGTCAGAAACTCTGCAAATTGTTCTGGGATAGGGCTGGGCATTGGTGTTTGTCAAGCTCCATCATACGCTAAACAGTAAACCACCAGTGTTGCTGATCTGCAGTCAGTCAGTTCCAGTGTCGAGGAAATGCCAGCGAGCCTGTGACTGCAGCCCAGGGGCTTCGCAAAGAAGCTGAGGAAGGGAGGTGGAAGGGGGATTACCAAGGACAGAGTCTGCCCAGGCAGGCTCTTGTTCAGTTTATTTATGAACGCTTGTGTATTTTGGTGGTCATTAGATAAATGTGCTGCTTTAAACTATCATTTTTTGACATTTTTCACTGAATTCTTAATGTGAAAAACAATTGAGACATGTTAAACCCGCAAAAAGTTGAAACAAGCACAACCTGTACCTTAGAGTTGTGCTAAAACCTCAACACAGTCTTTTGGACCAATCATCCTAATACTGAAACTCAGCACGATGAAGGCATGTTTAAGCAAAAACCTTGTCATAGTAGGGAATGCTAAGAGCTTTAAATAGGTACTGACAATAGCCCCGAGATTCCCCAGGGTGTTCTGGGTCTTCCCTTTTCTTCCTGTGAATGCTGCTGGTCCACTGTTACCTACCCCAACTCTGAGAACAAAATAGAGAGTGAGTTTGAAGAAAACCTCACTTTTATTTTACATCTCAGGCTCTTTGCCCTGTGAAGTAAAAGTACTTTTATGTTTTCTTTATGGTTTTATGAAAATTTTCTAGAAGATAAGCGATATTTCTTCATTGAGTGGCATGGCCTCTCTCGGGATGGTACAACCGAGCTTCCTCATTTAGCGCATCTGTTTTGAGCCTGCCGTGTGCCATGTTCTGTGCTAGGCCCTGGAGAGGCAAAGACACCTCATCTATTGGGAGAATGACAGGCACATGATGATAACATGACTTCATAAATGCCATGAAAGAGATGTGTGAAAGATGGCTGGGAGCCGTCAGTGGCTGGGAAAGATGTGCAAGGCAGCACCAGGCAGGTGGAGACTTGAGGGATTCTGGGGAATTGTTAACAAGCAGGGCATTGGGGCAGATGGCACAGCCTAGAGAGTGCTCGCTCACCGGGAGTCCCCGTGGCTGGGGTGGACAGGAACAGCGAGTGAGATTGCTGGATTCGGGGTTGAGCTCAGGGCAAAGGTACTACAGTTGGACTTACTGCGCTTCAGGGGAGGAGTGGTCTGGGGCCTGCAAAGGATGGCCTGTCAGCTCAGCAGTCTGTGTGCTTTCTAGAGTATTGTCCCCTCTGCATATGTAAAATTTTGCCTGCATGATGTACTGTAGGGTCATCCGCACAGAATGGCAGCGCATTAAAGAGGGAATTCTCTGGAGGAAGCTACAGTGCCAAGCGGCAGCCCATGCCCTCCCCGTCAGAGGGCTCTTTGTCCTCTGGAGGCATGGACCAAGGAAGTGATGCCCCAGCGAGGGACTTTGACGGAGAGGTGAGTGGGCAGGGTTCCGGAGACGTCATGTATCAGAAAGACTAGGGCATCTTCCCAGGCAATCCCACCACCTTGGGATTGGCCTCAGCTGCAGCAGGGTTCGGGGTCAGGGGCCAGCATTCACTCTTGGCCAGCGGGCAGCTAGGCCAGTCACTCGGGCTGCAAACTGCAGTTTTCCCAGAGGCATTCAGACTTCTGGCTTTTGTGTGAAAATACCATCATCTGTAAAGGCCTACAGAAAGGACGGAGCTTGTATGTTCCGTGCCTCTTCCTCAGCTCATAGAAGGGGCTTTATACCGACAGTGAGGCCGCCCCATGGGGTTATTTGGTCAGGGTGGCTGGAGGGGGCGGTGGTAATCTGAGCCCCTTCTGCCTCCCTTTCTCCCCCTCCTTCTCATTAATGTTTTACTTTGGGCCTTACAGGACTCTGACTCTCCGAGGCATTCCACAGCTTCCAACAGTTCCAACCTAAGCAGCCCCCCAAGCCCAGCTTCACCCCGAAAAACCAAGAGCCTCTCCCTGGAGAGCACTGACCGCGGGAGCTGGGACCCGTGAGCTGCCTCAGCACTGGGACCTCTCGCTCTCCGCTCCCTGCCACTCGCCTCCTCTCACTTTCATCTCTTCCCTCCACCTCGCCTGCTCGGCCTGAAAGCCACCAGGGGCTGGCAGCAGTAGCAGGACAGGGATTCAGGAGTTCTGACGACACGACTCTCAGATCCACGCCCCCAGCCTAACAGCAACAACAAAGACAGACTTTCCGTAGCAGCTTAGATTAACGTTGATTTCATTCCATGCACTTAGAGTTGCTTTCAGTAACATTTTACCCCTACTCCCAAAGGTAGCTTAAATAGACAGATTACACAAATGTAAGTGATAAGAATAAGATTAGACAGATTTTGCTTTCACAGTAGAGTCTCATTATAGTCCTAAAATAGCTCATGGGCTTCTCCGCATCCAGAAGGGAGAATTGGTCCCTGGAGTGGCTCACTAAGCTCTTAATCAGCAAACGCAGTGAGTATCAACCTGATTGTTGCCAGGAAATCCTTATGAATTAAAACAATGCATATTTTACTACAGTACAGAGTTTAAATGAATACATAAATGTAGAAGTACTGAATGTATATATTTAAAAGGAGCCTCTTGTATTCAACAAAAGATGGATGCATATATAAGAGAGATGATTTAATTTAAAGAAATATGTTGTTTCTTGTCTGTAATGTAATGTAAAGGGTGGAAAGGCCTCAAGCTCACATTTGTAGAGAGAGAGCGAGAGAAATCAGAGTTCCCTTTATTGCCCTGTCCTCAAACTGGTCATAGGCTCTAGTCACCTGGGGAGCTGTAGAAAACACTTGCAGAGCCAGGTTTTGCTGGTTTGGGGCATGCCCTGGGCACCAGAGCTTTAACATTTGAAGCCACTTCAGCAGCAGCAGCAAAAGGCGAACTCATCTCTACCCAAGATGTTTCTTTTCCTAGTGGTGGAATTTGAACACTTCTCACTTTTTATTGTATTTTATCTTCCGCAGATAAATGTAGAAATACACGATTCTGTCACCTCTGATCCCTTCCATCTGAAAGGTTACAAGGAGTGTTGTAGCTTCTGAAGGTGCAGAAAACAATTTCTAAAAATGCTTTTATTCCTGGGCTAATCCTGTCCCTCCCTAAGTCACAGCGAGGTGTCTGTCCCAGGGCTGGAGATGCTTCCCAAGGAGGAGTCTGTTTTGTTGAGAGTGGGCGTGGGCTTCTTCACATAAGCCTGGGGAAGGAAGAAAAAACGGCTTTCATTACCAAATAATGTAAAACCTCAAAAGCAAGGGCTTCAACAGCCTTAACCAAATATTATTCCCCATAGCCAGTGGAAAATGGATGTGACAACCCCAGTGCGCAGGCCAGAGTGAGTGAGCCCAGCACGGCGCTCCGACTGGCTTCCTCTCTCAGGTGCTGGATTGTGGGGTTAGTGGCATTTCCAGCTGGATTCCTCCTGTTGTAGTTGCCATAAGGAAATGAGATGCAGAATCAGAAGGATCTATTTCTACAGAATCATTTCACCAGTTAAGCACATGAGTAGAGAAAGAGATAAAAATAAAAGTATCTCATGAAGGAAAGAGATTTTGCCTCTCTTTTACTTTTCACCTAAGTTTCTCTGAGAAATAGAGACAGGATTCTCTCTTTAAAATTCAGTGAAAATGAAGAAAGTTTTCCTGCAGTTGCTAACCTGAGTTGCAGTGTTTAAGGCCATCATTTCACTGCTGCTGTCTGTGACTCCACGTCTGTGTCACTGAGGTGACCTGCGTGTCACTGAGGTGGCCACCATGCTGGCCTGCGGCATGTGCAGGGAGCTGAGGCTGTTTCCAGGTGATGCTGCTGTGTGGAGAAGGTTCTGAGATGCAGTGAGGGAAGAAAGGATCCTGCTGGGGATTCCATTGTAAGCACCTATAATCGGGAATTTTCATGTAACAGCTTTGACATTTAAACATTCTGAGTTTGGTGCCAGCTCAGATTTGATTATATTTTATTTTGGATGGGTGTAATTCACAGCACAGTTCTAATCTCCCAAATCTTTCTGCTTTTTAGAATGAAGTATAAAAATACTTTTCTCACCTGAATACCAAGGGTTGGCCCTTTAGTTGGATCATTGTCATATGACTTGGTAGATCCTTGTCCTCAGCACCTCACGTGAGAGAAGGGAGTCAGCCAGCCGGCCCCCTGCTTGGTGCTCGTGACCAGCTCGCACCCCTTCTGTCCACCCTTCTCTCCTCTCCTCCCCACTCTCCCCACCCTCCTCACTCTCCCCACCCTCCTCACTCTCCCCACCCTCCCCTCCTCTCCTCCTCACTCTTCCCACCCTCCCCATCCCCACCCTCCCCATCCTCCTCTTCCCTTTCCCCTTGCCTTCTCCTCTCTCCCTTCTCTTCTCAGGCAGGGAGGAGGCCATCCCAAGCCGAGATTAACAGGACTTGACATAAGCCATTAGTTTGTAGCTTTGACAAGTAATTATGAATTTTTGTTGCTTATAGGTGCTTATTTTGCAAAGGATGCTTTTAAGATCAAAATAATAACCCTACCTAAAGTCTAGCTCCACTGCTATGGGTCATACTCTTCAGCCTCCCAACAGGGCAGAGAGAGAGAGCTACTGAGGCTTGTCTAGGTTGCCAGGCTAACTGGGCGACTTGTCCATATTCACCCCATGGATTGCACCATGGCACTCTTTGATTTTTCCACTGCAATGGCAAGTAATCTCATCAGTCATAATAGAGCAGTCCCGAATGCGTGCAGATTCTAAAAGCAGGGCTTTAGGAGAGAAACACTGCCAGGGGGAATAGTTTTGGGGAGGGTTTTCCCAAAATAACGGTCATCCTACTGGGTTTATCCCACCCTTAAATATGAAGCCTGTTACCTCCAGAAGCTTCTGAGAAGAATGATGTGAAAAGACAGGGAGTGGGTTCTAGGCAAAGAAAACATAATGACCATTCAGAGGAGTCAGTAGCACAGCTCACAGATAAAGTATTTTATTACTATCTGAAGTTTTCTTTTGTTTTCATGCAGGACATTTTAAAAACGTATATGGCAGCAGAAACCTGTTTCTCAATAGAAAAAATACATTCAGAGGCATTTCTGGGATAGTCTATCTGTGTTAGTATTTGGTGCTATCTATGTCCAGCCAAGTTATCTACCCTCAAATTCTGACTAATCATGTTTGTGCTTTGGGTATTTAAAATTACATACATATATATTCTTTTTGCCAAAAACAAAAGTCTTGCTTCTTGTCAAATGATTGCTAAAGTAGATCTTACATTTTTTGTTATTATGTATGTATTTATACACATCCCCAACACACTTAGTGATTTCTGTTATTTCCTAGGGAGCACAGCTTTAAGGCTATGAGATACAACTAAAAGGAGCCCATCTATTTGGTTTTCCAGCCAATTATTGTACTCACATTTCAGGGGAGAATCTGAAATTCCTGTCATGTTTACAGCAACAATCTATCATTCCTGGCTAGCTCTCAGCCTCTCTCTCCTTCCATAGGTTAGAATTATGTCATTTTGTTACTTAGTGGCCACGTCTATTTCTGAGAAAGACTGGTTACATTTATGTGGCATCTCAGGTATCATTAAGGAAAAGCCAGAGCAGGGGTGAGCAGAGGTCAAAACCACAGACGCAGCAGGGCCATTTGCCGCCTTTGGCCGGGATCACAACCACTGCAGTCTCCCAGCAGGTAGGCCTTGCCAAGCCTAAGGCTCCCCATCCAATCTAGACAGAGGGGCGCTCAGAGCAGACTTTGCCGTAGCCCATGTCTGGTGAGCACAACAGGGAATGAATTGGGCACTCCACTCCCCCGTCTCTCTGGCCCAGCCCTGAACTAGATGAGCTGCATTTCATGGAGCCCATTTTAAAATCTCTTTCCTTATGACTTTGTTACTCAAGTCCAGAGTTCTCTGTGCACTTCTGCTAGATAAGGAGTGTAAGCCCTGCCCCCCAGCACTGGCAGCACGCTGGGCCCTCCCCACACAGGACACCGTGCAGTTCCGGGGGAAGCTGACTCAAATCAACCTTGAAATCTCATGAAAACAAAATGACTTGTCTTTTTATTTGATAGTGTAATATCATTCATTTTATAAATTTTTTAGGGTTTTTCTCGTAATATTGTACAGTTTTGCATGGCCTGGTGTGATCATTTTTTGGTTAGAATATAATGCTGACAAATGTGGATGGAGGGGAAGATACTGCTTTAGCCTATCACTCCTTATTTTATTTTGTTTGGTTTTATGCCCTCAGTGTCTTAGGGAACTTTTTAAGAGATCCTCTGCTACCAAACAATGATGTGGATTCTTTTGCACAGAAATATTTAAGGTGGGATGGTAAAAAATGTCACAAAAGACTCCTCACCAATACTTTATGTTGATATCACTTAATATTAACCAGACTTTGCTGTATTGCAATAAAACAGAGAACTGTTAGCATTGAGTATTTTGTCTCTTTTCCCCCCACTTGAAAGTCTGAGAAATAGAGAAAGGTGCCACCTCTCCGCCTGTCACTTCTCTTCTTTCTGCTGGCCTCCTTCCTCATCCAGGCTGCTTCTTTATGCCGTAAAAGGACATGGGGTTAGTTTGCCCCTGTGGTTTAATCTAGGACTTTCTTAATTTCTTCCTTAGCTCGGGTAAGAATGATGTTCAATTCTCCTGAAGCTTTCAACTCCCCTCTTCTGGCCAGAACTTCGCTGTTGCTGTTACTTCGGTCCACAAGACCAAACCCTGGCTGCGTGAGGTTTCCTGAGTGGCCCTGACAGTGTGAATGTGGGAGCAGTTTGATTTTGTGTCACTTAAACAAGACGGACTGTTACTGCTTTTCTGGAGTTAGAATGGTTCATCTAAGAACATACAGGGAAGGTCCAGGGGTGGGGTTAAAGGAACTCCTGAACTGGTGGCAGCTAAGTAGTTATTCGGAGAATACTTCCGGTTCCAATGGCCCATGGAATTGACATTTGTGGCTGATACTGTTATGTTGGTTTACTGTAGTGTCAGCTGTGCAGTGCTTTAGAACAGGGCTTGGCAACCCTTTTCTGTCCAGGACCAGTTAAGAAATCCTTGTGCCTTTGTGTATATAGTTTGCTGCAGCTCCCCGGCTCTGGCATTTCAGTGCAAAAACAGTCTTAGCCTGCTACGTACATAAACGAGAGTGGCTGTGCCCCAATAAAACTTACAAAAATGCAGTGGGCCAGATTTGGCCCTTGGACCATCATAGTTTGCCAGCCCTTCGTTTGGTCCCCTTAGTGTAGACTGTAAGACTAGACTGTCTTGTTCCAAATCCTCATTCTGCCACTTAACCTCTGGGCCTCTTTTTTTTTTTTTCCCTCTGTAAAAAGGCCCACTTGGAGTGTCAGGAGTTAATGCACTCAGAATCTAACTTCTAGCCTATGGTTTAGTGTTTTGTCCTTATGAGTAACCGCCAAAGCCTACAGTAACAAATATTTTTTTGTTGTGTGGTGTCCAGCCCTTCACTAGATGTTAGGGACACGAAGACACAGACCCTGGGAAAATCAAGCCATGATTTGCCATGTTCTCATGCCCCATGTCTCAGTGTGAATGGGTGAGCACGGGGAGTCATTCATCACAATACTGTAAAAATCAAAATAGGTACAAAAGAATAAGTATGTGTGGCCAGCTTCAGAGCCAGCTTTACTTGGGGATTAAAGTCATTTGCAATCCAGTGATCCCCACTGTCTTCACAGGGAGGGCTCTAGTTCTCAGCCGGCTCTCAGACTTAGGACACACAAACCACATTCCAGTTTTCCCTTAGAAAACTTCTCCTGTTCCAGCAGTTATGGTCGTGGTTCCTGGGGAAGCAAATGCTGGCTGCTGTTGTTCTCCTCTCCCTTCCCCCCGCATGCTGCTGCTTGACTTGTTTGGCTTGTTGTTCAAGAGGAAGAGGAGACTGTGAGAGCCCTGGCTGGGGCTGGCCTGGGTTCTTCCCCTGCTGTTTACTCTGCAGGGCGATGGCTTCAGATCTGAGTGCTGCAGAGGAGTTTGCTAGACAACAGCAAATACCCTTAAGAAGAGGGCCACAAGAGTTTCAGCCAGGGATCTGACAGTGGTGCTGGGCGCCGCTGCTAGCCAGGCAGCCTCACGGACGCCACCCAGGCCTCTCCATCCTGTCCCGGAGCCCACTGGGTCTGCTACTCGGCAATCCCAAATTTCAGAAACTATATTTTCTTTCTTTAAGAACCCTGAAAGCCTATACCTCTCAAAGCCTCTTTTGGGCCTGTGCATTCTGCAGATGCACTTTCAACTGCTCACAGGTCCGTAGAAAGGGCCCCAGCTCAGTGTCCAGTGTGTCCTGTTATCTAGGAATCAGTCTGGCCCCAGGAAAAGCCACTTTTCAGGACGTGGTCCTCAACTGCAGCTGATGTCTAGAGAGGAGACGTCTCACTGTGATGCAGACCTGGCATCAGCCGTGCTGGCAGGTGTCACTGTCCTCCCAGTTGCCACCATCACCAGGTACAGCAGCTTCAGCAGTGTGGTACAGCCTCCCGGGGGCTGGGGCAGTGACACCGCAACCTCTCCTCCTGTTCTCCACCCCTCCCACCTCCCTTCTTACAGGGAACGGGGCTGAGCCTTCCAGGTTCAGGGCCAAGGGCCTCACGCTGAACCAGTCCCAACCCTTGCAAATGGGCTGTGACACTGAACCTGCTGACCGTCAGGTCAGAAAAGAACCACCACCACGAGCTAGAAGATACGGGTCGTCATTCTCCAGAATACAGAAGAGGGTACACGCGCCAAAGCACTTCCCATGAGCATTTTTATTAAATTGAAACAAGTTGTTGATTCGATAATTACAAGACTTGTACAAAAATTCACAGCGCCTGTGAGGAGCCTTTGGCTGGAACTGGTGACACCTGTGCCTCTCCGGACAGAGGAAGGAAGTCCCACCCCGCCTTCCAGCAGCAGCGAGCCTGTGTCTGGCATTCCCTGTTCCGCTGCTCCCACCCTCACTGTGGGGCAGCAGTTCTTTAGGAACATTCAGCTGTCAAAGGTGAGAACCAGCCCCACAGGCCTGGGCCTCGCAGGCTTAAGGAGCACTTGTTGGCACTGTTAGCTCAGCACCTCTCCCAGCTCCAGCCCATCGGCTGGAGAGGAAAAGGGCAGAAAACACAAATCTCACTCTAGAAACACATACACACACCTACTACACAGATGATAAAATCCCACAATCGTATCTGTTCATGTTTCTGGGTTTTGCACTGAACAGAGATTGGAAGGGAGTAAGGACTCTCTCCCTTCTGCTTAACATTCACATCAGGAAAAAGAAGAAAACAAAGTTGCCCTTTCATCTTCATCTGCTTATTTCAGAGGACACACGGAGGCAGACTGACCGAGCAGTGGGGCTTCATCTTCATTCTTGCACTTCTCACCCTACAACCATTTAGCAACAGAAACCGTGGAAAGCGCTGGCTACGGGGCTCCAGGCAGCCACCCCCCTTATTGGGCAAAGGAGTTAAAAAGAGCATCACCACGACCTCGCTACTGGTTTTTGGCCTGTCTGAGGGAGAGAGTTCCCGCGGAGCCGGCCTGGGCGTGGCCCGCAGCCCTACTGCTGGGCCTGCCTCTTGCAGTAGTTGCTGTAGGCCTCCTCGAACATGGCCTTGCAGGGGAAGCGGGCCTTCAGCTTGGAGCAGATGAGGAAGGAGCCCCCCATCTTCCTGTGCAGGGAGTAGGTTTCCTCGGGTGGGGGGACGAGACGGTGCCTCAGCATGACGGGAATCAGGTTGTGGATCTTCTCGGTGGTGCTCTGAGTGCCAAAATCAAAAGGCTCATCAGAGGCGAAGGCCTCCCCCAGGATGAGGATGGCATCCAAGTGGGCGTCTTCCATGACCTGGGGCAAGAGAGGAAGGATAAATGGCGGCGAGACACCAGAGCCCTCCACCAGCCCGGGTTCCTCCCACAGTGCCCGGGGCGCTGAGTTCTCATTCAAAGCTCTGCTGTAAACTGGATTACATCATGGTAATGGGCATAAACTCAAACCCACAGGGGCCGGGAACACGAGGGTAACATGGACTGGGCTGATGTGATACAAAAGGGAGTGGCGGGGCCTGTGGCAGAGTGCAGAGGATGCGTCCCGCCTCGTGGCACTCATACAGAGTTTTAACAAAACACTGTTCTGGCCAAAAAGAACAGAGTCCGTGGGCCTAAGCTGGCAGGGCCTCCCACCATGCGTGTCTGAGCCTGCCAGAGTCCACCCAAGACACACCCAGCAGCCGTGTGTCTGCCCACGGGAACTAGCAACCTAAGGAAGCCGCCGCCAGCAGAGCAGGGGAGAGGAGCTGCCGCCAGGGACAGCCCAAGGTGGTCAGAGGGACGGGGCGGCCAGGAATCGAGTCAGTGCGAGTGGCCATAAGGAAGAGGCGGGAGAGAGCTGCTGCCCGCTGAGCGCTTACAGCTGAGATAAGGGGGGCTCAGAGATACTGACAAGCCTCAAATGACACTCCTATGAGACGGCAGACCCAAGGCTTGACCTGGATTTCTTTAACTCCTTCCCCACTGTCAAGCAGCAAGCGGAAAATGCCACTTTGTGGGTGGCTTCAGGCGGCACCAGCACAGACCGTTCCCCTTTATTTAAAAGGCTTCTAAGGTTTCTTCCAACTCCCCCCAGGGAGGCTCGATGAGGGGAGGGCTGGGGCTTCCCTTCCCACTTGCTCTGCACGTTGGCTCAATCGAGGCCCAACCCCAAGCCCTAAGTGGGCAAGAGTGAGAGGCAGAAACAAGAGCTTCACGACAAGTCCCCAACTCACTGGCCCACTCGGAAAATCTCACGCTCAGCAGGGCAGCATGGGCCGGGGTGGGCCCCAGCTTTCAGACCGTGCCCAAGGAGGCCCGGGCTCTGGGGGCCCCTTGAGGGCAGCTGCCCCCTGTGCTTTCATCCATTCTTACACAGGGAGCCGGGCCCTGGGTCAGCAGGCCCAGGGGATCCCCCGCAACCCTGCTCACCTTGACCTCGTAGCCGGTGAGGAACTTCATCTCTATGGATTTCGCCCGCACAGTCTCCCTGTCCCTGTCGGCAGCAGCCCTGATGATCTGGGGAGAGGCACAGGAGGGGACCGTGGGCAGCATGAAAAGCTCAGCTCCCGACATCCCAGGGAGCCAAGTGCCACACCCGAGCCCACCCCACCCTCATCCTCTCCCTGCACAGGGCCCCCGGCCAGTGCTGTGACACCACGCCTGGCAGCTGTCAGCCTAACTGCCTGCTGTCACCAGACCTGAGGGGCAGGCAGCGCAGATGGGGACACAAGGGCAGGAACCCAGTCATTCTCCCTACCCCGAGTCCCCCAGCATCCTGTCCCAGCCTCAGAAAAACATGGACCAAGGCCAGGGCCCCTCTCCAGTTACCTGAATGTAGAGGTCGGTGAAGGATCTGTCATATTCCCGCGTTGCCCCAAAATCCAAAAGAGCCACCTGGGGACAGAGACACCAGGAGAAGTTTGGCCCTGGTGCTCCATGGTGCGGGTGTGTGGGGCCGGGAAGGGGGTGCAACAGAGGGCAGTGAGGATCCCCACTCCCAGAGCCCTGAGCTCTCTGCTGACTTTCCCAGGACAAGGGGCAGTCCAGGGCCTCACGTGCCCCATTCGGAGAAGCTCTCAGGCCTGGCTGCGGGTGCCCCCACCCTGGGGCTCACCTTGTGCTGCTGGGGGTCATAGAAGAAGTTGGACCAGTTGGGGTCTGTTTGCATGAAGTGGAACTCGAACAGCTCCCTCAGGCACAGAACCAGGATGTTGTAGCAGATCTGTGGACAGCGCGAAGGGTCTGTGTCAGGCAGCACCACACTGCCTGGTGCCCTGGGAGACTGGGGCCAGAGAAGCCCCTGCCTCCTGTTTTACCCACCCTACCCTAGGGACTGTTTGATTCCCAGTGTTACTTGGGCCAGGGAAGGCAGCAGCTCCCCTGTGTCCCCCTAAGTCCCACTGGTGCTACTTCACTGCCCCTCACCCCCAGGGAGCACCTCAGGGCTCCAAGTCCCCAGCTCACACTATTAGGTCACCAAACAGCCACACAGCAGGGCCACCCTGGCCCCACCTGTCTGCTGGCACAGACAAACCTCGTTCCGAATCTCCTGGCTGAGCCCTTCGGCCTGGTCCAGGGGGAAGCCAGACACCAGCTCTGTGGTCAGCACATGTGGGCTGCAGAGCTCATCCACAATCTCAGGCACATAGAAGAAGGGGTGGCCCTTCAGCAGGTCCCTGGGTAGGGGAGGGAGGTCACGCCCTAGCCACAGGCCCTCCACACCGTCCCCCCCCCCACACACACCCCCCAACCAGGCAGAGGGCCCTCCTTCACCCCAGGCAGGATATGGCCTCGGCCCAGGCTGCAACCCCAGCCCTCTGCCCCTCAGAGCTGGAGGGGCCTTCACCAGCTGCTGAACATGGTCCCTTCTGCCTCCCTGGTGCAAACACGCAAGGGGCCCGGCCGGGGGCCACACCTGAACTTGCGGGCACAGGCGGCCTCTCGCTGGTAGTCACACTCCAGGGCCAGCTCCCGCCTCAGCACGTCGATCAGGTGCTCGGGGAACAGGCCTGGGCCAGGGAGGAGGGCATCAGCGAGGAAGGGGGCTCTGCAGGGAGGACCCCCTCTGGTCCCCAGAACCCAACACAGATGCCTGCCACCCACTCCTGCCCTTGACCCAACCACCTAGCCTCAGACCTTCTGGAAGCATGTTGCTCATGTTCAACACGGCCATGAGGTTGTTGACATCACTGTTGATGCTCTGGGCCACGCCAGGGTACTGTGGGGGTATGGGTGAGGCAGGGGAGTTAGCCCAGGGAGACGGGTGGGCCCTGCCTGGGGCACTCCCCCAACCCCCAACTGGCTTCCCAGCTGTGTCCTGGCCCCAGCCCACACCCTGGAGAACCAGAGCTAAGACCCAGCCATGCTGCCGTGACCTGGACCCCATCACAGCCTCGTTGTCCACCTACTCCTGCCTCACCTCACCCCTGGGAACAGCTCACGGCCACCCTCCCACCAGCTCTGGCCCCAAAAAGCAATCACTTGTCCCCTGTCCTTGCCCACCCCAAATCAAGCTTGCTGGGGGCCCCTCTGTGCCCCCAAAGTCACTCATTTAGCAAATACTTCCCAAGCTTCTGGTGCCGTCCAGGCACTGGGGCCAGAAGACACCACATATGGCCCTGCCAGGAGAGAGGGTGCCCTGCGGGACGTGGGGTGTAGAGGCCTCCATGAGCCAGGCCCCAGCTCTGCCCCTTGCAGCCCCCATAGGGACAGGCACTGCGCATCAGGCCGCCTACCTGGATCTTCATGGCCACCTCGCGGCCGCCCTTCATTCGGGCCAAGTGCACCTGCCCAATGGATGCGGCGGCGAAGGGCCGCTCCTCGAAGTATTCCAACTTGTCCCGCCAGTTGGGGCCCAGGTCGTTGTTGAGAGTTTTCTGAAGGGCAGGGCCAGGGAGGGGCTCTGAGCATGCCCTGCCTGGGCCACCGGGAGAAGCCCCAAGTCTGTCCCCTCCACCCAGTGGGGGCCGAGGCCACAGAGAGTGGGCAGAGCCCCTGGCTCCTCACCATCATCTGCTTCAGTGGCATGAAGTCCGCGCTCTGCCGCACCCGCTCGAAGATCTTAGCCAGGTGGGGGTTGATAAAGGCATCATCTGGAAGGCAGGAGAATGACACAGGGCGAACCTGGGGATTAAAGTGTGCGCCCAGGACCTGGGCGGGCACACTCCTGGGATGCCCTGGCCACCACACCCTCCCCACCAGGAGCACGGGTGAGGCCAGAAAGACAGGAGCCCTCGCACACACGCCCTCGGCCACTCAGCTTCCCGGGAGCCCCAGCCTCCGCCCAGTGACCTGAGAAGGTGGGCTTTTTACACTCAACATGCAGAGTTTTTCATAATTACAAAAGAAATTTGGAAAATAAAACATAGTAAAATGTTGAAATGACCTGTGTTCTGACCACCTGTAGAGAGCAATTTTTCCTCTCTGCTCTTTATTCCATGTGTTTCTTTGGACCCAGAGCCACCCGTCTGGAGACCAGGCCTATTATCTTCTAAGATCTCTCCCCAGCCTGCTCACATCTTGCCCACTGAGCTTTGGTGGGGCCACTGCTCCCGGCCCTGGAAGTTGACCCCCCCAGCAGCCCACGCAGTCCCGGGGCAGCAGCCCCCGCGCCCACTCACCCTGGATGCTCAGCATCTGGCCCAGCTTGAGTGCCGCACCACGCACCTTGCAGAGCGTGCGCACGATCCGCTCTGCATTGGCCTCGGACAGGAAAGGACTGGAACCCAGCACGGCCTTCTTCCCTGTGGGCGGGCAAGAGGGGTCACCACGGCACTCGGGGGGGTCTGGGAGTGGGATGGCAAGCCCCACCTGATACAGACGGAGGCTCAGACAATGTCCTTCCTCCCAGGCGTCCATAAAACCAGCAACATAACTAACTACTGTTCCATGTCCACCTCCCCAAGCCTGTGTGAGCCACATGCCCAGGCCCTACGCCAGCGCCTCCCAATACACACAGGCATGCACACGTACATATGTGCACACACAAACGCACACACACAAAGGGCCTCTCCCTTCCATATGGGGACCTGGCGGGCCGTGACAGGGCCATGGTGCTGCCTGTGGCTGGAAGGGGCGTGGGAGTGGGAACCAAGAGGGATGTAGGGACCCAGAGGACCCCAGGTGAGGAGGTGCCGAGCCTTTGCCCTGTGCACCCCCACCCAGGGCACTGCACAAAGGCCCGCTGCACCTGTGGGGTCGGCATGCATTTGCACATGGGGCCAAGTGGCTTCAGCCAGAGGGCTGTCCTCAAGGGAACGGCGCTCAGGCCAAGGGCAGCACAGCCCAGGGGTGCCCGTCTCTCCCGTCCACCCACAGAGGCCCCCTGCAGCTCAGTGCAGCCAGCTGGCCAGTGATGAGCATGCAGTGACCCCAAGGGTGCAGGTGGCCTTTTTCCAGTCCACCAAGGGGAGGGCTGAGGGCCGCGACTCAGGAGCAGCAGAAGGCCGGCTAAGTCAACTGCCAGCAGGCGTGTGGCCCAGGGCTGCTGGGTCCTCTCTAGCTTCCCCCCTATCCTGGGCCATCAGTTCAGTGCTGCCTAGACATGGAGGTGCCCCTATCCAGAGGCAGACAGAGGCCTGAGCAGGGATCTGGGGCTCCAAGTCTTTCCACCTTCCCTGAGTTCCTCAGCACCCCTTGTCGCCGGGCCTCCAGCCCTTGTGACATTCGGAGCTTCTCCTGCCTTCTGTCCTGTGAATCTAGTTAGATCTCAAGCCCCAAGAGGTCGCAGTGCGGCTTCCTCCTCTCTGGCCCCCACAGCACCCAGCATTTGCCTCAGTTCAAATCACTTCAGGCCTGGCACAGCGCTCGGGTGGCACGGAGCCAGGTCCCCAGCAGGGGAAGAGAGAGGTGACCGTGCCACTGCCCTCTGCCCCGGAGCCGGGTGCAGCCTGGCCCCTGAGAAACCAGGGTGGGGCGGGCCGCCCTGAGAATGGAGGCCCTGCGGGCCCGGAAGAGGAGCCTCGGAGAAGACCCGCATCTGCCCACACATGCAGGCAGCTACGTGGAAAGGGGCCAGGCTCACTCCAGGGTCCCAGACAGCAGGAAGGGACCTGTGAAGGTGGGAGATGTTAGCTCTGCGGGAAGAGGCTGAGCTGCCCTGGGAGGCTGAGCTATGACCCATGGGCAGAGCGAGTCCAAGAGGGCTGGGCCCAGAAGGGTCCCTCGGCCACCCCCTTGCCTTAGGCAGCAGCAGACGCCAGCACCAAAGGAAAGGCAGTCAATGTCCCCTCTGCCCCCTAGGCCTGTGGTACTTGTGGGCTGGGGGCTTGGGCCTGGGTCCCTGGGGAGGGGCAGGCAGAGAGGCAAACCTTGAGGAGAGGCCACTGCCCCAGGCCAGAGGAGGGACAGTCTGTCTCCTCATGACACACAGAGTAGGCCTAGGCTAGCAGCAGCACTCCTGAGAGATGGGAACGGTGCCTGGCCCAATCCGGGCTTTCCCAGGTAGCCCATTGGCAAAGCTGGTCAATGCCACAGGCTGGAGGTATGTCCCCCACCCAGGCAGGGCTGGCTGTGAGAATGACCTGGCAAGTGGGGATGGGCCCAGGGCTACGGCAGTGTGCCCCCAGCTCAGGAAAGGTCCTTCCAGGGCAGAGCTCAGCCAGGGTGGCCGGTGTCCTCCAGTCCAGAGGGTGCCAGGGCCTGGTCAGGAAGCTGGAGCACAGTTTGGGGCTGCCCAGGGCCACCCCACTCCAGCCTAAGCCTCGGGTCCCCCTCTCAGGGCTAACAATGCCTGGGCCCCTTAACCCCCAGCCTGGGGTCACCACTGTCCCTGACAAAGGACACTAGCTGTAACTGTGAAGCCAGCCTGGCCTCTTCCCTGCTTGGATGAGGTAGTCTGGAGAACAGCCAGCTTTGGAGAGGACAGTAGGGGACAGTAGGGGAAGGCTGGCTTCTCCTTCCAGAGAAACCCAGGCTTCATTTCCCAGAGAGTGTCAGCACCAACGCTAAAAATACCCTTGCTAAGCCCTCCGTCCTCAGCCCCTTCCAAGGACGTGCATGCCGCCCGTGTCCCCAGGACTCAGTCCGGGCCTGTGGGATGGACTAGTGCCCTTGCCCCAGAAGGCAGCGTTGGTGGGTGAAGGGGGGCTGTCCGGGGACTGGCAGGGCCCCCAAAGGAGGCTAGCCCAGGCTGGAAGACAGGGCTGTGAGGGCTGCAGTGTGGCCAGACACTGGGTGTCTCTGGGGGTCCCCATGGACGGGGGTGGAAGGGCGTGATACCAGAATGAGCTGACATTCCCTGAATGGGCCGGGGCCAGGGGACTTGGCCCAGAACTCCAGAGGCATTGAGGAAGATCCACACGCAGACGGTTCCCTTGGCACTGCTCTCCACACCCCAGGCCCCACTAACAGGAAAGCCCCTGCTGGGCTGACCTCGCACCTACCTGGCCCGCCCCCCGTGCCTGAAGAGGCCTGAGGAGGAGCCCGGCCTGGTGTTCACAGGCAGAAGGCGGCAGGGACTCAGTGCGCCCCACTCCTCATCACAGCAGCACGAATGCCCAAAGCCTCAGCGTGGTCCGTTCGCAGGACCTCTCCACAGAGGGCCCGGCCACAGCGGGCCACCAACCTCAGTGGGATGAGTGTCCTGACCTGACCACCTGCCTGACCCTGGCTGTGACCTTCACGTCAGAGGTGAGGTGCCTCTGCATAGACTACAGCCTCCCCAGGTTACTAAGCTGGTGAGGAGAAGCCTGCAGGGTCTGCCTGCACACCTCGCCTGTCCCCAGCCACACCTGACCCGGCCAGACCAGCGACTTCCAGAGAGCAGGGCAGCAGCAAAAGGTGGGTTTACAAGGAGGTGTGCGGGTGTGTGGAGGGTAAGGTGTGTGGGTGTGTGGTGGGTGTGTGGAGGGGTAAGGAGGTGCAGTGTTCAGTGGGTGATTGGTGGGTGTGTGGAGGGTGTGTAAGGTGGTGTGCAGGTATGAGGTGGGTGTGTAAGGAGGTGTGTGCATGGAGGGTGTGTAAGGAGCTGTGCGGGTGAGAGGTGGGTGTGTACGGAGGTATGCGGGTGTGAGGTGGGTGTGTAAGGAGGTGTGCAGGTATGAGGTGGGTGTGTGGAAGATGTAAGGAGGTGTGCAGGTGTGTGGAGGGTGTGTAAGGAGGTGGGCAGGTGTGTGGAGGGTAAGGAGGTGGGCGGGTGTGTGGAGTGTAAGGTGGGCGGGTGTGTAGAGGGTAGAGTGTGTGGAGAGTGTGTAAGGTGGTGTGTGGCTGTGGGGGGTGTGTGGAGGGTAAGGAGGTGCAGTGTTCAGTGGGTGTTCGGTGGGTGTGTGGAGGATGTGTAAGGAGGTGTGCAGGTATTTGGTGGGTGTGGAGGGTGTGTAAGGAGGTGTGTGGGTGAGAGGTGGGTGTGTGGAGGGTGTGCAAGGTGTGCGGGTGTTTGGAGGGTATGTGGAGGGTGTGTAAGGAGGTGTTCGGGTGGGTGGAGGGTGGGTGGAGGATAAAGAGGTGTGCAGGTGTGTGGTGGGTGGGTGGAGGGTGTGTAAGGAGGTGTGCGGGTGTTCAGTGGGTGCGGAGGCTGTGTAAGCAGGTGTGTGTGGTGGGTGTGTAGAGGGTGTGTAAGGAGGTGTGCAGGTATGAGGTGGGTGTGTGGAGGATGTAAAAAGGTGCGTGGGTGTGTGGAGGGTAAGATGTGTGGGTGTTTGGTGGGTGTGCAGGGGGTGTGTGACGTGTGCGGGTGTTCGGTGGGTGTGCAGGGGTAAGGTGTGCGGGTGTTCGGTGGGTGTGCAAGGGGTGTGTAAGGTCTGTGGGTGTTCGGTGGGTGTGCAGGAGGTATAAGGAGGTGTGTGGGTGTTCAGTGGGTGTGCAAGGGGTATGTAAGGTGCGGGTGTTTGGTGGGTGGGCAAGGGGTGTGTAAGGTGTGCGCGTGTTCGCTGGGTGTGGAAGGGGTAAGGTCTGCGGGTGTTCGGTGGGTGTGCAGGGGTTGTGTGTGGGTGTTCAGTGGGTGTGCAGGGGGTGTGTAAGGTGTCCAGGTGTGCAGAAGGCGTGTGGATGTGCAGGCAGCCAAAAAGAAGGGGCTGGGTGGCCACTTTGGGCTGGGAGGAGGAAGGGCCTCCAGCCTCACCCCCTCTAAAGCAGGTCAATCTGTCTGTATGAACAGCCTCATCACCCCAGGGACGCCACTTACGTGGAACCCCATGCAAATGCGGCCCAGCTGGCTGACACTCCCAGAGCACAGGTGGGGCTGGGGGCTGACAGGCTCAACCCTCCCGGGGCCCACCCTGCCCCTCCCACTGAAGGGCCCGGCTCACCTGAGGGGTCCTCGGAGCGCAGGCTCTTCTTGGCGACCTCTGCCAGTGCCCCGAAGCCCAGGCCCACGGCCAGACCTGCAAGGAGGAGGGGGCGGGCACTCAGTGCTCACGCAGGGCTGGGGCCACCCGCTCGCCCACCCACAAGGCCTGGGGCAGCACCACACAGACACCGCTTGCACCAGGGGCCCTCGCTGCCACACCAGCATTTTGAAAAGTGGGGAACAAGGTGGGAGATGCCACCTGTTGTTTTAAGAGAACATTTGGCTCGAGGTAGGTGTTTCAGTGAAAAAGATTCAGGAATCCCCCACTCCACACCATCACCTTTGATAATTCACAGGCTCACGGGCACACGGACACCCCAAAGTAATGCCAGCTGGGAAGCACCTGGGAAGGACCCAGCACAAATGGGAAGACGGACCAGGGATGGTCCACAGACCAACGTCACCCCGACCACACAGGGCACCCTGAGAACACAACCACCCGCTTCAGGTCTGTCTGAAGAGCCTCCCATCACCTAGACTTCCCTAATTCACTGGAACAGGAAAGGTGTTGCCACAGGCATACAAAGCACTTGGTGGTGAGAGTGAGAACACTTTTGGCTCCCCCTAATCCAAGCCAGGGGAACTCGCGGGGCTCAGGCGCAGCCCTCGCTGGGTAATGGAAGGCCCTCTCGCCCACCTTGCCCTTTCTGCGGGGCTGGCAAACACTGACATCTGAGGACCGTGGGGTGCCAGGCCTTCCCATTATCCTCTTTCACAATCTTCCGAATCAAGGTCCACTAACACCTCATTTATCCAAAAATCAGTCAATGAATGATCCCAGCTGCTCAAGAAAGCCACTCCCCACCCCTGCCCAGGAGCCCAGAAGGTGCCACTAATGCCACACCTCACCCAGGGCCAGTATTCTCTTCCTTTATACCCAGCTGTAGCTGGCTTTCCGGGTAGGCATGGGTGAGCAGAAAGAGGGTGAAGAGCACCTGGCTGGGCACGGTGACCATGGCCGGCAGGGCTGAGACCAGAGCGGCCGCACGATGAGCCGGCCTCGGAGAGCCCCGCACCCCGCACCCGGGCAACATCGCAGCCCCGCAGCCCCGCAGCCCCGAAGCCAGGCAACATCGCAGTCCCACAGCCCCGCAGTCCCACAGCCCCGCAGCCAGGCAACATCGCAGTCCCACAGCCCCGCAGTCCCGCAGCCCCGCAGCCCGGCAACATCGCAGTCCCACAGCCCCGCAGTCCCGCAGCCCTGCAGCCCCGCAGCCAGGCAACATCGCAGTCCCACAGCCCCGCAGTCCCACAGCCCCGCAGCCAGGCAACATCGCAGTCCCACAGCCCCGCAGTCCCGCAGCCCCGCAGCCAGGCAACATCGCAGTCCCACAGCCCCGCAGTCCCGCAGCCCCACAGCCAGGCAACATCGCAGTCCCACAGCCCCGCAGTCAGACAACATCGCAGCGCCACAGCCCCACTGCCCGGCAGCCAGGCAACATCGCAGCAGGGGGCTGTTGGGGGAGAGGGCTCACACCAGGACGCTCTGTTTAAGGCGCAAGGAAACTGGCATCTGCTTGCATGTTTCCAAATTCTCTACAGTGATTATGCATGACTTTTATGAAAAATACAGAACTTGTTGAAAATTTAATGAAAAGTACATTTTAAAACTAAAAAGAAGACAACTCAATTTTTAAAAAAATGTTTTTGCGATACATTTTTACCCACACCTGGGCAACAGTGCACCCTCCACGTCCCCAGCAGTCTGGGCAGCCCCTGCCTCACAGGCTGTCGTGCGGGCGTGAGTAGAGCACTCGCCGGGCCAGGAACACACAAAGGCCACACAAGCAGCTGCTGTTGTTCTCGTGACTCTATTCAAAAAGGCTGGGCCGGCGCAGAACAAAAGAAATAGAAGGCAAGCCACACATATAATTGTTACTTTTCTAGCAGCCACACTGAAAAAGGCAAGAAGAAACATGCAAAATGAATTCTAATAGTATAATTTACTTAATATACCCAAAATGTTATCATTTCAACAAGTAATCAAAATAAATATTATTAGAGATATTTTGCACTTGTGTGTGTGCACAAAGTCTCCAAACACCATGTGTGTTTTATACTCAGCACATCCCACTGTGGACCAGCCGCATTTCCAAGGCCCCGTGCGGCTGGCGGCTCCGTACTGGGCAGCATGGGGCAGGATAAGCTGAGCCTCCTGGCCCTCAGGAGTGACAACACACATGGTACAGATGTCTGCTGTGTTGGGATGGGGGTGCCTGGCAGGTACATCAGCTCTTTCTCTCGCTGTAGAAAGCCCTGGGCTCAGAGCTGGGAGACACAGTCCCCGTTTAAACATTAACTCCCTGATGCCTGCCCACCTCTGCCCTGCCAGCACTCGAGCACACGATCTGACTTAGCGAAATAAACGGAGACAGGCAACATTAGCCTGTGCACTGCAGTGACCTTCACCAATGTCTCTCTGTGTCTGGATTCTTCTCTGCCTGAAGCAAGTCCAGAGACAAGCCCACGAGAGGGGCAGGTGGATCCACAGGTTACCGGAGATGCCACAGCTGTAGGGTGGGCCACATTGAGCTCCTCCTTCTGCAGGCAGAGGTGTGTCCCCCTCATCACCCTCCATCAGGACCCCCCTCAAACTGTTCTCTGGCCACTTTCAGGCACACAGCTCTCCACTGGCAAGGACCTGTTATTAAACAAATGACCAAAAGAACATTCCACAGAGGAGGCCTCAGGCCCCACACGTCCCTCAGGACCGACCAGCCCAGTGCCAGGCCAAGGCGCTGCCCACTGACAGACAGGCAGGCTCCCCAGGGGACAGAAACCAGCCCAGCTGGCCAGCAACCCTGACCTTGGCCTCACGAGCTCCTGCACCAGTGAACCCAGAATAAACTGAGGCCCTCCCGCCCCAGACTCAGCGCATTGCTCAGGAACCCAGGCCAGCCTCTGCCCTCCATTAGAACCAGCCAGCACTGGAGGCAACTCCAGAAGATGAGCACCTCAGCCGGCACTCCCCGGGTCCTCGTGGGACCCCACTCGGCACCCCCACAGCCCTCAGGACACCTCACACCTCTCCCTGCTCAGATCCACATTCTAAGAGCGCCCCCGGCTTGGCCCACGTGGCCAGCAAGGTCGTCCTGGAGGAAAACCAGCCCCAGCACAAGCTCCAGGCTCTAAAGCCACTGTGAGCAGCCTTGCTTCCCTCCTGGCCTGTTCCAGGAAAGCTTCTGACATGTTTCTCCGAGAGAAGTTATGCAATGAAGGAATGACAGGGGAGGGAGGGGCAGGCTCTCCCCCAGGCAGGAACACAGGCTGCAGGCCAACCTCCTATGACTTCTGGAGCCCAGTCCCCCACAAGGCCCCATCCTCCCAAAAGTCCCTCTAGGAGGTCATCAGAGCCAAACAGGGCCCTCCTGTGGGCAGTCACTCGGCTTCTGCCCAGATGGACACCAGGAGGTTAAAAAAAGCAAAACATCAAACAACTTCCAACAAACAGGGCCCTTCCTAGCAGGCTGGGTGAAAAGTGCTTAAGGGCAGGGGTGAGTAAGTAAAGTTCCTTGGGGCTTTGGCTTTACCTGCCAGAAACTAGGCCTGTTTACAGAGAAGGGCTCGGGGGAGTTTCTCTACCAGCAAGGGGTAAAGATACAGCTAAACAGCAGCAAACTATAAACCAGGCGCTGCGCTAAGCCCAGCTTTTACTGAGGCATCCAACAATCCTCATCTAATAGACAAGAAATCCCCACAGAAAATGCAGCAGCCCAGGAGGCTTCCCTTTGCTTCAAGGTGTTCCTGAATCCCCAGTGTTCAGTCTTTCTCTATCACCACCTGGCATCCTCCAGCTGCCCCCAGCCTCAGGGGAGGACAGGGGGCCTGGGGAGGGGGCTGCAGCCCCCAGCATGGCAGGAAGGGGCACGGGAAGGCGAGAGGAGTTCCTAGCGGCTGCTCTCACAGGTTCTCAGGATCTGTCCCTCTGTTCCCAGAACTGGACTGGTGGGGGAAGGGAAGCCCTATAGCCCCTCTGGGGCCTAATTACAGAGCCTGGCCAGGCTCAGACTTCCACACACACCACAGAGGCCTGGGCTCTAGTCCCAGGGATGTCACAAATAACCATATGGCCCTGGGCCATATGCTTCTTCTTGGCTCAGCTTCCTCATCTGTAACAGGAGAGAATAAGAACCTCTCTCATCTCCAACACAGAGCTCCTGAAATACACAGAAAAGCCCCTTTCCAAGGAGGCTCCTGAGAAGGCAAAAAACTACACTCCCGCACCCCTGCTGAGGGTGCAGAACTCTTGGATCTAGAACACATCTATCCTGCTGCAAAGTGGACCCAGAAGAGCACTGGCACTGCAGGAAGCATGGCGTGTGCCCTCAGCAAATCAGGCTGGCGTCACTGCCTGCCACTTGTCGCTGGCCTTGTATGCAGCCCTGTCAACAAAGGGGCATCATGCCAGCAGGTTAGGGCACACAGTGCTGTTGCAGGGGGTCCTGAAGGTCCCAGCCAAAGGGTCCAACAGCATTGCTGCTGTGGGATGGCTCTCAAGGCCACAGCAAGCCACAGCCAGGTCTCGAACCGTGTCCAGAAACCAAGTGATACTGTGAGTCTTTCACAAAACTAAGTTATTCCATTTATTCTCCTCTGTCTTAAAGCACGTACTTTATACTTTTGCACTGTTAAAATGTCCTTTTGAAAAGATAAATAAAGTGATGGTATAAAGTGGTGCTTTGTTTTAAATGTCCTTACATGCAAAATTTTAAAAATAACCACCCCAAGCCCATTCACCCAATGTTTGTTTTAAATTTTACCACTGAGATGAGGGACACAAAAGTTTGGGGGGATGGGGCACAATGGTCCCAGAGAGAGCTTTGCTGCTGGTGTATTAACAGTATCCGAAGTGTACTGGCATCTTTGGGAAATTAAGCAACAAGAGCCAACAGCCTAAGCAATGCCTGTTTTCTAACATAAGAGAGTTACCTTACCTCTTAGGAAACCCAATAGAGTCTCATAAGCTATATTTAAAAGCAAAGTATTTTTCTGGGAGTAAGGGACCCCCAACCTTTTACCTTTTAAAAATAATAGGATACCCAAAGGTCCATTCCCTCTACTCTTCATTCCTGGCCCACTGACCTGCTTTTTCTCATATGAGCATCTCCTTGTTTTCACAGGTCAAATTTCAAAATCCTTTCTACACAGAATCAAATAATATTATTGCTTCCTCTTTCTTTACTTTTTGTTTCCTGTCTTCCTCTCTCCCCTTTTCCTCTCTCCCCTTCTGCCTTAATGATGTGGATTGTAAGTTCCTGTGTGAAGGCCCCAGGAACCACCACAGAGCTATGCACAAAGCAGTGCTCAACTCCTTCTGGCAAGTCTTCTCTAGTGCCTCCTCTATCCATTAAAGTCTCACTTCTGTAGGTGTCCATTTCTCAATGTATAGGTACAGAGGAGATAAGTCATCTCCTCTAAACCTGCAAGACTGAAGGATAAATGGAAAAAGGCATGGAAAATACAGAAAAGAGCAAAGGAGACACAGGGGACAGAGGGAAAAGATCTAACATATGTGTAATTGGAGTCCCAGAAAGAGAGGAGAGAATAGTACAGATACAGTATTTGAAGAAATGATCAAAATTTTCCAAAACTGATGGAAGCCACAGTTCAAGATGCTCTGTAAACCCCAAGCAGAATAAATACAAAGCAAACCACACTCAAGCATGTCACAGTCAAACTGCTAGAGAACAAAAACAAAAAGGAAATCGTAAAAGCAGCCAGAGAAAAGAAATAAGACATAACTTTCAAAGAAGCAGCAATATAACTGATAGCCACATTTTCAAAAAAACAATCAAAGTAAGAAAACAATAGAGGAATATTATTAAAGTGATCAAAGGAAACACATTTTCAACATCGAATATTCTACCCAGCAAAAATACCTTAAAAAAATAAAGTATGATGATATATTCTCTTTTTTCTTTTTTTTCTTTTTCTTTTTGAGATGGAGCTGTCATCCAGGCTGGAGTGCAACGCCGCCATCTTGGCTCACTGCAACCTCCACCTCCCCAGTTCAAGTGATTCTCCTGCCTCAGCCTCCCAAGTAGCTGGGATTACAGGTACCCACCACCACGCCCAGCTAACTTTTTGTACTTTTAGTAGAGATGGGGTTTCACCGTGTTAGCCAGGATCGTCTCGATCTCTTGACCTCATGATCCACCCACCCTGACCTCCCAAAGTGCTGGGATTACAGGCATGAGCCACCGTGCCCAGCTATAATGACATTTTCAAAAAAATAAAAACTAGGTCGGGTGTGGTGGCTCATGCCTGTAATCCCAGCACTTTGGGAGGCAGAGGTGGGTGGATCACCTGAGGTCAGGAGTTCGAGATCAGCCTGGCCAACATGGCAAAACCCCATCTCTGCTAAAAATACAAAAATTAGCTGGGTGTGGTGGCATGCACCTGTAATCCCAGCTACTCAGGAGGCTGAGGCAGGAGAATCACCTGAACCCGGGAGGCAGAGGTTGCAGTGAGTCGAGATCACGCCATTGCACTCCAGCCTGGGTGACAAGAGCAAAACTTCATCTCAAAAAATAAATCAATAAAAAATAAATAAAAACTAAAAGAATTCATGATTAACAGACTACACTGTAAGAGAGAGGAGAGTTCCTCAGAGAAAAAGAAAATTATACCAAATAAAATTATAGAAATGCAGGAAGAAAGAAACACAAAAAAGGGCAAATATGTGGGTAAATCTAAATTCATATGGGCTGTACAAAGAAATAATTCTTGTGGTGTTTAATATATCTTAATATCTAAAAAGTGTTCTAAGGTATTAGCATCATTGGAGAAGTAGTAAAAATAATCACTTATTTTTATATTGTAATAAGTCAAGATGCGTGCTGTAATCTCAAGAGTGATCACCAAAAGAACCGTAAAGGAATGTAAAACATAAGAGCTAACAAAGAGAGAACATGCACGGTCACGCATCATGTAACATTTCAGTCAACGGACTGCATATACGACAGTGATAGATTGTATCATATTTTTACTATACCTTTTCTATGTTTAGGTACACAAATACCGTTGTATTACAGTTATCTACTGTATTCAGTACAGTAACATGTTGTAAAGGTTTGTAGCCTAGGAGCAACAGGCTATGCCATACAGCCTAGGCATGTAGCAGGCTATACCATCTAGGTTTGTGTAAGTACACTCTATGATGTTCACACAATGATGAAACTGCCTAACGACACATTTCTCGGACTGAATCCTTGTTAAGACACACATGAGGGCCAGGTGCGGTGGCTCATGCCTTTAATCCCAGCACTTTGGAAGGTTGAGGCAGGTGGATCACTTGAGGCCAGGAGTTCAAGAACAGCCTGGCCAACATGGCAAAACCCTGTCTCCGCTAAAACTACAAAAATTAGCCGGGCATGGCAGCACACACCTGTAATTCCAGCTATTCGAGTGGCTGAGGCATGGGAATTGCCTGAGGTTGCTGTGAGCCGAGATCACGCCGCTGCACTCCAGCCTGGGTGACCGAGCGAGACTGTCTCCAAAAAAAAAGAGAGACGCATGACTATAATTTTAAGTCCTTGATTAATTTAAAAGAAGGCAAAACAGGTGAGAAAAAGGGGGACATAACAGACAGGTCAAATAGTAAACAAACAAAAACTAAGGTAGTAGATATAAACTCCAATACATCCACAATTGCATTTAAATGTAAATGGACTAAATATTCTCATTGTAAGATTATCAGTCTACACTTAAAACACACAAAAAACCAACTATATATGCTGCTCATAGATATGCATTAAACATAAGGACATTTTAAAAGTTGAAAGTACAGGGGAAAAAAAAAAGGTAACATGCAAACATTACCCAAAACAAAGCTGGAATGTAGCTATAGTAATATCAGACAATGAGGACTTTCACAGAGATGAAAAGAGGCATAACATAAGAATGAAGGGTCAATCCCTAGGAGGATATAAGAAGAATTCTAAATCTGGCCGGGCGCGGTGGCTCACGCCTGTAATCCTAGCACTTTAGGAGGCCGAGGCGGGCGGATCATGAGGTCAGGAGATCGAGACTTATCACGCACGTGTAGTCTCAGCTACTCGGGAGGCTGAGGCAGGAGAATCACTTGAACCCAGGAGGCAGAAGTTGCAGTGAGCCAAGATTGTGCCACTGCACTCCAGCCTGGGCGACAGAGCAAGACTCTGTCTCAAACAAAAAAAAAGAATTCTGAATCTGTAGGCAACAAATAACATAGCTTCAAACCATATAAAGCACAAGTCAATAGACTAAAAGTAGGTAAATCCACAATCATAGCAGACTTTTTAATGCCTCTCTCGATAGCTTATTGAATAAGCAAACCAAAATCACTTAAAAATCTGATCAATATGAATAATAAACCAGACTAGATAGACGGATCACTGCACTCAACATGAATTATTTTCAGGTAAACATGGAACATTTACCAAAATATTCCCATTTGGAATCAACGGCAAGACCCTTATTTTACAAAAGAGAAAACCACGGTAGAGCCCAAGGTCACACTGGAAGCACAGTTGTAATCAAAGGACAGCTATTATGATGAACTAAAGTTCAGTTCTGACCCCATATCCAATATATGACCCTTTCTTTCACACCACTCTTTAAGAAAATCTAATATCCACAGATCATCCTGCCCATAGCATCACAGTCATAATGTCCCATAGCCAAATTGGACTTAGGACTCATGCCCCGCCCCCATTTCAGCATCAAAATGAGCCCCTGGAATTGGAAAGTCCTTGACTTCCACTTCTATATAGCTGAATACCTACTGCCAACCTCGCTGAAAACCCGTCTGGGTCCCTGCAGCAGCCCTACCTCCCTGAGACCTAGAGCAATCCCTTTCCTTCATAACCCCGTGTAAAAACTTCCTAAAGTCTGTCAGTCTGCACCTGAAAAACACCTTTCCTCCATGAAGGGAAGAAAGGCTAGAGGTATTTTCTAGGAGAACAAAGCGCAACAGTGCAACTACAAACTGTTTGGATGATGACCCACCAGTAAGCTATATATTTCACATTGTAGTGAAGAACATACTTAAATAGTATGTATGTCTCTGAAACTAAAATATCTTGCCATGTGTATAGTTCATTGTAAGGATGTACGATATTAATTCTAATCTTTTCTATTGAATTCCATTCTGTTTAACTTGTTTTTTGAGACAGAGTCTCACTCTGTCGCCCCCACTGGAGTGCAGTGGCGCAATCTCAGCTCACTGCAACCTCTCCCTCCTGGGCTCAAGCAATTCTTGTGCCTCAGCCTCCCGAGTAGCTGGGATTACAGTCACATGCCACCACACCTAGCTAATTTTTGTATTTTTTTAGTAGGAATTGGGGTTTCACCATGTTGGCCAGGCTGGTCTCAAACTCCTGACCTCAGGTGATTCTCCCACCTCGGCCTCCCAAAGTGCTGAGATTACAGTTAACTTGTTTTTTATATGCTGATCCTGATGCATTAAATTAATTTCACAGTTACTAAAGGGTCATAACCTACAGTTTGAAAGGTTCAACTGGGTGAGCCAGAAGGCCCAGAATTCCCCACTAGGGCCAGAACGGCACGTTCTTTCCTGACCTGGCTTCTCTTTGCTCCCATCCTGCCATCTCCAAGCCTGAAACATCATCTGTCAATTGCTTGGGCAACAACATGAGCATCTCTGAATCATAGCTGTGGGCAATCCTCCAGCACACAGACACCCACAGATGGCTCCGTACATCAGGCAGGTGTCAGCAAAGGCTCCAGAGGCTTCTGATGCTACAAAGCACCCAAGACTAGGGCTTCAACTCCACTAACCCAGGCTCCCTCTGGCTACCCATAATCCCCCACCCTCTGAGGAGAGCTCTCTACCTTTTTCTTCCTACACATCTTCCTATATATAACCCCTTCCACATCAGTCTCTGTCTTCCTTAACCCGTCACCCAAAAGGGTCTGACTACTGCCTCCTTCGCCAGGACTTCGTGGTGCTCCACCAGATTCTAATTCACCATCAAGACTTTCATTCTGACCACTTTTCCCTAACAGCCTGCATTAGCTCTACCGCTTCTCCCCACCCCACAAAGACTCCGAAGTGAGGACTGCACCAGTCCTGAAACACGTCAAACTCAGCCTTCCAGGGACAGGCTCACCAAGAGTCTAGAGTGAAAGGAAGAGGGAGGGGACAGAGAAAAGGTACCGATGTGAAAACAGGGTAGCTCCTGCCCTCAATATCATGGGGAAAGAAGACAGCCTCCATTCAATATTTTAATAAGAAATAATACATGTTACCCAATGACAAGCCAATGTGCAAAGCAAGTAACATGCCAAGTCTTCCAGGGGATAAGGACCACTAGAGGCCACCAAGGCAGTGATTCTCAAACTCATTCTGACAGCAGAACTCAGGGAGGTGTGATATTCTATGAGGGACTGCTTGAAATGTTACCCCAGGAAAAGGAAATAAGCAAATACTCTTGGCTGTCACATAGATGACACTTCATACTAAATTCCTGAATGGCTAAGTACAGTGGATGCCAAATATTAAGGTAAAAATTATGAAAGAAAACCTTACTGCTGAGAAAATTCTATCCAGTTAACCAAGTCTGCTCAGCACCTTGGAGAGGGGGGCCAGCCATCATTCAATGTCAGAACCCACACACATTACGCAGCTCCCAGAATACCAGGCTCTCGGGGAGCACAGTACGTGAGCCTCTGCCCAGAACCAGTCTTGAACAAGTAGGATGGGGTTTCCAAAAGAGAATAGGCAGGAGCGGAGGAACAGCATGTATGATGGATGGTGTATGGGAGGAAAAACATAAACCAGCAAAGAGACAGGCAGACCCATGAGAGTGCATCTCCATGCCCCACCCAGCACCAGCACCATCATGGACCACTCAGACCTCTGCTGCCTACAGCCCTGGAACTAACCACTCACCCAAGGTCAGGGTCCAAATCAAGCCACCAAAACTGTGGCTTCCATTAATTATATCACCTGGAGAACCTACTGAGGACAGCTGAGTGTTAAAGAAATGCAATCCCAGTAACTAACTTAGAGTGTACCACAGCAAAGGAGATGGCACTTTAACAGGAACATCTGGGCCAGCGCATTAGCAGCAGCATGACAAACATGATGCCATCAAAGCAGACACAACTGCTATAAACCTTCACTATAAAATCACCCTTCAACTTCTATAAAAAGAGCGCATGTGTACTGGGCACAATGACAACTCAACCCCCCAAAGTACAGACAAACGGCTTTAAACAGCAGCAGCTGGAGGCCATGGCATCTTGTCACTCCACTCATGAGCCGCAGGCCTGTGGGGACCCAGCAAATGGGCTCCCTAAATGTCTGGTCCCAGGGGGAAAGAAAGCCCTGCTGAGTTGCTGAACAGCCCCAGGGAAGAGCTTTTCCTCACTGCCCAGCCTCCTTCCTGAGAGGCCTCCAAAGCAGCCGACTGGTAGTGAACCTGAGGCAGGGGTGAAACAGAGATGCTGCAGACACCGCCTCCAGGCGAGGCCTGCCGGGCAATCCAAACTCAGCTCCTGGCACAGCATCGGCCCTGTACCAACCCGCAGGGGAGAGCCAGGCAGAGCTGGAATCCAGTAACTGAATCATCCTCCCATGAAAAACTCCAGCTCCCCAAAAGCTCATGCAGGGGCGGCCACCGCCACCTGCTCCCCCAACGCCCTCCCCGGGATATTGCTGGGTCCCCACCTCCATGCAGGCCGCAGCGTGGTGCCCAGGCAGGGCAGGTGAGGCAGTCCAGGGGCACACAGCCACCTTACCTCCGAAGTTGGCCAGCCGGCCAATCCTCGTCACAGGCACCTTCCGCTCCCGGGCATGCTCGCTGAGCTGGAGGGAGACGAGAAAGAGACCTGTGGAATCAGCCAAGGGGACAGGACCAACCTTCAGAGGCTCCTGTTGCCCCCACATCTCCTCTCCACCCCACAGTCAGCAGCTCCGCCTGACAGCACACTCCACCAAGAGAAGGCCACCACGCTCCTAAAAACCCCAGACCACAGCACCCAGGAAAAGTCCCTAGAGCAGAGCCCAAGGCCATCACTGCTGTGGGTGGCAGCTACCTCGGCCCTCCAGGGGCCTCCCATACGCACCGTCTGTTTGTGCTGCTTGTTCTCGGGGCGAGCCTTAGCCTGCCGGGCCTTCTCAATGTCCTCGGCTGTGAGGCCCCCAACAGGGGATTGGTCCTGGTGGAAGAACCTTCGCTGAAAGCCCATGGCAGAGAATGAGTCTCTGGGGTTTGCAAAGAGCCTCCCGTTGGCCCTGCCCAGAGGGGAGGAGGCCTGGCCGGGGAACCCGGCTTCTCTAAAGGGTCCACTGGCCACGTAGGCAGGAGCTGGGCCCTCGCTGTGGGCATGACCCAGGGATGGGGGCGCTGACTGGTCGGGAGCGGAGGCTGAAGAGAAGTCTGTGGAGGCTCCGGCTGCATGCGGGACTGAGAAGTGGAACTCCCCTTCTGGGCCGCCGAAGTTCTCAGCAAAATATTCTTCATGTTTATCCTGACCCTGCAGGGAGCAAAGGCCAGCATTAGGAGAGCAAGAGCGAGCCAGGAGCTCCTCCCTGCCTGTCCCCTGCTGCCCAGGACAGCACACCACCAGCATCCCGCCCCCTCCCACCTCCAGAGGTGGCACAGTGCTGCACCTGAGGCCCGGCACCCTTCCCAGCCTGGGAGCCGGGACCTGGGCTCCAGCCCTGCTTCTGTTGGGGCTCTGCTGTGTGGTCCTAGGTGGGACACTGAGCACCTACTGTGTGCCCAGCCGGGGCCAGGCCAAGTGCACACTACGCCCGCAGCGGGTTCCTCACCTATAAAACAGGGCCAAGAAGGCCTCCAGGGCTTTGGAGATGGTAAACCAGGGCGCAAAAGACAGGGAAAGCTCTGAGAGGTGAACACACAGCCTAAGGCCAGCAAGGGGTGAGGGAAGCACACCGACGGGCCCACCTAAGCCCACAGCTTACTGCAGACATGGATGCCA
Source organism: Homo sapiens (assembly GCF_000001405.40). Taxonomy (NCBI): domain Eukaryota; kingdom Metazoa; phylum Chordata; class Mammalia; order Primates; family Hominidae; genus Homo; species Homo sapiens. The sequence goes on along the minus strand of NC_000001.11, from coordinate 226,964,531 downwards.
CCCACCAGCCGGGGTATGCATGTAAGAGATCCTCACTGGAGAGGTGGTTACAACCAGGACCAGGCCTGGCCGTCCCTAAGAGCTCAGGGTACAGGGAAATGGAGGGGCAGGGGAGAGGATACGCCATGTTTTCTTTGTGATGGTCACCAAGGCCTGAGCTTCGGGCCCAGGTCCTTTCTGCTTCTGAACCAGGAGTGACCTTGAGTGAGCTCCTGACCCTTCTCTGCTACTTCCTCATCTGAAAATAGGGCTCCTCACAGTCACAGTTACTGGAGGCCACAGACAGGGCCAGGAAACAGCACCCAGGAGCCTATAATTAGAACAGCACCGGCTTCTAGAGGGAGACCAGTGGCCTGGATTCTCGGCTTCAACTGAAACAAATGAAATGCGCAGGGTATGCAGACAGCAGGATACCCAAGCCTCACGTTCTGCTGTCTAAGATGTCACAGGATGGGAGGGAGGAGAGAGACAGGCTGTTACACTCATTTCAAAAACAGGAAACTGAGGCAAAGACGGCTGATGTGCTGGTGAAGGTCACCAGGCAGCAAATGACAGAGCCGGGATCCAACACCCAGGCTGGCCCTGCTGGCTGTGGCACTACTCTCAGAGTAGAAACAAGTTGTATTTATGCCAGTGCGATGGCTCACACCTGTAATCCCAGCACTTTGGGAGGATGAAGCAGGCAGATCACCTGAGGTCAGGAGTTCGAGACCAGCCTGGCCAACATGGCGAAACCCCATCTCTACTAAAAATACAAAAATTAGCCAGGCGTGGTGGCAGGCACCTGTAATCCCAGCTACTCAGGAGGCTGAGGCAGGAGAATCGCTTGAACCTGGGAGGCGGAGGTTGCAGTGAGCAGAGATTGCGCCACTGCACTCTAGCCTGAGCAATGGAGCAAGACTCCATCTCAAAAAAATAAAAAATAAAAAACCACAGAAGTCATATTTAAATTCACAGAGCCCCCAGGGAAGGCTTGACAGTGAGGGAGCCTGGGCAGGGCCCTCCTTCTGCCCCATCACTCCCATGATGGTCCCCTGGCCCTGTGCTACTAACACCTGTCGGTGTCACTGTGGAAGCCCAAGGCCAGTGGGGGGGTCCCCAGGGCCCCGAAGGGACCCGGACTCAGTAAGTATCTGCTGAATGAATGTGGAAGCAACCTTGAGGGGCTGGAGGGAGACAGGATCCTGGAGTCCGTGACCTTCCTCCCCTCGCGAGAAGGGAGACACGGAAAAGCGAAGCACTGAGGGAGTGAATGGCAGCGCACTGCGGGCAGCCACCCTGCTCCGGTGCCTACCCTGCTCCCGTGCCTCCTGGGTGGTGTGGCTCGTCACTCAGCCCTACCTCCGAGTGACTGATGGGGAAGCCCTGCCCCTTCCAGACATGCTTTGGGAGCAGAGGGTTGGAGAGTGCCCGAGTAGGAGGCCCTGCTCGCCATTAGGGCTAAGGCCTGTCCAGGCTGTCCCACTCCTGGGCAGGCCCAAGTGAGCTGGGCAACCTCACTTTCTGAGTGTCCCACAGGCAAAACACCCAAGAGCGAGGCCGAGGCCCCACACTCAGGCACCAAATCAGGCAAGGGGAGGGCAAGAGCATGGAGTCCAGGCTGGGAGGGGACAAGAATTCTGGTCCTGTCACTCGTTATGAGTCCTGCAGCAAATTGCTTCACCTCAGTTTCCTCATCTGAGAAATGGGTGTGATGGTCCAGGCTGGCCCCCATCCCAGGACAGTGGTGAGGCTCGGGGGAGAGCACAGGTGTGAGGACTTCTGAACATTAAAGGCAGGTATGCTTGGTGACAGCCACTGTATCACTGTGGGATCCTCCCAGAGCGGCAGGGAAGGGCCTGCAGGTCCTAAACCTGAGACTGAGATGCCTGGGGGCTGCGACGGCCTCACAGCCTGCAGGAGGGCGGTGACCTTTGTCCAGAAATCAGCCATCCACAGAACAGACGTGGAAGGAGAGAAGCTGCGACACAACCTCCAATGCACACATGCCTAAGCGCACACACACAGGTGCACACGCGCAACAGGCACACAAACACCCCCCACCCTGTCTCCTTGACTGTCAGGGAAGCTGCTGGCAACTGTGCAAGGTGACGCCATGGTGGGCCGTGCTCTGCTGTAGCCAGCCCTGTCTATAGTCACCTCTCCAGCACACGATTTCACTGAAAATCACCCCTTGGAGGTAAGACATCAAGGCTTCCTGGACCTTGGCACAAAAGGTCATCTCCTCCCCTAGATGGCACAGGGATGAGAGAGAGGCTGGAGATGAAGCTGTTCTTGGAAGGGCTGTGCCAGCTGCCACCAAGGAAAGGAGGGCCCCCAGTCAGGAGTGCAGAGACCCTCAGCAAACTGAAGGAGAAAAATGAGGCCAGGCCTTGGCGGAGGCTCAGCAGGCTCAGTGGGAAGGGCCTTCGAAGGCTGAGCCAGGCTGATGGACACATGGGCCCCAGTAAAAACTGCATTGTGTGTCTCCAAAGTGCACACACTGAAACCTAGCCCCTAGTGTGATAGTATTGGGAGGTGGGGCCTTTGGGAAGTAATTAAGTCATGAGAATGAAGCCCTCCTCAATGGGATTGGTGCCCTCATAACACAGGCCCTAGAGAGCAGCCTTGCCCTCCTCCTGCCCCATGAGGACACAGTGAGAAGATGGCCATCTATGGATTAGGAAACAGGCCCTCACCAGACACTGAATCTTCTGGCACCTTAATATTGGACTTTCCAGTCTTTAGAACTTTGAGAAATAAGCGTGCATTGTTTAAGCCACCAGTCTATGGAATTCTGTTATAGTTGCCACAGCCTCACACAGGGGCCCTGTCCCACCCTGGAAGGACCGTGGGACACATTAGCTGGTGGGCCCTCAGGCCCTGGCCACCAAAGACCAGTTGCCATGGTCACAGCCCTTGGTCTCCCCCAGAGCTCCAGGTCCCACCCTCTTCCTGCCAGCACCCCTCCCACTGCCAGGCCCCCTTACCTGCACCTTCCCCAAGAACATGCCAATCTGCTCCACAGCCGTGGACTGCAGGGCCCTGGCCGCCATGATCAGCTCCCCTCCGATGCCCAAGTGCTGCAGGTGGGTTTCCACGGCCGCCTGGGTCAGCTTGACAAGGCCTTTAGCCACCATGATGGTGTCTCCCAATATGGCAGCCATCCTTCAGGGCTGGAAGAGAGGAGGCCAAGTCAGGGGAGGCCCCAGGCCTCTGCAGGCCAAACCCACACTACCAACTCCACACCAAACTCTGAGCAGAAGGTCCAGAGGGCTGGTTTTTCCACTGATCTCCCCTTCTGCTAAGAGATAAGAAAGGGCCCAGGGCTCAAGGGAGGCTCCACGTGACTCTGGACACTCCAGGGGAATGGAGCAGAATAAAGGCCGTTGAGTCAGTGGTGCGGTGTGCTTGCTGCTTCCCACACATTTCCTCACCTGGGCCTCACAAGCACCCTACGGAAAACCTGAGGCACAGACAGGTGGCGTGATTCATGATTCGCAGCAGAACCAGGACTTGAGTCAGGCGCACAGACTCCCAGTCTAGGGTTCATCCCTCTGGACCAAAACTGCCTGTTGGGAGAGGAGCATCCAATTCCCAAAGAACTTCCCTGCAAGGTCCAAGGGACCACTCACGGCATTGGTGCTCCAACCCAAACCCACAGGGGCTGAGGCTGCCTGTCCCTGCCCAGCCACCATTGCTCTGCCCAGTGAGGCCTGTGACGGATATCCATAGACCAAGGGACAACCAGAGCCCCTCCCTGACCCCTCAGGGTCAGCCCACCCTCAGCTTCAACTATTCACCAAACCAATGTTTTCAAACTGCAGTCCAGACCCACAGTGCAATAATTTGGAAGATCCTAACCACCATTCAAAAGAAATGAACAACCACCACCACCACCAAGCACCACTACCACCACCACCACCACCACCACCATCACCACCGCCACTGCCGCCACCACCACCACCAAGCACCACCACCACCACCAAGTACCATTGACACCACCACCAAGTACAACCACCACCACCAAGCACCACCACCACCACCAAGCACCACCACCACCACCAAGTACCACTGCCACCACCACCAAGTACTGCCACCACCACCAAGTACCACCAAGTACCACCACCAAGTACCACCGCCACCACCAAGTACCACCACTGACACCACCAAGTACCACCACCACCACCAAGCACCACCACCACCACCACCAAGTACCACTGATACCACCACCAAGTACCGCCACCACCACCAAGTACCACCACCAAGTACCACCGCCACCAAGTACCACCACCACCACCACCAAGGACCACCACCACCAAGTACCATCACCACCACCACCACCACCAAGTACCACCACCACAAGTACCATCACCACCACCACCACCAAGTACCACCACTACCACCAAGTACCACCACCACCAAGTACCACTACCACCACCACCACCAAGTACCATCACCACCACCACCACCAAGTACCACCACTACCACCAAGTACCACCACCACCAAGTACCACTACCACCACCACCACCAAGCACCAACACCACCACCAAGCACCAACACCACCAAGCACTACCACATGATGCAGAATCAAAAAGGAAGCATCAAGGAGCACTGTGGGTAGCTTTCTTAGTTCACTTGTCCTACTTTCAAAGTGGCAAATATATAAGCCATCTAAAAAAGTACACACTGAACAGTACTTGGTTGTGTCTTTCTTCCTACCTAAACAGTTGCATCCTACATACCCAGTGAACTCCCAACTGGTGCCAAGCCCCACCCTAGACAGTGGCGCCAGAGCCAGGAAGCAGAGATGGTGAGCACCCACTCCGCTGGAAGGAGGGCCCAATAGGGGAAATACCCCATAGATATGTGGTCCTGCATACTGGGATGCAAAACCTGTTCTTCTCAAATCAATAAACACAGACTGCTAATAAACAGATGCTGCTAATAAACACAGTCTGTCATTTGTGAGCAGACTAACATGTAGACTCATTTCAAAACCACAGCCTGTACCCACCCCCCTTTGACAAATATCGCTGACCTACTGTTTAGGGGCCACACCCACACCTCCCCTTACCATGCAAAGTGAACCCTTCACACCTCATCAACATCAGGTACTTTTTTTTTTTTTAAGAGAGGGGTCTCACTATGTTGCCCGGGCTGGAGTGTCAAGGCTGTTCACAGGCATAATCATGGCACCCTACAGCCTCAAATTCCAAGGCTCAACTGATCCTCCCACCTCAGGCTCTCAAGCAGCTGGAATTACAGGCCTGCACCACCATGCCAGCTTAAGACCAGGTATTTTTCTGCAAGGGAGTCTACGCTCTCACAGAAGTAGAAAGGAGGGAAGGGGAATAACTACCAGAAGGAAACATCTGTCCAGAACTTTTCTCACCTTCTGTTTTCAAAACTTAGGTCTTAAAATCCTACTTCTAATGCACCACAATCCCAAAGTGCCTCATAATTCAACGATCCCACAATTTCGCTGCAAATCCCTTCCAGGGGTGTACCAAGAACCAGGCACACAGCTACACCAGGAGGTATTTTCATCATGATTTTAAAGAAATAAAAGCCCTCAAACCATGTAATACACAAGTTAAAAATCCTATCAGCACCGTGACTTCATCTGCAAGTACCAGGCCCTCGCTAGGAACACCAGTCTCCCACCTACCCTACTTCTTCCTGCTGCTCCATGAGCACGTTTTGGGGGTCTCGCCTGTGAGTAACTGAAATGAAGTGTTTGGGCTCTGTGCCTCCTTGGTACAGCAGCCTCCTGAAGGCCTCCGTGTGCCTGCCTGCTCTCCTCTGAGGAGGGGCAGCCAAAAGAGTGACCATAAATGATAAAGCAGTGGGGGTGGGAGACAGGTGCTCATGTTTGGGAGTGTCCACTAGCCAGGCATGAAACCAAAATAAAAAGTCAACCGGAGGTTCCTTCAACACAAGTTCACTGACCTCTCCCAGGGCTCTGGGCTAGTTCCTGCAGGCCCCGATGAACCTGCCCTGGCCCAGGGCTCATGGCAGCGTGGCATGCCCGTACCTCTATAATGGGCACAGACACCAGGGAGACAGCTAGGGGCCAACTGATGCTGACACGCCAGGATCGGAGGCAGAGTGGAAGCGACGACCTGGAGCCGGGACGTGAGACTCCAGGCCCATACCCACCAGCTGCCGCTGCCCAGCGTGTGGCTCAACCTCTTCCCCCCTCCTCAGTAGCTCAGTACGGAAGGGCTCTGGGTGCCTCATCAGACCCCTTTTCTGGTCCTAATGTGCTAACCTGCTCTAACGGGCTTTTGTGGGGTTGATAGTCTTTTTTATTTATTTGGGTGGCATGACGGTTATTTTTGGCTATACTATGGCGATGGCTACTGAGGAGTATCCTGAAACATGAGGATCAAATATTGACATCTGAGGGGCTTTATTATTAGGACTATTAATGGAGTTGATGCTGGTTCGGTGACTAGTTGAGCACGATGGAGTTGGGATCACGATTAAAGTAAATAAATGTCTTTATTGAAGTGTCTAGAGAGAAAAAGAACCGTGATAAATGCAGCTTCCCAACCCCACGGACAGGGGTTAGGAAAGCTGCACAAGGCTGTGTTCCCACCACAGGAGGGTGTTTTCTGGCCAAACTTTCACTCTCTGACCTTTCAGGGACACCGTCTCACTCATGCTGGAGACAAGGCTCCGACTCGGGGATCCTGACCTGCACACGAGCTGGAAATTATTTGGGTCATGGGGACCTTCAAATCTAGTCTCCAAAACCAAAAGACACCCCCACGGGCTGTCTAACCGGCCAGATACAAGAAGATATATCAATAGGAAAATGAGTTGTGTCCTTTTTAAAAATGAATTCAACAGTCAATCCTGACAGACGGCAGATGAGATTATCACACACTGTCCACTCAGGACCCACCAGAAGGAAGGAATTTTACTCTGAGGATCCCTTATACACTCCAAGTCCCCCCTTCACAGCCAAAACTCACTGTCTGTCACTCATCTCCTCTATGACAGCAGGCCAGGGACGTCATCTGCATTACCAAGCCACTGTTCAATCTCCTCCGTAAATACAGAGCACAGCATTATAAACCAGCTCCTCCCCAGCAAAGCATGGTGTCTGTTCTAAAAGCCAAGGACCCACTGTCCTGAAGTCTCTTGCAGTCATATCTGCCACCAAAGCCTAGACATGACTGGTATAAGAAGCTAGAAGCAAGTGGCACAAAAAGCCTTTCTTCTGGGCAAAGTGTGAACCAGGGAGGTGGGGGGGGGGGGGCAGGGAGAGTGTGAATCTGGGAGAGTAGGAGCCAGGGAGAGTGTGAACTAGGGAGAGTGTGAACCAGGGAGAGTAGGAGCCAGGGAGAGCGGGAGTCAGGGAGAGCAGAAGCCAGGGAGAGCGGAAGCCAGGGAGAGCAGGAGCCAGGGAAAGTGTGAACCAGGGAGAGTGAGAGCCAGGGAGAGTGTGAACCAGGGAGTGGCAGCCAGGGAGAGTGTGAATCAGGGAGAGTGGGAGCCAGGGAGAGTGTGAACGAGGGAGTGGCAGCCAGGGAGAGTGTGAACCAGGGAGTGGCAGCCAGGGAGAGTGGCAGCCAGGGAGAGTGTGAACCAGGGAGAGTGAGAGCCAGGGAGAGTGTGAACCAGGGAGTGGGAGCCAGGGAGAGTGTGAACCAGGGAGAGTGGGAGCCAGGGAGAGTGTGAACCAGGGAGAGTGAGAGCCAGGGAGAGTGTGAACCAGGGAGTGGCAGCCAGGGAGAGTGTGAACGAGGGAGAGTGGGAGCCAGGGAGAGTGTGAACCAGGGAGTGGCAGCCAGGGAGAGTGTGAACCAGGGAGTGGCAGCCAGGGAGAGTGTGAACCAGGGAGAGTGGGAGCCAGGGAGAGTGTGAACCAGGGAGTGGCAGCCAGGGAGAGTGGCAGCCAGGGAGAGTGTGAACCAGGGAGAGTGAGAGCCAGGGAGAGTGTGAACCAGGGAGTGGGAGCCAGGGAGAGTGTGAACCAGGGAGAGTGGGAGCCAGGGAGAGTGTGAACCAGGGAGTGGGAGCCAGGGAGAGTGTGAACCAGGGAGAGTGGGAGCCAGGGAGAGTGTGAACCAGGGAGTGGCAGCCAGGGAGAGTGGCAGCCAGGGAGAGTGTGAATCAGGGAGAGCGGGAACCAGGGAGAATGGGAACCAGGGAGAGTGTGAACCACGGAGAGTGGGAACCAGGGAGAGTGGGAGCCAGGGAGAGTGTGAACCAGGGAGAGTGAGAGCCAGGGAGAGTGTGAACCAGGGAGAGTGGAAGCCAGGGAGAGTGTGAACCAGGGAGAGTGGGAGCCAGGGAGAGTGTGAACCAGGGAGTGGCAGCCAGGGAGAGTGGCAGCCAGGGAGAGTGTGAATCAGGGAGAGCGGGAACCAGGGAGAGTGTGAACCAGGGAGAATGGGAACCAGGGAGAGTGTGAACCAGGGAGAGTGAGAGCCAGGGAGAGTGTGAACCAGGGAGAGTGGGAACCAGGGAGAGTGGGAGCCAGGGAGAGTGAGAGCCAGGGAGAGTGTGAACCAGGGAGAGTGGGAGCCAGGGAGAGTGTGAACCAGGGAGTGGCAGCCAGGGAGAGTGTGAATCAGGGAGAGCGGGAACCAGGGAGAATGGGAACCAGGGAGAGTGTGAACCAGGGAGTGGCAGCCAGGGAGAGTGGCAGCCAGGGAGAGTGTGAACCAGGGAGAGTGAGAGCCAGGGAGAGTGTGAACCAGGGAGTGGGAGCCAGGGAGAGTGTGAACCAGGGAGAGTGGGAGCCAGGGAGAGTGTGAACCAGGGAGTGGGAGCCAGGGAGAGTGTGAACCAGGGAGAGTGGGAGCCAGGGAGAGTGTGAACCAGGGAGTGGGAGCCAGGGAGAGTGGGAGCCAGGGAGAGCGGGAACCAGGGAGAATGGGAACCAGGGAGAGTGGGAGCCAGGGAGAATGGGAGCCAGGGAGAGTGTGAACCAGGGAGTGACAGCCAGGGAGAGTGTGAACCCAGGGAGTGGGAGCCAGGGAGAGTGTGAACCAGGGAGAGTGGGAGCCAGGGAGAGTGTGAACCAGGGAGTGGCAGCCAGAGAGAGTGGCAGCCAGGGAGAGTAGGAGCCAGGGAGAGTGGCAGCCAAGGAGAGTGTGAACCAGGGAGAGTGGCAGCCAGGGAGAGTGGCAGCCAGGGAGAGTGGGAGCCAGGGAGAGTGGGAGCCAGGGAGAGTGAACCAGGAAAAGCGGGAGCCAGGGAGAGTGGGAGTCAGGGAGAGTCCACGCTGAGAAGCCTTCCCCAGGGCAGCTGTCTGCTGCAAGCCTAGCACCCCAACCACCTATAGGTACCTCCTATAGGAAGTACGTCCCAAACTGACCTTACCACCCACACCTCATCCTCCCAGGGCTCCCACCCTGAGGAATGTGGCCACCATACGCTTCTTTCAAGCCTCCTCCCTTGCCCTCAAGCATCTGATATTCCCACTGGGTGATGCAGCAACCGTTCACCATGGCTCTGCCCTTCCCTCCACTGCCTTTAGGTTCCAGCCAGGCCAACCCACTCCTGGAACCAGAGAGGCTTCCTCCTGCAGGCCTGTGCAGAGGGGGCACACCTCCTCTCCTCCTCCCGGATCTCAGCACCAACATCACCTCTTCTGGGAAGGCTTCCCCAACATGCCTCCCAGCACCCTGTGCCCATCCCCTCCAGCACAGCAGTGACCACTTCCTGAATCTGCCTAACTCTCTCCCCAGTCGGATATCAGCCACAGGACAAGGACTACAAGGACCATCAGCCATAGGACAAGGACCACATCTGTCTTCCTCTCTCCAGCACCGAACACCATGCTCAGGATTGAGCAGACAGGTCATTAATATTTGCCAAAGGAAATGAACTCAGCTGGTCCCTCCAAAGTTTGAGAAAGCCTGCTATTCTCTGGCTGGCTCACACTTGCTGGCAACTTTTACTCCACATACAGAATCAAGGGCCTCTCAGGAGGCTGGTCTGAGGCACTGGTCCTCAAGCTGCTGCGAACGTCTCAATCACCTTAAGACGAGTCCAGAGTGCTGGGCCACACCCCTAAGGGTTCCGTCTCAGCAGGTCTGGGGTGGGGCCCGGGAATCTGCATCTCTAACAAGTTCCCAGGTGCTGCTGACACTGCAGGTCCCAGGAACTTACTTTGAGAACCCCGGTTCTGGAGGAAGAGAGGGAAGGGGAGCAGAGGTGGCCCATGCCTATGGCCAGGCAGGATGCCTCCACAGAGACCCTTTCCTAAGAGTCTCCCCCTGAAACCCTCTTCCCAAGAGTCTGGCTTTGCCCTTAGGCGGAAGTCTTCCACCTGCCCCTTCTTTTTCCATTATTCTTCAAGAAACAGAAAAAGGAAATCAAAAGTGAATGAGCTTAGAGACCGTGACCCACAGAGCAGACCTCCAAAGGCTCTCAAGACTGTCAATTCAAGGATGCTTTGGCAAGGACTGTTTAATGATATTCAGGATACCCTGAGGGGCTGGCAGTGGCCTTCTGCCCCCCTCCCAGCCAGGAACTGTCTTTTCACTTTGGGCATGAACATTCTCAATTTCTAGCCTGTGTGGGCACTGAAACATTCCTTTACGTCCTTGAAATTTTTCCTTTTTTACTCTTAGAAAAAGAAAACAATTGACTGTTTCCTCCAAGGACTCACAAGAATGTATGTGTTGGGGCAAAGACTTCAAACTTCTGAACCAAACTCCATGAGTCTCTTTAGATGTAACCTTCACCTCAGTCTTTATGATCACACACCAGGGAGCATCACTCAAACATCTCGGGCAACTCCCGGCTTCTATCTCGCGAGGTCCAGCTTCAGGGTCTCTGTCAGTAGGTCCTGAAATATCCTCACCTGCTACCAGTTTTCAAAGACAACTGAACACATGAAGAACCCAGGAGATGAGAAAGAGGGAAAAAAGCCTCCGTCCTTCCCCCGTCAGTGAGCCCCAGCACAGGCCTGCTGAGTGAGACCTTCACAGCGGGAGCCCAGGAGCCTGTACTCAAGAGTCTACCCCAGGGCTGGGCTCTCAGAGCTGGCCCCAAAGAGCACATCTTCCAGGAAGTCCCCTCTCCCCTTCTCCTCAGGCCCTGCCTGGCAAAACCTGTCAAATTACATCTCCCTAAAAACAGATGTGAACATTCACTACAAGAATGTAAACATCACAACCTTGCCTAAGATTAGTTAGCTAAACGGTGGAATAGTCATAGGAGGGCATTCCACATAGTCATTGAAAATGACACTGTGGGCCAGGCACAGTGGCTCATGCCTGTAATCCCAGCACCTTGGGAGGCCAAGGCTGGTGGATCACGAAGTCAGGAGTTCAAGACCAGCCTAACCAACATGGTGAAACCCCATCTCTACTAAAAATACGAAAGTTATCCAAGCGTGGTGGCATGCGCCTGTAATCCCAGCTACTCGGGAGGCTGAAGCAGGAGGATGGCTTGAAACCAGGAGGCGGAAGCTGCAGTGAGCCAAGATCATGCCACTGCACTCCAGCCTGGGAGACAGAGCCAGACTCCATCTCAAAAAATAAATAAATAAAATAAAATAACACTGTGAAAGGTGTTTACTGACAAATAAGAAAGTGTATTATTATATATTCCCGGGAAATAAAAAGCAGGTCACAAAACTATCATCTTTCCTTTTGGAGCAGGAAAGGAGAGAAGAAAGGGAGGGAGGTGACAGGAAGCAAAAACAGGAACGTTGCTTTTCATGCAGTGGTGGGAAGACAAATCTTTCTTTATAGAAAGATTTGTATATAGATACAGCCTTTGTACCTGTATCTATATTTTCTAAAATATTCTACAAAGAACATGAACTACTTTTACAATAGAAAATAAATGTTATAAAAATAATATCAGGTTGGGTGAAGCGGCACACGCCTGTAATCCCAGCACTTTGGAAGGCCAAGGTGGGAAGATTGCTTGAAGCCAGGAGTTTAAGACCAACCCGGGAAACACAGGGACATCCCCATCTCTACAAACAAAAAAATTAGCCAGGCGTGGTGCTGCACCTGTAGTCCCAGCTACTCAGAAGGCTGAGGTGGGAGGATCGCTTGAGCCCAGGGATTTGAGGCTGCAGTGAGCTATGATCACACGACTGCACTCCAGCCTGGGTAACAGAGCAAGAAGACCTGTCTCAAAAAAAATAAAATAAAAGATAAATAAAATAAAAATAATCTTAAATATCTTTTATTAAAATTTTAAAAAGTAAGCAAGCACACAAATGTATTCCCCATCCCCTAAGTGCTTGTCCATAGCAGAACGGGCAAGGGTTAGGCAGCAGATTGGAATGGCATAAACATTGCCTCTCCTTGTTTAGCCACTGTCCTTCATCAGAAGACAACTGCTCCTAACAGGCCACCAGGCGGATGGAAAGTGGCACCTCCAATTTGGAGAGAGAGGCTCAACTGCCCTTCTCGGGACAGTGGGGAAAAAAATCACTTGGAACAAGCAGCGGGTCTGCCTGCCTTCCCTAATGTTGGCCTCTGGGTTAAAAGACGGAAATAATGAAAGGGTGCTTACCCCCGATCCTCAAAAAAACAGGATCCTAGTTTAGAACTGGGTAGTAGGTGCAGTGACCACATCTTTTGCAACAAAAATTAAGACACATAATTAGTGTCCTTCCAGGGCAGGGGTTAGCAAACCATGGTCCTCAAGCCAAATCCAGTCCTACTGCTTGCTTTTTTGTCAATAAAGTTTTATTGGAACACAGCCTGCTCACCCATTTATAGATTACGTATAGCTCATTCGTTTACATATGTATTGTCCCTAGCTGCTTTCTTTTTTTTTTCTTTTTTGGCTACAACAGCAAAGTTCAGCAGTTGCAAGAAAGATCTATGACCCATAAAGCCCAAAATATTTACTATTTGTCGACTCATATTCTAGGGCAAGAGTAAAAACCACAGCTGTCCCAGGAAATTTGGAAGGTCACCAGAGTTGAATGAGAACACCCCAATAAGGCTCGTGTTGGGGCAAGGACCCCCCCATTATAGTTCTGCTCCTGACCCTGAGAAATGGGCTCACCTCGCCAGACACAGAGCTGCCCAACACCCACAGGCCCCCAGGTGAAGCCAGAGAAAGGCAAGCCACCTGGTACTGTATTATCCAGGCCAGGGTGGCCCCTAAGTACTGCTCATGAAGGGACAGGCCTGGGGGGCTGGGAGGGGTTGTCCAATGCCAACTTTCTGTACAGCTCTCCTCCCTCCTCCTGTCGCTTCAGGAGGCTCACAGCCTAACTGCAGACACCCGCATTCCCCTCCACGTTGTTGGTCCACGGCTTGGGCTTGGGCTGATATAAAATCATCCACCATCTAATCATTCCTTCATCCCTCCACTTTCTCAGCCTCCTTTACAAGAACCCCCTTGCAAGGCAAGCACTGACGTGGGTGTGGGGTCAGGGGGTGGTCAGGGGAGACACAGAGGCAGACAGGGACGCACGCTGCTGCCTCCACCCCATGCCCCACATAGAGTCCCTTCTGACTGCAGGGCGTTGGTGGCCTCCTGGTGAGCCACATACGCTGGCCTGTCTGCCCCGGCAGAGAGGTCTGAGCTCACCATGGCCCTCACACAGGTCTGTACCCACAGCCTCTGGATGTCCCAGTGGGTCATGCCTTGTAAGAAAGGGAGTTTCCAGGGCTCAACTTGCCTTCTAGGCTAAGGACTTCAAGTTCCCTTGAAAGTTGCTCCCAGACTACTGGGGTTTTTCTTTGAACTGTTTAAAAATTATACATTCTTGTGCTAATAACATAAACAAGAGCTTGTTGAAAGCAGGCACTGAATCCCATACTGCTAATTTTTTCTTAAAAAAAAAAGCAAGCAACTAGGCACTGACATTCTCCCCCATGAATGAAACCAGTTTCACAGATGTTTTCATTTTGTGAGCAGCAGAACCAGCCCACCATGCCAATGATAACTACAGCTGCTTTTGCTGGGTTTAGTATATGCCAGGCTCTGGGCTCAGTGTTCTACTTAGCACAAAGATGTATTAACTCAATCATTTTCAAAAGGTAAATTATGCCCATTTTACAGATGAGGGTGCTAAGGCACAGAGTGGTTAAGTAATTTGCCCGAAGTCACACAGCTTTTAAGAAGTAAAGCTGGGACCTGGATCCATCATGGCTCAGGAGCTAGGCAACCTGTTTAACAGGTAAGAGGAGAAAAAGAGCAAAACAGTGTGTTTTTGATGTCCCAGGCTGCAAACCTCCATTCTCCATCCATTGGAAGATTAAGATATTCTTAGGATTCCCTGGGTGAGTTGCCCTGTGGTGAGCACTGGGTTGGGAGCTGGGCAGGGTTGGGGGTGATATAAAAGCAGCAGAAGGCAAAGTTCCAGCCTCTGATGATAGTCCAGAGAAGGACCCAACACTGTGAGCGAACCTGCATGGGCTCAGAGCTCCAACCACAGGCAGGCAACAGAGGGTCCCAAGCAGCCTCTCCCACTCTGTGAGTTGATATAGCCGATGACACACAAGGCTTTTAAAGGCCAACCAGCCAAGCGCAAGGTCCTGATGGCAATTTAGTTTTCTGACTAAAAACCTAGTGAAGTTTACTGCTTAAAACATTTAAATTAAAATATTTGGCTCAGGAAGTGATACTGGTGACATGGTTAAGATGCTCTGAGGTTAGGTGATCTGGGTTCACATCATGACTCTGCCACTGACTTGCTAGTGTGACCTAAATCAAGTCATGTGAGCTTATCTTTGTGCCTCAGTTTCCTCATCTGTTCTTGAAAGGACTGGATAAATCCATGTAACAGCATTCAGGACATATAGTAGGTGCTTAAAAACCATTAGCTAATGCCATTATTATTAGTAGTAGTATTGCAAGCACACAGACATTCTGGAATGAAGTTCAGACTTGGTGAGACCAACGGTTAGGGTGAATGGGATCAGTCTGGATAACCCGCAGTTGTTCCTGCCAGGCACAGTCTCATACCTGAGTTGGGAGGAAGGCTGGGCTGGGGAGGACCAGTGTGGTTTATTTAGTGCTGTGGTATGAGGCATCATTCAGGAGAGGCAGTCCAAAGTGCTGGCAGCCTGCTTCGAAACCAGGGACACAAATGTCCACTGGTATTCCTTACCACTTCACCTTAAAGGAGAAAACAGCATGGGAGGCTTTTGTCCAGGTACATTCAGGGAGAGGCAGTTGGGAAGAAAACCCCTCTAACTCCCACAAGCTCCCCAGCTCCGAGCCATGGAACACTCTCCTGCCAGATTCCTCTCCCTATAAAAAAACCCACGTTCATCATGCCAACGCGTTGCTCAAATGGCTCCTCTACCTGTAGACATGTATGTAGACATATATATAAAACCCAAACTCCTGCGCCTGAAGTCCCAGGCATCGAAATCAGGCCCCCGGCCTCCTTTCCAGCCTCCAGCTACGCGCGAGCCATGTGAGCGCACTCCACTCTGCAGGTCCTACTTTCTCAGGCAGGCCCGCTCGCCCCTTCATCTCTGTACGTCTGAAAACCCACCCATTAGCCAAGGGTGAGGGCCTTGGGGCCTTGGGGCTGGGAATCAGCTCTGCCCTGACCAGCTGGGCTGCTCCAGGCATATTCTCGAACCATCTCTGACCTGTTTCCTCTCCTCGAAATGATGGTATAAGTTATTATATTGTCCAATATAAATGGAGGGGTGGGTGGATATACTTTGAAATGTGTTAAAGCACCATATAAATTCAAGAACGTATTCCTATTCAGGCCCTTGATTCCCAGCTCTTCCATATTTACGTTCTCCTGACAGCTGATCTAACTTGCTGGTCAGATTCCTACATTGTAAGTTACTCTTCTTCTTGCACATGGACCTCTCTTCTCTTCAAACTATAAGCTCCTTGTGGGAGGCTCTTGTCTCAGACAACTCTGACTCTTCCCACTCCACCCACACACACAGAGTGATCCACCCACACAAATTACAAGCGCAAGCGTTGACTGAATTCACGAACCACTGCCACCCAGGAAGGTAATTAAGGATCCTAAAGTTGAGGTTGAAGGGTTTCTTTCAACGTTTCTTTCAGACGCTTACAGGGTTGTCTTTAAATCTGGCCAAAATACTGTGGGTGGCTGTGGTAGGCTGAATAATGGTGTCTCAAAGATACCCATACCACAATCCCCAGAACCTGTGAATGTTACCTGCAAATGGGACTTTGCAGATATGATGAAGTCAGGGATCCTGAGATGGGGGATTATCCAGGTGGGCCCAATGTAATCACAAGGGCCCATATAAGAGGGAGGCAGGCAGGGCAGAGTCAGAACGAGGTGATGGGAGACAGAAGTGAGGCTGGAGTGATGCCATTGTGAGGAAGAGGCCACAAGCCAAGGAATGCAGGCAGCCTCTAGGCTGGAAAAGGCAAGGGGTCGGGTCCTGCCCTTGAGCCTCCAGAAATGAACCAGCCCAGCTGATACCTTGATTCTAGCCTAGTGAGACCAATTTCAGACTTCTAACCTCCAGAACTGTAAGATCATACATTTATGATGCTTTGAGCCACAAACTTTGTGGTAATTTATCACAACAGCCATAGGAAATTAAAGCAGATCCTTGGGTTGGGGAGAGGGGCTGTATTCTAGAATAATTTCCAGACCATTCTTCTAAATTAACTTTGGTCACTCCACAAATACTACTGAATGCCAACCAAGTGCGAGGCACCAAGCTGGGTGGTAGACTACCCCACAGACAGCTCAGTGCATTCCTGTTCTTAATGACGGAGTCCTGTTGACTTTCTCTATATTGGGCCCATACTACATGCCAGGCAGATAGATATATATATATATATATTTTTTTGAGACAGGGTCTTACTGTTGCCTAGGTTGGAATTCAGTGGCATGATCACAGCTCACTGCAGCCTCAACCTCCCCAGGCACAGGTGATTATCCTGAGTAGCTAGGACTACAGGTGGGTACCACCACACCTGGCTAATTTGTTTGTATTTTTAGTAGAGACAGGGTTTCACCATGTTGCTCAGGCTGGTCTCGAACCCCCGACCTCAAGTGATCTGCCCACCTCGGCCTCCCAAAGTGCTGGGATTATAGGTGTGAGTCACCGTGCCTGGCCTCGGTTTTATATTCTTAATCTTTCAAAACACTTTTACTTCAGGTTTAATATCTCAATGAAATAGGAATAATAACAAGAACAGCTACCATTTATTATTCCCCTCTGTCTGCCTGTCACTTTATATTACCTCTAGTTCTTACAAAGACCTGGTGAGGTATTATCCCCACTCATTGATAGGATAATTAAAGCTCATCAAGGCTGAGCAATCTCCTAAGGGCCAAAGCTGTGGGATGCTGGACCCTTCCACACCTGTCTGACTCAGGCTCCAGTCCTTTCTTCTTACTGCCTAGGAAGCTGAGAGATAGCAGAGAAGAACACTGCCCCAAATCAATAACTCCTTTTTTGTTAAATCAATAGTCACTCAATATGAGACATCAGCAAGGTTTACATCCTGAAATGTGTCTTCCTGGTTACAGAAAATTGAGTCATAAAAATTCTGGGGCCAGCTGGGCTCTCAAAGGCCATCTGGCCAAACTCCCTGCTCTGGAAAGTTTGTCAGCTGCCAGGACTGAGGGTATCACAATTCTCAGCACCAGTGATCCTACCCACTAGAGGCAAAGCTTGGTTCCAGAGCCAGTTTGATCTTAAACATAAATAGTGGAAAGAGGCAGACGCCCTACACTGAAGACTGCCTCTGGGTGTGCAAGAGCTAGGAGGAGCCATCGGGCACACGGCCCTCAGTCTTGCCACACTCAACACCAGCACCAACCTTTATTAGCATCACCTCCAAATGCCACACACAGGCCAGGTGTGGACATGCACACATCACTGGTATGGAAGTTAAATAAACATGTTCTGCCCTGAGGTCACACACAACCCTTAGGCACTACATGTGTATGTAAAACCTCGATAGCTTTTAAAATCACCCAGTTAACCCAGACAAGGGGCAATCCTAGACAGACAACAACCACACACGCAACGAGAAATGAGAAGAGGCTCAGCAGGGTGCAAGGGGACCACAGACCCAGGAGAGGTGGCCATCTCCTTGCTGATCTCCACTCTCCCTGGTCTGGCCTGGCCAGCAAGGCCCTTCACTGTGGAGCCCCAGACACCTCTGCAGCGATACCTCTCGCTAGATGCCTCCGTGCCCCAACGCTTCAGCCAGAATGGACCCCCGGCCCCGCCCAACACCCACACAGGTTTTCCAGCTTCCACATCCTGCTCCCTCCTCCCCATGGAATATCATTTCCCCTGCTGGAATCTTGGCCACCCTGCTGGACTGGTAAACCCCTCCATAGGCAAGTCATCTCCTTTCCTCTAAACTCCCTCATCTCTTAATGGCCTAAGGTCACCTCGCCATGCCCTGTATGACTCTGTGTGTGCCTGTCCCATTTCCCTTACTGCAAGGTAAGCTCCGGAGGGAGGGGCCCTCTCTTTCCCAGTTCTGTACCCCCAACGGGGTCTGGCACTGTCCTCATACACACGAGTTTATTAGCATTATGAGTCAGTGAGGCAGGACCCAGGCACCCAGGCTCCGTGGCTTCCTGAGCTCCCTCATCGAGAGCCCAGGACTGAAGAGACCACCGAGGAGGCTGAGCACCAGGGGAACCTGAATCCCCAACATGCACAGCCACAGAAATGGCAGCAGCACCCTGTTCAAAAAGTGATTTTTACAGGAGCAAAAGCCAGATGAGTTTCCAAGCCAGCTTCATAATCCCGCTCATGGTGGGCACACAGACCCAGGGAGGGAGCAGGGGACGCAGTCACTGCTACTGCTTCCTCTGCGTCACCCCCGTCCCTGTCTAAGACTGAGGGAAAAGAGGAGGGGCTGAAGCCAGCAGGCAGCTGTTCCTCAGCAGGCCAATCAGCCCTGGCCCATGAACCGTGAGCACCAAGCAGGTGTAAACAGCAGCTACAACAGGCATCGCGGCAGCACAATGTCCAACCCTTGACCACATGCTGGCTGTAAACACCTTAGGGAGCAAGAGCCACAGGATTTTTTCAATCTCGGGAAGATTAGAGATGTTTGCTCAAGCACGTGTCAAACAGTAACCACCTTCAGCTTACCGGGCAATCGACTCTTACTTTTACCCTCCTCTGAGCCAGTATCAGTGCCAAACAAAAAATGTGCCAAGCACAGAACAAACACTGGGCTGGGGCCCAGGCTCTGAGCTTGAACTTTAACATTTCTTTTCATGTGGACTGTCCCCAGGACCCCTCATCCAGCCCCGTGAACAGCAGGGACTTGCCACCAGGTCCTCCAGTTCCCAGATGACACCGCATATATTGTGATGAGGGCCGACGGGGAGGACCAACAGCAAGGCCACCAAGCGCGGGTGACCTCAGGCACACCGCTTCTCCTCTTGGGGCCTGCGTTTTCTCATTTCCTCATGTGTAAGTGAGGCGACTGACCTGGAGGAGGTCTAGTTCCCAGAGATTAGGAAAGGGCCATGCATCCCTGGAGTGCAGAAAGTCAGCAAGGAGAGCACACACAGGGCTGTTCTGAAAGCTGGGATGTAACGGGGTCTAGAAAGAGTAATGCTCAAAACAACGCAGATACTGATCCTTCTAGAGATTCTATGAAATAGTGAGAGGTAAGAGGCAGACCAACCCTGCTGTCTTCAGAAAGGCAGAGAGGGGCGCTACAGCCTCTCTGTCTCTCAGGAAACACACCTCTGGGAAATGGAAAATTCCAGTGGACGGTGCAGAGGTAGGGAGAGATAAGGGACTGGGCTTTTCCAAATGACCCGGAAACACCTACCTTCCTGCCTCCCTTCTACACATACACACACACTCTCTCTCTCTCACTCTCTCTCTCTCACTCTCTCTCTCTCACTCTCTCTCTCTCTCTCTCTCTCTCTCTCTCTCTCTCTCTCTCTCTCTCTCTCTCTCAGGGTACAACTCCTCAAAGGATGCTGAGGCACCTAAGGCTCTTCAAGCCCCCACCCCTGGCCCTCTCACATTAAACAGAAGGCCTCGACCCCTCTTTAGCGGACCTTTGTTACTCCAGAAATGGGGGCAACCAGATAGGAGGGCCCGCACATTCTTGGCCACATCTCTCAGACCCTTCCCCTGCCTCTGTCCAATCTCCTCCCACACTGACCATCCCTCCTCCTTCCCGCAACAAGACCTTGCCCCTGACCTATTTTTTTCTTTTGCCTTCAATCATAAAAGCCCTCCCCTGAAGCCCACAAGCCCACTCTCTGCTCTCCTGTACCAAACATTTAAATAAACCTCCCATAGGCTCTGCTTCTCCTCCACCCTCTGGACATGGCTACCATCTCCCAAGGATGGAGTGCACTTGCCATCTTCCCTGCTCCCTCGGCACACACTTTCTGGCCCCAACCCCAAGCTGCCCCTCTGTGACACCTGAGGGCTCAAGCCAGTGGGTCTCCTCAGCCACCCCCTGCCCCACAGTGTTCCCTGCTGGCCCCACACTCTTCCCAGAAGCCCTCCCTCCTCCCTCCTCTCTGGCCTCACCTCCTCAGCTTCCTCCCCCAGCTCCTCTTTCTCCACCTACTCCAAGGCCTGGGAGTTCCCAGGCTGGTCCTCGACACCCCTGCCTCCCTGCCATCTGCACTGGCTCCTGGGGTGCCAGAGCCCCTCCACAGGCTCTGCACTGATGCCTCCCCACACTCAGGCCAGGCAGGACCTCTCAACAACCGAACCCATTTCCAGAACAAACCAAGTTACACACACACATACCGCATCACCACTTCAAAGACCCACAGGCAACTGGAAAGGGGTGCAGGGAAATTTCGGAGGGTGATGAAATTGTTCTATAGCTTGATTGTGGTAGGGGTTATGTGACTATGTGCGTTTGTCAAACTGCGCAGAACTGCACACTAAGAAGGATGAATTTACCGTATGCAAATTATATCAAACAGGATGGAAAGAAGTCCCATAGGCTCCCATCATGTCTAAAACTAAGATGACCACCTTCTCCCAAACCAGCTCTTCCTCCATCAACCAGCTCCTCCCCCTGATTAGAAATCTCAGCCATATATCCAGTCAGGTAGTCAGTCTAGAAATTCCACCTGCATAAATTTCTTTGAATCCATGCCTTCAGTTCTATCTCCCCTTGGGGACTCGGGCCATCCTCACTTCTCACAAACCACCTCCGTGGGGCTCCCACCCCTCCATATGTGCAACTCCAGAAAGAGCAGGACCCTCGAACTCACTCACTCCCACCAGCTCTCCTTTCCACTGGCTCTCCCGAGTTCCTGGCTGTTGCTTAACAGGAATGACAGAAGTATCTCCAGATGCCACTGTCAAATCAAGACAACTCTCTGTCTAAATATTCCTGTCTAATTTTGCACACAGCTCTTGTTTCAACGGACAAAGATAATGACTCAGTGTCCATGGTTCTTACTGGAAAATTATCCTGCCAAGTTTTGAGCTTCCCAATAATAGCCTTCTTTAAAATTCTCTTTGAGAAAGGAGAAGTGACCTTCCTTCCTGATCCTTTTCTACAGGCAACAAAGGGCACCCAAAAGATCCCCTAACTGACCAAGGAGTGTTACAGGAAAATCCTGATACATCCCCACAGGATCAAAACAGCAAGAAAAAGAAACTCACTGAATAGGCTTAGGATGGTTTTCCTTGCCCTGTGCAAGAAATCCCTGTTTTTCAGTTTTTCTGCGTGCCAATCAGTTTGGGACTTAGAAATTTGGGGCATAAATTCTGGATTACACTGAAGGCAAAATTTAGACTCAGAAGTAAAGCATCTTTCTCCACACACACGTAAATATGTCTCTTTGGTGAGCAGGCTGACCAAAGGAGAAAAGAAAAAGAAAAGGTTCACTGACCTTGACACTGATGCTTCAAGCAACTACAAAAGAACTCCACAAATCATACCCATGTCCACGCTGCTGTGTAAAAATACACATACGTATGTTTGAAATGCACCCAGCCACTCACTCCCTGAAGATGCAGGCCCAGCCCCTCCCACATCACAAGACACAGAGCTGTCTGAGCAAAAAGTGAGGATGAATAAAGCATCTCCTTGAAGAACCACTTGTGGATAGCTGAGTTAGCCTTTGTGCCAGCACTCAGCTTAAGCATGTTTCCTATTTTAAAACTGGCCCATAGTTATTCATGTGCAAATCCCCTAGTCTTGCAGTATCCCCGAGAAGCTACCAGTCTTCTAATTCTCCAGCACCCCCAACCCAGCCAGTCACTGCCACACATTTAGCAGGCACAGTACATGCCCATGGGTGTCTACCTCCTAACTTTCTGCTTGCAGGTTTTGCCTCTGCCCTCCTAGGTGCACAGGTAGCCCAATCTACATGGCTTTTACCACTGGGTTAGGGCAGGAGGCATAACACTACCCTTTGCCTAAACCTCTCACCTACTCACGGGCAGGTCCCAGAGGGACCCCTGGCAGCACAGGACAACTCTTTTTAGAGTTTTACCTCAGTGGTTCTCAATCAAGGGAGATTTTGCCCTCCAGGGGACACGTGGCAATGTCTGGAAACACTTTTGATGGTCACAACGGCTAGAAGGGGTGGGGAGCGGTGCTAGTCTAGTAGACAGAAGCCAGGGATACTGCTACACATCCTACAATGTATAGGCCAGGTCTCCCACAACGAAGAATTATGGGTCCAAAATGTCATTAGTCCACAGGTTGAAAAACTTTGTCTTAGATAACACACTGGCTCTGAGGGAGGTGCCCATTCTGCCTGGTTCACTTTTCCTTTGAGTTGCTCAACATTAGGCCCCAAATCATTACGATTCTGCATAGTCCGCACCATTTGCAAGGCTGAACAAAACACTCTAAGCCATTGCCTGAGCCTTTTTTTTTTTTTTTTGAGATTGAGTCTCGCTCTGTTGCCCAGAGGGGAGTGCACTGGCGCCATCTTGGCTCACTGCAACCTCTGCCTCCCAGGTTCAAGCAATTCTCCCACCTCAGCCTCCTGAGTAGCTGGGATTATAGGCGCCCGCCACCACATCCGGCTAATTTTCGTATTTTTTTTTTTTCGGTAGAGACGGGGTTTCACCATTTTGGCCAGGCTGGTCTCGAACTCCTGACCTACGGTGATCCACCCGCCTCGGACTCCCAAAGTGCTGGGATTACAGGCGTGAGCCACCGCACCCAGCCGCCTGAGTCTTACAGATGCTGCTCCTGTAGCTCCCCTTTTGTCTCTCCTCGGGAGAAAGGCCTTCCTCCAAAAGAAGAGTCTCCCAAGAGCCCTCCTGCCAGGATGACCTACCCATCCACAGCGTGACAACTGGCAGGCTGGCATCAAGGAATGTTCAAATCCTTTGGCAATCAGGTAGGCCTGGCATGACCAGCTACTCAATCCTGTCACGTAGATCCAAGGCCCAAGTGAACGTGCACAAGTTTTTCAACAGGCTGTAGGCCCGACTCAGGCTGGAAGACTGCACACAAGCCTCTCACCCTTCAGGAACCTGACATCTCTCACCCAAATGGGGAGTCCCAACACCCAAACCTGCCCCTGCAGCACTCCCCATCGCCCAAAGAGGGTTTGGCAGAGGGGCTGTTACCTCTGTGCAATGGGTGAGAATGAGCCTCGGAAAGGTTCGAGTTTAGGGGAGTAAGCCCAAACCACTCACAAGACCCCCCAGAGTTTGGAGAAGAGGAAAGGCCAAAGAAAAGCGAAAGGAAGAAAGGATCAAAAAGGATCCCCTGTCCCAAGTTCACACAAAATTCCCACCTGCGAAGCCCAACAGCTGGCTCCAGCCAAGGAAGTCAAAGTTCTCACCCAAACCTGCAGCCAGCGGCAACGAGCCTAGAGCCCCAGACACACAGTGCAAGGGGGTCTGGGAGTGAAGAACAACATTATTAGAAAGCGAAGCATCAAAGCTGTATTGGCGACCAAAGGGCATGGGCAACGGGCATTCGGCAGCGGGAAGGCGGTCGGGCAAGCAGCGGGCGTGTTCCAGGGACCCAAGGCTCTGCACGTGGCCCTCGTCTCCTCCCCGAAGCAGGAACGAGGGGCTGAGGTGGACCCAGGGACGTGAGACGGCTGCAGAGGACCCACCCTGCAACTGAGGCGCCCCCACTGCGTCCGGACCTGAGGCTCGCGGCCAGCGAAACTCGCGGGGAAGCTGCGCTGTCACATGAAGAGAATGCAAGAAGGGCTGAGGTGGGTGTTGACCCCAGCTCTGGCCGCAGCCAGACGGCGCCTGGGCACGCGGCGGGCCGGCGGGTGGCAGCCTTACCTGGCTGCAGGAAGCTGGGATCCGCGGTCACCTTCTAGCCGCCTCCGCGCCCGCCTCTGCGCGCTGGCCACCGCGCTGACGCCCGCCACGCGCTCCGGATCTGTTTACCAACTCGCCCGCTCCGGGGGAGCCCCAGCTCACAAGCCCCGCCCCGCGGGCCGCTCCCATTGGCTGCACCGCCGTCCGCCTGCCGAATGCCGCTCTGCGCGTGGGAGCGTGCTCGGCCCGTGCTCCCGGCCCGTAGCCAATCGCGACCGAGAGCGGAGCAAGAGGAGCCAATGGGAGGCTACCTTAGCGGACAGGGCCCTCCTGTTCTCCTTTTCCCCACCTCCCGGCTACCTTTCTCTCTAGCAAACCGGGGCTGGAGGCCTGGCTTTGGAGTTGCTGGCCTGCGCGCATGCGCCTTGAGAACGGGAGCCTTTTTCACTGCGATGCAGTGTGCGTGGCCGCAAAGGCACCCCTGCGTGCTTGTTGCCTCCAGACTGGTGCTTGCTGGGCCTCTGCGCGGGCCTGGGAGGGGAGGCTGTGGACCAAGCAGACGCGACTGCGGGGCGTGGAGGGTGCCGCCGCTTTAAGGACCGGGCGATGCCTGTTCTTTGCTCCTCTCTATGTAGCAAGAGCCCCTTGCCCAGGGTCCACAAAAAGCACTCCGAGGAGGGGAAACGCGGCGGGCAAGGCCGCGCACTTCCACTTCCGGCCCTTCGGCCGGGGCCCTTCAGGCTAAGGATGCTTGTTTTGTGTGGCGCCATCCTCAAAACAGGAAGCCTCTGCCACCCGCGCCCCGAGGGTAGAGAGATAGTACCCTCACCGGAGTCGCTGTCCGCCCGCCGGTCTCGTCGGCGTGCAGGTGCCCGCAGTCGCTGACAGCCGGGGTTTTGGAGGGCGCGCAGCCAACACGGGATGGAGCTCGGGTGCAGCCCTCGGCGTCCCCGCCGAGCAGCCCTGGGAGGCACCGCCACCAGCAGCACGCAGATTTGCCCCGTCACTCCCTCCTTAACGAGAAAAGGAACGTATGAGCCAAAGTCGGCTCGACAATTTCCACTCAGATGACCCCAAACACTGGTCTGCAGCTCTGTTAATCGTTCTTGTGGAAAAAAGAAATAACAATTTAGTTTTTCATGAAATGAAATACTCAAGCCAAAGGATTGTTCCTTATTCTGAGCCTCCCCCCGCTTTTTTTTTTTTTTTTTTTTTGGTATTGTGAAACGAAAATTCACTCTGCCAAAAGGAAAAAAAATTAAACTGAAAGCTGAGTCATGCAACTGCCTTTCCTTTTGTTCCTAAGCAGATAGCTACAGATTAAAGGTGAAGTATCTCCACTCTATGTTCACCTTATCTTGTGTAAAGTGCCGATTTACTGAGCGCCAAATACATAACTGTTGCCCTACCTGCTCCCTTTATCGCAACATGTGGCTTCAATAATGTGAACATACCTTCCATCTTCCCCCTCCAGCCTGCTTTTCCCCTTTAAATATTGAAGCCCTCAAAATCATCTTTGGAGAAAGGCACAGACCTGTCTTCTGGGCGCGAGTCCTTCACCTTCGCAACATAAATTTCTAAACTGATACAGGTACTTTTCGGTTCACAAATATTGACATTTAACTTAATTGAAAGTCGTTTGTTTTATATTATCACTTGGAAAAATTTAAAGTTAGCTGTTCTATGTTGATGCCTAAAATTGGGGATAGGGGCCTGCTTTATTATAATGAAATCCAGAAGTGAACCTAATTTCACAGTCCCCCATCGGCTCCCCAGAGATCTGCCTGAGTTCCCAAGAACAGAATTCTAAGTGTGTGTGATATGGGCGAACACAAGCTCTGTGTCAGGCTCCGTTCTTCCTAGGGGTAGGGGAGGCCTTTCTTCCAAGGAGAATGGAGACTGTGCCTTGTGGCGTCTGTGGCTGGGCACTGGTCGGCTGTTGGGTGCTCCTCTCTGCACATTCACATGCCCTCCCCGCAGTCCATGTTCTGCCTCCCCCATCTCCACCACACTAAATACAAAGTAAATTTTAAAGGACAATTAAGGAGTTATTTTGGCTAAAGTTTCAAGTAACTGCCCCAAACAGTTGACAACTTGCCTTGATTAGGTCAGCTGGCTCCCTTTCTCCACATAGGAGAAAAAGACCAAGCCTCAAGGCCTTTCAAGGGTGGCCGTTGCTTCCTCCTACAGTAACTGTTCCCTTACACGGTTATGCTGTTCCCTCCCTGTTTCCTCCAAGCTCTCCCAGCCTACTGACCCAGACCACAGTCCATGGAATAAGAGAGTTCCTGGTTCGTTACTTCCTGAATCTTACGAACTCTAGCCCATCAGATTTCAGCTGGATGAGAATGTGATTGTCATCAACTCCTGCTTCTGCTAAGTGGGGGAAGGATGTGGTGCTTCAGTTTCACAAACATGGGGCAGGAATTGGTGGCTTCCATGCTAGCTCAGTCCCACTCCACCAGCAATGCCAAGGCCAGCTTCTCTCCTAAAGTACCTTGAAGACAAGCATAACCCACCACCACAAACATTAGTTTTTCTTCAAGGACTGCCAGTCTGATTTACTAGAGAAATGACCTCCAGCTAGTCTATGCAAAGACAGGATCTTCCTCAAATTAATACGACTTTGACCTTACTCCCTGTGAAATAATGACCTCAGCTTTATTATACTAAAGACACATTTCTTTCTTTCTTGACCTGGCTTTTAGTGCAAAGATTTTCCCTGCAAATTATTTTTCAAGTGTGATAATGGGATTATAGTTAGATTTTTTAAGAGAGTCGTTATGTTTTAGAGATACACATTATCAGATGTAATAATATTATATATGGGATCATCTTCAAAATATTACAGGACGGGGGAAGTGAACAGGCCATGGGTTTCTTTACATTACATGCCTATGTGACAGGTGAATTTCTACCCTGGCTTACCTTTAGGAAACAGGATACCTGTGGTCAGAAGGTGCCCCACATGACCAAACACTGAGATCCAAGAAGGCAGCTCACTTGACCTCTGAAGAACTTCTAACTTCATTATAATCTACTTTCCATGCTAAATGACATTCCCACCAGCACCGTGACAGTTGATAATCACCATGACAATGACCAAAGGAAACCATAAAAGGACAAAAAAAAAGGAAGGCAATACTCTAGTTTTGAGAAGTTCTCTGTCCATTCCCAAAAAAGACATGAATATTATCCCCTAGCTTTTAATACCCAACCCCTTCATTAAAGAGGCCCTATATTTGTGACTTCCTGACTTTCACAAGCTGAGAAGTTAATTCATGAACCAAGCTCCTGCTTCTCAATTCCCTGGCCATCCAACAAGGCCTGCACTGCTTGACACTTGCTTTTGTTTTTCCAAATTGGCTTTGGGACACCAAAGAGGGAAAGACTCCATTTTATGGGGGACCAGCTTTGTTGGTAACAAGTTGATAATAGTGGAAGATGAATGATGAGTCTACGGGGGGTTCATTATATTATTGCCTATATATGTTTCCAATTCTCTATAATAAAAAGTTTTTTTAAAAAAACAAGGCACTTTGGGAGGCCGAGGCGGGCGGATCACGAGGTCAGGAGATCGAGACCATCCTGGCTAACACGGTGAAACCCCGTCTCTACTAAAAATACAAAAAATTAGCCGGGCGTGGTAGCGGGCGCCTGTAGTCCCAGCTACTCGGGAGGCTGAGGCAGGAGAATGGCGTGAACCCGGGAGGCGGAGCTTGCAGTGAGCCGAGATCGCGCCACTGCACTCCAGCCTGGGCGACAGAGCGAGACTCCGTCTCAAAAAAAAAAAAAAAAAAAAAAAAAAAGGTATCTGCAAAGAACACCCAGCCTGAAGATAACACTAATAATGTGGGCAGGGTGAACAAGAAGAAAACAGTGAATAGGCCGGGCGCGGTGGCTCACGCCTGTAATCCCAGCACTTTGGGAGGCCGAGGCAGGCGGATCACGAGGTCAGGAGATCGAGACCATTCTGGCTAACACGGTGAAACCCCGTCTCTACTAAAAATACAAAAAATTAGCCGGGTGAGGTGGCGGGCACCTGTAGTCCCAGCTACTTGGGAGGCTGAGGCAGGAGAATCGCGTGAACCCCGTGGGGCAGAGCCTGCAGTGAGCCGAGATCACGCCACTGCACTCCAGCCTGGGTGACAGCGAGAGTCCGTCTCAAAAAAAATTAAAAAATAAAAAATAAAACAGTGAAGAACAGTCATTACTATTCTTGTTAACCTCAGTACAAGGCAAGGGCAAGGATAGATCTAACTGTAGCTGATAAGAACACAGCCTTTCAAATTTTGAATAAAATCCAAAATTATCAAGAAAACATTTGAAACATAGATTTCATTCATGGAGTACCTCACTCTGATTGTTGTGCCTGAAAGTATTAGTTAATGATCATATACTGCCATCTTAGTTAAGATATTTTTTTAAAATGTATCTGTGAGTACAGTATTATGTAATATAAACCCACTCAAACAAATGTGTGTTTGTGTGTATTTTCCCAATAACCAAAGATTCCTGTGCCTGGGACTTTAGGGTGAAAAGTATGATGTTCCAATAACTTTCCTCTGATCTTCAAACTTCTCCCTTAATAACAGTGACAGAGGAGACAATCAGTTTTTCCCTGCTGCATTCCCATGAGCAAACAAACCCGTTGAAAAATCTCCTGCGCTCACCTCCATTCTCGTTGCCCTCATTTTCAGCAAAATTCCTGGAATAATTATCCATATTCATTATCTCCACTTCCTTTCCTCCTATTCTACCTAAAGCAATCTAGTCAGGTTTGCCACCTGTCCCCACCATTCCCCTAAAACTGCTCATCAGTGACCTTTCTGTTGCCCAATGAAATAGTCATTCTCAGATCTCATCTTAAACTATCAGCTACATTTGACACAGTTGATCACTCCTCCCTCTTTCTTATGGGTTGCCCTGGGGATTATAATGAACATCTTATAACATTCTAGTTTGGATTAATGGCAACTTAATTTCAATAATATACAAAAGCTTTGCTCCTATATAGCTCCATTCTCCCCTCTTTTGTGCTGTTACTGTCCTACAGATTACATTTTTATCCATTATATGCCCATCACGTTTATAATTATTGCATATTTATGCTGCCTTTTATATTTACCTATGTAATTTCCTTTACCAGTATTCTTCATTTCATGTGAATTTGACTTAATGCCTCAAGTCCTTTCAGCCCGAAGAGCACCTTTTATTTCTTACAGGGAAGATTTGCTAAGTGATGAATTTCCTCACTTTGTTTATCTAGGAATGCCTTGATTTCTCCTTTATTTCTGAGGGATTCTTTTGCTGGATATAGAATGCTTAGTTGACAGGTATGTTTGTTTTTTTTTTTTTCTGTAGCATTTTATGTCATATCATAGCCTTCTTGGCCTCCAGAGATCAAATGTTAATCTTATTGAGAATCCTGATACACGGTGAGTTGGTTTTTTTGTTTTTTTGCTGATTTCAAGACCCTCTCTTTGCCTTTGGCTTTCAACAGTTTGATTATCATGTGTCTAGGTGTGAATCTCTGAGTTTATCCTATTTGAAGTTCAGTGTGCTTCTTGGACATGCTTATTTGTACTTTTTATCAAAATTGGAAGTTCTTTTCTACTTCTTCAAATATTCTTTCTGTCCTTTTTCTCTCCTTCTCCTTCTGGGACTCCCATTATAAGTATGTTTGTATGCTTGATGGAACCCACAGATTTTTGAGGCTCTGTTCATTTTTTCCCTTCATTCTTTTTTTTTCTGTTCCTCAAACTGGATAATCTCAATTGACCCATTTTCAATTTTGCTTATTCTTTCTCCAGCCTGCTCAAATGTGCTGTTGAGCCCCACTAGATTTTTCATTTCAGTTATTATATTTTTCAACTCCAGAATACCTGTTCGATGATCTTAAAAATAATTTATATGTTTTTATTGATATTCCCTATTTTGTGAGACAAAATTTTTATACTTTTATTTTGTTCTTTAGACATGGTTTCATTTATTTCTTTGAATATATTTAAAGTAGCTGACTTAAAGTCTTTGTCTAATAAATCTAATGGCAGAGACATTATCTGTGTTCCTATTGATTGCATTTTCCCCTGTGCATGGGCCATACTTTCTTGTATCTTTGCATGTCTCATACTTTTTGTTGAAAACTGGACATTTTAAATAATATAATGTACATCTCTGGAAATCAGACTCTACTCCCTCCCCAGGGTTTGTAGTTATTGCTCCTTGTTATAGTTGTTCTTTGTTTAGTGACTTTCCTAATTTG
Source organism: Homo sapiens (assembly GCF_000001405.40). Lineage (NCBI taxonomy): Eukaryota > Metazoa > Chordata > Mammalia > Primates > Hominidae > Homo > Homo sapiens. The sequence goes on along the minus strand of NC_000001.11, from coordinate 226,934,155 downwards.
TAAAGTCATCATGATGTTACTGCTCCACAGATAATATACATATATGAAATTCTCACATTTTGCACACCCAAAATCAACTAGTTAACTTTAATAATTTCATCTTTTATTTATAAATGACACATCAAATGTAGTCTTCATTTATAATACCTGGAAAATCATTTTATACACTGGTTGCAATATTTTCTCATTAACAATAGATTCTAAAGTGGAAGGGCTGAATTTTCTATATGAGAAGTTGATTAATCACAGTTTTCAGATCTGGAGAAAAAGTCCTGAAGCATATTTGTAGAATAATAATTTTCATGCTCCACATTACCTAGCTGTGTTCAACAGCAAGATTCTTTTTGATTCTTGGGCCATTTGGGGCATTAATTAAACATGGTTAAGAATAAAAACAGGCCGGGCACAGTGGCTCACGCCTGTAATCCCAGCACTTTGGGAGGCTGAGGTGGGTGGAATACCTGAGGTCAGGAGTTCAAGACCAGCCTGGCCAACATGGCAAAACCCTGTCTCTACTAAAAAAAAAAAAAAAATGAGCCAGGCATAGTGGTGCATACCTGTAATCCCAGCTACTCCAGAGGCTGAGGCAGGAGAATCACTTCAACCTGGGAGGCGGAGGTTGCAGTGAGCTGAGATCACACCACCGCACTCCAGCCTGGGCTACAGAGTGAGAATCCATCTCAAAAAAAAAAAAAAGAATAAAAACAAATTATAACTGTACAAGCACAAGAAGAGGTGTTTTCAAGCAGAAAGATCCTTAATCAACCAAGTCACAGCCTGGACACCTGCTCTCCATGGCTGTCTACTGTGTCCACTCCACACCCCAGGAACTCTCAGAGTTTTGTCATAATGGGAAAACAATTGCTTAAAAATTATTCTATGGGCCGGGTACAGTGGCTCATGCCTATAATCCGAGCACTTTGGGAGGCCGAGGCAGGTCTATCACCTGAGGTCAGGAGTTCAAGACCAGCCTGACCAAAATGATGAAACCCCGTCTCTACTAAAAATACAAATTTAGCCAGGCGTGGTGGTGCATGCCTGTAATCCTAGCTACTTCAGCTACTTGGGAGGCTGAGGAAGGAGAATCGCTTGAACTTAGGAGGTGGAGATTGCAGTGAGCCCAGATTGCACCATTGCACTCCAACCTAGTCAACGAGAGCGAAACTCCATCTCAAAAAGAAACAATTATGCATTAAATATAAGAAAGTAGGAGTCAAAACAGATTCCACTATTGCTTTATTTTATTTTTCGAGACAGGGTCTCACTGTCACCCAGGCTGGACGGAGTGCAGTAGCACAGTCATGGCTCACTACAGCCTGAACCTCCTGGGCTCAAGTGATCCTCCCACCTCAGCCTCCTGAATAGCTGGGACTACAGGCAAGCACTACCATACTCGACTATTTTATTTTAATTTTTTTTGTCAAGACAGAGTCTCACTATGTTGCCCTGGCTGGTCTCAAACTCCTGGGCTCAATTGATCTGTCTGCCTCTGCCTCCCAAAGTATAGGTGTGAGCCACCAGGCCTGCCCACTATTGTTTTAAATACACAAATTTCTCATTATACCTTTAAAAACCACTATTTGGGAAATGTTAGATTATGTGATCACTGGATTTCTTCTTCCCCTAAAACTTTTTTCTATTTTTAAAAACTCTTGGCCAGGCGCGGTGGCTCACGCCTGTAATCCCAGCACTTGGGGAGGCTGAGGTGGGCAGATCACAAGGTCAGGAGATCAAAACCATCCTGGCTAACACGGTGAAATCCCATCTCTACTAAAAATACAAAAAAAAAATTAGCCGGGCGTGGTGGCAGGCACCTGTAGTCCCAGCTACTCGGGAGGCTGAGGCAGGAGAATGGCATGAACCTGGGAGGCAGAGCTTGTAGTGAGCCAAGATCATGCCACTGCACTCCAGCCTGGGTGACAGAGCGAGACTCAGTCTCAAAAAAAAAAAAAAAAAAAAAAAAAACTCTTGTACATTTTAATTAATTGATTTCAATGTTTCATTAGGTAATAACACATTCATTTGAATATTTAAACATCTATTTTATAAAGGTTTGCAGTGAAGTCTTGCCTAATTCCATCCCTTTCCCACCCACTTCCCAACTTTCATGCCCCAAATTCCCTTGCCCTCCCACATAAACATCTTCCCTGTTATTGTTTCTTATCTCTTTTCAGTTTCTTTATACATAAACAAGCAAATACAAACCTATACTTTTATATTTTATACAAATGGCCTTACTATGCATTCAGTTCTTTTTTTTCATGTAACAATATAGTTTGAAGCTCTTTCCAGATCAGTACATAGAGAGCATCCTCATTCTTTTTGTCAGTATTATATGAATGAACCATAATTTATTTAACCAGTCTCCTGTCCTACAGACTGTTTCTATTATTTTGGTATTACAAACGGTGCTGCAGTAAATAACCCTGTCTGTTTTCAAAATGTGATTGACGGCCAAGCGTGGCGGCTCACGTCTGTAATCCCAGCACTTCGGGAGGCCGAGGCGGGCAGATCACAAGGTCAGGAGATCGAGACCATCCTGGCTAACATGGTGAAACCAGTCTCTACTGAAAAATACAAAAAAATTAGCTGGGTGTGGTGGTGGGCACCTGTAGTCCCAGCTATTTGGGAGGCTGAGGTAGGAGAATGGCATGAACCCGGGAGGCAGAGCTTGCAGTGAGCCAAGATCATGCCACTGCACTCCAGCCTGGGTGACAGAGTGAGACTCTGTCTCAAAAAAAAAAAAAAACAATGTGATTGACTTGGACCTAAGCAAGGCTGGGTCAGTACGCCGAGAGTGGTGCCAGTGCAGAGCCCAAAGAGCTCTTGCTGTGCTCAGAGGCCTGACACGCGTGACTCACTGGCTCCATGATTAGTCACATCCCTCACCCCTCAAACACCCAGTGGTGAAAACCCAGCACAAACAGATCACTTCTTGAGCCCCGGGAATGCACCATTGCAGGCCACAATCTGAGGAAGTCGCTAGATGCAGGAAAATTCAACCCAGTCCCGCTAAGAGAATGACTTAGTTCAACTCTGTTGAACTAAGGCAAGACTAATTACTGTAATTAGCTGACTGTACAATTAGAAGTGATTAAGCACATTACAAAAGAGGCTCAGAATCCCCACAACTGGAAACATCCCAGCTCAGTCCGTTAACAATGTCTGCGGCTTTTCTCTGTTTTCATAGCTTATGCTTGCAGTACATGTCTACCTTCTCAATAGGGTATTATTTTTCTTTTCAACACACTGTAGCATATGGACATTAGCCAAGTATATCACAATCATTGGTTTACTTTTTCTATGCTTAAATTGAGATATAATTTATATATGGTAAAATGCACAGATCTAAGGTCTACAGTTCATAAATTTTACAAATGAAAATATCCTGTAACTAACACCTAAATCAAAATATAGAACAATTTTATCCCTCCAAAAAGTTCCCTCATGTCTCTTTCCAATCACTGCCCCCCAGCTCCCTCTCCCCAGGCAACTATTCTAGGTTGATTCCATTAAGGGAAAATAACTGGAAGGTTATTTTGGCCATTCAAAATTAGGCAAGTAGCCATTGAATTGAAAAAAGCATATAGGGCCAGACGCTGTGGCTCACGCCGGTAATCCCAGCATTTTGGGAGGCCGAGGCGGGCAGATCACCTGAGGTCAGGGATTCTAGACCAGCCTGGCCATCATGGTGAAACCCTGTCTCTACTAAAAATACAAAAAATCAGCCAGGCATGGTGGCGCATGGTCCTAGCTACTTGGGAGGCTGAGGCAGGAGAATCACTTGAGCCCAAGAGCCCAAGAGGTGGAGGCTGCAGTGAGCTAAGATCATGTCACAGTACTCCAGCCTGAGTGACAGAGTGAGTGAGGCTCCATTTCTAAAAAAAATAGTTCATTCTCCTGTTCCTTTTTTTTTTTTATACTTTAAGTTCTAGGGTACATGTGCACAACATGCAGGTTTGTTACATATGTATACATGTGCCATGTTGGTGTGCTGCACCCATTAACTCATCATTTACATTAGGTATATCTCCTAATGCTATCCCTCCCCCCTCCCCCCACCCCATGACAGGCCCTGGTGTGTGATGTTCCTCTTCCTGTGTCCAAGTGTTCTCATTGTTCAATTCCCACCTGTAAGTGAGAACATACAGTGTTTGGTTTTTTGTCCTTGCAATAGTTTGCTGAGAATGATGGTTTCCAGCTTCATCCATGTCCTACAAAGGACATGAACTCATACTTTTTGTGGCTGCATAGTATTCCATGGTGTATATATGCCACATTTTCTTAATCCAGTCTATCACTGATGGACATTTGGGTTGGTTCCAAGTCTTTGCTATTGTGAATAGTGCCACAATAAACATTTGTGTGCATGTGTCTCTATAGTAGCATGAATTATAATCCTTTGGGTATATGCCTAGTAATGGGATGGCTGGGTCAAATGGTATTTCTAGGTCTAGATCCTTGAGGAATCGCCACACCGACTTCCACAATGGTTGAACTGGTTTACAGTCCCACCAACAGTATAAAAGTGTTCCTATTTCTCCACATCCTCTCCAGCACCTGTTGCTTCCTGACTTTTTAATGATCGCCATTCTAACTAGTGTGAGATGGTATCTCATTGTGGTTTTGATTTGCATTTCTCTGATGGCCAGTGATGATGAGCATTTTTTTATGCGCCTGTTGGCTGCATAAATGTCTTCTTTTGAGAAGTGTCTGTTCATATCCTTCGCCCACTTTTTGATGGGGTTGTTTTTTTCTTGTAAATTTGTTTGAGTTCTTTGTAGATTCTGGATATTAGCCCTTTGTCAGATGAGTAGATTGCAAAAATTTTCTCCCATTCTGTAGGTTGCCTGTTCACTCTGATGGTAGTTTCTTTTGCTGTGCAGAAGCTCTTTAGTTTAATTAGATCCCGTTTGTCAATCTTGGCTTTTGTTGCCATTGCTTTTGGTGTTTTAGACATGAAGTCCTTGCCCATGCCTATGTCCTGAATGGTATTGCCTAGGTTTTCTTCTACGGTTTTTACGGTTTTAGGTCTAACATTTAAGTCTTTAATCCATCTTGAATTAATTTTTGTATAAGGTGTAAGGAAGGGATCCAGTTTCAGCTTTCTACATATGGCTAGCCAGTTTTCCCAGCACCATTTATTAAATAGGGAATCCTTTCCCCATTTCTTGTTTTTGTCAGGTTTGTCAAAGATCAGATAGTTGTAGATATGCGGCATTATTTCTGAGGGCTCTGTTCTGTTCCATTGGTCTATATCTCTGTTTTGGTACCAGTACCATGCTGTTTTGGTCACCGTAGCCTTGTAGTATAGTTTGAAGTCAGGTAGCATGATGCCTCCAGCTTTGTTCTTTTGGCTTAAGATTGACTTGGCAATGCAGGCTCTTTTTTGGTTCCATATGAACTTTCAAGTAGTTTTTTCCAATTCTGTGAAGAAAGTCATTGGTAGCTTGATGGGAATGGCATTGAATCTATAAATTACCTCAGGCAGTATGGCCATTTTCACGATATTGATTCTTCCTATACATGAGCATGGAATATTCTTCCATTTGTTTGTGTCCTCTTTTATTTCATTGAGCAGTGGTTTGTAGTTCTCCTTGAGGAGGCCCTTCACATCCCTTGTAGGTTGGATTCCTAGGTATTTTATTCTCTTTGAAGCCATTGTGAATGGGAGTTCACTCATGATTTGGCTCTCTGTTTGTCTGTTATTGGTGTATAAGAATGTTTGTGATTTTTGCACATTGATTTTGTATCCTGAGACTTTGCTGAAGTTGCTTATCAGCTTAAGGAGATTTTGGGCTGAGACGATGGGGTTTTCTAGATATACAATCATGTCAGGGACAATTTGACTTCCTCTTTTCCTAACTGAATAACCTTTATTTCTTTCTCCTGCCTGATTGCCCTGGCCAGAACTTCCAACACTATGTTTAATAGGAGTGGTGAGAGAGGGCATCCCTGTCTTGTGCCAGTTTTTGAAGGGAATGCTTCCAGTTTTTGCCCATTCAGTATGATATTGGCTGTGGGTTTGTCATAGATAGCTCTTATTATTTTGAGATACGTTCCATCAATAGCTAATTTATTGCGAGTTTTTAGCATGAAGAGCTGTTGAATTTTGTCAAAGGCCTTTTCTGCATCTATTGAGATAATCATGTGGTTTTTGTCTTTGGTTCTGTTTATATGCTGGATTACGTTTATTGATTTTCGTATGTTGAACCAGCCTTGCATCCCAGGGATGAAGCCCATTTGATCATGGTGGATAAGCTTTTTGATGTGCTGCTGGATTCGGTTTGCCAGTATTTTATTGAGGATTTTTCCGTTGATGTTCATCAGGGATATTGGTCTAAAATTCTCTTTTTTTGTTGTGTCTCTGCCAGGCTTTGGTATCAGGATGATGCTGGCCTCATAAAATGAGTTAGGGAGGATTCCCTCTTTTTCTATTGATTGGAATAGTTTCAGAAGTAATGGTACCAGCTCCTCCTTGTATCTCTGGTAGAATTCGGCTGTGAATCCATCTGGTCCTGGACTTTTTCTGGTTGGTAAGCTATTAATTATTGCCTCAATTTCAGAGCCTGTTATTGGTCTATTCAGAGATTCAACTTCTTCCTGGTTTAGTCTTGGGAGAGTGTATGTGTCGGGGAATTTATCCATTTCTTCTAGATTTTCTAGTTTATTTGCATAGAGGTGTTTATAGTATTCTCTGATGGTAGTTTGTATTTCTGTGGGATCAGTGGTGATATCCCCTTTGCCATTTTTTATTGCGTCTATTTGATTCTTCTCTCTTTTCTTCTTTATTAGTCTTGCTAGCAGTCTATCAATTTTGTTGATCTTTTCACAAAACCAGCTCCTGGATTCATTAATTTTTTGAAGGGTTTTTTGTGTCTCTATTTCCTTCAGTTCTGCTCTGATCTTAGTTATTTCTTGCCTTCTGCTAGCTTTTGAATGTGTTTGTTCTTGCTTCTCTAGTTCTTTTAATCGTGATGTTAGGGTGTCAATTTTAGATCTTTCCTGCTTTCTCTTGTGGGCATTTAGTGCTATAAATTTCCTTCTATGCACTGCTTTGAATGTGTCCCAGAGATTCTGGTATGTTGTGTCTTTGTTCTCGTTGGTTTCAAAGAACATCTTTATTTCTGCCTTCATTTCGTTATGTACCCAGTAGTCATTCAGGATCAGATTGTTCAGTTTCCATGTAGTTGAGCGGTTTTGAGTTTCTTAATCCTGAGTTCTAGTTTGATTGCACTGTGGTCTGAAAGACAGTTTGTTATAAATTCTGTTCTTTTACATTTGCTGAGGAGTACTTTACTTCCAACTATGTGGTCAATTTCAGTAGCCCGATTCGATCAACTGGAAGAAAGGGTATCAGTGATTGAAGATCAAATGAATTAAATGAAGCCAGAAGAGAAGTATAGAGAAAAAAGAGTAAAAAGAAGCCAACAAAGCCTCCAAAAAATATGGGACTATGTGAAAAGACCAAATCTACGTCTGATTGGTGTACCTGAAAGTGACGGGGAGAATGGAACCAAGTTGGAAAACACTCTGCAGGATATATCCAGGAGAACTTCCCCAACCTAGCAAGGCAGGCCAACATTTAAATTCAGGAAATACAGAGAACGCCACAAAGATACTCCTCGAGAAGAGCAACTCCAAGACACATAATTGTCAGATTCACTAAAGTTGAAATGAAGGAAAAAATGTTAAGGGCAGCCAGAGAGAAAAGTCAGGTTACCCACAAAGGGAAGCCCATCAGACTAACAGCTGATCTCTCAGCAGAAACTCTATAAGCCAGAAGAGAGTGGGGGCCAATATTCAACATTCTTAAAGAAAAGAATTTTCAACCCAGAATTTCATATCCAGCCAAACTAAGCTTCATAAGTGAAAGAGAAATAAAATCCTTTACAGACAAGCAAATGCTGAGAGATTTTGTCACCACCAGGCCTGCCTTACAAGAGCTCCTGAAGGAAGCACTAAACATGCAAAGGAACAACTGGTACCAGCCACTGCAAAAACATGCCAAATTGTAAAGACCATCGATGCTGGGAAGAAATTGCATCAACTAACGAGCAAAATAACCAGCTAACATCATAATGACAGGATCAAATTCACACATAACAATATTAACCTTAAATGTAAATGGGCTAAATGCTCCAATTAAAAGACACAGACTGGCAAATTGGATAGTCAAGATCCATCAATGTGCTGTATTCAGGAGACCCATCTCACATGCAGAGATGCACATAGGCTCAAAATAAAGGGATGGAGGAAGATCTACCAAGCAAATGGAAAACAAAAAAAGGCAGGGGTTGCAATCCTAGTCTCTGATAAAAACAGACTTTAAACCAACAAAGATCAAAAGAGACAAAGAAGGCCATTACATAATGGTAAAGGGATCAATTCAACAAGAAGAGCTAACTATCCTAAATATATATGCACCGAATACAGGAGCACCCAGATTCATAAAGCAAGTCCTTTACAGACCTACAAAGAGACTTAGACTCCCACACAATAATAATGGGAGACTTTAACACCCCACTGTCAACATTAGACAGATCAACGAAACAGAAAGTTAACAAGGATACCCAGGAATTGAATTCAGCTCTGCACCAAGCGGACTTAATAGACATCTACAGAACTCTCCACCCCAAATCAACAGAATATACATTCTTCTCAGCACCCCATTCTCCAGTTCTTAAATGCTCTACTGTATTGGGGAAGCCATCCTACTTGCCTAGTTGCTGAATATGTATTTTACTTTGTTCTCCCTCAGACAGTCACTGGATACTTGTTTCTAATTCACCTAAGTTTTGGAGTAATTTCCACATTTGGAACCCCAAGTTTTTAAACTAGAGAAGCAGCAAACAGGCGAGAAGCTGCAAACCATGAGCCGAGCCTAATTCCGACAATCTGTTACCCACTTCCTTGTGAGTATACAGAAGCAGGGTGAAGAGAGCAAAATTGTGAAGGGGAGTTTAGAAAAGAGAGTCACTGGCCGGGCGTAGTGGCTCACACCTGTAATCCCAGCACTTTGGGAGGCCGAGGCAGGCGGATCACAAGGTCAGGAGTTCAAGACCATCCTGGCCAATATGGTGAAACCCCATCTCTACTAAAAATACAAAAATTAGCTGGGTGTGGTGGCATGCGCCTGCACTTCCAGCTACTCGGGAGACTGAGGTAGAAGAATCACTTGAACCTGGGAAGCAGAGGTTGCAGTGAGCCAAGATCGTGCCACTGCACTCCAGCCTGGGCGACAAAGCGAGACTCCATCTCAGAAAGAGAGTCACCATGTGTCCAAAACAGACAGCAAGACTTAGTTCAGAGCCTGCTGTGGGCAGGAAATGCCATCAAGGCAGGGTCTAAGTGGCTGCAAATAAAAGAATTTCAACTTCAAGGTGAGGACAGACTAAGGACACAGATTTTGCCAATGACCAAGAAGGTTAAATGTTAATATGAAATTTTAATAAAAGAGCACAGGAGGGCCTGGCTCCCTTGGGTGAAATAAGCAATCCTGGAAGAGACTAAGAGGCGTGGACCTATAAATCCAAGTAGAATAGAATGTCCCAGTGGTGTCTGAACTTTGGGTTTTATTTTCTTTCCTTGCACCAGAGAAAGATGCCAAGCATTTCAGAGAGGTGCCTCCACCCCACGAACCCCAGGGGGGTATGTGTGGCCAGGAAAGGGTGCACAAGGGGGAAGCCCATAGGGGGGTTGGGGGACAGCCAGCAAGGAAAATCTCCCACTTTCTGGGGTGCGGTGGATCCCAGGGAGGAACAGAGGATAGGAATTCTGCATCCAGGCCCAGGCGCAGTGGCTCACACTTGTAATCTCAGCACTTTGGCAGGCTGAGGTGGGAGGATCACCTGAGGTCAGGAGTTTGAGACCAGCCTGGCCAGATGAGCCAGCCCATCTCTACTACAAATATAAAAATCAGCTGGGTATGCTGGCGGGCACCTATAGTCCCAGTTACTTAGGAGGCTGAGGCAGGAGAATCACTTGAACCCAGGAGGCAGAGGTTACAGTGAGCTGGGATCATACCACTGCACTCCATCAGAGTGAGACACTGTCTCTAAATAAATAAATAAATGAAAGAATTCTGCATCCACATGGATATCCCAAGCTACTTCTTATCCAAAGTCCTTGGGACAGCGAGTGACTTGGCAAATGGGGAAACTGAATTTAACTGAAGGGCAGAGCTCTGAGATAATGGCCCTGGATCCTGAAAAGGAACACTCACGACCAAGTTCAAAGTGACATGAGTGATACTGTCCTCCCTGAGAAGCCACAGAGACCTGGGGATGCGTGTTGTCCACCAGACTGACAAGAGACCAGTGGCCTCTGCCTGCATGTGAAAGTCAGACTGGCCCTGCTCCCTCTTTGGACTGTGTAAAGCGTTGGGTTGAACACAAGGAGTTGGGGGAGCCCCACGAAGGAGATACTGAATTTCCCACTAATCAGGTAAATGGAGGCTTAAGCCAGGTTTCTTTATGGGAGAAAATAAAGACATATTCACCTTGCACCCTGACTTTATTATCCTAGTTCCTCAGGTGTTATCTGAACTCTGAGATATCTTTGTATTGGGGAAACATTTCTTGCCTTAGCAGCAACTTCTAGAACTTGTGCTCCAACTTACCTGGGCCATTTCTCCAACTCTTCCCTTGGCTTTCTGCCTCTGGGGCTTTACTCTTAAAGCTCCCCTGCCTCCCATATAATAATTAAAATCCCACTCACTCTTTAAGACCTAATTCCAGTGTTATTTGCTATGCGACACCTCTCTGATCACCTCAGAAACAATCTGTCTCTCTCCTTTACATTTACTGTACTTCGTTTTAGCATTTACATGTGTCATTTTTACATTACACCTAATAATAGTGTATTGTAGTTATTTGTCAGCTTGTCTTTTTATATCTAATAGATTGTCAACTGTGTATCTTTATATCTCTTACAGTACCTTAAACCTAGACAGTACGCTTTAAATAAAAAAAAAGTTTAAATGGCTACCAAGGTGTGGTAGACATTGGGAATGTTTATCACCCATTCTCCTCCCCATTGTGTAGTCACCATCAATTTGAGTGGCATTGGTCTCACCCAGCTCTAGGGGTGGTGCCCTCTATTAGTTTGTTCTCACGCTGCTAACCGAGACTGGGTAATTTATAAAGGAAAGAGTTTTAATGCACTCACAGTTCCACATGGCTGCAAAGGCCTCACAATTATGGTGGAAGGCCAATGAGAAGCAGTCATGTCTTACATGAGGGCAGGCAAAAGAGCTTGTGCAGAACTCCCCTTTATAAAACTATCAGATCTCAAGAGGTGAACAGTACGGGAAAGACCCGCCCCCATGATTCAGTTACCTCCCACCAGGTTCCTCCCATGACATGTGAGAATTATGGGAGCTACAATTCAAGAAGAGATTTGGGTGGGGTCTTAGTGATTAACATTGGGCTCCTTGTTACTTGTGCAAATTTCTGCAGCTGGCTTGAATTTCTCCCCAGAAAATGGGTTTTTCTTTTCTATGGAATCACCAGGCTGCAAATTTTCCGAACTTTTATGCTCTGCTTCCTCTCGATCACTTTGCCACTTAGAAATTTTTTCTGCCAGATATACCCCAGATCATTTCTCTCAAGTTCAAAGTTCCACATATCTCTATGGCAGGGACAAAATGCCACCAGCCACTTTGCATAGCAACAGTGACCTTTACTCCAGTTCCCAACACGTTCCTCATTTCCATCTGAGACCACCTCAGCCTAGATGTTACTTGTCCATATCACTATCAGCATTTTGGTCAAAGCTATTCAACAAGTCTCTAGGAAGTTCCAAGCCCTCCAAACTGTTCCAACCTCTGCCTGTTACTCAGTTCCAAAGTCGCTTCCACATTTTTGGGTATCTTTACAGCAGCACCCCACTACTGGTACCAATTTACCATATTAGTCTGTTCTCATGCTGCTACTAAAGACATACCCGAGACTGGGTAATTTATAAAGGAAAGAGGTTTAATTGATTCACAGCTCCACACGGCGTGGGAGGCCTCACAATCATGGCAGAAGGAGAATGAGGAGCAAAGTCATGTCTTACACAGTGGCAGGCAAGAGAGTTTGTGCAGAGGAACTCCCGTTTATAAAACCATCAGCTCTCATGAGACTTATTCACTGTCACAAGAACAGCATGGAAAAGACCCTCTCCATGATTCAATTACCTCCCACCAGTTCCCTCCCATGACACGTGGGATGGGAGCTACAACTCAAGATGAGATTTGGGTGGGGACACAACCAAACCATATCATGCCCCCGATATAAGTCAATCCCAATCCACTTGACAAGATGATAGGTTTTTGAATCTCAGCCAGTCAGCACATGGCACGCCCTCAATGACTGGTCCTGGGGTGGTCCAATCAGAAGGAAGCTCAGGACTTCTATGCAACGGCTGTAGGAAACAATAGCTCCTCTCTCCTTAGACGAGTTGTTGTTGGCTGAGTTGCTGTTCACAGACATCTTGCAACTGTGAATAAGCCAGCCCGAAAAGGAATCTGGCCACAACAGGGCAAGGCAGACAGAATTAGAAATGGAACTGGAGCCCTGATTAAAGCTTATTAGAAGGCTGCCCTAACACTTAACTTTTCAGCCATGTGAACTAATATGTCCTCTTCATGGCTTCTTTAAATACAAGCAAAGGCATCCTAACCAGTGCATTGGGAGTCCAGCATTATGGTCAGCATTGTGGGTTCATACATTGCACATGCACACGTGTGAACACACTTGTACACACACACACACACGACCTGAATCTTACTAGAGAGGGGAAAAACACAGACCTCCAATTCCTGGGATAGTTGCAACATTGACTTTACAAAATTGCACACTGTAAGGCTTTTGGTAACGATTACCAATGCATGAAACTAATGTCTTTGGATCATTTTTCATTGATTTCTGTATTAAAAATGATTTTGTAAGTTTAACCTGAATTCTTAAGAAAATCTCAAACTCTGGCAAGTGGCAATTAATTATAAAAAGTTTTTTCTTTAAAAAACTAATATATTGTCACCTCTTTATTAGTATTTAAAGTAATAAAACCCATTTTTATCTTAATGTGAAGTTTGTATTTTCAACATTGTCCTTAGAAGGTGAAATGAGGTTCTAATAACTGGAATACGATATTGACTTTTCTTGACTGGTTCCATGCCTTGACCTTATTTACAACTTTGTTTCAAAATTTTCCAACCTGTTTGTTTACTTGCTGCTTTGGCAAGCCTGAGTTTTTTCTCTAGAGGCCTAGCTCCTTATAAGCTTGGACTAAGTCTTGTGCCTCTTTCATAACCCATGTCCTCCCCATGCCATGCTGAGTGCAAGAGCTTACCAAGAGCTGGTGTACAGCCCATGGAAATTTCCATAGCAGCTGCTCAGCCCCAGTACCCCCTCCCCATCTGGGACCTGGCCTGCAAGTCCTACCAGCCCAAGGACACTGGGCCTGGCTCTGGGTCAGGCTCTAGGTCTATTTATGCCTTTTTATCTCAGGCTTTGTGCTTTGGCACTCTGCACTCAGGAAACCTCCTCCTGTCCTCACCAGTCAACACACAAACACACGTCCTTATCTGGACAAGAGGAGAACAGTGGGTCAGATCCACAAACTCTTTCTCCATGGCTGCCCAGATGTCCCCAGTGTCTCACCACCTTTCGTTTATTCTTCTGGTTAGAGGAGTAAGTCTTTTATGGGAACAAAGATTCAGGCCTTCTGCCATCAGACAAAATATCTTTATGACCACTGACGAACTTACTAATGAACATATTTCTCAAATGCTTCCCCTTGTTTGGAAAAAGCTATCTCCAAGGTGGTAGGAACCTCACTCCCCCAAAATGTTCCCCTGAGCTCAGCTCTTTGACAGAACCAGTCTCTGATAAACCCAACAGCCCCTGCAGGAGCTGCGGAGGGAAGAGCTGAGCCCTTGAGGGCCCAGGAGCACCTGGTACCTGAGGAGAGGGGGTGAGGAGCTACCCTGCTCACTGCACTCTCTTCCCAGGCAAGGACTGAGGACACAAGGAATAGGAGCCAGATAACCTGAGAACAGAGCAAAACATCCCTGAGGCACACTGTGTAATCTCTCTGGCCTCAGTGTTTTAAGGGGCCAAATTCCTGACCTATCTACTTAATTCCTTATTTTATTTTATGATAGTAGTAGCAGTAGTATTTTACTGGCCGTGTTTATTATGTAATTTGGATGTCAGCGGGAGCTTCCCTAGATAAGACTGGATGAAACTTCTATTCTCCACCCTTTGGAAGTCTAAATTCCTCCTCAAAAGTCTGGCCAGTTCTCAGGAGGGAGGCCAGGGCAGAAGGCGGGCAGAGACTCACATTTACAGTCATCGCTGGTTCTCAGCCTCTGCAAGTGGAGAATTCAGCTTGTGGGCTGTCTCACCATCTGTGTGCTGTCCCTGTCCAGCCTGGCACCAACCCCTCAGGGGAGTGGAGGAGATCTACTCAACAACTTCAAATGAAATATTGGACACCAGTGTTCTCAAAAGCTCTTGAGCCATCCGGTCCCATTAGGATTTTAGGCTAGCTCCCCTTACAGAGTGATCCAGCTGGCTCCTCATCTTCCCATCTCTCCTCTTTACCCCTTCCCTTTTATATTGCTTCCAGAACTCCAAATCCTTCCCCATTTATTCTGTAGAGTCATCTATTTCTCTACCATTCCTTCTGCCAAACTCAGCCATTCAAACCCACCAAGTTGCAGAGAAGGATGTTCCATTCGGCAAGATCTACCTTCATTACGTACCAGACAACTGTGGTTATGAATGGTTTTTTCTCAATTGTATTAAAATCTGAAATACAATTTCTGCCAAATTCTTGCCAAAATGACAATTCCATTTCTCAGAAAGCAGAGAAAATGATAAAGAGAAGCACCATTTTGGATCTAATTATGTACCGCTAGGGGAACCTGTTGGTCAGATGAGAGTGAGAGAAAGCTCCCTGTCATCCAGGAGCCTGGGACAGCTGGACTCTGTACCAAGAGTTAGGAAGAAGAATCCCAAGGTATTTGGAGAAAAATTACGCATGCTTGATCCCATGATCCAAGACAAAGGAAAGATAGCTCAAGCAGAAGCAACGAGGTTATAATTGCAAATGAGCCCAGAGTGGGCAAAGAGAAAACAGGTCCACAATCCAACACAACTGTCGGGGAGTGAGTGGTTCAGCAGGTGCTCCTCCTCCGCACTACTGCTCCACAAAAGCTCTGGTCTCTTCATCATGCCACTTCCAAGGTCGCCCTGGGTGTCGTCTCCACTCCATGCGGGGGTCTTAATGGCCAGGCCGGCAGAGGCACACATCACTTCTGCCCACGCTTCACTGGCTGGCCCTCAATGACATAGCCACAGCTGGCTGCAGGGGAGTCTGGGAGATGTCCCCCAGCTGTGTGCCTGGGAAGTAGAGGAGAGCATGAGTTTTGCCCAGCGCTGATATTCTCTGCCACACACTCCTGTGGTTTCCCTTATTAAAGAGAATTACGGTCAGGGTGGAAAGTTGAAGAGCACTATTGGAAAGAGAAATTGAAGCTCCAAGCACAGGAGGAGGCAGTAAGAAAGCACCCTGCTGCCTCAGAACAACTCAGGTCTTCTGACCTGTAAATGTCATATTCAAGGCTACTGAGGGAGCTCACAGATCAGGAGACTTCATTTTTAAGAAACCTTCATGAACAGAAATATTGCTGGAAGACTGACGAGGCAGGCAATGTCTTCCTGATTTTCAAAAAGGCTAAGAAATTAGAATCTAAAAAGTATATTAAGGTGAGCTTGACATTAATATGGGATGAGTGGCTAAAAGAGAGGATGAAATGGGTGGCCTTGAATATTCAGAAGGGAAAGAATTGGCCACTAAGAGCCAGCATGTGGTCCAGGATAACCTTATTTCCTCTTTCAGAAGAGTTAGCCTCAACAATGTTCATATTCTTAGTTTTAATAATACACCTTCAGGAAGTTATTTTGTACAAGAAGATATTCAGCACAGTTTTATTTGTAATAGCAAAAACTTAGATACAAGCTGAAAGTACAGCAACAGGGGAATTGCTATGCAAATTATTAACCATTGATACAGCCTTCAAGATTGTTTTCAAAGAGTATTTAATAATGTAAGAAATACTTATAAAAATTCTTAAAATTTTTAAAATATAAAGAAAATATAAAAAGCAGAAATTAAAAACAGGACTACCATATGATCCAGCAATTCCGCTACTATAATATATACACATACAAAGAAAATGAAATCAGTATGTCCAAGAGATATCGGCACTCCCACATTCATTACAGCATTATTCACAATGGCCAAAAATGGAATCAACTTAGGTGTTCATCAGTGCATGAATGGATAAAGAAACTGTGGTATATACACACAATGGAATACTATTCAGCCTTAGAAAAGAAGGAAATCCTGTCATTTCCAACAACATGGATGAACCTGGAGGCATTATATTAAGTGAAATAAGCCAGGCACAGAAAGACAGACACTGCATGATCTTACTTACACGTGGAATCTGAAAAAGTTGAACTGGTATGGGAGGCTGAGGCAGGAGAATCGCTTGAACCCGGGAGGCAGAGGCCACAGTGAGCCAAATCGCACCATTGCACTCCAGCCTGGGCAACAAGAGTGAGACGCCATCTCAGAAAAAAAACAAAAAACAAACAAACGAGAAAACACATTAAATTCGTAGAAGCGGAGTGCAGAGTGGTGGGTGCCAGGGACTGGGAGGCAAGGGTTGGAAAGGTGTTAGTAAAAGGATACAAGATTTCAGTTAGATAAGCGGGATGAGTTCAAGAGATCTATTGTACCACATGGTGTTGTGGACAAAAAGAGTCAGACTCTGTAAAATATTTGAAGAGATTTATCCTGAGCCAAATATGAGTGACCAATGACCCAAGACACAGCCCTCAGGAGACCCTCAGAACATGTCCCCAGGGTGGTCGGGGCACAACCTTCTTTATACATTTTAGAGACATGAGACATAAAAATGTAAGATATACATTGCTTCAGTCCAGAAAGGTGGGACAATTTGAAGTGAGGGGAATTCTAGGTTCTATGTAGATTTAAAACTTTTGATTGGCAATTGGTTGAAAGAGTTATTATGAATAGAAAGGAATGTCTGGATTATGATAAGGGGTTGTGGAGACCAAAGTTTGATCATGCAGGTGAAGCCTTCAGGTTGCAAGCTTCACAGAGAAGAGATTGTAAATGTTTCTTAGCGGACTTAAGGTCCTGTGTTGATGTTAAATGCTCGTCAGCTTTTCCTGAAATCCCAAAGGCAGAAGAGTATAATGAGGCATGTCCGACCCTCCTTTCCCATCATGGCCTGAACCAGTTTTTAGGCTAACTTTGGAATGCCCTAGCCAGGAGGAGGGATCCTTTCAGATGGTTGCAGGGCCTTAGAATTTTATTTTTGGTTTATGTAACTACAGTTAATAACAATTTATTGTACTGAAAATTGCTGAGTAGGTTTTAAGTGTCCTTACTACAAAAAAATGATATATATGTGAAGTAATGTGTGTGCTTATTAACTTGATTTAGCCATTCCACAGTGTAACAGCATGTTGTACATGATAAACATATATATTTTTGTCGATTAAATTTTTTTTAATTTTTTTAAATTAAAAAAAACAGGAGGTAACAGAGAAGGTATGATTTCAGTGATGTGAAAAATACCAACACAGAAAAAAAGCTGAAAGAAAAATGCTGAAATGTTAACAGTAGTTATCTCAAGATGGCAGAATTTTGGTCATTGTTAATTTCCTCTAGGTACTTTCCTGCATTTTGCCACAGTAGGTATGTATGACTTCTACAAATAGAAAAAAAAACACACCCTATTTTCTAGGAAAAAAAAATCATGAGGCTGGTAGAGCAGGGCAGTGCCACATATTTCTAGGCCATCTTGCTTTTTACAAGGCATTTGACAAAGTCCTTCACTGATACTCATATACGCTGGTGGATAAAATTGTGCACCGAGTTATTATAAACACAGGTGGTTGATAATCCTTGAATGGCCATCCCCAGTCCAGAGTTTGGACTCCAGGGACAGAAGCAGGTCCCTGTTCTACTTAATATTTTTACCTGCATTTCAGGTAAACATCTAGAGCTACGACACTGTCCAGTATGATATCTATTAGCCATATGGGATTATTTAAATTAATTAAAATTAAAGACAATTTAAAATTAAGTTCCCAGTTGCATGAGCCTAATTTCAAGTGCTCAAAACCTGCATGTGGCTAGTGGCTACCATATTGGACAGCATAGATCTGGTATATTTCCATGTTCACAGAACATTCTGTTGGAAAGTGCTGCTCTAGGGCAGGTTTATCAGTTTCACAGAGGACATGGGCTGAAGGAGAATGATCGCCACTCCCAGATGATTGTCACAGGCTGAACAACGAGCCAGACCTAAACAGATGAACTGGAACAGATGTAAGTATAGTTTCCTTTCACGTGGGCTCCAAAATACAACTGCTGATGTATAGCAGAATTGTAGGGGAAAATTAATTGGTTGGAGACAAACTCCACAAGCAGGTATAGGGTAATGCAGTTACCCAAAATAATGAGATCTCGAGCTGAACTAGTGAAGTATAATGTTCAGAACAAGGAAAGTGATAGTTCCAAGCTATATTGGTCAAACCATACTGAGAACTCAAGTGTTTTTCTTCCAGTGGTATTTTCAGAACTAGAATTGGCTATAATGAAATTGTTTAAATGGAAAGTACTATTTGCATCACTAGGAACTGCTATTGGACACAAACAGATTGTAGTTAGGAACTACCACAGTGTATGGGGGAGAAGCTGCTGTGAATAGCCCAGCTACTTGCTTTTAGTGGCTGTATACTTTGTTTACTAAATAAGGGAGACAATGAGTCATAAAAGTAATGAAAGTAGTGCTACTGGTAAGAAACAGTTAACAATGTGCTGCTATGGAGAGACAGAGAGAGAGACAGACACTACTACACTTGGGCAAAAGCCAGAGGTACTTTTATAGCTTTACAGCAATACTACTAGAGCTATAAAAGACAACTTTGTTATCAAAATTCCTGCAGGGAAAATAACTTAGTTATTGTATACATCTAAAACTTTCTTTTTTGATGGGGTCTTGCTCTGTTGCCCAGGCTGGAGTGCAGTGGTGTGATCATGGCTCACTAATAGCCTCGACCTCTTGGGCTCAAGTGACTCTCCCACCTCAGGCTCCTGAGTAGGCATGTGCCACAGGCATGTGCCACCATGCCCAACTAATTTTTTTTTTGTTGGTGGTGGTGGTGTTTGTAGAGACAGGGTCTCACTCTGTTGCCCAGGCTGGTCTCGAACTCCTGGGCTCAAGCGATCCTCCCACCTCAGCCTCCTGACCTTGTCTTTTTCCCCCTCTTAAAAAAATTTAGTTCTTATGGGTTTTGATAATGTGTCACTTCCTAAAAATGAAAATATCATACTATAAGAAAGCAGACAGAATTGTGTTGAGTTTTTTAGTCCAAATGAAATGCTGAAGTACTTGAGCAAGTCAAGAGAAAAGGGAACAGAATAAATACAATTCGAGAAACAATGACAAATAAAGGATATTTAGAATTGAAACTAAATAATACATTTCACCATATATTTATGTGCACCCTGGAGAAACAGTGTGATTGGAACTGGAATTGGATTTCAGCTCAATACAAGGAAGGACTGTCCAACAGTCAGGGGTAATGCAGTGGGCTGCGGAAACCATACAGGGAGGTGGCAAGGCTGAATTCCAGAGCCAGGCCAACCTGAGTTTGCATGCTGACGATTTCTTGGTATGTGACCTTGGCCAAGTTACTTAGTCTTCTAAGCCTATTTTTTCATCCGTAAAAGATGATAGCACTACTTCTTAGTGTTGTTATGAATAAAGTGAGATAATACATGCCTTGTGCATATCACAGTGCCTGGCATAGAGCAAACCCTCCATAAATGTTATCCAGTATTTGTTATGATTCTTAATGATGGTTAATGACTGAGCTCTGTCTACCAGCAACCTGGAAGTTAAAAAGTGATGTGTGAAGAGGGTTCTACAGTCAAATCCATTTGATAAAGGTTGGAGTAATCAAAGTTCAACAGGTTTCTTTACTCTGTGGCTTCTCTGAGGCTTTAATATACAACCCATCATATTTGGCCACAGAACCCTTTTTCATGGAGCATCTTGAGGGAAGTGAGTGTTTTGAACACACTTTGGAAAACATTGAATTACAGGACTTCTGAAATTCTTTCTGACTCTAACTTTGAAAAAGCTGTGAATTTCAAATGCAGTGATGTTTATAACTGGTGTTTATTGAGCACTTACTATGAGCCAGGTACTGAATTAAGCACTTTAGAAACCTAATGTCATATTATTCTCTCAGCAACCCTGTAATATTATGTCTGCTTTCTACAGTTGAGAAAATTGAGACTCAGAGAGGTTAAGCAGCTTGCCCGAGGTTACACAGCTAACACATGGTGGAACCAGGAGTGTTACCTTGGCTATCCTTTCAAAGCCCTGCTCCTCTTAACCAGTAGGCCACACTTTATCAGAGACTGCTGATTTTTTATGTATCATTGTGTTGACTCAACACAATGATGAATATTTGCAGGGGTAAAAACCAAAGTGAAGTTGGCATTACAGTAAGGGGGAGAGAGCACAGACCAGGAGCCGGGAGGGTCGGATTTGAACCCTTGTGTTGTGACTTCAGAGCTTATGCCCTTTCCACTGACCAGCATTTGAGCCAGCTCCTTCATGCCAGGTTGCTTTAAGATTGTTGGGAGAAGTCGTAGGAGCCGCTGGCTAACAGGATGTAGAGAGTATGTCTATGTTAAATGACTGCAGGGCTTTGCTTTCATTGCTAGAGATGTCCATGACTTGTTCTGATAAAAAATAAAAAATAAATGAGGCCTTAGTTTTGGGAAAAACTTCACATATGCCCTTTACTTCCACCTTAATCCAAGACTAGAGAAAAGGTGCCTCCTCTCCCCTTCTCACTTTACTGCATGAGAACCACGTGCTCCCGAACAGTAAGTGTTCTAGGGTGCTCACCTCTCCCTGCAGGCAATGGCAAGAAGGCCTAACCCTTCCAGGTTAAAGTTCAGGATCTAGAAGATGGAGTTCTATGCTCAGCTCTGCACAACACAGAGATAATGTTCATTCACCAAACATGTCAACCCTATGATGTGCTCAGGCTCTGGCTGGGGCCTCTCTCCTGGCCCCTGGGAGGGAGAGAACAGGAGGCCTGAGCCTCCCACAGAACAAGGACCTGGTTTATCGTCTTTGCTTCTCCAGTACCACCAGCCAGGGACTCGGTAGGAACTGGATGCTGAAGGCTGACCTGGTGAACACCTGTGCTTGAGGCCCCCGCAAGGGCTCAGGGCGGAATCGGCTGCCCTCATGTGGCCACCCTGGAGTGGAGCTAACAGGAGAAATTCAAGGCAAATGGAGGAGTCCCTGGAGACGCGAAAGGGACGTGGCTGAAGGACAGCAGAAGTGTAAAGCCACCAGAAGAAAGCCGCAGCCTTCCGGAGGGACAGTGGTCCTCAAACGTTTTGGTCTCAGGACCCCTTTAAACTTGTAAAACTTACTGAGGACTGCAAAGACCTTTTGTTATGTGGGTTAGCTCTATCCTGTTGAGAAATTACAACTGAGAATTTTATTTATGTATCAACTTTTTAAAAAATAACAAAAATAAACATTTCATTTTAACATAAATAAGTTTTTTGAAAATAGCTATATTTTTACAAACCAAAAACCTTTCATGAAGACTGGCATTTGTTTACATTTTTGCAATTCTCTTTACTAGAATAAAAAGAATATCTTAATAGAAGAGAGCTGGATTCGGCCAGGCACAGTGGCTCACGCCTGTAATCCCAGCACTTTGGGAGGCCCAGGTGGGTGGATCACCTGAGGTCAGAAGTTCAAGACCAGCCTGGCCAACATGGCAAAACCCCGTCTCTATTAAAAACACAAAAATTAGCCAGGCATGGTGGCGGGCACCTGTAATCCTAGCTACTTGGGAGGCTGAGGCAGAGAGAATTGCTGAAAACCCAGGAGGTGAGGTCGGGCACGGTGGCTCACATCGGTAATCCCACCACTTTGGGAGGCCAAGGCTGGCAGATCACCTGAAGTCAGGAGTTCAAGACCAGCCTGACCAACATGGTGAAACCCCATCTCTACTAAAACTACACAATTAGCCAGGTGTGGTGGCGCGTGCCTGTAATTCCAGCTACTCTGGTGGCTGAGGCAGGAGAATTGCTTGAACCCAGGAGGCAGAAGTTGCAGTGAGCTGAGATCGCACCACTGCACTCCAGCCTGGGCAATAGAGCAAAACTCTGTCTCCACAAAAAAAAAAAAAAGAAGAAGAAGAAGAAGACAGCTGGATTCTCCGACCTGCTTTTGGAGTCAATCCCTTGTGATATCACATATCGTATCATGCAGCTTCTGGACAACTCCTGTGTACACTTGTAATAGAAGGAGAATGGTAAGGTAATGTAGTTTTATTACAAAATAGTTTTGACTTCATGGGCCCCCAGGACCACACTTTGAGAAGCACGGCTGTAGAGTTTAAGCTAAGAACTAACTCTGGCTCAGGGTCCTCCTCCAGCAGCTCATCTGATCCTTGGGCAGTGACGAGCCCAAGGCAGACGGCCCCAGGCAGGGAGGCTGCGCCAGACCACCAAGAGGTCGATGCCCACCTGCAACCTGGTGAAGGAACACTGTATTCCTGCCCTCCCACCCACCCTCACTATGTTCAAGCTGAGTGGCACTGCCAGTGGCCTTTGCTCCAGACTTCCCAGCAGAAATGGTAAAGCCCTCCAACTTTTTCTTTTTTTTTCTTTTTTTGAGACGGAGTCTCCATCTGTTACCCAGGCTGGAGTGCAGTGGCATGATCTCAGCTCACTGCAACCTCTGCCTCCCGGGTTCAAGCAATTCTCCAGCCTCAGCCTCCTGAGTAGCTGGGATTACAGGTGCACACCACCACACCTGGCTAATTTTTGTATTTTTAGTACAGACGGCATTTCACCATGTTGGCCAGGCTGGTCTCGAACTCCTGACCTCAGATGATCCACCTACCTTGGCCTCCTAAAGTGCTGGCCATGAGCCACCGCTTCTGGCCCAAGTTTTTCCTTTTATTTAATACATTTAATACAGCTGCACTTTGGACACGAGGCAGAAAAATTAGGTAAGAATACTGGCTGAGCCAGGGTTTCCTTGCCAGGGACAAGATGTTTAAAACTCTTTCCAGGCTGGGGGAGGCAGAAGTGCAAGAGGAGATCAACAGAATGAAGTGCTGGCAATGGGTCTCTGGGAAGAGTCCGGGGGTCTGTAGTCTCCCTCTAAGGGGGTGGTAGAATCCAAGATAATAGAAGGGATGTGCCCCCTCCTGCCTGGGACCCTGACTGTCAGGGGTCCTTGACCTACCATGACACAGGTGCTCAAGAGCGAAGATGGCCAGGCATGGTGGCACATGCCTGTAATCCCAGCTACTCGAGAGGCTGAGACTGGAGAATTGCTGGAACTCAGGAGGTGGAAGTTGCAGTGAACCAAGATTGCACCACACATTTCTCCAAAGAAGATATATACGAATGGTCTAAAAGCATATGAAAAGATGCTCAACTTAAACCTCATGAAACCACAATGAGATACCACCTCACACCTATTAGGATTGCCACTATCAAAAAAAACCAGAAAATAACAAATGTTGGCAAGGATGTGGGGAAATTGGAATCCTTGTACACTGTTGGGGGGAAGGTAAGATGACGTAGCCACTGTAAAGAAACAGCATGGTGGTTTCTCAAAAAATTAAATCTTATGACCCAGAAATCTCATACATCTAAATTGAAAGCAGGATCTCAAAGATATTAGCTCACCCATGTTTAGAACAGCATTATCCACAATAGCCAAGAGGTACAAGCAACCCAAATGTCCACTGATGGAGGATTAGATGAACAAAATATGGTATAAACATACAATGGAATATTGTTCCGCCTTAAAAACGAAGGAAGTCCTGTCACATGCTACAACATGCGTGAAGCTTGAGGACATTATGCATTATGCTAAGTGAAATAGGGCCAGTCACAAAAAGACAAATACTGTATGATTCCACTTACATGAGGTATCTAGAGTAGTCAAACTAATAGAAAGAGAAAATAGAATTGTGGTTGCCAGGGGCTTGTGGGGGTTGCAGGGGAGAATGGGAAGTTGTTCAATGGGTGTAGGATTTCATATTACAAGATGAAAAAGTTCTGGAGATCTGTTTCACAACAATATGAATATACTTAACACTATTATCTGTACACTTAAAAATGGTTACAATGGTAAATTTTATGCTATGTGTTTACCACAATCAACAATTTTTTTAGGGCTGGGCATGGTGGCTCATACCTGTAGTCCCAGAACTTTGGGAGGCCAAGGTGGGAGGATTACTTCAGGCCAGGAGTTCAAATCTAGCCTGGGCAATACAGCAAGACCCCGTCTCTACAAAAAATAAAAATAAAAAATTAGCCTGGCACGGTGGTGTGCACCTGTAGTTCCAGCTACTCAAGAGGCTAAGGTGGAAGGATTGCTTGAGCCTGGGAGGCCAAGGCTGCAGTAGGCCGAGATCACGCCACTGCACTCCACCCTGGGTGAGAGAATGAGACCTTATCTATAAAATAAAAGAAGTTTTCTTTTAAAGAAAAGAAACCAAAATAGAAACGTGGCAATCAAGGGACCACATGTGCCCCCCGGCAACCCTATCCTCTATGTCCTGATATTACAGAGGCCACAGGCTCCCTCACCCTCGGTACTACTCCAGGGAGAAGAGGACAGTGTAAACAACAGAATCTAGCAGGCATTAAGCTTATATATGCTAGCAATAGACAAAATGGACCTTAAGTTACAGAAACATAAGAAAGTTATTGTATCAAACACTGTTAGTTGTCTGTCTGGAGCCTTCTCTGCTCCTCTCCCATTCTTTTCTTTCTAATGGAAAGTGGATGGAACTCTGATTTCATTCTGGCATCCACTCTCCCCCTTGAGACTCAGGGTTACATTCTGATGGGTCCAGGCTGGCCACAACTATCCCACACCCATTGCCAGTGATTGGCTTAGGCATGGGGATGTGACACAGTTCTGGCCAATGAGATTCAGGGAGAAATCTGCCCAGGGGCTCCTAAGAATGGTTTTCATTGACCTTAAAAAAATGACACAGGAAGAGTCTCTCTCCTCTCTCTCCCCCTGCACTTGGCTTTATGTAAGTGAGAATGCGGGAGAGGAAAGAATGCCAGAGAGGAAAATGGAAAGAATGGAAAAAAAAAAATCAAAGATGGAATTGAACTGCTGGATAAATCAAACCCAGAGCCACCCTACTCCACTTCTTGTCAGTGAGAAAATAAACTGACAAAGTCAGGTGGAGACCCTATTAACACAAGGCCTACCTCAGTTTAACCAATATCACCCCCTAAGGCTTCAGGTCCTTGCAGCCAGAAGCGTCCGGTTGTTCTGTTTTTCGCACCTGACACCTGTCTGCAGGCATGCCCCGCTCCATCCTGCAGTGTCGCCATCTGGAGTCGGGTGCTCTCTTGGAGTCGCCACGCACAGATGCCTCTGGCCAGCTCCACTCTGCCATTTGTTTTGCCAACACAGCCCTCTTGGGTCTGTCTTGTGGTTCTGGAAACTAAAAATTATTTCAGCGAATCAGACTTCAAGCCCCTTGAGAACTGAGTCTTTTCATTTCTGTATCTCCACATTGCCTGGAATACACCAAAGTGGGTCATACGTTCCCCGGCATGAAGAAGTGAATTTCCTCCCAAGCTCAGAGCATATCCCTGGAAGATTACATCTGTGGTGACTGCTGGCTGAGCCCCCTAAGCCCCTCTGCCCTACCCTCAAGGCACATGGTGCTGAGCCTGGGACAGTCGGCTGAAGGTCCTATAGCTGGGGCTGAGCGGGGAGCTCAGCAGGTGCTCCAGGGCCCACCTTCCACATGCCAAGAGTTCTGTGTTCTTTGCCCGGCACCATATTCTGCTCCACTCCTCCATTCCCTGCAGTAATCAGCTAATAGCTTGAGTGGCCTTGTCATAGCTCTTAAAAACTATTATAAGACTATTTGGATAATCTTTACTACTCTCCAAATCCCTAGTTTGGGAATCATGAATGTGTTTTAAACCCTTCACTTTATAAATATGAGAAACAGGCCCACAGAAGTGAACTGACCAGATGGTTATGGCTATTGATAGCAGAATATAACTTAGCTTTCTAGACACCAAATTCCCACACATTTTATTATGTTTCTCTTTTGTTTTGCTAGGAAACTGTCACTATAAGGGACTATCACACACACGCACGCACGCACACACACACATACTTTAGAAAGATACATTTTCTTTTTTTTGAGACAGAGTCTCATGTTGTCTCCCTGGCCTGAGTGCAGTGGCGCCATCTCTGCTCACTGCAACCTCCACTCCCTGGGTTCAAGTGATTTTCCTGCCTCAGCTTCCCAAGTAGCTGGGATTACAGGTGTCCATCACCATGCCCGACTAATTTTTTTTTTTTGAGAGTCTCGCTCTGTTGCCAGGAGTGCAGTGGTGCAATCTCAGCTTGCTGCAACCTCTGCCTCCCAGGTTCCAGCAATTCTCCTGCCTCAGCCTCCTGAGTAGCTGGGACTACAGAAGCACACCACCACACCCAGCTAATTTTTGTATTTTTAGTACAGATGGGGTTTCACCATGTTGACCGGGATGGTCCCAATCTCCTGACCTTGTGATCCACCACCTTGGCTTCCCAAAGTGTTGGGATTATCGGCATGAGCCACCGTGCCTGGCCACAGCTAATTTTTGTATTTTCAGTAGAGATGGGGTTTCACCATGTTGGCCAGGCTGGTCTCAAACTCCTGAGCTCAGGTGATCCGTCCGCCTCGGCCTTCTAAAGTGCTGGGATTACAGGCATGAGCCACTGCACCTGGCCGGAAGATACATTTTCTTAGCTGAATGAGATGGTAATTAGTAGAGGGTGACATTGGCTAAACTGGGGCATGTCCTGTTTCAATTTGGTCCCCCAGCAGCAGAGCTGAACAGGAACTGAGTGCAGGCAGTTCCCATGCACCACAGAGAACACCGAAGAGGGGTGAGAGGACATGGCCTGGGATCAGGCTTCCCTCATGAGGCCAGCAGGCAAGGGAATGAATATTTACTGGATAATACTTTAACCCACCACCAGACTGACATCTGCCAAGGAAAGTAACTCCAGACACCTAGTCTAGTTCTTCATTCATAAATGTGAACAGTCAAGCAAGGATCATCAGCCATTTTCAAAGAGTTATATAAGAAATAAAAGGACCTAAGATGAACAGATAAACAAAAAGGCTAAAGAAAACTGAGACAATTAATCAAATAGAAAACCTTTCAAGAATTACTCGTTTCTCAGTAAGAGCTGAGAAGATATTGCCTCCATCAAAAATAACAGCTATGAGAGAGGAGCAAGTAAAGATCATGAGTTTTTGGAAATTAAAAAAAAAACAAACAAGATTGTCAAAAAATAAAATCTAAAAAGGCTAGAAGAAAAATCCTAGCATACAGAGCAGGGAAAAGACAAAGGGATGGAGAGTAGGAGACAACACTGAAGAGACACTAAAAAACAAGTTCTGAGATCTGACACCAGTCTTGAGGGAATCTCAAAAAGAGAAAACAGAGAAAATAAATAAGGGGAGAAAATTTCCAAGATCTGAATAAAGACTCAAATATTCAGATTTCAAGGCACAGGGAATGGTGAGCAAGATGGATGAGTAAGAATCAAATCCACATCCCTGACTCTGTGAGTTCTCTGTGAATAGTCACTATTTCAGAGTTGGACTGACCTGATCAAAGGTTCTGGGGGCTCTTGGGGGCGAGGTTACATCATAGTATGTGGCCACCTGCCTCCTATTGGCTCCTTTTCCTTCTATATCAAGTGGAGGCCAAATCCCTCCCCAAGTATTATCATACAGAGACATTCAGCTCCCCTTGCTTAACCAGACCCTGTGCTTAGTAGAAGAAAAGCCACCAAACAGGACCCTTTTAAAAAGCGAGAGTTATAAATAGAAAAATATATTTAACAGGTGCGTAATAATCTTGTGTTTCCCTAAGGCAGTCTAAGTGGCTTTCTGCTCCTTCTAATCCAATGAAGGCAGGCAGATTTGGTACCAGCAGTGGGGATGCACAGAACATACCCTCAGAAGGAATATGTAAGTGACTATGGCACCATGTCCTTTTGTGGGAGGGGGTGAGTGATCACCGTCCCATGCAGGGGTGAAAGTTCATGGTTTGTGATGATGCAGTGTCTGAGAAAACCACCACCTGTGACTCAGGGATGGAGACGCTATTCCCACCAAGGATGAAGCTTTGGAGAACTCTGTTGCCATTGCTTAAGATGCATCCCAAGATAATGAGGAATGCAATGAGGAACGAATGGCTGCATTGCTACAAGAGAAAAGGGATGAATTCTGCTCCCAGCTTATTTACCTGGAAACAGATGTGAAATTATTGCAATATCCAGCTACAAGAAACACTTTCTTCTCCTTACATCCCCTAGCCTCAAAATCTTGTTCCAATACAAAGCAGTGTATCTATTCATTTAATTTTCTGATACATGCCCTTAGGGCTTCACCTTTTACTTGATGCTTCTCATCAAGATGTTTTCTTAAATAAATACAGCTTTTTTTTTTTTTGAGATGGAGTTTCATTATTGTCACCCAGGCTGGAGTGCAATGGTGTGATCTCAGCTCACTGCAACCTCCACCTCCCGGGTTCAAGCGATTCTCCTGCCTCAGCCTCCCTAGTAGCTGGGATTACAGGCATGTGCCACCATGCCCGGCTAATTTTTGTATTTTTAGTAGAGACAGGGTTTCACCATGTTGACCAGGCTGGTCTCGAACTCCTGACCTCAGGTGATCCATCCACCTTGGCCTCCCAAAGTGCTGGGATTACAGGCGTGAGCCACTGCGCCCAGCAGTAGCTCCCTTTCTAAGAAGAATTCTGGAGAAACTACTTAGACAAGCTTTTTGGGGGTGTTAAACACTGGAGGAGCAGATTTGGGGTGTTGGTGGGAGAGAAGAACAGTGTTTTGAGACACCTAAGTGGAAGAGATACCAAGTGAGCAGAGATGTCTGACTGAAAGGTAGGTCAGGCTTGCATGTGGCTGCACGTACTAGAAACCCAACTATAATAGTTTAACCAGATAGGGGTTTCTATTAATAACATAAAAGAAGACCAGGCCAGGCACGGTGGCTCAAGCCTGTAATCCCAGCACTTTTAGGAGACCTAGGTGGGTGAATCACTTGAGGTCAGGAGTTCCAGACCAGCCTGGCCAACATGGTGAAACCCCATCTCTCTAAAAATACAAAAATTAGCAGGGCATGATGGCTTGTGCCTGTAGTCCCAGCTACTCGGGAGGCTGAGGCAGGATAATCGCTTGAACCCAGGAGGCAGAGGTTGCAGTGAGCCAAGATGGCACCACTACACTCCAGCCTGGGTGACAGAGTGAGACTCCATTTCAAAACAAACAAACAAACAAACAGAAAAGAAGTCCAGGGGTGGCTGGGGCAGCTACTTGTGGTTTCCTTCTCTGTCATACACGCTTTGCCTGCGGCTTTCATCCTGGTGGTCGCTAAGCAGCTGTGACATCTCAAAGCATCACATCTGTGTCCCATGCAAGGAAAAAATGGCAGATTATGGCTGAGGCGCCCCTCCCCGCCTTTAAAACCAGGAGAACAATAGCTTTTCTGGAAGACCCAAGCACTAGACTTTGGCAGAGCTGAGTCACATGGCCACTCCTAAGTGCCCAGGACCCTGGGAGGTGAGCAGTGCTAAATATGCAGGAGGACACCCTGAGCACAGCAGGATCTGCTAGGAGGGATACTGGGGAAGGCAACTCGCTTGTGAAAGCCACGTGAATGGATAGGATCACACTGGGAAGAGAGGAGGAGCAAGCAGAGAAGAGGAATGAGAACTGAGCCCTGAAAATGTGCATCTAGGGTAAAAGCAGAGCAGCAGCTGGAAAATGGCCAAGGAATGAGCAGGAGGAGGGAAGAAGAGTAGGAGGAAACTGCCAAACAAAATAAAATTGGAGCTGGGTGCGGTGGTTCATGCTTGAATCCCAGCGCTTTGGGAGGTTGAGGCTGGACAATCACTTAAGGCCAGGAGTTCCAGACCAGCCTGGGCAATATAGCAAGACCCTGTCTCGACAAAAATTAAAAAAAATTAGCAAGGCATGATGGTGCATGCATGTAGCCTCAGTTGAGGCAGGAGGATTGCTTGAGCCCAGGAATTCGAGGTTGCAGTGAGCTATGATCATGCCACTGCATTCCAGCCTGGGTGACAAAGCGAGACACTGTCTCTAAAAAAATTAATTTTTAGGAACTGGATTTAGTAAGGAGAGACTTTATTCAAAAGGATTATTGCAAGGATAGGAAGGGGCAGGAAAGGAGATCATTGCAAATAGGGGGAACCTCTGACTGTTAAGATCTTCCAGAGTCTCAAGATCTAGGCAAACACGTTTTCTGGTTTTGTTTTTTTAATA
Source organism: Homo sapiens (assembly GCF_000001405.40). Classification (NCBI taxonomy): domain Eukaryota; kingdom Metazoa; phylum Chordata; class Mammalia; order Primates; family Hominidae; genus Homo; species Homo sapiens. The sequence continues at coordinate 226,903,644 of NC_000001.11, read as the reverse complement.
GGGGAGTAAACACGACCAGAAAGAACAGATGTGGGGAAGTGGAATGGAAGGGCAGCAGGATCAGGTAGATCAGAGGATGTTCGACTCTGGGGCCAACCTCTTCTCCAGAGGGGATGTCTGCCGACTCAGGAAAGTTTAGGGACCTGGGGAAAGGAGGGAAGTTTGGTTAATGAGCATTTTATTCCGATTAATCAGTGGGGAAAAGCAGCTCAGCTAATCATTTAGAAGACTAAGAATGGGAATTTGGAGGGTCTGTGTGTGTGCTCTTGTCATAATTAAACAAGGGAGACATCTAAGAGGCCTAAGTGCTCTGGGAAGATGGCTCTTTGCAGGAAGCTGTCTGCTAGAACACAAAGCATGGGGGGTTTTCTTAACCTTGGCTGTTTCCAGAAGCAAGGGCTGAGACAAAATCCAACATTTTCAGAACCAACAGAGACAGGGTGTCATGAAAGGCTTGGAGAAGAAAGTATTTCAAAATCGAGACCACCCATTGTTAGAGTAAGTCATGCTGGAGTCAAAAAGAAAAAATCAAAAAATGAAAGAAAAAAACTCAGTGTTTTAGTATGAGAATGTTATTACAATTTTTAAAAATTTATTTTGATAATTTCAAGCCTATAGAAAGGTTGCAGGAATAGTACAAATAATTCTTCCTGATTCCCCAAATATTTTACTACGTTTGTTTCTCCATGTGTGTGTGTTCAGCCTCTCAGGTTTCTGTTCCCCTCCGAGTAGGCTCTGGAGTACTGGAGGGTGGGGTAGGCAGAGGAGGGTGGCTCTGGGTGGCCAATTGGGGTCTCCTGGCTGTCCATCTCTGCTGGCAGCTGTAGGCCCTTGCTGGCAAGACTCGGAACCTGATTTCCTGGTTTGGTTATAACAGGTGCTTGCAAGCCAGCCCAGCCTCCCCAGCTCTCACTGACAGACCCTTGGCTCAGTGGACACCCCACCCCATTCCATTGCAGGCCTCAGAGAGGGACTGCTGGCTCTCTGCTTGGGGACCTACCACCTGCCCCCTCAGGAATGGTGGGAAACTTCTGTCTTGTGCCGTGGCTCAGAGAAGATAACCCCTGCCTACCTTCCAACCCCACTGACTTCCCTTTGGAAGATGGTACAGGATCAGGTACTGTTGAGCCTGAGACCTGACTTTCTCCCCAAATCCCAAATGGGGAGCAAGGGGAGGTCTTCCCTACCTCCTCTCTTCTCTCCATCCTCCCCATTCCCAGAACACCCCAGGGCCCACGGTAAGCCATGCCCTTACTTCCTCTAAATCAGGGGTCCCCAACCCCCAGGCCATGGACCAGTACCAGTCTATAGCCTATTAGGAACCAGGCTGCACAGCAGGTGGTAAGCGGTGGAGATGAGCATTACCACCTGAGCTCCGCCTCCTGTCAAATCAGTGGCATCGGATTCTCATAGGACCTCGAACCCCATTGTGAACTGTGCACGCCAAGGATCTAAGTGGCACACTCCACATGAGAATCTAATGCCTGATGACCTGAGGTGGAGCAGTTTCAGCTCCAAATCATCCCCCCAACCCCTATCTGTGGAAAAACTGTCTACCATGACACCAGTCCCTGGTCCCTAAAGATTGGGGACCACTGCTCTAAGTCACATCCTCCTCTCTCCATGGATGCGGCCCCTTCCCTACCTCCTGGGAGAAACTCTAAGGAGTCTTCTGGGTTTGAGTTTTCAAACCTACCACTCTTATTAAATGACCCAAGTCCCTACATCTCCTGCCCTGAGGTGATAAGACTCTTCCTTGGCCTTCCTTAGGGGAAAATTAAAATGCATGGGTCATTTGCAAAGTAGCAGCTTGCTACAACTGTATTTTTCTCAGAGGCCTTCTCTTCAAGAATTAATGTTATCTTCCCCTTTTTGGTCATTTTAAAAGTCATTCTCATAGGGAAATCTTTGACTTTAAATTTTAAAACTTAATAAAATGTAACAAAAGAAAGATATCTGACCAGTAAGCACATGAACAGGTGCCCAACGTCATTAGTCAGCATTAGGGAAATGCAGATCAAAGCCACGAAGAGACACCACTTCACACACACATGAATAGCTAAAATTAGACTATTTTTTATTTTTGGCAGAGATGGGGTCTTGCCATGTTGCCTAGATTGGTCTTAAACTCCTGGGCTCAAGTGATTCTCACGACTCAGCCTCCCAAGGTGCTGGGATTATAAAATCATACTTTTTTTTTTTTTTTTTTTGAGACAGTTTCGCTTTTGTCACACAGGCTGGAGTGCAATGGCGTGATCTTGTCTCACTGCAACCTCTGCCTCCCTGGTTCAAGTGATTCTTCTGTCTCAGCCTCCTGAGTAGCTGGGATTACAGGTGCCCGCCACCACGCCCAGCTAATTTTTGTACTGTTAGTAGAGACGGAGTTTCACCATGTCGGCCAGGCTGGTCTCGAACTCCTGACCTCAGGTGACCCGCCCACCTCGGCCTCCCACAGTGCTGGGATTACAGGTGTGAGCCACCGTGCGTAGCCTGTTGGGTGTTTTGAGTGGCCTCGACAGGAAGATGGCAGCCCATGCTTGTTATCAATTACACACTGCAGGGAGGACCTATTTCTGCTAGTCAAGAGCACCTATTCTACAAACCACATACCGTGGGCTTATATACTAACTACTCCCTGCTTGATTTTGGGCAAGTCAGTGATCTCTGTGCCTTAGTTTCCTCATCTATAAAATGGAAATTAGAATAGTAGTTACCTCCTATTGTTACGAGAATTGAAGGTAAACTCATTTAGTGCGAGCCTAGCACAAGGTTGGCACTGGGTAAGGGTTTGCTACTGTCACTGTTACTCTCTACAGAGTCCACAACCACTGTCTCGAGGTCCTTCCTAAGGTGTCCAGTGTTGCACACAGCAACACAGCACTTCTGCTTATATTCAGTTGGCCATTAGTCACATGTACTGACAAGTATCTCCCTGGCTGCCTTCAGGGAGCTCTTGGCCAATGTCCTAAAAGCTTCCCCACAGCTTTCTGGCCATTCACTCAGACCGGACCCTTCCTCCCTACCACCATTCAAAGCTGTCCCAAAATCCACGGTCCCTCACAACACCTTTCTCAAGTAGCTGAAAGAAAGGCAGTGGTTACAGGACCCTTCCTTCTCAGCGGGTGACCACAGGACCCTGCCGCCCCATTCGACTCACATAAGCATAAAACACATCACCGAATCACAAACTGCAGGCATGCTTCTACTTTGCATAGTTTCATCGGCTTGCAATCCACATAGACTGTGCTGTCAGGCATGAAAATTGTCCACAGAGGGGGCAGGGGGGTGCACATGGATCTGCACCTCATCCTTGGTCACTCTAAGCCACTCGCAGGCATTCTGTAGAGAGCCAATGGTGGCAGCGGTGGGGGGCAGAGGGTCTCCTAACCACTGACCATTCTGACTGCTGGTCCAGCTCCATCACCTTCCCCTCATTTTAACCCCAGGATGGAGGTCTACCTTAATCCCCACTGCTGTCATCTGCTGCCTCCCGGGGCCCATTTCCACCGTCTTTGAAGACATCAGCTTGTGATTCACATGATCCCTCACGACCCCATTTTCTCATTGTTTTGGTAACTTCATTATCTGCATTGGTAAACCAAAAGACACGCCATAACCACGTATCCCTTATCTTGTTTAGGTGGATATATGGCCACTTGAAATAAAGACATTTCCCAGTCTCTCAGTCTCAGACAGGTATGGCCGTGGGACTAATGGCCAATTGAATATAGGCAAAAGTGCTGTGTGCAACTTTGAGACATGTTTTTAAGAAGAGGAAATGCACCCTTTTCTAACCTCCTTTCATGCTGGATGGAGTGTGACTTGACGGCTAGCACACAGCAGCCAGCCTAGGTCATGAGGTGAAAGCCACTTACTGATCTCAAAGGAAAAAGAGGCATCTGACCCCTGATACCATGCACTATTGCACCCTCTCCAAGCTGCCTGTGCCTGTGAAAGGATTCTAGCCCATCTTGTTTAAACCACTGCAGTGACCTAACCCTTACTGACTCCCACCACCATTCCACACTATTATACTTCTGTAGCTTTATACTGTTTTAGGAGATCCAGTGTAACTTCAGATTTACATACCCTCTGCCTCTAGCATCTCAGGAACAGAAACTCTCAGGACAGGCCCCATCTTCTCCTTTCACCACCTAAGTTTCTCTGCTTCAATCACCTGGTGAGGCATTGGCCTGCGAGAGAGCAAGTTCTATTAACAGTAGAGAGCTCAGGAACCCATCCACCCACTTATGGAAACTTGGTATATGTCAGGAGAGTTCTACAGACCAGCGAGAAAGGAGAGACTGTTCAGTAAACAGTGCTGGGACACCTGGTTACAAAGAAAAACAAAATTAGGTCCCTACTAAATACAATCATAAAAATACATTTCAGATGAACTAAAAATCTTATTATGAAAATAAAAATTTAGAAAACCTTGAGGGTAGGGAAGGATCTCTTAAAACAAGATTCAATGGCATAAGCCATACAAGCAAAAAACTGATAGATTTAATAACATTAACATTTAAAAATTACTTGGGTCCAGCAAAACACTCCTAAAGGCAGGGAAGAGAGGCAAGCCACAATGTACCAGACATTTGCAATGCATATAATTAATCAAAGATTAGCATCTCTCCAGAATATATATTTTAAGAGGCTTAAATATCCGTAAGACAAAAAATCCAAGTGAAAAATGGGCAGAGGATATGAACAAGTAACAGAGAAGGAAACTTGGGCTGGGCGCAGTGACTCACACCTGTAATCCCAGCACTTTGGGAGGCCGAGGCGGGTGGATCACGAGGTCAGGAGATCGAGACCCTCCTGGCTAACACGGTGAAACCCCATCTCTACTCAAAATACAAAAAAACTAGCCGGGCGTGATGGCAGGCACCTGTAATCCCAGCTACTCAGGAGGCTGAGGCAGGAGAATGGCATGAACCCGGGAGGCGGAGCTTGCAGTGAGCCAAGATCACGCTGCTGCACTCCAGCCTGGGCGACAGCGCGAGACTCTGTCTAAAAAAATTAATAATAATGAACAGAGAAGGAACCTTGTACAGCCAATACACATATGAAAAGATAATTATAAAACCTAAAGGAAATGACACCCATCCAATCAGACAAGATGAAAAGTCTGATGACACCAAGTATTATAGAGTTGGGGAACTCTCAGATTGCGGATGGAAGGATAAACAGACACATACTTGGAGGGTAATTGGGAATGTCCAGTCAATTGGGGGAATTCCAATACTTCCTCAAATCCACACAATGTGATGGGATGCTCACTGCAGCACAGCTGTAATACAGAAACACTGCAAAACCCCTACAGGTCGATCAATAGCATATAAACAGTAGAACTCATACAATGGAACACTATACAATAGTTAAAATAACTGGGCTGGGCACGGTGGCTCACGCCTGTAATCCCAGCACTTTTGGAGGCCAAGGTGCGTGGATCACCTGCAGTCAGGAGTTTGAGACCAGCCTGGCTAACGTGGTGAAACCCCGTCTCTACTAAAATACAAAATTAGCCAGGCATGGTGGCGGGCAACTGTAATCCCAGCTACTCAGGAAATTGAGACAGGAGAATTGCTTGAACCCAGGAGGCAGAGGTTGCAGTGAGCCAACATCACGCCATTGCACTCTAGCCTGGGTGACAAGAGCAAAACTCCATCTCAAAAAATAAATAAAATAAATGAACTGGAGCTACATTTATACATGCCTCCAGAATGCAATATTTTAAAAAATTATCAAATATGTACAGTATGATACCATTTCTGTAAAGTTAAGAAAACATGCCAACATACAAAACAAAACTAACCATAGATGAGAAGGGCAGAAATCGACTTCAGGACAGGAGGCGGAGGCAACAGGACTGGGGCCACATACAAACAGGACTTCAGAACGTGGGTTTTATTTCTAAAGACAAATCTGGAGCAAATATGGAAAGATATTAGTTGACGGGTTACACGGGGGAGATACAGGTGTTTGAACACCAGTACCCTGCTCTTGTTCGGCATGTTCGAATGCTGTCTTTTACAAATTCTCTCATTTTTCTTCTTTGCCATTTGTGTTCTGGGTTCATTTGTCTCCCTGCTCTCTGGGGACCTCCAAGTAGCATCTCCTCCAGTGTCTTTGTTCTCTCCAATGCTCTTCCCTCGTCTTCTCACATGTCCTTGTTTTCTCAGTCTTAACACTTCACCCTAACCATCACCAGGCCCCTTCATTTCTTCCTCCCTCGCTGTCTACTTAAGGGCCCCCAATTTCTGCCTTTACCTCTGAATGTGGTCTCCACCCAGCAACCCTTGGCCAGGCCTTTGAAAGACCTCAAGCTTAATGATTCAAAATATATGTCCAATCCCATCTTTGGAAACCCCACCCTAAAACTGCTCTTCTGAAGATAAACACTGCCATAATTGCCAAATTGAATAAGCTTTTCAGTTTTTCTTTCCCCTTAACCTCTTGCGAGTTGTCACCATCAGGGACCATCCCTGTCTGCTTTACCCGCTCCCCGCTGTGGCTTCCATGACGGCAATGCCCCCCATCCCAGGTCTCTGACCTGCACTACTAATCAGTGGGATTCCACCCGCCAGTGTTCGGCCTCCTCTGTCCTTCCTTCTTAGGGCACCACATTTTCCTCTGCCCTTCCTCAAACAGCCTGGGGGAAAGCAAGCTCCTGTCAAATGTCAAGATACACAATTCTCATTCCTCTCATAATAAAGATGCATTGTCCCGGCACTCATGTTATTCCTGGAACAGGGAGACAGGGGTACCAGTTTGAACCCCAGGGCACACTTGCGTCTTCTCAGCTGTCTGATATACCTAACACCTGCTTGATCTCGGCTCATTGCAGCCTCAGCCTCCTGGGCTTAAGTGATCCTCCCACCTCAGCCTCCAGAGTAGCTGAGACTACAGATGCATGCCACCATGCTTGGCTAATTTTTAAATTTTTTTTTGTACAAAGTCTCACTATGTTGCCCCGGCTGGTCTCAAACTCCTGGGCTCAAGTGATCCTTCCGACTCGACCTCCCGAAGTATTGGGATTACAGGTGTGAGCCACTGTGCTCAGGAAGAGGCACTTCTGAGATTCTCTTTGCAACCCATGATTGATGTACAGAGAAGGCAAAGCCAAACTGTCCACTCTCCCACCACAGTGCCCAGGGCCAAAGCCAGAGAAGGAAAGGAGAGTGGTTTCTGAGCTCAGGCCCTCACAGGCTTCTGCAGAGGGTGAACACTTGCTGAAGGAACCACTGGATGTTTTGGCAACCACCTGGCAGTGTCTGTGCCACCGTGCACAACTGAGTCCAGGGACCTGCTCAGCATCCACAGCCTTACAGCTCAGGGCTGGCAGATGTCAGGCCACCCTGCTCTCCTAACTCCTTTGCTTAGGAAACTTTCTAGTTAAAGAAATGTGTGCAGAGAGGCGAGATCATTAAAAGTTCCTTCAAACAGGGCAAACTGCCTCCATCCTGGGCTCACAGCACAAGTTATCCCAGGGGTGCCCAAGATGCAGGGAGAGGGGTCAACATTTACAACGGACCAAACTCCAAGATTCTAACAGGACTCATCTATTTATTGATATTACTATTAAGCCACTTCCCAGCAGTGTGACTGCCGTAACAAGAACAGGACTCAGTTTCTAAAGGCAATAAAATAACAAGGACATCATGGACAAAGCATTGGGAACACTCCTCGTAGGGAACTGGCTTTTCCTCTCCAGCCAGAGCACCCAGGTGCCAGGGGCCACTCCCGAGCACACTCTTTGCGCATCTCAGCCCTCATGCCGGATGCTCTTCTCCCCGCCCTAATCTGACCTTCTCAGTTCATCTGGATAAACCTGCTGTGCTTCCTGTCCGTGAAGCGAGGCGCTCCCCAAAGCGGGAGCCAAAGTCTGGTGATGAAACAGCTGGCACCAAAGAGCTGGTTCTGCCTCCTCCTCACCAAGTAAACACGTACTTTATTTTTTAAGGAAAGAAAAGTCTTAAAAATATATGGCACTAGAGTGTAAAACTATACAACTGCATCCAATGAAAATTCCCTGCAGCTTGCAGCCTGTGGCACACCATGTCCCTCAGATGTAGAGCTGATGGGAGGCCAGGGTGTCCATGAACGGCCGCACCAGGTTGTCCGTGGAGAAGTAAAAGATGAGCCCGAACGTGATGGAGATGGGGAGGGCGGGCAGCGCCTTCTTGAACACAGCAAGCAGCAGGAGGGTCAGACACAAGCCCTGCAGGACATGGAGGGGAGGGTGAGCGTGGTGATCCCTGGTGTGGACAGGAGCTGTGAGTCATGGTCTAGTCCCTGGGCACAGGAGCTTGTTCGAGGACCAGTCGGATAACGGCGCTAGACACCCCATTATCTTCCCTGGTCCTGCAACAGCTCTTGAGGTGTTAAGGGCAGAAGTTCTCACCCCCATTAGATCACCTCACCTGTTAGTGAGTGAACCAGAAGGCAGGCCTCCTGACTCCTGGAGCAGTGCTGTGCCCCGAGGCCGTGCTGCCTCCCCTGTCTGGCTGGAGTGGTCACATGGGATGGTAAGATGCCCTCAGGGAACATGTATTTATATGAGAGCTAGGTGGGCTCAACTGAAATGGCAGTAAGGTTCTCAGCAGCTGGCACCAAGGGAATCAGAGCCGCCAGGCAACCTGCCCCTGGGAAGCAGGTGTGGGGGCTGCCCATCCTCCCCTGACCCAGCTGATGCAGGCAGTGGTCCAGGTGAGCACAGGGAACCAGGGTGCCTTCTATATCTTTGGGGCCAGCAGGGCTCAGGTAAGGCAGTCTGGTGGTGGAGGAGCCTGGGTCCACCATCCCATCCCTGATATACTTGTGGGCAAAAAGAAAACCTTCTGGACACTGGAGCATCAACCTTAATCATGCCATGCCCAGGGTTTTCACTAAGGGGCAGATGCCAAGCGCACGGCTCAGACGCTCCTCCTCCTCTAACGTGACAGCGAAATCTCTGAGATGAAGTCACGGCAGGACGTCTCCCCATTATGTGTATCTGGTCACGTTAACTGACTACAGGGCCTCCACATTTCACTGCTGTGGTTCACAGTAACGGGGCCACCCCTAGTGCCCCAGATTCAGACCCTGTGGTGTCCCAATGGCATGGAGGAGGGGGAAAACATGGTCCTCACTAGCTTTGCGCCCATGGGCAAGGCCCTTAAGCAATTTTCTTTTCTGCAAATCTGATGTCATCACAACCACCTCGAGGGTATCATCACTGCGCAAAGCTGTCAGCTGGGTCCTCGGCCTGGAGGCTGTGTGCTCAGCCACGCTGGGGCCGGTACACTCCTCACCCTCCCCTGCACTGTCCTCCACAGGCTGGAGCCCACCTAGGGGCGAGCACACCTCCTGTGAGCCTTGGTCTCAAGCTGACCCTTCCAGCCCCGCTCCCTGCTCTTGTCCCTCAGAGGGAAGAGAAGAAATGAAAAATCCCTAGGGATCCTGAGACCTGCCCCCACCACAATGAGGACCCTGGGGGCCCCCACCACGAGGCAGCTGGACGCATCCCCAGCCACTCACAATGAGGATGGCCACGAAGCAGGCCAGCGTGGTATTCCAGTCCCCGCTGCCCGTGGCAGCCGCCTTGCCCACCAGCACACTGTAGAAGATGAAGTCCCCGAGGCCAAGCTTCACGCCCCCTGTGTGAGGAGAGACAGTAACCCGTACTGAAGAGGCGTGCACAGAATGGAAAAAGAAGAGAAACTCTGGCCCAGAAGGCCCAGCTGCTCTTGCCCAGCCCAGCCCACCCCACCTGGCCTCTAGAAGCTAAGATGTGGACTGGGGACATGGACAGCTGCCTCCCCAAATCAGTGGCCAGTGGGAAAGCAGGGGACACCTGTGGACTGGGTGACTTACAACCTGGGCAGAGAAAAGCGGGCAGTTCTGAAACTCAGGTAAAACCAGTGTTGGGCACTTAGAGAGTAAAGAAAACAACAAATAGAAATGCAAGGCCTTGGGCTGGGCACTGCTGTACAATTTAGTATGAAGTCTGAATCACAGATTTTTAGGGAATTTAATTTCAGTACATTCAAAAGCCCATATAACACCAAGACAGAGGTCCTCTGAAGAACCTTTCACCTTACAACAGGTAAATATAACTGGGAATTAGTCTACCCATTACTGATCAGGAAATTAGAGCTTCCAAAATGCTCTCGTTTGTTTTCTTTAGTGCAATGGTCCCTGACACTTGTTTATAGGATAACTTTGCTCACTGTAGACAATAAAAATGGTTATGCAATAAACACAAACCATGGAGGCCCACCTCCCCTGCCCTTCCAGCCCTGCAGGTGTCCCTCCTGCTCCTGGCCCCAGCTGTCCTCCTTCCCCCACCAGGTGTGATCCATCAGCATTACTTCTTCACTGTCTCTTCATTTGGCTGGTCCTGAGTTGCATCTCTTATAATAAAACTAATTTTGGCCGGGTGCTGTGGCTCAGACCTATAATCCCAGTACTTTGGAAGGCCAAGGCAGGTGGATCACTTGAGCCCAGGAGTTCGAAACCAGCCCGGGCAACAAGTCAAAACCTTGTCTCTACTAAAAATATAAATGAGCCAGGTGTGGTAGCACGTGCCTGTAATCCCAGCTACTCAGGAGGCCAAGGTGGGAGGATCACTTGAGCCCAGGAAGTCAAGGTTGCAGTGAGCCACAATCGTGCTACTGCACTCCAGCCTGGGCAACAGAGCGAGACCCTGTCTCCAAAACAAAACGACAACAAAAAACAAACTGCAATTTTAAGTGTAGTGCTTTCCTGAGTTCTGTGAGTCATTCTAGCAAGTTATTGAACCTAAGGGGGTCATGGGAGCCCTAAATTTGCAGCCGGTCAGAAGCACAAGTGGCATCTAGACCCTCTAGAGCTTGTGGCTGGTGTCTGGAGGGAGGCCAGTCCTGCGGGCCCCGTGGGATCTGTGCTAACTCCTGGTCTGCAGCACACCAGTTGGCCTTGGAATAAATACCTCCCCCAAGCCTGCCTGGAGGGTGCGCACCTGCTCCTCCTTCCAGACCCACCGCAGAGTGATCTTTCCCTAGCTTGCCCCTCCCGTGTCACTGGAGTCCTGTATGCCAAGCCACTGTCACCAGGCTGCTCCCGTAAGGCACCTCTCAAGGCAGGGGCTGTTACGACAGTGCAGCATCTCCCTGCTCCAGGGTGCTGCCTGGCACGCAGCAGTGGGCTGGCATTGGGTGTTAGGCAGGCACCGTGTACTGACGCCAGGATGAACTCCTATCTTCGCATGTCTCCAGGCCTGTTTGCAAGGCTCTCCCACACTTCTGCTCTCTGCATCCCGCCCCGGCTTCCTCTGATTCCTGAGTCTGTCTGTCAGGAAATGCTCCCCACCCTGTGCTCCTCTCCTCTAGTGACTGCTGTGACTCAACCTTCAGAGCTCAGCTCAGCAGTTACTTCCTCAGCTGACTTTCTCTCACCCCTGCCAACCAGGTCAAGAAGCCCCGTGGCATGCTCTCCTGCCGCCCCTCCCCAACCCCATGGCCCCCTTCATAGTCCTTGGCTTCTCAGTCTATGTGATTACTGCCCGTGTCTCCTTAGCCTGTGGGTCCCACCAGGGCTGGGCCTCACCCAGCACAGCACGGGCACGTGGCCCATACTCAATACATGCCGGACAACTACATGGGGCCTGCTGAGAAGACCCCAGCGCTGCAGGCATCTTCTACTTTCACAGAGATGCCTCTGATGGGAAAAGGGGCCCCTCCCCTCATGCCCTCCTCCACCCAGGCTGCAGGGAGCCTCCACCCTCTGTCTCCGCTCCCGCCGTAGGCTGAAGCAGGCCGTGTGAACATGGGCACCTTACTTTCCTCCTCTTCCTCCAGCTCCTCCCCTGGGTAGCCAGTCAAGGGAGGCTCAAAGACTTCGGGGTATGAAGGCTCCCCAAAACTGTCATAGGAGTCTTCTTCTGGGTGTCCAGGAAGAGAAGATGTCCGTCATCACCGTGAGGAGGGGACAACAAGAGAGAGAAACAACAGCTGGTCAGAGTGTTACCAGGGAACAAAGCTCCAAGAAGGGGTCCCCCTGAGCACCAGCACCTGACACCAGGGCTTCCCCCACTCCACCCACCCACGCCCAGCAGAACGATGCAACAGAGGCTGGCAGAGGACCGAGGGTCCAACACTTGCTGAATCTTCAAGCCGCATGTGTCCGGCTGGTTTTCAACGGACCTTTCCCTCTGCCCCTCCTGAACTCATGCCTCTCAGGGAAGCCAGGCCGAGCAGAGCTGGGTGCAGGTAGGGAGCTGCCCCCCAGTGATGAGAGGCTGTTAGCTCCCCAAGATACTCACCCATCTCCGGGTCGTAGGGGAGCTGGAGGGCACCCTGAGAGGAGGGGTCCAGCTTCGCCATGCCAACCGTCCACACCATGGCAGCTGGGGGAGGAGAAAAGGTTCACATCTCAGGCGGTGCTAACAGTGGCTGCCTGCAGGGCCTGGGGGAGGTGGCCAGTCTGCGTCCCAGAAAGCCTGCACAGGACCCTCCATCCTGCAGGTATCTGCTCATGCTCCATTGTTAGGAGGCCGTTGTGGGAGGGGTCCAGAGTCACTCTCTCTTGCATTTGTCTATTCTGTTACTGTTTGTCTCCCCTCCTAAAGCATAAGAACCAGGTCTATCAGAGCCAAGACCTCACAGTTCACGGGTGAATCCCCCGAGCCCTGGGACACTCATGACAGTCCTGGCACTACCTTTCCATACATGGTCTCCGCTCATCCTCGGAATGCGCCTGGAATGTGCTTTCCCGTGGGGCCACGCTGCAGGCGATTCTCCTCTACGGGCTCGAATCCTCAACTGCATGAAGGTACCTAGAACTCTGTAGCTGTTCCATAAACTCTTTCCCAGGCCACCTTGCAGACGCCAGAGCTCCAGAAATTCAGGCTATTTAAGCCCCGCCATCAACAGACCGAGGGCATCACAATCACAGGGCCGTGAGCTCCATGAGGCCTGGGACCCTGTGGTCTTCTTTCCTGCTGGGTCCCCCAATGCCTAGCACAGTGCCTGTCACAAAATGGGGACTTGATGTGCCTTTGTTGACTGCATGTGTAAGTCCAAATCTCTACACATTGACCCCGAGGCCAGGGGCCATCCCGTGTGCCTTCCCTTCAGTTAGGATTAATGCCAATCAGCCACGCTGCTGTCAAGGAAGCCCAGAAGCTCCTTGCTCCCCGACCCCCTGCCCTGAAGAATCCCTCTCCAAAGTCCCTTCTCAAGAGCCTGGAGAGCTGAGGGGTGGCTGCGGGATCACAGGAATGCAACCTGCACCGCAGCATGCCGCTGGAGGATGGACGGGATGAAGTCAGGGACTGCAGCACATCCCAGCAGATGCCTGCTTCCTGTCCTAACTTTCTAAGCTTCTTACTGTGTAATAACAAGATACTGCCCTCCCTGGCTTCTGAAAGTGGAGACCCTCCTGGGATCGCCCAGTCAACTCTGAAAGCCACGGCCAGGAAGCAGGCCCCTGTCCCCCCACAGGCTGCCTGCTGACCCCGAGTCAGGCAGAGGCACGGGGGGCTCACTCACATGAGTATATCAGGGCAGGGAATATGGGCTCATTTCTCTCCTGGGCAGTTTCTACCAGCATTCTCAGAGGCCCTTTGGGACACAGCACAGCCACGAGATCTAGGAAGACAGAGACATCCTTGTCAAACTATCCCCGGGCAGCCCCCTGAAGAAGAGCCTGCCCTGTAGCACAGGAGCCCCGGGTGGAGCTCTCAGAGCATGCCTTGCCTCTGGGCTGGCATCCCAAATTCTCATTCTCCAGTCACAACTTAGAGCAGGCCCTGGTGTGAGCCAGAGTAGGGCCTCGCAGGCAACTGCAAGCATGGAGGAGCTGTGCACCCGAGACGCGGTGGCCAGGCTGGGGAGTCCCACTTCTCTGAGCCTCCAATTCTTTAACCTTAAAATGGAAGTAACAATACTGGCAATGATAATCATGCTAATATCAAATAGCAGCTAACATTTGGGGTTATGTATATGCATGGTACCCAAAGGACTGTCTTGATGAACAAATCACTTACAGCGTGTCCAGTGCTTAACAGTGCACTTGCTCAATCAGCATAGCAGTAATAATGGAAAATGAGGCTGGGTGTAGTGGCTCATGCCTGTAATCCCAGTACTTTGGGAGGCTGAGGCGGGCCGATCACAAGGTCAGGAGTTCGAGATCAGCCTGGCCAACATGGTGAAACCCCATCTCTACTAAAAATACAAAAATTAGCCCAGCGTGGTGGCACATGCCTATAATCCTATCTACTCAGGAGGCTGAGGCAGGAGAATCACTTGAACCCGGGAGGCGGAGGTTGCAGTCAGCCAAGATGGCGCCACTACACTCCAGCCTGGGCGACAGAGCAAGACTCCATCTCAAAAAAAAAAAAAGTAAATGAGGAGCTCAGTGACTACTGCGTTTTATCTAGACCACCAGGAGTGTTCCAGAAATAGTGGACCCCCCTCTGTTTTACAAAGGCGACTCTCTCAGGAGGGATCCCACCCAGGCCTCTGCAGAAAGGGATGCAAGCCCTTCAGCACCTGCCCTCCTTGTGCAGCACTGGGGACGATTTGGCCCTGGACATCGCCCCCACTGCCCCCACCAGCCTTGCTGCCCACCTACCATACACAGAGATGGCGCCCAGGATGACCCACGCGGACCACTCTGGGAGGTACTTGATGAACACTAGGGCCATGAGCGCACTGATCATGATGAGGTAGGCCTGCTGCAGCACCAGAGGGCCCTTCCAGTGGATGCACACCATGCCCACTGCCCCGAAGTTCCAGACAGTCAGCAAGAGGGTGGGGTAGTCCATGGCCACATTGTAGGTCTTGAGCACTTCCCTGCAGGACCAAGGTGGAGCCTGTGACTGGGACTCAGTGGAGGCATTACAGCCTAGCAGTTTACCACCATTCAGTCCCAACCTGGCCCTCTTTACTAACATTTCCTTCCCCGACCTTCACTGTCCTTACAATTTACCATTTGCAGCATTTTCTAAAACAAGGTGGGGATGCTTGGAACAGATCACAGAAATGTGCATGGGCATGACCTGGAAGACCCTGTGCACATGGAAAGGTCCTTGGGAAAGTGTTTTCTCTTGTCCTCCCAGTCTCTTTGGGCCCCTGGGTCAGGCTGATATCCCAAATCAAGGGGCGATAGAACAGATAATTTTTCCCACAAACCAGAAAGTACCCAGGCCTAGCCTAAAAATCAGAATGTAAATTTTGGGGGGTTTCTATCCCCCTGGGGTTCACAGAGAGCCTTCTCCATGAAGGGTTCATTTTAAATCAGGAACGAGACAGAAACATGTGGTCCACCATGCAGCCCCACTTCCACTCCCCTGTGTCAAGGCCATGAGAGAGGGCGACGGAGGCCTGGGTTCCCAAAACGGCTGGCACTGGGGAAGACTGGAGCTCGATGGTCATCTTTCCCCGCCCAGGTCCTCATGCCCATGTCCACTTGTGCCACATGGAGAGGGGCTCCCAGGGACCCTGCTGCTTATCTGTCACTTACCCAAGGTAGATATAGGTGAAGAGGAACAGCAGCATCAGTGAAGACATGATCAACCAGCCATGGATGAACTAGACAACAGAAATTGCACGATCACAAGGTGTCCCCAAGCGCCACAAATTCTAAGGCCCCCAGGATCCTGAGACTGATACCCAAGCCTGAATGCTCTTCATTAGGCTACTTCATGCCTACGCTGGAAGGGATCAGGTGGCCACCTTACAGATAAAGAGGGCACAGAAGTCCAAGGAGTTCCCCTCAGGTCATCCTGCAGCGCATGCAGACAGGACTCCCTCAGGTCTGCCGGCATAGCCTTGCGGTCTCCCCCCATCTCTACTGGTTCACTTAGAAAGGTAATGCTGGGTGTCTCCTACTTGCCAGGCACTGTTCTAGGCTCTGGAACCAAGGCTAGCAAAGTCTCTGCCCACGGGCATTGTGTTCCAGTGTGAGGGGTGTTAGATGACATATAGACAAACATACAGTATATCAGCAGGTAATGATGAGGGCCATGGAGAAAATAATGTTAGGATACAGTGATAGGAGACTCACTGGGGTGCTATTTTAGATAGAGTGGCCTCAACAGAGAACCTGGGAAGTCCCCTCCTACCCAAAGGTCTACAAGCAGGTCCTCAGAAAGACCTGTTCCTCTTCTCCTGGCCAAGGATGGGAGAGTGAAGGACAAGAGGGGGCTGATCCTAACCCAGTCCCTTAGCTGGCCATCGGCGGGACAGTGACATCACTTCCCACCAGCCTCACCCCTGAGGACCAACTCATCAGTCACCAGCTCAGCCCACTGGGACCTCAGCGTGGCCCTGGTCTACCTGGACTAAAAGCAGCCTCCACGGCCCTGCTGCACACACAGCCAAAAGGGGAAGGGGCTGCCTCTGGGACCTGCCAACCCTCTTCATCCCAGCCACCACCTGGCTGCCCGGGCCACCACCATCTGCCTGTATCGTGGAACCTCCAAGGAAGCCCTACTAGACAGATGGCTGAGCCCCTCTTCACAGCCTCTGGGACTGGCCACCAGACACCTACTGCCCGCAGTGGGGCCAGCTCTTCACATCTGCCACGCAATTTCTAGCTTGACCCCATGCAATCTGTATCCTCTGCTCCAAACCAGCAGCCCTCCACCCTGCTTCCCACCATCTGCCAACCTCCCAGCGGCAATGTTCAAACCCTGCCTCGTCACAGTTACACAGGTAATTGTTACTTATTTTATTATTATTTTTTTAGAGACAGGGTCTTACATTGCCCAGGCTAGACTTGAACTCCTGGGGTCAGGCGATCCTCCTGCCTCAGTCTCCCAAGTAGTTGGGACCACAGGCGTGCACCACAATGCCCAGCTGGTACTCATTACTTGTTGATAAGCTTCAGCTCAGGACACATCCTGCAGCCCCTCCCATGGCTTTCCCCTCTGCTGCCCCCGCTGGAAGGGGGCTCAGCTCCCTCCCTGCACTGTCCCTGTCCCATCCCTCTAGCCTGGGCACTCTGCACTTCTATCTACCTGCTCCATGGATGGCAGCGGCCTGAACAAAAAATGCTGTGAGGCACCTGTGTGTAAACAGTTTTAAAATAGGTAATGCCCAGCTTAATTTCCTTTCCATCGTTAGGGGTTCAACCCCTTACCTGGGAGAAAAGCCTGAAGCCGCTGTCTAAAAGCTTATGGCATCTTTGGGGACAGGCAGTGCCCATGATTCTGGCCAGATGGGATCTGCCCTTCCACTACTCCCTGGGGCTACTCGGCAGCTATAGGCAGCTACAACCCAAAAGTCTCCCAGGGCTGCAAGACCTCAGCATGGCCTCTGCACATCCTTGCCCGAAAAGGAAAAGGAAAACTAAAAATAAATCTTCAGGGGAAGTATCGGGGTGAGGGGAGCCTAAAATAGAACTTCAGAAAGAGAAGCAAAACAAAATTAACTTTGAAATATGAGAAATGATGCTTGGAACACTGCAATGAGGAACTCAAGTGGGATAATGTGTAAATTTAAAAGACAACAGGCTGGATGCAATGGCTCACACATGTAATCCCAGAACTTTGGGAGGCCAAGGTGGGAGATCACTTGAGTCCAGGAGTTTGAGACCAGCCTGGGCAACACTGTGAGATCTAGCCTGCACAAAAAAAAATTTTTTAATTAGCCAGGTATGGTGGTGCAAACCTGTAGTCCTAGCTACTTGAGGGGCTGGGTGGGAGAACTTGAGCCCAGGAGGTTGAGGCTGCAGTGAGTCATGATCGCACCACTGCACTCCAGCCTGGGCAATGGAGTGAGACCATGTTTCAAGAAAAAGAAAATAAATAAAAATAAAAGACAACAGTATTAGGTCATCCACGGTGGGAGACAGGATGGGGTGGGGAGGAGTACAAAAAATCTGGGTCTATTTTCCTCTAATTTGTGTTTTTCTAAAGGCGGCTGTTTCACGGGCCCTGCCGCCATGGTGTGGGGCAGACGGAGAGAAGCGTGGCTGGAGGGCAGGGCCAGGGCCTCACCTTGTAGCAGCGGTACTTGTAGAGCACCACCAAGAAGATGGTCATAACCACGATGACGCTGATCATGATGAGGGTGTTCAGCACGGAGTTGAGGAGGCGCTGGCCCACCGAGGGTGTGTCCTCAGTGAATGGCGTGTAGATGCTGAGGGAGAAGGCAAAGGGCTGATGCTCCCGGCCCTGACTGCTCCTCGAGGCTCCCCACCTTGAGTGATTCTGGACCTGCTAGGGGAGGTGCCTGGGATGCCCATGCTGCCCACATGCTGCCCTGATGGAGTGCGGGCACCATCCCCATGAGCAGTTCCTGTCCTCCAGCTCATTTCCTGGCACCCTGACCACAGACCTGTGGCTCTCAGCCTGCCAACTGGGCCCAGTGCAGCAGTGAGGACGAGGGCTAGATGACCTCCCTGCTGCTTTCCCCACCCCCACAGGGATTAAAGGCTCCCTAGGCACTTCTCTCACCCATCCAGTTCTCATTCCCCCACCCACCCACACCTCTCCACCAGCTCCACCCAGCCCAGCACTCCTCCACCTGCTACTACCCGACCCCCATCCGCTGAAGCAACTGCTGTCCTTGCAGCTCATAAGCTCAGGAAGCAGACACAGGAAGCAATTCACTCAAACCTCACTCTTCCCAGCCTGGACTGCTGCAAACAAACCGCTGGCTGCATTCTCTCCATGCTTTCACCTGTTCTGCGCTGAATCCCCCACACACTATAAGCTTTCTGAGGATGGGACTCTACTTCTTTTTTAATTTTTTAAAAAAATTTTGAGACAGGGTCTCACTCTGTTGCTGAGGCTGCAGTGCAGTGGCGCAATCATGGCTCACTGCAGCCTCGACTTCTGGGCTCAGGTGTTCTTCCACCTCAGTCTCCCAAGTAGCTGAGACTACAGGCATGTACCACCACACCTGGCTAATTTTTGCATTTTTTGTACAGACAGGGTCTCGCCACATTTCCCAGGCTGGTCTCAAACTCCTGGGCTCAAATAATCCTCTCACCTCAGTCTCCCAAAGTGCTGGGATTACAGGCATGAGACACCACACCTGGCCTTATTCCTTTCTTTAAAAGAAACAACAACAACAAAAAAAACCAACACACACGAAATGAAACAAAAATCCCTAACTTTAAAAAAAAAAAAAAAAGTTTACAGAAGGTGCTTAGCAGTGAGGACCACAGAAAGGGGAGGGGGAAGAAGTGGAGGAAGCTTCTCATTTTTCTACGCTGCTGCCTCTGCATGTATTTTACTAAAATAAACGAAAGGCTTTATAAGTCTTCCTCACAAGGCTGGAAGTGAGCTGAGAAATATCTGGTCCAACCACCTTGTTTCACATTCAGGGAAGCAGAGACTCAGAGAGGAAGTGATTTGTTTGCAGTCACACAGGGATCAGTGGCACAGCCATGCCCAGGATCAAGAGCTTGCTTTCTGCAGCAGGATCCAGCTTGCCTGAGCACTCACGTGCAGTAGACACTCTTCTAAGCCCTTCACTCATATTAACTCACTTAATTCTCCCAGTAACTGCGTTATCAACCCATTATACGAACAAGGAAGCTGAGGCATAGGGATGTTAAAAGCATGCCCAAGTAGGTCACAATCCAGGAGGCAGTGAGCCAGGCCATGAACCTGGGCGGTTCTTCATCCCTGCTCTTTACCGCTGCTGGTGTGGAGCTGCAGGTACAGTGACCAACACAGGCTGCTGCGCCCCCCACCCCCTGGCAACTCAGCCCTCACCCCACCCTGCTCCCCCCAGCCCCCCAACTCACAGCTGTCCATTCTTCTCTGTGTAGAAGCGCACAGACTTGATGGTGGCTACCACCACGATCATGCACAGAGTGACAGGCACAAACAGCATGATCACGTGCTTCGCTCCGTATTTGAGGGTCAGCTCTTCCTCCAGGCCTGGCGGCCGCCCGGGAACCCCACTACAGACATAGCGGTCAGGGTCCTCCTCACCGTCCTCCTCGTTCTCCTGGCTTCTCTGTGGGAAACCACATCGTGAGGGCCGCAGAATGTCCCCCACGGCAGCCTATCCATGTAATGCACGGATTTTTGGAACCAGAAATGAGAAGTTTGAATGTTGCTTTCCAGATATAAGGAGCAGTCTATGAGCTACTAGGGCATATGAAAAGTTTGTGAGGACAAAGTAGAGAAGATTTGGAGCTGGATGAAGCACCATAAATGAAGGAAGGAAGGTTGCTATGGTCTGCAGGCCCAAGACTTAATGGTTAATGAATCAACTTAATGGTTAATGAATCAAAAGATCTTTCCCCTTCCTAATACAGGGACTCAGGAGGTCACTCAATTCTGTTCATGTGGCCATACTGATATGGGAGGAAACAGGCCAGGAGATAAATAAACATTTTTGGCTGACAAATCACTAGCTAGAGGAGTCAGTGCACAGGGACACTCTCTTTGCGTGTGACTAAGATACTGGGAATTTGCAGAGGAAGAAATTACTTTGAACTTTCTGCCCCACAGAATCAAGCATGTAAATTTGTAGCTCTGAACTAGAGAGGCTAAACAGGTGTTAAGCATCTGAGAAGACGCAGGCTCTGGGAAGGTGGGCAGGCACAAATGAGGAGGTAACGAGGGAGGGCAGGACACCTGCCAGACACTAGCACAAACCGATCTGTAAGAATTTGTGTTTTGGAACTGTGGCAAGTCAAGGTCATGGGCTGCCTTGCTAATGAGGTGAACAGCTAAAGAAAAAGCCAAATGAAACAAAAACTGAAAATGACAGTTGCTTCAGTACCGGTTCTCTGCAGAGAGAGTCCCAATCTAGACGTTCAGCCAAGAAAGAAGACTACTCATGAACAGAAACTGAAACAACCAAAGTGTACAAAACTTCCCGGAGATAACAAACAAGAAAAGGCTGAGGAGTGGCAGAGCAGTGGCCTTAAGCTGGTGTGATTTCACTCAGGGCTTAGGGACGATGGTTCCGTTCTCAAGGAGAACATGGAGAAGTGAGCTCAAATTTCAGCAAGCAGGATTAAGACTGGCTGCAAGAAAACAGTCCACACAGAGACATTTTTTAATTCTATAATGGGCAAAACAGAGAACAGGGTTCAGGCAAATTCAGATGTTCTGCCCTGATCGGGAGAGAAAGGACACAACTAAGTGGCTCTCCCAACGATATCCTACTCTTTCTAACGTTACAATCTCCTCCCCTGGGGGCTGAATGATCACAGTGAAGCCCAAATATCCCCAGCTCAAAAGTCAATCGTGTATCAGGCAGACTCCTCTCACACTTACCATGTCTGGCCATCTGCCAAAAAATGCTTCCCCTGCTACCATCCTAAGCTTCTGTGTTACCTGTCCTAGCACCCAGGCATCCAAACAAACTCTCCTATTACAGTGGAAACAGTGACCTGCATGAGAGAGGTAAACCCAAGGTGGCAGAGTGGACAGCGTCCTTCAGCCCACTGCCAAGTCCATCTCTGGCTGTGAATGCGCAGTCCTATGAAACCCTGCAGATGGAAGGTCCATCATGGCCAGCCACCCACCTTTTCGGCCAATCCTCATCATTACTTCCCTTCTCCCTCCCGCATCAGGGAATGAATGTCTGGTTTTCATCTGTAAGGTACAGTAGCCGCAGGGACCTGTTTGAAGGCCCCCAGCTGCTGGTGGGACCTACCCACTGGGCAGTGTTCTCTCCATCCTCTGGGCCCTGCCTGCCCTCCTGGCAGGAGCGCGGCGTGGGGCTCTCAGCCGACATTAGGGACGTCCGCTCATCACACACTTCTTCCTCGCTGTCAGAGGCCATGAATGTGAGCATAGCCCTGCCTCTGGAAGCACCTGGAAAAAGGAGCACAAGGACCTTGTTCCACTTTCCTGTGAGACAAAGGCAGTGGAGGACTCAGGGGGTGGCTGGAGGCGACCTGGAGACTTGGACACAAGTCCTGCCCCAAAAGCTTCCAAGAGATGCCTGTCAATCAAACGACTGCCATAAAACAAGAGGCCTTGAGAGTTACCATGGAGGCAGCAGCGGCCTTGCCTGGGGCTGGCCTGAGGTGACTCACATCCCAGGGGGCAAAACGCATAGCCACGAAAGTCAGGGCAGCTCCAAACTGTCAGTGTGCTCATTCATTCAATCAGCAAACATCTGTGGTGCATCTATTATGCACCAAAGATCATGCTGGGCTCTGGGGATAAAAAGATGAGTAAGAAACACCCTTGTCTTAAAACAAAACAAAAATCATCTAATGTGACAAATGATACAATCCGGGTGTTTGATGGTAGGTGCAGAAGCACAAAAGTGGAACCAAATCTCAGAGATCACGAATGTTTTCTAGAGAAGAGCCTATCTGATGGAGACTGGTTTTCCCAGGAGGAGGGAAGGGCAGAAGGCACAATGTTCCAGTGAGGGCCTCACACTGTGGGGCGGGCAGTGGAGATGATCAGGGTCTCAGGCACCATGTTAAGGAGACACACATCACCCTGAGGACAATCTTGACAGACAAGATCTGAACCAGGTTTATAAAAGTCAGTCTGGCCACTGACCAGAGAGGGAAAGTGACCCCCAGAGACAACTGTGGCAGGTGAGGAGAGCTGAGGACAGCAGCAGGATGGATGCAAGTGAGGGCAGAGTCCAGAAGGGGTCAAGAGGTCAAGGGCAGGACCTGACGCAGGAGAGAAAACACAGTCTAGAATGGCAGCCAGGTGGGGACTAAGACAGGGAAGACCGGAGAAGAGAGTCTCGGGAAAGACCATGAATTTCACCCTTTGAGTGTCTATGGGATAAAATGGGGAAGCTGTCTGGGAGGTGTCTGAGGACCAGGTCTCCTGAGGTTAGAAGTGGAGACCTAAGCCATGAGAGCAGACGTGTGAGGTGGGGAAGTGCCACTGAGGGCGGGACCCAGGGGAAGGCCAAGGCCAAGGGGACAGGAGGGAAGCCTGCCCCCTAAAACAGTGCCAAGTGGGGTTTCACACAGTAGTACCAAGTGGGGGACCCAGTGTACCAAAATCTACACATGCAGGTTTCTGGGCTGGGAAGAACTTCAAACAATGCCTGGCAAATCTGACAGTCCCTGCCAACATCTCAGACGGGGACAGAGGCTGAGTTATCGCTGTCCAGAGGCTGAGTGATCGCTGTCCAGAGGCTGAGTGATCGCTGTCCAGAGGCTGAGTGATCGCTGTCTGTCCAGAGGCTGAGTGATCGCTGTCCAGAGGCTGAGTGATCGCTGTCCAGAGACCCTCAGGGCTGAGCTTCACACCCTGGGCAGGGATAGCAGGTGTGCGCTCTGCTGAAAGTTCGTCTCCAAGTAAGTCACCCCACAATATATGTGATTTTTTTTATTTTTATTTCTAGAGACAGGGTCTCACTGGTCACTTACGTTGGAGTACAGTGGTGCAATCATAGCTCACTGCAGCCTTGAACTCCTGGGTTCAAGCAATTCTCCCACTTCAGCCTCCTCAGTAGCTAGGGCTGCAGATGCACGCCACCATACTAGGCTAATTTTTAAAATATTTTGTAGAAATGAGGGTCTCACGTTGTTGCCCAAGCTAGTCTCAAACTCCTGGCCTCAAGTGATCCTCCTGCCTCAGCCTCCCAAAGCACTGGTATTACAGAGTGTGAACCACTACACTCAGCTATATGTGGTTTTTAAACAAAGCAGGCAGGTTCCTTCCACCAAGTCAGCCAATTTCAATCCCCTTAACAAGACCTGTGGCTGCCCTTCTTTCTGAAGACAGCAACCCCGGCTATGGCCTGGATTATTCCTACAGGGACTTTAACTTCATCCCCAAATAAGAGGCACAGGCAGAGACTGCCTCTGCTCACCTCCATCACAGGGATTTCAACATGAACAAACTCCCCAGCCTGCAGCACCTTCTGTTTAGGATAGATGAGACAAGTACAGGAGTAACAACAGCGGGAAGCAAAGCCAGCTAAAAGCCAGGAGGGTAGTGACAAGGACAATGCACCCGACAGGAGGGGACACAGTCTATCAGTTGTCAGGAGTAGATGCCTCAGGTCACAAGAAGTAAGAGGGATGTGAAGCTGCAAAGGTTAGGAATATTTCACCAGGCAGAGTTTGGAGGAGGGGGCTCATTCTGGAAAGAGGTAACCACTTAAGTAAACATATGAGTTGGGAACATAACATAACCTATCCTGATAATATCGAGCAATTGGATGTGGCTCAAGTGTGGGGACCTGGTAGGATGGGCCATGCCAGGGAGGAGTTTGGTGCCTGATGGAGGAGTAAGAGCTTAATGCAGCAGAGGAGAGCCCCCGAAGCTTTCTGACCAGGAGGAAGATGTGAACTGAAGTGAACTTTACAAAAGCAGCCTTTGCAGAAGAGGTGTGGGCCCTCCTCCCTCTTCACTCAGAGTACCCTCAGACTAGGCCCCAGGGCCACAGGGAAGTTCTGGGAACCAGCAAAATCCATACAAATAGAGCACAGCTTCACATCCCCCAAAGAGCTGCAGGACCTTGGAAAGTTCTTGGCTTTAGTTCCTTCATCATCTATGGAAATGAGAGAAATTATCAGGTGGAAATGCAGGAGAAGGGCCGGGTATGGTGGCTCGGCTCACGCCTGTAATCCCAACAGTTTGGGAGGCTGAGGCAGACAGATCGCTTGAGCCCAGGAGTTCAAGACCAGCCTGGGTAACATGGCAAAACCCCATCTCTACAAAAATAAATAAATAAATAAAAGAAATTGAAGAGAAAAAACTGTAAGGTCCTCCTCTGGCTCAGCCTCACTAGATAAATCCTAAACAGACTCCTGCCTGGACCCAGGGTTTCCCTCACTATCCACTCTGGCAATGGGGAATTCACTCTTACTCAAAGAGGGGCACCACAACAAAGAGTTGCTGCATTTTCTCAAGCTAAATCATAATATTCCATCTGCAGCAGTGTGCTGGATGAGATACGAGGCTGTACAGGTGGCTCTTTTAATACCTCCTTTTCTAGTATGACAGTTTTGTTTTGGGTGTGAATGAACAGGGAAGCTACGATCTCCTCCCTCTGTTCTTCCCATGCCTCTTAAGCTCCTGTGATTTATCTCTGCTATGACTGGAGGAGCAGTTCTGGGAGTCCCTGTACCTAAAAAGCCACAGGCTGCAGCCTCCAATGACAGAGGGCAGGCTCACCCTTCAGACCCACAACAGCTGGAGCATTCAGAGGATGTTGTGTTTCTTAGGCTCCCAAATAGCAATGCACAACAAAAATGGATAAGCAGAGAGCAAAGGTGCCTGTTTAAAGGAGAAAGGGAGCTGATGGGTGGGTGAAGATGGAGAAGCAGGGGACCCAGGATCAAGTAGAATCAGTTCCTTACAATTCCCACGTCTCCATTCAGTTGCCAACCACTAATAAGACGCTCCCTGGGGCTGGGTGCGGTGCTCATGCCTGTCTGAGGTGGGCAGATCACCTGAGGTCAGGAGTTCAAGACCAGCCTAGCCAACATGGGGAAACCCCGTCTCTAATAAAAATACAAAAATTAGCTGGACATGGTGGCAGGCACCTGTAATCCCAGCTACTCAGAAGGCTGTAGCAAGATAATCACTTGAACCCAGGAGGCGGAGGCTGCAGTGAGCTGAGATCGCACCACTGCACTTCAGCCTGGGCGACAGAGTGAGACTCTGTCTCAAAAAAAAAAGAAAGAAAAAGAAAAAGAAAAAAAAGACAATCCCTGGAAAGCAGTTCTGTGAGCAGAGGTTCCCTGACATCTGTGATAGTTGTGCTGGGGAGGGTAGGGTTAAAGGACCATACCCTTTCCATGTGACACTGCGCTAGACAGTGACCTGGTCTAGACAGTGACCTGGTGACCACTGTCGTCATCATCCACACTCGCTGACTGCCTGCCCTGTGCCCAGGCCCGGTCTCATCAAGACCTGACATGTCTTCAGGAAGAAACAAGGAAAAACTACAAAACATGCTTTCTAACCCACAAACGTCATTCATACATGCGGCCTCCTCACCAGAAAACAAGTGTTCCCTTGAGCAGGCTGCTTCCCTCATTCCACTTTCAAAAATTCCTCCAAGGCCTCCCCTGAAGCTGTGCCCACAACAACGAGGACCAAGACTTCAAGAAAGCAGGGAAGGAGAGAGCTGTCATTAAGGAATAATCAGGGAAGAGCTAGTCTCAGCTGTCACAGCAAGGGCACCCTCTAATCACAACCCTCCTAGCCTGGTGGGGTGGGGGTGACAGGTGGGAGGCACCAACTTAGGAAATGCTGAATCCCTTAGGATCACTGTTTCTCAAAGGTGGCCCAGGCCACTGGGGGCTGGTGGAGATGGACCAGCACCTGCTGAGCCCTTAGCCGGCACTAAACATCCTGGAGCAAGGTGCTACTATTCTTCCCCATGGTACTGATGAGGAAACAGAGGCTCAAAAAGTAATTAGCTCAAGGTTACCCTTGGACCTAGGTAGTGTGTCTGGACTCTTCACCACTCTGCTAGGCTGCTTATTAACAATGCAGATCTCCAAGCTCCATCCTCACCCAGTGTCAGGGATCCGCATTCGGGATGGTTGGTCCCCGGGTGATTCTCAGCCAGTGTCAGACTTTTCCTGGCACTGTCTCTGCTTTATAATCACCCGAACAGGCTGGGGCCCTTTCTCAGCAAGGTGAGTGTCCCTCACCCACCCACCTTCACCCTCTCACTGCTTGGCACTACTTGATTGCCACATGAGAGAGTGAGACAATGAACACTTTCTCCTGAATACCTAGAGTCTGGTCAGAGAGCAACTAGGGAGGAGGAGGAGTGGAAAAATCTCAGACCAGCAGAGCGGCATGGGGAGAAGAGAGCTCTTGGGCTGAAAAAGGCCCAAAACAATGCCCACTGCGGAGGAGAGTGTGGAAAAACTGGGTCTCAGTCACTACCTGGACAAACTGCACTGGCCTTAACTGAAAGGAGTAAGAATCAACACTTTAAACACAGCATACCTTTCGATCCTGAAATGCTACTTCATGGAGACTGTGACAGGACCACCAAAAATCTTATTTCAAACATTTAATAACCTGAACAATGACACGCTGTTAAATTTAACCGAACATAAAACTTTACGAACCTGATCATCTGAATGTCCTTATAAAATGTATGTATATAAAAGATCGGAAATATTACAAAACATTAAAGATGATTATCTTTGCATGGTAGAACCAAGAGTGGTTTTTATTTTCTTGATATTTTTCTGCATTTCTCTAAGTCGCCATAATAAACACAGACTGTATCTGTAGGGTTTATTTTAGGCTATTAATTCTTTAAAGGAAAATAACGAGCATCAACATTTAGACAGATTTTCCTCTACATCTGCCCCTCCCAGATCCCCTCTCATTGGCCAGGAGGAGCAGATGGGACTCAAAGGCTGTAACTTTTTTCATTTGTCCCTCAGCCCCTCTGATTTACCTAGCTCCTGAAGGAAAACAGAGCATCTGGGATGGACTTCTGCTACCCTCTGAATTCCTGAGGGCCTGCTTTGCAAGCCACCTAAGTCTGCTCTGAAGCCTGCTGGTGCTCTGAAATCCTTGGAGGGAAAAATCACCACCCAAACGTGTGCAGATAAACAACACTGCTAGGTGTCTGTCCACATTAGAGTGCCGGTGACGCGATGAACTCTCCCCGGAGGCTGACTCACGGGCAGGTGGGGGTGGGGCTGGGTGATGTCAAGTCCCATCAGCCACTCAGCGACCAGCTTTCCCCGTCTCCCACCCCCTGCACCCCATTCTCTAGAGAAGTGGCAGGAAAATGCAGAGAGGCAGAAGGAAGTGTCCAACATAGACTACGTTCTGGAAAGCCTTCCAACAAGGAAGTGCTGAGGCTGATAGCTGCTTTGGATTAGGATGCAAAATCAAACATCCAAAGAAGCCACTGCACATTCCCATTAATCAGCTGAATGGGATCAAACTGCTGAATTAGCCAAACCAAGGGAGTCTGACCTAGAGAATCTCCCCAGCCGTGCTTGTGTCAGCAGTTCCTGCAATCATTATGGAAACCCAATGACCCAATTTCCTCGACCTTCTTTTCATTACAGAGAAATGTAAAGGCTTTGGCCTTAACATTTAAGGCCAATGGAACTAGGTAAGAAACAGATTTCAAAATGCCACAGCAAACTCCCATGGAAATCTGCCTCCACGGAGAAAATCCTAATGGAAAAAGAGGGTTCAAAAGCAGGTTGGGAGTCACTGCACTTACCACGAACACTTGGGGCCGCAGAGAGGTCTGAATCCCGGACACTTGGTTTCTTCTTCTCAGCAGGCTAAATGAATGATGCTCCCTGGCTTTCAAAGAGGGCAGCGCTGGTTTTTAACACGTCACTTTCTATGGTCACACAGCTCCCTCACATCACTCTCCTGACGTCTGAGAAGTCCCACGTCCTCGCTTAAAACAAGGAAGAGTTTGCTAAGGTCAGGTGATACCCAGACAATTGCCCACAGCTTCCCTGCTCACCTTCCTCCCCCTGGCCCTGGGTACCCGACTATGTATTTGGTCCAGCTGACCATCCATCTCAGCTCATATAGTAACACATACCACTTGGGGATGGTTCTCCCTGGCCTAAGCCAGAGCTGGGGCCTGAGTCTCAAAGGGAAGTGAGGTACTGCCCTACCACCCTCCCGGACCACAGGCCCCAGGGGCCCTCTGATGGGGCCTCCTGAATTTTGGGCCAGGCTCTAGACTTACCTCTAACAGCCCTGTCCCACTCAGAAGTGCCTGGGGCCCAGGCAGAGTTCTCTCATTTCCTGAAGCAGCCAGGGAAAAGGGTGGTTTGTGGGGAAGTGGGAGAGGGAGCCCCTAGCACGCCCCTCTGGAGTAGGCTCCAGAAACACATTTATTTTTAAACAAGCAGCAGCAAGTCAGCGGTCAAAAGCAGAGGCTTTGGAGACTGACAGGGTTCAGATCGCCTGCCTATGTGATTTGAACCACATACTCCCTGGCCAAGAGGCCTCAGACAGTCTAATCTGACACAGCTCATTTCCTCTGCTGTAAAAAGCAGAACAGGCATACCTTGCAAGATTATCGTAAAACCTAGAGATAACCTGTAAAGTGTCCAGCACACAGTAGATGTTCAATAAGTCGTAGTTATAAAGAAGATGAAATGGAGGAGGGACACAGTGAGAAAGGACACGGTAGCCTATGGATGTGCCTCTTGGAAAGTTACGGATCTGCTGAACCACCAGACACATGAACTGGCTTCAAAGGCCAGGCCCCAGAGATCAAGTTTCCATTCCCGGCCCAGCCCCAGGCACTATGGCCACGTAAACATATTATCAAATGAAAGGACATATCCATAGGACAATGTCAGAGCTGGCAAGGACCGTAAAGGCCATCAACGCCACCTAGTCAGCTCCCTGTATTATAATTAAGGACAACTGAAGCCTAGAGGGGCAAAAGTAATCAGTTAATGTCCCATGGCCAAAAGCCACAGTTACAACTCAAGTCTCCAAACTGCCCATCAAGGAGCTCTTCTCAGCCCAGTCAGCACTTGTGAGGGTCACGTACCCAGTGGCCAGGGTTTGGTCACACAGGCAGGCCCACCACACACTACACAGGCTTTCTGGGAGCACACTCACAAGACACATGCCTTCACCACGGGCAGGTATGTGTCAAGAAATGCTCCCTAATCACTCACTCACCAGCTCATCTGTCACCTCAAAACTCTCAAGTCTCTCTCCTGCCCCCAGGGCTCACTCTGCTCTCCCTCTGCTACTTGCCCAGGTAGGTTTGGCTCCATGGTGGGGAGTGCCCACATATGGGCATGGGGAGGACAGAGGGCACTGCTTCTCTGGGGCAAAAGGGAGGGTGGGAAAGTGTCCTGCTGTGGGACTGGTAGGATAAATAATTCAAATGCTCTACACAGCCATCAAATCTGCTTTTCCATGAGTACTCAATAAAAGGAAAATTCTGAAGGCATAACAGAAAAAACAGGATACACAAACTTCACCTACGGTTCCCTCCCTCTATTGTTTTAATAGATAAATATGCATATGTGAACAGTGTGGAAGGAAATGCATGTTAAGAGTGGTTATCTCAGCCCAGCGCAATGGCTTATGCTTGTAATACCAGCATTTTGGGAGGCCAAGGTTGGCGGATCACCTGAGGTCAGGAGTTTGAGACCAGCCTGGCCAACATGGTGAAACCCCGCCTCTAATAAAAATACAAAAATTAGCTGGGAGTGGTGGCAGGCACCTGTAATCCCAGCTACCCAGGAGGCTGAGGCAGGAGAGTCGCTAGAACCCGGCAAGCAGAGGTTGCAGTTAGCTGAGATCATACCATCGCACTCCAGCCTGGGCAACAAGAGTGAAACTCCATCTCAAAAAAAATTTTTTTTCCCTAATTTTCTAGAATAAACATGAATTACTTTTATTTTAAAAAGAGTCCAGTAAGTTTCTGGTTAAGGTACAGCAGAATGGTGGACACCCTTTGAATTGTTCTTCCCGTTCTAGAATTTTCACAAAGATGAACAAGCAGCCCATTCTCCCACTCAGTGAAGAGGCTCTCAAGAAATGATCTCCCTCACTGACATCTGATCTTTCCTGAGGACTGATGTGAAACCATTTTTTTTTTTTTGAGATGGAGTTTTGCTCTTGTTGCCCAGGCTGGAGTGCCATGGCCCGATCTCGGCTCACTGCAACCTCCGCCTCCTGGGTTCAAGCGATTCTCCTGCCTCAGCCTCCTGAGTAGCTGGGATTACAGGCATGTGCCACCACGCCCGGCTAATTTTGTATTTTTAGTAAAGATGGGGTTTCTCCATGTTGGTCAGGCTGGTCTCAAACTTCCGACCTCAGGTGATCCACCCACCTCGGCCTCCCAAAGTGCTGGGATTACAGACATGAGCCACAGCACCCAGCCTGAAATCATTCTTTTCTCCAGACATTAACATGATGGTCATCCCATCTCCAGGATTGGAGCCCAGTGGAAAATGTTCCTCTCGGGGCCTCTCAGCCTCACCCCCGCCTTTCCGCAGCTGTGGCAGCTGGGAATAGAACAGGTGGGAATACTTGCAGAAATATTTGCTGTCTTATCAGTCCCCAACTAAACAGTGTCCGAAAGTCAAAGCAACAGCTGAAAACCCGCCAGAGATGTTTTCATTAGACACACTGCATGTGACCTACACACACTGCTTTGGTTTCTTTAAAAAAATTTTGTTTGTTTGTCAGGAAGTTGCTCATGGGGACTCCACAAAACTTTCCCAGCAGTAGTGGAGAGACACGGGTAGGAGTTGAATACAGGAACCTCCTGCGCAAAAACTCAAGAGATAAAGACAGTGTAGCCAGCTATGTTCAAATCCTGGTGCTTAAAGCACTGAAGCCACATAACTGGACTAGCTGCTTAACTCCCTGAACTTGTTTCCTCTTCTGTAAAAAGGTAATAATAAACTATTTCAGTGTCATTGAAATTCTTAAGATCTTAAATTCTAATATTCTGTACAAGATAGCTTTTTATTATGACCAACTCATAAGCGAGATATATGTCATTATTAACATCGATAACAGAGAAAGGCCAAAGTAGGCAAGAGGCAAACCCCCCTTGGGGGGACGGTGAGCAGCTACGGAGGGGAGACAGGTGTGACATTATGCACCACAGCTCCAGGCACCCCAGCAGCAGCCCCTAGCCCTTGCTCCTCCTCCTCCTTGCTGCTCTTTCAAATAGACAGGAACAAGCCACTCACTCCCCACATGTGAACATGCTGGACTCAAGACTTGGCACATGGGCACTTCAACACCAAAGGGTACAGAGTTTTCCCCAAAAACCTGATACATCCATCCCACTTCAAAGCAACATGCCCCCAAGCCCTCACTCCAGTCTCTGCCCTGGAACCCAAGGCTCAACGTGGGCGTCGTGAGGACGCAGCTCTGAGGTGGGGCCAAGAACCAGGCCCCTTCTGCACCTGCGCCAGTCACCGGCTGCCCACAACCACATTCAGGAGAGAAGAACCTGAGGCTCACACACCTGAAGCAGCTTATCCCGAGACTCCAATTACCGCCAAAGGTCTTGGCTGAAGGCCTTGGAGGCTCAGGTGTCTGCAGAATTGGCTACAGAGGCATCAGAGGCTTCCTTACTGGAAGCTGGGGTCGGTCCTAATCAAGTTACTTCGTAGACAGCCTTGGCAACCCCAGGCTGTCGCTTCTGAGTTAAGTTAGTCTACAATCGTCTCTATGGAATGCTCTCAGGTTCTCCATTTGTAAATAGGGATGCAGTTACTTCACTCAACACCGTTCATACCTTTCAAAGGGAATACTTATTAAGGCAATAAACAGGGGTGAGGTCTGCTCGGAGGGATGGACAGCAGATCTAGAAGCCAGGACACTGGGGTCGAAGCCTGGCTCTGCTATATCGTACCTGGGCGACCTTGGGAAAAGTCACTTTAGCTCTGTGGCCTCAGTTTCTTCATCAGTAAAATTCAGAGGGGGGACTAGCTTCTGTCTCAGGTTCCTTCAGCTCCAAAAGCTTGCTTCTGGCTGTCTCCTCACTGCTGGAAATGCCTGATAAAACAGCCAAACACCGCTGCTAACAGAAACCGGCTCTAGGCTTGAGCCTGCGGCCCTGCCCCTCACGTGCGGGCAGAGCCCCCGCGCGCCTCCTTCCCGGGGAAAGCATGCCCAGGACCCGGTGCTAGAGGCCGAATGGACTCGGCGCAACGGAGGTCTCCGGCGAGAGAGAAGAAGAACAAAACGCCCCCGCCTGCTACACGCCTCAGAGACCCACGTGCACCGCTCCTTTAAATGCACCGGCCCTTTAACCGCTCGCGCCGCGCCCACCCCCAGCCGGGGCTCGGCGGCAGGCGGGCGCAGGGAAGTGGGGACGCAGTGAGGCCGAAGGCCTGAGGGCCGCTCCCCGCGATCCTTCCACGACCCAGTTCCGGGCCGGCCCAGCCGCCGCCTGCCGGGCACTCTCCTCTCTCCGCCCCCGCGCTGGCCGCAGAGGCCAGGAGCGCTGCGCACGCAGGGGCCGCAGACCCACAGCCGGGGAAGGGACCGTGGCCAGAGGCGTGCGGAGGGCAGGGCAGGGCCCTCAGGGCGCAGCCCCACCCCGGGCCCTCAGCGCCGCAGGCGACAGGGCCCTGGCCTGGGCACCCCCCGGCACCGCCCGCTCACCTGCTCTGCCGCCGCGCTCCAGCGGAGTTTACGCAGCTGGCTGAGCGCCCGGCCGGACCCGGCGCCGGCCCAGGCCCCGCCCCACGCCCGCCCAGGCCACGCCCGGTGGGCGACGCCGCGTTCCCTCGTCCACTGGGGCCCCACCTGGAGTCCCGGGCGCGCGGGGAGGGTGGCCTTCACGCCGCGTGGATGACAGGGTCATCCCGACGTCGGAACTAAGCGACGACCTTAGAAGGAGTGGAGGCCGGGCCTGTCATCTTCCTGCGGGCCTGGCAGCAGCGTGGGGCGGTAGGACATAGGCTTCGAGGACACTCTTTCTTGTAGTTTTGGGTCCACATCCCCTCCTCCTCCCGGTTGTTCTCACATTAAAGGAGCACTAATGGCCCAATGTGAGCTAACACCATGAGAATGTTCCTGGTCTGTTCCCTAGGGCGCTTCAGAGCCACCAGGAGCTCTGCATAAAATTGAACAGGAATAAATTGCTGCCTGACCTGAGAATTGGCCTAGGGGGTTGTGGTTCCAGGATTTGGGGTCTGTGGGGTAGGTTGAGATTGTCAATAATTTGGCGTTGTCTGAGTAGTTTTACTTTTTTTTTTTTAACTTAAGGTGAAATTCACATAACATAAAATTTACCATTTTAAAGTGGGCATTTCAGTGGCATTTAGTGAATTCACAATGCTGTGCAACCACCACCTCTGTCTAGTTCCAAAACATTTTCCTCATTCCGAAAGAAAAACCCCATACCCATTGAGAAGTTTCTTCCCAATGCCCTCTTCCCCCCCAGCCCCTGGCAATTACCAGTCTACTTCTGTCTCTATATTTACTTACTTTAGATACTTCATATAAACGGAATCACAGTGTGTGGACTTTTGTGTCTTTCACTTAGCATGTTTTCGAGGTTCATCCTCAGGTAGCATGTAACAGACTTTATTCCTTTTTATGACTGAATAGTGTTTGTGTGTGTATATGTATATGTGTGTGCGTGTGTGTGTGTGTATCATGTATGCCACAGTTTATTCATCTATGGACATTGGGGCTGTTTGCATCTTTTGGCTTTGTGAATAATGCTACCATGAACATGCATGTACATGTATTTGTTTGAGAGCCCATTTTTATTTGGGGAGGGTACATACATAGGGGTTGAATTGTTGGATCGCATGGTAATTCAATTTTTTTTTTTTTTTGAGACAGAGCCTTGCTCTGTTGCCCAGCCTAGAGTGCAGTGGCCGCAATCTTGGCTCACTGCAACCTCTGCCTCCCAGGTTCGAGCAATTATCTTGCCTCGGCCTCCTGAGTAGCTGGAGTTACAGGTGTGTGCCACCACATCTGGCTAATTTTTGTATTTTTAGTAGAGATGGGGTTTCCCCATGTTGGCCAGGCTGGTCTTGATCCTGAACTCAAGTTATCTGCCTGCCTTGGCCTCCCACAGTGCTGGATTATAGGCATGAGCCACCGTGCCCAGCCTTCAGTGTTTAACTATTTGGGGAACCCCAAGTGGTTTCCACGATGGCTGAACCATTTTATATTCCTACCAGCAATGTACAGGATCCCAATTTCTCCACATCCTCACCAACACTTGTTATTTTCCATTTTATTGTTATCCTAGTAGGTGTGCAGCGGTACCTCATTCTGGTTTTGGTTTACATTTTCCTAATAACTAATGCTATTAAGCATTCTCCTTTTCATGTGTTTGTTGGCCATCTGTATATCTTCTTTGGAGACATGCCTATTCAAGTCCTTTGCCCATTTTAAAATTGGGTTGTCTTTTTGTTGTTGGGTTGTAAGAGTTCTTTATATATTCTGGACACTAGACCCTTATCAGATATATGCTTTGCAAATATTTCTCTCCCATTCTGTAATTGTCTTTTTCACTTTCTGATGTCCTTTCATGCACATAAAACTTTAATTTTGATGAACTTCAGCTTAACTGTTTTTTCTTTTGTTGTTTGTGCATTTGGTGTCCTGTGTGAGATATCATTGTCAAATCCAAGGTTGTGAAGATTTACTCCTGTGTTTTCTTCTAAGAGTTTTATAGTTTTAGCTCCTATATTTAGGTTGTTGATCCATTTTAAGATAATTTTTGTATGTAGTGTGAGGTTAGGGTCCAAGTTCATTGTTTTGCATGTGGACTTCTAGTTGTCCCAGCACCATTCGTTGAAGAGATTGTCCTTTTCCTATTGAATTGTCTTGGCTTCTTGTCAAAAATCAATTGGCCATAGATGGATGGGGAAAACCAAATATTTTCAAAGAGCTGTTTAAATGCAGATTAACCCTGGATGGAACTGGGGCAGGCCAGCATTTTGGCTAAGAAAATAATGGTCCAAATAATGATCTTTGATAAATTTGAGAAATTAATTACATTTAACAGAATTATAAAAATAATCGATTCTTGGAAAAGGAAGGACACCTGAAGGTCACAAAGTCCAACTCTAACTGATGCATATGAGCCCTTGCTACAGAATTCCTGGGAAATAACTCCCCAACCTGGTTTGTTGTTGTTGTTGTTTTGAAACAGGGTCTTGCTTTTTCGCCCAGGCTGGAGTGCAGTGGCACGATCTCAGATCACTGCAACCTCTGCCTCCCAAGTTCAAGTGATTCTCTTGCCTCAGCCTCCCAAGTTAGCTGGAATTACAGGTATGTGCCACCCTGCCCAGCTAATTTTTGTAATTTTAGTAGAGAGGGGGTTTTTGCCATGTTGACCAGGGTGGTCTCGAATTCCTGACCTGAAGTGACCCTCCCGCTTCGGTCTCCTGAAGTGCTGGGATTAGATTACAGGCATGAGCCACCGCGCCCATCCCTGATTGGTTGTTGTTGTGTTGTTGTTATTTAGCTTTCAGTGTTGCACTTGATA
Organism: Homo sapiens; assembly: GCF_000001405.40. Taxonomy (NCBI): domain Eukaryota; kingdom Metazoa; phylum Chordata; class Mammalia; order Primates; family Hominidae; genus Homo; species Homo sapiens. The sequence goes on along the minus strand of NC_000001.11, from coordinate 226,867,798 downwards.
GGCTGAATTTCCCCTAATGTGAAGAGGCTGCATATGCCCTAAGGTGAAGCATAATGACTCAATAAATGAGTTAGGAAGTTGTGATATAATAAAAATAAATATTTGGTCTTTATCCCCGTTCCTGGCACAAGCTTCTAAAACCTTTGGAATCTCAGGTGTGATGAATGTTGTTGGTATGCTAATGAAATGACTGGTGGCTGGGGACCCCTGACTAGCTTCAGGATAGGGGCTGGTGGCCAGAAAGACTAAGGCATGATCTAAACAAACAGAAGACTGCAGCCCTTAATAAGCATTAACAGGATCTGATTTCCAGAGTTACCACATTATAATATTCAAAATGCCCAGGTTTTTTTTTCTTTCAATCAGCTTTTTCAGGTTGAAGTGCCCAGTTTTTGTTTTTTTTTTTTTTTTTGAGACAGAGACTCCCACTGTCACCAGGGCTGGAGTGCAGTGGCGCGATCTCAGCAGCCTGCAACCTCCACCTCCCAGGTTCAAGCGATTCTCCTGCCTCAGCCTTCCGAGTTGCTGGGATTACAGGCACCCACCACCACACCCAGCTAATTTTTTGTATTTTTAGTAGAGACAGGGTTTCATTATGTTGGCCAGGATGGTCTCGAATGCCTGACCTTGTGACCCACCCACCTCGGCATCCCAAAGTGCTGGGATTACAGGCGTGAGCCACCATGCCAGGCCCGAAGTGCCCAGTTTTTAACCAAAAAGTAAATAAATAAATAAAATAGGAAGCATACCAAGAAAAAAGAAAAGTACAACCCATTCACAGGAAAAAGAAATTGATAGAAACCATCCCTGGGGAGGCCTAGACATTGAACTTGCTAGACAAAGACTTTTATTTAAATGTTTAAAAGTTTACTTAAACGTTTATTTAAATGGTCTTAAATATGCTTAACTAACTAAAGGAAACCATGGACAAAGAACTAAAGGAAGCCAGGTAAACAATAAATGTATAAACAGAATATCAGCAAAGAGACAAATTATGAAAAATAAACCAAATCAAAATTCTGGAGCTGAAAAGTACAATAGCTGAAATGAAAATTTTGAAAAGATGAACAACACTGACAAATCTTTAGCTAGACTGAGAAATAAAGAGTAAAGATGCAAATAACTAAAATCAGACATGAAAGTAGGGGCATCACTATGGACCTTACAGGAAAAAAAAAAAAAAGCATTTTAAGTGAATACTGTGAACAACTGTACACAAATGACCAAAACTGACTCAGGAAGAAATAAATCTGAACAAGCTAGGAAAAGTAAAGAGATTGAATCCAATAAGAGGTTGAATCAGTAAGGCCAGGCACGATGGCTCAAGCCTGTAATCCCAGCACTTTGGGAGGCTGAGACGGGCAGATCACGAGGTCAGGAGATTGAGACCAGCAGATCACGAGGTCAGGAGATTGAGACCATCCTGGCTAACACGGTGAAACCCCATCTCTACTAAAAAAAAAAAAAAAAAAGCCGGGTGTGGTGGCAGGCGCCTGTAGTCCCAGCTACTCAGGAGGCTGAGTCGGGAGAATGGCATGAACCCGGGAGGCGGAGCTTGCAGTGAGCCGAGATTGAGCCACTGCATTCCAGTCTGGGTGACAGAGCGAGACTCCATCTCAAAAACAAACAAAAAAAAAAAAGGTTGAATCAGTAATCAAAAACCTCCCCTAAAGCAGGACCAGATGGCTTCAGCTTGGTGAATTTTCTGCCAAACCTTTAAAGAAAAATTAACACCAATTCTCAAACTCTACTAAGAAATAGAAGAGGAGGGAATACTTCTCTGAACTATTTTTTCTCACAACACTTCTGACACCAAGTGTGTGGTTTTTTTATTCCACACAAAAACAATTCTCCAGACACCAAGTGTGTGTCCTACAATTCAATTCAATTCTGATAATATGTACCTGAAGTTAGCAGAAGCTCCCCAGACGTAGCCATTTGGGGGTGTTTATGGAAGTTTTATTGCGTAGGCACCATTGATTGATCAACATCATTGGCCATAAAATCATTGACCCAGGAGGTCAAGGGGTAGGGCTGAACAGTCCAGCCCTCTTTGCCTGGCAAGTTCAATGTCTAGGCTTCCTCACGGATGGCTTCTGTCAGTTTCTTTTTCCTGTGAATGGGTTATACTTTTCTTTTTTTCTTGGTATGCCTTCTAATTTTTTTTGCTGCTGTTAAAAACGACATTTCAACCTGAGGAAGCTGATTGAAAGAAAAAAACTGGTCATTTTGAATATTATAATGTGATAACTCTGGAAATCAGATTCTTTGCCCTTTGCAAGATTTGCTGTTATTGCTTATTAAGGGCTGCAGTCTTCTTTGTTTAGTGACATTTCCATATGATTTTTGCAGACTGCATTCTTTATATGTAGACACTGAAGTCTTTGATCTGTTACCTCAGTGGTCAGCCACAGTTGACACAGATTTCCTTAAATACCTGGACTAAAAACACCTGGACCAAACACAAAAGAAAAATCTTCTGATCTTGGCAGATTGGCTCTGAGCTGAGGCATTCCTTAGACACTTAGCCAAGCCACTCTTTCCATTTTCCCTAGACTTTACCTCCTGCTTGCATGGAATACAAAGATCAGCCACAGGTGCAAGCCTAGGGTCCTCTTAGATCTTTTCTGAGCATGTGTCCAGCCCTGGACATGTGCATTGCAGCCTGGGTTCCCTGGTATATGCAGTAGCCCTTCAACGACCTTCTTTCCCCAAGCATCTTCCTCCTCAGCGTCCTCCTTCCCAGGATTTTTGGTCTATGTGCTGCATGACCCATCTGCTGTCCCTTGCTCCAGACAGCTATGGGGAGTTTATGTCTTTAAATGTTTTCAACAGGCTGGGCACGGTGGCTCACATCTGTAATCCCAGCACTTTGGGAGGCCAAGGTGGGTGGATCACCTGAGCTCAGGAGTTTGAGACCCACCTGCCCAACATGGTAAAACCCCGTCTGTATTAAAAATACAAAAATTAGGCAGGCATGGTGGTGGGCGCCTGTAATCCCAGCAACTTGGGAGGCTGAGGCTGGAGAATTGCCTGAACTCAGGAGGCGGAGGTTGCAGTGAGCTGAGATCGTGCCGTTGCAGTGAGCTGAGATCGTGCCATTGCACTCCAACCTGGGTGACGAGAGTGAATCTCTGTCTCAAAAACAAACAAGATGCCACCTGGGGAGGTGCACCAGCCTGAGGGGTTGAAGAAAAGACAAGCCTCTGCACCAGTCCCCCAGGGAACTGCCAGGCATGTCAAAATGCACAATCACAATTACTTGAGAACAAAGTCCATATTGCTCACCCTGGCACCAGCAAGCTACATGAGGAATGTTTAGTCCTCTCCCTGAATCCTAGGTACATGGACAACTGCCCATAAGCCACTGCACTCAGAAATCCCTCAGACTATTTTAGGTGAAGCCCTGTAACTAAGTTCCAGGTAATCGGATGGAAGGAGAAGAGGCATGTCTTTTTTGTCATTCTGCTTCCTTTCGAGAATATGGAGATGATAGCCAGAGCTCAGGTAGCCATGCTGGGCCATGAAGACCATGAGGACGGTGAAGCCACAAAATGGAAGGAGCTGTGTCCTCAATTGTGGAGCCACTAGCTTGGCATTGCCTAATTCCTTACTTGGTTTCATGGAGGGAAAACCACTTTTATCTTGTTTAAGCCATTGTAATTTTGTGATTCCCTCACATACAGTTAAATCAAAGCTTGCTTGCACACACGGCCTTTCCAGCCACATTCCTCCTACGCTGTATGCCCCACTAGCTATGCTCAATGCCATGCAGCTCTCTCTGCTTCCATTTCTTTGCACAGCGTTTACTGGGAGTTATCAGGAGGGTCTTCTTCACTTGTCTCTCTCACTACCCATGAGTGTCTTGTCTCTGTCTTGGATTCCTTATTTTAATTCTTGGAGGAACTCAGGGAGAGGAGGGCATTATTGCTTTTTTACACATGGGAAAATGGAGGTTTACAAAGACAAAATTGTTTCCCAATTGTGCTTGGATAATGAGTAGCAGAACCAGATGTGGAACTCAAGTCCCTCTGGCCCAATGCAGTGGCTGGCCCTCTCCTTCACTTTGAAGGTCCCATGGCAGTGCATGCACTGGGGCTGTGGCTGAGGGATCTTTGATGAATTCATTCCCTTTGTGGTTTTCCTTTGAGGTCGTCAGCTGCTTTTCACATGCTGATTTGTGAGGGATGAGTAAACTTCTTCCTGGGCCTGGCCTCAGTTCAGGAGGGATGGCCTCTCTTCGGGTTTTGGTGTTCAGAGCATGGTGTTTTCTTTTAACACACTCTAGGGTCCCAACACTGCTTAGCAGACAGCGTGGGGGAACGGAACCCGTGTGAATGTTAGAACCAGATGGACCCAGGTCTGAAATCTGTCTCTTCTACTTATTTGTTGCCTGACCCAGGGTGATTTCTTAACCTTGCTGGGCCTCAGTTTTCCCACCTGTGAGAGGATAGGATGATATCTCTCAGAGGTTTATAGAGAGAATTAAAGAGAAACCAGTCAAAATGACAGGATTATGGCAGGCACTCTACAAATTTTAGTTGTCTTCCTTCTCCTACTTCTCTTCTCATTTGAGGTAGGAGCTTTGTTTGGTTTTGTTTGACATTGAAATGATAGACTATATTATTGTTCACAAATTTGGAAGCCTTGCTTCACATGAAAAAAAAAATAGAAGAGTAGATGAAGCCAAGTGTGGTGACTCATGCCTGTAAGTTCCAGCTACTTAGGAGTCTGAGGTGGGAGGATCACTTGAGCTTAGGAGTTTGAGTCCAGCCTGGGCAACATAGTGAGACCTCTGTCTCTAAAAAAAGAAGAGTAGATAAGTGCTAGCAATATCTGACATAAGATTGCCATGGAGTGAGCCTGAAGTAGTTTCTTTTGAGCCATGCAGAACCACATTCCATGTCAACAATAGTCTCACCAGTAGGGTTCCAGGGCAAGGTCAGTCCGACATGCATGAAACCCAGCCATAGCATAGGCACTAGGGACACATCCCTAGGGTTTGCCAGTCATGTGTGACACTGGGGACAGAAGGGATGCTTAAAGGACACCTTAAAGCAGCTCTTTCTTTGCTAGAGCTTTTGCCAGTGTGTCTGGGAGTTGGCACCAATCATCTGAAAGATTCTGGTCAACTCACCTAATGACACTTACCACCACATTTTTCCAGCATTTTCTCTGTATTATGGGATGATTTCATCTTTCCATGGAGGATGTTTATGTGATTTTGAGACACTCTTAGGATGGGTCTGCTCTTACCATTTCAAAAATTTAAGCCAGCAATCCTCAACCTTCTTGGCTTCATAACCTCTATACTCTGTTAAAACTAATTCAGAACTCCAAAAGCTTTTGTTTATGTGGTTTATGTTTACCAATACTTAACCATATGCTGTGGTTTGGATGTGGTTTGTCCCTGTGAAAACTCACCTTGAATTGCCAGTGTAGCGGTGTTGGGAGGTGGGGCGTATCAGAGGTGATTAGCTCGTTAAGATGGACTTCTTGTGAGACCCGGCTAGTTCTTGCAGAACTGAACTAGTTACCATGATAGTGGGTTGTTATAACGCAAAGCTGCTCCTTGTTTTTGGTCCCTTTTTTGTACATGCCTGCTTCTCCTTCTGCTTCTCCACCATGTTATGATGCAGCGGGAAGCCCTCACCAGAGGCCAGGCAGATGTGGGCGCCGTGCTTCTTGAACTTCCAGCTCCAGAATCATAAGCCAAAAAAACCTCTTTTCTTTATAAATTACCCAGCCTCAGGTATTCTGTTACAGCAACATTAAGTGGACCAAGATACCATGTTAGAAAGCAAAACTGAGAAATTTTTTAAAAATATTCACTCACTTTAGAATGACAAACCCATTATGTGTTAAGATATGACATTCTAATGAAAAATCTATTTTGCAAACAAATTTAGTGGGAAGAATGGTACTGTTTCACATTCATGGTGAGCAGTTATGGCCCTCAATTCTGTCCACACCTTAATACTCTGAACCTATAAAACATGTTATTTTACGTGGCAAAAGGGACATTACAGATATGATTAGGGTTAACGATTTTGAGATGGGAGATTATCTTTCATTATCCAGGTGGACCCAATCTAATCATCAGCTCCTGAAAAATGGAAAACCTTTTCCAACTGGTGAGAGGGAGATGTGACAGTGAAGGCTCAGAGGGAGATGCACTATTGCTGGCCTTGAAGATTGAGGATGGAGTCAAGAGCTAAGGAATGAACAGGACCTCCAGAAGCTAGAAAAGGTAAGGAAACAGATTCTTCATTAGAGCCTCCAAAAGGGAACACAGCTCTGGGATACCTTGATGGTAGCTCAGTGAGAACCCATGTCACACAGCGGACCTACGGAGCTGTACGAGAATAAATTTGTGTTGTTAAGCCACTGTGGTTTGTGGTAATTTTTAATGGTAGCAATAGAAAAACTAATACAAGGCCAGGTGCAATGGCTCACACCTGTAATCCCAGCATTTTGAGAGGCCAGGTTGGGTGGATTGCTTGTGGTCAGAAGTTCAAGACCAGCCTGGCCAACATGGTGAAACCTTGTCTCTACTAAAAATACAAAAATTAGCTGGGTGTGGTGGCGCATGCCTGCAATCCCAGCTACTCAGGAGGCTGAGGCAGGAGAATCACTCTAACCCGGGAGTCAGTGGTTACAGTGAGCTGAGATCACGCCATTGCACTCCAGCCTGGGTGACGGACAGAGACGCTGTCTCAAAGAAAAAGGAAAAATTAATCCAACAATTTTACAAATCTCTTTAGTGTCTGGCTAAACCAAAGACCGTTGGATTCTTGCACCTGCTTCTGCATTCAGTCTGTTGTGATATGATGCTTTGGTTGAAGTATATGAAGAAAATTTGGCCTTATGTAGATTTATAGTTGAAAACCATAGGAGTATTTTAATAGCCTTTTCAGATCATTGTGGATTATTCTTTGATATAACACCAAATTTAACAGTTGTAATTTCTTAAAGTTTAGTTGCAATGTAGAACATGAAATCATATCAACAAACTTTTCATATCTGTTACATTAATACCCATTGGCCCATCTTGCAATTTGAATGGATCTTTTACTTATGCATTATTTTGTAACATGATGTACTGGTCATTTGGAAAACACTGATTCACTAAGTTATGCAGATCTTCCAACTGTTGACACATTTCATTATACAAGATAAAAAAGATCACATTCATTAATGTCAATCTTATCCAAAGATACAGAGAAGCTATTAAACTCATAATGGCAGATACAAGTTTTCCAGAATTCTCACTTTCATTTGAAAGCTCAAATTTTATCATTGGCAACAAATAGCATCAGTTGTTTCCCTTGAAGTGACAGGCTCACTTTGTTCATTTTTCAGAAAATGTCTGCCAAATACACAAGTCTGAATCACTTCAGGTTGTCCGTCATATTTTCAAGATGGTGCTCTATGCAAAAAACAGTACAGGTTACGACTCACAAAATGACGTAAGTGCTTTTCTTGGAGACAACCAAGATACTTCAAATTGTAGCAGAAATGCTTTATGCCTACGTCCCGTGGCATCACACACAATATTAAAAACAGTACAGGATCAAGGGCAGAGATTAGATGGAATTAATAATTTTTACTGCTCACGCCTGTAATCCCAGCACTTTGGGAGGCCGAGGTGGGTGGATCACGAGGTCAGGAGATCGAGACCATCCTGGCTAACAAGGTGAAACCCCGTCTCTACTAAAAATACAAAAAATTAGCCGGGCGCGGTGGCAGGCGCCTGTAGTCCCAGCTACTCGGGAGGCTGAGGCAGGAGAATGGCGTGAACCCGGGAAGCAGAGCTTGCAGTGAGCCGAGATTGCGCCACTGCAGTCCGCAGTCCGGCCTGGGCGACAGAGCGAGACTCCGTCTCAAAAAAAAAAATAAAATAAAAAAAAATAATAATAATTTTTACTGCTTTATTAAGTACATTCTCAACTGAGACTGCCATTTTAAAAAAATCACCAATATCATAGCAGTGAAGAATGCAGCATCGACTACTCTGTTTGGCGTCACAGAGTTTGTTCATGCTAAGGCGTCAGCAGTTTTACCCAACACTGATTTTGTTCCATCAGTGCACATATCAACATAGTGAAAATGAGTGATAACAAAGTCTTAATATTATTATGAAAACCATTTTGCCCACACAGACCCTGGGGGTCTGCAGACCACACTTTGAGAACTGCTTATTTATGCCATTTTATCTAAGGACATCTCCACCTTCATTCCATATTTCTATGATGTGTAGTGCATGGGCTTAGCATTTTGGTGTCTGTTTCTGTAAACCATTGCAAAGATGTGCACACACACTTTATTGTCATATTCTAACGAGATTTATGAAATTCACAACACGTACTTTGTAGACAATTTGGCAAATGTTTTTCTTTTAAAAATTCCTTGGCTTTCTCTGCATTTTCTTGGGTTCTGTGTGCTACTATACACATGTTGATTTATGAAGGGAAGTAGTAGCTCTCAGATGGTTATTCCCACTTAGCCAGAAATTACTTTGTTGACAGTGGAGAGAAAAGAAGTAATGCATACATCTGGATAACACTTTTAGTTTCATTACATTTTGTTTGCTTCCACATCTAAATTATAAGATAATATTGTATTACGCTAATTAGCATTCATGATTTTTTCTGGCTTTACAGATTTTGTTTCTATGGTAAAGCGATACACATTCATTAAAGAAAACTTAGATATTCTAGGCCAGGTGCAGTGGCTCACACCTATAACCCAGCACTTTGGGAGGCCAAGGTGAGCGGATCACAAGGTCAGGAGTTTGAGACCAGCCTGGCCAACATGGTGAAACCTCGTCTCTACTAAAAATACAAAATTAGCCTGGTGTGGTGGCACATGCCTGTAGTCCCAGCTACTCGGGAGGCTGAGGCAGGAGAATCACTTGAGCCTGGGAGGCAGAGATTGCAGTGAGCCGGGATCACACCACTGCACTCCAGCCTGGGCGACAGAGCGAGACGCTGTCTCAAAAAGAAAAAAAAAAAAAAAAAAAAGAGCTGGGTGCGGTGGCTCACGCCTGTTATCCCAGCATTTTGGGAGGCCAGGTGGGCGGATCACGAGGTCAGGAATTAGATACCAGCCTGACCAACATGGTGAAACCGTCTCTACTAAAAATACAAAAATTAGCTGGGCATGGTGGTGCATGCCAGTAATCCCAGCTACTCAGGAGGCTAAGGCAGGAGAACTGCTTGAACCCAGGAGGCGGAGGTCGTAGTGAGCCGAGATCGCGCCACTGCACTCCAGCCTGGGCAACAGAGTAAGACTCCGTCTCAAAAAAAAAGCAACAACAACAACAAAAACTTAGATATCCTAAGCAGTATAAAGAAGAAAATAATAGTTTCATCTTCCAAAGATGACCAATAATAATATTTTGGTGCATTTCCTTTCAACCTTTATCAAAAATACAGTATGTAGAGCATTTTGTAGCCTGCCTTTCCCCCTTGACATTGCATTTTATGCATGTATTATTGTGTAGTCTTTAAAACATTATTTGAAATAATGTAAGAGAGCTGGGCACAGTGGCTCACGCCTGTAATCCCAGCAGTTTGGGAGGCTGAGGCGGGCAGACCATGATATCAAGGAGATTGAGACTATGCTGGCTAACACAGTGGAACCCCGTCTCTACTAAAAATACAAAAAATTAGCTGGGCGTGGTGGCACGTGCCTGTAGTCCCAGCTACTCAGGAGGCTGAGGCAGGAGAATTGCTTGAACCCAGGAGGCAGAGGTTGCAGTGAGCCGAGATCACACCATTGCACTCCAGCCTGGGTGACACAGTGAGACTCCGTCTCAAAAAAAAAGAAATAGTGAAAAAGTATTCCAAAGAATAGATACACCACACTATAACCATATACTCACTGTTGTGCTTATTAAAGATTATTTCCAGTTAAAAAAATTTTAGGCCATAGATTTCTTTTTCCGTATTTAGATTTCTTTCTAAATCTGCCAAAGTAAAATTATCGGGGTCTATAAAAACACTGTTTTTCTACTCAAAACACTTCTGACCAACCGTATGGGGATTTTCCCCACTCTTAATCATTTCTTCAACTCTCTGTACACCAGTTGGGTGTCCTGACATTCAGTTCAATTCTGACACTACCTACCTGGAGTTAGTGCACACCTCACAGGCCCCACAGACTGCCCATACTTCAGAGCCAAGCATAAGACACAGGCCTCTGCTACTTCTGACCAACTTGACTACAAATTGGCGGTTCCCACAGCCTCCTCTTCAGGTTTGAGAGTTTGCTGTAACAGCTCACAGAAGTCAGGGGAAACATTACTTACGTCTCCTGGTTTTGTAGAAAGGATTCAGATGTACAGCCAGATGGAGAGGTGCCTAGGGTGAGGTGGGAAGGGTCCTGAGCACAGGAGCTTCTGTCTCCATGGAGTTGGGGTACACCGCCCTCCTGGCACGTGGATGTGTTGAGCATCCTGGAAGCTCTTGGAACTCTGCAGATTAGGGATTTTGGTGTAGGCTTCAGTTCATAGGCATGATCCATTGTGCATTCAGTCTCCAGCCTCACTCTCCTCCCTTGAGGATGGGGGGATAGGGCTGAAAGTTCCAAGCTCCTAACCATGTCTTGGTCTTTCTGGTGCCAGGTGCCCACCCAGGAGCCCACCAAGAGTCACCTCATTAGAACAAAAGATCCTTCTATCACCCAGGAAATTCTAGGGGTTTTAGATATGTATCAGGAATTGGGGGCAGAGATCAATATATTTTTTCTTATGTCGCATGGGGCTTTTGAAGTATATTCTCAAACTGCTTTTCAAAAGACTTGAATTAAGGTTTACTCCCCTGCAGGAGGATATGAGAGTGTCTCTATCCCGGCCATTATTAAATGTTTCAGTTTTTTATAAAACTGCTCATTTGAAAGATTCATAAAAACCTCAGTGTTTTAATTTCCATTGAATACTAGGAAGTATGAATTTTTCCTATGTTTGCTTACCAGTTTCATGTTCTCCTTTGTGAAAGACCCATCATGGCCCTCACCTGTGTATATTTTGGTTTCTTGATGCTTTTCTTAGTAATTTATGTTAACTTTTTATGATAAAGATGTTCGCCCCATTTCGGTATTTACTATAAATATTTTCTGAGCTAACACAAAGAATCAAATTAAACCAGATTTACACAAAGCAGAGATTGTTCCAGTATTTATATATTTTAGGGAGACATGAAACATCAATCAATATATGTAAGAAGTACATTGGTTGGTCTGGAAAGGCAGCACAACTTGAAGCAAAGGCAGGAAGACTCAAAGTGGGGAAGGAGCTTCCAGGTCACACATAGGGTGAAACATAAGCAGTTGCATTCTTTTGAGTTTTTGATAAGTCTTTCCAAAGCAGGTAATCAGAATATGCATCTATCTCTGTGAGCAGAGGGATGTCTTTGAAGAGAATGGGAGGCAGATTTGCCCTGAGTGGTTCCCAGCTTGAAGGGGCCCAAGATACTTTCCTTTCACATTTCCCAACTTTTCTAAAATCTTTTCGAGAAAGCATTTTGCAAGAAAATGAGTCTCTGGTCTCAGGTTTCATCTGATCTCTCATGGCTGGGATGGTTTATTCCTAGACGAGCAGGTGCTGAAAGCTCATTTTTAGCAGATTGTGAAGTCTAGTGTCCTCTGAAGAGAAAATAGGAGGAGGAAGGGAGAAAAACAACAACAAACAAAAGAACAATCCTGCAAAATTGATACAGGCCACATTCCTCTGAAGTCTATACATCAGTAGGCAGGTATGAAAGTGTCTTATGTATGTAAATAGGTTGCTGTTATTTTCTTCTGAAGTTTAAGTTCTCTAGTTTCAGTTCGCAGGGCTTTAAGAAAGCACAGCTTAGCTTTCAGTGATTCCCAATTAGGAAAAATGGGAAAAAAAGAAGGAAAAAAAGAAAAAATAATTGAAAACATTATTTTGAAGACTTGTAGCCAAGAAAAAATTTAGAATTCAACCCAAACTGTAGAAATAATAAAAATTGAAAAACATTAGGCAGGATTAGAATCTAACAACAGGTGTACTATACTTTTTGAAACATAAGTTTTCTCTCTCCAGTTTCCCTTGCTGAAGACAAATCATGGTAGGACTGGTTTGCCTTATTATACTTGGCCTAATTATTTGTATACAGTGCAGCAAGAATAATTATTTTTTAATAGTTTTTTAATTGGCTTTGATGGAACTTTGTTCCACAGAAGGGATATCAGATAAGACTTTTTTAAAGCCAAGCCCAGTCGTGGATTTGCGCATCAAATATCAATGAGTTGGGTGAATTTCCTCTCCTGTTGAGGTTCCAAGATAAACCTGGGGCTTCTGGACTTGTTAGAAAGTGACATTCTTTACTTACCACAGGTCAGAAACCTTGTACAGGCACTGCGTACACAAAATATGAGGCCAGTTTTGCCACGGGCTTTATTTCCTCCATAAGCCAAGTTGATTCCTTAAAGGAAAGTACACTATTCCAGTCAAAGCCTTGGTAAAATAACCAGTTTCTCCAATTGTGTCCTGTTACAAATGAAAACAGATTTTTATTGCACTTATGCAAATAACTGTATTGCCATAAGTTACGAATACTCATAGTTTCCAAATTCTGTAGATATCAAGTAGAGAGAAACAAATATGCCCCAAATTTTGTTCATGAGAATATACTAAATTGTTAAAAGCTGTCGATAGCTCAAAAGAAAAGTTTTAGACTCAGAAAAAACAAAGGATCAGCTAACTTTTTTTTTTAATACTTTAAGTTCTAGGGTACATGTGCACAACGTGCATGTTTGTTACATAGGTATACATGTGCCATGTTGGTTTGCTGCACCCATCAACTCGTCATTTACATTAGGTGTTTCTCCTAATGCTATCTATCCCTCCCCCAGCCCTCCAAACCCCAACAGGCCCCAATGTGTGATGTTCCCCACCCTGTGTCCAAATGTTCTCATTGTTCAATTCCTACCTATGAGTGAGAACAAGTGGTGTTTGGTTTTCTGTCCTTGTGACAGTTTGCTGAGAATGATGGTTTCCAGCTCCATCCATGTCCATTCAGAGGACATGAACTCATCCTTTTTTATGGCTGCATAGTATTCCCTGGTGTATATGTGCCACATTTTCTTAATCCAGTCTATCATTGATGGACATTTGGGTTGGTTCCAAGTCTTAGCTATTGTGAATAGTGCCACAATAAACATACGTGTGCATGTGTTTTTACTGTAGCATGATTTATAATCCTTTGGGTATATACCCAGTAATGGGATCGCTGGGTCAAATGGTATTTCTAGTTCTAGATCCTTGAGGAATCACCCCACTGTCCTCCACAATGGTTGAACTAATTTACACTCTCACCAACAGTGTAAAAGCGTTCCTATTTCTCCACATCCTCTCCAGCATCTGTCATTTCCTGACTTTTTAATGATCGCCATTCTAACTGGCATGAGATGGTTTTTCATTGTGGTTTTGATTTGCATTTCTCTGATGACCAGTGATGATGAGCATTTTTTCATGTGTCTGTTGGCTGCATAAATATCTTCTTTTGAGAAGTGTCTGTTCATATCCTTTGCCCACTTTTTGCTGGGGTTGTTTGTTTTTTTCTTATAAATTTGTTTAAGTTCTTTGTAGATTCTGGATATTAGCCCTTTGTCAGATGGGTAGATTGCAAAAATTTTCCCTCATTCTGTAGGTTGCCTGTTCACTCTGATGGTAGTTTCTTTTGCCGTGCAGAAGCTCTTTCGTTTAATTAGATTCCATTTGTCTATTTTGGCTTTTGTTGCCATTGCTCTTGGTGTTTTAATCATGAAGTCCTTGCCCATGCCTATGTCCTGAATGGTATTGCCTAGGTTTTCTTTTAGAGTTTTTATGGTTTTAGGTTTAACATTTAAGTCTTTAATCCATCTTGAATTAATTTTTGTATAAGGTGTAAGGAAGGGATCCAGTTTCAGCTTTCCACATATGGCTAGCCAGTTTTCCCAGCACCATTTATTAAATAGGGAACCCTTTCCCCATTTCTTGTTTTTGTCAGATTTGTCAAAGATCAGATGGTTGTGGATGTGTGGTGTTATTTCTGAGGCCTCTGTTCTGTTCCATTGGTCTATATCTCTGTTTTGGTACCAGTACCATGCTGTTTTGGTTACTGTAGCCTTGTAGTATAGTTTGAAGTTAGGTAGCATGATGCCTCCAGCTTTGTTCTTTTTGCTTAGAATTGTCTTGGCAATGCAGCCTGTTTTTTGGTTCCATATGAACTTTAAAGTAGTTTTTTCCAATTCTGTGAAGAAAGTCATTGGTAGCTTGATGGGGATGGCACTGAATCTATAAATTACCTTGGGCAGTATGGCCATTTTCAGGATATTGATTCTTCCTATCCATAAGCATGGAATGTCCTTCCATTTGTTTGTGTCCTCTTTTTTTTCGTTGAGCAGTGGTTTGTAATTCTCCTTGAAGAGGTCCTTCGCATCCCTTGTAAGTTGGATTCCTAGGTATTTTTTTCTCTTTGTAGCAATTGTGAATGGGAGTTCACTAATGATTTGGCTCTCTGTTTATCTGTTATTGGTGTATAGGAATGCTTGTGATTTTAGGATCAGCAAACATTTTAAGCAAAAAGTCAAAAAGATTAGTTCAGACCATGCTGTTAATTCCTGTTCTGCTTGATACTCGTAAACATTTTAGCTCTCCATGAGTCCTGAAAGTTTTTCCTCTATTCTGATGTCACAATCTCCAAAGTTATCAGAAACGTGCATTCAAGAGCACTTGTTAGAATTGTATAGCTGATTATAAAACTACCTTCTAAAGAGGACCAAAACAGGACAATTGTCCATGGATGATGAAAGTTTTAGGGCAGCCACAATCAAAGACACAATTAATGAGGAAATTTGTTACCTCTGTGGCACACAATAATTTTAACATAACAATTATGATTATTACTGATAATATATACTGTTATGTCAGAATTACAGGAGTTTCCCATAATTTTAGAACATATACCAATAACATATTTATACAAATATAACCCAAAGAAAACCCAACACAATTTCATATTTGATAATGCTTCCTGTATAATTTTTGTACCAAATAAGCCAAATTTTGGACTTCTATTTTCTGGACTTTAGGGAGCCTAATATCTTAAAAGATTAATTAGGTCAGAAAAAGATATAATTTATAATTTGATTTTGGAGAATTTGTCAAATATCAAAGGTTTTAAACATTTGATATCACAAAATAGGTTCACAGGTCATTGTAAAATAAGTCATTTATTTAACCAAAGTGATAACTCAAGGATTTCAAAAAAAAGCAAAAACCTTTATCTTTGAGAGAGGAGACTTAATTTTCCAAATCATAAGCCCTAATAAAAACAGCATGAAGCCAATTAAATTTGTTTTTCAAAATTTTATAAATAATCTATAAAATTTTAATCTTGACCATATGATATAGCTTCCATAAGCCTTTTATAACCTTTACAACCTTTATTAAGGAGTTGGTTAATACTTCAAGAAAACCTTGTTAGGGCAGTCACGGTGGCTCATGCCTGTAATCCCAGCACTTTGGGAGGCCAAGGCAGGCGGATCACCTGAGGTCAGGAGTTCGAGACAAGCCTGGCCAACATGGTGAAACCCCATCTCTACTAAAAATATAAAAATTAGCCGAGTGTGATGGCACGTGCCTGTAATCCCAGCTACTCAGGAGGCTGAGGCAGAAGAACCGCTTGAACCCAGGAGGCAGAGGTTGCAGTGAGCTGAGATGAGGCCATTGCACTCCATCCAGCCTGGGAGACAAAGCAAGACTCCATCTCAAAAAAAAAAAAAAAAAAAAAAAAAACCCTTGTTAATCTGACACAGGGGACCATATGCTGGTTTTGCATCTGTGTGCCTTTAACATTAATGATTAATTTATAGAAAACCTGAACTTATTTTACCTTTCAAAATCAGCCCTCACAATCATACGTGCCCACCTCTTCTGCGATAGTCCCTGGGCCTTGAGGAGTTGAATAGCTTTAATTTCTTGCCCTGTGTCTCAAGAATGCAGTTTATTTTGATTGGCATCTTCTACAGGGCCTGAAGATAGGGCTTTAATTGGCTGTCAGTGTTTAAGATTTAGCAGGACTTGGTGTCCTTTTTAGACCCAGGAGTTGAATCCCTGTTACTCAATGTCACAAGGACTTTAAAAGCACATACAAGGAGGTACATGGATATAATAACCTTAATTTAGAAAAATTTTTTTCTCAGTTTTTTTCTAAGCAAACCGAAACTTGATAATAATATGACAATTTGATCCATATTAACATTTTTTTAAAAAATAAATCATCTTGTGATTTACACTGACTGTTCATGACATACTTGGGTTACAGGAAAGGAGTCCCAATCCAGACCTCAAGAGAAGGTACTTGGATCTCGTGCAAGAAAGAATTCAGGGCGAATCCGTAGAGTAAAGTGAAAGCAAGTTTATTAAGAAAGTAAAGGAACAAAAGAATGGCTACTCCATAGACTTAGCAGCCCCAAGGGGTGCTGGTTGCCCATTCTTATGGTTATTTCTTGATGATATGCTAAACAAGGGTGGATTATTCATGCCTCCCATTTTTAGACCATATAGGGTAACTTCCTGATGTTGCCATGGCATTTGTAAACTGTCATGGCGCTGGTCAGAGTGTAGCAAGATAGCATGGCCATCTTGTTTTTGGTGGGTTTTGGCCGGCTTCTTTACTGCAACCTGTTTTATCAGCAAGGTCTTTATGTCCTGTATCTTGTGCTGACCTCCTATCTCATCCTGTGACTTAGAATGCCTTAACCATCTGGGAATGCAGCCTAGTAGGTTTCTACCTCATTATATCCAGCTCT
This sequence comes from Homo sapiens, assembly GCF_000001405.40. Classification (NCBI taxonomy): domain Eukaryota; kingdom Metazoa; phylum Chordata; class Mammalia; order Primates; family Hominidae; genus Homo; species Homo sapiens. The sequence continues at coordinate 226,850,974 of NC_000001.11, read as the reverse complement.
TATTCAAGATGGAGTTGCTCTGGTTCACATGCCTCTGACACTTATACTTCCTGATTTATCCTGAATATCCCTCCTTCTTAAACAACCAGTCATTTTATTTTAGGACTAAATTTACCATACAAGATTCTTTCTCATATAAAATTATTTCTCTTTAAGGTTTCTAACCGCAAAAAATACCTCTTTATTTTTATAACTTTCTTTACATATTTTTTTATTTCCTGGTTCCTTTTACCTTGTTTTATACATAACCTTTAAATAAACTGAATTAGACAAAACTTATTCACCTATTTTTTTAAAGGACACACTTGGTTTTCCTACAATATCTATTTATTAGAAAATACCCAAATAGGCTGGGCGCAGTGGCTCACCCCTGTAATTCCAAAACTTTGGGAGGCCGAGGCGGGCGGATCATGAGGTCAGGAGATTGAGACCATCCAGGCTAACACGGTGAAACCCTGTCTCTACTAAAAATACAAAAAATTAGCCAGGTGTGGTGGCGGGCGCCTGTAGTCCCAGCTACTCGGGAGTCTGAGGCAGAAGAATGGCCTGAACCCAGGAGGCGGAGCTTGCAGTGAGCCGAGATCGCGCCACTGCACTCCATCCAGCCTGGGCGACAGAGCGAGACTTCCGTCTCAAAAAAAAGAAAAGAAAAGAAAAGAAAATACCCAAATAATGAAATATCTATAATATATAATTTTATATTCTAAACTATGACAAGTTTGCCTACAAGTATTTATTCCATTACATTTACTTATTTTACTTTAATTGTTTACTTAGATTATTTATGAAAACTGTGATAGTCATGAAACCACCACTGCAAAAATATAACTGAGGCAGTGAAAAAGATATGACCTAACTAACTCCATCTTGCTTCTAATCTCCAAGCTGTGCCTGTTCATTCCTGGACTTTGGGAGGAATTTGGTTTATAGTTTAGTTTTGAAACAAAGGCAATAACAGCCTTTTCCCAAAACAAACCTCCTTACTCCCTGTGTACTAGATTACCTAAAAGCCACAAGATTAGAAGGTATGGTAATCTTACTAAATTTAAGATGCAGCTATTTTCATTAAACCAATATCAATGTCTTATTTATTAAAAACTACACAAAGATCATTTGTTTTGAGCTGGGTTTATAGTTTTGTAACCCCTATGCCAAATTTTAACACCTTTATAGTATTTGGCAGAAATAAGTATGAAATTGCCTGATTAATAAATGCAAACGAAAAATGTTTGGTGGCAATTCTTAAGAAATTTCTAATGTTACTTTACCAATAATTTTAAAGCTAGCTTATTAAAGATTTTACTTGTTACATAAACTTGAAAAAGCATTTGACTAGTCTTTTCTTTTTTAGTATCTGATTTAAGTGCTTTTATTTTTCTTTTAGCCAATTAATTAGAGCTCTCATGTATTTTTAGTAGTGAAACGTGTACACAACACATAAATACAACACATAAACACATTAGACATGCTGATGGAAGTACATTTTGTGATTTATAAACAGCCCCCCTTTCTTCCCCACCATTTTAGAGTTTCAGATCCTTGATAACCTATTTTACAACCCTAGGCAGTTGTCAGCTAAATAGCCTTAAATTTGCACATTAAAGGAAACAGCTCAGGTGAAAATCAAAGAGCGGAATGTACATCATAAGGTACAGAGAGAAAAAGTCTGGTGGTGCTAGAGGGAGATGCTTTTAATTTTTCTGAGCCAAATTAAACATAAAATTAAACTACACTCTTCCTTAAAAACCCAAGACTAGCCTCTGTTGCAATAGCTATTTTAGTCAAAAAATCAGGTGAAAACAGAATTCAGTCAACTGAGAAGAAAAGGAAAAAAAAAACTTGCACTCCAAAAAAAGACAAGGTCTTAGAATAGAAAAACAAATGTTGAAACCAAAAACATGAAGGCCTTTCAAATACAAACATGCACACATGCACACATACATCTTGGATGTTAGCCTTTTAATTAAGCTGACTTTTTTTTTTTTTTTTTTTTTTTTTTTGAGACAGAGTTTCGCTATTGTTGCCCAGGCTGGAGTGCAATGCCGCGATCTCGGCTCACCGCAACCTCCGCCTCCCGGGTTCAAGCGATTCTCCTGCCTCAGCCTCCCGAGTAGCTGGGGTTACAGGCATGCGCCATCATGCCCGGCTGATTTTGTATTTTTAGTAGAGATGAGATTGCTCCATGTTGGTAAGGCTGGTCTTGAACTCCCAACCTCAGGTGATCCGCCCGCCTCGGCCTTCCAAAGTGCTAGGATTATAGGCGTGAGCCACCGCGACCAGCCTAATTAAGCTGAGTTTTAACCATTGAGCTCCTTAACAAAATTTTTTAAAAATCTTATTACCATGTTTCAGCTAGGACAAAATGCTGCTATTTCAGAAGTACAACCATTGCTCTTTCAGTTTGGGCGGGCTGGCTGGCAAAAAGGTGGCCTTGTTATGTAAATAAAGCCCATTTAGTAGTCAAAATCAAAAATCTTTCCTCTTTTTTTTTTTTTTGCTGGCCATTTTTTCTCCCACTTTAAAGGTCTTGTTCCTCATAATTTAGAGTTCCCCTTCGGATTTGACCAAGACAGAAACAACAAAACCATGAAGTAAATCTAACAATGATCACACAAATGCTATGATTTCTGAGCGCTCTAAGTGTAAGCAGAAATTAACACCAGCTGGTTGTTAATGCTAACTTTAATTTTTTAAAAGGAATTTGCAAGACAGAATCCCAGACCAGTTTCTTACCTAGTGATGGGTCTCAGGCTGTAGACTGCTCTCTACCATCCTAGAAGCAGGAAAACAAAACAAAAAAACCTTATGTTCTCTGTTGGAAGCAAGCTCAAACTCCATAAAGGAGTTACCTGCCTTCCATCATCATGGAAGCAGGAAAAACTTGCCTTCCTTGTTTTGGAAGCAAGTAAAACTCCAAAAAAAAAAAAAAAAAAAAAAAGAGGAGCTGTACAACAAAATACGAAATAAACTTTAGATCTTGACCAAATTTTGGGAGCTCAGGGATTCTCTGGAGGAGATGCTCTCAGACCTCAGCAAATTGTCCTATTGGTTTGGGCCATAAAGTTAGCTCATGCTGGTACCAAGCACTGATAGGAGATTCGTCAAAGGTCAGGGGTATCTCCACTCAGAATCCCCCATGGTGAACCCAGAAATGTGGGTTCAGCAAATGTGAACCCAGAAAATCTGAGACAGGTCTCAGTTAATTCAGAAAGTTTATTTTGCCAAGGTTGAGGACATGCCCTTGACACAGCCTCAGGAAGTCCTGACAACATGTGCCTAAGATGGTCGGGGCACAGCTTGGTTTTATACATTTTAGGGAAACATGAGACATCAATCAATATATGTAAGAGGTACATTGATTGGGCCTGGAAAGGCGGGACAACTTGAAACAAAGGCAGGAGGACTCAAAGTGGGGAAGGAGCTTCCAGGTCACAGATAGGTAAGATACAAATGGTTCATTCTTTTGAGTTTCTGATAAGTTTTTCCATGTGAGGTAATCAGACTATGCATCTATCTCTGTGAGCAGAGGGATGACTTTGAATAGAATGGGAGGCAGATTTGCCTTGAGTGGTTCCCAGCTTGAAGGGGCCTAAGATACTTTCCTTTTGTACATCCATCCCACATGCAAAAAACATTCACCCTGTCCCAACATCCCCCAAAGTCTCAACCCATTAACAGCATCAACTTAAGCCCAAAATCTTACCTAAGTGTCATCAGCTCAAAAGTTCTAAATCTCGTTGCCCATATAATCTAAATCAGGTGTGGAGGAGACTTTGGGCATGGTCCATCCTGGGCAAAATCTCTCTCCATCTGTGGAATTGTAAAACTAGAAAACAAATGGTTTGCTTCCAATACATAATTGCATGACAGGCACAGGATAACAGTTGTAGATATTCTCATTCCAAAAGGGAGAAAATGGAAGGAAAAGAGTCATCACTAGCCTCAAGCAATTTTGAATTCCAACTGAGCAAACTCCATTATGTCTCAAGACCTGGAAACAATTCTCTGTGGCTTGAGACTCCACCCTCTGGGCCCAAGGCACCCCACCTCAAAGTCATCTTTCTTTTTCTGGAACGGTAGCATATGTTTGCAGCTGAGCAGTTTTATCAGCCTGTTTCCTGCCTGTAGAATTTGGGACTCTGACAGTCTTCTTTCATTTCATTCTCTGTCCATCCCTTTCAGTCCAAGCTGACAGTGCTGCTGTTATAATACTCTCAAAAACCTTAGTGGTCTCCTGTGTATGTCACAGAGATTTACTCCATTAAACAAAAGGCTCCTCCATAGACCATTCGATCTCTATTCATGGCTTTTGCTAAAACGGTTGAGGGACTCCATGAATCACATATGTGATCTCTTCAGCACTAGAAAAGGTTGTCTAGCCATACCTTTGGCCTTCAATCTAGAGCCCGCTTTCTTAACAGTGTATCTCTGGAAGTTTAACATCTTTTGCAATCTGGAGAGTCTGAGAATTTCCCAGATCATCAAGCCTTGCTTCCTTTTTGCTTAACATTTCTTCCCCCTTTTCTTTTTTTTTTTTTTTGTTTTGAGACAGAGTCTTGCTCTGTCTCTGTTGCCCAGGCTGGAGTGCAGTGGTATGATCTCGGCTCACTGCAACCTCCGCTTCCTGGGTTCAAGTGGCTCTCCTGCCTCAGCCTCCTGAGTAAATGGGACTACAGGCCCCACCTGCCACCATGCCCAGCCAATTTTTTGTATTTTTAGTACAGACGGGGTTTCACTGTGTTAGCCAGGATGGTCTCCATCTCCTGACCTCGTGATCCACCCGCCTCGACCTCCCAAAATGCTGGTATTACAGGTGTGAGCCACCATGCCCCGCCTCTTCCCTCATTTTATCTCTTACCTGTTAAAGTTTATTATAAGGTGCAAGAAGAACCCAGCCTATGCTTTCAACCCTTTGCTTGAAAATCTTAGCTAAATACCAAGTTCATTGCTTACAAGTTCTATTTTCCTAAAACTTCAGGACACAATTCAGCAAAAGTTTCTGCTGCTGCATAACAAGGACCCTCTTCCTTCCAAATTCCAATAATTTCCTTCTGAACCTTCACCAGCAGCACCTTTAATGTTCACATGTTTACTAACAGTCTGTTTATGACAATATAGATATTCTCTGAGGTGATACAAGCTTTCTATACTGTGTTTCTCACTTCCTCCTGGCCCTCACTGGCAGAATCTTTCAAATCAATATTTCTGATAACAGTCTGTTTAAAGCAATCTAGGCTTTTTCTATTGTGCTTCTCAAAATTCTTCCAGCCCTATTACCCTATTCCAAAACTACTTCCATTTTTTTTTTTAAAGAGATAGGGGTCTTGCTGTCCAGGCTGGACTCAAACTCCTGAGCTCAAGTGAGCCTCCCACCTCAGCCTCCCAAATACTTGGCACTACAGGTACATTTTTGAGGTATTTTTACAACAGCACCCCACTTCCAGATTTTTAGGTATTTGTTGCAGCAACACCCCACTTTCAGATGCCAAAACATGTGTTAGTTTCCTATGATTGCTATAACAAATGACCATAAACTGAGTGGCTCAAAACAACACACATATATTCCCTTACAGCTCTGGAGGTCAGAAGTCTGTAATCAGTTTCACTGGGCCAAACCAGGGCCTTGCTCTTGTTGGAGGCTCTAGGGAAAAAAATCTACTTCCTTGCCATTTCCATTTTTTAGAGGGGCTTCTTCCTTTCTTCCTTTCTTTCTTCCTTCCTTCCTTCCTTCCTTCCTGACTTCCCTCCTGACTGACCTACCTTCCTTCCTTCCTTCCTTCCTTCCTTCCTTCCTTCCTTCCTTCCTTCCTGTCTTTCTTTCTTTCTTGATGGAGTTTTGCTCTTGTTGCCCATGCTGGAGTGCAGTGGCACGATCTTGGCTCACTGCAACCTCCACCTCCCGGGTTCAGGCAATTCTCCTGCCTCAGCCTCCTGAGCAGCTGGGATTACAGGCATACGCCACCACACCTGGCTAATTTTTGCATTTTTAGTAGAGACAGGGTTTTACCATGTTGGCCAGGCTGGTCTCGAACTCCTGACCTCAGGTGTTCCACCTGCCCCAGCCTCCCAAAGTGCTGGGATTACAAGCATGAACCACTGCACCTGGCCTTTTTTTTTTTTTTTTTTTTTTTTTTTAAGATGGAGTCTTCCTCTGTTACCCAGGCTGGAGTGCAATGGCACAATGTTGGCTCACTACAACCTCCACCTCCCAGGTTCAAGCGATTCTCCTGCCTCAGCCTCCCAAGCAGCCTGGACTACAGGTGCACACCACCACACCTGGGTAATTTTTGTATTTTTAGTAGAGACGGGGTTTCCATGTTGGCCAGGCTGGTCTTCAACTCCTGACCTCAGGTGATCTGCCCACCTCAGCCTCCCAAAGTGCTGGGATTACAGGAATAAGTTTTAATCTTACAGAGTATGTTTTCTTATGACAACAATTGGTTCTTATTAAATCAATACTAGGATAACTAGAAAAGCCCCACATATTTGAAAATTAAACAGCATCCATGGAACAAGAAGGAAACCACAAGGGAAATTAGAAAATATTTCAAACTGAGTGAAAATCCACCATAGCAAATTTAAGGGCTGTAGCTAAGGCGGTGCTTAGAGTAAAATTTATAGCACTAAATGCTTACAGTGTTATAAAAGAATAACATTTTTAAAATGATGATCCAAACCTCACTTTAAGAACTAGAAAAGAAAAGCAAATTAAACCCATAATAAGTAGCAGAAAGGAAATAATAAAGATAAGAACAGAAGTGAACACAATACAAACAAGGAATTAACAAATCCAGAAGTTAGTTCTCTGAAAAGATTAATAAAATTGATAAACTCCAGTAAGGCCGATTATGAAGAAAAAGAGAAAATATCAATTATCAATATCAGCATGAAAGGGGGGATATCATCATAGATCTTACAGACATCAAAAAGATAAAAAATGAATATTATTATAATGGCATGCCATTAAATTCAGTAACCTAGATGAAATGAGAAAATTCCTTGAAAAATACAAATCATCAAAACTGACACAAGAGTATACAAAATCTAAATTGTCCCTTTTAATAGGTATTGCCTATTACAGATACTGACTTCCTAATTTAAAACCTTCCCACAGATAAAACTTCAGGCCCAGATGGTTCCACTGGTAAATTCTTTAAAACATTTAAGGACAAATTAATAATGCCAATCTTATACAAACTCTTTCAGAAAGTGAAACAGGAAGGAATAGTTTCCAATTTGTTTGATGAGAACAGCAAAAAACTGTCTTGAAATCAAAATAGAACAAAGATGCCAGAAGAAAAGAAAATTACATACCAATATTCCTCATGAACATGGACATACCAATCTTTAACAAAATATTAGCAACTTGAATCCAGCAATATATAAAAAGAACAATACCTCAAGTCCAAAAGGAGTTTATCCTAGGAGTGCAAGGTTGATTTCATACTGGAAATCAATCAATATAATTATGAATGGAATAATGAAAAACCATATGATCATCTCAGTAGATGTCAGAAAAACATTTGACAAAATTCAATATTCATTCATAATAATTCTCAGAAATGCAGGAATATAAGATAATTTTCTTATTCTGATAAAGGCTATGTATCATACTTACTGGTGAAATACTGAATGCTTTCCTCTTAGATCGGGAAAAATGCAAGAATGTCTATTCTTGCTCCTATTCAACACTGCCTGGCCAGAACCTGATTTTAAGATTTCTACAAGGCCTGGTGCAGTGGCTCACAGCTGTAATCCCAGCACTTTGGGAGGCCAGGGCTTGGGGAATCACAAGGTCAGGAGATCAAGACCATCCTGGCCAACATTGTAAAACCCCGTCTCTACTAAAAATACAAAAAATTAGCCGGGCATGGTGGCACGCGCCTGTAGTCCCAGCTACTCGCGAGGCTGAGGCAGGAGAATTGCTTGAACCTGGGAGGTGGAGGTTGCAGTGAGCCAAGATCGTGCCACTGCACTCCAGCCTGGGCCACAAAGCGAGACTCTGTCTCAAAAAAGAAAAAAAAAAGAGGGTCCATAGATAGATGGTCACTTGAGTTCTGACAAAGATATCAAGATAATTCAATAGGGAGAGGAAGTCTCATTAACAAATATGGTGCTGGAACTATTGAATCAATGTACGGGAAAAAATAAACCTTGCCCCCCTATTTCATAAATCTAAATGCTAACACTATAAAGCTTCTAGAACAAATTTAGATGAATATTCTCATAACTTTGGAATAGGACAAATTTTCTCAGAGCAGTCACAAGAAAAGCAGTAAACATAAAATTAAAAATGGAAAAGTAGGCCGGGCATGGTGGCTCATACCTGTAATCCCAGCAGTTTGGGAGGCTGAGGTGGGTGGATCCCTTGAGGTCGGGAGTTCGAGACCAGCCTGGCCGACATGATGAAACTCCGTCTCTTCTAAAAAATACAAAAATTAGCTGGGTGTGGTGGTGGGTGCCTGTAATCCCAGCTACTCAGGAGGCTAAGGCAGGAGAATCGCTTGAACCTAGGAAGCAGAGGATGCAGTGAGCTAGAATTGCACCATCACACTCCAGCCTGGGCAACAAAGTAAGACTGAGACTCATTTCAAAATAATAATAATTAAGAAAAAAATTAACCCAGTGTGGTGGCATGCGCCTGTGGTCCAGGTGCAGAGGTAGGAGGATCACTTGAGCCCAGTTGTTCAAGGTTACAATGAGCTGTGATCACTGGTGACAGAGTGAGACCCTGTCTCTTAAAAAAAAAAAATATATATATATATATGTGTGTGTGTGTATATATATGTGTATATATGTGTGTGTATGTGTATATATGTGTATATGTGTGTATATATGTGTGTATATGTGTATATATATGTGTGTGTATATGTGTATATATGTGTATATGTGTATATATGTGTATATATGTGTATATGTGTATATATGTATATGTGTATATATGTGTGTGTGTGTGTGTGTGTGTATATATATATATATATAAAAGACAGCCACAAAAGTATGTCTACTGTGTGGTTTCATTTATATGAAGTTTAAGAACAGGGAAAGTTAATCTACAAGATAGAAATCAGAACAGTGGTTTCCTCTGGGGGGATAAAGATTAACTGAAAGGGAATACTGGGAAACTTTCCAGATGACAGAATATATTTTGTCTGGGTGGTGGTTATGTGGGTGTATACACTTATCCAAATCCAAATGTATCTTGTATATTCAACATACAGCTGTGTGTTTCACTGCATGTAAATTTTAATTTACTGTATAATAATGCGTAAGTATACAGGTGCATACTTATATTTGTGATGGACATCCCAACAACTGAAAAGTAAGTTCTACTTAAAGATGAAAAAATACGATACATTTAACTACGTATTTTATCTCCTCTTTTCTTGACCATTGTAAACATAGGATATCTTAAAATAAATAATAAAGATTTTAAAAATGTTTATGTTGTCTTTTCCTTGGTATTTTTCTCCGTGTAATTTAAGCTTAAAGAGATTTTGCCCAGCTAGAAATTTGGGAAAAAGGCCAGGTGCAGTGGCTCATGCCTGTAATCCCAGCACTTTGGGAGGCTGAGGCAGGTGGATCACCTGAGATCAAGAGTTTGACACCAGCCTGGCCAACATTGTGAAACACCGTTTCTACTAAAAATACAAAAAATTAGCTGGAACCTGTAATCCCAGCTACTCGGGGGGCTGAGGCAGGAGAATCGCTTGAACTCGGGAGGCAGAGGTTACGGTGAGCCGAGATCGCGCCATTGCACTCCAGCCTGAGCAACAAGAGTGAGACTCCATCTCAAAAAAAAAAAAAGAAAAAAGAAATTTGGAAAAAAAATATGTGTGTATATATATATATATATTCTGTATTTCTCTGTATTCCATCCAGAATTTGTTTGGAGGAGAGAAGGCCTGCTTCCAGTCACACAGAGGAAAGGCTTTCTTTTCACATCTAAATTCCCTCCCTTGAGCTCCCTGCTCAGGTGACTGCTTCTTCTGGCCAAGGGAAAAGAAGAGGTAGCAAAGCGTGAGACATCCCTTCTTGGTGGGAGTTATAGAGGGGGTCTATCTGCCCCCAGCAGAGTGCTTGTCCTTTTTCTGCATATGACTGTCTTTCTCTAAGTGGCCTCATTTTCAGATTAATACAGCTTGAAATTGGCCTGTTTCCTTGAAAAAAAAATTTCTTTTTGAGACAGGGTCTGGCTTTGTTGCCCAGGTTGGAGTGCAGTAGTAGCACAATCATAGCTCACTGCAGCCTCAACTTCCTTGCTCAAGCGATCCTCCCACCTCCCAGCTCAGCCTCCTGAGTAGCTGGGACTACAGCTGCATGCCACCATGCCTGGCTAATTTTTTGATTTTTAAAATTTTTTTGTAGAGACGAGGTCTGGAACTCCTGTGCCTCAAGTGATCCTCCTGCCTCAGACTCCTAAAGCACTGAGATTACAAGCGTGAGCCACTGCACCCAGCCAGTTCCCTTGAAATTAAAGTTCTTGAAATATTCAAAAGAAGGTAAAGCAGAAATAGTCACCTGAAAGAATAGGAAATTGCTCTTGCTGGAATAGTATAACCATCCTGTGAGACATATGAAGTGTTATACATTTGATAAGTATTAACCCTGGGGGAAATGATTGTTGGGTGATTGGCTTTGGTCTCTGGTATCAGACATGTGGACCTGGGAGTAGTTGGAAATTTTTGCAATATGAAGTGGCTGACTTACGGGGTTAAGTGCCAGGCTTGGTGGTACCTCTGCTTTATCCTCCAGCTAAAGAACAGCTAGCCTTGGCACAAGTTGAAGAGAATATTGGTGTCTCAGAGTCTTCAAAGCCAGGCCTATATGACAATTCCCATCAGCAACAGCAACATCTTCAAATTCAAAAAACTACCAGGGCCAGGTGCGGTGGCTCACTCCTGTAATTCCAGCACTTTAGAAGGCCGAGGCAGGCGGATCACCTGAGGTCGGGAGTTTGAGACCAGCCTGAACAACATGGAGAAACCCCGTCTCTACTAAAAATACAAAAATTAGCCGGGCGTGGTGTCACATGCCTGTAATCCCAGCTACTTGGGAGGCTGAGTCAGGAGAATTGCTTGAACCTGGGAGGTGGAGGTTGTGGTGAGCCAAGATCGTGCCATTGCACTCCAGCCTGGGCAACAAGAGCAAAACTAGGTCTCAAAAAAAAAAAAAAAATGCCAGGCAGTTAGTTAGTCTTCCATAGAGCTGCATAGCACTTATCTGAGGGTGTTTAGAGCTGAGAAATCAGAATTACCTGGGCTTTGTAAATGCTGCATAGTATGCCACTGAGATAAAACTGAAAGATCGTGACATGTAGCTACTTGCCTTTTTTTTTTTTTTTTTTTTTGAGAAAGAGTCCCAGTCTGTCGCCCAGTCTGGAATGCAGTGGCATAATCTCTGCTCACTACAACCTCCGCCTCCTGGGTTAAAGTGATTCTCAAGCCTCAGCCTCCCGAGTAGCTAGGATTACAGGCACTTGCCACCACACTTGGCTAATTTTTGTGGGTTTTTTTTAGTAGAGACAGGGCTTCACCATGTTGGCCAGGCTGATCTCAAACTCCTAACCTCAAGTGATCCACCCTCTATTTAATCACCATGGAAGACACTGCCCAGTGCCTTTCTTAGAACCCTTTTTGGATTTCTTCTGTTCAAATTGCTGTCAGAGTCAGCATATGATCCACATGAGGGAAATCAGCTCAGTTTTCTTAATTCAGAGCAGTTGGTTCTAAATAACTTTTGGCTGTTTCAAAACATCCAATCCACCCCAGAACAAAGATTTGCCACTAGTAAAGATATTGAAGAGAATGTGCTTTTGACATTTTTACCAGCAGGGTTGCAGATATATATCAGTTGGTAGTGACAAAGATTCTATGCTTGGCCAAATGTTAGTCAGACTCCTGAAACTTCTCCTAGGCCCATCTGTGCACCTTCTTGTAAAATCCAGTTTTAACAAGATGCTAAATCAGCTTAGCCAGAACCTCCCACCCTCCATATCCAGTCACTTTCAATATCTGATGGGATTCTTCATCCCCTGCTACCTGCCAGGTGATGTCTGGTTGCCCTGGCTTGTTTTCAGCCAGAATGCTGTTAGGTTGGGGGTGGGAGGGATATTGTGAAATATATACAGTATTTTGTCTTTGTCTCTCTTTTCTAGCACACTACTCCTAAACTCCTTGGGATTCCCAAAAGTAAATGTCTTTTTGTGTGCTAATGAGTTGATTAATGGCTGGCAGTCCCTAGGTAGCTTTAGGATGGGGCTGGTCACCCATCCGAAAAGAGGCAGGATTAGAGGATTAGGACTTTCAGCCCCACTCCTCAACCTCCTGGGAGAGGGGAGGGACTGAAGATTAAGTCCATCCCCTGTAGCCAATGATATAACAATCATGCTTATGTAATGATGCCTCCATAGAACCCCAGAACGACAGAGTTGGGTGAGCTTCTGGATAACTGAACACATGGAGGTTCCCGGAGGTTGGCACATTCAGGGAGGGCATGGAAGCTCTGCACCCTCCCACATCCCTTACCCCATGCATTGCTTCTGTCGGTTTCCCGGGTTTCAGCACCAAATGTTACATGCGTCCGTGTGAAGAGACCACCAAACAGGCTTTGTGTGAGCCATAAAGCTTTTTAATCACATGGGTGCAGGTGGACTGAGTCCGAGAAAGGAGTCAGCAAAGGGAGACAGGGGTGGGGCAGTTTTATAGGATTTGGGTAGGTAGTAGAATATTACAGTTAAAAGTTTTTTCTTGTGGGCAGCAGTGGGGGTCACAAGGTGCTCAGTGGGGAGCTCCTGAGACTCATTGTCCAGGAGAAGGAATGTCACAAGGTCAATTGATCGGTTAGGGTGGGGCAGGAACAAATCACAATGGTGGAATGTCATCAGTTAAGGCAGGAACTTGCTATTTCTCATTTTGTGGTTCTTTAGTTGCTTCAGGCCATCTGGATGTATATGTGCAGGTCACAGGGGTTATGATGGCTTAGCTTGGGCTCAGAGGCCTGACATTCCTGTCTTCTTATATTAATAAGAAAAACAAAACAAAATAGTGGTGAAGTGTTGGGGCGGCGAAAATGTTTGGGGGTGGCATGGAGAGATAATGGGCCATGTTTCTCAGGGCTGCTTCAAGCAGGATCAGGGGCGGCGTGGAAACCGACAGTGGGAGAGATTAAACTAAAGAAAGATTTTGGGGTAGGGGGTGATATTGTGGGGTTGTTAGAAGGAGCATTTGTCATATAGAATGATTGGTGATGGCCTGGATATGGTTTTGTATGAATTGAGAAACTAAACAGAAGACACAAGGTCCGAATAAGAGAAGGAGAAAAACAGGTATTAAAGGACTAAGAATTGGGAGGACCCATAACATCCAATTAGAGAGTGCCCAAGGGGGTTCAGCATAATTATTTGCTTGGTTGGCAAGTTTTTGGGCTCTATCCTTGAAATACAGTCATGTGGTTCAGGACTTGTGTTGGGTGCTAAGTGAGAAGCCGGGTTGAAATCGGGCCCATGGGTAATAGTTACTGTTGGAGTTTCAACAAAGAGTGAATAGAGCTGGAGGAGTCGAGCGGCAGGTAATAAGTGTGAAAGATGTGAGGAGGATATTAATGCTTGAAGGTTGTGAGACCTGTAAAGGCTAAGTGGAGCATAGCCTGTGATTTTGAAGGCCTCTAGAAGTATTAAAGCAGTGGCTGCCACCACACACAGACATGAGGGCCAGCCCAGAACTGTGAGGTCAAGTTGTTTTGATAGAAAGGCAACAGGTCGTGGGCCTGGCTCCTGTGTGAGGATTCCAGCAGCACAGGCTTGTATTTCAGCTGTGTGTAAGGAAAAAGGATGGGACAAGTCGGGGAATGCTAGTGTGGGAGCTGTCTCCAGGGCCTTTTTGAGAGAGCGAAAGGAAGAATAGGGAAAAAACTTAGGGTCTATGGGATCAGTTCAGTTACTCTTTGTGAGCTTGTAAAGTGGTTTGGTTAGGATAGCAAAGCCTGGTATCCAGAGTTGGAAATACCAAAAAATGCCTAAGAAGGAAAGGAGTTGTTGTTTGGTGGTGGGGATTGGGGTCTGGGAGATTAACTGAACACAGTCTGCAGGAATGGCACATGTATGTTGATGGAGGATTATACCAAGATAGGTAACGCTAGGGGAAGAAATTTGTGCCTTGGAGGGGGATACTCAGTACCCCTTTGAGTAGAGATGTAGAAGAAGCAGGATAGTGTCCTGCTGGGAAAATTGGTAAGAGGGGCTGCAAAGAAGAGGATCATCAAACTATTGAATAAGGTGGGAGGCAGACGGGCGAAAAGAAAGCAGATCATGAGAAAGGGCCTGGCCAAAGTAGTGTGGGCTGTCCCTGAAGCCTTGGGGCAGAACAGTCCAGGTGAGTTGTTGGGATTGGTGGGTGTCAGGGTCAGTCTAAGTAAAGGCGGAAAGAGGCTGGGAGGAGGGATGCAAGAGGATAGTAAAGAAGGTGTCTTTGAGGTCGATAACAGAATACTGAGTTGTGAAAGGGGGTATTGAAGATAGGAGGGTTTGGCACTATAGGATGGATGGGAAGGACGATTTGATTAATAAAGTGAAGATCCTGAAACAACCTGTATGACTTGTCTGGTTTCTGGACTGGTAGGATAGGGGAGTTGTAAGGAGAATTTGTAGGCTTTAAGAGGCCATGTTGTAACAGGCGGGTGATTACAGGCTTCAACCCTTTTAAAGCATGCTGTGGGATGGGATATTGGCATTGAGCAGGGTAAGGGTGATTAAGTTTTAATGGGATGGTAAGGGGTGCATGATTGGTCACCAAGGAGGGAGTAGAGGTATCCCATACTTGTGGATTAAGGTAGGGAGACACAAGGGGAGGATGCGAAGGAGGCTTTGAACTGGGGAAAAGGGTGACAATGAGGTGTGGCTGTAGCCCAGGAATAGTCAGGGAAGCAGATAATTTCGTTAAAATGCCTCGACCTAATAAGGGAGCTGGGCAGGTAGGGATAACAAAAAGGAGTGCATAAAAGAATGTTGTCTAAGTTGGCACCAGAGTTGGGGAGTTTTAAGAGGTTTAGAAGCCTGGCCGTCAATACCCACAACAGTTATGGAGGCAAGGGAAACAGGCCCTTGAAAAGAAGGTAACGTGGAGTGGGTAGCCTCCGTATCGATTAAGAAGGGGACGGGCTTACGCTCCACTGTAAGAGTTACCTGAAGTGTCTGTGATGGTGCAGGAGGCTTCCAAGGCGATCGGGCAGCGTCAGTCTTCAGCCACTAAGCCAAGAAAATCTGGGAAGGAGTCAGTCAGAGAGCCTTGGGCCAGAGTTCCAGGGGCTCTGGGAGTGGCTGCCAGGTGAATTGGACAGTCCTATTTCCAGTGGGGCCTGCACAGATGGGACATGGCTTAGGAGGAATCCCCGGCTGCAGGCATTCTTTGGCCCAGCGGCCAGATTTCCAGCACTTGAAGCAAGATCCTGGGGCAGGAGGTCCTGGAGGAACGCCTGGCCATTGTGGTTTAGGCGTTTTGAAGTTCTTGTGTGCTGGAGATGTGGCTGGAGTTTCTCTCACAGCAGAGACAAGTAATTGCAACTCAGAAATATGTTGCTGCTTGGCTGCCTCTTCTCTATTATTGTACACCTTGAAGGCGAGGTTAATTAAGTCCTGTTATGGGGTTTGAGGGCCGGAATCTAATTTTTGCAGCTTTTTCTAATATCGGGAGCAGATTGGGTAATAAAATGCATATTGAGAATAAGACAGCCTTCTGGCCCCTCTGGGTCTAGGGCAGTAAAACATCTGAGGGTTGTTGCCAAATGGGCCATTAACTGTGCTGAGTTTTTATATTTGATGAAAAAGAGCCTAAACGCTAACTGATTTAGGAGAGGTCGGATAAAGAAAATGGAGCATTAACCTTGACTACGTCTTCAGCTCCAGCCATCTCTCTAAGAGGAAATTGTTGGGCAGGTGGGGGAGGGCTAGTCGTGGAACAAAACTGTAAGTCAGACTGGGTGTGAGGAGGGGAGGTGACAGAAGGATTATAGGGTGGGGGAGTGGAGGCTGAGGAAGAATTGGGACCTGGCTTGGCCTGGCGAGGAGCAGCCTCGGGAGGAGGGGAGAGGTCAGATGGGTCCATAGAAAAGGATTCAGAGGACTCAGAGCTTGGGGTGGAGACTGAAGGAACAGACAAGAGAGAGAAAGAAGAAAGATTTGGGATGAGTTGCATTGAGAGCAGAGACTAGGGAGGGACCGATGTGTAAAGAATCCCTGGACGTCAGGCACCTCAGACCACTTGCCCATTTTACGACAAAAATTATCTAGATCTCGTAGGATGGAGAAATTGAAAGTGTTGTTTTCCGGCCACTTGGAACTATTTTTGAGTTTGTATTGGGGCCAAGCGGTATTACAGAAGAAAATAGGACATTTAGGTTTTAGGTCAGGTGTTAGTCAAAGGGGTTTTAGGTTTTTAAGAAAACAGGCTAAGGGAGAAGAAGGGGGAATGGAGGGTGGAAGGTTGCCCATAGTGAAGGAGGTAAGTTTAAAGAGGAAGGTAGAGACATGGAGAAGTGGTGGGGGAGGTGGGGGATGAGCAGCCCTGGGCTGTAATGTGGGTGAGCAGCCAAAGCAGGCGTCCCCATAATTGACCTGCCACCAAGTGAGTGTGGGTGAATGATCAAGGCAGGCGTCCCCACGGAGATCAGACACCAATGGAATGTGGGTGAATGATCAAGGCAGGCGTCCCCATGGAGATCAGACACCAAGGGAAGACTGTCTTCCCAAATCCGTGACTGACGTTGGAGTTTTTGAGTTCACAGATAAAATGTGTCTCCTTTGTCTCTACTACAGAGGAAAAAGAACTGGAATTGGAAGGATAGGGAGATTGAAGGGTAGCAAGAGAGGCTGGAGAAGAGAGTGAAGAGACCACTTAGCTGATTTGAAATTGGCAAGATATTCCTTGGGCTGGTCTGAGGACCCAAGGTCATATGTGGATCTCCTCACGGAGTGAGGGTGAGGATAGGGGGCCGGTCTCCCAAAGGAGTCCCCCGTCCCAGGTTTCGGCACCAAATGTTACACTTGTCTGTGTGAAGAGACCACCAAGCAGGCTTTGTGTGAGCAACAAGGCTGTTTATTTTCACTTGGGTGCAAGTGGGCTGAGTCCAAAAAGAGAGTCAGCAAAGGGAGATAGGGGTGGGGCAGGTTTATAGGATTTGGGTAGGTAGTGGAAAATTGCAGTTAAAGGGGATTTTCTCTTGCAGGCAGGGGCAGGGGTCACAAGGTGCTTGGTGGGGAGCCCCTGAGACTCACTGTCCAGGAGAAGGAATGTCACAAGGTCAATTGATCAGTTAGAGTGGGACAGGAACAAATCATAATGGTGGAATGTCATCAGTTAAGGCAGGAACTGGCTATTTCACTTCTTTTGTGGTTCTTTAGTTGTTTCAGGCCATCTGGATGTATACGTGCAGGTCACAGGGGTTATGATGGCTTAGCTTGGGCTCAGAGACCTGACAGTCATAAACCCATAAATGTAAATATAATGTTTCCCTGAGTTCTGTGAGCTGCTCCAGCAAATTAGTGGAACCTGAAGATGGAGCCATGGGAACCTCAGTTTATAGCTTAATTTAGAGCTGTTCATTGAAGGACAGGTTAAAGAACTTGGGGCTTCCAATTGGCTTTGAAAGTCGGGGGGCAGTCATGGAGACTGATCCCTCACCCTGCAGGATCTGACACTCAGGTGGATAATGTCAGAATTGAATTGGAGAATACCCAGTTGGAGGACCAAGTGGAGGTCCACTGCAGAATTGATTGTTCGCTCGAGGTGTGGGGAAAATCCTCCCCACAGCTGGTGTCAGAAGTGTGTTATGAGGCTATAATGGGAGAAACTGAGTTTATTTCTATATTCTCAGAGTTGGTTGAACTAGGACCCCTTACCCCTGATGTAATTTTCCACCCACCCAGCCTCACCTTGCTCTTTGCCTGTAGAGTCCCAGTTGCTTATGCTGTATTCTGAATTGAGCCCACTTCTATACTGAGGACCTGTTTCCCCTACTGCAATGGTCCTGAATGAAGTCTCCTCTTACCATGTTAACTACCACCCGGCTCTGGCATTTCCTTGACAGCAGCACTGCCTGTGGAGGTTGCTCTGAGGGGGCTCCTCTGGTTTGGACATAGGGTTCCTGCCAGGCTGTCATTACGGCGGCCTCCCTAGTTCATGGCCCCGCTGCCCCTGAGCTAGGGGTTTGTGATTGGGACCACGCAAGGCACTGGACACTAGACGTGAACGTCGCTCACAGGTTTCCCTGCTGCTGGAAAGTGAAAAACAAACGATGTCAAGCCTGTGTCTCCATTTCCACATTCTTTTTTTCCAAATTTGTTGTCCTCTCCTGCCTGTACCTGATGGTTTCAAGGATGAGTGGTGGTGACACTGTTTTTAGGGGTGGAAAGAACACACATTTATCTCATTCGTAGCTTCTTTCACCACAATTTCCAAGCCTAAAAAAAAAAACAACAACACTTTAGGCCGGGCACAGGGCTCACACCTGTAATTCCAGAACTTTGGGGAGGCTGAGGCAGGCGAATCACCTGAGGTCAGGAGTTCAAGACTAGTCTGACCAATGGTGAAACTCCATCTCTACCAAGAAATACAAAAATTAGCCGAGCATGGTGGCACGTGACTGTAATCCCAGCTACTCGGGAGGCTTAGGCAGGAGGATTGCTTGAACCCGGGAGGCAGAGGCTGCAGTGAGCAGTGGAGTGGAGGTTGCACTCCGGCCTGGGAGACAGAGTGGGACCCTGTCTCAAAACAACAACAACAAAATAACCACATTCCTGCCTGGATGATTCAGAACAGGAACAGTGATTCACCTGGATCCTAGGGGAGGGCTGAGTTCCCTCCTTCTTTGAACCATCTTCCTTCTGTCCCAACTTTCTCCTCTAGGCCCCCAGTAATAATCCCTTCAGAACAAAGGTCCTAAAATGTTTATTTGCCTTTGCTTTCCTCTTTCTGCCTGTGCCATCCTCCCTGACTTTGTCTGATAAGCATTCTTTCTTGTGTACTTTTATTTAAAATTGTTTTTGAAATTCCAAATGATTTCATGTTAATATAAAATACTTAAAAATATATATCCCCAAATGACTATAACTCCTATTGATGACATTTCTAAATGCGCAGTACTCTCTGGTTATTAAATTACAGTCCCTTTCTAGCCTATCTGTCCCTCCGCCTTTTGTTTTTTACTTTATTTATTTTAAAATTTTAATTGTGATAAAATACACATAAAATTTACTATCATAACCATTTTAAGTGTACAGTTTTAATAGTATTAAGGAAATTTACATTATTGTGCAGCCATCACCACCATCCATCTCTAGAACTTTTTAAAGAAAATTATTAAACATTTTTTTTTTTTGAGACAGGGTTTTGCTCTTGTTGCCCAGACTAGAATGCGATGGTGCAATCTCAGCTCACCGCAACCTCCGCCTCCCGGGTTCAAGCAATTCTCCTGCCTCAGCCTCCCAAGTAGCTGGGATTACAGGCATGCGCCACCACTCCCTGCTAATTTTTTGTATTTTTAGTAGCGACAAGGTTTCTCCATGTTGGTCAGGCTGGTCTCGAACTCCTGATCTCAGGTAATCTGCCTGCCTCAGCCTCCCAAAGTGCTGAGATTACAGGTGTGAGCCACCACGCCCAGACAAATTATTAAACTTTTTAAAGAGCAGTTTAGTGTCACAACTTTTAAAGGAACAGTTTTAGGTTCACAGAAAAATTGAGAGCAGAGTACAGAGTTCCCATGTGCCCACTATCCCCACAGGTGCACAGATCCCCTGCTTGACATCTTCCACCAGAGTGCTGCACTCGTTATGATCAGTGAACCTACACTGACACATCATTATCACTCAAAGTTCTCCAGAACCTTTCATCTTGCATAACTGAAACTCCATCCCCATTGAACAATAACTCCCATTCTCTTCCCCCCAGCCCCTGGCAGCCATCATTCTGCTGTCTGTCTCTATGATTTTCATGACTAGGTATGTCATATAAGTGGGCTCACACAGTATTTATCTTTTTGTGTCTGACCTAAATTACTTAGTGTAATGTGTTCTCAAGGTTCATCTGTGTTGTAGGATTTGTCAGAATTTCCATCCTTTTTTTTTTTCTTTTTGAGACAGAGTCTTGCTCTGTTGCCCAGACTGGAGTACAGTGACACAATCTTGGCTCACCACAGCCTCCACCTCCCAGATTCAAGCGATTATCCTGCCTCATGTCACCATGCCCGGCTAATTTTTGTATTTTGAGTAGAGACGGGCTTTCACCATGTTAGGCAGGCTGGTCTTGAACTCCTGACCTCATGATCCATTCACCTTGGCCTCCCAAAGTGTTGGGATTACAGATGTGAGTCACCGTGCCAGCAGAATTTCCATCTTTTTTTTTTTTTTGAGACAGAGTTTTGCTCTTGTCGCCCAGGCTGGAGTGCAATGGCATGATCTCGGCTCACCGTAACCTCCGCCTCCCAGATTCAAGCGATTCTCCTGCCTCAGCCTCCTGAGTAGCTGGGATTACAGGCGCCGCCACCATGCCCAGCTAAATTTTTGTATTTTTAGTAGAGACAAGGTTTCACTATGTTGGCCAGGCTGGTCTCGAACTCCTGACCTCAGGGATCCACCCACCTCAGCCTCCCAAAGTGCTGGGATTACAGGCATGAGCCACCATGCCCGGCTCAATTTCCATCCTTTTAAAGGGCAAATCATATTCCTTTGTGGGTATACACCACATTTTGGTGATCTGTTGTTCTGTTGAGGGACATTTGTGTTGCCCCCACCTTTTGGCTATTCGGAATGATGCTGCTATGAACAAAGGTGTGCAGCTATCTCTTTGAGACTGTGCTTTCAATTTTTGTAGTTACACACTCAGAAGTGGAATTGGGGCCGGGCGCAGTGGCTCACGCCTGTAATCCCAGTGCTTTGGGAGGCCGAGGCAGGCGGATCACATGAGGTCAGGAGTTTGAGACCAGCCTTGCCAACATGGTGAAACCCCGTCTCTACTAAAATACAAAAATTAGCCGGGCGTGGTGGCAGGTGCCTGTAATCCCAGCTACTCAGGAGGCTGAAGCAGGGGAATCGTTTGAACCTGGTAGGCAGAGGTTGCAGTGAGCCAAGATTGTGCCACTGCACTCCAGCCTGGGCAACAAAGCGAGACTCCGTCTCAAAAAAAAAAAAAAAAGAAAAAGAAGTGGAATTGCCGAATTGAATGGTCATTCCATTTTTAATTTTTTGAGGAACTGACATACTGCTTTCCACAGCAGCTGTACCATTCTACGTTTCCATTAACAGAGGACAAGAGTTCCAATTTCTCCATCCTCACCAACACTTATTTTCTTTCTTTCTTTAGTTTTTTAATAGTCACCATCCGCATGGGTGTGAGGTGGTATACACTTTTGCTTTTTAGCTTTTATTAAAAGCCTGGTGTCTTTCGGCCACAATCCTTTTCTTCAAAGCCTAACTGGGCACTTCAGTGTTCAGCTGTATATTTCCTTTCTCGAAATATGTACAGTAGGAGTATGTTTTCTCTCTGACTTAGGGAAAACTGAGTTGATGTCTTCAGGTGGGGGAACAATTAGCCAGCAGAGACATCTGCCCCCTCAGAGAGTGCCTGGAATGATTCAGCCAAATTTTCTGACTTGCAAGGGGTCCTTTTCTGCTATTAAGGCTCCTGAGCACCCATCCCAAAGTTGTATGTTCCCCCAGAGAACAGCTTTCCCAGATGGAATCTTGGTGCAGCTGTCGGAGGTGCTTGGGTACCCTTCCAGGTTATATGTTATGTGCATGTGAATTTAGTGATAGGAACCTTGGTCTCACTGAGAAGTAATGAAAAGGGTCTAAAGTCTGTGATGCTAGGCCAGGGGCAGTGGCTCACGCCTGTAATCTCAGCACTTTGGAAGGCCAAGGAGGGTGGATCACCTGAGGTCAAGAGTTTGAGACCAGCCTGGCCAACATGGTGAAATCCTATCTCTAATAAAAATACAAAAATTAGCCGGGCATGGTGGTGCGTGCCTGTAATCCCAGCTACTGGGGAGGCTGAGGCAGGAGAATCACTTGAACCCAGTAGGCAGAGGTTGCAGTGAGCTGAGATCACGCCATTGCACTCCAGCCTGGGCGACAGAGCAAGACCCCATCTCAGAAAATAAATAAATAAGTAAATAAGTAAAGAAATAAAAGTCGGCCAGGCGCGGTGGCTGACGCCTGTAATCTCAGCACTTTGGGAGGCCGAGGCGGGTGGATCACGAGGTCAGGAATTCAAGAGCAGCCTGGCCAAGATGGTGAAACTCCGTCTCTACAAAAAATACAAAAATTAGCTGGGCATGGTGGCAGGCGCCTGTAATTCCAGCTACTCAGGAGGCTGAGGCAGAGAATTGCTTGAACCCGGGAGGCGGAGGTTGCAGTGAGCTGAGATCGTGCCACTGCACTCCAGACTGGGTGGCAGATCAAGACTCTGTCTCAAAAATAAATAAATAAATAAATATAAAAATCTGTGGTTATAGAAGGTAATCATTATTACAACATTATACATTACAGCAATGTATCCTACAATTACGTTGAAGTTCGTAAAACACAAGTGGCACAATTTTTCCTTTTGGAGCCTCAGTCAGGGGTCTTGAGGCGGTGTCCCCAGGGGCACACCCTTTGGTTTCCGCCTCGGAGTGCTCAGCCCCAGCCCAGTGCCTCTGACCGGAGACCAGGGCCGCGAAGCAGCTTGTCTCCCGCTAGAGGGCGCTGGGCTCCTTGGTTCAGATCGTCTTCGGGACTCCAGGGAGGCCTCTGGCTCTCTTCCGGTTTGACTGGGCCTCCCGGGCTCTATTTTTAGGCCTCTGTGTTGGCCTTGGGCGTTCAGACCTGGAGACCCCGCTGAATCAGGGAATAGCGTAGTCTCTCACAGGATATGAGTGGTGACCCCTCAGGAGTCAGGGTCCCTGTGAGGGTGGGGTCACCGTTCACAGAGCACCCAAGGACCACGCAGGGGAGGTGGAGGGGGGGAAGAAGGCCTTTTTCTCACGTTTCGAGATTCGTTCTCACATTCGTTCTCAGACTTTGTTCTCACATTCTTTTTCAAAAGGAAAATAAAATTTTAAAAGAAAAATGCTAGGGACCAAAGAAAAACGTATTCATCTACCTTGACTTCTCCTATGGTACTTCCTGAAAAGTTGAAAATTGTGTGGGAGGCGCAGGAAGCCATCCCTTCTGCTTCCTCACTTGCTGGTGCGACCTCCTCGCAGCGTTTGGGCTCTGCAAGCTTTCAGCGGCACCAGTTCTGAGAGCAGGCGCCCAGGCCCCACCCTCAGCGCTTCCCACTCCATAGAGCCGGGTGTGGCCCAAGAATCTGCCTTTTTTGGCAAACACCTCTTTGGAGTCTCAGGCGGGTAATCCTCAAACCACACTTTGAGGCACTTTCCACGGGGCTCATGTCCTCTGATGCTGTTTGCTTACTTCTTACAGTTCTCACAGAAATTTTACACTCCCAGTAGGAAGCCTCCATGCAGGAATTCCACACGTTTTAGTATTTTAGACTACCGGTTCCTTCTCCTCTGTGCGAGTCCCCAGGCAGGCCCTATCCTGAGTTCTGAAACGTGGTGGTGTCTTCAGCAACCCCTCAGTTCTAACCCCTGCTTCCTCAGTTCTAACCCCTGCTCCCCATTCCCGACCCTCAGCCTCCTACTTCTGATGCTCCGGGGCTGCCCTGAGCCTGGCAGCCTTCTAAATTTCTTTCATTTATTGCACTGAGCTCTTGGAAGAAATCTTCCCTCCTGCGATAGAAGCCCTTAAGTAAGAGTCTGGCTTTCCGTCTCTTTCCCTAGTATCAGGGTCTCACTCAACTCCAACTCCAGACTCACAAACGCACACATGCTGTGTAGCTGCAACAACTGTGACTGTTCCCCAGGCATACTCCGGCAGCTAGACAACAGCTAATGTTCAGGTTTGTGCAGTGCGTCCTGCTTTGATGGTGCTGGGTAAAAGCTGAGGTCACCGGGCCTGGCGGCTCATGCCTGTAAATCCCAGCATTTTGGGAGCCCGAGGCGGGAGGATCGCTTGAGCCCAGGAGTATGAGACCAGCCTGAGCAACATAGGGAGACCCCATCTCTACAAAATAAATAAATAATGTAGCTACGCATGGTGGTGCGGGCCTGCAGATCCAGCTATTCAGGAGGCTGAGCTGGGAGAATTGCTTGAGCCCAGGAGGTTGAGGCTGCAGTGAGATGTGATTGCACCACTGCACTCCAGCCTGGGCGACAGAGGGAAACCCTGTGTCAAAAAAAAAGCTGAGGTCAACGGATTTAGGAATCAGTCATTACCCCACCCATGTCTGAGACAGCTGGGAATAGAACATATTGAGCAAAAATCCACTTTGGAGGCCGGGCGCAGTGTCTCACGCCTGTAATCCCAGCACTTTGGGAGGGTGAGGCGGGTGGATCACGAGGTCAGGAGTTCAAGACCAGCCTGGCCAAGATGGTGAAACCCTGTCTCTACTAAAAATACAAAAATTAGCCAGGCACGGTGGCGGGCGCCTGTAATCCCAGCTACTTGGGAGACTGAGGCAGGAGAATCACTTGAACCCGGGAGGCGGAAGTTGCAGTGAGCCGAGACCGCACCATTGCACTCCAGCCTCGGCGACAGAGCGAGACTCCATCTCAAAACAACAACAACAACAACCACAACAAAATCCACTTTGGAGAATTTGATGCAGAGATGACAGGTAATTGGGAGAGGGGCTCCTGGCACCTCTGAGACTGACACAGATGGTATCTTTAAGACACACAGCTGGACAAACTACTGCCTCTTCAGCGTGTATGAGAATGCCGGCAGAAGCAGACATCTAATTTCCTCCACTTCCCAGCTTTGATCACCTTCTTGCTCAATTTGCATGCTAATTACTAAGTCTCTGGTTAGCAGCCCCTAGCTATCTGCCCTAGGTCTGCTGTCAAGCTCTCACATCAATTCTGTCACCAGTTTGACTCAACTATCAGGGTCAGCCTCTTGGAAGGGCTACTCCCGAGCCTACAGTCTGAGAGGCCACCCCACCCGCCCCCATTCAAGTATCAACTCCCCAGTGCCAATGGCAGCCATCAAAGAGAGCTGTCTGTCAGCACAGAGAGGTCTGGGGTTGTAGGAAGGGGGCTCACAAGTTGGCCTGGCCCTAAAGAAGGTAGGTACCAGGGCCCAGGTTTCAGACCTTGGTCTTGCATGCCGAGAAACTCTATTTTGTCCATGGCTCTGTGGTGCGGGGACTCAAGAAGCTCACAAGAGAATGATGCATAAAGCCATCACTTAAAATGAGAAATAAGATCAGATATTTGTGTCCGCATGACCAACCAAACAGGCAGGGGCAGGGCGCCGGGGGCTTTCCTTGGTGGTCATGGGTCAGAACAAGTATGGCAAGAGGTAGATTCCAGTGGAAATGGCACGGCTCTCTGCCTGCATTCAGTCAGCCAATACTCAGCTGGAATCTTCCCCATGGCTACACCAGTTATTAATGACTGGCATCTGTTCAAATTTGTCAGTGTCTTTGCCACATCAGACCAACTGTTGTAATATCAGTTACATATTATTGCCATCACCTTTAACAATAGGTGCACATACACCTGCTGGAAGAGTTGGTTTTTAGTAGGCTGACAGCATTGTCTCTCCCCTAGACTGACTACACAATTCCTTAGGTGAAGTCCTGATTAGATAAGTAAGCAACAAGAGGAAGGGGCCCCAGGTGGGGAAGAACAATGAACAATCATTCTGAGAAACACAAATCAGAATCACAAACAATGGCCTGTTCTGGGGGCACAATGTCCTCATTCAGCACATAGCCCCCTCCAGCACGGCCCTGTAAAATTTCCCTCCAGGCCCCCACCTCTTGGCAGACAGACGCTTCTCTGCTGTGCTGCCCATTGCAACGTTGCAAGGTATTTTCATACTTCCTCTTATAATCCGCCTTTCTTTACCTACAACTGTCTTGGTAAATTCCTTTACCACCTGCGACCATGGCCCCAGCTAGTCGTACCCGTGCCATATTACACTTTAAGAGGTTCTATTCATTGGTTAGCTACCAGCACCTAGCACATAGTAGATGCTCTATGGCACAAATCAGCGTTCATGATGTTGAGCTCAACCGACTGCTAATGCCTGGATGGACTCTGCCAGTTTGCCTCCATGCTTCCCTTTTCCGAGCCTCCATGGTTGACTACTCTCAAAACTGTGACATTCTTTCCTTGCATCTGCCAGACTCAGGTGACCTTGCTGGCTCAACAATGAATATTTTACTGAGCACTTATTATATGCCAGGCTTTGGGGATATGGCAGTGGATAAAATAGTCACAGTTCCTGCCTGCTAAAGTCTCACATCTGAGGATGGAGTTAGGCATTAAACACAGGAGATGAGGAATGTGGATGGAGAAGGATCCAGGCTGTGGGAGCACGTGGGAGACGGATGGGGTAGTCTCCTGGAGGAAGTGATGTTTCAGCTGAAGTATCAGTGAGTTGGGGGAAGGGAAAGGGGACAGGGGAGGTGAGAAGATGAGTAATTCGGGCACAGCAAACAGCCTTTACAAAGACTCACATATGGGAAAGAGTAAGTTGGGTTGGCACAGCAGGAACGGAAGAGGTGGGCCAGAGATGAGATGAGGATTGGGAGCATGGTGGCCAGGGGAACGCACCTTGTAGACCTCTAACTCTGGGCAGCAAAATTGACCAGGGGCTCCTGCCACTCACACCAAAGCCAGGCTTCCCCTAGGGACAGAAATCCTTTGTCGCTAGCTTTGGCTCAAGGATTCCATGGTGGTTTGCTGAACTTTCCTTAGACTTCAGGGTCGGCAGACTACGTCTACCCTCCACTCTCACCTTCCCCTTCCTGTGGGGCCAGACTCACATCACACTGGATGGGTCTCCCAGACTCCTGCAGCTCCCTTCCACATTTCTGTCACAATTTCCCCAGAAAAAACCCTTGCATGCAGGCGTGGTGGCACACACCTGTAGTCCCAGCTACTGAGGAGGCTAAGGCAGGAGAATCACTTGAACCCAGGAGGCAGAGGTTGCAGTGAGCCGAGATTGCGCCACTGTACTCTGTGTCTGCTTCTGGGAGGATCTGAACTAACACAGGAGGCTTTACCCTAATGGTACTGTAAAGCCATTGAAGAGCTTTAAATGAGGAAGTGACATGATTAGATTAAAGCTCAGTCTGGCTGCTGGGTAGAGAATTTGACAGAGGGGACCAAAAGTAGGGGCGGGAAGGCCCATTTGGAGGCTGTTACAGTGATCCAGGTGAGACGGCTTGGAGTAGGGTGTGGGAGAGGAGATTTTAAGCTGTGGTTGAATATGGGAGATACTTAGGAAGAAAAGATGGCACTTGGTGTTGGATTGAATGTGGAGTGTGAGGGAGGAATTGAGGATGATTCTAGGATCCTGGCTCATGGTACAAGAGGGAAAAAGCTAGAGTTTGGGAGTTGTATCCAGCTCTGCTTAGGGAAAAATGCAGAATCTGGCCTGTAGAAAGGTGAGTTCTGTTGTCAGTCAGGATGGCTCACTGTCTTCCCTGCTACCTGGGTGAAACACCCCTTGGCAACACCCACCGCCAAGTTCATGTTCATGTTCATGTTCACCGAACAGCATTCTGATTGTTCATTTGGCCACACAGGTGTTCAAACACCAGGCAGACCCTTCTGGAAAGGAATAGTGCCTGATAAAAAGGAATAAATGAATTCATTGGAATTCCAGTTTATCCGACAATGTCGCCGGTATCTAGTGGTTCCAAGCTAACATCTCCAAGTCTGAGATACTGGCAAGGATGAAGCCCAGACTCTGGTAAACTCACCAGAGGAACTCTGGTCTCAGGGCCTTTGTGTAGACAGCCAGCTGGCCTTCCTTAGAGACACACCAGGGCAGGCTGAATAATGACCCCGAATATGTCCACACCCTGAATCTCTGGAACCTGTGACCATGTTACCATATAGGGGACTGTGCAGGTGTGATTGAGTCAAAGACCTTGAGGTGAGGGGGCTCATCCTGAATTATCTGGGTGGGGCCAATGTAATCTCAAGGGTCCTTATAAGAGGGAGGCAGGAGGATCTGAGAGAGTAATAGGAGATGTGATGACTGAAACAAGAGGGGCCATGCAAGGAAGGGGCCAGGAGCCAAGGAATGCAGAAGGCCCCAAGGAGATGAAAAGACAAGGAAACATTCTCCTAGAACCTCCAGAAGGAATGCCAGCTTGCCCACACCTTGGATTTGGCCTAGCAAAACTGATTTTAAAATTCTGACCTCCAGAACTACAAGAGAATAAATTTGTGCTGTTTTAAGCTACTGAGTTTGTGATAAGTTGTTACATCAGCAGTAGGAAGCCAGTACACTCCAGCTGCACCATCTCACCTTTTTAAAAGACAAGTAGCAGATTAAATATATATATCCCTATTATATTGTATATTATATATAATATATATATGCCTATTTTTTGGCCACAGTAACTAAAATGAGGGAGCCATGTAGAATAAGCATGTGTCATATTTGCGTATGCTTAATATCTTTTGAATAAATTCCTTTCCTATTTTTAGGCACTTCCAGGCCATGCTGCGTTTCCCAGTATCTCTTGCAGCTAGGACACAAACACTTGACCTGGGCCTCCCCACCATCATATGCACCTTAGTGAGAAGGCCCCTGGAGGATTCCTCTCCCAGGGGCTCTGTGGAGCAGTCACTGAGATCTCAGGGGCAGCAGGGGCAGAGGTCCTGGCTGTGGTGTCCCATCTCAGTATCTAAAGTGTGCACCTGCACTCAGCAGTGGTGGGAGGATGATCTGGGTATTGTTCCAGGCTGTAGAGCCTTCAGGCCTGATTTGCTGGCCTTTCTGGAAATCCTGTGAGCCACACAGTATCCTTCTATGAATCTGTTTGCTACTTAATCTTGTACTGTGGATTCTTTCATTTGCCACTAAGAACTCTGACTGATACATACCTTATGGCAAGGTTGTCAGTGTTAGTGCTGGAAGGTGAAGCATTTTGCTTTTCCAGACAGCCAGAATCATTCAGCAAGATCAGGAAATGGAAGCCAAAGTGCACATTAGTTTGTAATTACAGCTGCAGAGCATCCCAGCAACCACAGAACAGCTGGTGCTCTTTAGTCCTAGAGTGGCCGTGGAGGGGGACCATGTCCAGAGAATAAGTGACTATGGGGTTTCCAGGTGGGCTTCAGAAGGGCCCATCTAGGAGAGGTGAGGGATGACTGGCATAGTTTCCTCAGATGCAGGTGAGGGAGGTGCTAGGAGCACTCTCTCAGAGCCACTTTCCCCCAGGGATAGCCAGTTGCTATTTCAGTTTGGGGAGAGGTGCCTGAAGTCCTCCTGGCTTTCCTCTCCCTCCCCTCCCTTCCTGTCCCCTGAGTCTGGGCCAAGAAGGCTCACAGATGAGGAGCCAGATGTGAGCAGAGCCTTGACACACAGCCGCTTCCAGGAGCTCGTGCTCAGCCTGGAACACTGTCAAGGAGATGACAGATGTGCCTTCCTCCTTGGGTCAGCTTCAGATGAAGTCATCCTTTCCCTCTGGACTCTATCAGGATTAGCCGTTGGTATTTCTGAGTCACTTCACAGTTCATACGCACTTTGGAAACCAGAAGTATCGTGTGAAAATCTCTGCAGATGAGATTTTTATCCTGGGCCTTTACTTTTGAGGATGCTCTTGAGACACTGAACCAAGAACATTGACCAGAACATTGAATGTTATTTTGAGGATTTTGAGAATTAAGAAGCATAAAAGAAGGAGAAACACATTGGTGATGAATGTGTTCAGGAGGCCATAGGGGTTGCAGCTACTATAAAATCAAATCCATGCCTCTGAAGTGCTCCCACGCCCTCCGGGGGATGCTGTTTATGAGTTTTCTTGGATCTTACAAGGGGCAAGTAAGATTGCCTCGTCTCACACAGAGCTTCCTTTGAAGAATGCTAATCCTGTGAGGACTTTTCCTTCCATGATATTGTTGAGGAGGAGTTTTCTGATTACCATTGCCTGAAATGGCTTAAGGCTAAAATATCCTAACCCAAAAGTCTTTAGAAAGGGAAAAGTTAAGACCTTGTCAATAATTTATAATCTAGTGGTAATCAATATGTTAGTATTCAATCGGATTGTTTTCAACATCCCTTCAGCAGAACAATTTCCCAAGAAATGTGTGTCCATAATTATGTTTTTATGGGGGAGAGGGGTAAGGACATTCATTGATGAGGAAATTACATTAGGGAGAAACAGACCATTCACAGGGAGCCCTTTGTCGAGCAGAGCAAAGCTGGAAAGCTGTCATAGCGAGGACCCGTCCTTCCTTCCTTGATGGTGTGTGTGTTTTATCTATTACACTGGAAAATGTAGCTCTACAGAGGGTTTGCTCTGAGCATGACTCTATCAATTGAGAGCTCAAGTAGAATTCTGATGGAAACTAAGATTACAATGTAATACAAAACCAGTGACCTGTGTTAATTGTGCGTTGCTGATATGGCTGCAATAAGTTGAATTCATTGCTGATGTGGGTCCAACAACTTGGTGTATGTAGTGAACACAGGAGACCAAGGGCTGTCCTTCTCAACCACGGGCTCCCTGAGTGATGCCCTCTTGTCCCCACAGCCACTCTTCTCTCCCGTGGGAAGATCCCTGTCCCTTCTCATTTCTTGGGCAAGTATATTGCTTTCCCAACATGGGCATTATTGGACAGCTTCTGTACTCCTCAAGAAAACCTAAATATTACTATCTCTCCTGCCTTCCCAAGACAGTTTCTTTCCCCAGAACTGAATTTCAGAGCTCGGTAATCCCTGGCACGGTCTCCATGAGTCCAGATGGGATACACTTTACAGATAGACCTGCACACCCCCTTCTATGCACCTCACTCCCTTGACACTTCTTTTTTGTTTGTTTGTTTTTTTGAGATGGAGTTTCACTCTTGTCACCCGGGCTGGAGTATAATGGCGCAATCTCTGCTCACTAAAACCTCGCCTAAAACCTGAGGCAGGTTCAAGCGATTCTCCTGCCCTGGCCTTCTGAGTAGCTGGGATTACAGGCGCCCACCACCACGCCCAGCTAATTTTTGTATTTTTAGTACAGACAGGGTTTTCACCATGTTGGTCAGGCTGGTCTCAAACTCCTGACCTCCGGTGATCCGCCTGCCTCGGCCTCCCAAAGTGCTGGGATTACAGGCGTGAGCCACCACGCCCAGCCCCTTGACACTTCTTGACACTGTTCAGACCCCACATAACATACATACTTAACTGGGATTACCTGCTTTGCAGGATCTTGCACATAATGTACATACTTGACTGGGATTACCTGCTTTGCAGGACCTTGACTCCTGAAGCTAGGAAATCCCTGGAGACATCTGTAAAGGTCACCAATTAGTTTTCTCCAATGTTGGCTCTAGTTTAATCCCAAATGATCTAACACAAGTGACCCCCACATTTTTTGTTTGTGTCTGCTTTGAGGTGACCCCAGCTCTTCCCGCACCCAAGGAAGCAGGATGTAGCCACTCTTTAATAATCTATAAAATACCAAGAATACCAAAAATCAGCTACTCAGCATTCTGAAAATGATAGCAAACGTTTTGTAAGTACAATTGCAGCAGGGGGACATGGTCACATTAACTCGCATCCTGCTTTGGTACTAACAAAACATCCCCTTTGGCTTTTTGCTTCCTTTCCCTCCCCAAAGGAATTTGCTATTGTTTGTAAATATAGTATACCCCTAACACCAGCTTTATTTAACTCCACTTCACATTTTTAGCCTTTCTGAAAATTCATACTAGGTAGGTTTTACTTTTTTTGAAACAATTCCATTGAGGTAGAATTTACATACAATAAATTGGACTGGTAGGGTCAGGCTCAGAGCACTGTTTTATTTTTTACTTTATTTTTAAAAATTTTTGTGGGTACATAGTAGGTGTATATATTTATGGGATACATGAGCTATTTTGGTACTGGCATGCAATGCATAATAATTAAACCATGGAAAACCGGGTATCCATCCCCTCAAGCATTTATCCTCTGTGTTACAAACAATCCAATTATATTCTTTTAGTTATTTTTTGAAATGTACAATTAAATTATTATTAACTGTAGTCTCCCTGTTGTGCTATCAGATACTAGGTTTTAATTCATTCATTCATTCTTTTTTTTTTTTTTTTTTGAGATGGAGTTTCGCTCTTGTTGCCCAGGCTGGAGGGCAATGGCGTGATCTCGGCTCACCGCAACCTCCGTTTCCCAGGTTCAAGCGATTCTCCTGCCTCAGCCTCCTGAGTAGCTGGGATGACAGGCATGCACCACCATGCTCAGCTAATTTTGTATTTTTAGTAGAGACGGGGTTTCTCCACGTTGGTCAGGCTGGTCTTGAACTCCCGACCTCAGGTGATTCGCCCGCCTCTGCCTCCCAAAGTGCTGAGATTACAGGCATGAGCCACCGTGCCCGGCCTTAATTCATTCTTTCTATTTTTTTTGGTACCCATTTATTATCCCTACCTCTCCTCACCTTGCCACCCCACCACCCTTCCCAGCCTCTGGTCACCATCTTCTACTCTATGCTCATGAATTCAATTGTTTTGATTTTTAGATCCCACAAATAAATGAGAACATTGAGCACTGTTTTAAGTGAACAGTGAGTTTTGACAAATGTATATGCCTATGTGACCACCATCATATTCAAGATATAGAATGTTTCTGTCATCCCAAAAAGTTCTCTCATGTCTCTTTGCTGTCAACCATCCTCTCCACCCTCAGCTCCAGGCAACTGCTGATCTGCTTTCTGTCATTATTGTTTCATTTTGATGGGCTTTAGTTTTAAGGAGAATATACTGTAGCCAATAAAATGGAGTTCTGCTTGCTTCTGCTTGACACCCTGCAAGGATCCACATGAGAAAATGTTAACATTAAAAACATAGCAATTGTATGTCATCTGAGCCACACAACATTGATCCTTTGCTGAATTCTTTTCTCTCATTAGTGTAATAAATTGTTTTCAAAGATGGCGCCAACAATTCCTCCCTCATGCCACTCCTCCCATCAAGAGGTGGAGTCTGTCTCCCCTTTCTTTGAACCAGAAGTGATTTTGTTACTTGATTTGACTGAAAGAATGAGAAAAAAGGCCGGACGTGGTGGCTCTTGCCTGTAATCCCAACACTTTGAGAGGCTGAGGCAGGTGAATCACTTGAACCTGGGAGTTCATGGCAAAACCCTGTCTCTACAAAACAAAAAATCCCCAAAACACAAATATTAGCGGGGCATCATGGCCTGCACCTGTAGTCCCAGCTACTCGGGAGGCTGAGGTGGGAGAATCGCTGGAACCCAAGAGGTGGAGGTTGCGGTAAGCCAAGATTGCACCACTGAACTCCAGCCTGGGTGACAGAGTGAGACCCTATCTCAAAAAAAAAAAAAAAAAAAAAAGAAGTGATGCTCTGCCAGTTCCAGGCTCCCGCTTTACAAAGCTTGAGAATGTCTATTTGGCCTATTGGGATTCAGCCACCGTGTAAGTAAGCTCAAGCCAGACTGCTAAATGATGAGAGACTCTGTGGAGAGGGAGCGCTCAACCAGCTCCCTGCTCCTCAAGCCACCCCAGCTGAGGTGCCAGACATGTAAGTGAAGCCATCTTGTGTGTTCCATCTAAATTCCAACTAAAGCTCCCAACTAAATGCAGCCACACAAGTGACCTTGAGCAACTCAGTACAGAGCCGAAGAACTGCTCAGCTGAGCCCAGCCAACCCCCAGAATTGTGAGAAATAATAAATCTTTGTTTTAAGCCACTGAGTTTTGGGGTAGTTTGTTATACAGCAGTGGATAACTGAAGCCATCGGGAATGTTGAATGAAGGTAATGCCCTCCTAGAAACACCTGAAACAACATCAGCAGAGGGAAAGAACATGCGGCCTCCATAATACTGTGAAGCAGTGACTGCCCCTTTGTGAAGTCCCAGAGGCAGGTCATTAAACCAGATCCTCCCAAAGGAAGCAGAACCCAGGATGCAGTCACAGCCAAGAGAGGCTTCTTCAGGGGCTCTCAGGAGCTCAGTGTGGGGAGTTGGCTCAAGGGAAAAAGGGATTCCAGGTCCTCCTCCTTCTCTTTGTGGCTTTCCGAGGGAGAGTCTTACCCAGGTGGGGGGAGTCGTAGCTGAAGAATTTGAGTTTCTAGGGAGACCTAGGATGATTTAAGAGGTTAAGAGCTTCTTAGAGCCACGTCTTCTTAGGAAGACCCAGATGAGAAATGATTCAGGAATTCCCATGATCAAAGGCTAGCACAATCTGTGGCCTGCAAAAGCTACTCACAAAAGTGTTTGTTAAGTCAATAAATTTCTGCTTGAGTTATTTGGATATTCCACAGGCTAATTAGATTTAGGGAATCCAAGACTGGTGCTGAGGTGTCCACCAGGCATGAACAATTCACTTTGACAGTTCCTAGATCATCATGCACTCTGCAGACCAAAGAGAGCCATAGAAACCTTAATTTGAAGATTAATTATTTAGCCTGTTGTAGACTTAGCCTTCACCTAGCATTTAACTATAGAATGGGAGCAAGTTTGGGACATTCGTATGAACCCATCATCACTTGCCCTTTCTTTCCTGGAAGACTTGATAATCTTCAACCAAACCTCCAGCTCACGGAAAAAGGATCTCTAGCAGCAGCTTATTTGAATTGAGGAGGATTCCTAATGGAGTGTATGGAAATTGTTGCTCTAGATGTTTGAATAACCAGGTGGTAAAGCAAGGGGACCAGCATTTCCTGATAAATACAAGCAGTCTGCTGCTAGCTGAGGCTGTTTTGAATTGGATATGGTAACAAGAGCAACACCACTTCACCTCTGTCTCACCTGAATTATCCAGTAGTTGGTGAGCTCCTCAGAGGAAGGAAGATGGGGCAGGGGAACTTTTCTGGATCTGGGCCCGAAGGATGCTTCTGCACCCCCAGCTTATTTTTTTTTTTTTTTAAGACAGGGTCTCACTCTGTCTCCCAGGCTGGAGTGCAGTGGCGCAATCTTGGCTCATTGCAACCCCTGTCTCCCGGGTTCAGGTGATTCTCCAGAGTCAGATTACTGAGTAGCTGGGACTACAGGTGTGTGCCACCATGCCTGGCTAATTTTTGTATTTTTAGTAGAGACAGGGTTTCACCATGTTGGCCAGGCTGGTCTTGAACTCCTGACTTCAAGTGATCTGCTCGCCTTGTCCTCCCAAAGTGCTGGGATTACAGGCGTGAGCCACTGTGCCCCGCCCCCAGCTTAATTTTTCTATGTTTGCAATGGTCATAGCACATCCTCTACATCTTCATTGTTCCCTGTGCATGCATTGAGATGAGTTTCCTTAGTGTCACCTGCAGAAAGCAGAGGAAGGAGAAAGAGGTGGGAATATGACAATTCCAGAAGTCTTCCTGCAAGAAGGGCCACAGCTAAGTGACAAAGACAAGGAGGGACAGGGACAGGCCAGCAGTAAATGTGGAGCAGCACCAAGTGCATGCCAAAAAGTCAGAGTTTTCACTTTCTAAGTTGGTTTGTGTCTTATTGAATAAATCAAAAGGACTTGACCCTGTGCTTATGCAAGATCTCTTAGTGGCGTGCAAGCATTTAGAAATGCTTGAAGTGCTGCACACATGAAAGGCAGAGTGACTTTGTTATTAGCTCCGTCTGTAACTGGATGACGGCCACACCCTCTGGCATCTGACTGAGTAGGAAAAAGGCCCCAGGGTGTCCTGTGCTGGGGACACCAGGTGACTGTACAGAGTCCATGCCAGCCAGGAGATCCCAGCAGGTGCGAGGCTGATGGGAAATGAGCAAGCTTGGACGGTTTTCCTGCCTGGATGGAGCGTCCGGCTTAGTCACTCTTCCCTCTGCCTGGGGGAGTGAAGTCACAAGCTCTCTGCTCTCACTGTCTTGCCAGCCCTTCTTCTCCCTTCCCTCGGCCCTCTTGCCTTCTCTAGGACCACAGATTAATTGTAACTAGAACCCTAAACACACTTACTGTAAGAGGCTTTCCCTTATAAACATAAGGTTTAAAAAAAGAGGGTCAAATGGCAAACAAACACCCTCAAAAGCAAGAAACAGCTGCATTCTGCAAAGCCAAGCTACTCTCAAGGATTTTTTTTTTCTTTTATAGAGACAGGATCTGTCGCCCAGGCTGGGGTGTAGTGGCTGGATCATAGCTCACTGTAGCCTTAAGCTCCTGGACTCAAGTGACTCTCCTGACTCAGCCTCCTGCGTAGCTGGGACTATAGGCCCATGCCACCATGCCCAGCTAATGTTTTAGACAAAATAAGGAGTAGGGCATAATCCAGGGTCAGGGCAGTTACAAAGAAATCCCTACTTGTAGTGCTTTTGTAGGCTGATAAATGATATTGATATTCTTAATGATAACTATAAAATACAGATCTTGAGACATATTTTTAAAACTATTTTTAAATTTTATTACTAATATCTACTGTGTATGCCACCCCCACATCCTTTTTGGAAAGAAATGAGGCAATATTAATAATAAATTCTCATGTTGATTTCAGGTGCTTTCACATACATTATTTCTTTGGTTTTCCCACAGCCTGTTGAGCTGGCAGAGTCTTGAACATATCAGGGACAGCTGTCTCTCGGATTTGTCTGAATCTGTAAGCAGTGTTGGAGCAGTCACCGCCATCAAGGCAGTGGCAGGATGGGTGTGTCTGTCCTGCAGTGCAGGGGTCTTGAAGGCTTTCTTGGGTTTTGCTGACCCTGTTGGCAGATATTGGCAGATTTTTTTTTTTTTTTTTTTTGAGACAGAGTTTTGCTCTGTCACCCAGGCTGGAGTGCAGTGGTGCAATCTGAGCTCACTGCAACCTCCTCCTCCTAGGCTCAAGCAATTCTCATGTGTTGGCAGACACTTTCTGACAATGTGTTAGGGACAGTATTTTAATCTCTGTGGCATGTCAGAATGCAGCCTCATTGGCTGGGAAGATTCCTTCGATCATTATAAAGGTGAAGGTTACCTTTGGACTCTTCTAGTCACAAGATACAGAAACCTGTTTAAATTGGCTCCAATAAAAAGGGGACATTTATATCAGGATGTGCTAATGTCTCAAGAACCCAAGGGCAGAAAGAGTCAGTAGTCTTGTGAGAGACTGGAACTAGAACAAATGCACGTGTCACACAGATGTCACACTTCTGCACCTGTGGGCAGAGAATGTGAGACTCTTCCACAACTAGGGCAAGGCTAGGCCCGATGCTCAAAGTCGAGATCTAGTCAAGCCTTGTTAGGATTTATTTACAAGGATCGCTCAGCATAACAGTATAGATATTATTGACCTGTTCAGCCTAACAGTGTAGTCCCAACCCAAAAGGGGTCAGGGAGACAGATTTCAAAGACAGAAAAAACACTTTTATATTAATATATAAAAATTAAATTTGTGATAAAACGTAACAAGTGGGAAAAATTATTCAACAAATTGTGCCAATCTCACTTAGAAGTTCACTTTATTTAATACTCCAAAATAAGTTCCAAACTAAAGGGTAAACATTTTTAAAAAGTATACCATAAAACCAAAATAAAATATAACTTAACGTTAATTAAGGGTTTAATGAAAAGAAGGGAATGACTCCTAAACCCAGAAACCACAGAGTAAAAATCACAAAGAAACACTGAGCTAGTTTGACATTTATTGAATACTTTATTATAAATGGTCTCTATTTTTAAGTACTTTGCCCACATTATCTAATGTATCTTCCAACTTTATGAAGATGGTATTATTATTCTCCTTTTTAAAGCTGAATAAACTTAGGCACAGAGATGTTAAGTAACCTGCTCAAATCCCACAGTAAGTGGTAGAGCCCTGCTTTATACTGGAACTGTCTGCCTCCCAAGCGGTGCTCTGGCCCTCTATGCCCTACTGTCTCCTTACACAAATTCAAATAGATTAAAAGGGCAAAGTTAATTCTATATGTATTTATCAAGCTGCCCCTAAGGGATGGCCACTCCAGACCATCAAGAAATAAATGAATGGCCAGGTGCAGTGGCTCACACCTGTAACCCCAGCACTTTGGGAGACCAAGGCAGGTGGATCACTTGAGCCCAGGAGTTGGAGACCAGCCTGGGCAACATAGAGAAACCCTGTCTCTACAAAAAATACAAAAATTAGCTGGGCGTGGTTGTGTGCGCTTGTAGTTACTGGGGAGGCTGAGGTGGGAGGATTGCTTGAGCCTGGCAGGTGGAGGTTGCAGTGAGCTGTGATCCTACCACTGCACTCCAGCCTGGGTGACAGAGTGAGACCCCATTTCAAAAAAAAAAAAAAAAAGAAAGGAAGGGAGGGAGGGAGGGAGAGAAGAAGGAAGGAAGGAAAGAAGGAAGGAAAGAGAGTTTCTGATCCTAGCAGGTACTGCAAAGAAGAAAGGAGGCTATGTGATGAATGGTGACCTGGCATGAATTGGGTGATCAGAGAAGGGTGGATGGGGGAGACTGGCTGGGAGATGGGATATATGGAGTATGGAAAAGGAGGGATCATGAAGGGCTCCTGGGTTTTGGGCAAAGGTGGATTATAGTGCCATTTATTAAGACAGGGAAGACCAGAGAAAGGACAGCAGGTTTAGGGAGGAAAACCTGGGGTTACATTTTGACATCTTAAATTTAAATGGCCCATTAGATATCCAAGTGGAGTGATAATACATGCTGAGCAAATATCACAAAGCAGTAACCTCAGATATATCTACAAAACCCAGTGAACTCCCCACAGATGTGTGGGCAAAGGATGGAAACTGATACTTTAGGAAAGGGAAAATATAGTCAATAAACAGACATGGGAAAATGTTCAGTCTCACTAGTAATCCAAGAAATGCAACTTGAAACATTGATGAGGGAGTACATTCATCCCATGGTAGCCGTGGCGGATTGGTTCCAGGACCCCTCAGAGAAACCAAAATTCGAGGATGCTCAAGTCTTTTACATAAAGTGACACTGTATTTGCACATCTTCCCATATACTTTAAGTCACCCAGATAACTTATAATACCTAATACAATATAAATGCTATTTAAATAGTTGTTATGCTAGATTGTTTTTAAATTTTGTATTATTTTTATGGACATATTGTTATTTTTTATGGTTCTTTTCCCAAATATTTTCAGTCTCTGGCTGGTTGAATCTATGGATGTGCAACCCCTGGAAACAGAGGGCAGACTGTATATTTTTAACTACTAAGTTGGAAAAATAATCAACAAATAATAACACTAGCAGAGTCAGGGTGAAACTGGTGCTCTCACATGTTGATGGTGACATTTTACAGTGGTGCAAATACTTGAGAAGGAATTTGGCAAGAGTCATAAAGATTCTTATATTCTTTGACCAATTTTTTTTCACTTTGGGGAGTCTATCTTAAGGGAAAGCTACCATGAGCCCATGATATTTATCATGAGGATATTCATAGTGAAAAGTCAAAAAACAAAAAGTAGGGGAATGGTTGTTGTATAAATTATGGTAAACCTTCTCCATTCCAGTGTTGTGCAGCCATTGTCTATGTTGGTGGCTTTCCTTCAAGTAACTAACAGAGTGGGGGAAAGTTCCAGCCTCCTGGCAGCTAAGTTGATTCCAATGGAAGCTGAAGAGGCTAAGGAGGTCTCTTGTCACAGGCCTCTTGTAGGGCCTAGGCCTGGGTCAGGGAAGGCTTCAGGCTGGTCCCTACAGCCTGGGACACCTGGAGAGATGGGGCACTGGAGCTCCTGGGATTGGCTGGGATCTCTGAGATGCTGTTTTAGTCCATTTGCACACTGCTATAAAGAAATACTTGAGACTGAGTAATGTATAAAGAAAAGAGGTTGAATTGGCTCACGGTTCTGCAGGCTGTACAGGAAGCATGGCAGCTTCTGCTTTGGAGGAGGCCTCAGGGAGCTTCCAGTCATGGTGGAAGGCAAATGGGAGCAGGCACATCACAGCTGGAGAAGGAGGAGAAGAGAGAGGTGGGGTAGGTGCCACATACTTTTAAATGACCAGATCTCACGAGAATTCACCTATCATGAGAACAGCACCGAAGGGGAAATCCACCCCAATGATCAAATCACCTCCCACCAGGCCCCACCTCCAACATCGGGGATTACCATTTGACATGAGATATGGGTAGGGACACAGACCCAAACCACATCAGATGCCCAGAAGGCAAGTGGGGTAAGAACCCACCACCTGGAGGCCTGTGCCCAATTTCCACTTTACATTATGAAATTTCCAACAACAGCCGGCACAGCTGCACTGAACTTTCCCTGAGCTGGAGATGGAGCCCAGTGACCCTGTGCTGCCCAGAGAGGGATGATGGGGAACTGGTCAGCTGATGGGAAGCTGATACCCACCCAAGTTACCCCATCACATTCTGCATTTCTCACACCGTCCTCCACTTGGCATGGGGTTCTTCTTAAAAGCACCTGAAATCACAAAGTGGGTCAAGGTCATTGCCCTTTTCAGCTACTCAGTAAGCTATTCAAATGTGTGCTGTTCAGCACAACATCACACCGCCAAGCTGCTGCCACCAGTTACCAGGCAATTTCTGTGGTGACTGCTAAAGCTGGCTTGGAATGCATTCTCCAGTCTTTAGTGGTTAGCTGGAAATCAGCAGTCTGCTTGGAGGGGTATTTTATGGGAATCAAATGACCTCCCCATTTTTCCATTTGTGTAAGCAGGAGAAAACTCAGCCCCCACCTCCTGGAGAGCCTTTGTTCAGCCTCATGACCCCTCTGAGCTGCTTTGGCCAAGGGCCCTTCAAAAATGACCCGAGGAAGTAAAACCAACCAGGGAATGTGGCCAGGAGAATCAGGAGGCTCAGAGAAACACTCCTGTCATACCATAGAAAATCAGGAATCTGGAATCATTTCACGCTCCTTCCCGTGACTCCCTTGCAGAGACTACTGTGTCCAAGTCAAACAGCACTTGGGAGCCTCCCTGCACCCTGAGCTGGGCCTGGGTTGCATCCCAGGGGCAGCAGCACCACTTGCCAAACATGAATGACTGCAGATGGAGCTGCTGATGGACCAGTGGAGGCCACGGCAGGAGCTGGCGGAGATGTTCCAGGGCGAGTGCAAGCATCCTCTGCACTCTAACACACCACCACTGCTCCTGGTGGCCATATACCTGCACCCCGTGCCAGGCATAATGCCAACACCGGGAACCTGCCTTAAAGCACAAGGGAAGTCTCAGGTCGCCTCATAACAATGTCCACGGTGGAAATTCTGAATACTTGGTGTATTGCCTTCCTCAGTTCCCAGCTCACTCAAATACTCAGGCTGCAGAGACCTCTTCAGAGCTGCCAATCACTGCTGCCACGCCCACTGCCCTGCTAAGGAGATCTGCCCTGAACCCCTCCTAAATGAATCCAGGGGGTCGAACGAGGCAGAGCATCTTACCTGAGGCCATCGACTGTTGATGTGAAAAAGGCTGATTAGATTTCTCTCTTGGTTCATTCTGAATGGGATTCTGAATGTGGAAACTGAGGGACCAAAAGATGGTATTGCCAAAGCAGAGGATCAGTTAAGAAGGAATAGAAAGTATGGGTAAAGCAAGCTGGCTGGAGACAGAAAAGGGCAGATGAGCAGGGAGAGGCAGAGGTTCCAAGAAGTGATCGCAAGAACTTGAGGGAGCCGGTGGAGAAAGAGAAAGAGATGAGACAGTGTGGTCTGGATGGATTTCTGTCCTTTTGAAGCTGAGCTATGCAGATCTTCCTTTGCTTAGATTCCATGAAATGTCCCTACAGTTGTTCCCTGTTTACTGGAACTGATCATGCTTGAGCGGGACTCTGTTCCCAACGGCCACCCACTCATGGGGTTCAGAACACATCTCAGTCCCTCTCCTGAGTCCCCATAGAGGCCTTCCCAGCACCCCTCCCTCATCTGCACCATCTGGAGAGCCAGGGTGTGC
This sequence comes from Homo sapiens, assembly GCF_000001405.40. Taxonomy (NCBI): domain Eukaryota; kingdom Metazoa; phylum Chordata; class Mammalia; order Primates; family Hominidae; genus Homo; species Homo sapiens. The sequence goes on along the minus strand of NC_000001.11, from coordinate 226,809,135 downwards.
TTTTCCTGTTTGTTTGTGGTTCCGACTCTTCCCCACCTTCTATCAGGAGGGCATCAGCCTTCGGAGCCCTGTGGAAGCCCATAGGCACACAGCCAGACTGCTGCTTGCACAGCACATGCTGGCTGCACCCCCTCTCCCCCCAGAGGACCCTCATGCGCTGCACAGAGGCAGCCACACACAGCCCTATGGCACCATAGGGTCAGCAGAGGGGCTCTGAACATCCAGAGCCTCCTGAAAATCATGCAAAGGACCCCACCCCTGGAGCCAGGCTCTGCTAGGGTAGAGTCCAGGGGGCCAGGAAGAGTCTGCAGAAAGGACACAAGTGTCTCCTTAGGAAGCTGAAGGCAGCACCTGGCTCCCAGCCTCCGCAGGGGTCAGCCAGCAGGGAGAAGAACTCCTTCTTAGAAGACCTCTGGAGTGACCACCATCCTAAAACTTTACCCTGAGCTGTCTGCCAAGGCTCCAGACAAGGGAATCCCCGGCGACAGACTCTTTCCCCCCGGGGTAGCTGGGTCTGATGCGTCCTGGGGCTCTTTGAGAGTGCCGACCTGGGAGCATCCCCATGGGCAGGTCTGACATTTCCTCAGACCCCAGAAGCAGGAAGCCAGTGCTTCCCATTACCTCACTCCTGTTCTCTCTCAGGTGCTTGACTGCCCACTGGGCTTTCTCCAAGGTTGAAAGCCCCACAGCCATACTGATGCCCCTGCCGAAAACCACAGCCGAGTCCTCAGCCTCACTTGACAAGCCCAGGTCATCCCAGGGCTTGGTTGGGCTATTTTTGCCTGGGTTGGTCTGGATTCCAGGCTGTGCCAGAATCCCTGCAGGAGAAAGGCTATTGATAACACAGACCTCCAGCTCTGAGCCCAGACTTGGTGAAGCAGAATCTCCAGACGTGGTTTTTGACGCTCCCCAGGTGATTCAGATGCACAGCCAGGGACGGAGCTCCTGACCTAGGCCAGGCCCTCTATTCCAGGTGTGGAAATAGACCAAGGGAGGTGAGAGGTCTTATGGCCACTCAAGCTTTTAATGGTGGGAGCGGCCAAGGGCTTTTCTTTCCAAACGAGAGAAATCCCCAAACAAGACTCTTTCAATGCACTTGTGTGGGTGTGATGCCTCCTGTGCTCATCGGGGCACACAGGTGGGGAGAGAGGAAATGGACAAAGTGACATTTATTTAGCACTCACTAGGAGTTGGGCCCTGGACACACCCCCTTTATCTACAGTCTTACGGAGATTATATATAACATGTATGTAATAAATGTTTTAATTGAGCAAAAGGGAGATGGAAAGGACACTGCTTAGAATTTCCATTCCTGGCTAATTGGGCAAATTATTGTTGCTGGCTCTTGAGCTGGCTATTAGAGCATGCCCTGGTCCAGAGCTGACTGTGGGAAGAAATCTGCTTGCTCTCAGTATAAGCCACATTTTCTAACACCAGCCTGTAACAATAGGAAATCAACATACACAGATCTTCAGCATTGACAGGTGGGACAACGAGTTTATTCTACTCCCAACCCATACAAGGATCAACAAAAAAGACGAAGCTGGAGAAGCCTTCCTAAACACCCAAGAGCAGAGCCAGATCTCTTTTGCTCACCCCATGTGTATTCCCAGATCTGGGCACAGTATCCGACATATACTTGTGCTCACTAAATGTTTGTCAAATCAAACTTCAGGCTTTCATGGCTTCTATTAACCCAGCTTTATTGGTCTCTTGTATGTGGCACACTTCAGTGATCCTTCTGGCCTTTGGAATGAAGGGGTGTTCTGTAAGGCATGAGCAATACCTGCTTCTAGAGCCTTGCAGAATTTCTTTCCCTTTTACCTAGCCATGACAACTCCCTCATCCTTCTGCACTGCTGTGTCTCCCATCCCAGTGAATGGAACCTCCATCCATTCAGGTTCCCAAGCTGGGAGTATCAGGCCTCCTCCCACACAGTGACTTCACTCACTGTACCCAACCGGTTCTACCTCTTCAACAGGCCTCTCTTAGTTTTCCTGTTCTGTCTGTGGGCCTCAAGTCCTCCTCTGTTCCTCCCCCAAATGATTCTCCCTCTCCTCACTTCCTCCCAAAGAGCAAGTATGGTGGTCTGATGGGTTGGTTTCCCAGCTACCATTCCTTGTGGGCTCTAATGGGGCAAGTGAGTTTGCCCACTCTCCAGCTTCTGAGGCTGCCCTGAGGCCTTTCCTCATGTTGAAGCTTACCCCTTTAATTTGGGAGTTGGACTTAGGGACAATAAAATGCATTGCTCTCAAACCCAGGCCAAAGCATAATGCACATGGTTCAACCCAGTTTAATAGAGGTTGGAGTTTGGGGCCAAAGCACCAGATAATGTTAAATTTAGGGTGTGAGGGGGCATAATAAATGACATGCTTGTTTTTGTCATCCAACTTCTGAACCAGTTAAGAGACAAAAAAGGAGAAATAAGGCATATGGATATCAAATTGTCGTTTTTGCTGTAGATAAAGCTGGTGTTAGAAAATGTGGCTTATACTGAGAGCAAGCAGATTTCTTCCCACGGTCAGCTCTGGACCAGGGCAGCCTCTGGACTGGGAAACTGGGAGATCCAGCTTCCGTAAAACTGGAAGGATGGAGCAGCAGGCCGTGTGCTGTCAGCCCTGGGAGTCTGTGGAGGAGTGGAGGGAGACCAGGGTATCGCACTCCTTGATATCCAGACACTTGCAAGGAAACACGAGGAGAGGGGAGTTCATATGACAACTGAACAAAAGAAGCATTTTCTTTTCCTTGCTCTGCCTCTGTTTCCTGGATATTTCCTGAGGAGCTCTGTGGCTAAGCAGGTGGTTGGGCTGAGGCATGATTAGACATTTTGGGTTCTCTACGTGATAACCTCATGACGGGACCCTGGCCCACTGGCACCCCCAACCTCTCCATCCCTCAAACTGCTGCAGAATTGCAGGCCTTTCCAGGCGCAGTGGCTCACGTCTGTAATCCCAGCACTTGGGGAAGCTGAGGTGGGCAGATCACTTGAGGTCAGGAGTTTGAGACCAGCCTGGCTAATATGGTGAAACCCTGTCTCCACTTAAAAAAATACAAAAATTAGCCGGGCATGGTGGCATGTACCTGTTGTCCCAGCTACTCAAGAGGCTGAGGCAGGAGAATCACTTGAACCCAGGAGGCGGAGCTTGCAGTGAGCCGAGATCATGCCACTGCACTCCAGCCTGGGTGACAGAGCGAGACCCTATCCGAAAAAAAAAAAAAAAAAGATTTGCAGGCCTTTGTCACCAACTTCCATCCAGGTTATGCCACTGGTTTTCCACTGGTGTCTGCAAGGCCAGTTTCCCCCTCAGAACCCACCACCCACACACACCCAGGGTGATCGTTGTGAAAATATACATCTGACCAGGTGATCCTGCTCCTCAAACCCTGAGCAGACTCTTCATTGGTTACATAATAAAGTTCTGATTAGCGTGCCTGTGCCTAGTAAGAGCTCAGACGTTCTGGTGGAGGGGACAGCGTGAAGACAGTGTCATTTCTGGTTGCCTAGACTGACATTTCCTCAATCTGAGTCGTCTGAAAATGTCACTCAAAAAATTGTGGGAAACTTTATCTAAGCTCACATGAACACTGAAGCTCTCAGATGCCTTAGCTCAGCATCAAGCTCGAAACCCAAATGTGTGATACCCATCTTTCAATGGCTGGATATCAGACCTGGTGTAAGCAAAATAGTTAGACAATCGATGCATCTTCCCATTTCCATCTGTACCTTTGGAGTCTACAGCAGCAACCTCAGCCTAGAGTCTCTGATTTAACTCCTCCCATATGAAGCTATGAGAAGGTTGAAATCTAATAACGATAGTTATCAGCTCCGGCCCCGGTCTCTCTGGTCCCATAGGGACCCCATAGTCTCTAGGATGAAAAAAAATCTCAATGTAAAGCATTTTTGTGCTAGCTGCCACCATATGTGATCCCTGCCCACCACGTCACAGATGAGATCTGCCACCCACAAAGGCAGAGCTTCAGCTGCATTTCCACCCTACTGGGTGTCCTTACTCCCACACAGTGAGAAGAGACAGGGGACATGGATTTCCATCTGCCTGCCTTAAACACCTCACTGGCCCATGCACAGTGCAGACACAGCTGTGGGACTGCTCTTATCTCTCTTCTGCAGATGCTCAGTTCAGCTCTCTCCTGAGCACCCTTGTGGGGTGACACTCACTCACCTCCTGCATCTCCCAGCCCCCATGACGCAGGGCGTCCAGAGGTCACCATTGTCCTCCAACCAATCTTCTCTGAATGTGGAACTCAACCCGACAGGTGTAAAGTAAACTGTTTTTTAATGACAGATGGTTCTGGGGTGGAAAATAAAAACAAGAAAAGAATAATGATACTAGTCATTCCAACTTTTTTTCCCTTTAAGGGAAATGTCATACATAAAACAGAAGGAAGCAAGATTTTGCCACCAAATATATTTTCCCAGAATACTTCAACAGTGGCTCTGTTGAGTGTTCAAGGTCTGGTCTGGATGATCTAGACACTTACACAATCAAGGATGAGACAGAGACCCCAGCCCAGACCCCTGGAGTCACCTCCGCTTCCTGTGGGGATACCCTGGGGTGGGACTCAGCTCCCCCAGACACAGCAGGTGGCCAGCAGCTGCTTCTGTCAGCAGGAAGTGCCACCTGGAAGGGCTGAAACCCATTGGCACTCACCTCTGATGGGCATGGGATGGTCAGTTAGTCTCACCCTGGAGCCCCTTCCCAAGGCTTCCTAGGCTACTTTGGATCTCTGGGAAGAGCAGCTGAGGTCCCAGGTGAGAAGCTGGGCCTGGGCAGATGCTGGTACTCCTCACACAGGTGAGAAGCAGCCCTGCCAGCAGAGGGACAGACCTGGTTCCAAAACCCTGTACCACCTTAACCTCCCAAGTAGCTGGGACCACAGGTGTGCAACATCATCCGTGGAGATATATATATATATATATAATTTATTTTTTTTTATTTTTAGAGACAGGGTCTTGCTATGTTGCCCAGGCTAATCTGGAACTCTTGGGCTCAAGCGATCCTCCCACCTCGGACTTCTGAAGCGCTGGGATAACAGGCTGAGCCACCGCACCCAGCCTTATATTTACCTTTAAGAAGGAAGCAAAGGCTGCTTCAGGACAGGCCTTCTTCTCAACTAACAGATGCTGGCAGCTTTTGTTTTGTTGTTGTGCTAGTTCCACTAGTCAAAGTCTTCCTACTGGGTGAGACCACCAGCTGGATTTTATGTGGTTACCAGCCCCTGGAGGGTATCCGAGGGATGGTGCAGCTCTGCCCCTCCCTCTGGGGAGCCCTCCAGAGCGACTGTCCAGGAGCTGTCAGACCCCCTCAAGATTGTTGAAGTTGGGATCATGGAGGCCACTGAACATCCACCGGGTGTTGGGTGGATTCTCAAAGAGGATTGATGGAGGTGTTTTAAAGTCTCCTCGAGGCTGGTTGTGGTGGCTCACACCTGAAATCCCAGCATTTTAAGAGGCTGAGGCAGATGGATTGCTTGAGCGCAGGATTCAAGACCAGCCTGGGCAACATGGCAAAACGCCAATTCTACAAAAATACAAAAATTAGCCGGGCGTGGTGGCTCATGCCAGTGGTCCCAGCTACTCTGGGGGCTGAGGTGGGAGGATCGCTTGAGCCCAGGAGGTTGAGGCTGCAGTGAGCCATGATTGTGCCACTGCACTCCAGGCTGGGCAACAAAGTGAGACCCTGACTCAAATAATCATAAACAAATAATACATAAATAAAGTCTCCTCGAGCTGAGCGACTCTTCCCTGTGCTCTGCAGCATGAGCACATTTGTCCCCACCGACTACCCCCAGGCTGCCCTGTCCAAGCCACATGGCAGCACCTTTTCCTTGGGTTCCTCTTGGTCCAGCCTCAGTTCCTCTGCAGGCATTTGCTCTGCCCACGGGGGTCTGGAGGAAGAAGGGTATGTTCATGCTGCTTTAATGAAATACCTTAGACTGGGTGGCTCATAAACAGCACAACCGTACTTCTCACAGTTCTGGAGGTCAAGAAGTCTGAAATCGACATACCAGAAGATTTGGTGTCTGGTGAGGGCCATTTCTTGGTTCACATGCTCTCTGGGGTCTCTTTTACAAGGCACAGTTCCCTTGCGTGAGGGCTCCACCTTCTTGACTTCATCACTTCCCAAAGTTCTCACCTCCTAATACACATTGTAGGGGTAAGGGTCTCGACATAGGAACTGTGGGGGGAAGCAAACATCCCTAGCAAAGGTGTTCTCTTATCCAGTGCCACCTGGGGGAGTGCCACCTTCCACATATGCTCGCCACCTGCACATCAGCCCCCCTCACTCACGGGGCAGGGGGAAGGTATCCAAGGCCCTTTCCTCCCCGCTCAGCCCTGGGTGGCTTTCTCTACTGTCTTCTCTCCCCGATTGCCACTAATCCTAAACTTAACTACAATCGTGTTTAATCAGCATCGTATTCCATGCTCCCTAGAGAAGCCTTTTCTCACAGTCTAAGAAAATCAGAAATAAGTCCGTAAGGACTGGTTTAGACTGTGGGCTCCAACTCCGGGATGTCCACAGGGCAGCTCCCAGGGACCACATCTTCCCACCTCCTCCAGGGACAGGACCCCAAGGCATCCGGTGATGGGAGAAGCCACAGAGGGATAATTAGCAACAAACCTGATCATCAAAAATACCTAAAGATACCACAATAGTCCAGCTAATAGAAACGCTTTTGGATTAATTCTTTAAGCACCTCACTTTTTTCAATTTTATCCATCATTAATAGAGACCTTTCAGAAATGTTTCACTGGGCCAGGCGTGGTGGCTCAGGCCTATAATCCTAGCACTTTGGGAGGCTGAAGTGGGCAGGTCACTTGAGTCTGGGAATTGGAGGCCAGCCTGGGCGACATGGCAAAACCTCGTCTCTACAAAAAACTTAAAAATTAGCTGGGTGTTGATTGTGCTGCTGCTCTCCAGCCTGAGTGACAGAGGGAGACCCTGTCTCAAAAAAAAAAAAAAAAAAGAAGTGTTTTATTGACTTGCCTGTCGTCTTAGACAATTAAGCCAAAATGAACTTCTTCTGTATTTCATGACTGGGTTATCATTTTGCATGTCAGTTAATGCTGTGTGTTCATGCTCCCAGGAACCAAGGCATTACTGAAAGCTGCTTATAGCTGCCACAGTTGGCCCTTGTCTACTGTGTGTTTTGAAGTCTTGTATCTACTTTTCCTTCTTCCTAAGTAATAAAGAAAACATATTTCTATAGGTAGAGTAAAAATTCTTTGCCTTTCTTCCAATTTTTTGTCTCCAGCGAAGATAGAATCAGATAATGAAATCTGATAGAACTGTTTGTAAACTGTCTTGAGTGAGAATATGAGGGTTCTCCTGGGAGTGAAGTTCAAGATATCTACGGCAGAAATTTTGTGGCACCTAAGCTGCTCTCAGGTCCTTTTCTCACTTATTTAATCATTCAACAAATCTTTATTGAGGACCTACCCATTGCTAGGGCCTTTTCTAGGGTTGAGGCTGCAATAGTGAACAAGAGAACAAGCCCCCTTCTGCACTAAGCGATTTGAATGCTAGTGGGTGGCCGTGGTCCCAAAGGTGAAATTGCTAAGTTACTAAGTTCCAGGGAGACAAAATGTGGCATGTTTGCCTTTTGTATGTGGTTCAGAGACATCTACTTAGTTCAGAAATGTGTTAGGACACACACATACTCCTCAGACACAATGTTCCCAAATCCCTCTAAATCTACCCCAATTTCCTCCTGCCTTAGGTGCCCAAGTTACAACTGGGAGTGAAGAAACTCAATCATTTGCAGCAAATAGAATCCTGACTTTAATTGCTATCTGTGGACAAGTACTAGACACGTATTTTTGAGATAAATCTCAAAAAGAAAATTTCATATTTCCCAAAATGTCCTCCCCACTTCCCTTCTTTTCTTGTATTCATTCAGCAAAATTTATTGAGCATCTACTACATGCCAGGCCCTTGGCTAAGTACTGATAATACGAAGTTAAAGAAGACTTGCCTCTTACCCTGAGGGCCTGACAGTGTGAACTGATTATCATAATGTGGTATGATGAATACCAGGACAGAGAGATGCACTACTGCACAGGAAAAGGTGGGGACACAGAGGAGAGGGATTTAATCCTGAATGGGAAGAGCAGTGGGAATGAGACAGAGAATCAAGGAAGGCTTCCTGGAGGAGGAGGCAGTGGAACTCAATTTTGAAAGATGAATGAGAATGGATATGCCTCTCACTTTGACATCTAACAACTGAGTCAGGTGCCCTAGGTCAGAGTGTTTAGGAGAGGTTGGCAAGAATGGAGCCAGTGGGGGATCAGACAGGGCCCCTAGAATCCTTGAAAGACCCATAATGTTCACCTCCTTCCTGACTGGCCACTTCCAAGGTACAGGTAGAATAAGCTGACAGCTTATTATAGCTATCTATATGACCTCAAGTAAAACAAAATTGCCCAAACATGCCCTCAAGTCACCTGAACCATTTCAGGTTTCTTTAAAAAAAAAAAAAAAAAAAAAGGCTTTTGATTACCTTTTTTTTTCTTCTTCTTTTGCAAAGATTTCTTAAGAGCTTTAGAGCCAAAATGAGTGTCTCTGCATCTTTGCTTACTTGCTAAAGTATGCAGTGTCTTAAAGTTTTCTTTTTCTTTTTCTTTTTAAAAAAATTTTTTTTGAGACAAAGTCTCTGTCACCCAGGCTGGAGTGCAGTGGTGTGATCATAGCTCACTGCAGCCTCAACCTCCTGGGCTCAAAATAATCCTCCCACCTCAGCCTCTTGGGTAGCTGGGACCACAGACACACAGCATCCTGCCCAGCTAATTTTTTAGTTTTTTTGTAGAGACAGAGTTTCACCATGTTGCTCAGGCTTGTCCCGAACTCCTGGGCTCAAGCGATCCACCCGCGTCGGCCTCCGAAAGTGCTGGGTTTGTAGGCCTGAGCCACTATGCCTGGTTTAATAAACAGTTTTCTTCCTGTGTTGCTTTTGTTAAGAAAAATGAGACACACACCCCTTTCCTTTCTTCTAATGATGAGGCAGAGAACAGAATATTTTCCACTTGACGTTCTCCCCCTTTCTTCTCAAACCAGTTTGGCATTTTTCCACTTTCCACCTTCAGGTTCAAAGCGTGTCTGGGTGATGAGAACCAGGACACAGCTGGAACTCCGGCCATGGCGGGAGCTCACGCCTACCCTGTAGGCATAACATTCTAGGTTTCCCTTTTTTTCAGCAATAATACCTGGGTATAGTGGGAAAGAAGCTGGAATCAATCCTGGCTCCAGCACTTACCAGCCACAACCTTGGACACAGACCTCTATGACTCTATTTTCTCCTCTGTAAAGTGGGTTCAGATGAACCACTGAGACCAGTTGTTGACTGTCTCAGGTTGCAAGGGACAGAGATCAATGCTGGTCCCCACAGGCCGGGGAGCACAATTGTAGGGATAAACTAGAAGTAAAGCAACACTGGAAATCAGTTTGGCATCAAGACAATCAGATCTTCAGGAGAACTGGAGTGTTGTTCAGGATCCCACAGCAGCAGGTGTGCCTTCAGAAGCAGTGCCCACGCTGTGCCCCACGGAGTGACTGTGCCCAAGGCGTGACTCAGTTTCCCAGGGACCCTGCAGCGTCTGCAGCTGCTCCTTGTGCCCCTGCGGCTCTGTCTTCACGCGCCTTCGCCCTGCCTCGTGGCTTCTGCTTACTCACAAGTTTCCCCACTGCCCTTCTCCTGGCTGTCCCTCAGCCGCAGAAGTCCCCTCCATGTGTCTCTCCTCCTGCCAGCTCCCACAGGGCTGCCTCAGACAGAAGAGGCTCCCAGGCCTGGTCAGGGGTGGGGTCACAGGTACGCAGCGGGGTCACTGCGTTCAGGAAACTGCCAGGGGCTGGTGTTCTCGGAGAGGAGCCGCAGCTGGGCAGCCACTCAGCACACATCCTGTCCAGTTACGGGCCCTTTGTATAGATGAGGAAATGGCCCCCTTGGAAGATTCAGTATTGACGAGCCGCAGAGCAGCCATCACATCACACTGTGCTCTGGTGTCTCCAACCCCGTCACACTCCTCTGCTTCCTGTTTCTGTTCACCCACGCAGGATGCCGAGGGAAGCGGGGCTTCTCCTGCCTCTACCTGCCTTCAGCCCCTGTTCTGACATGACCTGAGTGCCACCCATCAAAAGACCCGTCCACCCCAAAACATCCCCAACCCACATCCCACTGCTAGTCCCTGATGAATTAGACAGTGAAGGCCTGATCTCCCCGAGACCCCAGTGAGCCCGCCATTGGCATGACGGTCAGATGAGTCCTGGGACAGTGGGAGGGCAGGCGCCAGGCTCAGGAAACGGAGGAGCAGCAGGAGAGGTGCTCCCATGTGGCACAGTTCAGAGGCGGGAGCCTGGGGTGCCAGTGAGAAACAAGGCAAGGTCTCCACTTTAACCTCTCACCTAGGACTCCCAGTGTGCAGCTGATCAGGTTTTTGGGCCCTGAACTGGAACATACCATTTTTAGACAGTGAGATAAAGATTCAAAATCAGGACTGCCCTGGAAAATCCAAGACCTATTGTGGTGTTCAGGTTGGGTGTTGTGTGGTTGGGTCAAACTTCATTTGAGAGCTTCAGTCAACCACAGGTGGCTGGGGCCCAGGAAGGAGGCGGCTCTTGCAAACAGATAAGGGCCACACTGGTGAGAGGCGCTCTCCCCAGAGCAGTAGGCCCCAACTGCTCACAGTTCCTGTGGTAAACTCGGTTCACTTGTGAAGATCAGGAGAGACAGGACCCATTACCTCCTCCTTGTGAAGATCAGGAGAGACAGGACCCATTACCTCCTCCTTGTGAAGATCAGGAGAGACAGGACCCATTACCTCCTCCTTGTGAAGATCAGGAGAGACAGGACCCATTACCTCCTCGTGAAGATCAGGAGAGACAGGACCCATTACCTCCTCCTTGTGAAGATCAGGAGAGACAGGTCCCATTACCTCCTTGTGAAGATCAGGAGAGACAGGACCCATTACCTCCTCCTTGTGAAGATCAAGAGAGACAGGACCCATTACCTCCTCCTTGTGAAGATCAGGAGAGACAGGACCCATTACCTCCTCCTTGTGAAGATCAGGAGAGACAGGACCCATTACCTCCTCCTTGTGAAGATCAGGAGAGACAGGACCCATTACCTCCTCCTTGTGAAGATCAGGAGAGACAGGACCCATTACCTCCTCCTTGTGAAGATCAGGAGAGACAGGACCCATTACCTCCTCGTGAAGATCAGGAGAGACAGGACCCATTACCTCCTCCTTGTGAAGATCAGGAGAGACAGGTCCCATTACCTCCTTGTGAAGATCAGGAGAGACAGGACCCATTACCTCCTCCTTGTGAAGATCAAGAGAGACAGGACCCATTACCTCCTCCTTGTGAAGATCAGGAGAGACAGGACCCATTACCTCCTCCTTGTGAAGATCAGGAGAGACAGGACCCATTACCTCCTCCTTGTGAAGATCAGGAGAGACAGGACCTATTACCTCCTCCTTGTGAAGATCAGGAGAGACAGGACCCATTACCTCCTCCTTCTCTCCACCACGCATCTTCCTCCTGTGTCCCCTCAGCCACTGAAGGTTTCAATGTGCCCTGATTTGTCCTCTCTTCCCAGTTGTCTGTATACAAAGTGCCCAGCTATTCCTCCCACTTTGCAGATGGAGAAATGGAGGCCTTAAGGCAGTGAGAAAGTTTTCCATGATGATGGTTAGACAGTGAGATTCAAAGATTCAAAATCAGGACTGCCCTGGAAACTCCAAGACGTCTTGTGGTGTTCCGGTTGGGTGAATACTTTCCAAGAGCACATGTGGAGGCTGAACAGGATTCCACTGAAAGCTGCTGTCATTTAAGAATCAGTCAGGCTGGGAACGGTGGCTCACGCATGTAATCCCAGCACTTTGGGAAGCTGAGGTGCATGGATCACCTGATATCAGGAGTTCAAGACCAGCCTGGCCAACATGGCGAAACCCTGTCTCTATTAAAAATACAAAAATTGGCTGGGCGTGGTGGCTCACGTCTGTAATGGCAGCACTTTGGGAGGCTGAGGTGGGTGGATCATGAGGTCAGGAGATCGAGACCATCCTGGCTAACATGGTGAAACCCCATCTCTACTAAAAATACAAAAAATTAGCCCAGCGTGGTGGTGGGTGCCTGTAATCCCAGCTACCAGCGAGGCTGAGGCAGGAGAATTGCTTAGACACAGGTTACAGAGGTTGCAGTGAACCGAAATCGCACCACTGTACTCTAGCCCGGGCAACAGAGTGAGACTCCATTTCAAAAAAAAAAAAGAATCAGTCAGTTGGTCATATCTATCCCCAGGAAGATACTGTGCCTTGTGTCCAGGGCTTAGTTGACAGCTGTGAGAATCAAAATACAAAAAAGATGAAAATTTCTGCTCCGGACAGATGTGGTCTAGTTGCGGAGGTAAAACAGGAAAGCAGAGAATTAGGGACTGAAATTCAACCTGAGCTTGGGTCCCCAAGCTGTATGCCCTGGTCAAAGGCTGGAAGAGCCACCTTTTTTTTGTTGTTTTTTTTGTTTTTTGTTTTTTTTTTTTTTGAGACAGAGTCTCCCTTATGTTGCCAGGCTGGAGTGCAGTGGAGCTATCTTGGCTCACAGTAACCTCCACCTCCCAGGTTCAAGCAATTCTCCTGCCTCAGCCTCCTGAGTAGCTGGGATTACAGGCACCTGCCACCACGCCTAGATAATTTTTGTATTTTTAGTAGAGACGGGGTTTCACCGTGTTGGCCAGGATGGTTTCGATCTCCTGACCTTGTGATCTACCCGCCTCAGCCTCCCAAAGTGCTAGGGTTACAGGTGTGAGCCACCACGCCCAGCAAGAGCCACCTTTTAAAAATCTGCACCAAAGGTGCCATATGGGCTAGTGGAGACCCTGGGAGAAGTGAGATCCCCCAGGAGGGCCAAGCTAGACAGAGTTCTTTAACCTTAAGACAATTGGCAATAGGAGCTGGGCATGATGGCTCATGCCTATAATCCTAGCACTTCAGGAGGCTGAGGCAGAAGGACTGCTTGAGCCCAGGAGCTTGAGACCAGCCTGGGCAACATAGCAAGACCCTGTCTCTACAAAAATTAAAAACAAAAAACAAAACTCAGCTGGGCATGGTGGTGTATCTGTTGTCCTAGCTACTCAGGTGGCAGAGGTGGGAGGATCGCTTAAGCCCAAGAGTTCGAGGATGCAGTGAGCTATGATCTTGCCACTGCATTCCAGACTAAGTGACACAGCCAGACCCTGTCTCAAAAAAAAAAAAAAAAAAACAAAGAAGGCCGGACGCGGTGGGTCACGCCTGTAATCCCAGCACTTTGGGAGGCCAAGGCAGGTGGATCACGAGGTCAGGAGATCGAGACCACCCGGGCTAACACGGTGAAACCCCGTGTCTGCTAAAAATACAAAAAATTAGCTGGGCGTGGTGGCGGGCGCCTGTAGTCCCAGCTACTCGGGAGGCTGAGGCAGGAGAATGGCGTGAACCCGGGAGGCGGAGCTTGCAGTAAGCCGAGATTGCTCCACTGCACTCCAGCCTGGGCAACTGATGGAGACTCCGTCTCAAAAAAAAAAAAGAAAAAGAAAAAAAAGAAAGTAAAAGACAATAGACAATACTGAGCAATCGTGTGTTACGGAGCTACCCAGTACAGAAAGCAGGGCTGTGGGAAGGTCGGTAGTAAAAGGAGCTGCAAGATGGACTGGAGAGGGAGAGGCAGGAAGGAGGCTCTGCTACAGTCCGCAGCCAATGCAGTGATGGTGGAGACAGCACAGAGCTGGGAATGACAATGAGGTTACCTCTTTCCTCCAGCCCAGGCCATCACATACCTTTATGGTACAACGCTTAGCCTGGTTATAATTGAACATCCTTATGTGTGGTATCTGATAAATGCCTGTCCTCTGCTCACTCCACCCTCACCCCCCTGGCAGACTGAATACTTCATGAGGGCAGGGGTGGTATCTAATTTGTTCTCTTGTGTCCCAAGCACGTAGTAGCCTCTCTATAAATGATTATTAAGCAAATGACGGAAAGAAAGACAGAATGAATGCATGAGTGAATAAATGACCAGTCACCATACAGAGTATTTTGATGAAGGGATTTTATATTCCCTTCCAGTTTCCAGTTCCCACTTTCTTGCTGGCTGAAATGATACACTTTGCTTTTCTCTTTCTCTCGGATTTCAAAGGTAGAGTAATAGTAGATACCACTTTAGGAAAAAAGAGTGGTATTCCTCTGGGATATGTTTTCTTTTTTTCTTTCAGTTTCTGATCGTAAGAATAAAACATGGTCATTATAGAAAATTTAAAATGTAGGAAAAAAAACCACAATGAAGCTGGAAAAAACCACGCAGGAAGAGGCTCCCTTGACCGGCTTGTTGGCATAGGACTCTCCAGGACTCTGACACACTCAGGGGTAAATAGGACTTCAAGGATGTCCATGTGAGGACTCCTCAGGCCTCTGTCCCAGCTGCCTTATTTCTCAAGGATACCAAGGAGACAGTCCCCTACCCTTCTCCTCTCTCTCTGGCCTAGGGCTTTCCCAAGGCCTTGGAGAGCTTTGGAAAGGCTCGTTCTTCCACTTCATAATGAAATGATGAAATGCCTTTGGACCTGAGTCTTTCACCTGTAGCTTGGCAGCCATGTTTTCCTACTAAATGGATATCAGGTGCATGGGTGTTTGGGATTATATTAATCCCTTTTCCAACATTTCGTAGTCCCCTGGTTTTCTTGAAACTTTCAAACAGTTGAATCAGCCATCAGCCTATCACTAAAATGAGCTATGAGATTTCTTCAAAACCTAAGCTGTCATAGGTTTTTATAACTTTGGCATTTTCAGGATTATGCTAGTTCCTTCTGAGTCTCTCCTGGGAATAACACTGGTACTTTGGAAACTATAGAGGTATAGGCAGGGATGGAAAGAGGTTTCTTCTGCATGCCCAATCTGCAATTGGCAATATTATAGCAGCCCCAGGAGCTCTGTTAAGAAGGATTCTGAGACCATGTCCAAGCTCAGTGGGAAAAAGTGATGTGGTTGATTAGTGATGTCTGCTGGGGGGATAGCATGGGAATGGGGGAATGGAAGCTCTTATTGCCATCCCTGAATATAAGAAATCTAAGCCTTCAAGGAGCTGCATGATTTCTATGGGAAAGACAAGTTAAATTCAAAGTCAAATGACATATGCTAAGTGGTACATGTGAGTGGTACTATAGGAGTTCCGCAAGAAGAAATCAAAATGGGCTGGAAGATTTTTGGAAAAAAGGGATATGAGCTGGTCCTGAGTGGAATCTAGACAATGGCTGAGCAGGGAGGAAATGAGAGCACACTCCAGACTAAGGAAAGAATTTAAGGAAAGAACAATCATGTCACGTTTCAGGGCACTGGGAAGAGAGCAGCCTCTTTAAAGTAGACATAACACTTTAGAATGTGTGTAGCTTGAATTTATTTGGTAAGTTAAATCATATCAAGGAGAGAGTAAAAATTCATTTAAACTTTTAAAAGTGATGATGACCATTTTTAAACTGGTGAAATGTTTAAAGATAGAGAGGAAAATCACAAAGAATGACATAACAAACACCTATTCTTCACAGTTTACATTTTTTCATATTTGCCTCCGGCCTCTTTCTGTTTTTAAAGAAATAAAATATTACAGATAAAACTTCAGTCCTTCTAACTACTACCCGCTCATCTCCCCAGAAACACCCACTGTCAGAAAAGTGAAGGTTTTCCTTCTATCTAATTTAATTCTATTTAATTTCATACTGACCTCTCTACACACAGAAATTTCTGGACTCCTTTTCATCCGTTTATTTCCAATAACTAATAGTAATTCTCTACTTCAAATCAGCTCAACCACATGCTCCCCTTGCCAGCCACTTCTCTTAAGCCATTTTCTCTAGAACCCCTTAGGATCCTCCTGCCAATCCCATCTCTACCCCTTACATACTCCTGCCCCCTCCCCAAAATATGCTGCCTCTCCTTCCTCTCCTTTCTTTCAGAATATTTTTTTTCTTTTGTTTTTTTGTTTTTTAGACAGAGTTTCGCTCTTTTCTACCAGGCTGGAGTGCAATGGCGCGATCTCGGCTCACTGCAGCCTCTGCCTCCCGGGTTCAAGCGATTCTCCTGCCTCAGCCTACCGAGCAGCTGGGATTACAGGCACCAGCCACCATGCCTGGCTAATTTTTGTATTTTTAGTAGAGACAGGGTTTCACCATGTTGGCCAGGATGGTCTCGAACTCCTGACCACGTGATTCACCCACCTTGGCCTCCCAAAGTGTTGGGATTACAGGGGTGAACCACTGCACCTGCCCCAGAATAAATCTTATACTTTTCTTTCTTCCCTTCCTCCAAGGCCCACTCCATGTGATCTTTCCCTTATTTTGAACTCCCTAAATGCTGGTATATTGGATCTGGCCTATATGTCTACTCACCTTATGAGCTGAATATTTTCTCTTTTATTAATGATGTAGGTGAATTAGAGAATAACTGTCTGAGAGGAGAGCCCACCTCTTCTCTTGTATCCATCATAATCCACAGCACAGGGCTAGACTTAAAATAGGAGCTCAACAATTGCTGAATCATGAACAAAGCCATTCCGAAAGGTTTTTCTATGTCACATGTCAGAGACTGATAACTCTCTCCCTTTTTCTATACTGTAGAAGGGGTACTTCACTTGGGGTCTACAGATTTCAAAGGCTTTGTCAACAGCACCACTTATCAGTATAATTGGATTCCTTTGTAATCTTATGTATTTTATTTTATTCACTTAAAAACATTATTTTAAGAAGGAGTCCATAAGCTTCAGCAGACTGCCAAAGGGGTTCATGGTACCAAAAAAGGCTAAAAATCCCTGCACTCCAATATTTAACTGGGCACATTGCTGCCAAGGATAGAGATCACACTCCTCAGTCTAACGTGACAAGTGTGGTGTTATGCAATTTCCCTGAAGAGTCCTTATTTATTTATTTATTTATTTATTTATTTATTTAGAGATGGCTTCTCACTCTGTCGCACAGGCTGGAGTGCAGTGGCATGATCTCAGCACACTGCAACCTCCGCCGCCCAGGTTCAAGCAATTCTCCCTGCCTCAGCCTCCTGAGTAGCTGGGATTACAGGTGTGCGCCACCATGCCTGGCTAATTTTTATATTTTTAGTAGAGATGGGGTTTCACCATGTTGGCCAGGCTGGTCTCCAACCCCTGACCTCAGGTGATCCACCCACCTCAGCCTCCCAAATAGCTGGGATTACAGGCATGAGCCACCGTGCCTGGCCTGAAGAGTCCTTCAGAAGGGAGGAGTAGGCTGGGCGCGGTGGCTCATGCCTGTAATCCCAGCACTTTGGGAGGCTGAGGCAGGCAGATTATGAGGTCAGGAGATCGAGACCATCCTGGCTAACACGGTGAAACCCCGTCTCTACTAAAAATACAAAAAATTAGCCGGGCGTGGTGGCGGGCGCCTGTAGTCCCAGCTACTCGGGAGGCTGAGGCAGGAGAATGGCATGAACCCAGGAGGTGGAGCTTGCAGTGAGCCGAGATTGTGCCACTGCACTCCAGCCTGGGAGACAAAGCGAGACTCCATCTCAAGGGAAAAAAAAAAAAAAAAAGAAGAAGAAGAAGAAGGGAGGAGTATATCCTTCTTTCTCTCTTCATTCTCTCTGCCTTCTGGACTGCAGACATAATGGCTAGAGCTCCAGTAGCTATCTTGAGCCTTGGAAATGGAAGCCATAGAAAACAGTGCAACAAGATAGAAGACCTGGTTCCCTGACACCATGGAGGGCTGCACCAGCCCTGAGCTGGCTACCTCCAGATTACTTAAATCTGAGAAGGAAATAAACTCCTATTTCACTTTAGCTACTGTTACTCTGGGCTTCATTGTTACTTACCATCAGCTTGAAATCAAACGAATGCAACAAGCCTTTCTGAAGATACATTGAAAAGGGTCTTGTTTATCTAAAGAGTTTTCAGAAATCATCCCTCATTCTAGAGAAAGAATCATTTCCAACCTAGACGATGATTCTTTTCATGCCTTACCTTGTATTAAGCATTTAAACAAAACTGAATTGTGTGGGAACATATTTTATTCAGAGTTTCCATTTTTGATACAACTAATGAACTTAATAGCTTTATGAAACTCTCATTTTTTCAGCTACTTCTTCAGTCTACTTTCATGTCCCCTAAAGATAGAGAACGTTATGAGTGGCCTGGCTTTGTGCCCACCAGCTCTTAATTTATGACAGTGATGCTTTTAAAAATGCATCTTAAGCATTTTACAAACCAAATAGTAAAGATTATTCTGGCATGCCCATTGCATTATTATTATTGTTATTATTAATATTATTATTGTTATTATTATTTTCAGACAGGGTCTTGCTCTGTCACCCAGGCTGGAGTGCAGTGGCACAATCTCGGCTCACTGCAACCTCTACCTCCTGGGCTCAAGCGATCCTCACACCTCAGCCTCCCTCCTCAGCCACCATGCCCAGCTAATTTTTTTATTTTTTGTAGAGACGATGTCTTGCTAGGTTGTCCAGGCTGGTCTCGAACTCCTAGGCTCAAGTGATCCTCCAGCCTCAACCTCCCAAAGTGCTGGGATGACAAGTGTGAGACACTGTGCCTAGTCCTATTATATTACTGATGGATTCAGAATATATGTATGATATAATAACCATCAATAACACACTTTTTTTAAAGGATGCTATGGTTCCTGAAAGGTATAAAATAGCAGCTTCTGTCCTAAAAAGTATTATTATTTGTTGGGGCAATACGTACATGAAAGGATAAGTAGCATACAACGTGTTTATTAAGCATGATACAATCAGCAAGTGATAGGTAATTCAGAAGTGGAGGAAGGACAGGGTATGATAAAAGCAAAGGAGGAAAGACAACCATGAAGACTAGAGAAATGAAGGGAATGGGTAGATCAGTTGGCTGGGACGGAAGTCTGTTAAGTTCTTCCTGCCTCCTCTGGGTAGAATTACTGCATCTTCCCCACTGTGTTTCCACATTGCTTTCTGAATGCTTCTAATATCACACATAGTACAGGAGGGTGATGATACCATGAACTCTCTTATAGAGAGCCATTCTCATTTTTATAAGCCTCATACCTACCAGAGCTCCAGAAACATTTGTTATGTGGACTCCTAAAGGTCTAATGAGGCCAGGCGCAGTGGCTCACACCTGTAATCCCAGCACTTTGGGAGGCCAAGGTAGGCGGATCACTTGAGGTCAGGAGTTCAAGACCAGCCTGGCCATATGGTGAAACCCCATCTCTACTAAAATACAAGAATTAGCCAGGCATGGTGGTACTCAGGAGGCTGAGGCAGGAGAATCACTTGAACCTGGGAGGCGGAGATTGCAGTGAGCCAAGATCATACCACTGCACTCCAGCCTGGGTGACAGAGCAAGACTTCCTCTCAAAAAACAAAAATAAATAAATAAGTAAAAGTCTGATGAATGAATATCATTTCTGATGAGTGCATATACTACATCTTTAAACAAATCATCCCCATCTATATTTTCCTTAAAATTACGTAAACAAATCCTGTTTATTGTAGAATGGTTCTAAAATACTTAGATAAACATAAAAACGGGAGTTAAAGCCCACATCTTAATATTTTCAGCATCCACAGATAAGACACAATCACCATGAATATTTTACTGCCCACCTTCCCCATCACACAGATAGTTTTCACTTTTTAAAGTCTGTCCTGGAAACCTGGATCTGCCTAATTTCTCTGAAATGGCTGTTCCAATATTTGTAGGATGTAGTGAATATATACATATAAATTTCAGAGTGTCCCGACTCAAGCTGGCTGAGCATGAACCCAGAAGCTAAGGCAGGCAGCAAGTTGGTGAAGTTAATCAAGTCCTGATTCAGCCCTTGTTGCATCAAAGACACGGTAACTCCAAGAGCAGTTAGTGCTTTACAGGTATGGTAAGTCCCCACTGAATGTCAGATGGGTTCTCAGAAACTACAACTTTCAGTGAAATGATGCATAATGAAAGCAATTTTCCCACAGGCTAATAAGAGTAAAGTTCCTCCGTTATATTTCTGGTCATAAAAATGTCACCAAACTTGTAAATAGAGACCCAAAACACTTCTACTATTAACCACATGAAATAAATATGAGGTATATATGTATGTATATATGAAAAATTAATCAAAATGAGTACGATTTTTACCCAACTTTGGAAAATAAGTAATCAATGAGTGACAATGGTCGTGGTTGGTGGTGGGTTACACCAATGAATAAATGTTTGCAAAGGGAAAATTTTTGGGACCATCTCTGACCACCATGAAGTTCAAAAAGAAACGGTAACGAATACGGTGGCTTGTTGAGCATTTTTGTACTATGTTTTTTATTGTCTTGCATTTTTATGATTATTGTCTACTTTACAGATTTTTATTGGACAATAATTTGTATTCATTCATTCATTAATTTTCCAGCCTGCTTATTCCACTTCAAGGTCAGAGGTGACCAGAGTCCATCCCAGGAGCTCAGAGCACAAGGTGGGAATCAACCCTGGACAGGGCACCATTCCTTCCCTGGCACAATCACACTTACACCCACTCTTACTCACACTGGGACCACATAGACACACCAATGAACCTCGTGTGCACAGCTTTGGGATGTACAAGGAATCCGGAGTGCCTGGAGAAAACCTGCGCAGACATGCGGAGACAGTAAACTCACACAGACGGTTACCCCAGCTGGGAATCTATTTTTTCTCTTATCACTGTTGTAATGCAACAACATTGAATGAAACAACATTATTTGAGGATCTGCCAGAAGGGTTCTGAGTGGAGAGAATGGAGGAGACTCTCTTCAGAGAGCTTAAAGAATAACTCATCACAAGATTCACAGGCAGCCACTCCTGAGGTTCCATTGTGAAACACTATCATTTCATTGGCTCCTTTTATTTAAAATAATTATAGGGGTGAAATTCAGATAACATAAAATTAAGCATTTTGAAGTGAACAATTCGGTAGCATTTAGTAATTCACAATGCTATGCCACCTCCTCCTCTCTCTAGTTCCAAATAAAATTTGGAACTAGATAAATTAGTTCCTCCAAAATAAAATTCCATACCCATCAGCAGTTTCTCCTCATTTTCCCCTTTCCGCATCCTCTGGCAACCCCAGCCTGTGTTCGGTCTCTATGGATTTAGCTATTCTAAATATTTCGGGTACATGGGACCAAACAATACGTGACCTTTTGTGTCTGGCTTCTTTCATGTAGCAGAATGCCTTCAAGGTTCGCCCACATCATAGTGTGTGTTAGTACTTCCATTTTATGGCTGAAATATATTCCATCGTATGCTTATAACACAATTTGTTTATTCTTTCATCCATTGATGGACATCTGGACGATCCCTTTACTTTCACTAAGGCCTCTGTAAAAGGAAATATTTGCAGATCTGGAAATTTATAGACTGGGCCTCATAAATAGGGGGCAGTGGTTCATTTGGGGGTCACCATGTCAGATTGTATCATCCTCAATTTGGGGGTGTCTAGTGCACTTAAGTGCTCTTAGGGCTACAAATGATGGGACTCAGAAAAACTCATAAACTCCATATTTGCGTCTCAACTTTAAAACAACTAAGTGAGACAATCAGGACAGAAGAAATTGTCCCATTTTATAGATGTGAAACCTGAATTCCAGAGACTAGAAGTTAAATACCCTGGCTGGGAAGTGTTAAGAGTCAGGGGACGCCCCCAAGCCTTCTGACCAAACACAGCCCCTGCCTCCTTTAAACAGTTATCATTGACAATAACTGCATTGAAAGACACAGACTCGGGTAGGAGGGAGACTTGTGTGTCAGGAATAAATTTAGTGGTGAATAAATGGAAGTGAACAATTGCAAGTCTATGAGAGCAGGAATGAGACTGGTGCCCAAAGACAGAGAAGGCTTTTCTTGACCTAAACACTCCATCCTCATTGTCCTCCATCTACTGCCCACACAGCAAGGCATTTGACCAGCAATTCACATTTCTTCTCTATGGATCCTGTTTCCTGAAAACCTGGGAAGGTGGCTTCCTTGGATATGGTGGGCATAGGGTGGGCATAGGGTGGGCAGAGAATGTTTGGTATGGGAGGCAGGCAATATACCGCCTCCCTACATGTAGAGGTACTTTGGCAATCCCTGTGGAATGAATGAATGAAGATGGTTCAAAGCACTTTTGAAACCTTTGCATTGAAAACAAAAGCAAAAATCTCTATCAAACTGGCCATCAATAGTTCAATGTCTGTGCCTTTCCCCCTCCTCCAGGGAGGAAGGGGAGCAGAACTTTCTTATGTAAACTAGTTAGGGTGAGGCTATCCTGCTGTACCAAAGAGGCCCCAACATGCCAGTGACTTAGAACAGACAGTTTCAATCTCTCTCATGTGTAGTTCCAGGTGAGCGTTCCACGCTGGTATGAAGCTCTGCTCTGCCTGGTCATTCTGAGACCCTGCTTCTTTCCAAGTCACTGCTCTGTGACACCATTGTCACTTGCATGTCAAAGCTTGGTTGCAGCCAGGCATGGTGGCTAACGCCTGTAATCCAAACACTTTGGGAGGCTGAGGCAGGTGGATCACCTGAGGTCAGGAGTTTGAGTCCAGCCTGGCCAACATGGCGAAACCCCATCTCTACTAAAAATACAAAAATTCGCCAGGCATGGTGGCATGTGCATGTAATCCCAGCTACTTGGGAGGCTGAGACAGGAGAATCACATGAACCCAGGAGGCAGAGGTTGCAGCGGGCTGAGATAGCACCACTGCACTCTAGCCTAGGCAACAGAGCAAGGATCCATCTCAAAAAAAAAAAAAAAAAAAAAAAAAAAAAAGGCTTGGTTGCTGCAGGTTCCAACTGTCCAGCTGGAGAAAAGAGAACAAAAGCATGAAGGAGGAATGCTCATTCTTTTAATGCCAGTAAGAATTATGCATATAATTTCTGCTCATATTCTATTGGCAAGAACTTTGTCACATAACCATACTACTATTACTGCAATGAAGGCAGGACAATGTAGTCTACCTGTGTGCCCTAGAAGAAAGGGAGAATTGATTTTGCATTTCCCTCACCACCTACATGCTTGCAGTTTATTTTTAGAAAGTAGCATAGAAGCCTCACATCCATGCCCAGATAGAAGGGCCTCTCTATTTAGCTGGCATTTTTTTCCCTGGCCTGCCCAGCCCCACATGGAAGGGAGTCAACTTTGAAGGGTAAAGATGAGCACAGACTTTTGCTTGGGAAGAAGGACCCCTCAGTCTGGAAAGGTGAAAGACGGAGGGAAAACCATTGAGACTGATGAAATCAAACACAGATGGTCTGTGTACAATGAACGCTCAATCCCTACAGGGTTATCTCCTCTGACATTTGAAAAAAAATGTATTAATAAATTTAAGACAAGATGCTCAGCTTCACATAGCGGGCAATAAAAGTGTGGAGTTTTTAGAAAAGTTTCTAACAACACAGGGATTGACCGTTCAACTTGACTTCAGGGAGTATACCAATGGCCCCTAACACACACACACAGACACACACACACCACACACACAGACACATACCACCACCACTATCATCCACTATATCCCTTTGGGGTGGGTCCCTAGTAACAAATAGGGGATGGGGACGAGGCTGGCCCAACTTTTGCCTAGGTACCCATCAAGAACCTTGAACCAAGCCCAAGCCCTGACTGCCCAGGAGCAAGCCGGCCTTAAATGGCATTCATTGATGTCACAGCCACCTGCAACAAGAGCTCTTTCCTGGGTACTTAAAATGACACCAGGAAGCTTTTCGGGAAGAAAAAACTGTCAAGTGGCAAATGAAACCCGTCGATGGCTATCTTCATAATTTGGAGACTCTCAAACGGAAAACCATTTTTTTTTTTTTTGAGATGGAGTCTCGCTCTGTCGCCCAGTCTGGAATACAATGGCGCCATCCCGGCTCACTGCAAGCTCCGCCTCCTGGGTTCACGCCATTCTCCTGCCTCAGCCTCCCGAGTAGCTGGGACTACAGGCGCCCGCCACCACGCCTGGCTAATTTTTGTATTTTTAGTAGAGACGGGGTTTCACCTTGTTAGCCAGGATGGTCTCGATCTCCTGACCTCGTGATCCGCCCACCTCGGCCTCCCAGAGTGCTGGGATTACAGGCCTGAGCCACCGCGCCTGGTAGAAAACCATTTTTTTAATCTTTCTCCCTGGCAGGGCCGTGGACCACGGAGGCTTCCTTCCCCAAGGCCAGCAGCAAGACAGCTTCACCTCTCTATTGTGATTAGGGCTCCCGCGATGCTAAGGACTCGCCCCGGATATCAAAGCCCCTCTCAGACCATGTGGGCCCGCAAGGCAAGGTCCAGATTACTTCCTTTGATTTTCCAGAAGCTTAGCTGCTGAGACACAGTGGAAATTTTGATTGCATTTTCCACACCTTCCGGTTCATCTCACCCCTAAGTAGGTGCTATGGATTATTTCAACAGTGTCAGATGGGAAATAAATTCTCATGCAAGCAAAAGGCCACAAACACGAGGGCTTGGGGGTGGGGTGGAGGGAGAGGAGAGGAGAGGGAAATGAGAAATTTGATGCTGACATATTGCAGGCTAAAGAAACATCTTTTGCTCTTTTCCTGCCCTAAGAATAAAAACTCCCTGATAGGGCTGCACTCCTCTTCCCTATTAAGGAGATGTGGTTTGGGCTAGAGGAACAACTGTTCCCAATAAACAGGTGGGCAGCCCGGCTTTCCCTTTCTTTTCCTTTGGAAGTCATATTCGCTCTTGTTTGTGGCCCTAGAAATCCTCCCTACCACGGATTACACTTTGTTTGAATTAATAAAGCCTCATGGGGTTTATTGCTGTTTTTAGGGCCCAGCCCCTTATTTGGCTTTGGCAAAGGACACTTCCCTGCTGATTCATAGCGCTCCTATTGTACAGGGCACATAGAGGAGAGAAGGACGTGAGAGGCTGTGGACCAGGGGACAAAAGACTCAAACAATAACACAAAGGCATGGGATGAGTGTGTGTGTGATGATCTCTGTTCCTGTGTGAT
This sequence comes from Homo sapiens, assembly GCF_000001405.40. Lineage (NCBI taxonomy): Eukaryota > Metazoa > Chordata > Mammalia > Primates > Hominidae > Homo > Homo sapiens. Next base: position 226,784,123 of record NC_000001.11, on the reverse strand, counting down.
TAAGCACAGCCGCTTGTGTGAATATAGTTGGCTATTGTTTTGATGAGAAGGGCCTTTTGGAGCCTGTTTATCCCATTAGATGTCACTAATATAAAAAAAGACAGGGTGGTAATAATGGGAAACTTTGTGGTCAGATAAACTTGGGTTCAACTGTTGGCTCCCCCACCTATTGGCTGTGTGCCCCATTATTTAACCTCTTTGAGCCTCAGTTTCTTCACTTGCAAAATCAGATGAAGAACATTATAGGAGACCGGACGCGGTGGCTCACGCCTATAATCCCAGTGCTTTGGAAGGCCAAGCCAGGAGGATCACTTGAGGCCAGGAGTTTGAGACCAGCCTGGGCAACACAGAAAGACCCCGTCTCTACAAAAAATAAAAATAAAAATAAATTAGCTGGGTGTGGTGGCACATGCTTATAGTCCTGGCTACTTGGGAGGTGGAGGTGGGAGGATTGCTTGAGCCCGGGAGTTTGAGGTTGCAGTGAGCTGTGATCACCCCACTGTTCTCCATCCTCAGTGACAGAGCAAGACCCTGTCTCAAAAAGCAAGAACAACAACAACAAAAACCTCACTATGGGAGGTAGATGGCTAATGGAACATGGCAGTGTGGAGAGGGGTCACTAGGGAGAGGCTGGTTTGGTAGCCAGCAGGAAGCCTCTCAGGGCCACAGTTAACTTGGCAAATTTGTCACGGTTGGGTTTAGTCATGCAGGCTCAGGAATCTGATGTCTCACACCATGAGGGTGACCATTTTTTTCAGGGTCCAATTAACATTAACCTGGCTTATAGAGACTGACGTACAAACCAAAGTGCCCAGTCACTGATTCAAAGCAAGAAACCAAGTCACTCAGAGGACCAGAGACTCCCTTCCCCAGTCAGGGCATTCCAAGTCAATGGGTGAGTATGTGGGAAGCTTGGCTAAGGAACAAGGGAAACTGATTAAATTGATTAAATAAATGGTCTATTATCTGCTTACTCCTTTAGCCCATCTCCCGGGATTCTCCTGTTCCTCACACCACAGTTGCACCAGGGAGCTTGCTTTTCTGAGAATGTGCCACATTCTCCATTATGCACATTTGTTGGGTCCCCACCCGGCATTCTTTCCTCTCCTAACAAACAATGCTCAACTTTTTCTCCTGGCATCTTACACACACACACCATGAGCTTCAGGGACACTGATTTCACTCCCAGCTCCTGCTCCAGGGTGGCAAAAAGAAAAAAAAAAAAAGAAAAAAAGAAAGAGTCCATTACAAACTCCATGCCTCAGGTAAACCACCAATCAGGGCCAGATATGTGACTTCATTTGACCCAGTCAGGGTGGCTCTCAGGGATCTTATTGGAACTATGGGGAGAGTGCTCTGTCTTCCTTTGACCTGTGCAGCATGTGGATTTTCTTCTGAAACAGCTGCAGCCAATTTGCCTCAGTGAGGAAAGATGAGGATGACACTGACACACAGAGGAAGGCCAAGCCCAGAAAATCATAAAATAGGTCTGAAGTCCTGATCAAGCCATGCCTGAAGCCTGCATGATTCCTCTGGAAACATTGTTCTCAATTTGGGGTTGGGGGTAGGTAGACAGTACTGCCCCTTGGGGCATTTTGGAAATGTAAGGGGTTCTTTTGTTTGTCATGGTGACTGGGAATGTTACTGCCATTTAGTCTACAGTCAGGAATGTTAGACGTTCTACAATGTGTGGCAGAGAACTGTCCACAGTCCTGCCAGACTTGTGTATGTCTTACCCAACATCAATGTTGGTGTGCACACTGCATCAGGAACTGGAATCAAAGTCTGGTAGGCAGAATCATGGCTCCCAGAGACGTCCACGTTCTCACCCAGAATCTGTGAATGGTACCTTTCCGTGGCAATGGGGACTTTGCACAGATGTGACTAGGGATCTTGAGAGCAGTCATTGTCCTGGATTATCTGTTTGGGCCTGATGTAATCACAGCACTCCTCAAAGAAGGGACACAGGAGAAATCAGAGTCAGAGGAGAAAGTGATATGGTGAGAGAAACAGAGATTGGAGTGATGTACTTTGAAGATGGAGGAAGGGGCCCCAAGCCAAGAAACGCAGGCGGCCACTAGAAGTTGAATAAGGTAAGAAATAGGCCTCTCTCCTCAGAGCCTCTGTGAGGGACCAGCCGTGGCAACACCTTGACTTTAGCACAGAAACTGGATTTGGACTTCTGACCTCTAGAACTGTCTGGGAATAAATCTGTGTGGGTTTAAGCCACTAAACTTGTTGTAATTTGTTATAGCAACCACAGGAAACTAATACAAAGTTATGCCTGAAAGACTCAAGGCAGCAGGTTTTGTTTTGTTTTAATGGGAGATGTGTTTATGGGGATGTTTTCCCACTCATCTTGAGGCAGAGTGCATCCAGTGCTGCTTCCTCCTGAGGGATCAGGCTTCTGGAAGTCTTGCTTCTCCTCCTGTGGGCTGGCAGAGGACGGTGGAGAAGCCATCACACAAAACTACTGTTTGTGCATGGCTAACAAATGTGATTTTATAGCATTCTGGGCGTTTCACATCATGAAGTGGGAACTGGGGCTCCGCACCAGGCACTTCTTCTGTTTCCTCTTCCTCTCTTCTGGAAAGGGATGCAGGAGATCTTTTGCAAGGGGCATGTTTTTGTGCGTGGGTCATCACCTCCAGAAAGGCAGCTGATCCATTTGATTGCTATAATTAACTGAGGCTAGCCCCTGGCTCTGTTTTACGTATAGACCCAGCGTGCTTTTTTTCACAAATATAGACAATGTTTTCCAGGGAAGATGGGCTTTACTTTATTCCAAAGTTTACCAAGAGTCATTCCCATTCCATGAGAAAATCACATGAACTATGGCCAAGGCTACTTGGGACCCACCTCCCTGTACTGGCCTGCACTTGTCACAGTCATGCTTATGGGGATTCTGAGTATGGATGTGAACATCTCACCCCTTATGTTGTCTTCTGGAGTAGCTGTACTCAGACATTTACATATTAAAATACACATCATTTTCATCATTTTGTTACAAATATGTTCCTTTCCTTCTTCCTCTGTGACCTCTATGACCTAGTTAGACCCTCATAGTGTTTCTTTTTTCTTTTTCTTTGTGGAAAATATGGATGCCTGTAGGTTATATTATGCACTAATTCCATTTCAGGAGATACAAACTATTTTTTAGAGAGACGGGACTTTAGGTCAGATAGGGCTGATAAATACAGCTCTCAGATGTGGTTGTTGCTGTGAGCACCTCCTATCTGAGTAACTATGTCTCCTCTGGTGACCCTCCTCACCTCTAGGGCTGGCATGATGAGCCCATGCAGTATGTCCTGCCAGTCCCCACTCCCTTGTCTATAACAGATGCCATTAGTTCAGTACAGCACCATTTTCCATTGCAATGGGATTTAGTCTAAAATTTCTTCTCATCAGAATGTTAGAAGCAGCTACCTCCCATAGACAGGAGTTAGTACAGGAGATCACTTACCTGTGAATCCAGAACAGGCAGATCCTTTTGCCTCAACATCCTTCTCTCCTGCCCCAGGGCCATTGCAGGCTTGGCTTAGAACTCTGCCCCTCACCCCCATCCATGAGGCGGGTGACAGGAGCCCCTTCTCCCCGCGCTTGCCTCTCTCGTTGCATGCATCTCACAGTTTGAAAAGTGGCTGTTTTTCGTTTTTCATTTTATTTCTTGAGACAGAGTCTTGCTCTGTCACCCAGGCTGTAGTGCAGTAGCATGATCTTGGCTCACTGCAACCTTGACCTCCTTGGTTCAAGTGATCCTCCCAACTCAGACTCCTGAGTAGCTGGGACTATAAGTGTGCTACCACCACACCCAGCTAATTTTTATTTTTATTTTTTTTATAAAAATCGGCACCATGTTGGCTTGGCTGGTCTCGAATTCCTGGTCTCAAGTGGTTCTCCCACCTTGGCCTCCCAGAGTGCTGAGATTATAGGTGTGAGCCTCTGTGCCCGGCCGAAAGTTACTGTTAATTTCTCTCCCCCTCCAAATGCAAGCTTTTTGAGCACAGAAGCTGTGATACATTCCTTGAGATGAACTCAGCGCCTGATAGGGAGTAGGAGCTCCGTAAATATTTGATAAAATCGGGCAGGCAGATGGACTCAGCCAACATGTGCCATCCAGGTCTCTAGCCCCTGTCCCCTACCAAGATTTATTGATTCCCTTCGACCTTCTGACGGCGATTTTTCATTGAGCTGTGCTCATCTAATTGAGTCGGTCCATTTGTACTGCTCTTAAGGGCCTGAGAGTGAACACATGTCATTCTTGGTTACCCAGCTGCCAAGAACCCCTCCTAGACAGGACAGGTGGGAGGGAAGACACTCCTCCCTTTCTGCGGGTAGAGGAAGTGTGTCACTCAGGACTTCGAACCTGAAAGGAGGGAAACTAGGACGCAGAGCCAGTTAGAGGCAATTAGCAGCAGCTGCAGTGGGACCTGCAGTCTAGTGGTGCGGTGGATGTGTCCAGGGCCACAGCGTCCAGTAGGACAGAGGTGAGCACATCCGGGGACAGGGGAGCAGGAATGAATGTGCAGTCGTGATGATTACAGCAGTGGCCTATGCAGGTGGCTCCTGAGAGGGGGTCTTGTCTAGCCCATGTCTAATTGGGTTCTGTTGGAGCCCGGTTCCCCAGCTCCTTGTCAATTACATGAGTTCCTAGATACCTTTCCAATCAATCCCTGCCCTCACTCCTGTCCCCGATTCCTGCTCCTTTCCCTACAGGCCCCTTCATCCCGTTTCACCCACTAGATCTTCATCCTCACGGCCCCACCCCTTAATGGAATCTACCTGGCTTCCCACCCTGCCCCCAACACACATCAGATCAGTGCCCAGATCTGAGCAGTCACTGGGTCCCCAGTACCCCATCTTTGTAGCTGCACCACGAGGCTTCGCTCAGTTCCAGCAAGGGAGCAAGGGAAGCTGCCCAGCTTCGGGGAGAGCAGGATTGGGATTTCCTTGTTAGTGTTCCCATCCATGAAATCTAGAGAAGCTTTTGGAGTAAGACGCATGTTCATTTTTTACAGGTACATATGTTTCATTTTTATTGTCCAAAACCATATTTAAAGAGGAATTATTTTCCAAGTTTAAAAAGGAGCCCAATCAGCTCTCCTAGCCAGTGAGCCCACATGGCTGGTGAGAAGCAGCTTTGGTTTCTTCTTGCTCTGCCCAAGGGCCTATCTAGATCATAAAAGAGCAACATTAATCTTAAATGACTCCTTGCTTTGTTACCCTGGGAAGGGCTCCAAACTCAATGAAATCCTCCTGCCACGATAACAACAACAATGACCAGGAATGTGCGGTGAGCACTTGCCCAGCACTCAGCTCAGCCTCCCACACATCGCAGAGATGATTTCATTTGCTGTCACAACAATTCCATGTGCTCGGCACAGTCATGCCCTGTCTGTCAACAGGGAAATGGAGGCACTGAGGGACTTTCCCAAGGTCACGTAGCTGGCAATGGCAGTCTTGGACACTAACCCCTAAAGGAAGAAAAAAACAAGGGAAAAGAAGTTGGAAGAATGAGGGAAATGTTATAGACTGGCAGAGTAACAACTCCTGGAAAAAAATTTGGGATTGCCTAACAATCCTGATTTAGAATCTGGAGCAAAGAGGCCATGCAAAGGATTGCATGCCAAACAAAGTACATTTTATGATAATAATTTTTAAAATACTGTGGGTTTTTAAATATAATGATTGGGTGACCAAATAGAACTATCTGTCGTCCTTCCTCCAAAACAATAAGCAAACTTTCTCTTATGAAAAGGGGACTGCAATAACACTTTTTTTCTTCTTTTTGAGACAGGGTCTCATTCTGTTGCCCAGGCTGAAGTGCAGTGGTGCAATCTCAGTTCACTGCAACCTCTGCCTCCTGGCTTCAAGTGATCCTCCCTGCTCAGCCTCCTGAGTAGCGGGGACTACAGGCATGCACTACCCTACCCAGCTAATTTTCGTATTTTTTTGTAGAGGTGGGGTTTGGCCATGTTGCTCAGGCTGGTCTCAAATTCCTGGACTCAAGTGATCTGCCAGCCTCTGCCTCCCAAAGTGCTGGTTTTACAGGCGTGAGCCACCGCACCTAGCCTGCAATAACAATTTAATACAAACACACTATTCTGGAAAAGCACACACAATGTTTCAAAATCCTACTGGAACTTCAGTGATGATGGAGTTAGATTATGATAAGAGCAGAGGAAGAACCATATTACTAGAGGATTTGGTTTGGAGGCCTCCCAGGCGGAGCTCAAGATTGCTGAGCTGTAGGCTGCCGTGGAGCATAACTCTTAGACAGTGCTCTATTCCACCCTGGGCCTGTGCTTTGGAGGGTTCTATATATTAAACATATGCACACCAAAATGCACATGTCAAATAACACAAAGAAGGCTTGGTCACTGGTATTTGGTGCTCAATGCTGGCATAGCCCAACTCGTAGCCCTAAAACATCTGCTCTATTGACTAACACTATTCAGGCCCCAGAGAAATGCTTCTCCATATCTCTTGCTCTATATTTTCAAAACAAAAAAATGACTATATCTGAAAGCCATGGTTTGTTGGTTGTATCACTGCCCAAACTGGGATGGACACTGTTTTTGGGGTGCAGGGAGATCTGAGTAGTGGAAGAAGTTAGATGAAAGACAAATCAGTTAACAAGTTCTTATTCTCAGTGTGAATGCAATGGATTCTTGTACAATGAAGCACCATTCCCCAGTACTGTCAAACATCCATTTTCTTACTTCTCCTTGGATTCCCATATGTGGCTCCAGAGGCCCTCCCTGGTGCAGTACTTGCCACTGCTGCACCAGGGAGGGCCTCTGGCAGCCTTGGATTGTTCTTCAGTATTAAACATCACTCTTCAATTTGTACATACCATCAATTCTCATTATTAGAGGTAGTTATGTTCTAAAAAAAAGCCACCAAGAACACTGAATTAGCAAATAATGAACCATTGTTCCTAAGGGAAATACACGGCTAGGTTCCTGTGAGCATCTGGTCACATTTCATCAACTAATCAATACATAACCTCACTTTATGTGTTATGTGTATATATATATTAGTATATATATGTATATATTATATATACATTTATATATAATAAATATATACTAGTATATTTATATTAGTAAATATATATTAGTATATTGTATATTTTAAAACAAGTAGAAGAGAGGAATTTCAATATTCTCACCACAAATAAATGATAAATGTTTGAAGGGCTGGGTTTGCTATTTAGCCTGATATGGTGATTACACAATGTGTATATGTATTAAAACATCACATTGTGCCTCATAAATATGTACAATTATGTGTCAATTAAAAATGAAATAGGTCAGGCACAAGTGGCTCACACTTGTAATCCCAACACTTTAGGAGGCTGAGGTGAGAGGAATGCTCGAGGCTAGGAGTTTGAGAGCAGGCTGGGCAACATATGGATACCCTGTCTCTTAAAAAAAAAATAATCTAAAATTAGCCAGGCTTGGTAGTGTGCACCTGCAGTCCCAGCTTCTCTGGAGGCTAAGGCAGGAGGATCGCTTGAGCCTAGGAGGTCAAGGCTGCAGCAAGCCATGTCTTGTCACTGCACCCCAGCCTGGGGGACAGAGGAAGACCTTATCTTTAAAAAATAAATAAAATAAAACTTAAAACAAATAAATAAAACATATATATAGTCGATTCATTAACAGTGAGTTCACAGCCAATAGTACTGTAACTCATGCCTGAACGAAGCGTATCTAATAGCCTGTATTCTCTCAGTAAAGCACATGAAAGCCCCTTGCACTTAATGACACTAGATAGCACTTCAGCACCACATTTGGGAGCCATTTCAAACAGTGAGTCAGTGAAAAAATACAAAAATTAAAAAATCATGACACTAAATAGACTGAGGAAAGGACACTTTACGTAGGAGAGCTGAAGCAGGAAGGCAGAGTGTCACGTTGTTTGACCTCAGCTTAGGAATGTTCGGTAGGGTGACACCTTTTTCACTGCTCTGCACATGCCAGCAAATGACCTCCAAAGCACTGAGTGTTGATTACGAGGTGGCAAAGAAATTTTATTAAGGAAGATAATTCATAAATATGGAATCTGTGAATACTGAGGATAACCAGTGTGTGGATCTAGATGCAACTTGTGTGAAATGATATCAACTTTTTATGTTACATTAATTAGTTGGGATTGGAACACTAAAATTGTAAATAGCTTTTTTTTTTTTTGAGACAAAGTCTCGCTCTGTCACCCAGGCTGGAGTACAGTGGTGCCATCTCAGCTCACTGCAAGCTCTGCCTCCCAGGTTCATGCCATTCTCCCACCTCAGGCTCCCAAGTAGCTAGGACTACAGGTGCCCGCCACCACTCCCAGCTAATTTTGTTTTGTATTTTTAGCAGAGACAGGGTTTCACCATGTTAGCCAGGATGGTCTTGATCTCCTGACCTCGTGATCTGCCCGCCTTGGCATCCAAAAGTGCTGGGATTACAGGTGTGAGCCAGTGTTCCCGGCCCAAATAGCTTTTTTTAATAAAAAGATATAATAAGATTTAATTACATTTTCAATAAACAAATGAAAAATTTCATCTTTTTTTGAATAATTTTGGTCTAAAATGTTCATATTCACTAGTTATAACATAATTTGGCTTTTACTTTTAATAGAAAAACTTAAATATTTTAGAAGAAATTCAAAAACATTTAATTTTTTACATTTCTTTATATTTTTGTGAAAATATATTAAAATTTTGTGTACTTTGAATATATTTGCTTTTTTTTTTTTTTTTTTTTGAGACAGAGTTTTGCTCTTGTTGCCCAGGCTAGAGTACAATGGTGAGATCTCAGCTCACTGCAACCTCCGCCTCCTGGGTTCAAGTCATTCTCCTGCCTCAGCCTCCTGAGTAGGTGGGATTACAGGTATATGCCACCACACCCAGCTAATTTTGTATTTTTAGTAGAGATGGGGTTTCTCCGTGTTGGTCCGTGACCTCAGATGATTCACCCGCCTCAGCCTCCCAAAGTGCTGGGATTAGAGGCGTGAGCCACCGCGTCCGGCTATATTTGCCTTTTTAAAAAAAACTCTAATCTCATGACAGATTACGCTTTCATTATTTAATTGTTTATATCATTGCTGTAAAGGAAAAGAAAATTAAGTGAATACTTTATTACAATAATATAATTAATAATGTTGCTAAAATCGAGGCAAGTAAATTAGTTTTATGGAACAAAAGCTGTGATAACATATGAATTATGTACGTCTTTATTTTGTTACTCAGCTAGATCTTGCCAGCCCATCAGCAGACCAGACATGTCCTATAATCATAAAATCGAGGCCGGGCATGAGGCTCACGCCTATAATCCCAGCACTTTGGGAGGCCAAGCTCAGTGGATTGCTTGAGCCCAGGGGTTCGAAACCAGCCTGGCCAACATAGTGAAACCCCTAAAAATACAAAAATTATCTGGGCATGGGAGACTGAGGGAGGAGAATCGCTTGAGCCTGGGAGGCGGAGGTTGCAGTGAGCTGAGATCATGCTATTGCACTCCAGCCTGGGCGACACAGCGAGACTGTGTCTCAAAAAAATAATAATAAAAATAAATAAATAAAATAATAAAATTCAGATGTCTTTAATAGTTTATTGACATGCAGTCATATAAAAGTCAGAGCTCTATACATATTTAAAATTTTTGTTGTTACAAAGATAACTGTATCAAGGTAGAGGATAAAACATATTTTATTTAACTTTTTGTTGTCATTGTTGTTGTTGTTTTGAGATGGAGTCTCGCTCTGTCGCCCAGGTTGGAGTGCAGTGGTGTGATCTCAGCTCATTGCAACCTTCTCCTCTTGAGTTCAAGCGATTCTCCAGCCTCAGCCTTCCAAGTAGCTGGGATTAAAGGCGCCTGCCACCACGCCCGGCTAATTTTGTATTTTTAGTAGAGATGGGGTTTCATCATGTTGGCCAGGCTGGTCTCGAACTCCTGACCTCAAGTCATCCACCCGCCTTGGCCTCCTGAAGTGCTGGGATTATAGGTGTGAGCCACTGCACCTGGCTACTTAACAGTTTATTGGCTTGATGTATTACCTCTTCACATTTAGACACATGGTATGTGGAGTTCCATTCATGCCCTTGCACTAGGACCCATCCACATCTTGGTGGACCTGCCTCTGTGACCACATCTTGGTGGACCTGCCTCTGTGAAGATTGAGGGCATAGGCGGTATTCTGGGGTCTGTATCCCAGAAAATCAGCAGCCCAGCTTAGCAGATATTCTGATATTCTGATTAGGTCTAGCCCCAAATTGCAGAAAAACAGATGGCAACAGCATCAAGTCAGTTAGAAATTCTCCAATAATAGTGCTAAACATTGTCATAGGGTTGGAAAAGGCCACCCTAGCAGACTGGTGGCTGGAAGTGGTGAGATTCAGAAAATGCACAGTGGCCGTGACAACCACTACAGGGAGAGAATCCTTGAGAAGCTGATGGGCTCAGAAGGCCACTTGTTTTGATGAACAGAACATGAAATCAACTCATTTTGCTGTCCTACTCTGGAGGAAATGCAGCAGACCTCTGCAATGGGTCTGCATCCAGGTCCCGGGCACCAGGGCCCATCCTGAGCATGGAGGGTTCCAGGCAACAGAAGCTGGGTCTGTCCTGAGGCTTCCACCTCTGATTACCCCCAAACCAAAGCTTCTCTAGAGCATATTTATAGGAAGCTAAAGATAAAATGTGGAGCCCACCTGCTAAGGTTAATGACATCACCTCCAAGTATTGAAGTTGGGTCCTTCAATCAGATTTAAGATTTATTTATGGCCGGGTGCAGTGGCTCATGGCTGTAATCCCAGCACTGTGGGAGGCTGAAGGTGGCAGATCACTTGAGGCCAGGAGTTCGAGGGTAGCCTGGCCAACATGGTGAAACCCTGTCTCTACTAAAAATACAAAAATTAGCTGGGCATGGTGGCACATGCCTGTAATCCCAGCTACTCGGGAAGCTGAGGCAGGAGAATCGCTTGAGCCTGGGAGGTGGAGGTTGCAGTGAGCCGAGATAGGTTACAGAGTGCTGCTGCAGGAGACTCCGTCTCAAAAAACAAACAAACAAAGACTTATTTATAATCATTTATAATCATTCAGCATATGCAAAGTCTCAGGGGACTCAGAAAGCGATCTGGGTTCTACTTCCAGTTTCTAGTTTCTGTACTAACCACGGGACCTTGGACAATTCCTTTCACCTTTACAGGCTTCTGTTTCCTCATCCTGAAAACAAAAGCACAGTCTTAGATCATTTGTAAGGTCCCTCTTGCTGTGCAACTCTACGGTTTATCTGCCAGAGGGATTCCTTCTGTGTGCCTTGGACTACATGCAGTATCAGGATTACTTACTCCAAAAGGCAGTTGTTCCTTTGTTTGCTGGCCTCCGGGGAAACCCAGACATTTTATGATGTCCCTGCTATGGGGGTGGCAAGGAGTGCCTGGTGGCTGGTGCCCTCTGCCTCCGGCCTGCATCATTAGCATTGGCCCAGCCTCTTTGGTGGAGGTCATCCCACCCTTGTTATGTGGTCAGACATGCTACCTTCAGGGAAGTAGTCACAAGACAATAGTTCCCTTTGACAGAGAGAAGTCTTTTCAACTATGGTAGACAGCCCTTGAATTCTATCATGGGGTTCAGTGGGTAGCTTCTTTAAATCATGGCTTACTTTCATTAACTTAGTCAATAAATATTTAATGAAGGACAATAATATCTACCTCATCGTATTACTGTGAAGAGTAAACTAGTTCATATACAACTTTGAATAGTGCATGACAGGTAATAAATTCCAATAAATATTAGCTATGGAGTACCTACTACATGCCAGGTACATGCTAGGTGCTGGAGTGCCACAGGAGCAAGACCAGTTCCTGGAGGAACTCACGGATGGATGGATCTGTGAGATGGATGTGCCTACAAGAGTGTGCTGTGAGAAGAAATACAACACAGGAAGAATCCAAAGCCATGGGCATGCAAGTGAGGGAGGTACTGATTCTTCGGGGAAGGAGAAAACAATGGAGGGTGAGGGGGACATCTGTCACTTCCCAGTACCCAGCATCACAGCCCTGCCTTCTTCACATAGAATCCATCTTTCTTATGGGGGATCTATTCCATGGAGTCAGGTAGGACTGATCCCAGAGGAGGGCAGGTGGTCCAAGGTTGGCCATGAGGGTATTCTGTCTTCCTGCTGACAGTCACGGGCTCAGGGATGTGCATGGGGCACATGCTGGGGCAATCCAAAAGCTCCTGGGGACTTTCACCAAACCTATTAGAGAAGCGTTCACTCTCTCTTTGTCTGGGATCATGAGACTTAAGGATAACACACATCTGGAGCTCCCAGTGTGACTAACTTTAGCTTTAGGTGGAGGAAAACTAAATCTAAGTCAGAGGAGAAACTGGAGAGAGAGAGAGAGAGAGAGAGAGAGAGGCCATGACACTCTGAACCTCTGGGTCCTCTTGTGCCTGAAGCTACAACCACTCCCAGTTACATGAATCAATAAAGTACCCCTTTGCCCACTGTATTAGATTTTTGGCATTTGCAACCATCAGCCTTGGCTAATACAGAAAGTTTTTTTAAAGAAGATAGGACATGTGAGCTAGAGTTTGAAGAACATGCTCACCAGTCAAAAAAGTTCTATATTAATCTTTGGGATTCAGGAACAAATCATAGTTCCCAGGATTTTTTGGGATGTCTCAAAACTTATAAATTGTTCTGTATTTTTATAATACTATTATGCTGGGTGCAGTGGCTCATGCCTGTAATCCCAGCACTTTGGGAGGCTGAGGTGGGGGAGTTCAAGACCAGCCTGGGCAACATAGTGAGACTTTGTCTCTACTAAAAGTCAAAAAATTAGCCAAGTGTAGTGATGTGAACCCGTAGTCCCAGCTACTCAGGAGGCTGAGGTGGGAGGATCACTTGAGCCCAGGAGATCCAGGCTGCAGTGAGCTATGATTTCATCACTATGATTTCTTCAGCCTGGGCGACAGTGCAAGATCCTGTCTCAAAACAAAACAAAACAAAAAAAACCCCACCGATTTACATGTTTTTAAATGATAACAGAGTGACCATAATAAGAAATAATGAGGTTGGGCTTGGTGGCTCACGCCTATAATCCCAGCACTTTGGGAGGCCAAGGTGGGCAGATCACCTGAGGTTAGGAATTTGAGACCAGCCTAGCCAACATGGTGAAACCCTGTCTCTTGTAAAAATACAAAAAAATTAGCCGGGTGGGGTGGCTGCGCACGTCTGTAATCCCAGCTACTTGGGAGACAGGCGGGAAGAATCGCTTGAACCTGGGAGGTGGAAGCTGCAGTGAGCAGAGATCGCGCAACTGCACTCCAGCCTGGGAAATGAGAGTAAAACTCCGTCTCAAAAAAAAAAAAAAAAAAAGAAACAGTGAATCATGTTCCTGTGTCAGGGTTATCATAAATGTTTCAAAAGTTTTCTGTTTCTATTTAAAATAATAATCATAATTGTTGTTATGAGAAAATGTATGGTACTTATAGATTATTTCAATAACATAAAAATAATCTCTACGTGATAAAGACATTTGATAACAGAAAACTAAAAGAGAAGATTAACACCAAATAAACAACAAATAAAAGTCATTAAAAGTTGAAAGACACTTTCACAAACACTAAAGCATTATTCTCAAAAGGAGACGTTTAAACACAGCATTAATTGCCCTACACGATAATCTTGATCTTTGTTTCATGGGGAATACTGTAGTGGGAGAAAAATGCCTTTCATTTTGTGTTGACACAGGTTGAATTAAGAGTACATGTCTGAAAGCATCTTCCAGCTGGGCATTAGGGTACAAGTTGCTTCCTCTAAGTTGGTTTTTTATTTAATGATGAAACTGTTTGTCTCCTTGCCCTGATTTTGGTTTTGTCCTGGAATCGATATAGGTTTTACTAGTTCCGACTTTAGACTGTTCCTGATTTCATGTCTGAGTGTCCCATGCCCACCTTATCTTCTCTTTAGGTTTCCTCCTTGCTGGGGTTGAGCTGGACACCCCGGGGGTTTAGCAAGACCCGTCCACTCCACGTCATGGGAAGGCCAGCATCCTTCAGCCCCAGCAGGCTCCTGGGGTCTCCAGGCAGCTGTCAGCTGCACAGCGCTTCTCATTGCTGGGCCTTCTGAGTCTTACCCTGTCCAGCCCTCCCCCAGAAGACCCCCACCTACAGTCCTGGGCTCCTCTTCTGGGCAGCTTCTCCTCTCCAGTTCCCTGCCCCCGCAAATTCCAGTGACTTCAGCAGCCTCCATCTTCTCTGAGCTCTTCCTTCCCAGCTCAGCGAGACCACATCTCTTCATCTCCTTACTGGGGTCCAGAGAGTGCCCCCAGGGGTGGTTGTGGGGTCACCTGTGGGTTTCCCGGCTCTCAAGGATCAGCCCTGTGTCCCTTGGGGTCTAATTCCTGGAAACAGTTGTATTGTCTATTTTGCCCACTTTTACAGTTCTTTAAAGCAGGTGAGTACCCATTGAATATCAGTCGCTGCCACATGGCCAGATATGAAAACTCATCTCTTATTTTTCATTAAAAAAATGTTGTGGGCCAGGCGCAGTGGCTCACACCTGTAATCCCAGCACTTTGGGAGGCCGAGGTGGGTGGATCACCAGAGGTCAGGAGTTAGAGACCAGCCTGGCCAACATGGTGAAACCCAGTCTCTACTAAAAAAAATACAAAAATTAGCCGGGTGTGATGGCGAGCACCTGTAATCCCAGTTACTTGGGAGGCTGAGGCCAGAGAATCGCTTGAACCTGAGAGGGAGGGTTTGCAATGAGCTAAGATGGCGCCACTGCACTCCAGCCTGGGTGACAGAGGGAGACTCTGTCTCAAAAAAAAAGAAAGAAAGAAAATGTTGTGATGATGAGGATATTGTTCAAGTTTATAACATGTATATTTTATTTTGAAGTCACAATTTCACTGTTTTCTCTCTTTAATGCCATAATTCTACATTTAAATGGATTCAGTATTCTAAGTCTTTCTACAGTGCTCTCTCCATTCTTGAGTTTTTCATGTGATTCATTCTCCTTACAGGTTAGATTTTAAAACAAGCAGGCTTTTTTCTCCCAAGAAGCACTCACGGGTGTTACATTCCTTGTCGTGTTTTCATGTTTGGGATTGTGCCTTGGCCTTTATACTGAAATGGCATCTTGTCTGGGTCTCATTTTCTCAGTCACATTTTTTTTTTTTTTTACAGACAATGTGCTATTGTCTTCCTTAATTATTCCCTAGTGATAAAAATATTTTTAAAAACGTTTAGGGTGGATGTAGTGGCTCATGCCTGTAATCCCAGCTGTTTGGGAGGTTGAGATGAGCAGATCTCTTGAGTCCAAGAGTTTGAGACCAGCCTAGGAAACATGGTGGGACCCCATCTCTGTATTAAAAAAAAAAAAAAGTTGGGTGTGATGGTGCACACCTCTGGTCCCAGCTACTAAGGAGGCTGAGGCAGGAGGATTCCTTGAACCTGGGAGGTGGAGGCTGTAGTGAGCGATGATTGAGCCAGTGCACTCCAGCCTGGGCAACAGAGTGAGACCCTGAATCAAAAGAAAAAAGTTTAGAATTTTGTTTCCTTTTTTCTTATGAAATACTGATACCTACAAAAAACATGTAGAACCAATATATTATACATTATCGAAATAAAATAAACGCAAGTTCGTTGCCCCCTTTAGAACTAGAACGTTGCCACTGCAGCTCCCTATGCTCCTGCCCAAGCCCTCTCCCACCCCAACCCTCAGAGAGAATCATTATCCTGGCTTCTTTGTAGAATTACCATTAATTTTTTCTTTTATCTTTTTTTCTTGAGACAGAGTCTCTCTCTGTCGCCCAGGCTGGAGTGCAGTGGCACAATCTCGGCTCACTGCAACCTCCACTTCCCAGGTTCAAGTGATTCTCCTGCCTCAGCCTCCAGAGTAGCTGGGATTACAGGCGCCCCCCAACCATGCCAGTCTAATTTTTTTGTATTTTTAGTACAGATGGGGTTTTGCCATGTTGGCCAGGCTGGTATTGAACTCCTGACCTCAGGTGATCCACCTACCTTGGCTTCCCAGATTGCTGGGATTACAGGTGTGAGTCACCATGCCCAGCCAATTTTTCGTAAATAATATGTGATTTAATTGTTAGATGTTTAATTATTTTTTATTGTTTTTAAACACGATAAATGCAGTATGTTCCTAAGATTCAGTCACCTTGATGTCTATAGCTGTAGTTCATTTATTTTCAGTGTAGTTGAGAATTTTAATTTTATGAATATACTGCAATGCATTTATCCATTCTCCTGTCAATTACAGCTCTTTCCAGTTTTTTCCTATCATGAGCAATGCTGTCATGAACATACCTCTGCTTGTCTCCTAGTATATGGAGCAATAAGTTTTGTAGGATATATATACACAGGTTAAATTGCTGGAGCTGTAGGATATGTGCATGGTCAGCTTTACAAGCTAATGCCAAGTATTTTTCTACAGTTGTTAAACAAATGTAACTCCCATCGCTGGGGCATGAGTTTACCTGGCTGCGCTTTGTCTTCACTGTATCCTGGTCTTGAATGTTGCTGTGAAGAAGGCTGAATCCTCCCTGGGTTTTGCACCCCTGGCAAGATTCACTTTTTCTATTAAGATACTTGAAAAATTTTTTATCACTAAAGTTCGCTAATTTAATTAGAGTACATTTTTTCTTGTTTTGTTTTTTGTTTCTTGTTTGGGACAGGGTCTCACTCTGTTGCCCAGGCTGGAGTGCAGTGGCATGATCATTGCTCACCTCAACCTCAATTTTCTGGGCTCAAGCAATCCTCCCACATCAGCCTCCGGAGTAGCTGGGTCCACAAGTTTGCACCACCACGCCTGGCTAGTTTTTGTATTTTTTGTAGAGATGGGATTTCACCACATTGCCCAGGCTGGTCTCAAATTCCTGGGCTCAAGCAATCTGCCCACCTTGGCCTTCCAAAGCACCAGAATTACAGGCTTGAGCCATCGTGCCCAGCCTAGAGTACACTTTAGTATTTAACATTCTGTATTACATTTTTCTTGGAATACAGTCTATTCCGTTTATTTGTATATTCAGTCCTTCATTTCATGGAAATTCCCTTGATTATACATTTGAATACATCTTTTGTTCCATGTGTTGGACTCTCTACTTAAGGGACACCAATTATCCTTATATTCAGTCACATTTTCCTCTCTTTCATACCCATTTCTTTATCATTTATATTCACTGTGATTGTCTTAAGCCTTTCCTCTACATCATAATTCAATTTTTAACAGTATTTTGTTTCTTATTTCTAGTTTATATTTTAACTCTATAATAATTCTGCCCTCTATTTGTTTCCCTATATCTGAAATCTCTCTTTTCATCTCATTTCAATTTTACTATCTCTTCTTTGAGTTCCTGTTTCACCTAATTCACTTTCTAATTAAGCAGTAGAGCGTGCAGAATTGGGAGGAATTGCCTTCATTGCTTGAGTCAGGTTTCCTCTCATTTGGGTTTCTGGTCATTTTCTTCATCCGTTGCCTTTTCCACCCTGCAGGATAGTTTTACAGTTGCTATGCTTTTTCTTTTCATTTGCTCGTGTTTGGGGAATTTCAGCCATTCATTTTATTTGTTCTGATAGCGTGTGGGTGACTTCTTGACGATCTTCCTCTTCTATTTGTTTTCTTCTCTTGATTTCATTGGGAGAGTTGAGGGAACCAGGTGGGGAGGGCAGGGAAGGCTCAGAGGGCAGAGTGTCAGGAGCTAGCATGTCTGGGCTCCGCTCTGCCCACTGCGAGATTTAGGAGATGTGTCGGGATCTACTCCTCCAGGCCAGGTAGTACACACCAGTCCCATGGAGGGTAGAACCTTAGGCTTTGCATCAGTGCTGAAATTCAGTTTGTAGCCCTGGAGTCTTCACTATGGTCAGAATCAGCCCAGTTGTTCACTTCCTCCAGTTTACCTATTTCTCCCCAACAGGTATTTCTGCTGCTTTATTTACTGTCAGAGAAGGAAATGGATAAATAAACCTTTGTGCTTGGCTTCTCTCGGCTTTGTGGGTATTCATGAGAATTGTCAGGACTCTGTTGGGTCTCCACTGCAGATTCAGGGGGCGTGGGAACCAGGTGAGGAGCCAAGTCCTGTCAGGCTTCTCCACTCTACCCCAGAATATTGCTTATTTTCATGGTTAACAATTTTCAAAGTTCATTGCTTCTTTGCTTATTTGATTGCTGTTGGTGAATTTCTCTTGTTTATTTTTACCTCTTTTTTTTTTTTTTAAGATGGAGTCTTGCTCTGTAGCCCACGCTGGAGTACAGTGGTGTGATCTTGGCTCACTGCAACCTCTGCCTCCCGGGTTCAAGCAATTCTCTTGCCTCAGCCTCCTGGGTAGCTGGGATTACAGGCTCATGCCACCATGCCCAGCTAATTTTTGTATTTTCAGTAGAGACAGGATTTCACCATGTTGGCCAGGCTGGCCACAAACTCCTGACCTCCAGTGATTCACCAGCCTTAGCCTCCCAAACTGTTGGGATTACAGGCATGAGCCACTGCACCCGGCCTTGTTTATTTTTACTTCTTTGGGCTATTTTTGAGGTATTGGCAGACCAAAACTCTGTATTGGTCCATTTTCACACTGCTATAAAGAACTACCTGAGACTGGGTAATTTATAAAGAAAAGAGGTTGAATTGACTCACAGTTCCACAGGCTGTACAGGAGGGATGGTTGGGGAAGTTTCAGGAAACATATAATCACGGCAGAAGGTGAAGGAGAAGCAAGTATGTCTTCACATGGCTGCAGGAGAGAGAGGGAGAGCAAAGTGGGAGGTGCTACACGCTTTCAAACAACCAGATCTCATGAGAACTCTATCATGAGACAGGACATGGGGGATGGTGATAAACCGTTAGAAACCACCCTCATGATCCGATCACCTCCACCACCAGGCCCCACCTCTGACACCGGAAATTATAATTCAACACAAGATTTGGGTGGGGACACAGAGCCAAACCATATCAAACTCTGTGAGAAAATTTCAAACTGCCATCTTAGGTAGGAAGTTCTTTATTTATTGTATGTTATCTGGCTACCTCACTAGAATGTAAATTTCATGAGGGCAGGGGTCTTGTTGGTTTGTTTTGTTCCTGTGTCTCTGGATGCTAAAACAGTACTTGGCATATTGCAGGTGCTCAATAAGTATGTGAAGGACAGATGAGTGGATGGATGAAGAAGCAAAGAAATTGATGAGGAGGCTTTCACCGTAGTTCAAGCAGGGATAGTGTGGGTCTAAGCAGTGGGGCAGCAGTGGAGAGGAAGTGGTGACTTTGAGGCACATTGGAAGTTGGAGTAGAATGGAGAGAGCTTGCTAACTCAGGTGGAGTGAGGAACAGTGAATAAGAAGGAAAGCCAGACTCTTAAGATAAACTGAAGATTCTGGGGTTTGTAGCTTGATGAACAGGTGTTGTGGTTAGGTCCTTCACTGAGAATCGAAACACCAAAGGGGCCAATCATACTGGGTTTAATTTGGACTTGCTGGCTTTGGTAACATTGGGCTGTCTTAAACACAAGGCTGATGTTCAGGAGAGAAGAGAGCTGGGCAGTTTGGGGAGGCATCAGCAAAGGTAGAGGCTGAAGCAGTGGAATTAGAAGAGTAGAGAAGACAAGAGAATGGGGCAGAGAAGTGAGGTACTGATCCATATTTAAAGTAGAAGAGGGGTCACAGGCAAAGAAATCTGGTTGCATGAGGCTCCAGGTCCCAGAAAATGTTTTTAGAAATAAATCAAAAAAAGATCTGCAGATGCATGTCGCATTTGTGCGCAATGTAACTTCTGTTTCACCTTATTCCCCATCCTGCCCTTACCCTCATTACTCCCCCATCAAATGTTTCTTTGCGAAGTTGCAAAAATAAAATGCAGATTTATATAATCTCAGTAAGCATAAAGACAACTGTCTTTAGCAGCGGGAATGGTTTACTTTTCTTTGCAGTCACTGAAATGCATGGGATGAGTCATGTGAAGTTCTGAAAATTCAGCAGAACCTACATAGGCATTTGAATAGCTCAACCAGTAGAGCCAAGGGGGATGGGGGCAGACAAGCACCAGCAGGAAATGCTGAGTGTCAGACAGTAGCCCGAAGGAAGAGCCTGGGAAGGTTACCCTCTGTGATGACGCAGGGTCTGGAAACAATGACATCAACATAAATCATGAGATTTGAGATGGCGTCTGCTCTCTTCTTGGTTAGGAGGGGAGATTGCAGGCTGGGGAAACATTCCATGATCTCCCTTGGTACCCCTGTTCCCCACCTGCACCCCTCTATCCAACATCCTTGGACTTATTGGGGGCTGGGGTGATGATTTCGTTCTGAATCTCCCAGTTCATTCTCTAAGGGCACACTGACCACCACAATCCCTAGGCATTGTCATAGGAATTAATTAAGAGCTTGCTTCAGTGGGTCATGCCTGCAATTCAGTGTTGTGGGAGGCCAAGATGGGAGGATCGCCTGAGGCCAGGAGTTTGATTCTAGCCTGGGCAACAGAGTGAGACCTTGTCTCTACAATTTATTTATTTATTTTTGAGACGGAGTCTTGCTCTCTTGCCAGGCTGGAGTGCAGTGGAGGCTGAGGCAGGAGAATCACTTGAACCCAGGAGGCAGAGGTTGCAGTGAGCCGAGATCATGCCACTGCACTCCAGCCAGGTGACAGAGCGGGACTCCATCTCAAAAAAAAAAAAAAAATTAGCTGGGTGTGGTGATACATGCCTATAATCTGAGCCATTCAGGAGGCTGAGACAGGAAGAGCACTTGAGCTAGGAGTTCAAGGTTGCAGTGAGCCATGATTGCACCACTGTACTCCAGCCTAGATGACAGAGTGAGATCCTGTCTCAAAAAAAGAAAAAAAGAAAGAACATTGGAGAATTTAGGTTGAAGTGGACTTGCCTTGGATTCCAAGGGGCTTTAGTGACTGAATTGCCGCATGCAGGTCTGAGCCAGAAAGGACTGCCCCCCTCAGGCAGACAGGAATTTGTGTTTTACAAATTTTCATCTTTCTTCAGTCAACTAGCTGAGACTTCAGAATAAGGTTTATTGCCAATTGTCACAAAAATAAAATTATAATCGCTAATAGCATGAATGGATAATTACTGCTAAATTAATACTAATTTTTACTGTAGCTGATAATAATTTTTTAATTATGTGCTTAGAATGCGCTGGGCACTAAAATAAACAAGTTATACCCATTATCTCATTTCCTGTTCATAATGATCCCCTGAAACACATATTACCACTTCTATTACTGAGTAAACACGTATATTCATTGATTCATTCAGTCAGTGGCTGGGGATGCAATGTGAAAGCAATAGATTTTGTTGATGTCCCACCCATATCCCTTCCCACAGCGTGGACTCATCTCCAATGGCCATGACCATTGGCTGCTACTGTTCACAGCTGCCTCTCTTCTCCAGAGAATTGCCCTTGGCCAAATGGTAGCTGCTTCACATGGGAGGGTACTCTCCCTGCCCCACCTAGGGATATTCCGAAAAATAATGGAAAATGTCTGCAGCCCATAGCCAATGACTCACTGACACATAGAGGTACCGACTTGGCTCCCTTCTTGCCTCGAGGTGGGACAAACCCTGTGGTGTCGTCATGTTCTGGGACTCGGCTGAAGGGACTCGGCCCCATGGGACTCGGCTGAAGAAACCAGTCTCCAGCTAAGACGACAGCCTTTCCCTCACATCCTTCCCTTGTCCTATCTTCCCTCCCACACCCGTTTCTCTCCAGCATACCTTGTTCATAAATGAAGTGCTGCAGACCTTGTCTTACGTTCTGTTTCTTGTGAACTCCACCTACCACATTGGAATGAGTATAGACTTTAGTTCCAGGCAGACCTGAGTTCGAATATGTTGTGGCTGTGTGATCTTGAGTAAGTCAATTAACCTCTCTGAATTCTATTGTTCTGATCAATTTCTAAAAATGAAAATAATATAACTGAGTTTCATTCATTCCTTCCTTCTTTCAATAAACTTTAACATTAGCCTCTGTGCTAAGGATATAGAGACAAAAAAGGCGCAGTTTCTGCCTCCAGAGGTACAAGATTTTCTAAAGATTATAACTTCTCATTAGAGGGTGGTGAAAACAACTTTAGTGGATCCGACCAGCATTATGAAAAAAAAAATCTAAAGGAATGAAAAGAAAGTATCTGAGTGCCTCACACTTAATAAGAGTAAGTTCCATGAAGAATTGATTCGAATTTATGATCCTGTCTATGCATAGATAGAATCTATAGAGTATCTATGTCATATCTATCTCTATAGATACTTCATGGTAGACCTGAGGATATACTGAAAAATAATGTAAAATGGATCTCTTTCTGGCCATCAGATTAAAAAGGTTTGAAAGCTTCTTGTCTACAGAGTAAGAGCCAGTGAGAAAAGGGGAGATTTTATTCCAAAATTTGTTTTTAATAATGAGGAGCTTACACACATGCATTTTGTGTTTGTACACATCTAAGTAACCTCATAATAAAAAGTAATTTGTCAGTACTGGGAGGCACTTTCTCAAGAATACTTTTCCTTTAAAGGTGGAACAGTGAATTGCTTAACCTTGTGTTCTAGTTGTAAATCCACTCTCTTAATCATTTTTAAATGCTGTGGTATTCATTTCAGAATATTACTCAGCAAAATGAATCAGTGTAGAAGACGGTGTGTATAGTTCAATTTTTTGCTAAGTGTGTAGATTTATGCAGAGAAAAGAAGACTGGAAGTCTCTATGACAATATTAAGTGTTACCTCTGTGTAGCAGGATTATTGGTTTTCTTCTTGCCTTGCTTTGTTTTTAAGCTTTAAGCAATATATTAAAGTTTTCTGCAACATATTAAAGCAGAATATATTAAATATATTCAAAGAGAATTAAAAGGTAATGTGTGCTCTCTAGATGCTAAAGCTGTTACATATTACATCATTTAATCATCACAACAATCCTACCCCATAAGTACTACCATTCTCTCCATGTTTACAGATGAGGAACTGAGACTTTAAGAGATTAAGTAGGCTAGGCACGGTGGCTCACGCCTGTAATTCCAGCACTTTGGGAGGCCGAGGCGGGTGGATCACCTGAAATCGGGAGTTCGAGGCCAGCCTGACCAACAGGGAGAAACCCCGTCTCTACTAAAAATACAAAACTAGCTAGCTGGGCATGGTGGCGCATGCCTGTAATCCCAGCTACTAGGGAAGCTGAGGCAGGAGAATTGCTTGAACCCGGGAGGTGGAGGTTGCAGTGAGCCGAGATCACACCGTTGCACTCCAGCCTGAGCAACAAGAGTGAAACTTCATCTCAAAAAAAAAAAAGATTGAGTAAATTGCCCAATGTCATAGAGCTATGAAGTAGAACAACTATGAATCAAATGTTGTGGAGACGTGCACTGACCACACTATTACAAATTATAAGCTTTTTCCTAACCTGCCCTTAATCTCCCTGTACAGGGAATTACCATTGCTTTTCTTTTTCTACATCAACATCTCTTATCACTTTCTAACATACTATATAATTTACGTATTTATTATACTTATTCTTTTTTTGTATCCCTGAAATCACTGAGCTTCAAATTATGTTTATTATTTACTACACTCTTCCCCATCTAGAATGTAAACTTCAAGTGGACAGATTTTGAGCTGGGCACAGTGGTATACACCTATAATCTCAGCTACTCGAGAGGCTGATGGGTGAGGATCCCTTGAGCCCGGGAGTTTGAGACCAGCCTGGGCAATATAGTGTCTTTTTAAAAAAACACAGAATTTAAATCTATTTTGTTCACGGATATATTCCTAGATGCTGAGATACAGGCCTGGCACATGCCTGACATTCATTTAAATAAATATTTGTTGAATGAATGCTTCATACCAAAGTTAATGATCTGAACTACTACAATGACCTGCATCCTAGTGTATAATAAATATGAACGCTTTTCAAAGGTGGCCCCAGGATAACCGATGAGCATGGATCAGGGCTGTGGTGACAGATGCCTGTGGGTCCATGAAGATGACGTGGGTTGTGAGAAAGAGCAGGTTCTGGACTCTTCCATCTCTTCCTCCAGCTCCCAGCCCACCCACACTGGTTCTTCTACCTGGCTCCTTTTGCTGCAGGGAGCTGCCCAAGGTGTCCCTGACTATACCCCTGATGATGATAGCAATGAGCAGACGGGGGCTCTGCGGGAGTGGTGCAGCCATAGCAGGATGCTGGGCATTGGGGTTCAAAGAGTTCAAAGGCGTGAAGAGCTGTCCCAGAGAGGTGACCCTGAGAGACATCATTTATTGAGAGTTTACTCCAAGCCAAGCATAGGGCTACATGGGCTTCATATGTGTTGTTTCCGATCCTTACAACAACACATCAAAGTGGGTATTATTGTCTCCGTTGTGCGGATGAGCAATCTAAGGATGAGAGAAGTTAAGTGCTTTGCCCAAAGTTACACAGAAGCCAAAACTACAGCTGAGCCAGGATTTGAAACCAGGCATCCCTGACTTCAAAGTCCTTATGCTTTTATACCATCCAACATTGAGAATATTGCTGTCTCGTAACATCTTAACTTGCCACAATTTAACACATATTAGGAGCTCAATAAATATGTCTTTTAAGAATGAACAGATGGATGGATGGATGGGTGGGTAGACGAGTGGTTTATGTAGCTGTCCCTTGAACTATAGCACTCTTTGTTGACTTTTCATCCATTTCGAGGAATATTTGGCTCTGTATATGTGAAAGAATACAATTTTTCTTTTTCTTCTTTCTTTCTTTTTTTTTTTTTTTTTTTTTGAGATGGAATTTCGCTCTTATTGCCCAGGCTGGAGTGCAATGGTGCAATCTCAGCTCACTGCAATCTCTGCCCCCTGGGTTCAAGCGATTCTCCTGCCTCAGCCTCCGAGGTAGCTGGGATTATAGGCGCCCACCACCACGCCCGGCTAATTTTTTGTATTTTTAGTAGAGATGGGGTTTCACCATGTTGGCCAGGTTGGTCTCGAACTCCAGACCTCAGGTGATCCACCCTCCTCGGCCTCCCAAAGTGCTGATATTACAGGCATGAGCCACCACGCCTGGCCAGAGTACAATTTTTCTAAACAAAGGAACACTTCATCAAACTAAATATTATCAATAACAATTATTTAAGCAACAACATAAGTACTTCATGAAATCAAGCTATTCTTTCAAGTAATCTTTAATTGCTCATTATAGGCATTTAGAAAACATGAATTGATTGTATTTATTGTTTATAATCAAAGGAGAAAAGGGGGACTATTTTCTCTGCTAGCAGTGAAGGAGTCACAGATAGTTATGGTAAAAGGACTTTCATAATCACCTTTCTAATGCCCTCATTTTATAGGTGAGTTGTTTGATCCCAGTGAGAAATGCATATGTTTAGGTGGTTGTTTAATGATTACTGTTTTGTGTTTTTTTTTTTTTTTGAGCCGGAGTCTTGCTCTGTCACCCAGGCTGGAGTGCAGTAGCGCAACCTCTGCTCACTGCAAACTTCACCTCCCGGGTTCAAGCAATTCTGCCTCAGCCTCTGGAGTAGCTGGGACTTACAGGCATGTGACACCACACCCAGCTAATTTTTGTATTTTTGGTAGAGACAGGGTTTCACCATGTTGGCCAGGTTGGTCTTGAGCTCCTGACCTCAAGTGATCCACCTGCCTTGGCCTCCCAAAGTGCTGATATTATAGGTGTGAGCCACCGCAACCCGGCCTATTCCATTTTTTTTTTTGATGCAGGGTTTTGCTATGTTGGCTAGGCTGGTCTCAAACTTCTGAGCTCAAGCAATCCTCCTACCTCAGCCTCCTGAGTAGCTGGGACTATAGGTGCATGCCACCATGCCTGGCTTATTTCATCTTTTACTATAGGCAAAACTTTATTTCTCTATAAATGGTTCTTATTTAACTTACATAAACTTTCCATACCTCAGTTTCATTGCATTTAAAGTGAGAACAGTAATATTACCTACCTCATGGCTTAGCTGTGATAATTAAATGATCAATACATGTAAATGACATATGTAAAGTGTTCAGAACAGTACCCGGCACCTCATAAGCACTTATCTATCGTTATAATTATTATTAATTAATAGCAAGAAATTGGGGGATTGTGTAAATCAACTTACGGCTTAATAATGAAATTGACCTCACTCTTCTTTCTAATCTATGTTTATTTTACTATGTAATGATAACTTTTAAACAGCATTCTGGTTAGAATTACAGTTTTCTTGTTTTGCCCAAACATACACACAATGTGTATGTACAGGCATATCTTGGAGATATCATGGGTTTGTTTCCAGACCACTGCAATAAAATGAGTCACATGAGTATTTTGGCTTCCCAGTGCATATAAAAATTATGTTTACATGGCTGAGTGCAGTGGCTCATGCCTGTAATCCCAGCACTTTGGGAGGCGAGGCAGGCAGATCACCTGGTCAGGAGTTCAAAACCAGCTTGGCCAACATGGTGAAACCCTGTCTGTACTAAAAATACAAAAATTAGCCAGGCGTGGTGGTGCACGCCTGTAATCCCAGCTACTCAGAAGGCTGAGACAGGAGAATCACTTGAACCCAGGAGCCGGAGGTTGCAGTGAGCTGAGATCTCGCCACTGCACTCCAGCCTGGGTGACAGTGAGACTCTGTCTCCAAAAAAAAAAAAAAAGTTATGTTTACACTGTCCTGTAGTCTATAGTTTATTAAGTGTGAAATAGCATTATGTCTAAAACATGTACATACCTTAATTTAAAAATACTTTATTGCTAAAAAGCGCTAACAATCATCTGAGCCTTCAGCAAGTCATAATCTTTTAGCTGGTGGAGGGTTTGCTTCAATGTTGATAGTTGCTGACTGATCAGGATGATTGTTGCTGAAGGTTAGGGTGGCTGTGGCAATTTCTCGAAATAAGACAATAGTGAAGTTTGCTGCATTGATTGACTGTTCCTTTCACAAAAGATATATCTACAGCACGCAATGCTGTTTGATAGCGTTTTACCCACAGTACAAGTTTTTTTTCAAGAATGAAGTCAATCCTCTCAAACCCTGCTGCAACTTTATCAACTAAGTTTAGGTAATATTCTAAAGCCTTTATTGTCATTTCAACAATGTTCACAGCATCTTCACCAGGAATAGATTCCATCTCAAGAAACCACTTTCTTTGCTCATCCATAAGAAGCAACTCCTCATCCATTCAAGTTTTTCGATCTTGAGATAGCAGCAATCCAGGCCCATCTTCAGGCTCCGTTTCTAACTGCAATTCTCTTGTTATTTCTACTACATCTTCAGGCACTTCCTCCACTGAAGTCTTGAACCCCTCAGTTATCCATGAGGGTTGGAATCAACTTCTTCCAAACTTCTCTTTACATTGATATTTTGATTCCTTCCATAAATCATGAATGTCCTTAATGACATTTAGAATAATGAATCCTTTCCAGAATGTTTTCAATCTATTTTGCCAAGATCCATCAGAAAAATCACTACCCATGGCAGCTATTGCCTTACAAAATGTATGTCTTAAATAATAAGACTTAGAAGTCAAAATTACTCCTTGATCCATGGGCTGCAGAATGAATATTGTGTTAGCAGGCATGAAAACAATGTTAATCTCCTCGTTCATCTCCATTAGAGTTCTTGGGTGACCAGGTACATTGTCAATTAGCAGTAATATTTTGAAAGGAATCTTTTTTTCTGAGCAGTAGGTCCCAACAGCGGGCTTAAAATATTCAGTAAACCAGCTGGGCGTGGTGGCTCACGCCTGTAATCCCACCACTTTGGGAGGCCGAGGCAGGGGGATCACGAGGTCAGGAGATTGAGACCATCCTGGCTAACACGGTGAAACCTGGTCTCTACTAAAAATCCAAAAACAAAATTAGCCAGGCATGGTGGCGGGAGCTTGTAGTCCCTGCTACTCGGGAGGCTGAGGTGGAGAATGGCGTGAACCCGGGAAGCAGAACTTGCAGTGAGCCACGATCTCGCCACTGAACTCCAGCCTGGGTGACAGAGCGAGACTCCATCTCAAAAAAAAAAAAAAAAAAAAAAATTTTCAGTAAACCATGTTGTAGACAAATGTGCTGACATCCGGACTTGGTTGTTTCATTGGCAGAGCACAGGCAGTAGATTTAGCATAGTTCTTAAGGGCCCTGGGACTTTTGGAATGGTAAATGAGCACTGGCTTCAACTTAAAGTCACCAGCTGCATTAGCTCCTGCCAAGAGAGTCAGCCTCTCCTTTGAAGCCTTGAAGCCAGGCATTGACTTTGCACCTCTAGCTATGAAAGTCTACTTATTAATTTCTTTCAATAGAGGCTGTTTCATCTACATTGAAAACCTGTTGTTTAGTGTATCCACCTTCATCACTTAGCTGGATCTTCTGGATAACTTGCTGCTGCTTTTTCATCAGCACTTGCTGCTTCTCCTTGCACTTTTATGTTAGGAAGGTGCCTTCTTTCCTTAAAACTCATGAACCAACCTCTTTTAGTGTCTAACTTTTCTTCTGCAGCTTCCTCATCTCTCTCAGGATTCACAGAATTAAAGAGAGTTAGGGGCTTGCTCTGGATTAGGCTTTGGCTTACAAGGATGTTGTGGCTGGTTTGATCTTCTATCCCAGCCACTATACTTTTTCTGTGTCATCAGTAAGACTATTTTGCTTTCTTGTTATTTGTGTGTTCACTCAAGTAGCATTTTAAATTTTCATCAAGAACTTTTCCTGCATAGTCACAATTTGGCTAACCGTTTGGCACAAGAGGCCTAGCTTTTGGCCCATCTCATCTTTTTACCTGCCTTCCTCACTAAGCTTAATCATTTCTAGCTTTTGAGTTAAAGTGAGGGATGTGTGACTCTTCCTTTCACTTGAACACTTAGAGGCCATTGTAGGGTTGTTAATAGGCCTGATTTCAATATTATTGTTTCTCAGGGACTAGAGAGGCCCAAGGAGAGGGAGAGAGATGGGGTATACTGGTTGGTGGAACAGTCAGGACACACGGCACTTATGGATTAAATTTGCTGACTTTTATGGGTGCCGTTCGTGGCACCCCCAAAACAATTACAGTAGGAACATCCAAGATCACTGATCACAGATCACCATCACAGATATAATATTAATGAAAAAGTTTGAAATATTGCAAGAATTATCAAAATGGGACACAGAGACACCAAGTGAGCACATGCTGTTGGAAAAATTGCAAAGATAGACTTGCTCGGCTGGGCGTGGTGGCTCCCGCCCTAACTCTTTTTAATTCTGTGAACGCTGAGAGAGATAAGGAAGCTGCAGAAGAAAAGTCAGACACTAAAAGAGGTTGGTTCGTGAGGTTTAAGAAAGGAAGCCACCTTCCTAACATAAAAGTGCAAGGAGAAGCAGCAAGTGCTAATGAAAAAGCAGCAGGAAGTTATCCAGAAGATCCAGCTGAGATAAGTGATGAAGGTGGATACACTAAACAACAGGTAGCTCACGCCTGTAATCCCAGCATTATGGGAGCCCGAGGTGGGCAGATCACCTGAGGTCAGGAGTTCAAGACCAGCCTGGCTAACATGGTGAAACCCCATCTCTACTAAAAATACAAAAATAAGCCGGGCATGGTGGTATGTGCCTGTAATCCCACTTACTCAGGAGGCTGAGGCAGGAGAATCGCTTGAACCTGGGAGGCGGAGGTTGCAATGAGCCGAGATCACGCCATTGCACTCCAGCCTGGGCAACAGAGTGAGACTCCATCTCAAAAAAAAAAAAAAGACTCGCTTGAAGCAGCGTTGTCACAAACCTTCAATTTGTCAAAAACAATATCTGTGAAGTAGAATAAAAGTAGGTATTCTTGTATATGCATGCACGCATGCATGTGTGTGTATGAGAGAGAGAGAGAGAGAACGAGACAGAGCGAGAGACAGAGAGAGCACAAGAGTATAAAACATCCGATGCATCAAACCTGGTGACTACCTTCAAATGCATCCAGAGCCTGCCTCCTTCTCAGCACCTCTGCTCTCCCGCCTGGCCTCACCCCTGCTCCTCCAGTCTGGCCTCCCACAGGAGCCCCCTGAATGCTTTTCCTGCCTGCTCTCTTGCCCCTCCACCCTCTGTTCTCCACCAGCAGCCAGAGGGCTTTTTCTAAAATGTGGGTCAGGTCATCTTACTTCCGTGTTCAAAACTTTCCAAAAGTGTCTCTTCTTGCCCTGGGAAAAGCCCTGACTATCTCCCTGACCTTATTCTCTCCAATGCTCCCTTCTCTCACTCTGCCTCAGCCACAATGGCTGTTTGCTTCCTTGACCCTGCAAGTGTGCTCCTGCCTCAGGGCCTCTACTCTGGCTGTCCCCTCTGTGGGTAACACTCTTCCCTGGTGGCTGAATGACGTCCTCCCTCCTTCCATCCTTCAGATCTCTGCTCAGACATCATCTTAGGCAGAAAGTCTTCCCTGACCACCTCTACAAAATAACTTAGCACTCCCAAGGCCCTCTTACCCTGCCTGTATTGTTCTCCATGTTCTCCACGGCTCTTATCAACATCACACACACCAGACACACACACACGCACACACACACATATACAGGCTTGTTACTCCCTATCTGCCATTACTGTGAAGCCTCTCTGAGGTCAGGACTTGTGTGTGACTCCCTGCTCTATCCTCACAGTCTAGAATACTGCCTGACATATAACTGCTCAGTAACATTTTTTGAATGAATTTGTCTTCTTCCCTTTTTACCTTTAATCACTTTTTTTTTTTTTTTGAGACAGAGTCTCACTCTGTCACCCTGGCTGGAGTGCACTGGCACAGTCTCAGCTCATTGCAAAACCTCCACCTCTTGGGTTCAAGTGATTCTCCTGCCTCAGCCCCCCAAGTAGCTGGGACTGCAGGTGGCCGCCACGACGCCAGGCTAATTTTTGTATTTTTAGTAGAGACGGGGTTTTGCAATGTTGGCCAGGCTGCTCTTGAACTCCTGACCTCAGGTGATCCGCCCACCTCAGCCTCCCGAAGTGCTGGGATTACAAACATGAGCCACCATGCCCGGTTTTTAATCACTTTTTAATTATTTAAAGAAAAAGATGGCTGGGCACGGTGGCTAACACCTGTAATTCCAGCACTTTGGTAGGCTGAGGCGGGCAGATCACTTGAGGTCAGGAGTTTGAGGCCAGCTCTGCCAACATGGCAAAACCCTGTCTCTATTAAACATACAAAAATTAGCCAGGCATGGTGGCGCATACTTGTAATCCCAGCTACTCGGTAGGCTGACGTAGGAGAATCGCTTGAACCTGGGAGGCGGAGGTTGCAGTGAGCCAAGATTGTGACACTGTACTCCAGCCTGGGCAACAGAACGAGACTCCATCTCAAAAAAAAAAAAAAAGAAAAGAAAAAGAAAGAAAGAAAAAAGAAGAAAAAGATGCTGTGAGAACTCACTTGCTCACTTGCCTGGAAGTCAGCCCTGGGGCTCCAGTGGACCCTCTGGGCTCTTTAGTTGAGCAGCCTCCAAGCCTGAGATGCCTGCTTCCCCAGCCTCCGGGGGTGGGTATGGATACACACCTCAGCTCAGCCAATCAGACACACCCACTGGACATTGACACAGAGAAGCAGGTCCATGGAGAAGCCATCTTTGTGGTAATGGTGCCAGCAGCATGGCCACGTCCAGGTTCCAGGAGTATCAGTGCTGCAGCAGGAGCTGTGTTGACAACACCTTATGTGGCACTGGACAAACCCTCAGGAGTGATTTGACCTGGGGAGCCTCCCCCATTCCTGCCCCATCTCCTAAGCTTGATTTTCTGGTATTCTTGATGATTTTATGAGCTCCCCATATCTTTATTATAACTTTATCTTGTGCTTATAGAAGCAATACACAGTTTCTGTTGCTTGCCATTGAGCACCCTGACCACTGTCGGGCCGTGCTCTGTGATGCTTTATGGCAATAAGCACAGCAGGGTGGGGGCATGCAGGAACCACTGGAAAAGCGGTGGCCTCATAGATGACTTCCTAACCTCCTACAACCTATTATACCTTACCTTAATGTGAGCAAGTTGGCATTCTTTGCATCTCATAATTTGAAGTCATTCATCTTTGTGCTTTTCACCGTGTCTGCTCTCTTTGGAGAAGATGTCTATTTTTGAAGCTGCTGGGCATTTGGGAATCCTGCACACAATGTGAGTTGGTTGGGTTGGCATTGTCACCAATGACGATGTGAGTCGGGTTGGCATTGTCAGCACTTGGAGACACAGTTTAGATGGGAAGCTTTCAACCTCAGCATTCATGCCTCAGGGTTCCTTTGGGAGCTACTCTTCTAGCTGCATTTCCAGGAATTTTAATAGAAATTATGTAACAACAAGCACGGAGGCTGTACTCAGGAGAACAAGTGAAGGAAGAGCATCTCAGCCTATTCCCAGCTTCTCAGCTCCAACTTAGCAGGGAGCACATGGCCTCTAGGACAGAAAAACAAAGCCTCAGCCCAAGATGAGCTCCTCCCCTCACCCCTGCTTCTGTTTAAAACACCTGTTTTAACACCTGTTTAAATCGGGTGTTTTAGTTTAGCACAGAGATGGGCACATAATAAATACCTTTAAAAGCAGTCTAGGCTGGGCACAGTGGCTCATGCCTGTAATACCAGCATTTTGGGAGGCTGAAGTGGGAGTATCACTTGAGTCCAGGAGTTTGAGACCAGCCTGGGCAACATAGGGAGACTCCATCTCTACAAAAAAGTGAAAAAATTATCTGGACATGGTGGTGCATGCCTGTAGTCCCAGCTACTCAGGAGGCTGAGGCGGCAGAATCACTGGAGCCCAGGAGTTCAAGTCTATAGTGAGGCATGATCACACTACTGTACTCCAGACTGGGCCACAGAGCAAGATCCTTTTTTTTTTTTTTTTTTTAAAAAAAAAGCAATCGAGTGCTAAACCATTGGCTGGATGATGGGGGAGAGCTCAGAAGGGGAGGAAACACTCCATTTCAGGGCCCTAGAGAGCTGCTAGAGATGGATGATGTAGCCCTGGAACCCCAGTCCCGGCGGGTCAGCAAGTGTTTATCAGGTGGTCACCAAATCAAAGGAGGGTCCACAACATGGAGATGCAAGGTCCTCTTGCTTTTACCACTGAGCGGGCCTTGATGTGGGATGTGTCTGTGACAGTCTTGGCTGCCCTCTAAGGAGAAGCCTGAGGACCAGGCTCTTCCACAGCCGGTTTTGCCTGTAACTTCGATCCAGGTCCTTCTGCACTCGTGAGTCTTGCTTAGGATGTGGCCTAAGTTACTGGCTAAGTTCCAATGTGGCAGGGCCCATGCTAGGGTCTTTCATATACACCATGTCATTTAATCTTTCAAGATCCCTATAGGGTAAGCAGCAATATCCCCATCTTGCGGAGTAGGAAATTGATGTGAAGAGAGGCTACCTAACTTCCAAGTTCACACAGCTCTAAGTGGCTGAACTGGGATTTAAACTCATGTCCAGGCCAGGTGTAGTGGCTCACACTTGTAATCCCAGCACTCTGGGAGACCGAGGCAGGTGGATCACCTGAGGTCAGGAGTTCAAGACCAGCCTGGCCCACATGGTGAAACCCCATCTCTACCAAAAATACAAAAATTATCCAGGCGTGGTGGCAGGTGCCTGTAGTCCCGGCTACTTGGGAGCCTAAGGCAGGAGAATCACTTGAACCCGGGAGGCGTAAGTTGCAGTGAGCTAAGATTGCGCCACTGCACTCCAGCCTGGGCATTGCAGCGAGACTGTCTCAAAAACAAAAATGAAAACAAACAAAAGACTAACTAAATAAACCTTTGTCCACCATGGACTTCTTAACCAAAGGACCCAATGGATAATAAGAATTAACTGATGAGGCCGGGCACGGTGGCTCACGCCTGTAATCCCAACATTTTGGGAGGCTGAGGAGGGCAGATGACGAGGTCAGGAGATTGAGACCATCCTGGCCAACATGGTGAAACCCCATCTCTAATAAAAATACAAAGAATTAGCCAGGTGTGGTGACACACACCTGTAGTCCCAGCTACGAGGGACCCTGAGGCAGGGGAATCGCTTGAACCCGGGAGGCGGAGGTTGCAGTGAGCCGATATGGCGCCACTGCACTCCAGCCTGGCGACAGAGCAAGACTCCATCTCAAAATAAATAAATAAATAATTAATTAATTAACTGATGAATAGGGAAATTTCAGGTCTTCAACATCTTATTCCAGGACCACAGTAGTGGCATTCTAATTGAGCCCCTTGAGGAAGTATTCCCTTAATCACAGATCAGTCCAGATAACCTCTCTTTGACTGTATAGCCCCTGGAGAATACAGCTACCTTATTTTTGTCTTATTATTCTGAGAGAGTTCAAGACCAGTCTCTATCCTTAGAGACAGACTCTAAGATGGGTTGAAGTATTTCTGCCTGCAGGCATCCACGGCCCCGTGTGTGAGTGGGCTCGGCGATTTGCTTCTAAGCAGCGCAGGTGATAGGATTATAATCTTCTAAGCAATGGAGGTGATTATGTCACATAAGATTGCAACTTCCGTCTTGTCAGCAGACACTCTTTGTTGCCTTCTAAGCTTTCACGCTTCGATGAAGCAAGTAGCCATGTTGAGGAGGTTCACGTGGCAAAAAAGCGAGAGAAGCTTCTGGCCAAAGCCAGCAAGTTGCTGAATCTCACCAACAACACTGTGATCTTGGAAGCAGATTCTTCCCCAATTGAGGATCAGATAAAGCCCAGTCCTGGCCAACACCTTAAGTGTAGTCTGAAGCCGTGGACTGAGCTAAACCACACTGCATATTACAGAAACTGTGAGATAATAAATACATGTTGTTTCAAGCTGCTAAGTTTCTGGTAATTTGGGATAGCAACAGGTAATTAATATGCTCCCTCCGCAGTAGCGAGCTCCTGAAAGGTAGGGCTGTGTTGCAGTGTTTTACCCATCTCTGAGGGCCCGGTGCCCTGGAGCTCTGTAATAGAGACCACTGAGCCTGGTCTCTATTTCCCCTACAATATATCCTCTGTATTGCCTCAGAGATATCTTTTTAAAATGCTAATTTAATTGTGTCACTCTGCCTAAAACTCCTCAGTGGCTGCCTATCATTTTTAATGAAAATCCAAGCTAATTAGCATAGTAATTAAGGAACTTCACCACATGTCCCCAAACTGTTATTCCAGGCTCTTCTCCCCCCCCATTGCCCCCCACTCACCACCACCATATACTCTGGCCACATGGACTCAACACTCCTCAAACCTGCTCTTCCATGGGTCAAGGGACTTGTGATTGCTGTGCCTCTGCCTAGAAGACTCTCTTCTTTTCCTGGTGAACTCCTACTCATCCTTTACAGTCCACCAAAAGATAACCATTTCCTGAAGCCTTCCCATCTCCTCCCCTAGCCCAAGGCCACCCCTACCACTGTTCTCTCTTGGTCATTTGAGTGCTATTATACCATATATCACATAAAAATAAAAATAATTATAACTATTTTAACACTTGGTTCCCCTTCTAGTCTGTGAGTACTTTAAAGATGAGTACAACTCCTCTTCATATCCTTCTCTTCCCTCTCCCCTTGCCTAGAAAACCCAGTCATAGTTTAAAGAGTAAATGAATGGCGTTAATGATACCCAAAGCTGAAATGAGATGCTCATGGGTTAAACAGCAGTGAGGTAGGCTGCGTTAGTGGGTACCAGCAGAAGTTCTGTAGACACCTGAAGCATGGACTGAGTGTGGTTTGCAACCAGTATAGATATAATCTCTTGTTGCTGGTGCTGTCCCTTTGTTGTAAGGGAAAGGAGAAATGGGAGGCATGAGAAACTTCCCTCTTCTACCAAAGACAGCCGTCTATTCTATGTTAGAACATTAGATGGTGACCTTTTCTGAGACTCTGTTCTTACACACCAAGCACGTAAACTTAACACTTTCTTTTCATTCCTAAAGTCTTAAATGATGGATCAAGGTTGACTCAAAGTCCTTCTCTGGCTCTCCTAAACTTCCTAATGGAGGCTATTCAAACACAAGGCCCACTGTATCAAAACCTCAGAGAAAACATTTTGTGAATGTCCTGTAACTCACGCGTTTCCAATGCTCTTTCTCACCAATTATTTTTGTCCTAAGGGTCCGCAGATGTCATACAAATCCAGTTATCCAGAGAAAGGTGCTAAGGCCGCTCCTCACCTTTCACTCTTTATTTTTATTTATTTATTTATTTATTTATTTATTTATTTATTTATTTATTTTTGAGACAGAGTCTTGCTCTGTCACCCAGGCTGGAGTACAGTGGCGTGATCTCGCTCACTGCAAGCTCCGCCTCCCGGGTTCAAGCGATTCTCCTGCCTCAGCCTCCTGAGTATCTGGGATTACAGGCACCTGCCACTACGCCCGGCTAATTTTTGTATTGTTAGTAGAGACGGGGTTTCACCGTGTTAGCCAGGCTGGTCTTGAACTCCTGACCTCAGGTGATCTGCCCGCCTCGGCCTCCCAAAGTGCTGAGATTACAGGTGGGAGCCACTATGCCCGGCCCACGCTTCATTCTTTAGGATTTAAAGCAAAGGCAGCCTTTTCAGTGTGTAGGAGGGGATCCCTGGAGAAGAGGTTTAGTGCAAAGCCATATAGAGTCAGCATCTTAAACTGACAGCAAATGACTTGGTTTCAATTAAAACAAAGTCTTGACACCACATTCCTTTTCTTTTCTTTTCTTTTCTTTTCTTTTGAGATAGGGTCTCACTCTGTCACTCAGGCTGGAGTGCAGTGGTGCAATCATGGCTTTTTGCAGCTTCAACTCCTGGGCTCAAGTGATCCTCCTGCCTCAGCCTCCCAAGTAGCTGAGACTACAGGTGCACGCCATCATGCCTGGCTAATTTTTAAATTTTTGTACAGACAGGGTCTCGCTATGTTGCCTAGGCTGGTCTTGAACTCCTGGCGTCAAGCAAACTTCCTACTTTGGCCTCCCAAAGTGCTAATGCACTGCACCTGGGCTTGACACAACATTTCAACATGAGTGTTTAAGTTAGCTAAGTCACATTTAGGTAGGAAAAGCAGGATCGCATTTTTTCAGTCCATCTCTTATCAGTTTATGGTTGTTTACAGACAATGAAAAAATGTATATATACATTTTTGATGCTGAGTGAATACATATATTTATACCACTGGCTCAGATCATGGCTATTCTATGGATTTTGAGTCTCTGTGCATAACTTATTAATAGATTTGCAACAGAGCCAACCCAATCTGTTGTTTAGATGGCTGGAAAAGTCAGTTTGAAACTAGATAATTGTTTCAATATCCACATGTAAATGGAACATACCTATAAGTATCTTACACTTTGCTGCAGAAATCATCCTAATCAGCTTGGTATTCTCCTTCCAGTCCCACCACAAAGCAGCGTCTGGATTTAGGAGAGGCAGAAAATGCTTCTGTTGCTCGTGCCTGAGTTGGGGACAAAGACCTTTCAATAAATATGATCAAATACCTTCCCTACACCAGACATAGCAGATGCAAATGGGACTAAGTCCTCAAAGAGGAGGAGACAAAAGGTAGCACATTATAACATAGCATGGAGTTAGGGAAGGGTTTAGTAAGCGTTTGATGAATGAATGAATACATGAAGAATAAGCTGTTATAACAGTGAAGTATACCCAGGAAGCCATGAAACTAGGGCTAAAGCTCAGGTGTATAGGGAACGTAAAAATGGACTTTCTCTTTTCTGTATCAATCTAGAATCATAACATTTGCTGTTTTCATTTTGCTCTTCCGGACCATATGCCTCATGAGTAGTGGCAGAGGGTAGCAAGACTGTGTTTGTGTATGTATATGTTTACATAAATAAGTCTGTCTTTTAAAAAATAGTATTTTTAATGACTAAGGAATTAATCATGAATAAATATATGTAAGACAAGGTATTAAGTGGCCAGGGGAGGTGGGGGTTGTTCATAGAAAAGCCATAGCTGCTCTCTGCCTTCAAGGACCTTATGGGAGAGAGCATGAAAAGCTTACTAACAGTGCGAGGCAGAAGGAGGGATGCTGAGTGAAGGGTGCTGATACAGAGTCTCCACATGTGAGGAGGAGGAGGTCATTTCAGGCTGGGCCATCAGAGGAGGATTCCTAAGAGGATGATATTGCAGGATAGATGCGACAGCTGGAACGATTGTGATAATTTAACAAAGTTATATTTGAAAAAAGGGGACACATAGTTATTCCATGAAACATGTGAATGAAAAAATGAACAACTTACCCAGAACGTTTCACCCAGAAGAGAGATTATATGTCAAGCACTGTGCTTGACACTAGGAATGGGGCCCATAATATCCTCATCAAAGGCTATATCCATCCATAGCTATGTTTTTAAAAATATCTTTATTGGCTGAGCACAGTGGCTCATACCTGTAATCCCAGAACTTTGGGAGGCCAAGGCAGGCGGATCACCTGAGGTCAGGAGTTCAAGACCAGCCTGGCCAACATGGTGAAACCCCGTCTCTACTAAAAATACAAAAATTAGCCAGGCATGATGGCGGTTGTCTGTAATCCCAGCTACTTGGGAGGCTGAGGTAGGAGAATCACTTGAACCCGGGAGGCAGAGGTTGCAGTGAGCTGAGATCGCACCATTGCACTCCAGCCTGGGCGACAAGGGCAAGACCATGTCTCAAAAAAAAAAAAAAAAAAAAAATTCTGGCCTGTAATCCCAGCACTTTGGGAGGCCGAGGTGGGCGGATCACGAGGTCAGAAAATCGAGACCATCCTGGCTAACATGGTGAAACCCCATCTCTACCAAAAATAGAAAAAATTAGCCTGGCATGGTGGCGGGCGCCTGTAGTCCCAGCTACTCCGGAGGCTGAGGCAGGAGAATGGCGTGAATCCGGGAGGCGGAGCTTGCAGTGAGCCGAGATGGCGCAATTGTTGTACTCCAGCCTGGGCGACAGAGTGAGACTCCATCTCAAAAAAAAAAAAAAAAATTTTATTATGTTATAAGTGATATACAACAAACTGCACATATTTAATGTTTTACAGTGTTATATGTTTTCATGTATGTATACACCCATAAAATCATCCTTGCAATTAAGACAGTGGACGTATCCATTACTTTCACAATGTCCTACATGTCCCTTCATCTTTCCTACTTCCTGCCCCTCTCCACAGCCTCCATGTTCAGGCAGCCACCCAGTCTTTTTTCTGTTACTATAGATGAGTTTGTGTTTTCTAGAATTTTCCATATTTGGAATCATACAGTAGATATTCTCTTTTGTTTGATTTTTCTCAGGCAGCATAATTCTTTTGAAATTCATCCATGTTGTATGTACATCAATGTCCATTTCTTTTTTATTAATGAATAATATTCCATTGTATACCACAATTTGTTTATCCATTCACCTGATGAACTTTTGAGTTGTTTCCAATTTTTGGCTAATTCTAATAAAGCTGCTATGAATAGTATGCTTTGCATATAGTTTCTCCCAGTCTATGCATTGTCTTTTCATTCTTTTCAGTATCTTTTGAAGAGAAGTGGGGTGTTTTGTTTTCTGTTTTTTTTGTGTGTGGACACAAGGTCTCACTCTGTCACCTAGGCTGGAGTGCAGTGGCATGATCATGGCTCACTGCAGCCTTGGCCTCCCGGGCTTAATTGATCCTCCCACCTCACCCTCCTGAGTAGCTGGGAATACAGGCACGTGCCACCATGCCCAGCTAATTTTTGTATTTTTTTTGAGACAGAGTCTTACTCTGTCACCCAGGCTGGAGTGCAGTGGTGTGATCTCGGCTCACTGCAACCTCTGCCTCCCAGGTTCAAGTGATGCTCCTGCCTCAGCCTCCTGAGAAGCTGGTACTACAGGCGTTCACCACCACGCCCAGCTAATTTTTGTATTTTTAGTAGAGACCGGGTTTCACCATGTTGGCCAGGCTGGTCTCAAAATCCTGACCTCCAGTGATCTGCCTGCCTTGGCCTTCCAAAGTGCTGGGATTACAGGTGTGAGCCACGTTGCCTCCTAAAGTGCTAGGATTACTGGCATCAGCCACCATGCCTGGCCTAATTTTTTTTTTTTTTTTTTTTTTTTGTAGAGATGGGGTTTTGCCATGTTGCCTAGGCTGGTCTCAAACTCCTGAGCTCAAGTGATCTGCCCGCCTCAGCCTCCCCAAAATGCTGGGATTACAGATGTGCACCACTGTGCCTGGCCTTGAAGAGACGTTTTAAATTTTGATGTAGTCCAATTAATTTTGGTATCATATCTAAGAAACAGGAACCCAAGTTCCCAGAGATTTTCTCTTATGTTTCTTATAAAAGTTTCTTGGTCTTAGGCTTTACATTAGGATCTGTGAGCCATTTTGAGTAATTTTTGTACAATATTGATAAGATATTCATTGAATTTCCTCTTTTTAGATATGGATGTTGAATTGTTATGGCACTATTTGTTAAAAGACTTCTCCACTTTTTCTGCACTTGTGTCAAAAATCAATTGTCCATATATACATGGGTCTATTTCTGGACTATTTTGTCCTATTGATCTATTTTTTGAACTTTATGCCAATGCCACACTATCTTGATTACCGTAGCTTTATAATAAGTCTTGACATGAGATAGTGTTAGTCCTCCCACTGCATTCTTTTTCAAAGTTGTTTTGGTCATTCTAGATCTTTTGCATTTCCCTATGAAGTTTAGAAAATAAAAACAAAACAAAATAAACAAAAACAAAAACCTGCTGAAATACTGACTGTGATTGCATTGAATCTACAGATAAATTTGAGGAAGAACTGACATTGTAACAATATTGAGTCCTCCAATTCATGAACATGGTATATCTCTTCATTTACTTGGGTCTTTTTTTTTCCAGTAGTGATTTATAATTTTCTCATTATAGATCTTCAAATGTTTTGTCATGTTTATCTCTAAGTGTTTCATAGTTTTTGATGTTATTGTAAAGATATTATTATTTGATTTTTTAAAATTTCTGATTATTTATTGGTAGTATATAGAAATACAATTGATTTTGGTATATTAATCATGTATTCTGCAACCTTGCTATTATGGGCTGAATTGTGTTTCCCCCCATATTTATATGTTGAAGTCCTAACCCATGATGTCACAGAATATGACTATTTGGAGGTAGGGTCTTTAAAAAGGTAATTAAGGTTAAATGAAGTCATTAGGATGGGCCATAATCCAATATGACTGGTGTCCTTATAGGAAGAGGAGATTAGGACATAAACCTATATAGAGAGAAGACCATATAAAGATACATAGAGATTTATCGGCTGGACATGGTGGCTCACGCCTGTAATCCCAGCACTTTGGGAGACCGAGGAAGGCAGATCACAAGGTCAGGAGTTTGAGACCAGCCTGGCCAATATGGTGAAACCCCGTTTCTACTAAAAATACAAAAATTAGCCAGGCGTGGTGTCGGGTGCCTGTAGTCCCAGCTACTTGGGAGGCTGAGGCAGGAGAATTGCTTGAACCCGGGAGGCAGAGGTTGCAGTGAGCTGAGATCACGCCATAGCACTCCAGCCTGGGCGACAGAGTGAGACTCCGTCTCAAAAAAAAAAAAAAAAAAAGAGAGAGATTTATCTGCAAGCCAAGGAGAGAGGCCTCAGAAGAAACTGGCCCTGCAACAGCTTGATCTACAGACTGAAACTATTCTTAGTCACCAGAATTGTGAGAAGATAAATTTCTGTTGTAAACAGAATTTCTGTTGTAAGCCAACCAGTGTGAGGTACTTTATTATGGCAGCCTGGCAAACTAATACATTTACTAAACTCACTTATTAGTTCTAATAGCTTTTTCATAGACCCAAGATTTTCCACATAGACAATTATATAATCTAAATAAATAGTTTTACTTCTTCCTTTCCAATTTGATGCCTTTTTATTCCTTTTCCTTGTCTTATTGCACTGTCTAGGACTTCAAGTACAGTGTTAAATAAAAATGGTGAGAGCAGGCATGCTAACCTTATTCCTAATTTTGTTTCATTTTATTATTATTTTTTGAGATGAAGTCTCACTCTGTTGCCCAGGCTGGAGTGCAGTGGTGCTATCTTGGCTCACTGCAACCTCTGCCTCCCGGGTTCAAGTGATTCTCCTGCCTCAGCCTCCTGAGTAGCTGGGACTACAGGTGCGTGCCACCACGCCTGGCTAATTGTTGTATTTTCAGTAGAGACAGGGTTTCACCATGTTGGCCAGGCTGGTCCTGAACTCCTGACCTCAAGTGATCCACCCGCCTCAGCCTCCCAAAGTGCTAGGATTACAAGCATGAGCCACTGCGCCTGGCCATTTTTCCTAATTTTAGTGGTAAGTGTTTAGTACTTCATCATTAAGTATGATATTAACTTTAGGTTTTTCGCAGATGCTGTTTATCAAGTTGAGGAAGTTTCCTTTTATTCTTAGTTTCATAGCTTTGATTTTTTAACTTCAATTTCAAAAGCAGACAAATGGGTACTCTGAATAGTTAGGCAAATCTTCCCTACAGTTATAGAGAAAACTGAAAAGTTAGGCACACCTTCCCTATGGTTATAGATAATAACTATACAATATGCAGAAGTAGTGACAAGCATGGATTCTAGACCCAGATTACACAGGTTCAAATCCTGGTTTTGCCACTTACCAGCAATGGAATTTGGGGACAAACTACTCACCCATTTGCGCTTTCATTTTCTCATCTGTAGAATAAGGATAATAATGATGCCTGCCTCGTAGGGTTTTTAATGAGGATAAAAATGTATAAATATTTATAATGTGTCTAGAACAGTGTCTCGCAAATAAGTACTATGTAAAATATTCTTCTCATGTTCATTTACAATCATGGAAGACAACTAGATTCTCTCTCAGGATGCAAGCTCACTATGCTAGCTTCCAGACATGGGTTTTATTCCATCTTTTCCCCAACCCCTGTTGCTCTTGGTGGCACAGTTAGAATTTTAGACTGGTAGAATCATCAGCTAGCCCCACCTCGAGCCCAAGGCAGAAACCCCTTCTGCATGTCACACCTGACAGCTGCTGGCTGCGTTCTGACCAATAATTCTTCAGGTTGACTGCACATTCAAGAAGTCTAAGTTTCTCAGCTACGGAAGCCTGATGATGTCAGGCTGTGAGGTGGCAGTGAGGTTTCCCAGGGATTGGGAAGCTAAGTGTCTGTGCTTAATGTATGCATTGCTAGGTCCTTCAGTTTCTTCCACCATGACACCTGACATGGGTATTGGCCTCTACTAGAACAAAGGCCCCTCAGACATGAACTCCAATGACTGGGTCTCCTGAAAACTGGCAACTCCTCTTTTTTGCCCCTAGGGAACCAAATTAGGGTCAAGGAGAGGGCTGGCTTCTCTTTCTTAGGAACTGCTCAGATCCTGAATAACTGCTCAGAGACCTGAATAACTCTGGGCTCTTTTTTTTTTTTTTTTTTTTTTTTTTTAGATGGAGTCTCACTCTGTCGCTCAGGCTGGAGTGCAGTGGTGAGATCTTGGCTCATTGCAACCTCCACCTCCTGGGTTCAAGCGATTCTCCTGCCTCAGCAGCCACCCAAGTAGCTGGGATTACAGGAGCGCACCACCACGACCTACTAATTTTTGTATTTTTAGTAAAGACAGGGTTTCACCATGTTGGTTAGGCTGGTCTCGAACTCCTGACCTTGTGATCTGCCTGCCTTGGCCTCCCAAAGTTCTGGGATTGGGCTTTTTTTTAAAAAAGCCCCATTGAGGGTAGGAGGGTAATTAGGTTCAATTCTTCCATTTCTAATTTTTAAAAATTATAAAGTTTTCAACAGTGTGTGATTCTCAGGTATTCTTGGCTAGAAGATCTCTTGATTTCAGATTTAGCATGAGCCTCTTCCTGATGGAGCAGCAGGTTGCTTTGCTCACTTAACAGTATTGTTACATAAACAAGCAAGAGATCTGTGTGCTACAAGTAAAGTCAAAATTTCCATCTGAATTTCAGCTAATCATGATATAAGGACCAATTCAGGCTTTGGATGTTTCAGTCTCCTGAGCCGTGCAGCTGTGTTTTCCCTCCTTTCACTAAATGCTGTAGTTTAAGATTTAGAGAATTATGTAAAACACACTGGCAGTGCCAGGGCTTAGAAGGGGTAGGATCCCCTGCCCAGTAATGTTGGCTGATGTTCTTTCTCCCTTTTTTGCTGATAGTAGGGGAGAAAGTTTCTTGAAAATGATCCAGTCTACAGGAGACAGTCTACAAGGGTCTACAGGAGCAAGAGGGGTTTCAGACGTTACCCAAGCCTTCTTAGTTTCAGGACTATGCTTTTTCTTAAAATAATTCTGAGAATTAAGTGCAAAAATATGCGAATGTCACATGTGCCGTGTGCATTTATAAATAAATGTGACATGTAAAGGTGTATTTATATATCTACCAATTGCACTGCAAAACCATCCCCAGCTCATAGACCAACCAGTCTTCCAAAATACTACTGTGATGCACTTAAAACCTGCAACTCTGCAGGAAGGTGACCTCAATGTACCTTCTTTGAATTTGCAGAACTGTGTACAAGAACACAAACTGTTTATACAGGATTGTAGCCTTTTTTAAATGCTAAAAAGGTCCCCATGATTTGCTTTGTTTAAGACATACACTCAAAACTTTATTAAAAACATTTTTCAAAAATAGTTTCATAAAGCTAGACACATCAGCAAGC
This sequence comes from Homo sapiens, assembly GCF_000001405.40. NCBI lineage: Eukaryota > Metazoa > Chordata > Mammalia > Primates > Hominidae > Homo > Homo sapiens. Next base: position 226,739,629 of record NC_000001.11, on the reverse strand, counting down.
CTCGATTGAGGGGTGGAAAATGAATTGTATATCTTTAAACCGCAGAAGTTAAAAGCCTTTTTTGTTGTTGTTAGCTAACAATGGAAACTTTTTTTTAAGTGTTTCCCTCCCTCGTCTTGCCAAGCAATAGAAAAAAAAAAAAAAGAAGAAAAGAAAAACTTGTTCCGCTGAGTTCAACCCCAGACAGGCTCACAACTTCCTTCCTGCTTTCCTCCCCCAAGCCTCCGCCTTTCTCCCTCCTCCCTCCTCCACTACCCCCCCCCCCAACAACTTTTCTTTCTTTCTTTTTTTTTTTTTTAATCGTGCATTGAACAAACACTGAAGTAGCCCGGAGCAGACACTGACAGGGGCAGTATCTCCACGGTCGAAAAGGGCGTGCAGGGCCGGCTTGGCGTCGCCACTGCCGGGATCGCCGGGCCCCTGAACCGAAGAGCTTTCCCCCCTCTTTCGCACTCCTCTTTTTTGTCTTCCATAGCTTGTGAGAAAATAATTTCTGAGCATTTTTACTTTTAAAGCCATCTCGTCCCTACGAGGTTTGCGCCTCTGGGCATGTAGTCTACACAGGACCTGAGAATCTGAGAAACTGCAGGTAAGTTTGGCGGCCTTTTAATGGCTCTCGCCTCTGAACAACCCTCTTTTCCCTCACTTTCTGCTCTGGAGCGAATCTCGGCGTTCCTGGTTCCGAAACAGGGCAAAGGGGTGGGCTGGGGAGGCAGGGAAGGGGGTTTGATTTTGGAGGGTGACATGGAGTGGCGGTGGGGAGAAAATAGGGAGAGACGAGGTCTCCGCATTTCTCCTACCCGCCTTCCGGGCCGCTCACTCCGCGCCGCCTCCCTCAGCGCGCTCCAGGAGTCCCCAGGCTGGGGTCTCGGGGCGGCTCTGCTGGCGCCGGGCGAGGCTGCCCGGGATGCGGAGAAGCCCTGCGCTCCGCGGCGCTGCCCTGGGGTGTTAGAGCGCCGGCTCCTGGGAGGTTTGCAGAGCTAGAGGCTCTGTGCACCTAGGGCTGCTGCCCGGCTGCAGCCATGCACGCCCCTAAGTTCCTCCGAGTGGGCGCGGGTCCGGGAGCCCGCAGGGGCAGTCGCGTCCTCGGCAACAGGGCGCGCTGAGAGCGGACTCGCTCCGCGCGCGTGCGGCGTATACACACACGCGTGTATACACACACACTCACAGACACCCCCCCATAGGGGACGACGGCAGGGGGGCAGCAAGTACTGGTTCCGGTAAAGAGAACGTGTAGAACCTCGGTGCGCCCACACTCACAAAACACTTGTCTAGGGATAGGCGACAAGGCTAGCCCTGAAAAATGCTTCGGCTGCGGCCCCGCTGCCCGCCCAGGCCTTCGTAGGCCGAGAGACACAGCCCCAAGGCTAGGGTCAGGAAGGTAAACGGCGGGCACGCGGGCGCCCTCCCAGATCCGGGCGCTGGCAGCGGCTCGGGCAAGGCAGGTCCCGCTTAGGTTCCCTCCGAGCCGGTCGGTCTCTGATGCCCCGAGAGGGTGGAGCAGGGAGACCCTGAAGCCCAGGGCGAGGGCTGCCGGGTTGCCCTGGATAGCCAATGTTTGCTCAGGCTGGGGAGACCCGGAGACGGTGGCTGGGGTGTCCTCAGCCCGGGAGAGCTGAGTCAGCCGCGCCCCGCACACAGCATACTTAGGAGCCAAGGACTTGGACCTCGCTTCTCGCCGGTCCGCGAGACGAGTATTAGGATTGGGATTTGAAGGGACCTCATAAAGCGCATCGCAGCCTGGGGCGAGGTGGGGGGCGGGGAAGCACACCCGAAACCGCGCTGGCGACCGAGGCAGCCGGGGCATGCCCTCGCCGAGCCTCGCCGTCCCCATAGGTGAGATGTCCGGTGGCGCTGGGTCCCGGATAGATTGTGTTCCCGGGGCTCTCTCTGGGTTCTGCAGGCGACCCCCAACTCCCCCCGCGCGCCCTCCAGGGTCCTGACTTTTCTCCTTGTATCTCCACAGCCGCACGGTTGTTTATGGAGCTTTGGGCGGGGGCTGAGCCCGCGGTCGTGCCCCCAGCCCGCTGCCCAGGCCATGCCGCCCCATCTGCGCGCGGAGCCGCGGCTGCCGGGCCTCCGGGGCTGAGCCGGGAGCGCCGGGAGGAGGAGGCGCCGGCGGCGGAGCAGGAGCGGGAGCCGCGGCGGCGGGCAGCGCGGGACCCAGTACTATGGCTGTGTACTGCTATGCGCTCAATAGCCTGGTGATCATGAATAGCGCCAACGAGATGAAGAGCGGCGGCGGCCCGGGGCCCAGTGGCAGCGAGACGCCCCCGCCCCCGAGGAGGGCAGTGCTGAGCCCCGGCAGCGTTTTCAGCCCCGGGAGAGGCGCCTCTTTCCTCTTCCCCCCAGCCGAGTCGCTGTCCCCCGAGGAGCCCCGGAGCCCCGGGGGCTGGCGGAGCGGCCGGCGCAGGCTGAATAGTAGCAGCGGCAGTGGCAGCGGCAGCAGCGGCAGTAGCGTGAGCAGCCCAAGTTGGGCTGGTCGCCTGCGAGGGGACCGGCAGCAGGTGGTGGCAGCCGGTACCCTCTCCCCGCCAGGGCCGGAGGAGGCCAAGAGGAAGCTGCGGATCTTGCAGCGCGAGTTGCAGAACGTGCAGGTGAACCAGAAAGTGGGCATGTTTGAGGCGCACATCCAGGCACAGAGCTCCGCCATTCAAGCGCCCCGCAGCCCGCGTTTGGGCAGGGCTCGCTCGCCCTCCCCGTGCCCCTTCCGCAGCAGCAGTCAGCCCCCTGGAAGGGTCCTGGTTCAGGGCGCCCGGAGCGAGGAACGGAGGACAAAGTCCTGGGGGGAGCAATGTCCAGAGACTTCAGGAACCGACTCCGGGAGGAAAGGAGGGCCCAGCCTATGCTCCTCGCAGGTGAAGAAAGGAATGCCACCTCTTCCCGGCCGGGCTGCCCCTACAGGATCAGAGGCTCAGGGTCCATCCGCTTTTGTAAGGATGGAGAAGGGTATCCCTGCCAGTCCCCGCTGTGGCTCACCCACAGCTATGGAAATTGACAAAAGGGGCTCTCCTACCCCGGGAACTCGGAGCTGCCTAGCTCCCTCATTGGGGCTGTTCGGAGCTAGCTTAACGATGGCCACGGAAGTGGCAGCGAGAGTTACATCCACTGGGCCACACCGTCCACAGGATCTTGCCCTCACTGAGCCGTCTGGGAGAGCCCGTGAGCTTGAGGACCTGCAGCCCCCAGAGGCCCTGGTGGAGAGGCAGGGGCAGTTTCTGGGCAGTGAGACAAGCCCAGCCCCAGAAAGGGGCGGGCCCCGCGATGGAGAACCCCCTGGGAAGATGGGGAAAGGATATCTGCCCTGTGGCATGCCGGGCTCTGGGGAGCCTGAAGTGGGCAAAAGGCCAGAGGAGACGACTGTGAGCGTGCAAAGCGCAGAGTCCTCTGATTCCCTGAGCTGGTCCAGGCTGCCCAGGGCCCTGGCCTCCGTAGGCCCTGAGGAGGCCCGAAGTGGGGCCCCCGTGGGCGGGGGGCGTTGGCAGCTCTCCGACAGAGTGGAGGGAGGGTCCCCAACGCTGGGCTTGCTTGGGGGCAGCCCCTCAGCACAGCCGGGGACCGGGAATGTGGAGGCGGGAATTCCTTCTGGCAGAATGCTGGAGCCTTTGCCCTGTTGGGACGCTGCGAAAGATCTGAAAGAACCTCAGTGCCCTCCTGGGGACAGGGTGGGTGTGCAGCCTGGGAACTCCAGGGTTTGGCAGGGCACCATGGAGAAAGCCGGTTTGGCTTGGACGCGTGGCACAGGGGTGCAATCAGAGGGGACTTGGGAAAGCCAGCGGCAGGACAGTGATGCCCTCCCAAGTCCGGAGCTGCTACCCCAAGATCCGGACAAGCCTTTCCTGAGGAAGGCCTGCAGCCCCAGCAACATACCTGCTGTCATCATTACAGACATGGGCACCCAGGAGGATGGGGCCTTGGAGGAGACGCAGGGAAGCCCTCGGGGCAACCTGCCCCTGAGGAAACTGTCCTCTTCCTCGGCCTCCTCCACGGGCTTCTCCTCATCCTACGAAGACTCAGAGGAGGACATCTCCAGTGACCCTGAGCGCACCCTGGACCCCAACTCAGCCTTCCTGCATACCCTGGACCAGCAGAAACCTAGAGTGGTAAGTCTTGCTCTGAGATTTGCCCAGAACTCATGCTGATTTCAGCAGACTTTTGATGCCCTATGCATCCCTTTTTCTTAACTTTCTACACAGTCATGAAAACTCAGACCAGGGCCCTGGGACAGTCACAGTGAATAATTCTGTCCAGGTGTGTTTGCTGAGGTGGAAGCAGAGGCACTGACCATGCATTTTAGCTTGGACAGTGAATCTGAGTCTTTCTACTATTTCCATGCATATCTTAAAAAACAAGTTTTAAAAGTATTTCATGTAGGTCACCACGCTTCTTGGGAAAATAATATTCATAAATGTCACCAAAAACTTCTGGACTAATCCCCAAAGATAGTGAACTGAGCTACTGAGTGTAGTTTTTGTCTGATCAGGTGAAACACTTAACTCTGTGTTTCATTCAGGCCAAAGAAAATTGACAAGGATATCATCAAATTAAGTTAGCCTCTACTAATAAGCCAGGAAAATGAGTGATGTGAATCTATGACAGGACCCTGAAACCTGTAGATGTGGTTGTGGCCAGTCAACTGGGTGAGGAATCACTGAGCCTCAGTAAGTTAAGCCAGACCATTGCAATATTTGTGTGGTCAGTGTAACCAAGGTGCAGTTTGATGTATGAATTAAATGAAAACCATACTTTGAGCTAAGCAGATGGTTTCTTCAGTATCATAGGCACCTGAGTGTTATCTCCGGAGTAGGTACCTCCTAATGGATGTACATGTCAGTTGGTACAGGTTGACATTTCAGGTATGTTTTCACGTGCCTCTGGTTTGGGTCATCACACTGACATCTTGTTCTGGTTATGGCAGTAGACAGGAGTTTATTTCTATTACATGGTTAATCGAACTTGTAGGCTGCTTTTACTCTTAGGAGGATCAGAGTATCTTACAGAAGACATAGGAGTTGAAGCTAGCACTTCTGAAAAGGTCTGGGCTTTCTCTTAGCTTTTCCAGAGAGCATGGGGAATTTCCTAGTTCAGTGTGCCAGGGGTGGTTGTGCTATATTGGGGGAAAGTCTGCATTTTATTATAGTAGGTAGCCTTCCGATTTCATCTTGAATATCAAATACTCTTCACTGTACCTCAATAACTTTCTCCACCACGACTGGGAGCTTTATGTTTCTACTCTGCATTCTTCACTAAGGTATTTTGGACCACAAAACATACTCCTCTCTGATTCCCTATTCACGAATCACAGTCTGGATTTTTGAAGACCAGGCATTCCTTTTCATGAAACTCTGCTTTTTGCTGATGATCTGGAGGCAAATGTGTATGCAAAATCGCCCCAATCAGCCTGGCATTTTGTGGCTAGGACAGGGCCCCTGGGCATTATGCACCTGCTGTCAGGCATAGGCGCACCACCTTTAGAGGGGGAAGCGGTCCACCTGGAAGGGGATGGTGGTCAAGGGCAGGTGGGAAATACTTCTTTCTGAAGGCATGGGCCAGATTTCTCTTTCTGCCCAGCAGTTAGAGGTCTACTGAATAAGAGATGGTCCCCCGTCCCATCCCTCCCAGTTGCTTTTGAACTCCTGAAGCATAGCTGAAACAGCCAAAGTCACTTTAACTTGTTCCCTGACTGTCCATTCACCCTTTCTAGTGGTAGATTAGCAACTTCTATTGGCTGGTTGTCAAAACAGTTTGTGTCCCGATGTTTGAAAACGGCTCTTGTCTAGAAGAGAATTAACAGGGAGATCAATAACGACAGGTGACTTTTTTTTCCATTTGCCAGAACGATGCCATTTGAGAAACCAGAGGGTTAAGTGGTGTTTTTAAGTTAGTGAACATATCCAGAGGTAGAAACGAGGCCAGCCTGTTGTCCAGTCTACCTCCCACCTTTAAACAGGTTTTCAGACACCCGCAGAGCAGAGCCAGGGAAAAATCCCCTGCCGGCTTTGCTCTCTGAATCACATGAGACTGGTGGGAAGTGGGGTGGGTGTGTGTGTGTGTGTGTAGGGGGGTAAGGGTGGGTAACCAACTGGAAATTATGGGATCCTAGGGACTTTTGAGCTTTGGTTGAGTGCTTGCACGATAAGCAAAGTTTTCTTCTTGTACAGATTGTTACGCTGGAGCCTTATCTGTGACACCCAAACATCAGCTCATTGGGTCAAAAATCACTTGATTACCTGCAATAGATATTTTGTCTACAGAAGGCCAGACATCTTGATGGAGTGAGTCTTTTGGCTGGGCCTTTCTGTGTTTGATAGATAAAAGCCCCACCAGCTCTGTCTGAGGTTCTACCAAACTGATGTAGCATTCTCTTTTCTGGACTTTGCTGTGTCTGTCCAGCTACTGCACAACGCTATAGCTGCACACTCTCATGCTTGCTCACACTTGCTTACACTTGCCCTCACACATGCCCTCACACATGCTCACACTTACCCTCCTATGCTCACACAGGTTCCCCCTTGCTCACCCCACTCACACAGGTCTGAAATGGCATGTTCAGCGTTCCAGTCACATAACCAACCCCTGGCCCTCAGACCCACACTAGACACTGAGATTGTTTCTGTGCTGCCCTACCTTCCCACAGAGTTAAGCCTTTCGGGCCTCCTGTGGCGCTTTCTTCATCCTTGCTGAGGAATGAGTGTGTATGACTTGGTGTGCAGGCAGGGGGTGACAGTATATCTGCTTAGTAGGGATCAGACACTTGAAATTTGCTCAGAAATAGTTGCATTACACGCCCAGTGTGCAATGGCTGAAATTCAGGCACATTCATGCTTACTGTTCTCTGAGATCTGAACAAAATCAAATTGCACTGAGCAAGGATAGTGCTCAATCTTTTGTTCTTTCTGACAACTAAAAATTAACCAGCGGTTGTTTACTTCCCTATATAATTCTGTTTAAGAGAATCTGGACCATTGAGACACCAGGCTTAAAATGTTGTATTAAGATATAAAAGTACCTTACTTTAAAAATAGATTTTTATTGATTTATTTCAAAATTGTTCTGTCAGTTATATGTACAAAAAAAAAAAAAACAAAAGAACGCTGGGCACGGTGGCTCATGCCTGTAATCCCAGCACTTTCGGAGGCCAAGGCGGGTGGATCACTTGAGGTCAGGAGTTCAAAACCAGCCTGGCCAACATGGTGAAACCCCGTCTCTACTAAAAATACAAAAATTAGCTGGCGTGGTCGCGGGCGCCTGTAATCCCAGCTACTTGGGAGGCTAAGGCAGGAGAATTGCTTGAACACTGGAGGTAGAGGTTGCAATGAGGCGAGATTGTACCACTGCACTGCAGCCTGGGCTACAGAGTGAGACTCCGTTTCAAAACAAAACAAAAAACAAAAACAAAAAACACTGGCCTAATTACCTGTGGGGTGTATAAAGAAGTGTAATACAAAACCCTTGGCTTCATGGTGCTTACTGTTTTTTAAAGGCCATTGGAATTTTGTTTCCTTCGCTTTTTTTTTTTTTTTTTTTGATGTTGACTAGTTTTGTTGTCTTTTTTTTTTCTGAGTGAAAAACGAACTCATACACATAGTAAAAAATCCAAACAGTTTAACATGGTTTTATGTGGTTTTGAAAAGTGTGTAAAAATTTTAGTTTGGGGTAAACCAAACTAAAATTTAAAAGCCTAGAGGGGCACTTTAAAAAATGCATCTGTTGGTGAATACTTTTAAGTGGAAAATTCTTTTCTAGATGAGAATGTTGAAAGCTCAGATTTGTGGGGTTATGAGCTCAGGTTGCATATGCTGTTTTCTGAAGATGGGGTACCCTTCTTCTCTCAGGTACATGGAGAGGATCTTTCTGGCAAGGGCTCAGCAGCTTTGAGATCTGGGAGGACCCCGAGTCATTTATTTTGGGTTCTGGGTATGACTGATCTGTTTGGGGATGAGGAAATAAACACTCAGAAAGTCAAAGGGAACCAAGGACACACTCATGGGCTCTGCTTCTCTAGCTTAGTTTTCTCCTCTGAAAATGTGGGTATTGTATGGGAATGATCTCATGGGGTCATCTAGTTCTGTCTGTGACTATGTAATTGAAGACATCTGATTTAAAGCCTAGTGTTTGTATTAGGGTATCAGAAAATGCGACAAGACTTCTTAGGTGTGGGTTTCCGGCACTGAGGCCAAAACTGGGCACTTTTACTTTTGTGCTTTTGCTTGAGACCAATTGATTGATCTGCCTATCTTCTATCTCTTTGCCATAAGAAAGGCTCTTTGTAATTTCATACTGAAAAAGTATCATCAAAATAAATCATCAGTACCATACCTAAGATTATCATTAATAATTAGTCTGGTGGTAGAGACAGCTGGTAGGATGCCAGAACATTAACCTGAACAGTAAAAGATTCATTCTGTTTAAAAACAAAAAGCAGGGCATTGTCCCCCCTCAGATACTGAAGTCTAGAAACTGAGGCCTTGCCCACACAGAGCCAAAACATCACTTCAAAGACCTTGTCTTATCAAAGATAAAAGTATTCAGCCAGCTTAAAACATTTTCAAGTAAAGGTGAGGTATACAGACAAAGAGAGATTGATTCTAAGCGTTGCTACTTATCATGCAAATGCTTAGACTTTGCAAAACATACAGCTCAAGACTCACCCGCTTTTAGGTACTACAAGAAAACATTAAACCAGTCAGTCGGTGTTTTTAGAGAAATATATTTGAGGTGTTACATAAGTCATTTTCAGAATTTTTGTTTTTAAGTGCTGAATTGCTACAGAGTCACTTTTCTGATTTTGTTGGCACATACCTGTTAAATGCAGTTCCAGATTAGATTAGTACTGGCTAGTTTATTTATATTCCTAGGAGTATTGACAACATTGTTTAGGCTTATTTTATTTTGTCAGGTCTCAATTTAGTTATCTAAAGGTAGAATTTTAAGGTATTTAATGGAAAGAATTTTATATCTTGGTGGAAAAAAAACTACAGACTTTGGATAATCAGGAGGTGGTTCAGAATTAACTTGGGAAGTCTTCTAAAGCATGTTGTGATCGCAGCCTCAGGGTAGAAGGTTCTGTGGATTTTGGTGGGAGAGGAGACCTTGGGATGGTAGGTTTATGCATATGGTACTCTCAACTCCATGACAAGGCCTTGCTGTGATTTTTCTTTTCCTCACTGGGTAGAATTGGCATCATGAAAGATGTATTTTTCAGCCATCAGGGGAGCTCATTGTTAACAAAAGTCACACCAAACCCAACTATGAACTCTTTGGTAATTTGAAAAGTGGAGTGGCAGCTGCCTGTTTGGGATTTTGTATTACCAGTTCTAAGATGGTTGCCCTTCCTGTGTTAACTTACCAAACCAAGTGACGATGGTGCTACAGGCAGTCCCAAACAACATGGAGCAGAAACAATCAGCATCTCCTTCAGACCCATGGGTCTGGTCCATCTGACTGTGGAGGGCTACCTTGGTGATCTGGAAGAATCTGCTGACCTGGTCCCTTGACCTTGTAGTCAAATTTGACTAGCTAAAGTTCTGCCAGACAGCTCTTCATTTTCTCACTGGGCCCCCTTCATTCACCCCAACTTTCTGGTGAAGACAGCAGCCCTGATCCATTTTTCCAGGAGTAAACTATTATCTTAAATACAGTTCAAGTCTCCTTGGTTGACAGACACCATAAATATATATGATCTCATTAGGAAGTTAGGCCTCTGTGCTTCCTATTAAAAAATAACAAAAACTAGGCCAGGTGTGGTGGTTCATGCCTGTAATCCCAGCACTTTGGGAGGCTGAGGTGGATGGATCACCTGAGGTCAGGAGTTCGAAACCAGCCTAGTCAACATGGTGAAACCTCGTCTACTAAAAATACTAAATCTACTAAAAATACGAAAGTTAGCCGGGCATGGTGGCACACACCTGTAATCCCAGCTACTCAGGAGGCTGAGACAGGAGAACCACTTGAACCCAGGAGTTGGAGGTTGCAGTGAGCCGAGATTGCACCATTGCACTCCAGCCTGGGTGACAGAGCAAGACTCTGTCTCAAAAACAAAAACAAAAACAAAACAAAAACTTTTCGATAGCTTCCATAATTAACAGTATCGAAATCTGGGTCTGGGACAGGCTTTAGAGCTCATTTCCTTTTTTTTTTTTTTTTTTGAGGTGGAGTCTCGCTCTGTCACCCAGGCTGGAGTGCAGTGGCATGATATCGGCTCACTGCAACCTCTGCCTCCCGGATTCAAGCAATTCTCCCGCCTCAGCCTTCCGAATAGCTGGGACTACAGGCGCATGCCACCATGCCCGGATAATTTTTGTATTTTTAGTAGAAATGGGTTTTCACCATGTTGGCCAGGATGGTCTCTATCTCTTGATCTTGTGATACTCCCATCTCGGCCTCCCAAAGTGCTGGGATTACAGGCGTGAGCCACCGCGCCTGGCCTCATTTCCTTTAATATCCACATTTTACAGAGGAGGAAAGCAAGGGTGGAAAATAGTCAATACCATTACAGGACCCATGGTTACACCCTTCAACTAACAAACTTCCTCAGTGGATAAGCTCCTTACTCGCCTTTGCAGATCCACCTCAGCTTTGAACACAGTGCATGCTTTTAAAGCATTTGTTAAAGGAATGGGTGAATGAATGAAGGAGAGAAAAAATCCCTGCTGCATTATCTACCCATAAAAGAAATACAGAACCATCTGGAAGGTGAAGAACAAAGAAAGGGAATCAAGCCCTGGGAATGCAAGTTTGTTGCTTATTCCTGTGACTGCTGCCACAGGGATAAGGGTGCTAGGCTTGGGTTTAGGAGACTTGGGTGAAATTCCAGTCTACACATGGCTAGCAAGCTCTCTGAAAAATGGGGAGAGTAAGTGTGACCTCATGGAGTGGTGAGCGTTCAATTATGTCATGTTTATAAAAGTGCCTAGCACTGTACCTGGTACATAGTAGGGGTGTAGTAGTAGTGGTTTCCTTTTGTTCAGTTGCAGGGTTGGGGATTACTTTAAGGCTTAGACTCAAAGCGATAGGAATGAATTGCTTGGTCAGCAGAAGTGCACACTGCACACCAGCCTCAAGGGACAAGGTCAACCACGACACGTTTGCAAAGTGTTTGTGCGGGGAAGACCACTCTGATGTTTCTTACTTAAAGGCAGGGTCTTCCAACTTTGTCTGATACGGAATGACTTGTTACAATCATTTCACAGGCAAGCCAACACTCAGGCTTTTGACTAACTTGTCTGGCGTGTTTCTCAACAACTCCATTAAGAATTCACTGTTAGAAATCTGATCTTTTCTCCTCTGTTGAGCTTTACTTGGGCATTTTATTGATTTGATATCACTTAGTAGAAACCCATTCAACAAAAGGTATCTCTTCAGGCCACTAGTCAATACAGCATTTTTTATTTGCTGAGATTTTTACTTCTATTTTGCCCCACATCAGCTGGTAAGTTTTATAAGTAAGCAAAAAGTAGGAGCTATAGACAATAAGGAAGCAGAATGAACCTCTGCAATTCATATTTATGTATGATTTCACTTGGAGTGGGAGGAGATGTTTTTTTTCCCCATCTTTGAATAAGTAGAAAAACATCTCACGTAACCTGGGGTGGTGGTGGTGAATTTTCAGCTGAAGGGAATCCTTCCTCGTGAAGCTCACTGCTATCCTGTTAATCTAGCATTTTACTTTTGTGGTAAGATTCTGGGTGGAAAGGGAAAATGAAATGATACAGCATCTCAAACATAGGCATCAAGATTATTTCCGTTGACCTGGTGACCAAGATTAGGGTTTGCCTAACCCAGAGATGATAATACGTATTAATGATGAAGGGTAACGGCCGGCCCTTGGCCAAGGAGAACTCTTCTGAAGGGGTGGGCCATTTGCTCACATTTATAAAGTTGGTCTCAGGGCGTTGAGGGGTGGGGGTGCAAACGAGGTGCTTTTACCTCTGGCTTTTGGGGCAATGACAGCAGTTTTCTTTCTTGGCCCTTCTAAAGGGTTCTCTGCATTCTGTCCCCCTCCCTGCCCCCATCCATTAAAGGAGAACGAATAAACTGATTTTACTGTTTTCCAAGAAGAAGGCATAACACATTTTATATTACCAGTGCTTAATATTTTCATGAACTACAGGGAGCGTTCAGCCTGCCGCGAGAAGGATTTGGTTCCCTGGTGACTGGCCATCCACCCAGCTCAATCTGCAATCTCTCTTGGTATGCTGCTGAGTTGGTGGGACCTGGGCAATTACAAGGGAGGTCACTGCACCCCCAGGCAGTTCCCAGCAAGTGTTTTTTCCAATTTCACTGACATTCTTTCCGGGCTCAACTCAATTTGTTTTCAACTTCTCTATGGCAATTGATGACTGACTGTGTAATTCAGCAGGATCTCCTGTGAAGTGCTTCTTCCCCAGTTGAATAGGAGCTGGTGTTTGTCTAAGCCTCTGCTTATGCATGAGGTATAATGCTTTTTATATGTTATATAATGCTCTTACGCGTTAGCTATCTGAATGATAGATTTAATAAAATATACCTCATAATATTATGGGGAAAGGATGACGACTGTTATAGAGAGGAACTTGGGAGTATCACTTCTGTAATCCTTATCTAACCTGAATCTGCTAGCAGGAAACTGAAAAGGCCTGTGTATGACAATGAGATAAACAATTTTAATCTCTTAGCAATGTCAAGTGGAAAATCTAACTACCTGCCAGTAGTTTAAGAAATGGCTAAGAGATTTTGTTGGGCACAAATAATCCTGAGACCCAGATTGCTGAGCCAAGGGTAGGAAAATTGGTTTTGCTATGTGTTACAGCTGGGAAGTGAGAAGGTCACTGTTTGACAAACTACTAAAAAAACCTTATGGATTAAACATTCGCCAGTGTAGGGGACATTTTGAATGTGTTATAATTGATATTTTAGTCTATATGCGGCCGCTGAACGCTTTTTCTTTTACAAAAAAAAAAAATTTATGAATTTGAGACAGAGTCTCACTCTGTCGCCCAGGCAGGAGTGCAGTTGTGTGATCACAGCTCACTGCAGCCTCGATCTCTCCAGCTCAAGAGATCCTCACACCTCAGCCTCCCGAGTAGCTGGGACTACAGGCTCGTACCATCATGCCTGGCTTATTTTTTATTTTTTAGTAGAGACATCTCTTGCTATGTTGCCCAGGCTGGTCTCGAATTCCTGAGCTCAAGCGATCCTTCCACCTTGGCCTCCCAATCCGCCTTGGCCTCCCAAAGTGTTGGGATTACAGCTGGGAGCCACTGAGCCTGGCCTTCTCTTTTTCTTAACCTTTCTCCTTCATCATCATCATAGTCATCACAGCATTAAACACTCATTAATATTGACCATCTGGCTAATTGCAAGTAGTTGAGGAGACTCAAGACCTCCTCTGAGAATGTTTTTTGTGCTTAACAAGTGAACGTGCTTGAAAGACTTGTGACTCTCAGATCCAGCACTTGACCTCATTGGGCCTCTTTGGACTTGGGTATCCTCAATCTGTAAAATGGGTATATTGATAGTCTTCCTACCTCATGTGGTCTTTGTGAGTCCAAATAAGACGTGTATACAGTCATTTGGGGACAGTGAATTATTTCCTGCCTAAATGAGTTTTTAATTATGAGTACGATGACTTTGCTTTTTTACAAAAAGAGGATGGACAAGGGCAAGCACTCACTCATGAAGAGTATTCTGACCTTGTTGCTTGAAAAGAAATTGCTAAGGACTATGTTAAAAGCAATCTCTGCGTCCACAGCAGAGCCAGTTCTGAGGTGGACGGAGCAGTGAGGTCGGGTTGGGATGAGGAGATATTCTGGATAACGCCCCGGTTTCACTTCAGCCGCAGCATCGTCTCCTCTTGCCTGTGTGACCATCTCGGCCATTGTAGACTGTGGACGCAGCCTCCTCCGGCTGTGGTTTGCCCATTCGTCAGTGGGCATGCAGATGTAACAGACACCAGGGAAGGCTGGAGTGAGCAAGGAGGGGGCCCCAAAGCAGGGGTCTCATGCTCCCTGAACAGGGCTGCCAGCTGCTGAATCATGATAGGGAGACTGCACTGCACTCTAGAGTTTGAGGGTACTTAATGGGGGCATGGACTTTTCCAGTACCTTGAGTGGTTTTCTCTTCTGTGTCATGGAAAGTGAAAGGGGGGAATTCAGCAAAGTCTTGAGCTTTTAATTACATCTTGAGCAGATATTACATTCAGTAGATATATACTGGGTGCCTCTTCTGTATGGCCAGGCCCTGGGCTAGGTCTGGCAACCACTGCCTCCTTTTCCACGGAGCTGGATTTCCCTTCGGGTGGCTGCCCACTTTGAGAAGTGCACTTTGCACCCAGTGGCAGCCCAAATAGCAGGCATTTATTTAATACCCTTGTCTGCAGACACCTGTGCTGAGAAGAACGGCTTAACGGATGCTGTCCCTGTCCTTGGGGATCTGCCTTCTAAGACAAAGTTAATGCCAATAGACATATTGGAAATTTGTGAAACTGAAGAACAAGTTGTACGGCCATTGAGCAAGCATGTTCATTAAATATGAGTTAACAAATAATGGGTTGGTGCTGGCATGCACAATGCAGAAAGCTTCAGTACATGTTGTGGAACAGGGAGTAAAGGAACTGGATTTGGGCAACAGCCTCTAGGGAAGGAGTCTGGGGTAAAGGTCTTGAGGAATTTGCTCCCTCTGTTAGAAGTGGTAGATCAAAGAGACTGTTCTGGATCCAGAGGCTCACGGAGGCTGGAATGAAAGAGGGCACCCCTGCCCCAGTACTTGATTTGGAGCGTTGGATTCTGCACAAATTGATGCTCAGCAGTTGCACGGTGCAGAGCCCAGTCAGCTGCACTGTTGCTATGCTCTCGGGAGGACCCCGATTGACCAGAAGGACATGGTCAGGAGAGCTCGGCAGGGGTTTTTCTGCTTAGTACACGTTATAGAGTCTTAGCTATGGAAGAGCTCTAGGGGGAGGGGAAGAACCCTGAGGTGTAGTCCTGGGTTGAGTCTAAACTCTGTTACTTCCTATCTGTGTGACCCTAGAGAAAACTTTCTGCTCCTCAGTTGCATCATCTGTGAAATGTGACTGATAATACCCACCTTAAGGCTGTGAGCCTTAAACAAGGTAATGTGGGAAATGCCTAGCACAGCGTCTGGACATACTAAATGCTCGATACAATAGCATGGACCTCAGAGGCAGCTGTGGTGTCATTTGTTAGTATTTTATGCCGAACCTGCGACCTCCACCATTCTCTTTGATTGGGTGAGAGTGAATAAGGGTGTCTGAGGCAGTGTTGCTGACTTCTTCCCTTGGAAGAGGAGAAGTCATGGGGTCTGGGAGCTCTTTGACATTGAGGTTTGTAGGAAGTGTGTGCTGGGGGAGGCTTGCTCTGCTGAGCACAGAAGCAAGATGGTCTGCTGGGGAGTGTGGAGCCCGAGCCAGCCAGACCTGAACCCACACCCTCACTCTGTCCTAGACCTTGGCGTGGGCTGAACATCTCTGAGTCTCAGTGTCCTCATCTCTAACATGAGGATAATGAGCCTCTCTCAGGGGGTGCTGTGAAGATGAAAGGAGATAATGCAGCTCAAGTACCGGGTGCAGAACAGGGGTGGAATAGAGGACACCCCTCCACCAGTTGTGAAGAGCGTTTTTAAGTGGATGCCCTAATCGCCTTCACCAATTGGCTCGAGTCACGTTGTCCCAAGTACAGCTAATTGTCGAAGATGATGACAAAACAGGCAGCAGGATTTATTTTTCCAGGGAGGTTCTTTAGTTGCAGGAGAGGCCTCACTTTGTTACTAGGGATTGGAACTTGAAGTTTAAAAAAACAATCCCCTGTATTCAGCTGCCGGCAAGAGGTGTCAGGTTACACACCCTGGGGACCAGCCTCTTTTTATTCTGTTTTGTAGGTGGAAACTGGCTGAGGTCATCCAGACACAAAATGCCCAGCATTTGGGGTGTGAAAGCCTCTGTCCCTTCCCTCCCTTCCCCTTGTTCCTCTGCTTTCTTGGTGCATCTTTTAGAGTCACTGTAGCTCATAAGAGAGCCAATGAAATATATACATATATATCTCTCTATACACACACACCCACACACACGTGTGTGTGTAGAACAACACTACTCTGTATCGGTGTGGCTTTTCTTACCAAGGAGGTCTCTGGACGTGTGTGATTTAATTAGTCTTCGTCTCTTCTCTGTGCCGCATCTGGTGCCAGGCCAGGCACGTGCTTATTAACACAGGCTCTCTCTGAGATTAAGGAGATGTTTTATCTTACTGCACACCCAGTGAGGCCCGTCACGTGTCCATTCACAGGGACTCAGGTCCAGGTGGCTCTGGGGTCTCTGAAGTACACTGTGCGTCACCCTGGCCTCCTCTTGAAGTGAGCCACAGAGAACCTACCCAGGACTTCCCAAGTCACAAGGCCATACTGTGCCCTTGTCATCTGGGCTGGGATGGTGGAGTGGAAGGAAAAGCCAGTCAGGTGACTGGACGGAGCTGATGAACCCCGAGCACACCAGCTCACTTCCAAGTCCCAGGAGGGCCTACTGGAACCCATGCAGGATCCGGGCTGGATGGCTACAGGTTCCATCTGAGCAGCACGGACTGGCGTCACCACAGCCCTGGGCATCCTGCCTGCCAAACCCTGGTCTCTACTCTGCTACACACAGGATGTGTGAAATGGAACTCTCTCCTTCCTTTCAGCTGTAATGGGTGGGGGGCAGGGGGAGCAGGTAGCCTGCAGGGTTGACCCCTGGGGGTTTGCATCTTTTCTGTCCAGGATGATCTATTCAAACCTTTTCTAGCCCCAGGACCCATTAGGCATCTGTACAGAGCTTCCAGGCTCTGAATGTGCAGTTTTGAGACGTTGCCCCTTTCTAGACATATGTGTCTCAGGCTCAGCCTGCCCTAACACCTCCCCAAGCCCCAGTTTCTTTCTGCCCTTTGCAGGATGAAGGGACTGATGTCTGGGAGGATTGAAACCACGAAAGGAGCTTGTTAGCACGTGGCAGTGTTGACCTCAGGGGTGGTCTGATGGCGAATGTGCTGGACAGTAACTCCCTTATTGCCCCAACCTGGAAATATACACAGAATGGTAATTAGTTTCGATCTCAGGGTAAAGCCATATGGAGCAGCGTCTGGGATGCTGTTTACCTTGCGGTATTACACTGTACATTAAAAATCAGCTGCTCTCTCCTGAGAGCCGAGCCGTCTCCCGCCTCTGCAGACTGCTGGTTAACCCCAAGAAGCTGAACGGAGCCCTGCAGGTTCTGGGTCCTTCCTGGCATCCTGTCTTTGGCATTTTGAACTGGCCTAGATTTTCTGGTCAGTCACCATTGGCCTCAAATACCACATTCCCAGGGGAAGGCAGGAGAGTCTCCTAGGAGTTGGAGTGGCAAGGAGCCCCAAGGATCCATGTTGTGCTTGAAGGGCGAGTGCCCTGAATGTACCAGGTGGCAGGTTGCTAGGAACCTTGAGCCTGGCCTCTGACTGTAGTTTGGGAACACTGACTTTGCAAAGAAGACTTGAGCAACTTCAGAAAATAGTTTATGGCTGGGTGCGGTGGCTCATGACTATAACCCCAGCACTTTGAGAGGCTGAGGTGGGTGGATTACCTGAGGTCAGGAGTTCGATTCCAGCCTGGCCAACATGGTGAAATCCCGTATCTACTAAAAATACAAAATCAGCTGGGTGTGGTGGTGCGCGCCTGTAATCCCAGCTAATCCTGAGGCTGAGGCAGGAGAATCGCTTGAACCCGGGAGGCGGGAGTTGCAATGAGCCCAGATTGTGCCACTGCACTCCAGCCTGGGCCACAAGAACAAAACTCCATCTCAAGAAAAAAAAAAAGAAAGAAAAGAAAAGAAAAAAAGGCCAGGTGCGGTGGCTCACGCCTGTAATCCCAGCACTTTGGGAGGCTGAGGCAGGTGGATCACCTGAGGTCAGGAGTTCCAGACCACCCTGACCAACATGGTGAAACCCCGTCTCTACTAAATACAAAATATTAGCCAGGCGTGGTGGCGTACGCCTGTAATCCCAGCTACTTGGGAGGCTGAGGCAGGAGAATTGCTTGAACCTGGGAGGCAGAGGTTGCAGTGAGCTGAGATTGCACCACTGCACTCCAGCCTGTGCAATAAGAGCGAAACCCCGTCTCAAAAAAAAAAGAAAATAGTTCAGTATGACCCCATGACCAGATGTCATAAAAGGGAACATAAGTTCCCCATAAAGGTATTTAAAAGTCAGTTGCCCAAAGGATAGGATGGAGGAGTCCTGGCTCATCAATATTTCTTTTATTTCTTTTTTTTTTTTTTTTTTTTTGAGACAGAGTTTTGTTCTTGTTGCCCAGGCTGGAGTGCAATGGCGAGATCTTGACTCACTGCAACCTCCGCCTCCTGGGTTCAAGCGATTCTCCTGCCTCAGCCTCCTGAGTAGCTGGGATTACAGGCATGTGCCACCACGCCTGGCTAATTTTGTATTTTTTTTTTAGTAGAGACGGGGTTTCTCCATGTTGGTCAGGTTGGGCTCGAACTCCCGACCTCAGGTGATCCACCCACCTCGGCCTCCCAAAGTGCTGGGATTATAGGCGTGAACCACTGCGCCCGGCCAATATTTTATTTTATTTTTTGAGATGGAGTCTTGATCTGTCGCCCAGGCTGGGGTGCACTGGCATGATCTCAGCTCATTGCAACCTCTGCTGCCCGGGTTCAAGCGATTCTTCTGCCTCAGCCTCCTGAGTAGCTGGGATTACAGACAGGTGCCACCATGCCTGGCTAATTTTGTGTTTTTAGTAGAGATGGGGTTTCAGCATCTTGGCCAGGCTGATCTTGAACCGCGTGATCTGCCCGTCTCGGCCTCCCAAAGTGCTGGGATTATAGGCATGAGCCACCACGCCCGGCCGCGCCCGGCCAATATTTCTTTTGAAATTCACTGGGAGTTATAATTTTACTACCAGTTCAATATGAATTAACAGGTGGTACGGCTGTAAAAAATACTAAACAGTCTTAGGATGCACAATAATAATAAAAATAATAGCAGCAATGATTTCAGAAGTGCCTATTATGTGCCAGGCATGTTCCGTCAAATACTTTATGTAATTTTTGCAGGGCATTCATTATTTTCCTCCTTTTAGAGATGAGGATGAGACATATAAATTGTTAGTCCCAAGCCCACAGCTGATCAATGGCAGGACTGGGATTTTAACTCATCTGAATCTCCCAAGTTCCTACCCTGTCCTCTCTGCCACCCATCAGCTGTCGCCTGGAGAACAGAGGAAGGTGGCTTTGAATTTAGTTCTGGGCCTTGTGCTTTAGGGGGACTGGGGACTAACTGAACTGAATGCAGAGGTGGATGGGTGGAGCAATGGGGCCTCTGAACCACAGCCCTGGGAGGTGGCTGAGGGAATTAGGATTGGTTGTTGCCGTGGAAATACTGGACCCCGGGGGAAAGAGAGTGTGTTCACATAGGTCCCCTGGAGTACCGTTTTAGTCTAGTTAAAAATTTTCTACTTGAGGAGGTGGAACTAAGAGTGGATTCTTTTCCTTATAAATGAATGGGCCTTTGTTTAAAAAAGGGATGTAATAGATGCAACTGCAGCAAAAGTGAGCTCCTGGAGCTGCCTCCTTAGGCTGATGAACTGGAAGAGAACTCTTAACCCTAAAGGGCAGGAAAAGGTTAAAGCTCCTCATTGCTGCAGACATAGCAGGGCAATAAGCCCCTGATAGCAGAAAAGGGGAGCACCCCAAGGCACTCACTCTGTAATCCGGGTCCCCAGGGACTCAGCCTGCCTCCCACAGGGAGAAGGGCAGATCTGCCCACGGGAAAGAGGGTTTCAGCAGATACAGAGCATGGATCTGCACGTGTCCAGATGCCTCAGGCCACCCAGAGAGAGCATCGTGGGCCTCTGTGCTGCGTGGGGCTTGCTAGGTACTGCTATACTGTGAAGCACCCAGGCAGCCTGGAGCTGCACGGCCTGCGCATGAGTCCAACAGGTACAAGCTGTTGTGGGCTTATAATGTCAGCACCTAAGCAGGAATTGAATGCAATCGAGTTGAGTTACCTGCCTCCAGGTAAATTAAGTTAAATCCTCATTTAAATTAGGAGACATGGGTGAGGGCCTAAAGGGGCCAGGACACAGAATGCCCAGGCTTTCAATAGGTGATATTCTCAATAGGTGATAGAGGTGAAGGGTGTGGCACCTCCCTGGAAAGGAGCACAGCTGCGGTCACCAAGTGAGGCTGTGGCCTCCATCGTAAAGGCCATGTGGGGCGGCAAGTGACCGACCACAGGGCACGGTAAGTCAGCAGGGAGCGACCACCAGGATTCCTTACCAAAGTTGGATTCCTCAGTCTCTGCTATGCTACCCTCAGAGATTCAGATTCAATTTTTTGTTTTGTTTTGTCCCGCTCTATTGCCCAGGCTGGAGGGCAGTGGTGTGATCTTGGCTCACTGGAACCTCTGCCTCCTGGGTTCAAGTGATTCTAGTGCCTCAGCCTCCCGAGTAGCTGGGATTACAGGCGTACGCCACCACAACTGGCTACTTTTTTTGTGTTTTTTAGTAGAGACGGGGTTTCACCATGTTGCCCAGGCTGATCTCAAACTCCTGGCCTCTAAGTGATCTGCCTGCCTCGGCCTCCCAAAGTGCTGAGATTACAGGCACGAGCCATCGTGCCGGCCCCCGATTCACTTTTTAGGAGGGGACATCTGTGTCATTTCCAGGTCTGGCTATTTTGAATAAAGCAGCTGTGAACATTCGTGTACACATTTTTGTGTGATGTAAGCCTTCATTTATTTGTGATAAATGCTCAGGAGTGCAGTTGCTGGGTCGTACAGTAGTTGCACATTCATTTCATATTTTACGAAACTGCCACACTGCTCTCCAGAGTGGCTTCACCATTTTACATCCCACAGCAGTGTATGAGTGCTGCAGCTTCTCCACATCCTTGCCAGCGTTTTATTTAGTAGCTAAGTAGCTACTTTTATTTTAGCCACTCTGGTAGGTATGCAGGTATGCAAGGCCATCTCATTGTAGGTTCTTTCTGTGTCTTGTTTTGTTTTGTTTTTTTTGAGACAGGGTCTTGTTCTGTAGCTTGCCCGGGTTGGGGTGCAGGGGGCAATCATGGCTCACTGCAGCCCTGACTTCCTAGATTCAAGGGATCCTCCCGCCTTAGCCTCCCAAGTAGCGATTTATAGGACAACAGGTATGCAGCACCATGCCCAGCTAATTTTAAAATTATTTTGTAGAGATGGGGTCTTGCTGTGTCGCCAAGGCTGGTCTCAAGTCTCCTGGCCTCCCAAAGTGCTGAGATTATGGGAGTGAGCCACCACGCCAGCCTTCATTGCAGTTTTAACTTGCTTTTCTCTTTTTTTTTTTTTTTTTGAGAAGTCTTGCTCTGTCGCTCAGGCTGGAGTGCAGTGGTGCGATCTTGGCTCACTGCAAGCTCCGCCTCCTGGTTTCAAGTGATTCTCCTGCCTCAGCCTCCCAAGTAGCTGGGACTACAGGTGCCCGCCACCACACCTGGCTAATTTTTGTATTTTTAGTAGAGACGAGGTTTCACTATGTTGGCCAGGCTGGTCTTGAATTTCTGACCTTGTGATCCGCCTGCCTCGGCCTCCCAAAGTGTTGGGGATTACAGGCGTGAGCTACCACGCCCGGCCAACTTGCTTTTCTCTAATGGCTGGCGATGTTAATTTTTTCACTGGCTTATTTACCGTCTCCTTCTGTGGAATGATCTGGCTTAGAAAATGAACAATTCCACAGAGGTGCTATAAAAACGGGCAGGGTGTCAAAAGCCTTGGCCTCCTGTTTGGGCTTTGCCTCTCAGGGCTTCAGGTGAAGGTGTTTGGTCATCTCTGAGGTCGCTTCCTGCTCCCAGTGTCCTCTGACTCCAGGATAGAGTCATGCCCCTTGGCGGGCAGCCCGGTGGGAGCTGTGGTGTGTAGGAGGCCCGGACGGCGGCCCCTGCCCACATGCCATCACCTCCCAGCTCCGTCTCCACAGGAGCTTACCCAGGCTGACTCACAGGTGCTGTATTATTTAAGGAAAGTTGTTTATTGATTGTTGGGGCCTGGAAATAAAAAGAAAAACAAAGAAGCAGATGCAGAGTGTCTCCTTGCCACCTCCCTCTGGGCGCCTCCGAGATGGTGGCTGAGGACCAGGCCCCACTCTGGGTGAGGCTTCCTTTCCGCCACTGGTGCTTCCCTTTGTCTCTCTGCAGCCTGGGCCTGTGCTTTGGGTTTAGTTTTGCAACATAGTCATGCTGAAGGTCCCAGAGATGCTTCCCCTTTTTATTGTAATTAAGCCAAAAAAGAAACATGGGGTATGTAATTTAGAACTACTCATAACCACAGAGATGGAAGGAATTTTCTCTTTAAAGCTAGCACTAGATTTCACCTTGCACCCTAGGCCACTTGCCCATGTCCTTGCCATCTTTTAACTCCTGTCTCAGGAGGGGGCAGCAGAAAGTAGTCTTGAGAGTTAATGGGATTGCTACTAGTTTGAGTACCTGCGGGAGGATTTGGTCTCCATCGAGAAACAGGGGAAGATGTCATCTGCTTAAGAAGGTATTTATGTTTGTTTTTCTGCCCGGTGATATACATGAACCCGGTAGTGTGTGAAATAAAGCATCTTAGTCCTCATTTCAGTGAATCAGAAGAAACTAAAAGGCATGGTTATTTCTCCCTCGGTATGATGAAGTCTATATAATATTTGCAAAATCTCCTTTGGTGAATTTGTATAAACAATCTATCACAAAGAAAGTATTGTTTTCTATATGGGCTTAAAGGATTTTTGGAAAATGGGCAGAGGATTTTCCCATGTATTCCCTGAGCCTGGGGAATGGAAATCATCTCATGGAGACAGATGACCACAGGCTTTCCACCCAGTCCCCGTGGCCCACTAGAATTGTCCAGCATGTTTCAGTGGTTATTTGATTGGGCTCAAGACCAAAGTTGGAACTGAATCAAATGATGGTTTGGTTCAGAATATTTTTCCGTTTTGGTACGTTTTGAAAACCTAGGTTTGATGCTGGTTGCAGTTGTTCAACAGATTTTTTAAAAAAAACTTTGAGTACAACACACACTGAGGCCTTTTGCGGGTGGAGGTAGGGAAAGCATCAGGATAAATAGCTAATGCATGTGGGACTTAATACCTAGGTGATGGGTTATAGGTGCAGCAAACCACCATGGCACTTGTTTACCTATGTAACAAAACTGCACATCCTGCATATTTATCCTAGAACTTCAAATAAAATAAAAACATTTTAAAAAGAAAATAAAAAGAGAAGATTTTTAGAAAAAAATAAAGAAAAAGATTTTAGAGCCACAGAATCTCTTTTTAGAGTATGGGAAGAACAGAAATTCTCTGGGTAGAGCAATTTTTGACAGAAGATGATTTGGGTTTATATGAGATATACAAAACTATTCTTACGCATTTTTACTGCATGCCACAACTTGGGATTTCTTAGTATTTTCCACATCAACCACACTACTTTAAGTCGTCTGGTTAGAAGTGTATGAACATGTTATAAGCTCAGAAAATGGCATGTAAAAGCAATAGAGGGCCAGGTGCGGTGGCTCACGCCTGTAGTGCCAGCACTTTGGGAGGCCGAGGTGGGCAGATTGCCTGAGGTCAGGAGTTTGAGACCAGCCTGGCCAACTTGGCAAAACCTCATCTCTACTAAAAATACAAAAATTAGCCGGGCATTATGACGGGCACCTGTAGTCCTAGCTACTCAGGAGGCTAAGGCAAGAGAATCACTTGAACCTGGGAGGCGGAGGTTTCAGTGAGCCGAGATCTTGTCACTGCACTCCAGTCTGGGCGACAGAGCGAGACTTCATCTCAAAAATAAATACATAAAAATAAAAGCAATAGAGTATTACAGTGTGAATCAGGAAATCTTGCACGTTTTGAAGGTTTCAAATGACTTGGTTTAATAAAGAAAGAAAACTTGTAATACCTAGAAAATTGACGTTGAATGGGAAAAATAAAACAAAATATTGCTATACAAAAACCTCTTGTTACATTCCTGACTCAATCTGATATTTGTGTTTGGTTTATTTGAATACATAAAATATATTATGGCCATTGGTGAGTAGTTAGTTCATTTTGATTCAAGTTACTTCTCCAGATGGCATCATTGTTATAAAATTTAATTTCCGTGAACTTACATTCTTCCAGGATGGTTGTGTGTGTTGATCTTCTGGTTTCTTAAATCTTCTGGGTCAGAGTTACTATACTTGCATTTGTGCTTCGCAATGAACTAGAATAAATACTTTCTATTAAAACCAGCAGAGGTTTTGCTAAAGAGAATGCACGCACAGGCCTTGTCTTTTTGGTGCAAGGTAGAGGGTTTTATCTACTACCTGCGACTAACTAGCTTTCAGAAAAGAGTGAACTAACGCTTTACCCATGGAGTTCACAAACGTTCATGGTGTACTGGCAGTAGGGATACATGTACAAGCATAGCTTAGTTCCTACCTTCTAGGGATTCGAAGTTTAGTAGAGGAGGCAGATTGTAATACCTAATACCTATTATGCTTTTATTATGTGGTAGTCATTGAAGGAGAAGTTAAGTGACATGTCTAAAATCATAGTAATAGAAGAGTCAGGCTATGAACCAAGATATTCTTAGAGTTTCTCATCGTTGGCATTTAGGGACAGATACTTTTCAGTTGTGTGGGGCTGCTCTGTGTACTGTAGGATGTTTAGCAGTATCTCTGGTCAGTAGCACCTCCCCCCATTTGTGACAACCAGATGTCTCCAGACATTGCCAAATGTCCCCCATGGGGAGAATCGCCCCTGATTGAAAAGCACTGCTCTAGAGCCTGCTCTTGTGCCCACCACTCTGTACTGTCTTCCCAGATGAGTGAATGCTATGGGAGAGAATAAGCATGTTTACAGTGTGAAGTCCCAATTCCTGCTGACAGCAGAGGACAGATGCCAACACTACCTAGGGTGGTGGAGAAGAGAAATATTCTCAGATATGGTGCCATTGGAGTTGAATTTTGAAGGGATTCACGTAGTCAGAGAAAAAGGAAGACTATCTGGAGTAAAGGGATGTGTGTGCACAAAAGCATGGCAGCAGGAGGAAGCAGGGCAACCTTGAGGATGACAGGTAGTTTTCTATAGACCCTTTAATTTACTCTTCAGTGCTGTTCTCTTGTTTCCTCTGTTCAAACAGCAAGCCAGGGTTACAGCAGCTCTTCATGTCATTCTTACTTCAAATCAAAGGTGTTGTGTTAGTCAGGATGAGCTAGGTTATGTTGCAGTAACAAACAGCCCCAGAATTGGCAGCAGAAAACAAGAAAGGTTTATTTTCTGCTCATGCCACATACCTGATCTGGGTCAGCTGTGGTCTCATGGTGCTGGTTACTGTACAGAGGGAATGAGAACATGGTGAATCACATACTGACTTGTAAAGCTACATTCCAGACAAGCAACACTTACCACTTCTGCTCACATTTAATTGGCCAGGTAAGTCTGCTGTCCTCACCTAATTTTAAGGGGCCAAGAGAGTAGAGTCCTACCATGTGCCCAGGAGAACTAGAAATATTTGGGGACAGCACTCAGGTGTACCATAGATGTCAGAGGCTCATACCTGAAATGTTCAAGCACACACAACTCATTGTCTGCTCTCTGAGAGCCTCCTAGCTTGGCTTTCAAGAAGGGCCCTTTGCCATAGACGGTCAAGATTTTAAAAAATATCAATTATCTGAGTAAGTCAAGGAAAGTCCTTGTGGGACCAGGTCACAAGCCCTCAGTTTTTAGAGTCAGGATGTTGGGGTGGGAGTGATAGAACTGATTGAAGTCAATATAGCCTGGATGTGGTAGATTGTTTTATGTGGAGGGGTAGTTGTTCAGGACACTGATTGTTATCTGAACACCCAGGATGCTTTCTTTGGCTGTCACTGTAGTAAAAAGAACAGTTTTAAAGCCTGAGCCAAGTGTCAAGCAGCAGGAGGGTGTCCTTCGTGAACTCTGAATTTATGGGGCTGAGTCTGAGAGCGAAGAGATGCCAACAGTAGCGACTGAGAACATTCTGGATGATTTTAGTAAACCCCGAACAAATTCCTTATACACCAAGGAGCATTCTCCTTGTTAGAAATTCCTCCAGACCACGACTCTGGCCCTGGCCCTGGGGTGAGGAGATAGGGTGCCTGGCCGTAGTGGATCTAAAACGGGATGACACCGGAAACCTGTGGGGAGGACGCCGTCCTTGTCGCCCCTTGACAGAGGGGGCACAGAGGCCTTAGAGAAACAAAAATAAAAATAGCAATTGTTTGCCACTTCCCTCCCTAATAAAGTGTTCTCTCCAAACCTGGTTTCCACTCTATTTCTGAACTGTTTCGCCCCATGGTGTGTAGGAAGCCAGGGTAAATGTGGGAGTGGGAGGAAGGGGACACAGGCAGCAACTCAAAGGAAGGCAGAATTAGTAGCCGTCTGGGAACCGGGGGCGGGGGCATTCTAGAAATGCGAAGAGGTCGAATAGCCAGCTGGGTCCGGAGTCTCCTCACCTCTGGTGTCTTAGCGGAGCATGAGTGTGTATGTATGTGTGTGTATATGTGTGTATATTTATTTGCGCATATGCACGTGTGTATGTGTGTGTGCATGCATGTGTGTATATGGGTAAGTGTGCAGTGTGTGTTTACGTGCATGCATGCATGTATGGGTGTAGATATGTGGGTGTGTAGATAAGTGTGGGTGGGCACATGCGTACACCCACTGGAGGGGTGCGATGGAAGTTGTGTGCAGCTGCGTGAGCGTTACTGACCATCCTGTGGTTTGCTGATAGCTGCTTAATCTGGGTTGTGTGTTTCCTCCCTCCCCAAGCAGACACTCAGGGTGCTCCGTGATGCACCGGGACGCTAATATTTTCACACCTGCAATCTGTATTGTTCTTTTCTCCTTCGGAGAGCAATATTGCCCTTCTGGGTGCTTAAGCAGGAAACACAGGACCAGATAATTTAAGAGGAGCCTTAATGCTCAGGGCCAGAACAGACAGACGGGCCTGAACAAGGTCACAGGCCGTCCAGGGAGTGCAGGGCTAGGGCAATGCCAGCCCACTTCCTTCCAGCCGAGCGCTCCCTTCACGGTGACCACCTTCCCTTCAACGTCTTTGTTTCCCGGCTGTAAAATGGGCATGTTGCATACAGCTATGTAGGAAGTGTTTGCAAGTGCCCAGGCTCTGGGAATTTGAGTAAAGAAGGCCCTTTGTCAGTGGCGCACACAGCCTCGGCTTTCTTCACCTTGTCAGTTGTCCATTCAGGTGGAGTAGCTATGAACACCCACTTACCCTTCACGTATCCTAGGATCAGGACTGTGCCTGCAGTGACCACGAAGGCTGGGGAGCCAGATGGCTATGGACCTCACGAGGGCCTGCCAGTTCCCAGGAAGGGGGTCTGGGCTGCCAGGACAGGGGGCAGCAGCAGGACTCAGAGAGAGGGGTTGCCTCGCAGTGAGCCCTGCCCATCTCTCGTGCGGTGGGAAGGTGGTTTAAACCCTGCCCTTACCCCATGCTCTGAGGTCTCCGGAAGACACAGGTGCTATATATAAAACTAAGACTATTATCTCACTCTTGCTAAGTTTCCACCCTCGCGGCTTACTGTACACCACCGGGGAGAACATTTCCTGAAGCCCTTCTCCCGGAGCTCTGAGGCCAGGGTGAGGGACGCCTTCTGAGAGAGAAAACCTTCCCCGCAGGGAGGCCTTTTGCAGAACAGGGAGGAGAATAAAAATGTCCAGGCAAATGCCCAACCTCACCCTAGTGAGCTTCCCACTAGCTGAGCTGGGGACCAACATGGTACCAGCCTACAGGGAAGCCCCTCATCTTCCCCCTTTTGCCTTTTAACATGGAGTCTCTGGGTCAGGGATGGACACGGTGGTGAGGGATGCTAAGTATGAGCAGACACCCTAGTGGGTTCAGCTCAAACTCCAGAGGGGATGGGGATGGGCAACACTCCTGAGGAACTTCTGTTCAGCACTCGTCATCGCCAGGACAAATGATGGGAGGTCCAGGTTGGGAGGTTTCCATTTAAGCGTTGGTTCCTTGCAATTTCCCTGGGTAGTTTTTTCAAACAACCCATGATTGTCATTTTCGGTCGGACGATCCCCATTGTTTGGGACTGTCCAGCACACTGAAGGTCACTGAGCATCTGGGCATCTGGGCCTTGGAGCACTATTTGCCATTGTGCAACATACACAACACACACACACACACACACACACACTCTCTCTCTCTCTCTCTCTCTCTCTCTCTCTCTCTCTTTCAAAACACCCTCTAGGGCTGGAGGCAGGTACTGCATCTGGTTAGGAACCACTGCAAGGAATTATTTACCTTGGCAACATCTCAAGAGGATATCGAACTGGAGTCAAAGGATTTTGGGGAGGTGGAGTAGGAAGGAGGTAGAGGATGTTAGGCTGAGAAATGTCCTGTCAGCTTGGACATGGTGTTGGCCAAATTTTTTTAAGTGAAGAATTTTCATTTTTTTTGTCCTATTTATGAGCACCCAATTGACTGAGCACCCTCAGTTAATTGGAGAATCTTGTGCATTTTGTTTGGCTTTGTTTTCATTCTTTCTTAATAAGAATGTCTTAATAAGATGTCTCTTAATAAGCACTATTACCTGTGGGGCCAGCTTCATGAATGCAGTTGCACAGGCCGCATGCTCAGAAGGGCCCTGCTTTTGGGGTTGAATGCCTGGCCCATTGCTGCCTTGAAATTCTTAATAATTCTTTGAGTTGGTGTTTGTAAGTGAAGTCCAGTGGGACAATGAAGCATGAATTCTCTGGGCTCCAGTCCCACCTGACTTCCTTCTCCCCACCCCTGGCAACTACTGACTCTTCTGATCCCATCAGGGGCCTGGGTGAAGGTTCAGGGAGGGATAGAGTTGGCGTCACTGGTGTCCCAAGGCAGGGTGTGGTGGCCATCCCTACCCCAGGCTGGCAGGGCCAAAAAGTGGACAACTGCATGAGAATCCAGCTCACTCCAGATCCAAATACCAAGCGTGTCCCAGCATGAGTGTGTAATCGCTTTGGGTCTGCCCAGGCAGGTGTGTGGGAAGAGGGGACCTCTCTGCTCCTGGCCCAGCACCTGGTAGAGGACGGCAGTAGACGCTTAAGAGTGGCCAGAGTCAAGGGGCGGGATCCCAGCATCTTGTGAGACTCTGCACTCATTAAACAGCAAATAAGAAACACTGTATCAAGTTGAGAGAAACCCTGCAGAAGAAAGGAAGGAAACGGTTTATTTTAGTACGTTTTATGGCACTTTTTTCCTGCTTTTTGAACAAGGGCGCTGCATTTTTACTTTGCACTGGGCCCTGAAACTTACGTAGCTGGCCCCTACTTGCTTACTTCATTGCTATCTGCAGTTTCTGTTTATTTTCTGTCTCCCGTTTCTAAAAAGAAATAACTAGTTAAAAGGGCTCACCATGAACACAGGTGCTTCCATTTGTTTCCCCCTTTCTGTTCTTCTGAGGGACATTATCACCAGCCAATCACCAGCTGCCCCACCCCAGACTTCTTTTCCAATGCTACCTGTTAGCACGGCACCTTCTGAAGGAGGCCGTGAGTCAGGGGAGAGGAGACAGGGGCAGGGAAGACAGATTTATCTGTCACTGGGATGTGGCTGAATTTTGTGGTGGGTGGGTTGTGAATCTTCCCATTAGGGAGTGATTTCTTCCCAGGTAGTTATGAGCTAGTGCTGGCCCCAGGCAGGATGCTGTCAGGATACTAGACAGGGAACCATAAAGCAAGGTTGCAAGAAATGAGGCTCTGCTCTCATCAGCAAGCTTTACTAAGGGACTCTCTTCAAGCAGGGAGATAGTGCTGCACCAAACAAGTTAAGCACTGTCCTTGGGCAGGAGTATCATGCCGTAAGACATGGCCCAAGAGAGAATGACAGTGAGGAAACCTAATTGCAGGTCAGGTGGGCCTGTAGACAGGGACAGGTGAGGGCTAGGCCCTGCCCACTGCCGCTTCTCACCGTTGGTCCCCAGTCATGGAAGTTTCATATTTAGACAAAGGAAGGTCAGGGAAGTATCACGTCTTCTGCTTTACCTAGGAAGTTCTTGTTGGGGGGAAGTTGGATGTCAGGAGCCACTGTGCCTGCCTCTACCCTAGTCCCCTCCACAGCCTGCTGCATAGTTTCCAAGTGTCCCAGGACCGCAGTGACACCCACCCCACCCATACATTTTAAGTGTTAGCCACTTCTTGTCTGTTACTATAAAATGCACATCAGACATTCCTAGACCCATCGGAGACCTGGAGAGGCCAGACACTGGACATCCTCCTACCACTGGGCCAGACACACCCACGGCAGCCCAGACAGGCAGCCCAGGGCAGGGGAGGCCATCTCTGTTTCTGGATGTTGCTAGCCTGGTGCCTCGCCAGGGAGGGGGTGCAGCCAGAATAAAGGCATGAGACATACTCATGCTAAAAAGTCACTTGTTGTTTATCTAAAATCCAAACGTAACTGGGCATCCTGTACTTTTTCTGGCAGCTCTAACCCAGAAGGCAGTTTTGTCACAGCCTTTGTGAAATGGGTGAATCCAGAAAGGAGACAGCTGGTGGCCCAGAGGCCTCTGGAGGTCCCCTATTGAGGGGCCAGACGTCTGGGGCTCTGCTGCCCACTGCTGCCACCTGCTTGCTGTACCATCTGGAGTTGTTCTGAGGCCTGGTGTAACTCGTGTTCACCAGTGTCTTCTTCCGTCTCCCTTAGGCTCTCCCCCAGAATGGAATACAGTGAGGGGCCTGGCAGAATACTGGCCTAGGGCAGCATGGCCTGCCAGGCCTGCATCAGAAAGCTGCTCAGGCTTGCTGCCTCACGAGTTAAGATGCTGTCAGCTGCAAGTATCAGAAAACTGCAACCCAGTAGAGTTGAACAATAAAGAAAACACATTCTTTCACCTTGATCAGTAAGTCCCAGCACAGGCAGTTCTAGCATTGGCTAATTCATCAGCATAGCAGAGTTACTGAAAGACCTGTGTCCTCTGCATCTCTCTGCCCTGTCTCACAACGTGTTGACTCATCTTTCCTCGTGGTTGCCAGATGGGTGCTACAGGGCCTCGTGTCCTGTGTGGAAATGATAATATCCCTTGGAGGAAAAAGGGGATGGCTCTTCATGGTGTCTAAGGCCGAGACATCTTTTTCAGAAGGCTCCCAGCAGATATCCCCTGTGTCTCATTGACCAGAATGTCTCGAGTTACTCGTGCCTAAGTCAGCCTCTGGCATGGGAGTGGCTTATAACAATTAGTATTGACTCTGGGAGTAGCTCCAAAGAGCATACATTTGGGTGGGTCTCAGTTAGGTCCCTTGAGCTGTTATTCTACCAACGGTTTGAGGCAGGTTTGATTTATTTTTTGTTCTTTTTGGTTTTTAACAAAAACTTAAACATTACAGAGAAAGAAGCTAATGATAACCATGACTAAATAATGATAACCACGACTAAATGAATGATTTAACTCATTCTAGGTATTTACAATCGTTGTAAATCCAATTTGGTCTTTGATCAATTGCCTAATTTTGTTTTACATAATTGCAATCTGATTGTACTAGTTTTATCTTTTATTGTTTTAACGTCATTTCATACAGTAATCAACTGTGTGGTCTGATTCCTGAGTGTGAACTTTGAGCTACTACATCATTTACATCATCTTACTCCTACCTTTGGTGGGTAGTTTCCATATTTTGTTGCAGTTATTGCCATATGCAGCCATGAGTATTTTTGTTAAAATGACCTCTTTTCTTCTCCCTTTAGTGACTTCTTGGGAAGTGTTCCCCTCAGTGGTACTGCTGGGGCAACGTCCAATACCAAGAATGATGTATAGCATATTTCATCTTCCTACACTACTCTCTGGAAAGACTGAGCCAATTACGGGGTCATCTGTAAAGTCTAAGTGCTGCAGTTTCCCTACGACCATTGGATTTTGTTTGTAGTTTGATATTGTCTTACTGTCCCTTGAAGTTGTAATTTGTAATTCTTTAGTTTTCAAGAGGGACTCTACATGTTTCCTTGTGATGATGGCCTTGAGTTACTCATGTGTACACTGCCTATTTATCCCCATTGAGCCCCCACTGCCCGAACATGTTGATGGCATTTTATATAGTAAGCTGTCAGTTACTTAATGTACAAATATTCTTCCATTCCATGTTTTTCTCTTAAAATTTTACTTTATTGGCCAGGCGCAGTGGCTCACATCTGTAATCCCAGCACTTTAGGAGGCCAAGGCGGGCGGATCACCTGAGGTCAAGAGATTGAGACCAGCCTGGCCAACATGGTGAAACCCCGTCTCTACTAAAAAATACAAAAATTAGCCAGGTGTAGTGGTGGGCACCTGTAATCCCAGCTACTTGGGAGGCTGAGGCAGGAGAATTGCTTGAACCTGAGAGGCGGAGGTTGCGGTGAGCCGAGATAGCACCACTGCACTCCAGCCTGGGCGAAAGAGCTAAACTCCATCTCAAAAATAAATAAATAAATAAAAAATAAAAAAAGATTGTACTTTATTTGGCAATAATGTTTTTATTCTGAATTATTCTACTAGGTCCCTTTATTTCCTTGTGAAATTGTTCTTAATTGCGCTGGCCTGGAAATAGAGCCCATATGGTACTGGAGGGTGATGGTTTTTCATAATTTTTCTTATGCAACCACCCTTAGTGATGAGTCCCTAGAGGATTGAACTGTGCCTCATTCTGTGGACTGGACTTTTTGGAAACCCCTTTTTGAGCCCCCAGGAAGAAATTTGGCTGAGAGCTGATGCCTGGATGCTAGCCAGCTGGCTGCTGGCCATATCCAGCCACCCCAGTCCCCTGGCCATCTGTGCACCTCGGCAACAGAGTGGCGACTGACACACCCAGGCCCAGAAAGCCAGACAGACTGGCGGCTGGAAACTTCATGGAATCCTTGTAATTAGAAATGGAAAAGACCTGTTAGCT
Organism: Homo sapiens; assembly: GCF_000001405.40. Lineage (NCBI taxonomy): Eukaryota > Metazoa > Chordata > Mammalia > Primates > Hominidae > Homo > Homo sapiens. The sequence continues at coordinate 226,706,740 of NC_000001.11, read as the reverse complement.
CGAGTGGTATCCTCCTCCTCCTCCCACAGGCCCCAACCAGCTTTAGAAGGTGACATATAATTTGCCCTGTCACCTGGAGCACTCAACTGAGTTTTCTGGGTCTTATCTGTGAAATCCAAGAGCTGGACCAAATCAGTGTTTTTTAACCCCTTTTGGGTCTTATGCCATTTTGGAAAGTGGTAGAAAGCCACACACCCTTTTTCCAGAGAGAGGCACATTTCACAGGCCATGTTGCCCTTTCAGGACATTGATAACAAGAAGCCTGTCTAGATCCTAGCCCACAGTCTTCAGGTTTGGAACCCAAAGACTTGTTGATCTCTGAAGTCCCTCTCAGCTCAGAAAACCCACATTCTAGAAAGTTTTCTGTCAAGAACCCTAGGTATGGAAATGGATAAAAGGGAGTCTCTTGTACTTAACTTGGAGGAAACCACTGTCCAGCCCAATGGGTTTCACTATCAAGTATTTTTATTTATTGTTTTATCATTTATTATTTTCCAGGATTGAGTTCAACTTGTGGTACCACGTTCTTTCCCATCATCTTAATCTTTCTAAATTTCGTACTGCCTTTGATTTAAACAATTGAACTCTTACAGGTTTGTGGAGTGGAAATGGGATTTACTTGGTTTTGACCTTCACCTCACAGGAGGGGGATCATCTTTCTGGCAATTCCCAGCAGATACTAGCCTCTGCCTGCTGACCCTCAGCCTCCTCTTCCAGCCCTTTAGCAGCTTGGAATAAGAGGCAACAAACTGGTTGGGTTGATGTTTATGTGAACATATGGGTGCTTGGGAGTTGGAAGATGTGAGGGGAATCCCTTCTGATGGCTCTACAAGTGCTTTCCCAGCACTCTGGGCTTGCATGGTTCCCAGGGACTTCAGAGTTTCTAATTCCTCAAATGACCTGCCTGACAGGGAGTCCTAAGAAATGATTCGGGCCTCAAAGATCTGTCCTCAGGGGTCAGGAGAAAACATGCAGTATAAGTTGATATAGCTGGAGAGGGGATGCCTGCAACCTCCAACTGTGGAGGCCAGCCTAGCCTCCCGGAATGGGGTGGAGGCAGTCACAGATACAAGTCTCCTTGGTGGGAAATTGAAGGTATTCAGGCCCGTATGTGCCCATAGGCACATCTGCATATTTGGATTTGACCCAGGAAGCTTGGGGAAGGAGGGAGAAAATCAGAAGCTTTGACATCATTTTTTTTTTTTTTTTTTGAGATGGCGTTTTGCTCTTGTTGCCCAGGCTGGAATGCAATGGTGCGATCTTGGCTCACCGCAACCTCTGCCTCCCAGGTTCAAGTGATTCTCCTGCTTCAGCCTCCCGAGTAGCTGGGTTTACAGGCACGCGTCACCACGCCCGGCTCATTTTGTATTTTTAGCAGAGATGAGGTTTCTCCATGTTGGTCAGGCTGGTCTCGAACTCCCGACCTCAGGTGACCTGCCCGCCTTGGCCTCCCAAAGTGCTGGGATTACAGGTGTGAGCCACTGTGCCTGACCGACATCAAGTTGTATGTTTCTGGACTCTCCTCTCTTCCTCTGGCCATCAGAATGTTCTCACATCAAAAATGTGAGATGAGGGATAAAGGAATTAGCACCTAAATGTTTTACATAATGTTAGGATAATTTTGCTCTGTGGGAGAGTGGCCTGAATGTGGGGAGCCTTTGAGTAACTGACCTATAACTTTTCTTAGGCCCTTCTGGTTTTATCCCAGTTACTGATGCTGTTCTTATCTCCTATCTATTCTGGAATTCATCTCTGAACATTTAATACATTTGGCCAAGCAAGAGCAATGCTGTGATTCTTTTAAAAAGTACAAGCTTTTGCCAGTACTTCTTTCAAGTTGTAAATTTTATGAGGAGTTTGTTCCACTGTGCAAAGGAGCCTCTGACTTTAAGAAAAGTCATTCCAGCTCAAGATTTCAAATGAAGTCGAGGCTGTGTGTAGTCACAGGTTTTCTCATGTCATCGGTAGAGATAAAAGCCTCTTAGTTTTAGACTGGGCACAGCATTGTTGAACGTCCATTACTTACTGTTTAAGTAGCCAATGATCTCTGAAAAAAGCTTGGCTGTAAAGTTGGCAGAATGATGCACTGCTTTGTTTCAAGCCACTGTAAACTGTCTTTCCCAGTGTCACTTTTATCTCCAGTGCTTTTGTCACATGTTTTTGCTCATTTCCCCAAAGCGGAAAAATATTGCATTCCCCAGAATGACAATTTTCATTGCTGCCCGCTCAATTCAGTTTTTCATAAATGCCCAGGAAATAAACTAGCTGAGTTATTCTCCATTCTCACACATCTTCATTAGCACACACGAGAAGCTTTTTTACAGGGAATTCTCGTGTTGACCAGGTATGATAACCTGTTGCAATGTGGGTAGTCTTGGTTATATTAATGTTTTTAAAGATAAGTAGTGTTATTACTTTATTGGTCATGTATAATTACATCGGAGATCTAATTATTGAGAGTTAACAATGCTTTGTAATTGGTATTTTACGGCATGCTAAACATTTTTCTGAAGTGCTTGTACTATTAATGTTTATATTCTTTATTTCGTAGTCACTCTTTTTTCATACTGTAAAGGTAAACGGAATTCGGCTTAAGATTGAATTATCAAAAATTTTCAGGGGTCTAAACAAATAGTATTTAGAGTCCGACCCTCCCACTGTTTGAGATCTAGGAAAATAAAAGCCTTGGGCGGATGGGTTTCGGGCAGAACCGCTACGCTCTGCAAGCTGACCGTGGAGTTGGGCACAGTGTCATCCAAAGAAATGAAGATTTTTTTTTTATTAGCTCTTGAACAAAATTAATTAAAAGTTGTTACTCTTGGGGGTGAGGGGGACAAGGAAAGACAGGATTTGGGAGCCTGCTGACCTACAGTTCAACCCTACAAAAAGTATACCCATTTTGCAAATGAGGAAACCCAGACTGAAACACATCCTTTCTCCCAAGCCGGAAGCTGGCGGCCAGCAGCGCTGAGATTCTTTTCGTAAGCAGCAACAGCAGCCCCCTTGTCTTTCCCGCCTGGGGGAGCGCAAGCCAGGGGTGCAGGTCAGCATTTCAAGCCCCGCTACTGCCTCTGCTGCGGGCCCGCTAGCGCTGGCGAAGGCGACAGGGGCGGCCGCCTTCCCGTCACGTGACCGGCACCGCCGCCGAGCATGCCGGGAGACGGCGCCCCCTCCCCGGCCGCGGGCTTCCGCGCGTGGGCGGCGGGCAGAGCGCGCGCGGGAGGAGAGAGGAGGTGGGGGCCGGGCAGCGACAGGGGAAGAAACCGCGGCGAAGAAAAGCCCCCTGTAGAGCAGGCCCTGCTTCACCGCCCTGCCCGAAATCCCCCGCCGCGCCCCTGCCTCGGCCAGCCAGCGTCGGGCGGTGGGAACCGGGCCTGAGCTGAGGGCGGAGGGACTCCGGCGCCGTCCGTTCATTGTAAACAAATCGAGTGAGAAATGGAGGCACGCCTGGTTCCTGGGTCCCTTGGTGCAGGCTTTCACACCCCGGGTGCTAGCACTCGGTCTTTCTCCTGCGTAGGGGATAGGATTGTGTGTGCAGTCAGGTTTTTCTAGTAATATCTTGCACTTTTTTTTTCCTTCACCCACTCAGACATTCCCCATTTTTCCTCATAATCACTTTCTTTCGCTTCAGCATACACACTTAGCCCTTGGCAGGCAAAGTGGAATCTCGGGTTCTTGTCAGACCTCAATGTTTAAGCTGCTGAAACACAGGGCATATTTGGTTTAGATGTTTTACTGTTATGAAAATAAACCACCTCCTGCAGTTACACCAGCTCAGATTTTCCCTCGATAGGGTCAGTGTGGATTATCTATTGGAGGAAAAATATTTAATTAGAAAGGAATGAAATTCTCTTAGTTCCTTGAGGTTGGAAGGAGCTTAGGCAAGGAACAGTTAGTTAAAGGTAAGCACAAAAAATGCCAGGGGACCAAGAAGCCACTATTGGAATGCAGTATCTGTTGGCTGCTGGTTTAGCACACTGCCCCAGGCTTCCCGGTTGGGACTCCACTCAGGTCCTAGACTGACAAAATGGGAAGGCACCCTCCCAATGGGTCTTCATTACCATCTGCCGAATAAAGAGAATACCAGTAGTTGTATTTCGTGCATTTCTTGGAGCCAAATGATTGGATTAAATCTAGTCCCTTACTGTGCAAGCGTAGTCAATTTTGGTCATCTCTCTCTAGGCCTAGTGCCAGTTGTTGCCTGCCTTTGTAACCAGATAGCCACAGTGAGGTCATCAGAAGAGGATAGGCAGCGCTGCAGAAGGGAATCCTTTTTCTGTACCTCACCATGATGAAATAGGGGTAGCCGTCAAGTTGAACTTTCCCTTTTTTTTTTTTTTTCCGAGAGGGAGTCTCACTGTGTCGCCCAGGCTGGAGTGTAGTGGCGTGATGTCCGCTCACTGCAACTTCCGCCCCCCTGGTTAAAGCAATTCTCCCTGCCTCAGTCTCCCGAGTAGCTGGGATTATAGGCGCCCACCACCACACCCGGCTAATTTTTGTATTTTTTAGTAGAGACGGGGTTTTGCCATGTTGGCCAGGCTGGTCTTGAACTCTAGACCTCAAGTGATCCACCCACCTCGGCCTCCCAAAGTGCTGGGATTCCAGGCATGAACCACCGTGCCGGGCCAAGTTGAACTTTTCTCTTGGGGGAATAATTTCCCTGCTCAACATAGACCTGGTGGAATTTTCTTGTCTCTCTCTTCCCTGGCATTTTCTCTGGTCTTAGGCAAGCATTTCCTGCCTTTTCTGATTCCCTCTCTGTGTGTGCATGGGACTTAGGGGAGGAAGGAGGAGGGAGTTTTCTGTTAAGGGAGCCGTGAATGAGCAGGAAATGGCTATTTGGTACCAGTTATTCTGCAGAATTAGGGAGTGCTGATGCTGACAAGGAGTCAGAAGGATTCAGTCATCATGACATCTGCAGTCACAACTGGGTGGGTTAGTGAGCGCCCCTGAAGTGTGTGTACTCATTTCAGGCGCAGCCAGCAGCAGAATTTGGGAAGACTGTCCCACCCCTCCTACTCCCTGTGTGCTGACAGTTTGCTGTGTGCGTCTCCATGGCTCTGTGGAGCTTAAGAGATTAAGTCCTTGGAGAAAATGGGTAAAGTGAAGTTTTTTTTTTTTTTTTTTTTTTTTTTTTGAGACGGAGTCTCACTCTTTCGCCCAAGCTGGACTGCAGTGGCGCTATCCCGGCTCACTGCAAGCTCCGCCTCTTGGGTTCATGCCATTCTCCTGCCTCAGCCTCCCGAGTAGCTGGGATTACAGGCGCCCACCACCACGCCCGGCTAATTTTTTGTATTTTTAGTAGAGACGGGGTTTCACCGTGTTAGCCAGGATGGTCTCGATCTCCTGACCTCGTGATCCGCCTGCCTCGGCCTCCCAAAGTGCTGGGATTACAGGCGTGAGCCACCGCGCCCGGCCAAAGTGAAGTTTTTAAGTAGGACTGTTGTTAGGAAGATGTTAGCACAGTTAGAATTTGTAGGAATTCTACTGTTGGGGTGTCACTTTCTGTTCTGTTGAAATGATACTTCTTCCAAAAGCAGGAGTTCTGAGCTTATATAGCAGACAGCCTTGCTGCGGCTCACACAGACCCTGCGTGGCTAGCTTCTGGTCAGAGTGCCAAAAGCATTTGAAGTGCCTGGAGGTGTGTTAGCATTAGAATCAGTGTCATTGGGTAGCTGGGACATTGTGAGAAGTCTTGTCCACGTCTATAGAAACAGTTTCAGACTGACTGCTTGCTGGTTTCTCATTGAAGGCACCGTGTGCTCCATGTAGTGCTCTACGTAATCTAACATCCAGAGTCAAAGCAAAAGCTGCAAATGATGACAAACCCAGATCCAGAAAAAGACACAGGCCTTGACAAGGTGGTGAATTTCTTCTGAGCTTCCCAGCATCTCTTTTTGTGTTCTCTTCCTCTCTTGCTTGAATTTTGTTTGGGCCCCCACTCCCTTCTCATTCTGATAAAGGTAGAGGGGCTCAGAAGGTGGTGTTCTGCAGGCAGTGTAACCTTTGGGAAGAAGAAGCAGGCTCTGGAGTCAGAGCCTGAGTTTCAATCCTAGCCTGGCCAATCACTAATATCATTCTAGGCAAGCTATTTTCTGTGAAAACACTTTTGGCATTGGGTTTATGTGGGAACTCAGCAATGTGTGTAAAGCGCCTCACATATATATTAAATCGTATTAATAGCTGTGATGATGGTTAATACTGAGTGTCAACTTGATTGGATTTAAGGTTGCAAAGTTCTGGGTTTTTTTTTTTTTTTTTTTTTTTTTTTTTTTGACGGAGTCTTGCTCCGTTGCCAGGCTGGAGTGCCGTGGCGTGATCTGGGCTCACTGCAATCTCCGCCTCCCGGATTCAAGTGATTCCCCTGTCTCAGCCTCCCGAGTAGGTGGGACTACAAGCGTATGCCACCATGCCTGGCTAATTTTTTGTGTTTTAGTAGAGACGGGGTTTCACCATGTTGGCCAGGATGGTCTCGATCTCCTGACCTTGTGATCCGCCTGCCTGGGCCTACCAAAGTCCTGGGATTACAGGCATAAGCCACCGTGTCTGGCCAGTTGCAAAGTATTGATGCTGGGTGTGTCTATGACGGTGTTACCAAAGGAGATTAGCATTTGAGTCAGTGCACTGGGAAAGGCAGACCCACCCTTAATCTGGGTGGGCACCATCTAATTAGCTGCGAGTGCAGATAGAAAATAAAGCAGGCAGAAAAACGCGAAAAGACTAGACTGGCCAAGCCTCCCAGCCTACATCTTTCTCCCTTGCTGGATCCTTCCTGCCCTTGAACATCAGACTCTGAAGTTCTTCAGTTTTGGGACTTGGACCAGCTCTCCTTGCTTCTCAGCTTGCAGACAGCCTATTGTGGGACCTGTGATCATGTGAGTTAATACTTAATAAACTCCCCTTTATATATTTATCTATCCTATTGGTTCTGTCCTTCTAGAGAACCCTGACTAATAGAATAGCTTAGTGTTTGTCTGTCTTTCTTTCTTTTTCTTTCTTTCTTTCTTTCTTTTTTAATTAATGAAGCTCTGCTGTACTGGGTGCTATGAAGAATATCCCAGAAAGGGCTATTCTCAAAAAGCTGACAGTAAAGATGATACTGACTAACGTTCATTGAATGCTTAATATGCTCCAGGCATTGTTCTAAGTGGTTTGAATATTTTGGCTTATTTAGTCCTCCTAATGACCCTGTGAGGTAAGTGCTATTAATATATCTATTTTGCAGATGAGGAAACTGAGACTCCAGAGGTGTTAAATGACTTCTCAGTTGTCCAAGAAAATTCTAGTATGTGAACACAGTTCTTCAGAGCCCAGACCTGCCTGGCCGCACTGTTGGGCTCTTAACTGCTGTAGTCTACACTGCTGTAGTATAGGCTCACGCACTGGGGAATCTGACCGTGTCGTCAGCAGCCCGGAGGGTGCTTGGCGGTGCAGAGATCCTCAGAGATCATCCTCCAGGTACACAGCCAGAGCAGTCTCTGTCCTGCTCTTGCACCTTTCCTTTCTCTATAGCATTGCTGATGTGACCAGGAGGCATTGCCTTCAGCCTTCCTACAGAACAGATAGCGCACTGAGTACTTTCCTTCTAGATGAGACTTTTCTCAGTTGGCCTGATAGGACCTTATTATCAGCATACTAGAAAGCCAGGGCTGCTTCCTTATGAGAGGTAGTGGGGGTGAGGGGAGGCCAGAGGGCCATGGAGAGTTCAAGGAACCTGGGGAAAACTTAAGGCATTGTTCCTGCCTGCCACCTCTTCCCTGTGTCCTTCATAGCAGTTGGTAGAGTTTCCAGGTGAGACTGGCTTTCTAGTTCTTTCTTGCACTGCCCAGCTCAGCCCTCTTAATTTTAAGCAAATAGGTGCAACAGGTTGGAGAGGGTACCAGCCTGAGATATGACCAGGGTAGCAGAGCTAGTCTTGTCTGGAGACTATCAGCAGATCTGTGACTATGCAGTCAGCAGGACAGGATGAGAAGCCAGTCCAGAGCTGAGCTCTAGCCCAGTGGCCTGGAGCAGGGAGGGCTGCCCCATCTGGGATGCTGCTTTCCATAACCTCCTGCAGATCATGCCTGTCCTCTTCCTAGTCTGACCTCTGCCAATAGTTACCTAACTTTGAGGTTGGCAACCTGGGAAAAAGAGTCTTCCATTTTTCTCCAGCCTCTGATGACTTAGCAACGCCTCATTCATATATAAATGAACAATTCCTGTCACCTTGGCCTCTGTCTTTTCCAGAGATGGTTTAGTTGGTTTAGTCTGGGGAGAGGCAAAATGAAACGTGAAGGCACACACTTTCCAGTCTTACGATTCTGAAAGGTTGGTCCTCCTCTAATTGGCCCAGTGCCTCCATACTCTGATTTAAGAGAGGTTTCTCATCCCCCTAGCAGTCAGCATCCCTAGCCCTGCCCTTCTGGCCTCTAAGGTCAGCTCTGCTCAGTCCAGAAATGAGCTGTCGTAGCTGCTTTAGGGATCTTAAGGAGTCTGTGACCTTTCTCATCTTTCACATGAACAGAAATTTCCTGAATATCCACTCTGTGCCAGGCAGTAGGCTAGGTGCTGTGGAAACAAAAGATAAATCAAACAGAGCTTCTGCCCTGAAGGTGCTGTCCAATTTGGGTGATTCCCCTTGGCCCCTTGACAGTTACACTGGTGACATTTAGGGGACAGAAAACAAGATTTGAACCGGTTGGGCAGACAGATTCAAAGCTGTCCTTCAGTCTACAGTGCTGTTCTGCCCCGGGGGGAGTGTCCTTCCATCTGTCTGGAGAGTGCAGTGCATAGGACTCTGCCTCTGAGTTGAGTGGCTCCCAGCCTGTGGGCAGCCAGTTGTGGCTGTGACCGGGCTGCCCCCAGGGGGTTTGGCTCCTCTTGGGGACCCCTTATCACCCAGATGTGAGGGCACATCTGCCAGGGCAGGCCACAGAACTGTGGTGTTCCTAGGGCAGCTCTTATGTGGAGAGTTCTGGGTTGGTGCAGAGGACCCTAGAGAATTGTCTATTTCACTAATGCCACCTGGGGCAGGTCCCCACTGTCTTCACCACTAATCGCCTCCCTTCTCTAGCTCCCATAGTTGTGGTGAGGAAAAGTGGCTTCAGTGCTCAGCAGAGTGCTTGGGACTGCATCAAGCCCAGTTCGCCTATCAGGTATGTTTGATTTCAGCTTATTCCTCAGAAGAAATGGCCAGCTATTGTTTGCAGAGTTGGAGAATCACGCACAAAGAGATTCCCTCACCTGACCTCTGACACCCATCTCTCCAGGGATGATGAGAAGGGGAACCAGGGCCTTCCTTGCTGATGCCAGGGCTGTGTCTGCATCACAGTGCTCTCTTGTCTAAAGGGGGAAATTCTGTTTCTCATTTTGCAGCACTGTGTATTCATGATCTTTTCAGATTTGCTTATTGGTGCAGAAAGGGGAAAGAGTCTAAAGTTTCTTGAATCTTTGCCAGACACTGTACTATGCCTCTGAATGCATCATGCCTTAATCACGCCTCACAGCAACTATTGCTACTTTCATCTTTCAGACAAGGAAACAGGTTCAGAAAGGCTAACCAAGTTGTGACAGGCACCTAGCCTGAATCAGTGGATTTCTTCCTGGACCCACCAACATTTAGTTGACGCTTGCCCAGGTTTCTGCTTTGGTGAACTATATTCTATTGCTCTCAGATAAGAATACCTCCAAATTAACATGAATCCATTTGTTTGGTGGTTGTTGATATGATTTGTTCCCAAGAGGCCTGGATGAATGAACTTCGTGGTTGTGACCTCTTTTTAATTAGTGATGCTGTACCTGTCCTTCCTGTAGGAAGCTGACATCATTGAGTGTGAGCTGTGTGCTGGGTTTTTTCCTGGGAATGGGGACAGGTTGTGCTAACCCCCCGGCCCCTAGTCGGGTGCTGCAGAGGACACTCAGGCCTCAGGGGATGGCTTGGGCTACATCACCTCTGCAGTGTCTCAGCTCTGAGATTCTCAGGCCTTAGTAAGTGTGATGAGACACTTAGGAAATACTTGGAGCCCTAACCAGATGTAAAGACTGCGTGTGTGTGTGTGCGCGTGTGCGTATTTCCTCATTGCTGGTGCTAGCTGTGAGTTCTATGGAGAAAGCCAGCCATCTTAGCGGTTGCTTGGTCTCCAAGGGGACCCTGAGAAATAGCAGCAGCTAGTAATGCTCCAAGCTAGTAATTAATACTCCAACTAGAAATTATGTTCTCAGAAAACAGTAGAAAATACAGGGGCCGGGCATGTGCCATTTCGTCTCTAAGTTTTGGCCTTGTCGGAAGTGGAAGCCGGTGTCCAAGATAGTAAAATAAGTTGCTATCTACGTGCCAGGGATGTACATTATAACTAAAACTAGCTACCAGGGAGCACCTTTTATGGGCCAAGCATCTGTGTTGAGAGAGAGATACATATACACACACACACACACACACACGTAGATCTATATATGTGTATATATATGTGTGTATATATTTCAAATTAAGTCTCACTTAATCCCATACCAAAACTATGAGATAGATATTATTATCCCCATTTCACAGATGTGGAAACTAAGGCTTAGTGAGATTAAGTAATTGGTCTAAATTCACCCAGCTAGTGACTAGTAGAGCCAGGGTTTTAATCCAGCATAGTGAATTCCAGAGATTCCCAGGTAGGGGCATTAATGGGTGGGTAATGGGCCAAGCTGGGTGCCCCGGGCAAGTAGCAGGAAGGAACTGAATGGAAGAAGAAGCAGCATAGCATGTAAGTGAATATTGGAGGGCTGGGAGTAATTAGTCTTTTCCCTCTGCTCTGCCTTTTTCTTATCCTCTTCCCTTTGCTGGCCTTGCATCCGTTTCCTCCCCCTCCTCCCCGCTTCCCTCTCTTCCCTCATCTTACTGTCTTGCCCCCTGGGTTTGGGGGGCTCACAGTGACATTGTGGGCCCTGCCATAATTTCTCCACTTCCCTTCTTGTCTTCTCCCCCGTGTCCTCTCCCTCCTGTCCTTCTTCTCTTCCCTCTTGCCATCTGTCTTCCAATTCTGCTGCACACCGACTCTTGCTGCGGCTGCCAGAGGACAGAGTGAGGATGGAGCAGAGCCACGTTCTGTAGGGGAGGGGGAGGCCCCACAGGTAGTGTCAGGTCTGCGGCAGGTGTGAGAAGAGAGAGAGGATGGCGGGGTTCAATGCTCGGGCAGCTGGCCTGGGTGGGAGTGTGAGAGATGCCTGGACTGCTTGCCCTGTCAGTGCAGCCAAGATTATGTTGGCATCTGTGGAGTCATGCAGGACTGCCAGTCTCTGGGCTGAAGGTTAACCAACCCCCTTTGCCAACCTTCCATACATTAACTGCCATAAAATGCCATGAGTGCCAGTCTCACTTTGCACAATTGATTTATTTAAAACCAAAATATGGACCTTCAGTCTTTTATTATTGGTTTTGGCCTAGAATGTCAATCAAGATAATTTTGACTCTTGATTTTTGTAATTTATCCTGTTCATTATCCCTCCCAGCTTTCATTTATTTATTTATTTATTTACTTATTTATTGAGACAGAGTCTCCCTCTGTCTCCCAGGCTGGAGTGCAGTGGCACAATCTCAGCTCACTACAACCTCCGCCTCCCGGGTTCAAGCAATTCTCTTGCCTCAGCCTTCTGAGTAGCTGAGACTACAGGCGTGCATCACCACACCCGGCTAATTTTTGTATTTTTGGTGGAGATGGGGTTTCACCATGTTGCCCAGGCTGGTCTCAAACTCCTGACCCCAGGTGATCCACCCACCTTGGCTTCCCAGAGTGCTGGGATTACAGGCGTGAGCCACGGTGCCCAATACCTTCCAGCTTTTTGAAAGAGTTGGAAGAATGAGGAGACCTAAATTCAAATACTGCCCTGGTTAACTTTTTAACTGTGGACCTTGATCAAGCCAGATCAAAGTTTGATTTACCCAGTGGTTTTCAACAGGAGTGATTTTGGCCATTAGGGGATGTTTGACAATGTCTGGAGACATTTTTGGTTGTCACAACTGTAAGGGTGGTACTGCTCCTGGCACATAGTGGGTAGAGGCCAGGATGCTGCCGACATCCTCCAGTGCACAGGACAGCAGAGAATTACCCAGTTCAAAATGTTCATATTGCTGAGGTTGAGAAACACTGATGGCTAAGCCTGAGTTTCTTTACTATGAAATGAATATAATAATACCTAGCTCCTTGACTTGGAGGCTCAAATGAGATAAGATGTGTAAAAGTACCTGATAAAACTGCAAAGTGCTCTGTGGGTACCCAGTTCATCAGTTGATCAGTTGTTATTGAGGACACGCCATACCAATTGGTAATGTTGCTGTCACTAATTAAAGAAGTCATAGATAGAAAGGTTGACTAGGATCAGTCTCAGAAAAGAACCTTCTAGGGTCCTAATAAAAGCAATTTCCAATGTTCTTAAGGGTCTGTTATCAGTAGCCTCTAGGGGTATAGTTGTTCTAACAGCTTCAAAACTGTTCAACCATACTTTGACACAGATTTTTCTTTTTCTGTCTTTTCATGCACCTTGGTGAAATCTGAACACATTCTTTATGGCATTCTTCCTGATTTTGTATCCTGCATCAAAAGAAGAAATGAGATTGGTTTGTTGAAACTTTTTCTTAATGAACACATGTATATTTTTAGTGATTTCTATCTTTCCCTGTAAATGCTCACAAATCACTTGTTAGGTAATCCAGCCCTATGTTTGCCAGTCTGAAGCTTCCAGAATCCAATTTGGCAAAATGTTAGGCAAATAGTTACCCATCTTTAGTCCTCTGACACCTCTTAAAGGTTATTAGCAATGGTTCTGTGAATGCAGAGTTGAGTTCTTTCAGAGCTATCCTTGAAGACAAGGTGTGCTGTGAGAACCCATTGTGGGTAGGGCCGCATGGATCATTTGAATTCTCTTTTAAAAGTGTTGATGTGGAGCTTTTTGAGTAAACTTGAGTTATCCAGGAAAGGGGAATAAGGTACAAATCACCTTCCCTCTGACCCATGGTGTCAGCACAGGCCTTTAATTCAAAAACGTGGGACTGGCTCCTATGACCACAGCAGTTTTAAAACTACAGATTGTGATCTTCAAATGGGGATCAATTTAGATGGTTACAACCAATAGATTTTAATAAAATAGAATATGATAGAGTAGAATAGAAAATAACAGCATTCATTGCACAAAGCAATGGTAAGTACTGTTGTGTGAAACTTTTGTTTTCAGTTGTATGTGTCTGGGTATATGAAGAATATACTGAGCACACCATAAATTAGATTGCTTACAATAAAACATGTCAGTAGGGGGACAGGCAGTGATCTCTACGGACCCAGTAGGAAGTGGTTCTAAAGTCTAGAAATTAAATTCTAAAGCAGTGACTCTTAGGCAGGGGTTTTCCTAATATCTGTGTGCAAAGAGCTGCCCATCATCGCTCGACAGCAGTTTAGACCAGCTAGGGAAAGGAAGGGCATGGTGGAGGGTCTGACTGCTTCCAGAAGCCCGAAGAGATCTCAGCTCAGTGTCTTGTGTGTTCTGCTTCTGAGTTTTTGGCTGTCACTATTCCCAACAGAAACTGCAGTCCTGCTCCTGAGAAAGCAGAGCTGGGTGCTGTCTGCTCACCGAAGTTGACCAGAAGTGGCTCTTGTAATGTGCTACCTTCAAGGGCTTCTGGACCACCCTGGAGGACAGAGCACCCAAGCCACGGCTCACATGCCTGCCTTGCTCCCTGAGCAGCCGAACCTTATTACCATCACACTTGAAGCAGCTCATCAGGGATTTGTTTGAGGCAAAAGTTCCCAGGCCCAGGAAAAAGCTGAAAGCTGTGGACTTAGGAGCCAGATGTTGAGATTTTGTTGTCTGCTGATTGTTGGCTCTTGTCAGGAAAGGAGGAGGAGGAGAAATGAGAGTATATTCACAGTTGCATGGGGGAGTTTTTTACCCTTTTCTTTTTTTAAAGAAGTTGGTATGTTCTTCAAACCTGAGTATTTATATTTTGAGCACTAACAATTCTACATTTGAAGAATAAATCCCCTGCGTGACATGCTACCTTCAGCTCTCATTCTTGGGACTAAGCTGAGTGGTGATTTGGGGGTGGCTTTCCCTTTTAGTGGCCGGCTCAGAAATAGCCAGCACACTTATTACACAGACTGCCAGGCTCTCTGGAGGAAGACAGAGGCTTTGGAGCCCAAGTTTAGCGTCAGCTGTTCTGTGGCAGTGTAGGGTGAGAATTGGACCTGGTGGTTTATGTTAAGAAGTCCAGGGCTGCAGAATGGGAATGCTTTCTTTAGAAGTTTACCCCCTTAAAAATAATTTCCACTTTCCTATCTATTTAAAGGGGCTTTTGAACTTGTGTTTATGAAATGTCTTCCCGCCATTTCATGTGACTTGGGACACAGCAGCTGGGATGATCTTCCTTTTACCCAAATGGAAAGTTGGGTTGGGCTAGGGCCTATGGAAAAGCTGGAGAAGTTTAGAAGCCAGGCAAGCAGGATTATAAAAAACAAGAACCAGGGGAAAAAAAAAACCCACATGATTTTGAGAGGCAGCCTAGTGTAATGGAAAGAGTGTAAGCTTTAGAGTCAGATGACTTAGAGTTGAATCCTAGCTCTGCTCCTTGGACATATTGCTGAATTTCTTCCATTTCCTCATGTATAAAACTTGAAAGTTACAGGGTTTTGAAGGCTCTTGCATGTAGTAGGCCCTTGATAAATACTGATTCCCTCCCAGGCGTTTTATCTTTGTTTTTTCTGGGGCTCTTAACTTTTCCTCACTGGACCTTTGTAGGCACCCATTTGGGGTTCAGCAGGTACCTGGGAGCCCAGAGGAAAAAGAGTGCTACAGACTCCAGGTGGGCCCTGGGTGACCACTGAATCCACCTTCATGATCAGGGCCCACGCAACACAGAGCTGCTTCCAGAGCTCTGGGGGATTTGCTATTAGCTTGGGGTAGTTTAAAATTGAATCCATCACAATGACATGATGGGGAGACATAAACAGAACATTTGGGAGCAGAGCACAGCTGCTAAGGTGGCATGATAGACTGCTTGGCATTACAGCATTGTTATTTATTAGGGAAAGTTGAAATGGGTCAGAGAATGAAGTTTTCCTAAAGACCTCAGTCTTAGGACTAGCAGTCTCTTTTCATTGTTCCTCCATAAAAATGTTTTGCTCTGCTCTATATTGGGCCAAATGCACCAGCCAAAATACTGTTTTGCAAATTTCAGGGGAGGGGATGCGGCTGCTCATTGTGGGCCCTCCCCTTCCTGCTGTTGACTCAGGCCAGTCTAAGGCGTTCTGTGCTGCATTTGGGGGATTTTCTGGGGCCGATTTTAGAATGCTTGCTTACTGTGCATGCAGAGTCCCCCCAGCCAGGCCCCACCCCAGCACGGCTCCTGCCTCTGTCATCTGAAGCCTCATGGGCTGAGGCTGGGAAGAGAATAGAAGACACTGGTCATATGCATGTGCCCAGAGTTTGTTTGAGGAAGAGATTATACATCCATATTTCCAAAGAGAAAAAACAGAGGTTTTTTTTTTTTTAAATGTGGCAAAGTGTACATAACATAAAATTCACCATTTTAACCATTTTAAGTGCACAGTTTAGTGGCATTACATCCATTCACACTGTCACGCAGCCATCACCACCATCCATCTCTAGAACTTTTTCATTTTCTCAAACTGAAACTACCCATTAAATAATCCCTCTCCCCTCTCTCCTAGGCCCCTACAACCATTAATCTACTTTTCTGTCTTTGTGAATTTGCCTATTTTCGGTACTTGGGATAAGTGGAGTCATACAGCGTTTGTCCTTTTGTGTCTGGCTTATTTCATGGAGCATAATGTGCTCAAGGGTCATCCCTGTTGTAGCATGTGTCAGAATTTCCTTCCCTTTTAAGGCTGAATGATAATCCATTGTGTGTCTATATCACATTTTGTTTATCCAGTCATCTGCCGATGGCACTTGGCTTGCTTCCACCTTTTGGCTATTGCAGGAAACTAGTTTTGACGTGTTGAGATGCAGGCCTGATTTCCCTGCCTGCTTGTGAGGTAGGTGGACACGTTGAATTGACGGTCCTGTGTGTGAGTGAAGTGTGTGCGACTGTGTCTGAGTGTCTGTCCTTCTCAGTTGACGTAAATACTAGGGTTATGAAAAGTCCTGTTTTATATCTGAAGAAACTCTCCCTGCCCACTGGCTTGTCAGAGCCTCTTGATGAAAGGGTAAACAGGAGGTGAGTGCTTGACGTAGGAGGAGTGAGTTATCCTGCCTCAGCCTCCTGTCCTGGAGAGTGTGTTTACTGCAGGCTGCTGTGGGGATGAGAGGACCAGTTTGGGAGCCTGACAGCCCCAGATCAGGACCAGTCTCAGAATTTCTTTGTTGTGTGACTTTGGCTAGGTCACTTTAACTTTTCTGAGCCTGGTTGTCTACATCTAAGAGGATTTTGGGATCCATATTAAATGTAACATGTCAAAAGCTGTTGCCCGGTGCCTGGCTGATGGTATGTATTCAAAACACCTTCTCTTCCTTAAAGAAACGCTTATACACTGTTGGTGTGAGTGTAAATTAGTTCAACCACTATGGAAGACTGTGGCGATTCCTCAAAGACCTAAAGACAGAAATACCATTCAATCCAGCAATCTCACTACTGGGTATATACCCAAAAGAATATAAATCATTTTATTATAAAGACACATGCATGTTTATGTTCATTGCAGCACTGTTCCATAATGGCAAAGACATGGAATCAACCCAAATGCCCATCAGTGGTAGACTGGATAAAGAAAATGTGGTACATATACACCATTGAACACTACGCAGCCATAGAAAGGAATGAGATCATGTCCTTTGCAGGAACATGGTTGGAGCTGGAGGCCATTCTCCTCAGCAAACCAACACAGGAACCGAAAACCAAATACTGCATGTTATTATAAGTGGGAGCTAAATGATGAGAACACATGGACACATAGAGGGGAACAACAGATACTGGGGCCTTTTGAAGGGTAGAGGGTAGGAGGAGAGAGAGGATCAGGGGAAATAACTAATGGGTACTAGGCTTAATACATGGGTGATGAAATAATCTGTAAAACAAACCCCCATGACAAAAGTTTACCTATGTGACCTGTACATGTACCTCTGAACTTAAAAGTACACAAACACATATGCATGCACACACACACACACACACACACACACACACACACACACACACAAATAAAACCTTCCGACAAAGGAAAAAAACCCACAAAAACCTTCTCCTCCTTTCTCCACCCGGATAGTGAGCATCTTGCCAGGGAGACACCTTGTTGTATTTACCTATAGGATTCCCCTTCCCTGGGCCTACCACAGTACCTGGCCCGCAGCAGCGGCTGCTGGTTGGATGCTTATTAACTTTATCCTGGACACTCTCTGGGAAACAAAGGCTGCTCCACAATAGGACTTTCCAAAAATGTTCTGAGAAAACACAGCCCCAGTGGAATCAGCACAGAGCTTTCTAAGGGGGTAGGCTTTGAAGAGAATATTATTTATTTGGATGGGTAAATTCTGGATTGTTTGAAAAACAAAAACATAATACTGGCCTCATTACTTTTTTCGTCATTGCCCCTTTGTCTGTGGGTAGAGTGCTTTTGAGAGATTATTGGTTGGAACTTTAAAAATAGGCCAGTTGTCAGATGTCTTGGCACGAAAACATATCCCAGTGGCTTTCTTTAGGAATTTTCATAAAGCTAAACGTCTCTCCTTGGAGAGGGCTGTGTTGATCACCATCTGCTGAATACTCTAAAGAGGTCGGAGAGCAAACTTGCTCCCAAGCTAGTGGAACTAGCCAGTGGAATCCAGATGTCAGTAAAGTGGGGAAGCACTTGTTTGTTGGGGGGGAAAATGGAGTGGTTGGTAATGGGAGCAAAAAGAGTCCAAATCATTTTTTCTGGACCCTTCTCCCAATTCCCATCCCTATCCCTACCCATCTGTCTTTGACTTTATCAGTGAGAGTCATACCAGCGTCCTTGGGTGGTTTTGTGGGTCAGGCAGAGAGAAGGGTACAAAGATTGTTGGTGGATTCCAAATGCCAGGTGAAAGGGGAAGGAGAAAGTGCTAGCATAAAAGCTCTGCCTGGGACCCGGCAGGCTGCTCTGGCACAGCTGACTGTGGCAGCAGCTCTGTGGTCTGGGCAGCCCCTGAGTAGCCTGCTAATTGTGACTGGCTTCATTAGCATTTTGGGCAGTGGCCCCGAGCAGCTGGGCTGCTGCTGTCAAGAGTTGCTTTGCAGATGGAAGACCTCCTTTTCTGTCCTCTCCTCTTGGCCCTCATTACTATCTAATGCCAAAGATACAGAGTGGGGGTGACTCTTGGCTTGGGTTCTGTGGGACCCTGAACACACGAGACAATCCTGATGGGGGGCGGTCAGGAGTGGGGGTGGTTACATTCTGAGTTTCCCGGAACAGCTCTGCAAAACAGCTCCCCAAGGGATGTTGTCTAATTCGTCTTTGCATTTCCAGTGCCAGCATGGTACCTGCCATATATAGGCAGCTGCAGTTTAAAAGGCTATGCTCTTTTCTGGAACCCTCCAGGGCTGCAGGGATCTCTTGTATGATAATGTCACTATTTGCCATTTCATAGGGGCTTAATCATTGCTGAACCCTATCAGAAGTGTGAACCCTATCAGAAGTGCTAAGCCCATTTGTTTTTTCTTGCCAGAGGCTTGGGCCTGAGACTTGGTATGGCTTCTACTTTGGGTGTATTTCTCCTAAGGAAAACGTAGGGCAATTGGGAGCTTTATCCTGGTTTCTTTTTAAAAATAGTTGTTACAGACACTCCCTTGGCTGGTCCTGGCAAAGACTCTTGAGGTTGTAGGAGCTGCTCTTTCCTCCTCCCCAGACACCTGGGGAAGTTGGTGAGCTCCTTGAGGAAACTCGGAAGCAGTATCTTTTTAATCTTTTTACCTCCATCCCTATGGTCTTGAGTAGAGAGCCACACACAAAAGGCCCCTGGACAATGAGGAGCAATGGCGATGCTGCCCAGCTAGAGATCCTTCCCACAGTTGGTATCTGTGTGGCCCCTCTGTGCCAAGCAAGGCCACAGGAGGGCAGGAGGGCACTGTGTCTCTAGGTAAGTGCTCCCTACAGTGCTGGAACTGCTGGGGCTGCAGTTTCATGGAACCCCTCAGTTTTGCCAGCCTCAAGTTGACAAGTGCAAAAGCAGATGTGGTTTCTGAGCTCATTCATGTTCCTTTACAGCGGGCAGCACCCTTGGTCTCAGTGGAAAAAGCTGTTCCAGGGACAGAGGGTAGAGGCTGTTCCTATGTTGGCCTCTGAGCTGGAGGCTGGAAACAAGGGATCAGGGTGTGATGTGGGAGGGCAGATGGCACAGAAGACTCCAAACCCTAGTGTTCCCCTTTAAGGCCCACTTTTGGTTGTTTCACTGTGGACAGTGGGTGAGATTTTTGTTTTCATCCCGAGGATGGAAGCCATAGACTCATGACTCTGAAGAGCTCTCTTATGAATAACTTACGGTTCTATATCTCATGGTGGAAATATTTGGCAGCATTCTGCACTATTTCTGCCTTCTCTTCTTGACCAGATTTTATTTTGTTCCACTCTGATCTTATTTTGGCCCAAGTGTAAATGACGCTATAGAAAGATTCCTTTTTTAAATATTCCTTTTTGCTCACTGACTACAAATATACAGTACTAGAGACCCAAGGCAGCAAATGACTTGTGCCACATCAGTGAGGCAGGACGTTAGTCCCTGCCAGCACCTGGTGATGTTACTCCCTGGAGGTTCCAGATTATAGCATCCCAGCCTGAGGCTTGAAGACCCAGGGGACTTCTGTTGTCACAGCACAGTCAAATCCTCTTGGCAATAACTCACTCTCCCTGCACGTTTTTCTCTACCTCCAGTTCTGCTCTGTCCCCTCCCATTGCCAGATAAGTCAGCCATATGTGGCCCCCAGGGCACAGTGGCATGTGCACACTTGGCACCCCAGGACAAGCCTTAGGAAAAACGGACACACACCTAAACCCTTTGGGATGTCCTTTTTCGACATTGTGCACAGCTACACATGATCTTTCATGAAAGAATCCAGATGGGAGACATGTGGCAGGAGATCTCCTTTTAGTGCCAGATAGGTACAGAGTCCTCTGGTCTTTAATGAGTTTTACGTTGTGTTATGTCTGTGCTGGGATGGAGGGCACGTTACACCGCACGCTGACGCAGTTTCAGGGCCCCAGAGGATGCACAGAGGCAGGGCAGGAGCTTTGGGTTTTTCCCACTGAGCTAAAGGGAGTTTGGGGGCTTTGATCCTTTTGAATTTCCCCCATTTCCCCAAAGGTCAAACTCTGGACTTGACACTTAACAAGAAATGCTCCTGGGAACCCCAATCTAATAATGGTATCTCAGTGAACCCCAGGGAACTTTTCCACTTCTTTTTGAAACTGACTATGGCTTCCCTTTCAATCTATACTAGACATGTCCAGGAATGAAATTAGGCCCACTGGGTGACTAGGGAGTTGGAGACATTCTTCAGCCAGCCAGAGCCTCACTGTTGATTCAAGAGCAGATGCTTCTGTGATTTGCCCCCTGCCCATCCACCCCCATGGCCTCATTAGAGCAGACAGAACTGGTTCGGAAGCCTGCTGGCCCACATGGCTTTCCCTTGGGTTCTGCTGAAGTGCCCTGGTAAGCCTTTTAGGGCGGGGGGTCGCTTTATCTGCCATTCCCTTTCCTTTAGCAACTTGCCTTGTTAACCTGGGGTTGCTTTCTGCAATAATGTCTCAGGTTGGAATCTTCATCATCCCCCTCCTCTTCTCCCTCACTCTTTCTCGTTTCCTCCCCCATCCTCAGTTTCTTGTCTTGCATCACATTCATTGGCTCAGAACCTTCCTCGTGCTGCCCCACAGCTCACCGCGGCACCCAGCAGCCAGCCGCTTCATTTCCCCAGCTCCAGAGCTTCATGGATGAGAAAGTGGAATTTTTTTTCCTTGTACAATGTTGTGGAGCTTTTAATTAGTTAACTCATGTGTCCATTTTATAAACAATGAACTAAACACCTGTTACATGCTGAACATTCCAGCCCAGCAAGCCCTGGTGCCTGCCCTTGAGGACGTGGAGGTGTCACTGGTCACAGAGACATGCAGTCAGATCACAGAGTCGTTGGGTAGAGGCTGCAGGGAGGCCTGTGAGGGCAGGGTCATGCCGTGTGGGTGCAGACAGGGAAGAACAGCTACTGCCCTGGAGCCTGCTGGGAGGCCCAGAGCTCATCTGTGGAGGCTCTGTGGGAGAGGGGACAGTCAATAACATCTTTACTGTTGAGTTGGACTTCAGTGGCTGGACAGGGAGGGAAAGATGATTCCAAGTTGAAGGTCCACGTGAGCAATGGCCAGGAAACCCGAGAGAATGTGGCGGGACCGGGAAATGGTGAGTGGGTCAATGTCGCCAGGACTTAGGGGCAGGGGTGGGGCAGAGCGGGCATGCGTGGAGCCAGGGTGCTGAACACTGAGCTCAGCACGAGCTGAATTTTGAAGTGCCACATTCTAAGGAAATTAAAACATCCTGTGGATGGCAAGAGGACAGGTTGAGTTTTGAAAGGGGCGTCCGCAGATGGAGGTGTAGGGAGGTAGCTCTGAAGACAGGGACTCTTGGATGAATCTCTTACTGTGTTGTTCCCGTTGAAGGGCTGTTTCCCTCTTGGGGCAGAGGCCAACTCCTTCATTCCCCAGCTTGGCTTAAATGTCTACTCAGGCATTCAAAGGGAAAAGGAAAGCAATGGTTTTTCCTGACCCCATTCCACTCTCCCCATGTAGGACCTGTGAGTTGGCTGATTGTGGGTTCAGCATCTGCCACCCTGGGAATGTTGACCCAGGGGTGTGAACGGTGGAGCGCTGGAGGCAGGCAGGGGCCCTCCATGATGGGCAGAGCAGCTCAGTGGCCTTGGCAGATCTGGACTCTGGTCCCACCTGTGTGCCTCTAGGGACGTCTTTGGGGCCCTCTGTACTTGGGTTTTGTTACCTGTAAGTTATATATGAGTGACTGCTTAACCTTCTGGAGTCTCCATGCAGAGCAAATGAAAGAACATATGAGGATATCATTTGAAAAGCACAAGGCCTGAGATCTTTGCATGCAATCATCTGCATTTCGGTAGCTGACCTTTCCCAGAGCTGGTTCACCAGTGTTCTCTATTGTGGAAAGGACCCTGTGCCTGAGAAGAAGGGCTTTTAAGAGACCCCAGTTCTAGAACAAGTCTGATTTCAGGTTTGTATGTACTGCCTCTGTGGGTCCCCTTCCCTGGTTAAAGAAAAAAAAAGTGTTGCTCTATCCTGCTCTGCTATGCTCATTGAAAGAATGGCTGCTCTGTGAATCCAAATGCAGGCCTTCCATGCAGGCTTTCGAGGGAGGATGGTGGGGTGCACAGGTTGACTGCTCTGCTCCCTGGCTGGTGCTGGTCTCCTTCTGGAAGCATGCACTAGGCTGGCCAGCTGGACAGTGAGTATCTGGTAACAGATGAGCAAGTGCTTCTCCTACTTTGAGTTTCTTGGGGGTGATTCTACACTTGCTTTCACATATCCGTCTGGTAACACCTGGACTGGTGCCATTTCCTTCCCCTTCGTTTTGTTCCTAATGGCCCCAACGTCAGTACTGCATGCGAAAGGTGAGAGAGAATTCTTGGTGGGAGAGAATCGGGTGCTGTGAAGAGGCTATTTTTCTACTCACGGAAGTTCATTTACTCTTTGGATTGGAAATTTCCCTGACACTCAGAAAGTCAGATGGTTTGTCAGTATGGAACATGCCTCAGGGAATTAGCAGGATATCCATACCTTCTTTGACTGGAATTTAATATTTCCCACTTTGGCCCAGCAATTGAACAAAATCTCTTTGTAATGAAGGTACCTTGTGGTACCTTCATTTCTTTAAAGTGAAGTTTGGTAAGATGAAAGCTGTGTTCTGAGGCACAGATGTTGTAAGATGTTTGGTGGTTGATTTTGAGTCCTCCTCCAGCCTGTCCTTGGGTAGCTGGCTTTGCCATTTTCTCAGATGAAGAAAGGAGAGAGGCATAGAAAAGAGGGAATGATGTGTTGCTCAAACTCAGTTTTAGAATGGAGCATCAAGTCGGGGGGACTCTGAGTTCAGCTAGAGCTTAGATTAGTTGCATGTCTACACTCCCCTTCCCCCGCCACCGTCTCCACTTCACAGATGTCTTATACTACACAGCAAGCAGGAGGGCCTTTGACATGGGTAGGCGGTCATGGGGCATAGCATGGTGGAGAAGAATGGGTTCTTGGTACATATACATGGGTTCAAATCCTGTTTCTGATGAGTTCTGTGACTGGGAGCAAGTCATGGCATCTGCCTGAGCCTCTGTTTTCTTACCGATGAATCCAGGTCATCTTAGTTCCTGCAGTCAGCTGCCTCACAGGGCTGTTTTGAACATCATAAGAAATAATGGATGAGAAAGAGCTCCATCAACTCTACAGGTGTTAGGGGAGAAAGGAGAGAAAAGGAAAAGGAGAAAGAATCATGTAGGCAGTGGGTTCCTTTATGCTGGGCTGCTCAAAGCACGAAGGGGGAGGTGTTGCAGAGTTGGGATTCCCCAGCCCTCTCTGCCTTGGGACAGTTGTCACACATTCCCAGGGTCTGTGTCTTCCACCCAGGTTTATGCAAGCGTGGACAGCACAGTGACAGGTTGCAGTGCTGGCTGCCCCTCTAGGGCCTGGCTTCCCTCAGAGCATCATGGTGTAAAGTAGGAGGGAAAAGGCAGGTGTGAGTCTGTGGGCAGACAGACCTGTCTTGGGCAGAGCTGCTTCGGATGACACAATCCAGGGTGACACAATCCAGTCTGATTGCTACCCACTTTGGTAGGTAGAACGTGGCCAAATACAGCTAGACTCTCCCTGTAAATATACACCTCCTCCTGAGGCTCAACTTGCAGAGAAAAAGGGACTAGAGATGGAGAACAAAGGCTGGAGGTGCCCCAGATGCTGGAGTGGCTGCCCTGCCTGTCTCCTATACCACTTTCAGCTTCTTTTATCTTCCACAGCTCCTCCCCAAGGAAGTCTGAATCTCATTCACTAAAGGGGTCCCCTCTGAAGGGTACTGTCAGCCCACAGCCTCTCTTCATACCAAACACCAGTCAATCCCAGGTGTAATTTGTTTATTAACAATCATAAGTGTCACTTATGGAAGACCTTGTATGTGCCAGGCAATGCCCTAGTGCAGCTAATTCCTAGCACAGTCCAGCAAGGGAAGCAGCCTCATTTTACAGGTGAGGAAACTAAGGCTCAGAATGAATGAGTGGCTTTACCCAGGTCACATGGTGGGCAAAATGCTGGAGCTAGGACTCAAATTTCTGCTTGCTTTGCTCCAAACCCTTTGCTCTATGTTGCTACCTTGCCTTGCACTGCCAGTACACAGAAGTCCCTTCGGTCATTCTCTGTTCTCAAGAACCCTGAATGACCTGCTGAATGTTATTTATATTTTCCTAGCTCTTTTGGGCCACTTTGACCAATGGTGTCCAGTGGTTCTTGCCAAGACTGCACTTTGGAAACATGTGGGAGCTTAACAAATAAATCCCTGTGCTAGACTACACTCCACACCAACTAAGCCAGAATCTCGGGGCGGGGGGGGACCCAGGCAACAATGGTTGTAAAACTCCCAGGTGATAACTGATGTGCAGCCAAGGTCAAGGACCACTGCATTGCCCTCCCAGCCTTCAGCTAGTGGTGGTCCTTTGACTACTGGAGATGAGATGGTGGCAGCTGCCTGGGGATCCTTTAGGAGGCTGAGAAATTCTTCAGCCAGGCCTTTAGGTGGACTGCTGACATTGCTTCTACACTGCTTCCACATAGCTCTGAGCCTTTTTATGTAATGCCCTCATTCAGCCTATGAGCTTATAAGCAGCGTCTGAACTCCCAGCTTGGACTCCTGAGTGACAGATGCTGGAGTACAGGCATTTGTTTTGGAGGAGGCAGGGGTATCATCTGGAGAGTTGGAAATTTTGTTTTGCAGGGTTGCCAAAAACATGGCCAGCTAGTAGACCTGCATTTGCTCCCTTTTTTAGTGCCCAGGCTGAGGCATTTAAATGTTGTTGCAGGTGGGAGAGGATGAAGCACAGATCCAAATCTGCACAATGCAAAAATATGCAAATTGGGCTTTAAAAGAAAATGTTTATATTTAATTTTTAAATCAAACCTTTTACCTCAATATAGGTATTTTTCTGTATGCCCCAGGCGATTGCAGGAAAGCAGCCTGGCATAGGGAAATCCTGGGTTAGATTTGGGCTCTGGATTTATCAAATTTTCTGCACTTACCAACTCTGTGCCCTTGCCAGGGTGGTTGTGAAGACCAACTTAGAGAATGGACACACAAGCTGTCTTGCATAATGGTAGGCTCAGAGAACACACTCAACACATATTAATTGCTTTCCCTGCCTTCTCTGCCCAATTTTACAGATGGAGGTGTCTGCAATGGTAAACTTTCTGGCTAAATCAAAGGGAAATGAAGTGTAACCCCTTAAGAGCAAAAGGGCTGGTTCTAGGTGGGAGTGTTATTCACAGGCTAGGAAGAAAGGAACAATCTGGCCTCGGAACCAGCAACACTGTCTGTGGACTGAGAAGCACCCCACGTTAGGTCTTCTCACCAGACGACTGGGTTTGACATGGTGAGAAGAGGCAGGTGGTTAGTTTTCTGACCAAGGCGCTCAGCTGAAAGGCTATCAAGGATGGCATGAATAATTTTTGCCAGGTGAGGGGAGGGGAGTTTCAGAGAGCATGCATCTCAAAGTCTTGTCAGGGCAATGACTGGACCTCAGAGGCTGACCACTTCATAGCTGCGGACTTTTTCTTAGCAACGTGAAAGAACACATCCACTTAGGGTAGTCACAGGGTGTGTGTGTTGGGGGTGGCAGAGGTCTTGCATTCACCCAGGATGGGGCTGAACATTTTCCCGTTTGTCCCAGGGACAGGGTAGCTCTCCTGTGCCCTATGGGCTTCAAGGCAAAAGGGCTTTATGAATCCTGGTGAGAAAAAGCGTTTAAAATGTCTCTTGGCCAACAGTACCTTGGTTTAGTTCCCTCGATCTGACTTTCCTGAGTTGCATCCCAACTGGGCTGAGCCTGGTCTCTGAAAAGTCCCTATCATCAATATCCATCTCTTTCCAAACGCCCTTGCTGAAAAGCCTGGGGCCCCCTTTTCTTTCCTTCTTGTACTGTGGGATATTTGCTTTCCTTTTTCATAAGAATCGTGGATAACTTAATACAAGTAATCATTAGAGCCGACTCTTCACATCGGTTCACCAGCTGGTCCCGGAAAAGGACCCTACCTAACACATTCAGCATTGCCTCCTCTCTTGGGGAAAGAGCTGACACATTTCTGTGCCTCCTGCTGGTTCTGGGATGCCCTCAGGCTTCCCTACCTCCCCCCTCTCTGCCAAAAGGGACTTAGGATCTCTAAGCTGTCTTTCAAACCTCAAGGAATTTCAGGAACTCGCTTGCTCTTTTGGGGTCATGCTGATTTGGGCAGCTGGGTGTGCCCCGCCCCATCCCCGCCCCAGCAGTCACGTCATGGAAAGGCTGGGGAGGTGGGTCCGTGCTCACGTGGTCGCGGGCGCTGCGCTGCCTGGAGGCTCAGTTCTGGGCTTTCAGGGTTGAAAACCCCTCCCCAAGCTTAGTTTGAGGCCATCTGAGGCCGCTGGAGAGTTGACCCTGCTCTCACAGGTGATGTGTTAGGATCGAGGTGTGGTTGGTTCCGTAAGCTGGTCGGAGGCGCAGACGCTGGGCCAAAGTGTCAGCAGCAGTAGGAAATCTACTGGGTGTTGAGGCTTTTTGCAGTTCCCTTTTCTCCCTGCCCTCTCCGCCTGGCCTGCGCTTTAACTCTTCCCGGGTTTGCTGCAGGGTTGGGAGTGAGGGCAGTTTCACTGGTGAAAAGGACGCTTTCAGAAGCCAGACTCCTAACCTTCTCCCCAGCAAAATCGAATTTAGAGCAATAACCTTTAAGTTGAGTTTTAAACTGTGACATGTCCATTACAGATCATTGGATAAATACAGAAAACTATAAAGAAATGAAAATCACCCGTAGTCACCCTTTTAGACTTTTTCCTAACATTAAAAATACTGCTTTTATTTCTGCAAAATGTAATTTTAAGTATAGTCTTGAATGACTGATGAGGAAAACCTTCTTTTATCGTCTTTCTTCTTTCAACATCAGTTCAAAAGGGAGGTAGAATATCGACTTAGGTTAGTCCCCACAACTCAGCTTTTTTGAGACTATCCCAAGAACACAGCATTTCAGAGCCAGATAGTATTTTTGAGTTTATGTGGTTAATCTTTCCACTTTCTGGACTGAGACAGAAGTGACACAACTTTCTTGGGGTTTCCAAATTAGCTGCAGAGCTGGAACCAGAAGAACTCAAAGAGTTCTGCTTCTGAAGTCAGGGTCCTCCCAAAACTCCAGGAGCATGGAATATCAGAGTTCACTTTTAGGTCAGAGATTTTAAATAAGATCAAAAGCAGAAAAGGGAAGAGGGGAGACAGGGAGCCACATCTGAAAAGGGGCAATTTTCTTTGGAATTTTGGTACATTTTAATTCCTTTTTACAGATGGAAACAAAGTGACATTTTTAAGAATTCTGAATAGACGCTGTCAGCCATTGGAACAAAACACCTGCAGGAAGAGATACTGGGAGGCAGGGAGCTCTATCTTAGAGAGGCACCCAGTTCTTTGGGATATGAGCGCCAGTCTCTGCACAAGTTGACCCCAGGGACTCCCCTAGCCTGAGTGCTGGCGTCAGTGCTTCCCCGCAGGCCTGCCTTCTAGGCAACCATGTGGTCTCTTCCTCATCAGTAGCCCTCCGCAGAGGCGTGCTCCCTGAGATGCCCCTCTTTCTGACATCCACTCTGGGCCTGTGGTTCTCTTGCTGGGAGTATTGATACCTCTATTGTCACTTCCTGGGAGGCCTTCTCTTCACACAGGAAACCTCCTTCCTGACAGCAGAGAGCGGCCTAGAATAAGCCTATCATGAACACCGTTGTCAAGACCACGTAAAAAGCTCACCAAAGCCTTATCCCAGTCCTGGCTCCTTTTGGAATAGATAATTCTCCCTTTTTCTCTCTGGCCAGGACTGATAATGATAATAATAATGAACACTTAGGTAGTGTTTAGTGCTAGACACTTTACATTTTAATCTACACAGTGTCCCAAATTCATTTCACAGGTGAGGAAACCAATGGGGCACAGATAAGCTTGCCTGAAGTCACAGCTATGAAGAACAGAGCCAGAATTCACACTCAGCCTGGCTCCAGAGACCATGTTCCTAACCACTAGACTAGACTAATCAGCCTGCTCCAGGGGCTCGGCCTCTGCCCTCAGTGGCAGCACTCTATTTGAGGTCTGCAGCCATCTGCAGGGGATTTGATTTTCCTCCCCCTTTAGGGAAAGCAAGTCTGGGGTCACTGTGGCTCCTTTGCCCTCTCCTAAGTTTGCATGGCAGCCAGTTTTCATTTTGTGTCGTTTTATTTTCCATAGGCCACATTTATCATATTTAATAACCAAATGTTATTTGGTTATTGGTTATTTTGTAAAATTCTTCACATGAATAACATTAGAAAAATAGTCTTTGTTAGCGTCCATGTCCTGGTTTGGTATTTGGACAAATTGTGGAGGTGTGGCCAGAGAGTATATTCTGGAGTTGGACAAATCTATCCAAATCTAGACTCTACTATTGACTGGCAACATGTCTTTCTTTTTTTTAATTCCTTCGTTTCATGGTTTTCAATGTATTCAAGTAATGCCTGTACAAGCTTGATATAGCACGTTAAATAATGCACGCGAAATACCTGTACAAGTGAAATAATACAAGATGCATGAAGGTGAAGCTCCTCGTCTCCTCCTTCAGTCCTGTCCCTCTCAATCAGCATTAGCCACGTTCTCCAGGGCAGCCTGCTGAGCCTCCACATGGTTGTTTTCCTGCCTATAACAGGAGGCGAACGCCCTGTGATGTATGTAATGGGTGCTCTTTCAGTGGTAGTCATTGTTATGAGGAGGGAACACATGTGCATTAGGGCTGCAGTAAGTTGCATTTTTGCCATGGGAAGAGAAATTCTCCACCTTTCCCGTCAGTTTCTCTTTGCTTCTCCATCTTGCAGCCTCTGGCACAGCCCAGAGTCCAGTGGTATCCGGCAGAAGCAGTGCTGTGCAGCTCTGAGCTGGGCCCTTAAGGGGAAGAGGGAGTACCTCCAGCAATATTCAGGGTGGATGTGGGTTCCAGGGCTTCTGATCCTGGGGCTGGGCTTGTCTGAGATTCACAGGAGGTTAGAGAACTAAGGAGGAAGGGGAGAAGGCTTTAACCCACCCCTCTGCTGTCTCTCTCTGGAGGAAACCTCAGGCAGCTCTGTGTACTTCCCCCTCTGCACACACACCTCTTCCTGCCTTCTCTACCCTGACACCAAGGTCTCTCCCCAGCCCTGGTGGCATCGTGCCTGGGTTGCTAATAATAGAGAAGGGTGAATCTGCCAGGCAGTGAATCAGAAGGCTGTCCCAGCTCTGTTCTTCTGCCCTGATCCTGGCAAATTCTTGTGGGCTGATTCGGTAAATATCCTTGTGAGCAGAATAAGTCTTTGTGTGTTCTGGAAACTCCTGCTGTCCCTGGGGGTAACACCCTCTTGGAAGGATGATGGGGATGCCTTTGGCCTCAAGATCTTAGGACGGCGTTTCAAATTGCTCCAGGCTTCCAAGCTAGCCTGGGCTCTGGGAGGAGGGTTTGCAGGTTTGGAGAAGGAGCTGCTTCCCAGGTGCTCAGGGGATGGAAGTGAGAATAGGGAGGGTGTGGAGGGTACAAAGAGACTGTTTAGTTCTTGCGTAAAAGACAACACAATATGGTCCTTCCAGTTCTTTTTAGAGCTCAAAAGGTGAAATAAGAATAAAGAACAGCGATCTGCAGTTTTCCTATTATCCAAAAGCCTACTACCCAATTCAGTGGATTGTTTTGGCAACTTGCTTGGATAAACTTATTTAGAAATTATTTCAGAATTCCTCCAGGCAGTTACCCTACGTCCTTTTTAAGTCAAGGTGTGGTATAAGTCCATTAACGAATTAAAATACTTCCAGATTTCTGTGTTATTCTCAAGGCACTTTTGCTAGATAACAATACCTCACACTTGGACGGTGTTTTGTGGTTTGCAAAGCACTTTCACATCTGTTTTCTCACTTGGTTGCCATAATAACCCTGGGAGCCGGGAAGGGCATGTCTTGTTATTATCCCTATTTTGCAGATGAGGAAGCCAAGGTTTTTAGAAGGTTGGGTGGCCTAGTCAAGGTCACACCGGTAGGGGAATTGGGGGGATGGAGGAAACTAGAGCTGTTTTTCCTTAACCATCTTGCCTCTCACTGAGATGAAACAGCAGGATGGTTCCTGGGACCCAGGATCCCTTTGAACGCTTGGATTAAAATAATTTATGAGTTCTTTGTGAGTGTGTGTGGACCTGCTGGTAGTGGCTTTTCTTCATTAGAATTTGCATGCAAGATTGACACTAAGATGGCTGACTTTCACCATCCCAAACCAACCCTGTTTTTGCACCGTGCTGTAGTGGTATGAATTACCTTGCAGGTAATTGTGGCTTAGGTGATGGTACACAAAAGGCATCATACAGCAGCCAGATGTTCATTTTACTAAATGGAAAATATGACTCAGAACACGGGCCAATCTGAGCCTCCAAGCAGGCAAATTAGCCATTGAGGATGAAGTCTTCACCTCTGGAGAGGAGAGAATGTGGGAGCACAGAGCCCAGAGTCAAATGATTTGGTTGAGATCCCCCCACTTTGGTTATTTAGACTTGCTTATACTCCTCTGACCAGACTATGGGATCTTCTACAGAAATTCTACAGAAGTGTGGGCAGAATTACAAGTAAGGTGGGTTGAGGAAGTGCACAGGTGGAAGTGTAGCCGAGAGGATGCGTTTGAGGAGCAAGAGGCTGGGACTCAAGAAGGCTTTATGCAGACTCGAATCTTACATTGATAACAAGCATTTGCGTAGCACATACGAGTTTCATCCTATGAAGGATTCCATAGGATTCTCACAGCAGCCCAAGGATGTGAGCAGAGCAGTAAACAATATCCCTGTTTTATAGAGGAAGTAGAAATCGAGAAGCAGGAAGGTTGGGTAATTTGCCCAAAGTTCCACCACTAGTAAATCGCAGAACTGGGACTAAAGCCCAGGTCTTCTGACCCTCACTGGGCCCAGCGTTCTTTCCAATATGTCATCCTGCCATTTTCCCCTTCCTTCCTCCTCCCCACAGCTCCTTGCAAGTTCAGCCTGCTGGAGGTAAGGGAAGTGATCATGAGAGTTTTTCCAGTGCTGAGACGTTCTGGAAAAAACATGGACCTGTATCTGTGTCCTGATCTGTGCTTCGTGATTGGACTGTCTTGACACTCGTCTCAGGACTCTGGGGAGTGCTTGTGCAAGTGTTTCCCAGTGTGGCCGGCTTCTTGAACGCTGCTAATGGAAAGTTGTAAGAGTTCTATTTTCCTGTTTCAAGCGAGCGTTTCCCCCTTGGGGTTATAGCAACCACTTCCTCCTCAGCACCCGGTGGGTCGTGGTAAACACCAGTTACAGCAGAGTATCCCCTTCTGACAACCTCATTGGTTCCTTTTTTTTTTTTTTTTTTTTTTTTTGCCTGTAAGCACATACACACAGAGTTCTGAAGGCTAGGTCTCCTTTCCTTCTGGTTTAGAGTTTTCAGAGTACCCTGCTGTGGCCTTGGAAACAGAAAACCCACACAGAGGTCAAACGCAGTTCTCGTGGAGTCACCTTGTCATCCTGCTTTGTTTTGGAAGGAACTGGGTCGGAGGCAGCACAGTAGGACTACAGCATCTTTAACCCTTGGTAGGATGGCTGGATCCGCTGAACGCTTGTGGGTAAACAGGAAGCTCACAGCCTCAGTGGATCATTAAGGGTGATACAGAATAGACACGAAAATCTTAAGTGGGATGGGAGCAGAGCAGGACTTGGTGGGTAGATAGTGAGGAAAAGGAGGCAAATAGGGATGGTGAAGAAATCGAAAGGGAATGGGGGATACAAGGAAAGGGTCAGGAAAGGGTGAGTAAAAGGTTTAAAGAGAGGTGCTAATTTTAGATACTTAAAAGTATTTTAAGTATCTAAAACTTGTGGCTGGGTGTGGTGGCTCACTCCTTTAATCCCAGCACTTTGGGAGGCCAAGGCGGGCAGATCACCTGAGGTCAGAAGTTCGAGACCAGCCTGGCCAACATAGTGAAACCCCGTCTCTAACTAAAAATACAAAAATTAGGCCAGGCACAGTGGCTCACGCCTGTAATTCCAGCACTATGGGAGGCTGAGGTGGGTGGATCACGAGGTCAGGAGTTCAAAACTAGCCTGGCCAAGATGGTGAAACCCCATCTCTACTAAAACTACAAAAATCAGCCAAGTGTGGTGGCAGGTGCCTGTAATCCCAGCTACTCGGAGGCTGAGGCAGGAGATTGGTTTGAACCTGGGAGTTGGAGGTTGCAGTGAGCCGAGATGGTGCCACTGCCCTCCAGCCTGGGCAACAGTGAGACTCTGTCTCAAAAAAAAATGTGTATATATAAATACTTAAAAAATATTTGTAATTGCTGGTTTGGGGTTACTAGAATCTCTTCTGAATCTGTCTCAGTTTTTCTTACAGCTTTTAAAATCCATGGAACTCTATCACCAGGAGATGATTGTGGTATGGAGCTGATCACCCCGGAGTTAGTGGGGTGGCAACTGAGATCGGGGGGAAATGGAGCAGTTTGAGGATATATGGGCCGTGAAAACCTCCCAGCTCTGCCCCCAGCCATGCCATGAAAGTCATGGGGAAGAAAGGCCCCCATTTGTGTGTTTGTGTTATTAAATAGAACAGTAACAGAGCAGGTCTCTGAGCCTGCCTGGCAGAAATCTTTCTGTAGCAGGAGTGTCCTGCAACTCTCTGGTGGATTTGCAAAACAGTACAGATAGAAAAACTTAAATGGGAAACAAGCTTGTCTTGTCCTACTTTGTGGAGATAGATAATAAAGCCGAAAGGCCAAGAAGTGTAAATATATAGCATATATCTAATGTATATGGTATATGTACATATCAATCTATAGCTATGCAATATCTACACTATTTATCTATGTTTATACGATGACTCTAGGCTTCAGAAGACCTGTCAAAGATTTCCATACATCTAGAGAATTTAGAAGGATCCCTTTATAGGTGAGAGTTGAGACTTTTTGGCTGCAGGTTGGGATTTGGTGGACTAGTTCCTGGTACCACCACCTAGTTGCCGTGATTATCTTTAGACTAACCAAGGCCCTTGTGTTAGCCTTCCGTAAATCATCCCCACCCCTAAGCAAGACAGCACCTATACCTTCACAGTTTCTCCAGTTCATCCCTGTTTTATTTTATTTATTGTTTTTTGAGACAGGGTCATGCTCTGTCACCCAGGCTGGAGTGCAGTGGCACGAACATGGCAGCCTCTACCCCTGTGTTCAAGCAATCCTCCTGCCTCAGCCTCCCGAGTAGCTGGGACCACAGGTGCGCGCCACCACACCTGGCTAATTTTTGTGTTTTTTATAGAGACAAGGGGTCTCACCATGTTGCCCAGGCTGGTCTTGAACTCCTGGCCTCAAGCAGTCCTCCTGCCTCAGCCTCCCAAAGTGTTGGGATTACAGGCATGAGCTACTGCATCCGGCCCATCCCTGTTTAAATGGGAATATCCAGAAGATTGTCCTTGTCATACACTCGGTGCATTTTAGAGTGTCTTCACCACTTGTCAGAAACAGGATTCTGGTTGGGAAGGGCCATCATTCACAGTGTGGCAGGTTTTTGCTTTGTTAATTACTGGAATTGGGGTACAGAAGCCAAATGCAGGTTCTCCACCTGGGACCTTCTTCCTGTTTGTCTGCCCACTTCACACCTGTCTTAGCAGCTGCAGCCTGAAATAGTGAGATGGCTACATTGCCTGATCAAATCTGGGATTTATGTAGTGATAACACCTCCCAGGAGATAGATTTCTTCGCCCTACCCCAGTGCTTCCCACACATGCCCATGGACCAGCTCTTTATCTCTGGCATGAAGATTCCTCCCACTTCCCTGTTGCTGAGATCCTTAGGCCTTTAGAGGGCAATTCTTTCAGCAGGGATTGCAGCTCCAGGTTAGAGTGGGAGTGAGAAGAAGCCATATGCCTCACACCGAAAGACAGCCGTGGTCTTGTCGACCTAATATCTGAGCCAAGGTGGAGGACAGCTGCCCAGGACACACTTCCAAGTTGCCTTGGGGAGTGCTCTGTTTGGCCTTTGTTACAAGCAGGTTTTCAAAGGCAAAAGGAACAAGGAAGTGGGCTGATACAAAGTTGTTTGACAGGAATCCTCCCTGGTTTACAGAGATAACATTGGATAGTGATTGCTCTACACTGTTGAACTATGGAGTACGAGTGATGGTGTCAAGCATATGTCATTTTATGGCTACTTAGCATCAGTTAGTCTTGAGCCCACATAGCAAGTGGCTTCAAGAGGTGATTATTTAGCTCAGGCGGGGAGTGAGACGTGATCGCTGTCACACGCTGTCACATTTCGGTGCCTCTCTGGGTTTGATAATTAAAGGGGGCTTGGATTCTCAGATAAAAAATTTTTATTTCTCAGTCTAAAATGGAGAGTTTTAAAAAAATCCATCTTCCTCTCTCACTTGGACAATTACAGCAGCTTCAAAATGGATCTTTCTTGTTTTCACCCTTTCTCGCCTGCTTTCTGTTCCCCAGGTGTACACACAGAAGCAGCGTGAGCCTTTTAGAACATAAGCCAGACTATGACACTCCTCACTCAAAACCCTCCAGCAGCTTCCTATCTCACTGACATAAAATCCGAAGTCCTAAGAACAGCCTAAAAAACTCTGCAAGAACTGACCTCATATGTGATATATTCTCCTCTTTGTTTACTCTGTTCCAGCCACTTTGCTGTTCCTGCTGGCCTTTGAAGCTGCCCACACACCTGTCTCAAAGCCTGTGCACTTGACCGCTCCCTCTGTCTGCAGTGCCATACCCTCTGCCTGTGTATGGCTCAGCCCCTCACTTCCTGCAGAAAGACCATGGCCAACTAAGCCAGCACACCCCTCTCCCCGCCTCCCTGGGGTTCTCCCTTTTCCCCTACCTGGCTTTATTTATCTTCAGGATGCTCATAGCTGCCTGATGCAATATGTCTTTATTTGTTTATCATCTGCCTGTCCCCACTTAGAATGTAAGCTGCTTTAAGGATAGGGACTTCGTTGTGTTCACTGCTAAATCACCTGCGGCTAGAACAGTGGCACATCTGTAAATATTTGTCCAACAGTGAATGCATGTGTGCATGCATGCGTGAATCCATTAGCAACAGCATTTATTGGGTTCTTTTACTTGGCATCACATTTGTAGCAAGGAGTACAAAGATGGATTCCACGGTCCCTGCCCTCAGGGGCTCACTCCTTTGATCTGTTCTTTGTGGAAGGGTTTCCCACATCAGTCTCTTTTCTGATCCTGTTCTTACCCATGTTGTTTGAATATTGGGAAGGCGCCTCCACCCTAGGAGTCTAGCTGCTGTCTGTCATCCGAATGGTCCTCCACTAATGTTCCTGGGCTTCTAGAGATCCTTGGGGTCTTCACGGAGCAGTCAACCCATTCAGGGAACAGTTTTCAGTCCTGAGCTCACAGAACCTACAGGAAGAAAGCCCTATTTCTCCCTTAGCTGAAGGGACATTTTGGAGAGTGCTGTGTTCTCAGATCAAATATAGGAAGGAGCACTGAAGGTGTAAGATATGGTAGCAGTTTCTTTATGTTACTTGTTTATTTGGTGTTCTGTATATTTTTTACATTGTAAAAGCAAACTAACCAGGCTACAGAAATTTCGAAAATAAAAAGAATAGGTATCATCATAACCCTACGATCATAATGATGAAACAGCTTGATTCTATGCATTATTAATTAATTGGTTAATTTGTATTCTACCTTATTCAAAAGATTTGTGGATACTTACAAATATGCATGTAGTGCAATAGAATATAATAACTGAGAAATGAGAGCAAAGGGTTAAATCGTTGATCAAAGCCAGTATAAAGTTAATGTGCAGAAATGCGTATTAGTACAACTACTCTTATAAATTGGTATATTTCTTCTTAGCCTAAGTCTGTATATTTTCCGTAGCTAATTCTGCTCCCTGCCCCTTAATCTTATAGCAACATTTTCCACGTTTCTTTCTTAACCCTGATAGTTAAGGACTGAACGATCCATCCCAAGGATGTGCCTCTAATTTGTTTAATCATCCTCTGTTGTTGGAAGTTGGGCTATTTTCACTACTATTGTTATTAGAAACAATGGCATAATTAACATCTTGGTGCATGTAACTTTTTCCGTTTTTTGGAGTATTTCCTTAAGTAGATTTCCAGAGGTAAAATAAATAACTGAAAGGTTGAAACATTTTTATGGCCCTTGCAGAATATTCCTGGGCTGCTTTCCCAAAAGGTCATGTGTCTTGGGGATGCCTCCCAGCAGTGGGTTGGCATGTATCACACCTTACTCTCCTCCTCACCAACACTAGGATTCACTATTGAAATTTTTTTTTTTTTTTTTTTTTTTTTTTTTGCGGCGGAGCTTGGTGGCTCACGCCTGTAATCCCAGCATTTTGGGAGGGCGAGGCAGGCGGATCACTTGAGGTCAGGGGTTCGAGACCAGCTGAGGCAAGTAGTGAAACCCCATCTCTACTAAAAATACAAAAATTAGCCAGGCATGGTGGCGTGCATCTTCTAGTCCAGGCTACTCAGGAGGTTGAGGCAGGAGAATTGCTTGACCCCTGGAGGCGGAGGTTGCAGTGAGCTGGGATTGTGCAGCTGCACTCCAGCCTGGGCGACAGTTCGAGACAACATCTCAGAAAAACAAAAACAAAAAAAAAACAAACCAAAAAAACATTTTTTTTGTTGCTAATAGGCAAACATATATTATTATTTCATTATATGTATGTTGAATTATATGTATGTTGCCAGGTTATCTACTGGCACCTGAGATTGTTTTTACCCATTTGTTTGAGTTCTTTGTATATAAAACTTAACCCTTCAAGCATACTTTATTTTGTAAAATATTTTCTGCAGTTTATTTGACTTCTGCTTTGGTTTGCAGGTGTCTTTGCTTTTGATACTTTGAGTTTTCACGTTTTGGATAGTCATAGTTCTTGGTAATTTTCTCTGTTATTTACCTAGAGACAGTAGTCCAAGTTCATTAGCCTGGCAGTTGAGGCCTGTGGTGATGTTGGCTTTGTTATTCCAGAAGACTCACCTTCTGTTCTCTTAGGACCTTCTTGTTGGGAAGCTGAATCAGTGGTGCATCTAGCATATTTTACACCAGGAGTACATTTTTTTTTTTTTTTGAGACAGAGTTTCGCTCTTGTTGCCCAGGCTAGAATTCAATGGCGCGATCTCCGCTCACTGCAACCTCCGCCTCCTGGGTTCAAGCGATTCTCCAGCCTCAGCCCAGGCGCCCGCCACCACGCCCGGCTAATTTTTGTATTTTTACTAGAGACGGAGTTTCACCATGTTGGCCAGGCTGGTCTCGAACTCCTGACCTCAGGTGATCCACCCGCCTCGGCCTCCCAAAGTGTTGGGATTACAGGCGTGAGCCACCATGCCCAGCTCAGGAGTAGATTTTTTAAAATACTCCCCTCTTCTATAGTAACAAAATTATTTCAATAATTAAGAAATAAATAATAATGATGATGATAATGGCCAGAAAATAATTTCAGACAGTTAAACATTTCTATTATTGAATTTTGTGTATATGATGCCAGCAATAAAAAAAGGGGGGCAGGGAGTAATGAATTTAATGACGCTAATGCTTATTTTGAAAAAGGGGAAAGGTTACACTTTCATAGTGGTCTGTAGCAGTAATGAATAAAAACTATAGTTTCTGGTTTTGAGTCTTCTGTAAATTGATCAGACTTCGTAAATACTGATCTTTCCCTATTCATCATGATCAATAGACAAAGCCGCATTTGTTGGTCTATCTTCCCTCAAAGCTGGTCGCAGAGCACTTTTTATTCCTGTTAATTTTGAAAAATTTCTTTTGGTTGAAACAGCAGATATACAAATAGGATAAATCTTAAACATAAAATTTGGCAGAAATTCACAACAATCCCATTTCACAGTAAATTCCAGACATTGCAACAAAGTCCTGTTCTTCAGTTCTTCAGGATTGATTAACATCTCATTGTTGAAAAGTCAGAAACATAAATAGAAACTCCCAAGTGGTCTGGTAGAATGAGAGGATGGAATAGCCCAGGTTCTATTTCTTTGTCTTTACAATGACTGTGCTTCCAGCCTTTATTTTTGGTCTGGTCTTCAAGCTTAGGAACACATCGTACCACAGGACTCGGGGGACGAGCCACCCCAAAGTGAGTGCCACTGATACCGAATCCTGTGAACTTGCTCTTGAAACATGGGTAGCTGAGTCCACGGGTGTCAGGGGCTGGCTTTGCAACTATTAATATGAGTTATTTGAATTAACTTCCATAGAGAATGTAATGTTTATGAAAAGGTAATTAGTCTGTGTGAATTTGAAGCTTACATATATTATTAAAAGTCAAGAATAATGCAGCAATTGTTCAGAATTAGACAAAAGGTTGTTGGGGGAGGTGTTGGATTATGTTTAAATCAGAATCGCCAGCTCATGGTCATGGTAAAAAGCCCATCAGTTTCAGTATTGTTTTAAATTCCTTACAGACAATTTTCCCTCTTTTTGCCTCCCTCTGGGGCAAACTGCTCCGTGCCAGGCCCTTAGTGCTGAGCTGAGCCAAGCTGTTGGCTGTGCTGTTGGCTGTGCTGTTGGCTGTGCTGTTGGTGCTTTTTTGCTTCTAGGCTTTTGCTTATGCTTTTCTCAATCCTGAAATACCAACCTCCACTTCGCACGCGCGCGCGCACACACACACACACACACACACACACATTTTCCTCATCTTTTTAAGACTTAGCTTAAATGTCACCTTTTCCATGAAGCTTCCTTAATTTTTAATTTTTTCCCTTTTTCTCCCAAAGTAATAGCTTCCTCTTCTGAATTCCTGTAGCCCTATCCCAGATCTGCAGGAGAAAGCACTCACAGCTGTGCCCAGTGCATCCAGGGACAGCACTGATGTCAGAAAATGTGGGTGGTCTGATTGGACAAAGGAGTCCAGGAGCCAGCCCAGGTTACCTGCCTGGGTCCTGGTTCCAGAGCTCCTCTTGTTTGCCTCTCTCCCTGATGGGCTGGCCCTGGTTGTGGGACCTCACTGAGTCTGGATGCTGCTGCCTCTGGTTCTTGGCCTCTGGGTGTGAGGCAACCCTTACTTAACTTACCTTTCTGCTTCAGAAACCCCGCCCTTAAGCCAGACCCCACAGTAAGGGCTAGGCATTCTGAGCACTCTTCCGCTTTCTCAACCAGACTCTTGGGTCTTGGCGGGGTTCCCACATGTTTATGTTAGCCTATATTTATCGATTCCCAACTCTGGGAAAGCAGTGTGCCAGGTAGGGCCTAGGGGTTCAGCAATGAACTGGCCATTTCCAGTCCTCAAGGAATGCTCACTCTAGTGGGGGTAACACTCATGTCATCACCAGATCACGTGAATGTCCTCTCAGCAGAGAAGCAGATGCGTGTGTGAGGTATAGGGGAGAAGCGATTAGCCTTTTTGAGTGCATTGGGCAAAAAGTGCAAAGAGGAGGTGATAATTGCGCATGGTAAAGAATGAAGAAGAGTTCTCTCGGTAGGTTAGGGGAAGGGTCTTCCAGCCAGAGGGGCCAGCACAAAAGGTTCAGGAGCATGAAGCAGTGTGGTGTGTGTTGGCAAACACAACCAGATCAGTTTTGCAACAGCCCAGGGAGTGAAGGGACGCATTGGTGGGGAGAGGCGAGAGCCCTTGAGAGTCCATGTGTGGTCTGTGGTCTTTGTCCTGCAGGCTTTAGGGAAGCCACAGAAGGTTTAAAGCAGGGGAGGGACATGATGAAATTGGCATGATCAGATTGATGTTTTAGAAAGATCTGCAAGGCTGATGAGTGGAGAGTGGGTTGCAGGAAGGCACACCCAAGGCAGGACAGGCTGTTGTGATCCTGGAGAGATAGGAAGAGCAAGGGGTGCTAGCCGTAGGGAGAGTTGTCAGGGTGGTAAATTAGGAACTTTAGTGATTGACTGGCTGTTTTGGCAGCCCTGTTCCAGAATCGCCTTAGCTGTCCCTGAGGGTAGATCTTAGGGTCTCCCATGGAATTTGTGATCCTCATATGTTCAGCATGGTCCCATTAGATCTGTGGGGTCAGTGTGCTGGGGCATGACGCTGCACATGCTCTATCTTCCCAGAGCCCCTGGAGCCCCTGGACACCAGGGAGCCATGTCCGTCACATATGATGCCTTGGTAAGGAGCTGGTAAGAAGCAAGATGACCTCTTGCTCCTGAGAGCAGCAAGCACTTACAGCTTCTCCCTCTGAGCGCCTCTGGCTTGATGGGAGCTGGCAGACCTTGCTGAGTCTTGCCCTGATTGGGTGGCCTGAGTCATTGCTGCCACGACAGGCACCAGATCCCACCGTGCCATGTGCTCCCTTCTGGTATCACAGCTGCTCGCTCTCCACATGTGGCCTTAAGGAGGGCTTTGGGGCAGATATAGGACTGATGCCTTTATCATTTAAACCTCTCTTTATCTTCTGAGAAGCCCATTGGTAGCCCTCTGCGGTCATGTCTGTCATTTCTTTCATTTTTAGGCAGGCTGGTGGGGAAGACCGCAGATGGCCAGGAGCTTTTGGGTCACCCCTCAAAATGCAGTTGGCCGCTACACTGTGAAATCCCCAGAGGCCACAGTGCCCTGTGATTTACTCCTAGCATTTTGAGTGTTGAGTTTCATTGCCAGGATGCTAGGCTTCCTCCTGGCCCCACCACAGGTGCTTCCGTGAGTGTCTCCTCGCCTCACCTGGGCTGGGCCGTGGCTGCAAGTCCCAAACGCCAACCATCCCGGGTTCTAAATTGTGTTGTAACTAATTAGAGGCAGAGGTTGGTCAGAGTCAGGTACTGCTCAGCCACGACCACAGTGATGTTCCACTTCTCTGGGTGGGGAGGTGGTACCGCAGGCAGGGCCAGGTTGGTGGGGCTGGGTGGTTTAGAAATCCTGGCTTCCATCTCAGCCCCCGCCGGTGACCACCGAGGTAGCTTTTGTGTGATCTGTCGTTTCCTCCGCTACTCATCTCATCAGAGAGGCCCGTTTTGTCTTGGTGTTCTATTTCATCTTTCAGACCCGAAGGGCCACATCTTACTTGCATGGTGTGTGTTCAGGTTTTCAAGCATGTCCCGTGTTTTCCTACCTAGTCCTCCCTACAGTTTTGGGGATGAGGCCTTGCTGTGCATTTTCATTTCTGTTTGCAGAGGGAGAAACAGCAGCTCAGCAAAGTAGGTGACTTGCCCGCGTTGACATGGCCAGTGAGTAGACTACAGTGGAGGTCTTTGGCTTTCCTCAGCACTTTCCCCTTTGTCTCTAAATCCAGCGGCTCAAACTCAAATGCCACCAGGGGCCGGGCAGGTGACCTGTGTCAGCGGGACCCAGTGACAGGGGAAGAGAAGGTCCCATCTTAAGTGGCTGCTGCTCAGCCCCAGGCAGGGGCCGCTGTCCGGGATTACAGGCCCAGGATTTCAAAGAGAAGTTGGGAATTCGGATTTTTGTGTGGAATCTGATTTTTAAATGTTAGCAACTAATTTAGAAAAAAAATGTAGCCAAACAAGGTGAGTCTGCTGGCCTCTGCCCTATATCACCTGGCTGCTAGTCACTCACCCACGGCCTTTCCTCCTGACTCAGGTTTACAGGGAGCCTCTGCTGGCTGGCTATCCTGTTAAGGGAAAGGGGGAAAGGAAAGGGAAGAGGAAACAGTTCTAGGAGCTTCTGGTCCATTTGCGTCGTGCTGGCCACACACTGTGTAAATAGCTCAGCTGCCCACATTCCCAAGGCAAATACTTTCCATGCGCCTCTTTGGCCACCTTGAATCCCGGGGCTCTTTGGCAGTTTATCGGCTCGCTTCCTTTTCCGAAGATTCAAATGACGACTGCCTGAAAATATTTTCTTCAGCTGGGTTTTTCCTTGGTGACTTCACTCCGAGACAGATGTGCCCTAATAATAGCATTGAAAGTTAAGGGGAATAAGTCAGCCAGCTGGTTCTGTTCCCTAGAAATGATGTTAACAGTTCCTAAATGTGAGCTCTCCCCAGAGACCTTGGAGGGGCTGAGCCTGCAAGAGGCCGTGGTCATTGTGAGAGTCTGGAGTCCTTCTCCCTGGGACAGAGTCCCCAAGGCTCTCCCCTCGTCCCACCACGATACGTGTACTGCCCGGCACACAGCAGATGGACATTGCAAAGGAGGTTTGCTCTCTTTGGAGATGGTCAGGGGCTCTCGTTCAGCTCCTGCCTCCTGAGCCTAGAGGCCCCAAGCTTAGTGAGACCTAAATCCTGACTGCACAAAGCAGACCATTCCTCCAAGTGCCTCTCTCATGCCTGTGTTCAGGCTCACTGACTGGAAGGACTCCCAGAAGTCATTTAAGCCCGTTCTTCAGCCTCTATCATTCCAGAATACATTTTTCAGATAACCTGCTTGCATTCCCTCAATAATGTTTCATTTCCTCTAACTCAGTAGGAAGGAGATGAAACAAGTCTAAGAGAACCAGGAGCCTTCTGTAAGCTGTGCAGGCAAGAGAGTGACTTTTGTGGGGGCCAAGCTTTAAGATCTCTTAGATAGAAAACTGGACCAGCCTCTACGGATGTCGATGCTCTGTTTCTTGGTTTTGCTTCTCTGTAAATCTGAGGGAGAAGACAGGAAGGACCTGGGGTGCAGCCCTTCTTTGCCTGTCTCATAGGAGATCCTCACCTCACTTTGTGAAAACCCATGCTGTCTGTAATGATCCCAAAAGCTGCTGCAAAATACCTCAATATAAAAGACATGTTAACCTGGACGTGGTGGCTCACGCCTGTAATCCCAGCACTTTGAGAGGCCGTGGGGGGTGGATCACTTCTTTGGTCACCTGAAGTCCAGGACTTCAAGACCAGCCTGGGCAACACGGCAAAACCCCATCTCTACCAAAAAATACAAAAATTATTCAGGCATGGTGGTATATGCATATAGTCCCAGCTACTAGGGAGGCTGAGGCAGGAGGATTGCTGGGTTGCTTGAGCCCAGAAAGTTAAGGCTGTAGGTGAGCCGTGATTGCGCCACTGACTCCACTCCAGCCTGGGTGACAGAACAAGACCCTGTCTCATAAAAAAAAAAGAAAAGAAAGAAATGTTGAATCATTGTAGCCTAAAGCAAGAAGTGAAGGAAACAGTTTCAGGGTGTCCCTGCTCCCGGTGGGCGGGAGAACCTGGCTGCAGTAGGGCGTGCAGGCTTCCAGGGTAGGAGTTTGGGCAAGACCCCAAGGTCTGCCCCGATTGGGACACAAACCTAGGAGCGCACCTTTGCCTCTGTTTGCTGCTCTGGTAATAGGAGGCGAGACTGGTGCCTGCCTTTCTGGGGCCCTGGGAGGCTCCTGTCACGTGGGGAAAGTGCTAAGTAAGCACCCACTGCCACTAGCAGGGCCTGGTTGACAGAGATGCACGGGGAAGGGCGATGAGTCAATCTGTTTATGAAAATCACACATATCGTCACACATACCGTCAAGATGACCCGGGGGACAGCTGAGCCCTGAGAGCTGATGAGTCTTGCTCATACTTGGGGGTTCTCTGGTGTCCCTTTTTGGCAACCCGTTTCCTGTGCTTCCAGAGGTCTGCACGTGAACAGATGCATGACTGCTGAACCGAGACACAGGGTCTCTACCCTGAACAGCTCTGGTCAGGAGAGGGAAGCTGGGTGACTCATAGCAGAATTCAGAGCTGCGCATTGGCCACTGCTGGGGCAGGGCTGCAGATGCTTCTTTGGAAAGCAGCTTGGGGTTTCTGGTTCTCTCTGCGAGTCTGCATTCTCACTTGCTGAGTGCCATTTAGCCACAGGCACATCAGCATAATCTGTCAGAAATATGAATTGCACCAGTGTAGCTTGATAACTGCTTATAAGCCGTCATGTGGTATTCAAGTCCTCCCTCAAAAGTTTCCTTGTTGGAAATTCCTTAAGTGGGAGTTCCCAAAACTCTGGCTTTGGATTTAGACCAGGATGACCCCCTTAACCAAATCTCTTACAAGGTCTTTTTTGCATTCCCAGAAACTAATTAAAAGGCAGTGTTTTGTCCATTAATGTTCTTGGCCTAGAGAGGTAAACTTTTAGCAATTGGAGGTTGAGGAAATCTTGTCCCTTCTACTATATCCAGTAGTATCCTAAGGTTTTAAAATGTATAACCTGAAGTTTTTTCAATCTCAGGAATCTCTGAAAAAGAACCAGGGGTTACTAAAGAGCTGTTCACACAGAAGTAAGTGTGTTTCCTTTAGCAGGGCTGTGCCTGGGAGAGCTTTGGGGAGAGAAGATGGCATTTTAGATTCTTGAACTTTCTGCAGAAAACTTCGTTTTAGATTCCTGGCTTTGTAAATGTCATCCTCCAGCATGGGATGAAGAAGTCTGTTTCCACTTGTGGCCACCTGGCAGAGCTGCCTGTGTCCCTGTTGCTCAGCTCAGTCTCCCGGGGAACAGGCAGAGTTACTTATTTCAGATCCCAGGTCCCTGGGGGAGGTTTGGGTGGGGGGATTTTCAGGAAACACGAGAGCCTCTAGTGGCTCTCCTGCCAGGCTGCCTCATCGTCCGTGCACTCCCTCTCACACCCGACTAGAAAGTAGC
Source organism: Homo sapiens (assembly GCF_000001405.40). NCBI lineage: Eukaryota > Metazoa > Chordata > Mammalia > Primates > Hominidae > Homo > Homo sapiens. The sequence goes on along the minus strand of NC_000001.11, from coordinate 226,662,021 downwards.
TCCTGGGCATTTTGGAGTTCCAGAAAGACTCTGTTTCTGTCAAGGAATAGGACTTTTCATTGGGGATCCACTTCCTCCTGGCTGTGGCCTACACCTTCTGCCCTTTCCTTGTGGAAAGGTGGGATTCAAGGCTGGGATTAGGGATAGAAGAGGAGGTGGTCAGACCCTACTGCTAACATCTGCTGGGCTCATACAGAGCTGTCTCCCATACAGTTCATCCGATCCATAGGCTCTTGACCTTGAGGGGGTCAGACCAGACAGTATACGTGAGAGGTATGCAAAATGTATCTGCCTCTGTTGAGTGCTCTTGTGTATGTACCAGGCACTGCACACAGAGAATTTAATTTAACCCTGAAAACAATACTTTAGGATACATGGTATTTCCATTTTATAGATGAGGAAACTGAAGCTCAGAGAGGTTTGGTAACTTGCCTAGTGCCACCAGCCAGGAGTGGCAGGATCTAAATCTCAGTTTATCTGGCTATAATGTTACCTGTTCCACATGACAGGAAATGAGGCAGCCCAGCAGAGTGATGAAGAGCTTGGATCCGCAGCCAGCCTGCCTGACTACACATGTACAGAACCTTGGGCAAGTTGTCTCATGACTCTGTGCCTCAGTGTTCCCATCTGTGAAGTGGGACAGTGACAGCACCTCTGTGATGGGTTGAGAGACTCTTATCACACACACATAGCAAATACTCAGCCCTGTGTCTGGCTCTGGTAAGCACACGAGCTATTTCTTGAACTGGCACTAGAACAGCTCGCATGCTATGGGCTGCGCTCCTGCCCTGCCTTACCTCTCTGTGGGCTATAAAGGAAGGATTAAGCAACTCTAGCTCCCCAGACCAGGAAGCTGTTCCCAAGAAGGTGTGTTGGGGGTGGAGATGGGGCTGAGTCCCCTGGCTGGCGCCTCTGAGAGAGCGGCCCAAGATGGACTCTGCGGGTGCTCGGAGGTTCCAGAACTTCAGTGCCAATTGTCTGCCGATCAGTGAAGGCCTTTGGTAAATTTCCACCCTCTGTAACTTGGCCTTGTTGTTTTGCATTTACCAAAGTAAAAATAAAATCTCTGGGGAGGAGTGGATGAGCGCAGGGCGGGAGAGGATCTGCTGCGTGTTGCAGGGGTGGCCCTTAACCAGCTGGGCAGAGCCCAGGCGCCCTTTCCCAGAGGAAAGGCTGAGCCCTTCTGTCCTCTGGGCTTTATCCATTAGGAAGTCAGCCTCGAAAGGCTGCCCATCCGCCTCGTGCTCTTCCCCAGCCCCTTTGGCCACTCCCTGTTTCCTCCTATTGTTGGTCCCCTCCTAGCCTCCGGGCCCAGCAGCCTTTGAGGCCTGGAGAGGCCCCTGGTGTGAGCTCTGCGAGGCCCCTGGTGTGAGCTCTGCGAGGCCTCTGTTCAGCACAGCATTTCCTGTGCCTTCTTCCTCTCTCGCCTCTCTCCTCTAGCCCTTCATTATTTTTAGTTCTTAAGAGGATGGAATCCAGGAGAGAGGAGGAGGGAAGAGCCAAGTTAATGACCTTCTCACCAGAGATGGAGCATTTGCTGGGCCCTGCCCAATAGGGAGGGTTAGGAACATTTCCATTTTGGGTGAAGGACACCTCGATTCTTGAGTAACCAAAAAAAGACTCTGGTTTAGCAAGATTGCAGGCCCCTTTGATGCCAGCTCCTATAGAGTGTGGATGAGGGAAGGAGTGCAGACCTGAAAGAGTCGCTAAGGAAGAGCATTCTTTGCTGGTGTCTCCAGTGTCCCTGGCTCCTGCAGGATACTGGGGATGCCCACGAAGAGATGTCCCCTGCCTGCCAGCAAGGGCATCACAGATTGAGGGATGGGAGAGTGAGCAAACAGTGACTAACCTGAGTGAAAGGTTGCCCTCCAAACCCTTGAGTGAAAAAGACCCCTGGGGCCTGGGGCCAGCCAGGCTGCCAGCCGTGGGGTCCTGGAGAGAAACCCAAGCAGACCAAACAGGAAATTCCCACAAATATGCCCCCTCTTGTTACTTGGAGAAGTCTCTAGAAAAATCCAGGTGTGAGCAGGTGAACATAAAGCAGTGTGAGCCTTGGTGTAGGTGTGCTTTATCTTCCAGGCCTGGGCCCTTAGCATGTGCTGGGTCCGCAGGGTCCTCTTATCAGCCAGATGCCGGGAGTATTGGATTCCTGCCGGCTGTGCAGCCTGGGGGACATAGAGAAGGTTAGGACAGATCCCCAGTTCCCCAGGAGCCTTCCTGCCACTGGGAGACATGGTATGGCACACAAGAATCACGAAGCACCCCAGCTTCCTTTCCCTTCCCTGCCCCACCTGCAGGTCTGCTGTGCAGGTGCCCTGCTGGGAAGCTCTCCCTCCTCCCTTCTGCGTATCCACATCCTGCATCTCCCTCCAGCTTCAGGGAGGATTCCAGGAGTGGCGTGGGGCTAGAGTGGCCTGAGAGACTTCAGGGACAAGGTAGGGCCAGCTTGCAGATTCCAGGGGATCTGCTGGAAGGAGAGGTAGGATGTGGATACACAGAAGGGAGGAGGGAGAGCTTTCTGGGCAGAGCACCTGCACAGCAGACCTGGAGGTGGGGCAGGTATGGGATGGCTTGCCCTGACGGATTGGAGTGGGCACGCCAGAGAGTGAGTGTGGGGCCGTATCTGGGGGTGGCTCTGTATCCCGGAGGGACCCTGCTCCCTCTTATGGGTGGTCAGGGAGCCTTGGTGAGGCCCTGGGCTGCTCCTGGAGCCCTGTCCTTGCCGTCTGGGCCTTGGGCAACCTCCTTTGGCAGGGTTTAGGGCTTATGGTGGAAGAGGAAGAGTGGCCATGATGGAGGGCCCCTGGGTGCCAGTCTGGGTGCTGCCCTTGGCCTAGAAACTAGGCCTCTAGTTGCAACAGGAAGAAGGCAGCTAATCAGGAGACAGCTGGGCAGTCACTCAGGGTTTTCCTGGTTTTGGCCAGAATGTGCTGCTAGGGGTCGATTGACCATGGTGGCGTCCCTCAAAAAGAGTCAGCCAGGTTGGGAGCTCCAGCCTTCAGCCCGACCAGGTCTACGCACTGCAAACCAGGGACCCGGCAGCCCTCGCAGCCTGATTGGGTGTGGAGGGGACAGAGCGCTCACCTGGAGCTAGTTTAGCTAGCTAGTTCACTGAGCTGGTTCGTGTAGCCCCTGCAGGGGGTCCCGGTCTGCAGGGGCTGGTAAGGACCCATCATCCTCGTTCTCCTGCCCCAGGCCCAGCAGTTGCTTCTGAAGGAGGGACTTCACCAACCCGACAGCGCTCAGTAATCCCTACCCTACGCTCATGGGTTCCATAAAGGGCGGGGGAGAAGAACCTCGTGCCTGGTGAGCAGCGCTGTGGAGGATGTTCGGTGCCATCCAGCCTGCGGGAACATCACACGGCGGGTGGAGACGGGGGATGAAATAAAGCCTTACTCGGGTCTTTTCTGAAAGTGCTTTTGCATTTGGCATTTAGGGGGATTTTCTTGTTTGTTAAAGGGGGAAAGGCAGTTAGTCTTACATCCAGACTTTTATTTTTAGCTGGAGCTACCTGTCCTGCCAAGTCCTTGGGCTTAATTTTTCCGATCCTTGGTGTCTTGGTTTTGAAAGCCCTTCCCCTCCTTCCCTCCCAGCTCCTTTTTGGCAGGGGCAGGTTTCGCTTTTGGCCCCAGCCAGGTTTCTAACCAGGGCTACAGGAGGGAGCTATTGAGCCAGGGGCCCCTACCTGCCTGGGCTTGTACCCAGCTGCCGCCAACCCAGCTGGGCCCTGCCAGGGGGAATACAATGAACAAAGTTGGCCACCGCCTCCACTCTGCAGCCTAGGAGAAGCACCAGGCTTTTCCCCAGTGAAGGAAATAATGATCACTAGGGAAACCCTAACTGCTTTTTTAGAAAGACCAAATGAAGAAGGAAGGAAAAAAGGATTTTTTCCAAACATGGAAAACTCAATGACTCTCACTCAGACTTTTGCAAGAGCAAAACAAAGGCTTTGACACAGAACAAATTCTCCCCTGGCAGGGGCGTTCTTCATCCACTTTCGACGCTTTGTTAGATGTGCCTTCCCCGAGCGTGTGTCAGTAAGGACGTTCTGGGAACAGACTTGGAGGGAGGGGAGAGTAGGCCTTTGTTCAGGCCTCCCCCATCTGAAAGGTCACTCTTCTGACAAAGCCCTTGCTGTTTATGTGAGGCTATTTTATAAATAGGGGGGAAGCAGATAGCCCCAGGTCCGAGAGAGATGATGGGAGCCCAGTAATCCTGTTGGCTGAGACAAAATCCTTGGAATTAAGTGGCACAAACCTGGAAGCTGTGTGACCTTTTGCAAGTTACTAAACCCCTCTCAACATGTTTCATCATTTGCAAAATGGAGACAACAATATCAGTGTTGTGAGAGTTACCTGAGCTATTAGCTTATTAGTATCTAACACTATGTTAGACATGTAACGTGATCTCTTTGCACACACGCAGCAGAGTTCGGCTGGCAATACCGTTTTCGGAGTGTTAGAGGGTCCAGGGATCATTTCCCATTTCTGATATTTTAGAGATTTCCCCTCATCTCTTTTACCCAACAACAACAACAAAGGGAGACTCTTTCTTTACGATTATCTAAAGATAAAAGCCAAGTGATCAAACTATTTAAATAAAAAGAGAAGTGCTGGAGGAAAAAGTAGCAAATTGAGGGAACAAGTCAGGTGAAAAAGAGGCTAAGAAGAGAATGTAAACCCCCTCTAGAAAATGAAATTTGCCAAGCAATCTTATTATTCACCTTGAAAATATCTTTCTTTGGCAGTGCCTAGCAGAGTTCCACATACATGAAATAAGATGCTTTGGGAAATCATTCTTCTTTTTGCAACGTCAGTGACTTGAACCAGAAACTGATATTGACTCACTTGGGCTCTGACTCTTTCCAAGTTACACATCTGGGGGCCTAAGGAACTGCCCCATGAGTTCCCGGAGCTGCGATGGGCATGGGACGGGAAGCTTTGTAAGCAATTAATCACACAGTTAGCCTCATCTGATCACCACTGGCCACGATCAGGCCCTCTGAAAGTGCCTAGTTGGATGCTTGCCAATCTGCTATGCCTTGGAGGAAAAAATCATTTCAATTTAAGAAAATAGACACAGAAGCAAAAAACCAAAGTGAGCCTGGAAGGTTTGCCTGTCTGTGACAGTCTACAGAGCAGCTGTTTGTGCCTGTCACCTGCTCAGGCTCTCACGGTGACTGCATGGGGAGGGCAGGGTGTGTGCATTGATACCTGCCGTGCCCAGTGTACGCCGAGGTTTGCCCATGCTGCAGCTGGAAGGCTGCAGAACAAAGGTTCGTTCCAACCTCTACACTTGAATTGCATTCTGCGTCATCATCCTGCCTTCTAGAACAACATCCAACTCCGTGGGCTGCCTTTTAAAATCTTGATGGAGGGGGAGAGGAGTATGTATGTTGCTTCAGCCCTTAATTTGCAAGGTGGTGAAACCACTATGGGCCTGGCCAAATCAGCAAGAAGGGGGCTGGAGGAAGGGCAGCTGTCTTGGGGTACACTGGGACTGGAAGGAGCTGCCTTCCTGAAGTCCTCCTTGCTTCTCTGAAGTTGTCCCAGCACAGCTGTGGCTTCCGGGAGAGGAATGTCAGGGCCCTGATAAGGAAATGAAGTGGAGCCCGCACCTGCCCAGAATGTGAAATTTCTTCAGCAGCCTCTGACCGGGCTCCAGATGGGCAAGTGCAGCCCCTCCCACACCTGCTGAGTTTGATCTCCCTCCTCCTGGATGCTGTGAGGCTTGGCACCTGCCCAGCCAGGCACTCAGGAAACCTGCTGGGGGTCTCTGAGCGCCCACCAGGGTAAACCAAGGTCCCTTTCTTGTGTTAAAGAGAAGAACTGGGATGGAAGCGTGCCCAGGGCTCTTTGGAAGCACCCAGGAGGGGCAATGGAAGGCTTCCTGGGAAGAGGGTTTCTGGGTTGCATTTTAAAATACACACAGGAGTTAGCTAAGTCCTGAGCATCCTCAGTCATTCTTCTGCAAAGTCCCTAATAGCAGAAGCTGACACCCTTGCGGGCCTAAGGTGGCGTGGGGACAGGTGTGTGGAGCAAGAAGTTGCCTGCAGAACTCCACAGGCCTGAGAGAATATGAGCCCGGGTGCGCTGCAGATGGTGCCATGTGTGGATGGGAGTGGGGGTCACCAGGGCTGCCAGTGACCTGCAGTCCTCACGACATACAAGTGTCTGCCCCCAGCGTCACAACCCTTTCTTCTACCCACCCCAAATTGCACTGAGAAATATAACATTGGTTTGGAGGGGCGGGAATTGGCTGGAAAGAAGACAGGAAGCAGACCCCAGGGGGCATGTGGGCTGAGCTGAGGATCAGACAGTGCTGGCCCTGGGTGGCTTGGCCTCCTGCGGAGAAGGCTGGGCTGGGCAGGGCAAGTGGCCACTGACTGGCTCAGACAGCACTGCAGGGACAGGAAGCAAGGCCAGACTCTGAACAACATGCAGAAGGCTGAGGTCTGGTTGCATCCTCACCGCTCCTGCCAGGCCTTTCCAGGGGACTTCTCTGAGCCCCAAAAAGAGAGCCACAGGTGCCGGTGGCCTTGAGCCCTCCCCTGCCCTAGGATTGAGGAGCCTCTGGTCATTGGCTGTGAGCAGGCCACAGAGGCCTGCAGGCCTGGGGTCACCTGCTGTCTCCTAACGGGGGCCATTTCCTCCCCAGGAGGCAGGGCCCATTTCCTGGCTGAGCAGTCACAGGGCATGAGAAGGGCCCCGAGCTTGGTGAAGTTCTGCTTTCCCCATCATGACATTCTTACTGAATTTTGGACAAGGGACCCCTCATTTTCATTTTGCATGTTATGTAGATGATCCTGATGATAGCTAAAGCATTTTGTAAGTGGGGTGGCCAGAGGCCCACACATCCCCACAGCCTAGAGTAGGGTAAACCTGGGTCTCTCCTTCCCCTCCTTCCTCCCTCTTCTTCCTCCTGCCCTCCTCTTCCTCCTCCCCTCCTCCCCACCTCCTCTTCTTCCTTCTTCTCTCCTCTTCCCTGTCCTCTTCCTCCTCCTCTTTCCTCTTCGTACCCTCCTCCTGCTCTCCCTTCTCTCTCCTCTTCTTCCTCCCTCCTCCCTCCTCTTCCTCCTCCCCCTCTTCACTCTTCTCCTCTTCTTCCTCTTCCTCCTTCCTCCTCTTCCCCTGTCCCCAGCAGTCCTTTTTTGCCTGCCTTATGAACGACAAAGGCTAGACCTGGAGGTTATGCCCGTTTGCCCTCTGATTTGTTGAAGGCAGTGTTTCCGTACAGCATGACTGAGGATGCCTGATGGGAAGGACCCGGGGAGGATGGCGTCACCCAGGAACCGTTAGCATCACGGGAGGGTTGGGACTTGATCCAGAAAAACACACAGAATCAGACCCTCCCCAGGCAGCCCCACTGGCTCGGGGCAGCTCCAAGGATGGGCTGGAGGTGGGGAGGAGTAACTGCTTGCCCAGGAAGGCTCCACACCCACCTGCCACAGAACCCTGGGTCTGTTTTATGGCTCTGTGTGTTGAGCAGGAGGAGATCATTCTGTGTAGGCCTTGGCCCCCAGGGAGTAGATTCCCATCTGCTCTTCAGACCAGGAACTTCTGGGAAAAGGGGAAGAGGAAAAGGGAGACAAAATGTGGCATGCCCTGAGCTTCCCCAAGGCGAGGGCTTCCTACTCCCAGGTGACGTGGGGAGCAGAATCGGGAGCTGGGGCAGGCTTCTCTCTGTTGCAGGGGAATGTGGCTGCTGTCTGCCGGCTCCTCAAGCTCCCTTCGCCTCTGACTTCCTGTCTCCTCCAATGCAAAGATGGTTGGGGTTTTGTTGTCAGATTTTTTCCCTCCCACTACAAATCTCTCTCCACATTCTCTGAATATTTTAGCTCTTTCAAGTCGGGTGCCAGGGGACAAAACCACACCAGAGGTCTCCAGGCCTCTCTTGAGTTTCAAAGAATCACTCCCCTCCCCACCACCACCACCCCTCCCTCACCCTGGTCCGGCTGTTTTCTGATCCTTTCTTTCCACATTTCTCTGAGTGAATTGAAGCTCCATCTTTCCCTGCGCTTCTGGAGTTCAGCACGAGACTCTCTTACAGAGCAGGGTCCAGGTTGCAACAGGCAGGGGTGACAAATGTCAGCAGCAGGCACTGCCCACCCTGCCTGCAGAGGAGCAGCTAAGCAAAGCTCAGACCAGTGCTCTTGTAACCAGGAGTGCAGCCACCTAGGGAGTTCCCCAGCTGGTTCGCATCCAAGCCTGTGAGGCCGGGGGTTACCTGAAAGACCTCATGCCTGGTCTTCAGTTGGTTTAACCACCCTGCCCAGAATCAAAGTAAAAGCCGTGTGTCTCCAGCCCACTCCACTGCCCTTTACCTACCCAGGGGCACCCCTGCGTTGTGGTGCTTTCCTTTCCACCGAAGTGTCCTCAAGAACATCACAAGTGCAGAACTCCATCCGGAGTCTAGAAGTGTCTGGCTGCTCTGATCTGACACATGGGAGAGCTTAAACCTTGTGTCATCTGACAGCTGCACCGGAAGTGGCACCTGAGCAGCCCCAGGGAGGGATGTATCTGGGGTTTCGGTGGCCAGCTTTAGGGGCACCAGGGGCCCTGGGCTCCTCTGCTAACGGAGCAGCCAGAAAACTTCACTGGGCTGGCACCCTGGCTGTCCAGGGGAACCGCCCTGGAGGAATCTTGCTCTTGTCCTTCCTGCCCAGTCTTCTGCCTCTTGTCCCCTCATCCTGCTGTCTCGAGACTGGAAGGGGCACTCGGAGGTGGGCCCTCACTCGTTGATAGGCACGGAAGTGGGTGAACTGGCTAGAGGCTCCCCATGTGCATGGTACCTACTGGCAGGGCATAGAATGGGATGACTTTGGAGAAGTAACTTGCTGAGCCTCAGACTCTTTCATCTGTAAAATGGAGAAAACACTCCTAACTAGAACATAGGAACAAGGCCATAATTCTCTAACCCGGGCCTGTCACATAGCGAGAGCCCCATAAGTGGTAACAGGTATGAGTGTACACACCGTGCCATGGTACTGGTGCACGCCTGCAGAAATGGGCCCTCCTATCTCCCCGAGAGATGACAAAAGCAATGCCGGCCAGCAGCAAGTCCCCCTGCACAGTACTACTCAGCCAGCTTAGGAAGAAACCCAGCACATCCACTGGCTAGGCCGACCCCACATCTGTGTGTGAGGAAGTAAGGGTCACAGCAGAGCTGGCCACCTGCCCCAGGTCTGCCAAAGAGAGGCTCACAGCCCCAGGAGGCCAGCAGGGACCTGCCACACATAGGGAGCTTTGGGAGCACTCCGGGAGGTGTCCACAAGGGATGTCTCGATTCCCCTGATGACTGGGAGGTGATGCAGGAGCAGGTGGCCAGCTCTGCCCTGGGCAGGGGACCAGGTACCCTTTGCCACACCACGTTCAAGGCATTTGAAGGCCACTTTTGTATTTCCTAGAGCTGGGCTTGAGAGGCTGGAGACCTGGGACGGGGTCTGATTTCAGACAGAGAAGAGACAGAGGCTGCTGTGGAGAGCTCACTCTTGAATATCTCCCACAAGGGAGGGCTGGAGGGGCACGGGATAAACCCCTCTGGGTGGGATTCTTCTGGGTTGTCCTCCTTTCTTGCCTTGTTACCTGTCTTATCTGGGGGATGAGGCCTGGAGTCCATTTCTGAGGACTGGGGCTTCCTCCAGCCAGTGCTTGGAGGGAGGGCTGTTAGCCTGTCCGCTCCTGGAAAGCGGCGTGTGCCTGGAGTGGATTTGGTTCCTGAGGCAGATGCTGTGGTCTCCCCGACCATCACAAGGACATTGATTCTCTGGAATCTCCTCCCATCCTTTAGTTCATCTCTGCTCCTAGGGGCTAGGCTGGAGTGGTTGGGGTCACCCTGCAGCCCTCCTTCCCTCCTTCCCCCAGCCTGGACCTGGAAATGGCTTTTTCTGTTTACTGCTTGGCAGTGACATTAGGCACTGCCTGGGTGCTGCTATTTAAAAACCATGGGGAAACCCTGTGTGCTGCTGCTGGCAGAGAGAAAAGAGGTCTCCAGTGCAAGTGCATGGCATTCTCACAAGTGGAATATTCCACGGCCCTCATCCAGGCAGAGCAGCCTTGGGACTGGGGGACTCTCAGGGCCTTGGCCACGTGGGACCTATTTTCATGGTGAAGAAATGGAGGAGGTGTGGGCAGAGGGGAGCCAAGCGGTAAAGGTGCCTGGTTTGGTCAGAGCTCAGCGATGTGAGAGGCTTGTGGATCCTTTGAACTGTCAGAAGACCCCCACCCTGGAGCACCCCCTCCTTTCTAGACCCCTGGTCTTTAGCCTCTGGGAGAGGTCCAAGAACTGGAAGTTTCTTAGCTTCAAATGGCCTTGCAGAGGCTAAGCCACACTGTCTCGCCCAGCATCTGTTCACCTTCCTGGGTCACAGGCTCCCTGCTCACTGTGTCTTGTGGGTCTCTGGAGAGCTGCACCCCAACAGGATGGGCATGACCCTGCCCCAGGCTCCGAGGTCTTTATTGTTCAGAACCTAGGCCAGCAACTCCACCTAGCACAGGACTGACCATTCTTGAAGTAACTTCAGAGACACCTGGGTCCCCTCCTTGAACACAGAGGGCTAAAGACCCTCCCACAGACACCCTGGTACCCACATCTCCTGACAGCTTTATCTCCTGGGAGAATGGGAATCTATGTGTCGCTCTTTTTACAAACAAGGACTAAGAACTTGTTCAAGGTCAGTCATTGAGGAGGAAAAGGGGAGCCGGGACTCGGGCCCAGGTTGGCCTGCCTCAACGCCCCACGCTCTCCCGAGGCCTCGCCTGCTCACCTATCTCCCTCTGTCTGCAGCCCCCATGCCCATAGCAGGTCTGGTTCCCAACCACTCCCAGTTCCAGTCCCCGGGCCTTTGTCCCCACACTCCCGCTGCCAGCTGTAGTCTTCTCTTTCTCTCCACTGAGTCTGGCCCCCAGCTGTCTCTGGTGGGTGCAGCCTCCGTAAGCTCCCTCCTTCTCCACAGTGAGCTGCCTTCTAGGGTCCTGGGACCCTTCCTCCATGCATGCTCATTTGCCTCCTCCTGTATACATAAAATATAAACTGGCACGCTGCAGCTGGGAGAGTAGCCCTCTCTAGTCTTCCTCGGAGGGGCCATTGCTGTTGGGATGAGGGAAGGTCACTTTCCAGGGCCCTAGAGTGTCCATCCATCCAAGGAGCCTGGTATACCAGCTGTCTGTCCCTCACCGGACACAGGAAACTGAGGCCCCAGGAGGGACTGTGAAACAGTGCAATGTGTGTTCTCCCCTGATAGGGACATGGCATGGGTTAGGGCGAGCCCTGGATTGAGACACTCTGGGCTCCCCTCCTCCCACACCACCCCTGAAGCCTGTCAGCCCCTGTCCTCTCTGAGCTCTGCTGCAGGGATGTGACCCACGGGTGGTGACCGGCTGTGCACTCTCCCCCTGGACCCACCGTAATGGCTTCCCCCTGAGCAGGGGCGTCCCCACGAGCCACTGCTGGGCTCATCTTGTGTAATGAGGTTTTTCCATTGTTGCCCTCATGCATTGTGTGCCCTGATTGTTTATGCAGCCTTCTGGGTGCTTAGATAAGAAATGCCTCCGCTGGCTCTAGCCTTCTTTGGCGATCTCCATCAGAAGGATCTAGGAAAAACATCCTTGTCAGTAAAGCCTCGGCCCTTTTGTCACATGGCCTCATGGGGCGCTGCCCTCTCTTAAGAATAGAATTGGTCTTGGCGGTGGGGTGAGAGTTTCTGGGATGGGGATAAGAATTACCAGGTTTAGTAAGGAAGAATTCCTCTCCTTAAATAGATTTTAACTTGAAAACCTGATGACAGAAGCGGCTGAGTCTCAGCAAAGAGAGAAAAAACAAAGGAGGCCGATTTCACCTTGACTTCACCTTGGGGACCCAGCAGCCGCCGCTGACCCCTGAGGGCTGCAGCTGGGCGCTTCGGGGCAAGGAGTGGGAACCACATCTTCAGTGTGTCCCCCTGTCAGGCAGTACCACCCTCATCTCCTCTGCAAGCCACATGGCTTCTGCTCTCCGTGGTTTAGCTGGTCCAGGATCCACTTTCTCAGGAACTCACAATGCTTCTCATTCAGGTTCTCATCGCCCCCCTGAGGACGGGTGTATTTTGGGGACACTTGATCTTCATCTCTGCAGCCTGTTCTTATTAAAGTTCACTTAAGGATATTTTTTCTAAAAATATGTTTTTTTTTTGTTTTTTTGTTTTGTTTTGTTTGTTTTTGCTGGGGAAGAAAAGAATTTTATTAATTTTATTTATTTTCAAGTAGTTGTATAAATGAATGTTTAAATCCCAGCTTCGTCATTTACCTCTCTGAGGCTCAGGCTCCACCAGATGGAAATAGAAAAGAATTGACTTGCATGCTCATTGAGAAAATAAAATAAGATGCTCAATATACCTTAGTTCTCCTTTCTGCCCAAAGGGCCTGCTCTCCCCAAACACACATGCACGCACACACATGCACACGCACACACTCATGCACACATATGTGCATATCACACACGCATGCACACACATGCACACATCACACACATGCACATATCACGCATGCACACACTGATGCACACATATGCACATACATGCACATATCACACATGCACACACACGCACACATACGCACACACTCATGCACATATCACACATGCACACACACTCATGCACACATGCACACAATCACATGCACACATGCACATATATCACATATGCACACATACGCACACACTCATGCACACATATGCACACACACATGCACACACACGCACACACACATGCACACTCCCAGTCCTGGCTGTTTTCACTGAAGAAACATCCTGAGAGGGCGGAGCGCGGTGCAGAGGAGAGAGCTGTGGGCTTGCTCCCTCCTGTGTGACCTGAAGCCATCGGTGCAGGTTCTGTTCTGAGGAATTTCTTTAAAGTCTCTCTTCAAACCACTCGCAGGCAAGAGGTGCCTCTGGTGCCTCCGCATCTACGAATTGAATATGAACTAATGTGGTGCGGCTGGGTGGTTGTGTCCTCTCCAGCCTTCCTTGGAGGGGTCGTTGCTCTTGGGACAGGGGAGTTCCCCTGAGCATTTTGCTCAGGCTGTTTGTTAAATGGGGTAAAGCCACCTCCCACCATGTGCCGCATAGGTGATGGTGGTGGCAAGGTCCTCAGAGCCCGTCAAGGGCCCTTCCCATCTTGTGGCCACAGGCAATGAGGGCCTTTGCTTTGAATTTGTCCTAACCAGAAATTAGTGGTTGTCTTTCTAATGTAGAGCTTTTTGTTTGTTTGTTTCTAGAGCAAATCATGGAGGAAGATAAAAAACATGGTGCACTGGTCTCCCTTCGTCATGTCCTTCAAGAAGAAGTACCCCTGGATCCAGCTGGCAGGACACGCAGGTAGACACAGCTCTCCCAGACTTTCCCAGCATGGTGCTCAGCCCTCTGGGGAGGTGCCCTGGACGCTGCATTCTGGGGATCAAAGCTCCAGAGCAAGTTCCCTCCAAGACTTTCTAGTCTGAAATCACAGCCACACTTGCAGGCTGCGGCCTTACCAATGCCTTGTAAATGCCATAGACAACGGACCTCTCTGGAGTCTGTGTTACCCCATCCTCCAAAACATGCATCCTCCCCTCCCTCGGTCTCTGGCTCTTATCTCTGTCTCTTCCAGTCTCTTTCTTTCTGTCTCTCTTCCCGTTGTATTCAATAAGACAGATGAAGCCATCAGTCTTTATAGCTTACCTGCCATTTGTCACCCTGGACAAAGAGGCAAAGCTAACCCCTTCATTGAGCACCTACTGTGTGCCTAAATTGCCATGGTCCTGGGGGTTGCGGCATTAATGGAGATGTAGTTTCTGCCCTGAGGGAGCCTGCAGCTGGTGGAAGATGCGGCCAAGCCACCCCATAACTGCAGGGCGGTGTGCGGTGTTGGGAGGAAGGTGGCTAGGAGCTGAGTCCAGGCAGTGCCGGGGAGAAGGGACATCTGGAGCCGAGGCCCCAGAGCCATCTAGCCCACATGTAGGACCCTCTGGAAGCACTGTCATCTGGAGACATGTCAGGGGCTGCCTGTGGACTTGGCCTTCGTGACTTCACCAGCCTCCTCAGGCCAGCACAAGGTCCCGCATTTCGCTTACCTCGTTGGCCACACTGGCCCAACTCAAGGCACATGGATGGACAGCCTGTGTGAATACTTACTTGGTCTGGCTCAGAAGAAGTGCCACCCAGGTGGGCTGAGCCTTAGGCCCCCCAGCTTCTCAGCCTGCTGTATCTCCCCACCTTGGCTCTGAATCCTGTCCAATCAGGGTTTCTCTACTGAGGCCAGGAGACACCTTCGTTGCCGAGAAGCAGGGCTGATGATGGAGGTGAGGATGAAAATAGCAACACTAAGGAATGACTGGGTCGTGGCACCTCAGTCTCTCACCTAGCTCTGTACCCTTCCAGCAGGGAACACTGGTGAGGAGGAGTCTGGAGTCAAGGAAGCTGGGGAACCAGCTCAGAATTACAGTTAGTGAGTGGGGACTAGGTCTTGAACCCACTCCCCTTAAGGTGCTCAGTCCATAGCAGGGACATAGACACACCTTCAGCCCCAGGCTTAGCCATCCCCAGGGAGGCCCAGACCCTGTGCTGGGGAGGGTGCCTCTGCCAGCTACCTGCAGCCGGAGACCAGGAACCTTCTACACTTGCTCTCCAGGGAGTTTCAAGGCAGCTGCCAATGGCAGGATCCTGAAGAAGCACTGTGAGTCAGAGCAGCGCTGCCTGGACCGGCTGATGGTGGATGTGCTGAGGCCCTTCGTACCTGCCTACCATGGGGATGTGGTGAAGGACGGGGAGCGCTACAACCAGATGGACGACCTGCTGGCCGACTTCGACTCGCCCTGTGTGATGGACTGCAAGATGGGAATCAGGTGAGCCAGGCTTCTCGCAGCCCACATGCCTGCCTCAGTGCAAGCCACATGGCAGGTGCACAGCGTGGCACTCAGGGCTTCCCGGAGGCCTCACAGGTGCAAGGGCAGGCTGAGGAGGCTGTTGGACCAATTAGAGCCTCCCCATCCCCAGGCATCTCCCATTATTTGCAGAGGGTTCCGGGACCTGGGCTTTGCCCATGATGGCCCCTTTCCTTCTCCAGTGAGCAGAAGCCAGGGGCTGGCGGAACCAGAAAAAGGGCACCGGCTGGGTTCTGAGGCCCCCTAGAGAGAAGGAAGAGAGAGCTGCCCTTGGTTCAGGTGGGATCGCTGGGGGTGCGGGGAGCCACCAGGTAGGGAGGTCGCAGGATGGTGACTTCCTGCTGTGTGAGCTGCAGGGGAGATGGGAATCGAGGTCTTTCCATTTCCCCAGCCCTGGTGAGTGGGAAGAGAGAGTGGCTAGTAGAACATGCTGGTTTCCCAAAAAAGACCTGTATCTGCCTAAAAGGAGGAGGAAGCCCCTGACGGAACTCAAGAAACCCACATGGCAGGTCACCGCAGGGCCCCAGGTGAGCCCGGAGCAGTCACTGGGCCTGTGTGCAGGACTGGCTCCCACCCCCAGGTTCCTGACAGGGGCTCAGGCTCACCCTGACACCTGCCCAGGGGATAAGCCTGGAGAGGACTCCAGGGAAGAGGAGAGAGGAAGAGGGGGCTTGAGGAGGCAGGGCAGAGAGCAGACAGGGATGCCTGAGGCCGGCTGCTGTGATCTCGGGGCTCAGTTTTAGGCAGCCGGGTTTTCTCATTACCTCTCAAACTGCTGCCCTTCCACCCTGAGTCATCCACAGCACGGCTCCTTCTCCCCTGTGCAGGCTTGGTGAACCTCCCTAAGGCTGTCGGCCCCCATGGTGTCCAGCGTGCGGTGCTCATGTTGTGGGGCTGGCCCTCACTGCAGCACCCGGGCTGGACGGCCAGATGCCAAGCCCCCCCATGCTTCCTTGCAGGGCTGTCTGGGAGGCCAGGCACGGAGACTCAGAGCTCAGAGCAGAAGGCTGTGTCCACTGTGACTGGTTTAACCGGATTATTTCTCATAAGAGCAGATTGAGAAAGAGGGGTGTGTGTGTGAGAGAGAGAGAGACAGAGACAGAGGCCAGGAGAGAAGAGAGCTAAGCCAGCCAGCATTTCTTTCCTTCTTTCCTTTCTTCTCTCTCCTCCTGGGAGTTCTGTCCTAAAATCACACCCTGCCACTGACTGTTGTGTTCTCTCGCCATCACTCACAGGGAAAGAATGGGGGATGGAGAAGCACAGGCCCCACTGTTTGCTCTTGAGCCATCCCTGGCCACCTCCCTCCCACCATCCAAGTTCCTTACTATCTTTAGCCCACAGGGACCTGGGATAGGGCAGGGAGGAGAAAGAACATGCCCCCAGCCAGCCCGAGGCCTTTGCTTTTCCCGAGTCTGATTTCTGACCCAGGATGGCATCCACTGGTGCACCAGAATGTGTCCTCTCAGGGGAGGCCCAGCCCTTCCTTCCAACCCAGACAGCAGCAGGACTTCGCAGGTGACCACATGGAGAATAATCCAAGTGGTGTCCACTCAGACCTGGCCAAAAAAGTACGGCCTGTGTGAAGAACACTGGCTGGGCATTTCTGGAAGTCGGCTGTCCCAAAGACACAGCCAGCCAAGCACAGGGCCAGGCTGCCCCAGAACCTGCCTGCTCCTGCTGGGGACAGGAGCCCCGCTTCCTGCCCCAGGGCTGCCCCCACCCAGCCGCTTGACTTCCGCAGCTTCTCTCTGATTGCACCCTAGTGCTCTCAAGAGAGATCTAGAGTGACCGTGGCTGGTACCCATGTAACCCATCTTGGCAGGCAGAGGGAAGAGGATGAGAGAGGAGTATGTGTGGAGGGGAAGAGGAAGGTCTCCCCAGAAGCAGGGTGCACCCAGCCCGATCTTTCCTGCACACAAATCCTAAGGACCCTTCTTGTTCCAAGGGCTATGCTAGATGCTTCCATTATTTATCCCATTGCGTTCTCACCGCCATTCTGGGAGATGGGTCATGTTCCAGTGTAAGCAGGAGGGTTCTGTCACCAGGAGGTTCAGTGACTCATCAGGGCCACCCAGCCAGGCAGCAGCTTGGTGCAGTTCTGCACCAGGCTTGCTTGACTGCAAATCAGGCCCCCAGCTGCAGCCCAGCCCTTCCCAAGGGGGCTGTGTGGGACCCAGCTTCCATGGCATTTCCCTGGGGTGCCAGGCTAGTTCCATTTGGGCCATGGACTGTGCCTTCCCCCAAATGCGTTCATCCAGAACCCTTGGCTGCAGGGCCTCTCCCAAGACTGGCTGCTCATGGTCACCTCTAGAATGTGGCCTTTCCATGACAGGGTGAGGAGGCTGGAGCCCAGGGTTACCTCACATGCTGAGTCCCAGGGCAAGAGAGTTTGAGACATGTCACAGAGAAAGGGAAGGGCCGGTCACCAAACAATGCTGGGCATGGCGGGGGCAGAAGGGTGGCACTAAGGAGAATGTGATGCAGTTGCTGGTGGCGTCTGCACGTCGGGGCTTCTTGGGACTCTGGCTCCCGCCGACATGTGCTCAGTGGCTCTGGGGCATGCTCTGAGATTTGTGACTTGTCCTGGAGAGTCAACACTGTCTTCCTGACATTGGGACCAGGGGCCTGGGGAGTGCAGGTGAGAGCCCGCCCCTAGCACCTAGGAGCTCTGGGTGGCTTTCGCCTGCCACCTGTTGGCTCCCTGGGCTGGCCTGTCTCAAAGGAGCACTTCCTCCACCTGATCTTGAGTCCCCTCCTCCCCCAGCGTCCTGTGAGTGGGCGAGCAGGTCTCTGCTTCCCTGCATGGCTTGGAGCTTCGACTTTGTCTCGGGCAGGCAGGGGAGTGTGGGGAGGGGCTGAGCCTCACCTTCCTGTGGGCATCCCGCCCCACCATCCAGCTGGCACCCCCTGTGGACATCTCCCCCCAGCCTCTTTCCTCTCCTGGGCAGTGAGTGACTGCCCGCTTTGAGCCACGGGGGCCCTTTTTGGAGAAAGGCCATGTGAAAAGGGATTTCACATTGAGGTCTGCTTCCTGTTTAAG
This sequence comes from Homo sapiens, assembly GCF_000001405.40. Taxonomy (NCBI): domain Eukaryota; kingdom Metazoa; phylum Chordata; class Mammalia; order Primates; family Hominidae; genus Homo; species Homo sapiens. Next base: position 226,644,087 of record NC_000001.11, on the reverse strand, counting down.
GGGGTGCTGAGAGCTCTTTGCAGAAGTGCAGCCACCCACCATGCGGTCCCCTACAGCGCCCTCAGGAGTCCCTCCCACAGCCTGGCTGCCCCTTTTCTACACAGTACACACATGGATGCACACGCAGCCCCTGCCTCAATGCCCCCGTCACCACTGACCTGGCTCTGCATGTGAGGGGTGTGCTCTGTGCGTGTCCTGCATGGGTGCACCTGTGTGTGTGCAGTGGTGCACAGGAGTCCGCGTTTATGTGCATGTGTGTGCATGAGCACATGTGTGTGTATGTGCGCACATGGTTGTGTGTGCATGCAAGGGCCCAACCCAAAGCTACTGACTTCCCCCTCCAGCCCTCATCACCTCCTGGAAGGTCCTAACCAGCCAGGCCTAAGTTCACACCCAAAGGATTTGTTTTTTTCTTCCCTTTTCTTTCCGTGCAAATTTCAATTAATACAGTGGTTTCTAAAGCCTGTCATTTTTAAGAGGCTGTAGTTTTTGTTTAGTCTGTTCTGGGTCCCAAACCAGCAACTTGGAGAAGTTGGTGGGCAGTGTTGGAACAAGGCCTGGGAGACAGATGCAGGAAGAGTGGAGGGCCAGGTGGAGGGCAGGCGGGCGGGGCCTCTGTGGGCAGCTCCCGCCCACACAGGGCAAAGGGGAGAAAACTTCCCCATCCTGCAACTGACACTGCTGATTTCTGCCTCCTCAAGGGCTGTGGGCAGCCTCTGAGCCTGTTGTGTAGGGAGACTGGGGCTCTAAAAGGAGAGCAGAGGAGCGGGGGTGGGATGACTCACCCCACCTCTGCTCTGGAGAAGGTAGAAGCGCAGAGCTGTGTGCTGGGGGAGGTGGCGTGTCCCGGCAGCTCAGGGCCAGCGATTCAGCCCCCGGCTGCTCAAGTGCTCTGCTGTCCCTGCCCCTGTTACCTTCCCCAGTGTCTAGGTGGTCCCCGCCAGTTCAGCTGGAGCTGCTCGTGTGGAGGCCAGGGCCGTGAGGCAGTTGAGTTGGAAGCATTTTCTCAGGCTTTTTGGACTGGGGGCTCACCTATGAGGAGGCCTGGTGTCGATGGGGTGGGGTGCACCAGGCATGTCTCTGGGATGAGCAGAGGCTGAGGGAGCCCCCTGCCTTTCCCCCACAATACGGCCTTCTCCATCCACACTGGGACCCCTTCCAAGGCCACTTTCTGACCTGAACTTTGTGCTCCAGAAGATTTCACCTCTTTGGAAAGAGCCAGAGACACTTATGGGCAGGCTCAGCCTTCAGGCTGCCTGAGAGCAGCAGAGATGGGGACTTGAGGACAGACCACTTCTCCCACCAGGACAGGTTCTGGCTTTGGAAGCCCTCGCTTTATGGAAGGGCCGAGGCAGCCAAGGGGATCTAGTGGGGCCCTGAGTAGACCCTGCCCCCAGTCCCCTCTCTTAGCTCCACCGTAGCAGCAGGATCAGGACCAGCCACCCCCGACACCCCCTGCTGCCCTGCCTCCGTCTTCCTTCTTCTGCTGGTTCCTGTGGGGGTCTCCCGAGGAGGAGCTCCTTGGGCTTTGTGAGGCCAGCCGATGGGCTTGGAGTGAAAGTGAAGGCAGTCCGATTCAGTGAGGCTGCACCTTTTCTCCTGGATCAAGAGCCAACCCCAGGCTGGGTGGTGGTGCACACCTGTAATCCCAGCACTTTGGGAGGCCAAGGTGGGAGGATCACTTGAGGCTAGAAGTTTGAGACCAGCCGGGGCAACATAGCGAGACTCCCTTATCTACTAAAAAAATTGTCTAAAAAAAAAAGAAAAGAAAAATTAGAGCCAGCCCCAGCTGGAACAGAGTCTGCCGTCCCCTCGGAAAGACGTGCCTTGACTCAGGGCACTGAGCTGACTGCAGCTGTTGGGCAACACACGCCCCAAACCTTCATCCACCAGGCAGGAAAGGAGCTGCTGGTGAGCCCTGCCCCAGGCCTCGGCCCTCATGTCGCCTTCCCTCCCACGTAGGACCTACCTGGAGGAGGAGCTCACGAAGGCCCGGAAGAAGCCCAGCCTGCGGAAGGACATGTACCAGAAGATGATCGAGGTGGACCCCGAGGCCCCCACCGAGGAGGAAAAAGCACAGCGGGCTGTGACCAAGCCACGGTACATGCAGTGGCGGGAGACCATCAGCTCCACGGCCACCCTGGGGTTCAGGATCGAGGGAATCAAGGTGAGGCCGGCGAGTGAGGGCAGCCTCGGGCCCCACCCGTGCCCACCTCAGGGGGCTTGGCTTCTCTCAGCGCCCTTTGGAAGCTGTAAGCTTCTCCAGGCACAGGCTCAGAATGTGGGTGGCCCGCCCCAAGGCCAGACATTTGGAGACATCAGCCTATTCCTCAGGCGGGATGGCTGTGTAGGGGGCTCAGGCCTCAGAGCAGAGTGGCTTCTAGCCCTGCCCAGCTGTCAGCCCTCTGCCGAGGACTCTCCATTTAGCCCAGACGGTGCCTGGCACCGAAAGCCAGGCGAGAGGCACCTGCGGGATGCCTGTGGGGTAGCTGGTTCATTCTGCCATGGCTGCAAACTGGGACTGGCAGACAATTCGGGGAAGGGAGGAGCATGCTGACCGCCTTTGATGTTGGAGCCAGGGTCTCTGAGAAACTGCATTCTCTCTGCTTTGCTCTTCGATCTTTTTTTGGAAATTTTAAAATATTTATTGGAACAGAAATAGAAACATAAGCTCCAAAGAAACAACATGACAAACTTTATAAGTAAATGTAATTTTCCCCTAATTAATATATTTACTTTGTGTTTGTGGTTTACAAAATGATGGCTCTTTCCCTTCTATCCCTTTGTACCTATGTGTATCTGGCAGGAAAGTTCTTAGCTCTGGCTATGGGCACACAGAAGCTTCCTATACATGATTATGTTCAAATGTTGATTTACTTTCCCCAGAATAAATTGGGGAACTGGCACTGTCTGGATTGGTGACTGTCTGGATGATCTCCCTGTCCCTGGGCCCCTGTGTGCACCCTTGCTGTTAAATTTGCAAGAGCCGGGCTTTGGGGCGCCGGCCCCTCAGGGTCTCAGAAGCTGTCCCTCTTGAGCAGATGGCAGTCCCTGTGGGGTTGTCGGGTCTCCCATTCTCTGTCCAGTCATGGTCTGCATCATCTCCAGTGTCCAGCCTGGAGTCAGGGTTGGGCAGCCGATGGTCCTGATGGGAGGGTCCCCTGAGCCTCCTTTCAGATGGCATTTAGACGTAGCTTCCGCAGCTGTCAATGGCTCGCTGCCCACGGTGGCATGTGGGGAAGTTTTTACCTTCCCCCGGGACAGCTGCTTTGCGAGCTCTGGGCTGAGAAAGGCATTTGCCCCCTTCTTTGTCTTTTGAAACCAGCCCTTCCCTCTTTTTTGCATCCAGCTCTGAGACTGGATGCAAATTCCGTACCCATCCGCCTTCTCCTTAACGCTCGCTTTCCTTTCTTTATTAGAAACAATCCACTTTCCCTTCACCTCTCCCTCTCGAGCAGGATGTGCTCCTGGTCTCTGTCTATTGTCCAGCCGTCAGAACAGCCGACAGCCTGTCTTCCCACTCAGAGAGAAGCCAGCTGTCTTCACCATCACCTGCCTGCCCCGCCCTTAGCTAAGAGGCTCTGCCTGGGGTGCACTGCCCACAGCCCCCGGCTCTCGGCCCCTCCTGCACCCAGGGCTGCTCCCTCAGCCCCAGGTCCTGCCAGTCCTGTCGAAGGCAGCCACAGTGAGGACACAGCTGAAGTACTCTCCAGCCTGAGGGCAGACACGGCCCACTGTTGGGACTCCTGGTGGAGCATTCCCTTTGTCCCTAAAGAACAGATTTCCTCATAGGTCAGCAAAGCCCCACATGAGGGCCCAGGACAGCCTGAACAGAGATAGTGCTGGGGCCAAGAAGATGGGAGTGGGGTGGGCGAGGGAGCAGAGATGGGCAGGGCTGTATTGGATCCTGGCTTTCAGAAAACGTGAAAGAAGAGATGGTAGATTATAAAGGAAGTCAAGCTGAGCTCAGGGCGGGAGCAAGTCTCTCCTCCCTGTGCTGAGGGGAGGTGCCTCTGGCGGGCAGGGACCTCCGGGCACCGGTTCCAGGGCCCGGGCCCCAGAGTGGGAAGTCGAGGCCGACCCTCTCTCTTGGCCCTGCTGTTGCACCCAGGACAGGCCAGCCCCGGGTCATGCTCCTCCATCCTCAGCCTGGATGCCCTTCACACCTCCGGGCCTTTCCTACCACTGTTCACTCGCCTGGGGATGTCAGCGCCACCCTCTGCGTTCTCCTGTGTCTGGGCACAGGGCAGGCTCCCCTCTGCTGTGCACGCCACCTCCATGCGCCATACGTGGACACCTGGGTGCCTCCACTGGCCCTGCCCCAGGTTCAGATGGGGCTCGCCTGCTCTGTGGTGTTGGGTGGGTGAGAACAGTTTCTGCCCGAGGGTCCCTGCTGACCCCCTCCTGGGTGGGGTGTTCTCTTTCTCAGAAAGAAGACGGCACCGTGAACCGGGACTTCAAGAAGACCAAAACGAGGGAGCAGGTCACCGAGGCCTTCAGAGAGTTCACTAAAGGAAACCATAACATCCTGGTGAGTCTGGCACCTCCAGAGAGGGTCTCTCCAGCCAGCCAGGGAGGGACAACTGTGTCTACTCTGGAGGTGCCCATGGGGAGGACAAGGCACCCCCAGGGACAGCACACCCCAGCCCGAGTTCGTAGGGCTCTGTAGAGAGGCCACTGGCAGAGACTTTTGTGGCTCTCTCACTCTGCCCTTTCAAAAGTCAAAGGCACGCCGGGCACAGTGGCTCACGCCTGTAATCCCAGCACTTTGGGAAGCTGGGGCAGGTGGATCACCTGAGGTCAGAAGTTTGAGACCAGCCTGGCCAACATGGTGAAACTCCATCTTTACTAAAAACACAAAAATTAGCCGGACATGGTGGCGCATGCCTGTAATTCCAGCTACTTGGGATGCTGAGACAGGAGAGTCACTTGAACCTGGGAGGCGGAGGTTGCAGTGAGCTGAGATTTTGCCATTGCACTTCAGCCTGGGCAACAAGAATGAAACTCTGTCTGGGAAAAAAAAAAAAAAAAAAGTCAAGGGCACTGAAGTTAGTACCCAGGAAGGTTTGTATCCATCCTGGCCCCAGGCTTCTGCTTGGAAAGTAAAGAAGAAGGCGATGTGCTTGTCCCTGGCGTGCGGCGGGTAGGCGGGGAAGCTTGGCGGACACTCACTGACTCTCCCTTAGCCATCGGCCCCATAGCTCCAGAGAGCATTTCCCATGCCCTGAGAGAGAGAACAGTGCCCGCCGTCTGCCAGGTGTCATGCCAAGCGTGCAGCAAATCTTCACAGCAGACCTGCTGTGGGTAGACCTGCTTGTCCCCATCTTGTGTGCCCGAGGTCACGCTGCTCCCTGCCAGCAAGAGCTGGCGAGCTGTCTCCGAGTCCAGGAGTGTGGGTTGTACAAGTTCATGACAAAGTTCTGTCTTGTGTGTTGCTGCTGCAGCGGCTCGCAGACTGGATAGATGCTCTGCCCACAGGGACCAGAGCACTGACCCTTCCAGCTGAGTCAGGGAATATTGTGCCACTGTGCCCCAAGTGCACGGCTCCCTGGGACAGTCAGAGATCCAGGCACATCTGGGACACGGGCCCTGGAGCCCCTGTGAATGGCACCTTCTGAACAGTCCACAGCAGCTGCAGAGCAAGTGGGGGCGGACCAGGCAGCCGTTTCTCCAAGGAGACTCAGTACCGGCTGGAACTGGGAAATCTTCCTTTTCCAGCTGGGGAGGCTTCCCTTGGCTCCTGGCAAGCTCTGAGGCTGCAGGCAGGGGGAATGTGCCTGACTCTTTCGTAGCCCAAGTCCTCCAATTCCTGAGTCCCTTGCAGGGGAGGATCTCAGCCCCTAAGCAGTGGCCACCATGGAACATGCCTCCTATGCCTGGGGTTTGTTCCTGGTGCTGAAGACTCCAGGGGGCTGCTCGGCTGGCCCGGCCAGCTGTCACTCTTTTCCAGCAGGCATTGAGGAACTCTGTGTACCTGTGTATGACGAGCTTCCCAAGGCAGCCCGGGGGTGAGACCCACAGAGCTGGCTTCTGGGGAAGATGGGGCACCCCCCAAGGCCAGCAAAGCTTGACATGGGTTTATAGGGCTCCATGGAGAGGGCACTGGGAGAGATATTTGTGGTTCTCTCTCTTACCCTGTCCTTTCAAAAGTCAAAGGTACTGACATTTATGCTGAGAAAGACGCCACAGCAGCCCTGCTCGCAGGAAGCTGCCTCTAGATGTCCGGCGTTTAGGGTAAAGCACATTCACGGGAGGGACCACTAGAGGCCGCATGGGTGTTCTGACACTGCCCTTCCCCACGCGGCGCTTAAAAATCTGGTCCTCTTTCTATTCCCAGATCGCCTATCGGGACCGGCTGAAGGCCATTCGAACCACTCTAGAAGTTTCTCCCTTCTTCAAGTGCCACGAGGTAGATACTGGGCTTTTGCCCTCTTGAGCAGAATGCTGCGCGTGCCAACAGGCCTTCTCCTTCTCCTTCCAGAAGCCCGGGGCATCGGGCATTTTCAGGGTGGTGCAGCCAGAGGCAGGCCATCAGGGACCAGACCCTCGCTGCACGGGGGAGCTGCGTCTCAATGCTTCCTGGGGTGACCACACGGGCTGTCCTGCCTGAGACCCCTGGCTATTGCCCCCTTTCTCCTCCCTTGTCCTTCCAGCTCCAGAGTCTTGTCCATTCTGGGCAGTGGTGGCAGGACTCATATCCCACACACCCGTGGTCTCAGGGCAGAAGCTCTCTGAGCTGCTAGAGTAGCCAGGCACCCGCCGACCGCCACCTACATCTTCAGATGAGACCCTGAGGAGGGCAGGCAGGTCTTCAGGTGCCACTCTCGGGCAGGGCTGGAATCTCCCAACTTTGCATACGTTGGTTGGCAGGGGCAGCAGGCAGCAGGTGGGGAACTGAGACACCTGAGAGAGGCTCTGGGAGGTGTCGGCAGGTTCCCTGGAGGGGTGTGAGACCCTGACATGGGGAGTCCAGGTCCCCAGCCACATGACACATTCACACACACATTCACAGATCCCACACTCATCAATCCTATACCACACACATTCACAGATCACACTCATAAACCCTACATGCACACACCTTCACAGATCACACTCAAACCCTACATGCACACACATTCACAAATCACACACATTCACACACATGCAGATCAATCACATGCATGCACACACATTCATACAGCACATTAACACAAGTCATACGTATACAAACACACACATGTATTCATATATCCACACACATTTTTGTGTGCACACCCACTCATACACAAACATGCATGCCTTTCCCAGTCTCACACACACACACACACACACACACACACACACACACACACAGAGCTGCAGTCCTGGGGCTGGCTAATCCCATGGGTGGGTGGGTGTGAAGCGGGATCCTGCGGCTCCCTGCAGCTGTGTAGGTAGTTCAGGAAAGCAGCCCCTCTCGTAGGGACTCTCTTGTGGAGGTCCTCTTGTATGGGGTCTTACATGGAGGTGGCCTCAGCCTCAGCCTATGCCCACAGAGAAGGCTGCGGAGCCAGCAGGAGGAACTCATAGGGTCAGCCCTGAGGCAGCCAGCAGGGCGGTGCATCTTTCTGCAAACTACACCACCAGGCCTCCTCAGGCAGATGGTCTACCTTGCTCTGCATGTCATTCCCTGCGGGGCGCCTGGAGAGGATGGCTGCGAGGAGGGGGTGGCACACCCAGAGAGGAGACTCAGGCTTTGCTGTGCCCCTAGCAGGGAGCTCGGTCCTTCTCGGAATGTTCTTTGCTCTCCTTGTCCCCCAGACCCTCAGCTCCTCCTGTGGCCTCTCCTTTCCACTTGATGAAGCATCCTCCTGCCACCTGCCAGAGCCCCCTTTGCCCCAGCTGCCTCTCTGGACGATGGGGGTGCTGCCTGGCTGCCTGACCCCAGGGGCCAAGCCTGGGAGAACTTAAGGCCACAGAGCTCTGTCTCAAAGCCGTTCCCACCCTTCTTCAACACTTCTGCTTTTATTTCTTGGAAAAGCATTTTGTTCTACACTTTTTGGGGTCTCCCTTAAGGTCTAGAAAGAGGCCAAATCAGCTTGGGTCTGTTGTTTTCCACCTGCGAAGAGGAAGCCCCTTTTTTGGGCTCAGCCTCGCCAGGGGCCCCACCTGCCCTGCACTGCTGGAAGCTGGAATGTCACCTGAGCCCTTTCTGTGCCCCCGGCCTTCCTCTGGCCCCACTGAGGTGATGCAGGGGTATGTGTGGCCATATTTGGGAAAGCGCCTCGCTCCCATGCAGAGGCTCTGAGCTCACCCAGGAGGGGCAGGCTCTTTGGTGCCCACTATCCCTGGGCCAGGCTGGGAAGGCCCTATAGGGTCTGCCCACGCTGAATCTGCAGGGGTTGTGCTGCTGGGGTGGGGGTGCTGTGTGCATTTGAAACAGGTTCTTCACCACCCCCGCCCCGGGATAGTTTGGACGCTCCTGGGCACCTTCCCCTTCACTGTGGTTCCCTGCAGAGTGTTTGGGAGGAGTCAGGTTCTAGGAGGCGGAAGGGCGAGGCCCCAGATTGGGTTGTGGTCTAGAAAGAGTGGAAAGTTTGCCCAGGTGCAGTGTGATTCATGCCCGTAATCTCAGCACTTTCCGAGGCCAAGGCAGGAGAATGGCTTGAGCTTAGGAGTTTGGGACCAGCCTGGGTAACATAGTGAAACCCTGTCTCTACAAAAATAAAAAACAAAAAGTTAGCCGGGCATCGTGGTGCATGCCTGTAGTCCCAACTACTCGGGAGGCTGTGGTGGGAGGATCGCTTGAGCCTAGGAGATCAAGGCTACAGTAAGCTGAGGTTGCACCACTGCACTCCAGCTGGGGCGACAGAGTAAGACCCTGTCTGGAAGGAAGGAAGGAAGGGAAGAAAGGAAGGAAAAGAAGGAAGGCAGGAAGGAAGGAAAGAAAGAGGGAGGGAAGGAGTGGAAAGTGTGCAGGCCAGAGTCAGGGGGTGAAGGGGTGCCTGCTGCTGCCCACACAGAAGGGTGGTCGCCGACCCTGGAACCCGATGCCCTCTGCCCAGGCATGGCCATTCTTGGGCCGGCTCTGCTGCCTGTCTGAAAATGGGGATTGGAATTGCAGGCACCCAACTGTCCGGCCTGAGCGAGCCTCCCCACCTGGTCACCCAGGCCCCGGGCCGCAGTGGGGAGGGCGAGGCCCGGGCTTCAGCTCACCCTTCACCCCCATGTTCTCCTCAGGTCATTGGCAGCTCCCTCCTCTTCATCCACGACAAGAAGGAACAGGCCAAAGTGTGGATGATCGACTTTGGGAAAACCACGCCCCTGCCTGAGGGCCAGACCCTGCAGCATGACGTCCCCTGGCAGGAGGGGAACCGGGAGGATGGCTACCTCTCGGGGCTCAATAACCTCGTCGACATCCTGACCGAGATGTCCCAGGATGCCCCACTCGCCTGAGCTGCCCACGCCCTCCCTGGCCCCCGCCTGGGCCTCCTTTCCTCCTCCTGTGCTTCCTTTCTCGTTCCTAACTTTTCCTTCACTTACACCTGACTGACCCTCCTGAACTGCACTACAAGACACTTTGTAGAAGAGGAGATGAGAGTTTCTAGTCATTTTCCTAACTTCAGGGCTTGGAGGTGGTGTTTGCACTGCTTTTTGTAGAGAGGGTCACCTACTAGAAGAGAAATGCCCAGTCTTAGAGGTGGGTCAGGTGTAGAGCTGGAGGGGGTCCCTGGCTGCTGAGGGGACCCTACCAGATGAGCCCTGCCTCTGGGAGCCCCCTAGGAAGCACCAGCCTGGACCTACCACCTGCGGAGGCCTGCTGCCCCCTGGCGGCCAGTGCTGTTAGAGTGCTGCCAAGCACAGCCTTATTTCTGCCGGGGCCTCCCCACCGGAGAGCCCAGGGGGCCGGCCGGGTTCCTGGTCCCTGGCTGGGAGCAGGGCTTTCTGGTAGTTGGGGCACAAAACCATCGGGGAACCACATGTTGACTGTGAGCAAAGTGTCTTCCGATTAGCAGCCTCAGGGATGCCCTGGTGGCCTCTCCAGGGCTGCTCAGGCAAGGCCCCCCACCCATCTGGTATGGAAACCTGCCGGCTCCAGGCCAGACCCAGGAGCCAAGAGAAGGCTGAAGCCAGCTTGGCTGTGTTCTCTGATCTAGGCCTTCCCAGAGGAGGCGAGCAGAAGCTGTGCCACTTGGAATTGCAACCCATGAGTTCAGAAGGCACACTCTGCCATGCTGAGCTCCAAGGGTGCTACCAGGGGAAGATGGGATCTATAGAGTCTCTGGGCCCTGGCCCCAGGGAGGAGCACATTTTTCTTGACCCTCACCTACCTGGTGCTAGTTGGTCAACCCTGCCTGCATACATGGGCTCCTGTCATGGGGCCCAGAGTCCCTTGCAGATATAGAAATAGGGGAGGAGCTCAGGTCTGCGCCAGGCAGGAAGAAGGCAGGCTTCTGGCTTCCAGAGGTGCCGCGGTGGCCTCCTGGCATCATTTGTTATTGCCTCTGAAACAAGCCTTACTGCCTGGAGGGCTTAGATTCCTGCTTCTCCAATGTAGTGTGGGTATCTTGTAGGGTATGTGGTGGATGCCAGGGCGTGCTCCAGGCACCTCTTCCTGAAGTCTCTGCATTTGGAGATTCGTGGAGAACCTATTTAAGCCCAATTTTAACTGAAAGCCAGTGAGTCTGATATGGAAGGGAATGTAAAATTTGCCTGACTTCTTAAGAACAAAACCCCCAGCTCTGTGCCCCATGCTCCTTGGGGCTTGCCACCCACTCCTTTGCTGTCAGAGGTACAGGAGCTGGGAGAGTCCAGGAGCTAGGGACACAGAGGGAGACTATGGACCAAGGTGTGTGTGTCTGGAGGAACCACTGCCCACCCCACCACCCCGGGGTCTCTGGGGAACTGTCAACCTGCCCACGGGACATGTACATTTCCCCTTTTGTGCTGGAAGTGTGAGTGACACTTGCTGGGGGTGGAGGGTGGGACACATGAGGATGTATAAGTACAGATTTTAAAAAAGGAAATCAACTTACACTTCCTGGCTCTTGTTTAAAACAGTGGTGAGCTCCTGTGTGGGCCGACTTGCTAAAGGTCACACACGCGCCCGGTGGAGCACGAGAGACCTCGTGGCAGCATGTGATCTGGAAGGCAGGCAGGACGGGGGCGTTGGGGAGCCAAAGTCAACTCTGGGCCTCTGGAGCTATAGTGACTTTTGGGCTAGAAGGGACCCTGGTGGTCTGTGCTTCAGCCATTTGCAGGGCAGGGGCATCATTAATTCAGACGTAAAGATTCTATGAATATGGACTGGCCAAAAGTTATCCTTACTCCATCTGTGAAAGAAGTTTGCTAAAGCAAATCATGATATGAACAAAAATTACAGGGGACCTGTTTAAGAGAACAAAATGTTCCAAGCACTTTAGGCAGACACCAGCTGTTTGCAAACAATGTGCTAATATGCAAATGATGTGCTTATTAAAGGAGGCCCATGGGGCCTCTTATTGGCAATACTTGGCTGTGGGTTACATTAAATATGTGAACATAGTATGAAGTAGCATCATTTTAGGGTTATTCTGTTACTTAGGGTTTTTGTTTTCTGTTTTTTTTTTCTCTTTTTTTGTATTTACCGTGCTAGTTCTCTTCTACACCTACTCTGTCTCTCAAGCCATTTTGCCACTCGCTTCCCTGCCATCTGGCCCTTCCCTTTGTCTCAGTGGGATAGATGGATTGTGAAATGGAATCTCCCAGAACCCCTGCCCTGGCAGCCTGGAAGACCGTGCCTGCCCAGCCCTCGTCACCACAGGGACTCCTTGGGTCCTGGCAGTGCATGTGCCAGCAGGCAGGACAAACTCTGTGTACCTGTGCCCAGGTGAATGGGCGCAGGGTCCTCTTGCCCTGTCCTGCGGGGGGCCCCACGAGTTCCTGGCATTCAGCACTGCTTAGCATTCTCGGAAGGTTTCTTCAACTGCTTGCTTTTCCCAGGCTTGCCTTTAGTGTCATGTAAGACATTTTTAAGTTATATTTATTTTGTTGGGTTTTAAAATTGCACAGAACACTAAGACCGAAAGGCTGGACTCTTGTTTCTCCTTGAAAGCTTTGCCTTTGTTTTGAACTTCCTTTCCCACTTGGTAGAAAGAGCCCAGAAGCAGCCCTGGCCCTGTAAGATGGACTCTTTCATCCTTCAGTTGTATTTAGCTTTGAGTTTCTCTGCATCTGTCCACCCCATGTGTATATAACCCAGCCCCTGGCTCTGGGGTGGTCACCTCGTCAGTGCCTTTTGTTCTGGAGGAGAGGACCCCCCCCGCCTGCCGAGAGGCTCTCTTCCTGTTCTGCACCCCTCTCCCCATGGGACCTTGGAGAAAACTGAACTGTTACAAACCCCTGCACAGTGCCTGTCAAACAGATGCAAACCTTCCTGAATAAAGCCTTGGAGACCAGCGCTGTCTGTGGTGTGATCCTTCTGGCCCCCAGCCCTGAGACCTGGCTGAGGGGCAGGCTGGGGAGTCTTAGGAAGCTAGAGGGCCCACATGGGGGCTGTTAGGGGAGTGGGTGTCAGACTGGGTAACATTTTAATTTGTAAAGAATATAAACCACTCTCCAAAATGAGTCTTTTCAACCCTCATGAAACTTTGAAATAGTAGCTCAGAGACTAGAACATCAACCAAGAAGCACTGTCCCCAAGTAGGGGGGTCTCCGGTGCAGCGATCGCTTCTGGGGCCTTACTCTAAGCTAGACTGGGGCTGAACACGCCCATCGGAGTTCCCGTTTTACCCAGATCAATTCCCTGAACAAAGATTTATAGTCTGTTTTACAGATGAGGAAACTGAGGTTTAAATGAAGCAACTTGACCTAAGTGGGGAGCAGGGATTTGAATCTAGAATGTGCCTTGATTGAAAACCAATTTTGTCGTCCTCCTAACTGGCAGTGGGGGGGTGTGGGGAGCAGTGTCTGGAGGGCAGAAAGCTTGTCTTATTTTTGTCCCAGATCCCAGGCTCTAAGCCTCTGACTTGGCACACGGTAGCAGCCCAGGGAGGGTCTGGAGAACTAGTTCATGGCTACTTGGCTGGGGCATCCAGGAAAGACCTTTGGGGGTGAAGCCCCTGCCACACATCATGATGGTTTCACCATCTGCTACCGTACACTTTTCCTTTAGTCCTCTCCCTAGCTCTGGATTGCTGGGGGCTTCATTTGCAGAACTCAGAATTCTTTATTTGGAGGTGGAGGTCCTTCCTTCTTCTCCTTTCTCCTTTCTTGTTTCCTTTCCTCCCTTCCTCCTCCCTCCCTCTTTTCTTTTCTTTTCTCTTCTCTTTTCTTTTTTCTTTTCTTTTCTCTTTCTTTCTTCTTCTTTCTCTCTCTCTCTCTCCCTCCCTTCCTTCTTTCTTCTTTTTGCCTCCTCCTCTTCCTCCTTCTCTCTCTCTCTGTTTCTTTCTTTTTTTAACAGTCTTCCTCTGTTTCCCAGGCTGGAGTGCGGTGGCACGATCATGGCTCACTACAGCCTCCACCTCCTGGGCTCATGTGATCCTCCCAACTTAGCCTCCTGAGTAGCTGGGACCACAGGCATGCACCACCACGCCCAGCTAATTTTTTTGCATTTTTTGTATAGATGGGGTTTCACCATGTTGCCTAGGCTGGTCTCAAACTCCTGGCCTCGACCAGTCCTCCTACCTCAGCCTCCCCAAGTGCTGGGATTACAGGTATAAGCCACCGCGCCCAGCTGCATCCTTTCTTTATCATCACTCTGAGAAGTGATAGGCTGTGAGTACAGATGATGAAAGCCACAGGGCCTTTGCACCTGCTCTCCACAGGCTGGCATGTGGTAACTATGCTTCCTTCAGATTTTTGTGCCTTCACTTACATGGTATTGTTGGTGATGCTACAGCAACCAGCTCTGCAGGTGCCAAGCAATGTCCAGCAATGGAGCCCTTTATTGCCTTGAGAAGGGTGGGCCATCCAACTGCAGAATTCCACCCTGCGGTCTGTTTTCTAAGGAGACCAGCTGTCCCGTTTGTGTCCTTGCAAACCTGGATGGTCAGTCACCAGTTGCTTTCCAGGACCACTGCTGGCACCAATTGCCTTAGCCTGGGCCCCCTAGAAACAGGTCACTGTGGCCACTGCTTGGCAGCAAGTGTGATTGACTCCTTAGTCTCATGGGATGTCTTCAGAGACACTGTGTGAACTGCCGTGTCTGGGGACAGTCCTCCTAGAGGAGGCAGGGATAGAAATATCTGTGCCAGCTCCCGCTGGCTCTGTCTCCCAGTGGTCAGTCTTCCCAGAGGGTGTGATTTCTGGGGTGGCACCGTCAGCCTCTCCAGTAACCATGGAGCCCCTGAGCCTGTGCACAGATGTCACATCTCCATAGCATGTCCCTGCGGTGGTGGCAGCATTGGTGATGTGGCTCCAAGACCACAGGCACCGTACTGGCCATGGCTGGGTGGCTGCAGTCTGGCACATTGTGTAAACTAAGTTTGGATGGGACCTTTTTCCAGCAAACGCCAGCAAGGCAGCGTCCATCCAGCCCCCAGCCCCTGCCGGTCCTCTCTGCCCCTTGTATGTCCTCGACTGAGGGCTTCACCCTTTTATTCGATTGGGCAGGAGGCTGGGGTCACATGGGACTGCCCCCCAATTCTGGTCTGGGTAGGGGAGAGAAGCTGAGAATAAAGGAGCTCCGCAGGGTGCCACGGTAGGTTGACTGTGGAGTGCTCAGCAGTGTTGGTGAGAGGAGACCGTCTCCATACCAGGGCACACCAGAACAATACTCCTCGAACCAGTCTGAGAATTGGCGATGAGGGAAAGACCCTGCGAGAGGCACTGGGAGAGGCCTGCTTCTAAGCAGCTGTGGGCCGGGTCAGCCCTGCGACCTCTCCTCCCCACCTCTGCTAGGGCACCACAATCTCTGGGAGGTCTTCACTGACGTCCAGATGGTCGCTTGTGTTAACATGGTAGTTCTTCACCTTTTGGGTCACATATACCTTAGATAATTTAGAGGAAGCTGTAAATCTCTCCAGAACAACTCATATGCATGTACACAAATGATTCTATGTACAAATTTAGGGACCCACGGACACCCCCCAGCCTCCAAAGTCCATTGGTAAATGCCCAGATGGTGTATGGGCCCAGGCTTGTAATAACCCTGCCCAGTAAGACATCATGGACGAGTGGCCCCTTCGCCTGCTGCCTCTAGTGTGTGACATTTCTGTGCGTCAGAGACCTGCCTGGCCCCTGGCCCCCTCTTTTCCACTCCCTTAACCGCCCAGCTTCTGAACAGGCGTCACCTTAGAAATATGGCCCACCTGATTTCCTAAATAGTCTATTGGAAACAGCCATGCCATTAATTTATGTTTGGTCTGTAACTGCTTTAGTACTATAATAGCAGAGTTGAATTGTGTAGTTGTCACGGAGACCGCGCGGCTGCAAAGCCTAAAATATTTACCATCTGGCCCTATACAGAGAAAGTTTGCCAACTCCTGCCTGAGAATAATGGCAACCAGTAGCAATTAAAGATTGCTTTGTGCCAGGCACCATACCAGGTGATTAAAGCTAAGTAGCTTAATCTTTATAAAAAAGTCTATGATCAGCTTCGTCGACCCCACTTTGTAGGTAAGAAAGCAGAGGCACAGAGAGGGTGAGTAACTCATCTAAGATCACACAGCTGGTAGGCAACAGATGCAGGCTTTGAAACAAGGTTCAAAACCTTTCCCTGACTCTGCGCCCTATTCCTGAGCAGTCCAGGAGGTCTCCACAGCAGCGGGGTTTGCCCCGGCACCAGCACTATTCTGGGACTACTGAGACAGCCGTTGTCAAGCTGAGTCCTGGTTTGGGGACCTGGCCAGGCCCTGTGGAGTATGGACAGCTGAGTTGCAGCAACCCTTGGCTCTAGCCCCCAAGATCAACTGGCAGGACTTGCTCTCCAGCAGGACTGGGGGAGTTGGGGTGGGGTGGGGATATGGTTTGGCTCTGTGTCCCCCCACTCAAATCTCATCTTGAATTGTAATCACCACATGTCGAGGGAGGGACCTGGTGGGAGGTGATTGGATCATAGAGGTGGTTTCCCCCCTGCTGTTCTCATGATATAAGTGAGTTCCCACAAGATCTGATGTTTTAAAAGTGTTTGGCATTTCCCCGCCTCGCTCACTCTCTCCTGCCACCACGTAAGACGTGCCTTGCTTCCTCTTTGCCTTCTGCCATGATTGTAAGTTTCCTGAGACTTCCCCAACCATGCAGAACTGTGAGTCAATGAAACCTTTTTTTTCTTCATAAATTACCCAGTCTTAGGTAGTTCTTTATAGCAGTGTGAAAATGGACTAATGCAGGTGGGGACCCTGGGTCTCTCTAAGGAGGCACTGTTTTTGTTCTGGGCTCTCTGAAACCCTTCAGGGGAGCACAACCTAGGCACCCCCCACACCCCAGTCCTCTCTCCTCACAGCAGACTGACTGTGCAGAACCAAGTTTACTCTTTAGCTCACAGGCTGGCTCCCATGCCCTCCCACAGAAACACGGAATATTATCCTAGTTCCCACAAACACCTCGAAACAGTGGACAAGTCATTTTTCTTGCTGTTTTACTGCAACAGCTGTGGCCCGCTCCTGGCATTTCAAGTGCCATGCATGGGCCTGAGATGACAAATTCAACAAGCAAGTGAGAAAGGGAATGGCAAACCAGGAGTGAGAAGATGGATTTCATGCTTTAGCAAGACATGAGGGCTTGCAGGGTTTTTTTTAAACAAGAAAATAACGAGTTGATGTAATAATGACAACAATAATACAAGAGAGGGTCAAAGTGCCATCAGACACCTGTCTCAGTCTGTTTGGACTGCCATAAAAACACAGCACACACTGCATGGCTTAACTGAAATGTATTTTCTCACAGGTCTGGAGGGTGGAAAGTCCAAGATCAAGGCCAGGCTAGTTCAGTTTCTAAGGAGGGCTCTCTTCCTGGCTTGCAGACAGCCACCTTCTCACTACGTCCTCACACTGCAGAGAGCACACTCCTCTGCTTATAAGGCAACTAGCCCTATTGGGTTAGGGCCTCACCTTTATGACCCATTCAACCCTTACCATCTCCTCACACGCCCTATCTCCAAATACACATGAAGGGTTAGGGCTTCAACATTTGAATTTGGGGTCGATAACGGTGCATCTGTTGCTAACTAACATCCTGGACGGTTTCTAACTTCCAACCTGTACCTTTTCAAACTTGTGAATGAGTAAAGCAGTTTTGGGGGGAAAAAGTGCAATGCTAATTTCTGTGGCTTTCAATGTGGCAACATGTGTTTGGGTTATTTTAAAAATAGCTTCTGCAAATTATGGACAAACAGTATCTTACAGAGCCAGTTTGCTGTCGACAGCAGCCCTGTTTTTATTTCAATGGAAAAAAAAATGCCCAATTTTAGTCATGCTTTCTGAGAACACGTGCTGGAGTGAGATCAAGAGGGCCGCCTACAGAGGCGTCTGAAATAGCCTGGCGCCGCCTGCAGAGGCTGCCCCCTTCTGGACGGTCGGGTGCATTACAAGGTGCCCGAAGAAAAGGAAGACGGGTCAGGAGCTCAGCGACGTCCAATCCTGTACCCCCAGGAATGCCCTGGAGAAGAGAAAGCTCCCTTTCTTTCATGGCTTCTCCCAGCCTGGCTACATCTTTGCCCTGGCAGAAAGGCAGTGACCATGGCAATGATGAAGGAATCGCCAAAACCAAAGGTTAGGGAGGGCTTCCTGTGTGCTGGGCAGGGTGGTGCACACTGTACACCGGTTACTTTATTTCATCTGTACACTACTAGCACCCCCAGTTGAGGGGGGTGCTATTAGTGTTATCATAAATACATGTATAAATTAGGAAACATGCTCAGAGAGATTGAATAATTTGACCAAGTTTGCACAGCTAGTGAATGCCAGAGCCAGGATTAGAACCCAGATATAGGGCATGGCGTGGCAGTGGTCGGGTTCGCAGGCACATGGCATGCAGTGTGAAGAGGGCCGTGGTGGGGCAAACATGGGGCTCCACGGAGTACAGAGGAGGCCTGACCCAGGAGAGGGACAAGAAGGTCACTGAAGGGAGGCTTTGCAGAGGACGTGGCACCAGGAGATTGGAGGATGGAGCAGAACATGAAGGTCACAGAGGCACCTCCAGAGCATGCTTCATCTGGAGTCACTCCAGGCAGTGGGAGCAGAGGACCCTTGTGGAGCTGGTGAAGGGGTCAGGGCTGGATCACGACCTGGGGAGCCAGGGTGAGGCGCATGGACTTTCCTGCAGTGACAAGCAGGTGTCCTTGGAGGCTGTCAAGGTGGGGCATGATGAGATCACATTTGCATGTGATGGGGTCACTCTGGCTGCCTGTGGCTTAAAGAAGGGAAGACAATGCGAGGAGATTCATTAGGAGGAGGTCAGGTGAAGCAGAGGAGAGATGATGGGGTCCTGAAGTGAGGTCAAGGCCATGAGCAGGAGAGATGACGATGAGGTTGCATGGATGCCCTTCCACTGTGGCTGTAACATCGTGGGCCTGGGTGTCCCGAGAATGACTGGCTGGTAGGCCAGAAGCATGGGGATGGCCCACCCTGAGCTGGGAGCATGGGAGGACAGGCAGGACTGGAGGGCAGGGGAGCAGGGAATGAGTTTAGTTGAGACACATCTAGTTACAGGTGGCTGTGGGACATCCACATCTGAGGCCAACTGGACACGTGGGCCTGGAGTTCAGGAACCAGACCTGGGCAGGAGTCATGGGGATAGCATCAGAGGATTGCTGGGGCGCAGCAGGCAGGCAGACACACACTGCCGCACTCAGTGAGAAATGCAGAATTGAGAAGTGGATGTGCCAGTGAGTCCTGAAGTTTCAGAATTAAAAGAAAAACATCAGATTATTAACAGAGATTGGTTTGAGTGATGGGATAATGAGTGGTTTCTCTTTTTTTTTTTTTTTTTTTGAGAGTTTTGTTCTTATTGCCCAGGCTGGAGAACAGTGGCGCGATTTTGGCTAACTGCAACCTCCGCCTCCCAGGTCCAAGCGATTCTCCTGCCTCAGCCTCCCAAGTAGCTAGGATTATAGGCATCCACCACCACACCTGGCTAATTTTTTGTATTTTTATTAGAGATGGGGTTTCATCATGTTAGTCAGGCTGGTCTTGAACTCCTGACCTCCTGTGATCCACCCGCCTTGGCCTCCCAAAGGTTTTTCTTTTCTACCTTACAGTTTTTTGCTTACTTAAAAATTTCCCAACAAGCATAATTGGCTTTCATAATCAGAAGTATGTACATGCGTAAGGATTTTGTTCTAGTCACTGTTTTGTGACTAAATCATCCGGAATCCTCCTGACAGAGATGGGCTCCCCTTCCGTGTCCCCGAGCCCTTCTTTTTTGGCACTTATTCCACACTGTGAATTGTCATCATCCTGGCATCCCCAGCTGCAGCCCGGGGCCTGGTACATAGTGGCAACTTGGAACCTGTTAGTTGAAGGAATGGAAAAATAGAACTTAGAGGGCCTACCACAGCCCATGCACCCCAGTGAGCAGGTGAGACCTTGGGACCACCCCCATCCCCCACCACCCAGGATCCATGACAGTGCCCTTGTCAGGATTAGAACAGCACCTGGGCTTGGGCAGGGGCAGTAACTTGCTGTTTATGGAGCTCACAAATTCTTAGTAGAATCTGTTTATAAAAAAACAAATCTAACTATTTGTAAATGCTAAAACTCATGAAATAAGGAGCAATAACAAATAATATATCAACACATACATCAATGAGCTTGTTAAAAAAGCTATGCTACTTTTGTAAGGGACAATTTGGCAATAAGTATTCCATTTTTTTTTTTTTTTTTTTTTTGAGACAGAGTTTCGCTCATGTCGCCCAGGCTGGAGTGCAGTGGTGCGATCTCAGCTCACTGCAACCTCTGCCTCCTGGGTTCAAGCGATTCTCCTTCCTCAGCCTCCTGAGTAGCTGGGACTACAGGCGCCTGCCACCATGCCTGGCTAATTTTTTTGTGTTTTTAGTACAGACGTGTTTCACCATGTTGGCCAGGCTAGTCTTAAACTCCTGACCTCAGGTGATCTGCCCACCTTGGCCTCCCAAAGTGCTGGGATTACAGGTGTGAGCCACCGCGCCCGGCCAGCATTCCAGATTTTTTTAAGCACATACTCAAGGGCCCAGCAAAACTTTCCAGGTTTTTATTTACAGATACCATGGCCCACACGTCAAATGACATTGGTACAAGAATGTTCCTTTCTGGGACAGTAAAAGATTGAAGATGACCTCTGTGTCATTGTGGGGGCTGGTTAAATACATACCTACACCTTGTGCAGCTCTTACATGAATGAAGCAGCTATCAGCACTGAGAAGGAGCACTCCCCAGGTTGTACTGTTAACTGGAAAAAAGCTAGGTTGGTAACAGTTTGTGATGGCAAGGAATTCTCTAGTAAGGACCCTTGTATCTGGAAAGGAGACCCATCGGTAGATTGGGGAGGAAGGAGGTGGAGTTCCTCCCACAAAACTGGGTCCTTCTGTTACTTTTAGTTTTGTACCAAAACTCTAGGTACTGCCTTTATGAAAAAATTAATAGAGTAAGATAAATAGTAGTGAGACACAATTTATCACAGGCTATAGCCAAAGATGCATAGTAAACCACTGTATATCAATGGTATGTTTTCCTCTTTCAAACAAAGTTCTGCTCAGAAGGAGTAACGTTTGAGAGGCCAAAGCAGGCCAAAGTGGGAGGATAATTTGAAGCCAGGAGTTCAAGACCAGCCTGGACAAATAGTGAGAGCCCCATCTCTAAAAAAGTTAAAAATATCTGAGCTTAGTGGTGAGCCTGTAGTCGAGGCTGCAGTGAGCCATGATTGTGCCACTGCACCCCAGACTGGGCAACAAAGTGAGACTGTCTCAAAAAAAAAAAAGAAGTAACCTCTCTCATTCTCTAGCAGCAACACAACTGTTTGTTGTATCTATCTTTTTTTCTCTGTCCAGGCTGGAGTGTAGTGGTGCAATCATGGCTCACTGCAGCCTCAACCTCCCGGGTTCAAGCTGTTCTCCAGCCTCAGCCTCACAATAGCTGGTACTACAGAAGCAAGCCACCACGCCCGGCTATTTTTAAAAAATTATTTTCTGTTGAGATGGGGGGTATCACTATGTTGCCCAGGCTGGTGTTGAAGTCCTGGCTTCAAGTGATCCTCTCCTCTTAGCCTCTCAAAATGTTGGGATTACAGGTGTAAGCCACCGTGCCCAGCCTGTTTGTTGTATCTTAACCGATTCTCTTGAAAGTTAAGATGGGCTGGGCATCCCAGCACTTTGGGAGGCCGAGGCGGGCAGATCAGTTGGGCTGCCACCAACTGGAGTGCAGGTTACCAACTGGAGTGCAGGTTACCAACTGGAGTGCAGGTTACCAACTGGAGTGCAGGTTACCAACTGGAGTGCAGGTTACCAACTGGAGTGCAGGTTACCAACTGGAGTGCAGGTTACCAACTGGAGTGGGGGTCATCAGCCCCACTGATGTCCTCTGTGTGGCTGGGATAGAGCAATAGAGCAGGCAGAGTGGTGCTCAGGTCCACTTGGGAGCTGAGGAGTCTCCAGCCCTGCTCAGGTCTATGAGAAAACTCCAGAAGGAAAGAACAGGAGCAAAGATGAGAGTGAGCCAAGGGTCCTGTGGTCTGGATGAGGGGTCACTCTGCAGAGGGTGCTGGGTGGACCCTCTGACTTGGATAGACCATTATGGGCCCAAGGACAGCAGAGGCCAGTTCTTTCTTGCAGGAGGCAAGTGTTTCTTCCTTTTGTATTTGTAGGAAGAATTTGTGATAAAATGGCATTAATTATTCTTTAAATGAGGCTGTTAGTTAGAACTAAATATAACAAAAGAAGTGCAAAACTTACCTTTGAAAACTATACAACATTATTGAAAGAAAGTAAAGAAGACCTAAATAATGAAAAGATATCCCATGTTCATGGATTGGAAGACATAATATTGTTAGAAAATGGCAATATATGTCAAATTGACTTACAAGTCTGATATATTCTCTATCAAAATCCCAGATGGCTTCACTGCAGAAATTGACAAACTGTTTTTAAAATTCACATGGAAACAAAAAGACCCAGAATGGCCAAGACAATCTTGAAAAGAGAAGAAAGTTGGAGGACTTACATTTCCTGGTTCAAAACTTACTACAAAGCTACAGTAATCAAGTGGTACTGGCATAAGGATATACATATAGACCAATGTATATCCTTATGGGATAGAATTGAGGATCCAAAAATAATTCCTCACATTTATGTTCAATTGATTTTTGACAAGGGTGCCAAGAAAATTCAATGTGTTGGCCAGGATGTGGAGAACTTGGAACTTTATACACTGCTGATGGGAATATAAAATGGTGCAGTCACTTTGGAAAACAGTCTTGCAGTTCCTGAATAGGTTAAACACAGAATTACCATAAGATCTTGCAATTCTACTATTAGATATATACCCAAGAGAAATGAAAATAGATGTTCAGACAAAAACTTGTATACAAATGTTCCTAGCAGCATTATTCATAATAGCCAAAAAGTGAAAACAACCCAAATATCTAACAATTAATGAATGGGTAGATATAGCTGGTATATGCATACAATTGAATATTATCTGGGAATTATAAGAAATGAAATGTTGATACATCCTACAATATGGATGAACTTAGAACTCATTACACTAGTGAAAGAAGCCAGACACAACAGACCACATGTTGTATGATTCCATTTGTATTAAATGTCCAGAATAAGCAAATCCATAGAGGCAGAAGGCTGATTAGTGGTTGCCTAGGCCTGGGGGGTTATGAAGAAATGAGGAGTAACTGCTAATTGGTATGGGGTTTCTTTTTAGGGTGGTGAAATGTTCTAAAATTGATTATGGTGACTATCAATAAGAATAACAGTGCAGCCCTAAAAAGAATGATAAAGATATATTAGACACAACTTTATGCTCACAAATTTAACAATTCAGATAAAATGGACAAAGACACAAACTACCAAAACTCACTCAAGAAGAAATCCATGAATTGAATAGTTCTGTATTTATTAAAGAAAATGAAGTTATGTCAAAAATCTTTCCACAGAAAAAACACCAGGGCCAGATGACTTCACTGATAAATTCTACTAATCATTGAAGGAAAAAATACTATAATTCTCTATATAATTCTATACCAATTTTTCCAGAAAGTAGAAGGCGGGAAACACTTTCCAATCCATTTTATGAGGTCAGCACTATCCTAATACCAAAACCAGACAAACGCATTATAAGAAAATGACAGACCAGTATCTTTCATGAACATAGAAATAAAAAATTTTAACAAAATATTAGCAAATCACATCCAGCAATATGTAATAAGGGTAATAACTTATGACCACATGGAGTTTATCCTAGGAATATAAAACTGGTTCCAGATTGAAAATTAATCAGTGTAATTCATCATATCAACAGTTTAAAATATACACATGATATTAATAAATGCAGAAAATGTGTTTTAAAAAATGCGGCTGGGCATAGTGGCTCATGCCTGTAATCCCAGCACTTTGGGAGGCCGAGGTGGGCGGATCACGAGGTCAGGAGATCCAGACCGTCCTGGCTAACGCGGTGAAACCCCGTCTCTACTAAAAATACAAAAAAAATTAGCTGGGCATGGTGGCGTGCGTCTGTAATCCCAGCTAGCCGGAGGCTGAGACGAGAATGGTGTGAACCTGGGAGGCGGAGCTTGCAGTGAGCCGAGATAGTGTCACTGCACTCCAGCCTGGGTGACAGAGCAAAACTCTGTCTCAAAAAAAAAAAAAGCAACATTCATGGTAATAATGCCAATAAACTAGGGATAGAAGGACATTCCTTAATGTGCTAAGAGTTTCTACAAAAAACAAAAGCAAGAATACTTGGATTTGCCATTATACTTAATGGTGAAAGATTAACTCTTTTCCTCCTAATCTGAACAAGGAAAATGTATTTCCCCTCACCACTCCTATTCAACATTGTACTGGAAGTTCTATCCACTGAAATAAGACAAGAAAAATAACTTTTTATGAAAAATACATATTGCAAAGGAAAAAGTAAAATTTTCTCTATTTTTAGATGGCATTATGGTCGACTTAGAAAATCCAAAAGAATTGTACAAAAAAAAAAGCAACTAAAACAAGCGAGCTTTGCAAGGTTGCAGGATACAAGGTAAATACACAAAAATCAATCATATTTCTATATACCAGCAATGAGCAAATGGATATTGATATTTTCAAGACAATATTATGTGTAATAAATAGCACCCCAAACCATAAAATACTTAGGTATATGTCTAACAAAATATGTGTAGAATCTGTATGCTGAAAACTATGATATGTTTATGAAAGAAATCAAAGGGGGGCTAAATATATGGGATGATAAATTATGGTCATGAATGAGGAGACTCAATCTTCTTCAGATGTCAGTTTTCAAAATTGTGGAGGGAGGAGCAGGTAGCTCATGCGATTAAACTCTGGGTGAAACAGGGCTAGCACTGGCCTTGGGGATGACGGCATGAGACATTCTCCCTCCATCTCTCATCTCTGCTCTCCTCTGCATGCTGGCCTCTTGCTGTATGAGGTGGGAACCTTGGTTATGGGTAGCTTCAGGAGGAAAAATCGTTTTCCCATAATACCAGTTAGAAAGATCTCATTGAAGACCCCGATCATTCCATATTAGCCCACGGAGAAGGACATGCTATTGGTCTGGCTGGGGCCACAGGCCCACCTTTGCTCAGGGAGGGGTGGGCTCTGGGACCGGCAGCCTCCCCAAGAATCCCATGGGGCTCATGAGGGAGGAACTGGCTCTTGGATTACAGGGTGGAGGGCAGAGACCAGCCTTGTCTCACACCGGTGGACATGGTTCTCGGGCTGGACCTGGAAGCCGGGCAAGGTTTTGGTGGGGAAGTGTGAAGGGCTGTATCCCACTCAGGGGACAGCAGATGCAGACTGTGGGGACACCGTCATGCTGGAGGACCGGGTGCTCAAAGCAACAACATGGATTTCTTTGTAATAAATTCCATACATCACCACCTCGGCTTTTTCAAAGGATTCTGGATGGGTTTCAGGTTTTCCCAGAGGCCAACAGCAGAGGTGGATCCTCTGTCCCCTGACTTCCGGGGCTCCCCTCCTGGTTTGGAACCTCAGAAGATGGGGTAGCTTCTGGGAGTTTGAAAGTGCTTATTTCCTCTATTAATGGCATTCTTAGTTTGAGAAGTTTCTTTGCTTTCTAGAGTTTTTTTGTTTTTTGTTTTTAGCATAGCTATTTTTGATGAAAATATAAATATCCACCCCTCTGACTGCGAGACAGCTGTAGGCTCCTGCTCTGGGCACAGATAGGCCTCCTCCTCCTCCTCTGAGAACTCTTCCAGACTGAGTCCCTTTTGGGGGCCCTGAACTCCAGGTCCAGCAGGCACAGGAGGCACCAGCCCAAGGGGCTATTCACAAGCCAGTCACGTTCCAGTGAGGACAATGCCTCCCCTGGCCACTCAGGTCTCCAGGTTATCCCAAGGATACTGGCGGGGGTGAGGGTCCCAGGAGCAGCTGCACAGCCATGCCTCCCAACAACCAGGAAGCAAGTGGGCCTTAGAAGTATCTGAGGCAACCCAGGGCACAGGAGATGCTGTCGCCCTGAGCCATGAAAGCGCCACCACACTCAGGTGACTTGCCATGCTGTGTCTTACCTTGCTTTGGGGATCCCCCTCTCCTCCTGCTGCCTGCCAAGTGAATATCTCAGCAATCCGTGTGTCACATCATTGTGTTAGTTAGCTAGGGCTGCCACAACACAGAATCACAGGGTGGGTGGCTTAAACAACAGAAGTTTATTTTGTCACAGCTCTGGAGGACAAAAGTCCGAGATCAAGTTGTAGGCAGAGTCAGTTCCTTCTGAAGCCTCTCTCCTTGGCTTGTAGATGGGTGTTTTCTCTCTATGTCTCCATATGGTTTTTGTTTGTTTGTTTGTTTGTTTTTGTTTTTTGTTTTTTTAGACAGTCTTACTCTGTCTGTCACCCAGGCTGGAGTGCAGTGGTGTGATCATGGCTCACTGCAGCCTTGAACTCCTGGGCTCAAGAGATCCACCCACCTCAGCCTCCTAAGTAGTTGAGAACTTACAGGTGTGTGCCATCATGCCTGGATAATAAAAATACATATATATTTTAGAGATGGGATCTTGCTATGCTGCCCAGGCTGGTCTCAAACTCCTGGCCTCAAGTGATCTTCCTGCCTCAGCCTCCCAAAGTGCTAGAATTATAGGCATGAGCCACTGTACCTGGCCTGGTCTTTTATCTGTGTGCTGTGTATGTGTGTCCGAATCTCTTCTTTCTTTCTTTTTTTTTCAGAAACAGGGTCTCACTATGTTGCCCAGGCAGGACTCAAACTCCTGGACTCAAGTGATCCTCCCACCTCAGCCTCCCAAGTATCATCTCTTCCTATACGGACCAGTCATGCTGGATTAGGGCCATCCTAATGACCTTATTTTAACTTAATTATCTCTTTAGAGAGCCTGTCTCTAACCACAGCCACATTCTGTCCTGGGAATTAGGACTTCAACAATTAGGAGGGGGCATAATTCAGCTCCTAGCAGCCACTATGTGAGAAGGTCTGCATGACCCAGCTGACAGCAAACCTCTCCTGGGCAGTTTTTCATCCCAGCACCTCAGGGTTTGCCTGCTGGCTGGGGGTGGGGGCTGGGGCCTGGGGAGGGGAGCCCCATGCAGGGAACGCGCCTACCCTGCTCAAAGAGCAGCCCAGCCTGCTGCTTCCTGGGCAAAGGCTCACCATTGCTTTGGTTGAGTGACACTGCGGTGGCTGAACTGACACTTTCAGCTCTGTGTTTCTCTAGCAGGCAGTGAGGAAACATGAGGGCTGCGCTGGGGGTGGCACTTCTGTCCTAGCTCCCCAGCTATGCGTACGTGGAGACAGTCTATCTCCTCTTGTCCCTCCTTCTGGTTCTTGATCATGGGCATGAAGGAATATCCAGGCCCCATGGCTCAGTGAATGTGCGTGGTTTCCACTCTTGCTGTCGCCCTATTACCTCAAGCAGGTCCATCCACATGCCCAGAGCAGGTACTTAAGGCAGCAGGTGAAAGAGCCGCCTAATCCTCTCCTCAAAGGGGGCCAAGAAACCTCAACTACCATTTCTGGAAGCATCTTTGGTCAGGGATTCAAGAAGGTGTCTTTCAAGAAGGGAGAGGAGGAGGAGTCCCTGACTGAGAAGCCCCATGGGACATAAGAGACTGGATGCTAGGAGGCAGGGGTGGGTTTGGAGTCGTGGCTCCACCATTACCCAGCTGTGAGTCTTTGGACAAATTGCTTAACTTCTCTTAGCCTGTGTCTTCAGATATTAATGAGACAATCATCTCAACCATCTTATCTATTTGGGAAGATAAAATAGCACAGATGAACATTCCTGGCATGTGGTAGACACTCAATAAATGCAGGTTCAATTGGAATCTCTTCTTGATGGAGGAAAGTGCCTTGTAAACATATGTCATGACACAAATGGCAATGGTTATTATTATTATTGAGACGGCCAGATGGGAGGGGGTTCCTGCAGAAACTCCAACCAGCCTGCTCACTGAAGTGGGGCCTCGGAGAGTTCAGGATGTCTGCAGCAGAGGAGCCTGGCCCCTCTTCTTCCTGGGTGGAACCTAAGATTCAAGCTGCGACGCAAGCGGTCTAGCAGGGATTCGGCGTAACGCGATTCCCTGTTTCCCCCTTTTCTTCCTTTTCACCCAATAAAACCCTGTCTCACTCACCATTCAAATTGTCTGTGAGCCTGAATTTTCCTGGCCATGGGACAAAGAACCCCATCTTTAACTGAACTAAGGAAGAGTCCTGCAAAAGTTTTGGTGCCCCATTTGGGGGCTCGAGAAGTGGTGAGTGAAATGGGGACTCAAAACCTCTCACTGTTGCTCCTAAGCATTTTAATCCTCGAACTTCTGAAGGTGGGCAAGACATGCCCCCCAAATCCGGGGGCTCCGGAGTTCAGAAGAAAGGTCCTTCCTTTTGGGGGAAGGACGGGCCAGCGGGGGCTCCTTGCTCCCTCTCCCCTCTGTGCAGAAGCTGGGATGCATGGCCCAAGGGTCTCACACAGCTGGCTGGCTTGTTTCAAGCCACGCACCACCACAGCAGCCGTCCCCTTCCCCAGCCAAGGGGTTGAGCTTCATTAGGCAGTAAACTTTTCTCCCTGATGGAGGAACCACTTGTATAAGAATAAGAGGTTCGTCCCCAGGGATTTTTAAACCTTTTTTCTTTCCTCTTCTCCGCCCCATCAGCAGTTAAGTTTAAGCAAGTTTTGTTTTTTTTTTTTTTCTTTCTAGAAGACATTTTGCTAGGCTAGGAATGATAAGAATCCCTGTTTATATTCTCTGTAAAGCTTTAATTGTGAAAAAGGATTTGTGGGGCTAGCGTTGGGCTGTGGCCAATCTGGTGTGCTTTGCAGGTCTATATGGTTTGTGCTGCAAGCCTCCATCTTGTTTTACATCCTGGGGCATGGCCAGTAACCACTTGGCAAGGCTTTATTTAACAATCCTGCCTTAGGGGATGACCGTCTCTGGTTGGATATCTTCCTCTTTCCTAGTCCTGTCCCTTAAAGGGCCCCACCCAGCAAATGGGTTTTCTTGTGCCTATCTGTGTATGTACTGTGTGTGATGTCTGTAAAAAGAGCTCTAATTAATTTTGCCTCAAGAAAAGCGCTTGGATCAAAAAAATTTTTATTTTTTAAGATGGAGTTTTGCTCTTGTTGCCCAGGCTGGAGTGCAGTGGCGCGATCTCGGCTCACCGCAACCTCCGCCTCCTGGGTTCAAGCGATTCTCCTGTCTCAGCCTCCTGAGTAGCTGGGATTACAGGCGCACGCCACCACGCCTGGCTCTTTTTTTTGTATTTTTAGTAGAGATGGGGTTTTACCATGTTGGCCAGGCTGGTCTCGAACTCCTGACCTCAGGTGATCTGCCCACCTCAGCCTCCCAAAGTGCTGGGATTACGGGCATGAGCCACCGCACCCGGCCTGGATCAAATATTTTTTAAAGGCAATATAAAATCCGTGGTACCTTTCAGTTCATGTGACTTTAATCTTTGAGAAATAAAAACAGCCGTGAAGATTATTAATGCAGGTCAGATGCAAAGTTTGCTAAGTGTTTTCAGGTTACAAACTGCTTTTTGGGTTTTGAGAACTATTTGACTTGCTGGCTTCGTAATTGGTAGGGCTTGGGGACATGTGGAACTAACCAGGCCCTTAAGTAAGAAGGCAAACATTGGCTGCAGTTAGCACACAATTCAACTTACCAAGTTTTACCTTTAAGTTAAAAATTGCTAGGAGTTACAATTATGACATGTAATTGAAACTAGCGAAAATAGATTTACATGCAAGGGGTGTAAGAAGAATAAAATGTGATTTTTATGTAAAAGGTTATAAGAAGGCATGGAAATGTAAACTTTTGCCTAGGGTTAAAGGATTATTTTGAGTTAGATAGGGAAAGCTGAAGGTTCAAACAAGTGGTGGAAAAGCTGTGGAAATTAATTTTGTAGAAGAGGTTCTCTGTGTGAACATATTAACTAAATGCAAAAGGGTTATAAAAAGCTTTTGCTTCTTCAAAATTTCTGAGTCATGATTTTGAGAAAATAAATAGTTTGTGGTAATCTGGAACTCTATTTCATAGTATCAGGTGCTTTAAACATATTTAAAAGGCTTCTGGAAATCAAACTTAAGTTTCAAAATTGTCTTTTCTGATACCTGGCTTTTCAGATGTTTCAGAGGGTCCCTGAAACATCCCAAAAAAAGAGGTAAACAGGATTATTTGGCATGTTTAGGTACATGGAATTGCCAGAATGATCTTCAGTCTTCTTTAGGCTGTACTTTTGTGAATACAAACATATGTTCCAAAATTGTATGGGATTTCTAAGATTCTAATGTCTGAGTATATGCTATCAATCATAATTAAGGTTGGTATGTTAAGTTATCGTAAACCGCGAAGATAACCAAACTTCGTCAATTGTGTTTCTAACTGTAACTATCCTGGACATTTTGCTATTCACAGACAATTGTTGTCTCGTTTTGATTCTTTTCAAAAGATGGTTTATAATAAGCTATAGAACTTTAACAGGTGCTCTCATATACAGGCTTCTGATAACTTTGGAGATTGTAACATTAGAATAAAGGAAAATATACAGGACTCGTGAAGAGTTGAAATGTTCACAAATATCAAACAAAAGAAGAGTTAACTAAATGAACTGAACTCAGAAAGCTGAAGCAATCTTTTTGACTTTTGATTGGAATATTGTTGATTCTTGTTTTGTTTTTCATAGTTAAGGAAACTCACTTGGAACTATTTACAGCCTTTAATAATTGAGTAAGGTTTACTCCTATGAACAAAAATTTGGAGCATGTTTGTTTCTCTCTGCCTGGTTCCTCTAGGATTTGGAAACTATCTGTGAGTATTCTTACGGTAATATGGTTGTTTGCATCATATGTTACCCTGTACAGGTAAAGAATGTCACTTTCTAACAGGTCCGGGAGCTCCAAGTTTATCTTGGGACCTTAAGGTAAACTCACAGTTGTTTGAGGATACAAACCCATGGTTGGGCTCAGCATTAAACGGTCTTATCTGAGATTCCTTGTGGAACAAACTTGCATCAAAGCCAATCCAAGAGGCCTATGTAGAAATAATTATTCTTGCTGCACTTTATGCAATTAATCAGGCCAAGTATAAGACTAAAGTCTATTTTGCAAACCATTCAGTCCTATGATGATTTTTTAACAAAAATGAGGACTGGAGAGAGAGAAATCATGTTTCAAAACTTATTATACATTTGTCATTAAATTCTAAACTCATTGGTTGTTTTTAAGTTTTCACCTACATTTTAGACTAACCCTGCTTGCTCTTGTGAACCAACCAGCAATCTCCAGCTGCAGCTCAGAAAGGACAAAAGGGATGGGTAATGTAGAAATCTGGATCAATATTCTAGCTCTGGGCAATTATCCTGCAAGTCCTGCTAGGTGATTTGAATACATAGGATGCCCATCACTTGGAGGTTTCCTTTTTGGAAAAGTAAGACCAAGAAAGCTAATCAAAGCCAAGGACCATGCACCCAAACCCTCGCAAGCATAACTATAGCCACCAGTTATCTGGTTGTGTCACAAGACATCTTTTTCTCCCCCTTGTTGGAGGAGGACTCAATTCCACAGTTTCACCTTAGCATTTGGCTTATGATAAGGAGTCCATGCACCTCCCCCACCCCCCACCGAGACACATTTTTGTCCCAAACTCAATTTCAAGCTTTGGGTCAAAGTCCTAAGAAGGAAAACTGGATCTGAGGGATCCAGAGACAAATGACAACAGAGGTTAAAAGGCACGGTGCAGGTGAGCATGGCTCATTCCTGCCAATTAAGCCAACCCAAGCTTCTTGTTTCATGGATAAACCCACGGCATAAATATCCATGGCATAAATGAGGTCTAGGGAACTCCAAGGCTACTGACAGTAGGAGATAGAGGCATAGATGAGAGCGGATAATTCCTATTCTCTAGGCCCTCCCTGCTTCATGGGTGCAAGCCACTTTGGCACTCATGGCGGCACCTGCCAAGGTCACCGGGACTCGGGGATGCAAGGATGGAAGAGGGAAAGAGAACACTCTTTCCTCTCTCCCTCATGTACCGTGGGTATCTGCTAGGAAGAGAAGGGAACCAGGGACACCTGCTCCCCTCTTTCCAGATGGGTAGCCATTCATCTGCAGTCTGTGCCCCTTTCAAATGCACCCTGAACCCCTGGGACTCCTTCAGACGGTGTCTTCTTTTTTCCTTTCTTCTCCTCTGTCCTCTCTTCACTGATAGGTAATTGTGTCTCCGTACTATGGGACGATTCCCTCAGATGCATCCTCCAAACTGGAAAGAGTTAATTTCCCAAACATTAAACTGGTTGGCTTAGGATTAGGCTCAGGGGAAGGGAACTCAGAAGCCCAACGTGCCAGCAAAAGGGTCCAGTTTCTGCCAGCTGGGCTTTTGGCCTCCCTCTCCCTGTGCAAACTGGTAAAAGGCCTCAGAATTTTTGAGCTGTCCTTACCCCTCCCCTTGTCTCCCTGTGTTTCCTTTTGGGTTTTTGTTTTTGTTGTTGTTGTTTTATTTTGAGACGGAGTTTCGCTTTTGTTGCCCAGGCTGGAGTGCAGTGGCATGGTCTTGGCTCACTGCAACCTCTGCCTCCCGGGTTCAAGTGATTCTCCTGCCTCAGCCTCCCTAGTAGCTGGGATTACAGGCGTGCACCACCATGCCAGGCTAATTTTTGCATTTTTAGTAGAGACGGGGTTTCGCCATGTTGGTCAGGCTGGTCTCAAACTCCTGACCTCAGGTGATCCATCGCCTCAGCCTCCCAAAGTGCTGGATTACAGGCGTGAGCCACTGCGCCTGGCCTGTTTTGTTTTGCTACATGTTTTCTAATGACCCCGTTTGTCTGTTCTTGCCTTCAGGCCATCAAACTCTGAACAGTCATGCAACCGGAGCTTCTGATGATGGCCTCTTCTGCTGGGGACCCTTAGACAGGCATCTGAGGGACCTCTGACTGCCATTTCCCAAAAACAGTGCCCCCTGTCAGCAGGAAGCAGTTAAGATCAGTCTTCATCCTTATCCTTAATCTAAGGGCAGTTAGATGGACTTCTTTCGAGGCGGGAATGGGACAGCCAGGTGGGAGGGGGTCACTGCAGAAACTCCAACCGGCCTGCACAGTGAGGTGGAGCCTTGGGAAGTTCATGACGTTTGCAGCAGGGAGGAGCCTCGCCCCCCCTTTCCTATGTGGAACCTGGGACTCAAGCTGTGGGCAGGAAGCGCTCTAGCAGGGTCTCTGGCCCAGCGAGACTCCCTGTTTCCCCCTTTTCTTCCTTTTCACCCAATAAAACCCTGTCTCACTCACCATTCAAATTGTCTGTGAGCCTGAATTTTCTTGGCTGAACTAAGGAAAAGTCCTGCAACTTTATCACCCCAAGTTGTTCCTGACGTGTTTTATGTAAACTGAATCTTGGGTCCCATGACCCTTCCCTAAGGCTTTACTCAGAGGCTGACTTGGTATTAGGAGCCCAGAAATGTCCATCTTGGTCCTCTTGGGAATGAAGACCCATCCTCTGGTTTCGGTGGCCCAACATGCAGCCTGCACTGATGTGCCTCCCAGGGTCCCCCACCTGGGACTCTCACTGCACTAGGTTTGGGCTGTGCTCCTCCTCTGAGGAATGCATCGCCAACCCCGTCCTCAAACCCAAGCACTGCCTTCCCATCTCCTCGAGCCCCTCGTCCCCTGCACATCCTCATGTGTCCCTTCCTGTGACTGGCCACTGGCAAGCATGAGCCTCTCCCAGGGCCTAGGGTCTGGGGTGTAGGGAGTTGCGGGGAGCAGATGCCTACATGTTTGTCACAGCCCTTTCCTTCTGGGTTTGAGGAGAACTCTGTCAAAGTTGTCACCCCCCAGCAGAGAGGCAGTGGCTGGCTCAACCCACGTGACCCTTCCTGAGGTTAAGAGGCTTGGTGCTGGGAGAAGAGAAGGAATGTGAGTTAGTACATTCAAATGGTATCTTCCCTTCACTTGGCAGTGCTGGAAGGGGAGCTAACTTTATCTCCCATTGTGCCTTCTGATGAGCCCCTCTGAAACTGAGTGACTGCAGAAGAATCCTCCAGCCGGGGCATTCCAGTTTAATCTGAGCACATCGAGTGTTTGGACAATGCAAGTGATCACAAAATGCTCCCTAGAGTGTCTGGGGGACTCTGAGAGTGCCTTAGGTCATTGTACTGCCTTGGGCTTTAGGTCCTGGTCTTAGCAGCAACTGAAATCATCCTCAGGCACAGATGCCATTTCTGGGGCCTTGGAGGGGCCATCGCAGTAGAGCTTCAAGTCTCACCAGAGGTTGTGCTTTGAAGATGATTCACTCTTTTGGACAACAGCAGCATCGAGGCCATTAAGACTGCAGCCTCTCCTGGGGTAAGTGGACCCTAAGGGTGCTGGGCTGGCCTGAGGAAATGGCAGGAGGCAGGGCGGGGCCCTTCCCTTGGGTGTGAGTGACAGGAATGACACCTGGACACTCGTTGTCAGAGCACTTGCTCCCCCATGGCACCCAGTACTGAATGCAACGCTGCAGATGCGGTTTCATTCCGGACCCCAGCCTGCAGCTCCTCGTGCATCTGAAACCAGATGGCCTGTGTAGTCAGCCCCAGCATGCCGTGAAGAACACTGAGCTGCCTGTTGAGTAACTCCCCAGGGATGAAGGAAAGCACGGAGCTTTCTTCATGTCAAGCACAACTCTTTCATTGAATGCTATTAGATTTCATCGAGTTAGATTGCCTCTGCCCGTCAGGAGATTTTGGGATTCTGATTTGTTCGTCTAATATACTTATTTCTCCTTATCCACAAATTTGGTCAGTTCTGTAGGTCTTCATCCCATTATGAGTAAAGGCATTGGCTGGGTTGTGGATGCAATTCTCTCCCAGGTGCAACCTGTCCTTCGTTGTAACTGAACAGGTAGTTATACATTCTCCTAACCACTCTTACCCAGACTCTCATTTATTCAGAAGTCTTTGTCAAATATGTATGTTGCCCACATTTCCCTCATCAACCAGTCTAACAATTAACAGCAGGAAATGAGCTGCATCTGTACACTTATTCTTGGTAAACTCAATCTGGGGCCTGATGCTTGATTTAGCACGCAAATTCCTGGTTGCAAAGGGATCAGATTATCAAAGATGAGGCTGTTTGAAGAGTAACTTGCACAAGCCTTTCGGAAGAAGGGGAATTCGGGAAAAAGGTCTGAAAGAACTCAAGACCCGCCTTGGGGGAGGACAGCCTTCATAACGGAAAGCCAACCAATAGCAAAGGCTGCAGAGGTGGGGAGGAAGGCGCGTTGTCCCAGAGATCTGTCCGATTAGGAACACGGGAGGACACAGGGATTTGAGAAACTACCAGAAAGGTCACATGAATGTTTATTACAACATAGAAAAGAGGGAAAGGAAGAAAAAGGTTTCCAAAGCCGTATTTCCAAGGATTTAAAAAAACACAAACTTGGAATGCCAAAGAGATGTCATGCTTTATATATTTATAATAGGAAGGTGTGTGTATGTATAAATATGTACATGGAAATATGTACACAGGTTTTGACTGTCATATATAGTATTTTTCATTGCATGTACAGTAATGCTGCTTGAGTGAAGGGTTTTAAAGCTGGCAGAAGGCTGGAGAATCTGGAACCCTGCTTGGCCCCTAGAGGGCGCTGTGGAGACCACCTAAGCAGCTCCCAGGGAAGGTCTGCCGGGGCTGGGGCTGGGTCCTGAGGGTGTTGGGGAAAGCTGAGCTGCAGGCGGGCTGGGGCCCCAGGCTGCAGGGTTCCGGCCAGGGCAAGTCTGGAAGCGTCCCTACGTCCCCGACATTAGACGTTTTCTTCCAAGAAGGGTTTCAGTCATTGGAATAGGCTGGAAATACCCTCATGGCTGGACTGGGGTGGGGTGGGCTCCCAGCAGGTCAGGGTAGAAGTGAGACAAGAAAACCCCAGGAGCTCAGGGTCTTCTCTAAGAACAGTGAAAACGCACAGCAGTTAATTTCACAGAAAGAAGAGAGACCCAAACAAAGCCAATCACGGTGTCAAAACACTGCAAATCACAACACAACACTCATTCATATGCAAATTAAGTTGATACACACAGAACCAGTTGTTTTGTTTTTATATATGTTGTTTAAAAAAAAAATGGCACCACGCACAACAGCAGGGAACTCAGCCAATGAAAAGGGCTGGCCACAGGTTCTCATGGGTGCCCAGGCCTTCTGGGGTGACGGTGCCCACGAGGAGCCTATTACAGCCACCATCACCTTGTCCCTTGCTTGAAACATCCAATCAAGCGCTAACCCAGAAAACGGTGAATGGAACCTCCCTCTCCCTTCTTTCCTCCCTGGTTCCTGTGCTGGAGCAGGTGGGTGGGAACACTGCCCCTCTCCTCTGGGCAGGTCTGCCTTCTCCTTCCCACAGGAGGCCAAGCTGGGGTTGTGGGGAATGGGCACAGCCAGGTTTGGTGCTGAGCCCATTCACCCTAGGAGTGCATGGGAGGAAGAGATCCACAGGCTAGGGCCCTGGAGACAGGAAACAGCATGTGCATGTGGGCTGGGCAGGGGTCAGGGATGTGATGAGGGAAAAAAGTGCTGCCAGCCAGTGCCCATCCTGGAAGAGGGGGTGTGGGCTCCTTTGGAGATAAGTCCCAACCCTGAGGCTCCAGGCAGACCCTGGCCTGCATCCCCCAGCAGTCAAAGGTGCTGGGAATGTGTGCGAGTGTGTGCCTCTGTCCATGTGGGGGTGAAATGCAATGGGGATGGACTGTGGCATCCACACCTGCCCGGATGGTTGGCATTTTGGCAAATTCAGGCAGAGAGGGAGAGGGTTTGAGGGCCGAGTTTCCCTAGCTAAATGCAAATCCAGATGACTTGCACTGGAAACTCAGGACACACACATGGTGGACGCTACAGGGCACCTTTCTGCCCTCTGCGGTAGCATCAGGAGGGGAGAGTGGAATTGGGGGCCAGTGTTTCTGTTCTGCTAGAAAGAATCTTGCCAGCTGCAGCGAGGAGGTGAGGCCTGGGCAGGAGCGGACAGCCCTTGCCCGGATGGGGCTGGGCCTCCAAGCCCTTGGCTCTGACAGAAATGGGGAAACGATGGCTGCCTAAGCCCTTCTTTGTTCCTAACCTATAGATGGTTAAACTGAGGCGAGAGGCAGTCGGAGAGACGCCGGCAGTCATAACAGCACTCAGGCCGGAACTCACTCTTGGGCCACAAGGGAACGTTTGGGGAAGAATCCCTCTGGTTGGGATTCTTCCTATCTCTGCAGGGCCTGGGATTGAGGGTGGTGCATGACTGTCTGAGCGTGACCACCTCCATGCCCCATGATCCCGTGAACATCCAGCTCTAAGAATCTTGCAGGAAGAAAACTGATTGATGAAAAACACAGGCCCCTGAGCCTTGCACCCACCTGCTCAGGCTGAGCTTTTTTGTGATTATTTTAAAGATCCAAGCTGGTCAGAAGGACCACAGTCACCTCCCCTGACCAGGCTGGCGCCTCATCCCCAAACCCAGTGCACAGAGCTCTCAGGAGGGAGAAGGGGCAGTGCAGTCCTTGAAGAGTGTGTCCCCACGCCTGCCTCTGCTCACCTTGCAGCTTCACCTGCAGAGGCTGGAACAGCAGGAGTGTGGAGGTGACGGCATCATTTCCAAGCACAGGACTGCTGGGCCCACGTTAGCTCTCGATGAGCTTGCTGATGAGTTAATGCAAAGCAGGGAGGTGTCCCCCTGGTGAGGACTGCCCGAGGCCACTACCTGGCTGCTCATTGAGCCCTCTGGAGAGGAAACTCTGTTTTTCCTCAGCCTGAGGCCCGGCTTCTTTCCTGGGAGGGTTGACAGCAAAGGCTTCAGGCTGCTCCCTAAGCCTGAGGCCTCCAGCCACATACAAGGTCATGGTCTCTGGGAAGCTTAGGTGCCGCTCGGGTGCAGGGGGTGGGGTGTGCTTTAAAAGTGCTCTCCCACCTCCAATCTCTCTGATAAAAGCCCTCCAGCAAAGCCAGCAAGAGGGAGGGATAACAGTAAACTCTGCCTTCAGCCACTATTGGAGAACTTCCATTTAAATGACACGCCCCCAAGCATTTATGCAATGCTCAGGGCTTTCTTTGCAAAATTCACTAACACCATAAGAAACAGCCAATGCAATTAAAGCCTAAGGTGGGCCTGGGAGCCTAGAAGGGACCCTGAGGAGGCCTGGCTCTCCACCCTCAAGCCTAGGGGTTGGATCTGGCAAAACTGAAGTGAATTCTCAGAATTGCAGGCATCTGGGCAGGGAAGGGGTTAGCTAAAGAACATGTTTCAGGGTTTTTGGCTTTGTGGGTGTTTTGTATTTTAAAGAGCCACGCTGGTGCAGAAAGACCAGGGCCCTATCAGCTTCCCCTCCTCAAGAACCTCGGGCCTTCGGAAGGCCTTTGACCCGGTCCTGGGGTTTCAGACCCACTTTGTGCTGCCTTACACTTGGTGTTGGGATCTGTGCCTGGCTTTTCTTTTTGAGAGCCGGACCCCTTTGCCCTCCAGGGGAAAAGTTAACCATGTGGCTTTTTTTCTTTCTGCAGTTCCTTTCTGTAGCATCCTCCTTACTGCTTCCGAGCCCTGGGCATCCTGCATGAGGCGGAGTTCATCTCACACCTCTGAGATGCCTGTGCCAGCATGGCTGGAGCCCCTGGCTGGCAGAGCGGGCAACTTGGTCCTGCACATTAGGATGGGGAAGCTCCTAATACCAGCTGTCTCTCTGCCGCCATCCCCCAACACCCTCAGGAAGGGGCACCTTTCTGGGCCTGCCTAAAGGAGGGAGCATGGGTGTGAGGGCTGCCCAGGCAGGTGGGAGTACGGAGCCTTGTGGGGCAGGGTGGAGGCGTCCAGGACCTTCCTAGGAGGTTTTGCCCAACTCCCCCTAAGTGATGACAGGTCTCAGGAGGGGGCCGCCCCCACATATGGGAGGGAGAAGCTTATTTTCCCAGCTTGGGGTGGGGGCGGCTGCTGAGGGGATGGAGAAGAGATGGTAATTTATGTTGCATGTTTAGTGACACAATCCAGACACAGGTGGGATTGTATCACTAAACATGTGACATAATCACCCTATTACTCCTGAGGGGTGAGGACCCCTCCACAGGACCTGCTCTGGGCTGCATGCGATTCTGCTCCTTCTTCTGGGAGTGCTGTAGTGAGTGTGTGGACGGCACAGGCTGTGGGGGCGGCCCAACCTGGCCACTTGCCTGTCCTGCCACTTAGGAGCTGAGTGTTTGGGGGCACATGACTTACTCTCTCGGAGCTTCTCCTCTGACATCTGAAACTCACAAAGGCATCTCCCCTCCCAGGAGCTAAAATGCCCTGCACTGTGCCTGGGTGAGGCTGCTCTTGGGGCTGGATGTGTGGGTCTGGGGCAGCTGAGGGTGGGAACCATGCTGCCTGCCCCTTCCTTACCATGGGAAGGTCAGCGGCGTGGCAGGCTGGGGTAGGCTCTGGCAGCAGAGCCATCAGACTCCTGCCGCTCCCATGGGGACCTGGCCTTCTCAGCCTGAGATCCTTGGTTCTGAAACTGACTCAGAGCTCAACATCCAAATCAACAGTCTCCGCCGTCCACAGGACACACCCAGGCCACCCACAGCTCACTCTGGCTCTAGGGTCCCACTCTGACCCAAGGGAATGACCACCCTGATCCCAGTGTCACAGTTTGGTACTGGGAGCATCTCATTGCCTCTGACTTTCTCTGCAAGCCTGTAATTCCTGCCCTAAACACCCACAGCCAGGGAATGTCCTATTGAATTCCGACCGACAAAAGGCCCCAACCTGGAATGTGCCCTGCAGCCTCTGAACCAACAGCCTTGTCTGCACTATGCAGGCAAAGCCCAGCTTTGTCACCAAAGGGCTGTGTGTCAACCATGCACTTGCCTGCACGAGAACCCTAATTTTCAGCTGGCTGGTGTTTGAGAAGTTAACTCTGGCCCTGGTCTGAGTGGCCAGCTGGAACTATTTGGAGTAAATCAGCCACTGTCCCTTATCTACTGAAGATGATCATGCTGAGACCACGGTCTAATTTAGAGGGGCGGGGGCGCTATTTTGAACCGGTCCCGCCCACATGGCAACCCTCACAGCCTCATTCAGGAGACAGGCAGGGGCCTCTTGGCTTCTCCCACACATCAGTTACCCGGAAAGGGGCCTCCTCCTGAGGCTGATGTTTTCCCAGGTTTAGAGACGCAGCCCTCGGGGGAGAGGAGGATCTGGGGGCGCAGTGGCCCTCCACACACACAAACACACAAACCCCTGTATTAAACCATCCCACACGGGACCCAGGGTGACACCTGCCACTCAAGAAAGTCCCACCTGCATCTGGATTGTGTCACTAAACATGCGACATAAATTGCTATCTCTTCTTCACCCCCTCAGCAGCCGCCCCCAGCCCAAGCGGGGAAAATAAGCTTCCGCCTCCCATTTGTGGGGGCGGCCCCCTCCTGAGACCTGTCATCACTCAGGGGGTGTCGGGCAAACTCTGGGGGCTGTGTGGGGTGAAGGGCTGTGGGCTGGTGGGCATGGGAGGGGGCGGCTTCCTGCAGCTGAAGCTATTTTATCTGAGTAGAGGGGCAGCTCCACTCTGACGCAGCTTCCTCGAGAGCAGCCAGCACCAGCCTGGAGGATGCCTGCTGCACACAGCAGAAGGTTCTAGCTTTTTAGAGAAAACCAAATCTGTTCCCACACCTTGAAGATACAGAGGCTTCCAAACAGGAGAGAAGAAGGCAAAGGCCTGGGTTGGGGTCTGTAAGAAGAGAGGACAGGACGCGACAAAGACACTGCCAGGTGTTCAAAAACGGCAGCCCAGCCCCAGGCAGCAATGGAAGACGGACAGTAGCTAAGGGATCCATGATAAGGGGTGGGCAGCAGGGCCCGCTTCTCAGGCAGGACTGTGATTAGAAAGCCCGGTGGATGGGGTAGGTGGGCTGAAACCCCCAGAACGGTGGCCACTACTTCCCAAGCACTTTCATCCTGCAAAATCCCTTCTCCTGCCCTCATGGAGTTCTGACAGTCTCTGATAGACAAACAAGCCCTTCAGAGAGGGACATGCCCAATGGCACTGTGTCAAGTGGAGTCAGAAGCTTGACTTTGGGCCAGCCCCATCTGTTAGCATTTCCTATGTTAGAATGAAAATGAAAGGAAAGGAAACAGACATGTAAATGTCCATCCTCTTAGTATCTAATTTCTCTTAATTTCAGATTGATACTTGATCCACAGTATCCTGGACAACTTCTGCTAGATTCTCCCCACCCCTAGCCCCCATTAGGGATCTAGCCCTGTCCCAATCACTTACAGAGGGGCTCCTTAAAGAGGCCCATGGTCTTTTGGCAACTGAAGGAGTCCTTGTGTAATGCCGACAATTTCACCCTCTAACACATCTGTTTGCAAGCAGGATTTTCAGATCAAGGTCCACAACCCCATACAATTGTTCTTGCAATTCTGAAACCCTAAAAGCTCTCAAATGGTAAGTTTTTCCCTAAGTTACTTAGTGGCAAAATTAGACTGAACTGAGGTGAGGCTATTTACAGTTTGTATAGCTCCCAGTTAATGGGACTAGTCACATGTTTCTCTGCAGAAATATTCACGTGCCTGATGGTAGGCGAGATGTTCCACACTCTGCCGGGAAGTTAGAAAGTGTACGATAAATGGATCGCATTGTCTTTCTCAAATCTAAAATTTCTCAATTCGGAGACACATCTGGCCCCAATGACTTCAGAAAAAGGAATGTGGGCCAGAAATGCTGTTAAGTATTGGGTGAAAGCCTGCTAGTCTGCCCACTCCTGCTTCAGTCTAATAACTTTGTGTATAAACATCTGGCAGTTTCACCCCAGGGAAGGAGCTACTCCTCTCCTTCCCAGGAAAACACAGGTCACGACACACCCAGCCCTCAGATTTCAGCTGCGAGGAGGCGGGGGGTGCGGTCAGGGAGGCAGGCCCAGGAGACGCCTGTGGGACTGGTCTTCTC
This sequence comes from Homo sapiens, assembly GCF_000001405.40. Taxonomy (NCBI): domain Eukaryota; kingdom Metazoa; phylum Chordata; class Mammalia; order Primates; family Hominidae; genus Homo; species Homo sapiens. Next base: position 226,602,609 of record NC_000001.11, on the reverse strand, counting down.
CCCGAGGCCTCAGGCCAGCTGTGGGCACAGTGGGCCTTTCCACGCTAGGGTGGAGCCTGGCCATCCTCACCCACACCCTGGTGCTGCCCCCAGGAGACCACACAGTAAACACTCGGGGCACCAGATTTTGAGGCAGGTGGGGTCCCACAGGACGGGTCTACCACAGTCCTGTCCCCTTGGTGAGCCCCTGCTCACCCAGACAGGGCCCGGTGTGGCCCGGCCCAGCAGACGTGGCGTGCCTTTGCGGTGGGCAGTGGGTACAGCAAGGCCAGTTGGAGCCTGCCGGAGCATCCCAGCCTCTCTGTGGGCGTTCTCATCTCCACCCCACTCTCTGATGCTCTGGTGCCTGCGCCCACAGTGCTTTCCAGAGCAGGAGGGGCTGGCAGCCCTCACAACCTGCTGAGAAAAGCAGATGCGTTTTCAAAATAAATAATATTTTTAAAAATACCCCCTTTCCACCCCCAGTCCAGAAAATGGCAGAAAAGAACATGTAAAGGTCCTTGTGCCCAAAGCTGCCTGGTGCAGCCCTCACAGGGCCCCCCTGGATCTCCCCAGCGGCTCCCGTGGGCTCACAGCTGCTGTGGGATGCCCTGCTCCTTGTAGCCTGTGAGGAAGAAGCAAAGGAGAGATGGTTAGACACCTGCTTACTTCAGGATTTCTCCAGGAGGTGCCCCTAGCCCAGAATGCACACAGGAGGCATTGTTTATACTAAGGTGTAAATGACTGCTACCATCAGAGCACAACTTTTCCCAAGGGCTTTGACTTTCTAATGGGAAACAAAAGAATGAATCAGGAAATGTGGAGTACTGGGTCTACTGGGAATGTATGACGGGCGGGCATTTGGGGTGGGAGCTAAAAGGCTATCGACATGCTCCTGAACCCACATCTGGAAGCCGCTTACAGACTGGTCTGGTGTGCTTTCCCAGTGCAGAGCCTTGGGAGCAGGTGCCAGGCAGGCTTCCCCGAAGGTTGGGCATCTGGTATGGGTGGATAGAAGGAGGAAGAAAGGAGGAAGATGGCATACAGAGGGGAGCAGCCATCCCTGTGTGCGTCCAACCTGCTGGACGGTTACGGCAGGAAAGGGCGCCTGAAGGCTAAACCTTTAAAACATTGTTGATCATGAGTCCTTTGGGAAAAAGTGAGCTCTGTGGATAGTAAGGAATTGTTACTGCTTTATTTAGGTGTGAAAGGGTATTGTGTTTGTTTTCTTAAGAAGATACCCTTTGGGAGGCCGAGGCGGGCAGATCACTATGTCAGGAGATTGAGACCATCCTGGCTAACACAGTGAAATCCCGTCTTACTAAGAATACAAAAAATTAACTGGGCGTGGAGGCATGTGCCTGTAGTCCCAGCTACTCGGGAGGCTGAGGCAGGAGAATCGCTTGAACCCAGGAGGCGGAGGTTGCAGTGAGCCGAGATTGCGCCACTGCACTCCAGCCTGGGAGGCACAGCAAGACTCTGTCTCAAAAGAAGAAGAAGAAAAAAAAAACGATACCTACTGAAATATTCCCAGCTGCTATTACATGAGCAGAATTTGCCGAGCGGTTATTCCTATTAGCCAGTGAACTTAGTCTGAAGAGGAGCTTTGGTGTATTGAGCTGCTTTTTTCTCTTCATTTAGCAGAGTATTTCTCAATTTTGGGTGCTAATAACCCATGCTGGGGTAGGGGAGATGTGGCGAATGACAGAGGAAAGGAGGCTGGCCATGAATTGATAGCAGTTGAGGCTGGTGTGGGCATTAGGGCCTCATTTTACTAGGGGCTCTACTTTTGTCTATGTTTAAGCATTTTCCAAACCAAAAGTTCAAGCTAAACATAAAAGCCCATTGACCCACTGGGAGAGTGGGTGGGGTGTTTGTGTGCAGGAGTGGGGGTCTCGGGGGAGGGGAGGGCCCCAAGCAGCAGCACGAGGCCCGCACGTCCATCCGCAGACTCACCTTGGGAAACTGCAGCAGCACAGAGTGGGAGGCAGCAGGAGGAAGAGGAGAGAGAGAAGAAGAGAAAACACAGCCTGAAAACAGAGCCACAGGGAACGCTTGGCACAGGAAACAAAGCAGATCCATGGTGAGGCCTGGGAGATGGGACAGGGGCCATGCCAGTGGCTTCTCAGACGCCATCCCCAGGCAGGGAGTGCTCAGTACTCATGGTGACAGCCACAGTGGCCAGTGGTCTGCCCACCAGGCGTGTGGGTGTGGCTAGGGGCACAGCGAGGGGCTCTCACACTGCCAGGGAGCTTGGTCCACTGCCTCCCCAGCCCTCCATATCCTGGCCATGCCCACACTGCTGCCTTCATTCTTTATTCTTGTCTTCTTTTGACACAGAATCTCACTCTGTTGCCCAGCTAGAGTATAGTGGTGTGATCATGTCTCACTGCAGCCTCAAACTCCTGGTCTCAAGTGATCCTCCTGCCTCAGTCTCCCAACATGCTGAGATACAGGCATGAGCCACAGCACCTAGCCTTTTTTTTTTCATCCTCAGCTCATGCCTTCCTCCAGATAAATTCCAGATGGACATGAGGAGTGGCAGCTCCTGGACAGCTAGAGCTTTGACTACAGCAATCTAAAGATGCTGATGTGCCCCATCCTGGCCCCACACTGGCTCTGTCTGAGCTATGTGCTTAGCCATTTCTATGGAGAGGAGCCACATATATAAAAATACTTTGGGGAAGACCCAGGCCAGAGGGTGGCAAACAGATTTTATCTTGCAGACCTCTTGGATCAATTAGTAGTGACTGCCTGAAGCCCTGTGCTGAGAACATGTGAGACTGGTCACCAGAAAGTGTCATGATTGATTAGCAATGTCTGCCATGGGCATGGCAGTAGAAAGAGCCCACCATAGAGCTACCAAGTATTTATTGACCCATGACCAAGACAGGGTGTTGTTGTTTGTTATTTGTTGTTATTCATATAAATCAAGCAACATGCTTGCAACTTCCTGATGTTAACTCCCACTTTCATCTAGATTTCTCTGACTCCCCTCTTAGGAGTTTTTCATGATAGTGTGTTTGCTGATGACACCCCAGGCAATGCCATGCGAAAAGCCAAAGTGTACTGTTACAACTGAAAAGTTTCCTCTGTTTTTATAGCAAGGGGCTGGACTGACACCAGAAAGAAGAGTCCCTTATCCAACTGTCTTCTAGGATAGAAAAGTCCATTGTGATAATTCCCTTCAAAGGAGTCACTCTCAGACACACAAGTTCCATGGTTGCTGGGAGTAATCCCACCTATAGCACCATCTCATGAGTAGCAACTGTTCACCCTTTGGGGGTGGGATTAGTTGTGGGAAAAAAATGCAAAGGCTTCCCTTGCTGAGTTGGGTGAAAGAGTCTGGCAGTCAGGCAGTGGGCAAGAATGAGGTGTGACTGGTTTTTGTATTCAGCCCTCAAGTCTATCCCCCTGATATGGTTTGGCTGTGTCCCCACCCAAATCTCATCTTGAATTGTAACTCCCACAATTCCTATGTGTTGTGGGAGGAACCTGGTGGGAGATGATTGAATTATGGGGATGGGTGTTTCCTGCAGTGTTCTTGTGATAGTGAATGAGTCTCACGAGATCTGATGGTTTTAAAAATGGGAGTTTCCCGGCACAAACTCTCTTTGCCTGCTGCCATCCACAAAAGAAGTGACTTGCTCCTCCTTGCCTTTCGCCATGATTGTGAGGCATCCCCAGCCATGTAGAACTGTAAGTGCATTAAGCCTCTTTTTCTTCCCAGTCTTGGATATGTCTTTATCAGCAGTGTGAAAATGAACTAATACACCCCCCAAAAGCATTCTCAAAAGTTTGATGCAAAGACAGCATCCCTGGAAACAGTGTGCAGACAACCAAGGGGCTGACGCTGACCCCCAGTGAAGGCTGCATGGCAAAGGTAGGGGCTGCAGCTTCTAGCACTTGCTTATCCTGCAGACCAGTTAGTGCCCCACACCAGCCACAGCAGAGGAGTTTCTGGCCAAGTCAACAGCCTGGGGCAATGGAAAGTGAGGAAGTGACTGGATCCCCATCTGCACTTCTGGGGCCTCAATGCCTCATCTAGGCATGATGAAGGGAGTTCTTTATCTCTAAGGTTCCAACCTCTTCGTTCCTGGGTATTAAGGAGATCAAAGACAAGTGTACCAGAAAGCTCTAGAGATCAGATGAGGCATCAACATACATTATTGAGACCTACCCTGTGACACAGTCATGTTCCGCTTTAATGCAGAGGTTCCTTCCTCAGGTCCCCAGTGCCTGGCCAGATGCTCAGTTTGAGAGAAGATGAGCCAGTAAGAGGGGCTCATCTTGCACAAATTGGGCAGCCTTCAACCTTCTGAGGGCAGAAGCACCTCCCAGCTTCCAGCTGGGAACAGGGTCAGGAGCCTGCAGAGCACAGGCCCCTGGGGAAGCAGCAAATTTCCTCTGTGGAATTGTCGGGACCAATTTTTAGGAGTCACCTGAGGGCTGGCAGCACTTCCTTCCTATCAGTCATGCTCTTCACCTCTCCAGACAAATGAAAGTCGCCCCTGGACATGCCCAGAGGATGAGATCCCATGAAGGAGATGCAAGGGCCTGCCTGCTGGGCTTACCTCACAATATTCCTCTGACAGGGCAGCCCCTGCCCTGAGCACACCCCTCCCAGGAGGAAGGAGCAGCTTCCCTGCTGCTTCCCAGCTCATTCCTCCCTGGGGCAGCTCACTGCTCAGCCTCTGGTCCAGCCTGGGGTTCCCCTGCTCTGGCTGCCCCAGTAGCCAGCATCTGCCTGGTTTGCTCTGATTCTGGGAGACCCTGGCAGTGCAGCTGACCCACTTCCTCCTGTGATCTCTGCTGCCAGAGGAGCCACTTCCGGGCAGCCCATCTGACCACGCTCCACTGCATCTCCCTCAGGCTCTGCATCTACCTGCATCTTCTCTGGCCTGGTGGCCTAACTGGTCACTGACCCTGGTCCTGCCATTTGTGTGTGCCCTGGGTCTTGAATATTCACAGGATCCTGAACTCAGGCTGAGTTGACTATAGATCATTCTACATAATTCTAGGGCCCCTGAACCCTGAGTTTCCCCTTCTGCCTCTGCCACTCTTACCTGGCTCAGCTTACCTCTGACACTGACGATCCCAGCTATGAATGGTTTTGGGGGGTATAGGACACAATGAGGGGCATGGGGTACAGAGTGAAGGCAAAGTGCCTGAGAGGTGAGGTCAATTATTGAGGAACTGTGGCCTCACATGTAGATGGGCGTGGGAAAATACAGGGAACGTGGATGGTGGTATGGGAGACATGCACAGCTGCTTAAAATGGGTGGTGTCTGTTTTAAGATTTTGCTAGGTTATTTTAGAAAGGGTAACTGAGTTGTCTTTGGTAAACTTGATTTTGTAACTTTAAACCCTTTCACAAAACCATTCTGTGTCTGAATCAAGTTTGCATTAAATGATGGAACTCTCCTGCCATCCACTCATAATTCCCTGCAGGTGTTGGGCCAGGCCTGGCGGGGAGGGTCCCCAGTGCCAAGCAGCCCAGGGAGTTGTGAAGAGGACACGGGCAAGCCCTCTCCAGAGCCCGTGCTTAGCGGGTGAGCAGGACCTCGGCCAGACATGAAGGTCTCCCAAGCCCTTCCTGTCCCTGGCCACTCCCCACCCCCAGGAGGCGCAGCACCAACAGCTACTCACTGGCAAGGATGACCATGTCCATGCCCCAGAAGATGCTCATGATCCAGCCCACCATGACGATGGCAGTGAGGATTTGGATGAGGGCTGCTGCAATGTTCAGCCAGAAGACGCAGCACACATGCCTGTCCGGGAGGTCGGTGCGGGCCCCGCACAGCACAGTGAAGGCCGAGACGAATGTCCCTGTGAGAGGCCAGAGGGGACAGCCTTCTGAGGGCACTGGGAGACAAAGGGGTCTGTGTGCTCATTGCTGGCCTGGGGCCCAGCTGTCCACCCTCCAAGAACTCAGAGAAGAACCACCGATGTCTGGCACCCTGTCCTCTGAGTGGCACCCCTGCCCAGACCCTGGCCCACCTCTCATCTCCATACTGCAGAGTTCAGTGGGCCACCTGGAGGAGGTATTGCACGGGGCTGCCAGGGGCCCCATACAGTCTTGGAACCTCTGGGGGAGACAAGGAAGTCACAGGACAAGCAGTCCCTTCTGGGAAGGAGCAATCAGGAAGCCACTTGCAAGGACAACAGGCAGTTGGAAAAGGCAACTTTATGTGGCAAAGATTCCAAGAGCCAAAGAGTTCTGAGGTGGAAGCTGATGTGTCTGAGTTAACACAGAAGCAACCTCAGAGGTAAATTCAGGAGAGGGGAAGGGCCAGGAAATGACCACCCAGCACACATGCTGCTCGCTAAGGGACAGGAGCCAAGAGCCTACAGTGTAGTAGTAGTACACTGTGCAGTGTAGAGGGCGCAGACTAGGACAGGTGTCCCAGAGCCCCTCCCTGATGGGGTTCCCCTAGACACCCTGACCTGTAAGGGGAGGGACAGGGAGCCTAAGCTCTATTGAGCATCCACAAGGTGCCAAGCAACGTGGTGGGTGCGGTCACATTCTTCACCTTGTCTAAGACTCAGCCCCTATGGGTAACATCACTACCTTTACCGAGTTAGGCCCCTTTCCTACATGGGCTCTGAGCCCTCCTGACAACAACCGTGCAGAGAATTAGCATTCTCTATATCTGTCATAGTTCCCTACAGCGTCAGTAACAAGTTACCCAAACCTCATGGTTAAAAGCCACACAAATTTATTCTTTTATAGTTCTGGAGGTTAGAAGAGTCTGCAATGGGTCCTCAGGGATGAGTCCTTCTGGAGGCTCCAGGGGAAAATCTACTTCCTTGCCTTTTCCAGCTTCTAGAGGCCACCTACATTCCTTGGCTTGTGGCCCCTTCCTCCATCATCACCGCCAGCAGCGTAGCACCTTCTCCCTGACCTCTGCTTCTGTCTTTATATCTTCTCGCTGCCTCCCTGTAGTAAGGACCCTTGTGATAGCATTCAGGACCCACTTGGGTAATCCAGGATGCTCTCCCCATCCATTTAATTTAATCACATCTGCAAAGTGCATTTTACTACATCAAGTAGCATATTCACAGGTTTGGGGATATGGATGTGGACATCTTTAGGGGCCACTGTTTGGCTTACTACACTCTTACACACACAGAGAGAGATTCAGTGTGATGGTTAATTTTAGGTGTCAACTTGATGGGATTGAGGGGTTCCTAGACGGCTGGTGGAGCACTGTTTCTGAGTGTGTCTGTGAGACTGTTTCCAGAGGGGACTGATGTGTGAGCCAGTGGACCGAGAGAGGAAGACTCGCTCTCAGTGTAGGTGGGCGCCATCCAATTGGTCGGGGGCCTAGCAGGAACAAACAGGCAGAGGAAGGGGAATGTCCTCTTTGCTTCCTTTCCTCCTTCCAGGGTGAGACGCTTTATCTTCTCCTGCCTTTACACGTCACACTGCAGGTTCTTCAGCTTTTGAACTTTGGAACTTACACCAGCGGCCCCCTGGGGACCTCTCAGGACTAACTGGGGGCTGCACTGTCAGCTTCCCTGGTTCTGAGATTTCAGACTTGGACTGTGCCATGCTGCCTGCTCGAGCCAGCTACTAGCTTCTCCAGCTCTGCAGCTCGCAGTCAACCTATCGTGGGACTTCTCCACCTCTGTGATCACATGAGCCAACTTCCCCTCATAAGTCCCCTTCCAGGGCTCGGCGCAGTGGCTCATGCCTGTAATCCCAGCACTTTGGGAGGCCGAGGCGGGCAGATCGCCTGAGGTTAGGAATTTGGGACCAGCCTGGCCAACATGGTGAAATCCTGTCTCTACTAAAAAATACAAAAATTAGCAGGATGTGGTGGCGGGCGCCTGTAATCCCAGCTTCTCAGGAGGCTGAGGCAGGAAAATCGCTTGAACCCAAGAGGCAGAGGTTGCAGTGAGCCAAGATCGTGCCATTGCACTCCAGCCTGGGCAACAAGAGTGAAACTCCATCTCAAAAGAAAAAAAAAATCTCCTTCCATATATCCTACTTGTTCTGTCTCTCTAGAGAACCCTGACTAATAACTCTCAGGAACTAAGCATCTTGTCCAAGGTCACAATGACAGGTGAGCATTGAACCCACCAGAGTCAGATGCCAATGCCACGCCCCTCTGCACTGCCTCCCAGGTGTAGATGGCCTGTTAAAAGCGGGCCCAGACCAGAAAGCAGGGCATTTGGGAAATTGACCAAAAGACTGGTGACCATTGTCACATTCCTCACGTTCGATTCTCTCAGTTCCTGCTCTTTGAGGCTGCCTTGTTTTTTATTTTGCCTCCCACTCTGAACTGAGTCCATGTGCTGATTTCTGAAACTGACCCTGCCTTATTTTCCTCCTCTTCATCTTAACCACCGCCACCAGTGTGAGGTCCCAGGATGCAACTCATTGGTTTCTGGCCCTTCCCTGCCCAACTCGCTGGCTCCTACAGTTTCCAGGTGTGGCCTTTGCTCTCACCCACACCTTTGTGCTTCAGATCCAAGGCTGAAGCCTGAGTCCACATGCTGATTTCTGAAACTGACCCTGCCTCGTTTTCCTCCTCCTCATCGTAACCACTGCCACCGATGTGAGGTCTCAGGCGGCATCTCATTCACCTTCATCCCTCCAGCCCCTTGCACAGTGCCTTGTACACAGTAGGTGGCCTGTGGCATTCAAAGAAGTACACCCAACATCAAGTGTCTCCTCCTACCACCTGCCTCATCGCCTGTGGCATTTGTTAAAAATGCGGGGTCCCACCTGAGATCTACGGAATTTCTAAAGGGTGACCTGGCATCTGCTTTTCCCAACAAGCTTCCCCGCTGCCCTCCAAGGAATAGGAATGATAAGGCTCACTAAAGTGTGAAAACCACGGATTCAAGATCAGACAACTCGCTAACTACCCCCACTGTGTTCCTGGCACAGAGCTCCAGAGGCCCTGTGGGAGATCCAGAGAGGCAAAGCTGTTCTTCTACTCTCGCCGGATGGACAGCCAGCTAGGGGCACAGAGTGTTGGCTGGAGCTTCCTTTCTGGGGGATGAGGTTGGGGTGCAACTCTGGAGTCTCTGTAGAGACTCATTCAAGAACCTAACTGAACCCCTGCCCTCAAGAACTCACAGTGTACTGGGCAAACTCATCACCCCACCTGACAGAGGAGAAGGAGGCTGAGGGCTCCTGTAAGGGTAAAAGTGATGGAGCTGGGACTTCAGCTCTAGCCTCTTCCTGCTGGGAGGAGAAGGGTGAGGATGGTGCAGGGGGCAGGGTGGTGACAAGGGGAAGGTGATGGGGATGAAGAGGGAGGACTGACTCTGGCCATTTGTGGAAGGCTTTGAATGCATGGGTAAGAGTTTGCCCCCAACCTGCAGGAAACGGAGCTCTCACAGAGAGTTCTGAGCAGGAGAGCAATGCAATGGAAGCAGGGATTTAAGAAAATTAATTTGTCAGCAGGGTGGATTTTTTTTTTTTTTTTTTGAGACGGAGTCTCACTCTGTCCCCCAGGCTGGGGTGCAGTGGTGTGATCTCAGCTCACTGCAACCTCCACCTCCCAGGTTCAAGTGATTCTCCTGCTTCAGCCTCCCAAGTAGCTGGGATTACAGGCATGCACCATCATGCCCGGCTAATTTTTGTATTTTTAGTCGAGACGGGGTTTCCCCATGTTGGCCATGCTGGTCTCAAACTTCTGACCTCAAGTGGTCCGCTCACCTTGGCCTCCCAAAGTGCTGGGATTACAGGCGCGAGCCACCGCGCCCAAGTGGCAGGGTGGATTTAAAGTGTCTGAGATGGGAAAGATGAACTGGGATGAGAAGGCCGCAGCTGAGGAATGGGGGAGATGTGGGCTCAGGGCTTGGTAGTGGACACAGGAAGATGCAGGGGACTTAGGGACTATTAGGAAGTGTGTGCCACCATTCTTTGCTTCTGCCAGTGCATCATGCATGTGAGACAGGAGATGCACACAAGTGGACACTATTACAAAAGAGAACGCTGCCAAAGTGGAAAGATGGTTGAAGATGAATAAGAATATGTGTGGAAAATGTGAAGTGAAAATAACATAGGTGCCATTTGCTGCAAACCTATAGCATGCTAAGCACTGTGCAGCCCTCTCTCTACCTACATTACCTCTTATTCTTAAAACCACTGGAGGTAGTTATTATTATCCCCATTTTACAGATACAGAAACTGAGGCTCAGACAGGCTAAATGACTTGCCCTCACAGCAGAACCCAGACTTAAAGTCAATCTGTCTAGTTTAGAAGGCTGAGTTCTTTTCAGTCTAGGGTGTTGCATCCTTACATTAAAAAATAAGGAAAAAGGCTGGGCGTGGTGGCTCACGCCTGTAATCCCAGCACTCATGGGAGGCCATGGCAGGTGGATCACCTGAGGTCAGGAGCTCAAGACCAGCCTGGCCAGCATGATGAAACCCTGTCTCTACCAAAAATACAAAAATTAGCTGGGTGTGGTGGTGCACGCCTGTAGTCCCAGCTACTCAGGAGGCTGAGGCAGAAGAATCGTTTGAAGCCGGGAGGCAGAGTTTGCAGTGAGCCAAGAATGCTCCACTGTACTCCAGCCTGGGTGACAGAGTGAGACTCCATCATAAAACAACAACAACAAAAAAATTAATAATAATAAGGAAAGAACCTTCATGCTTAATGGTTTTCAAATATCCTTGAACCCACTCCTTCCCATCCCTGTGTCATTTATGGAAGGCCCTGAATTGGATGGTGTTCTGATCTCTGGACTGCAGTGTCCTGACTCGGTGGGAGCTGAGACCCAGTGACCCTCTTTGTGGCTGTGGCCTCACCTCACTCTTTCAGCCTAGGAAATGGGAACAGCATTCCATGTTCTTTCATGTTTTTATTAGGCTGAACCATAGGAAATTGGCACTTCTGCAGGTCAAGAGTAGCTGACTAATGAAAGCCTAATGTGTATATGAAAGTTTTGAGCATAAGGAAACTTTGTCCTTGAACTCAGAGATTCTTAGAGTCAGAAGGTCGTCAAGCCTATCTCTGGCCAAAAGATGAAATCTCACTGGAATTGCCAAAGTGATTAGAGGCCAGTGGGCTGAGTACCTGCCTGTTCTTGGTGGAGCGGGGAAGGCCTGGTGAGCCCAGTGCTCTGCAGATGAGCAGGGCTGTGCAAACTGAATGATCCTTAGCAAAGGCTTTGGCTTATATGTTAGGAAAAGCTGGGCTGGCCCACACTTTATTTAAAGGAGGAGACAACCTTAGCATGTGTGTGGTGTCAGAGGGATTTTTGGTCTCTGCTCCTTCTTTTACTCATGTTGACACACTCATGATAACTCTAAGCCATGTAAAAATATAACCTTATACACATACTGACTTCTATCATGTGCACACATATTGTCCAGTTGTGTGAACTCAGATATCACTAATAAGGAAACTATGACAACAGGTCCCTTTTGCCGTATAAGGTACCACATGCCATAAAAGGTAGAGATTAAGTGAATGGATTTATAATATAAAAACTGTTTTAATCTCTTCAGCAGTAAATTTAAAAAATGGTTTTAGCACATTTTCCTACGAAGAGGTGTTAATTGTTTTAAATGAGTCTTACCAGTTAAATAAAACGCTCTACCCAACAGCAATGTGTTGGTTCTAATTTATTCTATTGAGCGCCAGCCATATGCCAATGCTGAGTCCTAGGAATGGGAGCCCAGACAGGTGATGGGAACTTGCCACCCCCGCCCGGGAGCTCACACTCTGGCAAGGACACTGGGTCACACCAGGAACAGTGATGAATTCTGTTTGGCCGTAGCAGGAAAGACTTCACAGGAGAGCAGGCGATGGAGCAGGGAGCTGGGAAGCTGATGGGGACTCATGGAGGGAAGGAGGAGGGGAAAAGCATCTGCAGACAGGCCGTCCTGGCCATCTGGAGCTAAGCGGTGCACAGTCCAGAGCTCAGTGGTACACAGACTGGACTCAGAGGAGGGAAGAGCATCTGGAGACAGGCTGGCCTGGCCGTTCACATGGAGATTAAAATGCCCACTGATTGAAGAGAGCTGAGTCAGAGACAAGGACTCTAGAGGTGTCAATTTCAAGTAGTGGTTGGAAGTGAATGAGGTCACCCCAGGAGGGCATGAAATTCAAGGAAAGACCCTAGGGGACACCAAGATTTTAGTGGTGAGCAAAAAGGGAAAAGAAGACCACAAAGGGGACAGGGGAGGTCCAATCAGAGTGGCTAGGGGAGGGCGTCCCAGAAACAGGAGAGAACCGTCTGGAGGAAGAGGTGCTGGGGCAGGTCACCTGCTTCAGCAAGGTTCAGTGAGAGGGGCCATGTGCAATCGCAGACTCGCTTAGGCCAAGAGTGGCTCTACAGGGAGTCGGGAGAATGGCAGGGCTCAGAGCAGGAGGTCAGGGGGCTTGGAGAGAATGGAGGTGTGGATTCCAGGGTGTGGGTGAGGACCACTTTTCCTTAAGTGGGAGAAACTTAAGCTTGTTTATCTGCTGAGGAGAAGCTGCCGGGAGGGGTCGGGGGACAGGGTGAAGACATAACCAAGTAGGGGATAAGTGGACATGAAGGTTCTCGGTAAAATGAGAAGGGGATGGTGGGGGGAAGGGATCCAAAGCAAAGTTTTCCGAAGCAGTGTGTGCATCAAACGTCTCAAACTGGGGTTCATATGCAGATACTAAGGTTCCACCTCTAGACTGCCACAGGCACAGGGATGGATCTAGGAATTGCTTGTTTAAAAAAAAAATTAACATTCCTCCAGCTGATACCAGTCCTCGCTCTGATGGGTGGAGGAATTAGCCTGGCAGATACAGAACGAGAAAATCACGCAACCTCATCAGAAATGAGTCCATGATTCTGGCCTTTCACTCTGTCCAACGGCTTCCCCCACATGACTCAGGGCTGGAGCGGGGAGATGGTCCTCTGCAGCAGGGACAGGGAGGCTGAGGCTGGCCCTGCGCATGCTGTTCCTGGAGGTCCCAGCTAACACTAACTGGCACAAGGAAAATGATGGTAATGAACTGTATTGTCAACCACCAAAATCAGTGTGTTGTAAGATACCTGGGACTTAGGCACAGACATGTGGTTTGCACGTCCTACCATGATCCTGGGAAGAAAGGCAGGCAGCAGAGGCCTGGGGAAGTCCTCCCACGGAGAGTTGCAGCAAAAACACAAGCAGAGCTGAGCCCTGGCTGCCATCACTGTGGTCTCTGTACTCTCAGCTTCCCCAAGGAGCTCCGGGCCCAGGCTCCAAGACAAGGCAGTAGGGAGAGAAAAGGGTCCCTCCACTTCCGTCCTGGGAGCCCCAAAGAGATTCTCTGGGCTTGTCCTCTGGGGAGAGTTCCTGGAGCTTGGCTGTCAGGCACGAGAAGAGAAGCAGCCAGGAGTGGCTGGTACAGTCTCCCATCAGGAAGGGGGCGGCTCTGCTCCCACGAGATAGAGCCTGAGAGCTGGAAGTGTCCTTGGAGTTCTCACCGGGTTCAGCTTTTCGCATGACTCACGTGGGAGCTTTGGGAGGTGCTGGGTCTGGAGAGGGGATCTTAAAGCCTCTTGGAACTCAGTGGGAGAAAGGCAGAGCTGTCTTCCGAAGCAGCTGCTTCAGAGTAAAAACTGCCCCCAGGACCTAGGCCAGCAAGTTGTTTGATCCCAGATGTCACCTCCAGCTGGCTCTGCAGTCATTATGATGTGCTGCTCCTCAGTGGCTGTGGTTTACACCTGGACACCCTCCCTCACTTCTCCGGAGGAGTTGGTTGAGGAAGGCCTTTTTTCAAGGCCTTACCCTGAATGTGAGCTTTGGGGGTCAGGAAGGAAATGTACAGCTGATTTTGAAAGCCAAAGAAACAGGTTCTTCACACCCTAAGAAACAGGACCCATTGCCAAGGGCTGCCTAGTTCAAGGCCAGAATAAGCTAAATGGGAGATTATGTTCAGGGTCAAAATCAGAGATTGCTAAAAATACACCTTCCCGGGCCCCACCACCCTAAGAGTCTGATTCAGGAGGTCTAGTCATCATCTTTGCCTCATTGTGCAATTATTTCAACCAGAAAGAAAAGGAAAGGAAAGAGAACTGACTACAAGTTTCACAAATACTTCTGGACAAGTCCCAGGGACACAGAATCAGCGTAGCCTTGAATGTGAATGGGGCCTATATGGCTGTGGCCTGAGTAAACCAGAGGAGGCTGCAGAAAGCAAGGCCAGGGTCCTGGGCCACTCAAATGCTCTTCATGGCAACTCTTTTGGGTTCTGTTTTCTCAAGAAATGGAGCAGAAGATATGGGATATCCTGTGCTCATATGTGCTGAGGGAAGGCAGTGTCATCCTTTCAGCTCGGCCACTCCAGAACAGAGCACAAGAAGACCACACTAGGTGGGAGAGGAAGGTGTCAACCAAAGGGCATATCAGCGCAGGGTTCGAAGCTGAGCAGGTCTGCGGAGGGGCTGTGTCTTCCCCTAGAACTGCACCGAGTCATTCCCCTAGAAAGTGTTTTGTAGACCCAGCACTGTGTGCAGCCTCATGTCCTGGCCAGCAAGGAATTTGCAAGGAGGACTCAGAACATAAAACCGATCTGGAATAGTGCAGAGTAAAACATGAACAGTTCTAGCATCCTCATCATCCTGAACATCCACACACTTTTGCAGAATGAATCTGCCAGTGCCCTCGATGCCTCTATCCTGGAGCAGCAAAGGGTCTGTGAGTGGCTTTCAACATTAGAGAAAGCACAGACACCATAGTGAGGTCACACTGCCCATTGGAAAGCCGAACTTGCCAGCATTTCATTGTGATCCCATCACAATGCAGTAACTAAGGGGTCTTTCCTGCTATCGGCAGTTCCCAGTGGCCAATAACCCACCTTTGATCAACTAGAGATGGGAGAGTGGATTTATTATGGCTTAAATCTTTCCATGCATGGGTTTCATGGAAGAGAATGAGGAAGAGTGGACAGGTGGCCTTCTGTCTCCCAGCAGAGAGAAGGTGTATGGCATCTTGAACCACTTCTCCCTTAGCCTCAGCTGCTCCCCCACATCCAGAGGCCCTCTGTTCTCTCCCCAGTCAGAAAGTGCCAGCTTGGGACAAACCCTCTTCATTCCTCCCAGGGTCTCGGGTAAATGCTAAGGGTTCTCCGGCAAATGCGTTGGGATTGTGAGGTTTGAGGGGGTCAGGGGAACACGGTGGGGTGCGAGTCTTCAGGCAGACAAGGGGTGTACAGGTGAGACCCTGGTAAGTCACAGTCTGCAGGTGTATTGCGGCATCAGGTGGGCTGCAGCTGTTAGTGTGTGCCTTTGATTTTCCAACTGGCATAAAGGAAAGACGACAGGAGCCTTCTTGGATGCCACACATCCATCTGGTGTCCTTCCTTCCGAGGACAGAAGGAAAATGAGACCAGCTCCCTCCTCCATCCCCCTCAGTCTCCTGACTGTGACATCAGTTCTCATCCTGCTGGGGGTGAAGGCGACTGGAGCTAATAATTAATTTTAGTGGCGCCGGGTGTGCATCAGCTTCCCTGTGCTTATTAGCAAACCTCCTCTGCCCTCTGCCTGCCCCCTCCTAGACCTCTGATGTGCTCCCAGCCTGGGCACTCTGTGGCGGGGCTGGGGAGCTGCGCTACAGAACTGGACACCATAGGTCTCTTCAGGGGTCTTCCCAGGATGTTAAGCTGGAGCAGAAATTTAACCACATGGAATTTCTCAGTTCCCTAACTGCGAGCCTGCCATGACAGAGTCTAGGCTTCAGTGCTAGAGGGTGAACTGAGGAGACGGGGATGGGACGGGGAAGGGTGGTTGTGTAATGGCCAGGGCAGGGGAGCCCAGGACAATGCAGTGGCCCTTGAGGGCTTAGCCTCGTCCTTCCTACCTTCCAGCAGGTCGGTGTTAAGGGTGGCCAGTCTGGTGGAAAGATGGGTGAGGGCAGCGGTGGCAACATTTGTTATAGGAGACAACACGGCTACCATCTCCTTAGAATTTGCAACCTCACAAGATGACATTTCCATGGATGGGTAGACACGGAGATTAAAAACCGAGAGGGGTTCTGCCCAAGGCTGCAGCAGCCAGAGAGCCTCTCTGAGATCAAAGGCAGTGAGAGCCTACAACATGATGAGACCCAAAAGGAGCTCTTGTGGGGATGCTGCAGCAACTGAGAACAGGGATCCCTGAGCTGACCCCTTGCCATAATGGTGCCACTAATCCACAGGCTAAGACATGAGACATGAGACATGCAGGCTAATGCCCGGACCTCATCTGATTGCCCAAATAACAAATAACATGGATGTCGTGCCCACCATGTGCTCAGCATGGAGCTTGTTAAAGCTGAGGCACTCTCTCCTTACCAAACGCAAGCCTGGGAACAAGACTGCCCCAAGCGTTCGGCAGCCCAGTGTGTGTGAGCTCAAATGTTCCAGGCACCAGTGGGAGTTCATAGCCAGGCGTGGGTGACCCCTGGGAGTGCTGGGAAGAGCTGTCCCCAGGTCCCTGAGCTGTGGCTACACACACTGGGCGTGTGGGAGAACAGTGCACCCTGAACCCTTAAGTCCTTGAGCCCTCAGAAGCAAAGCCTCAGTGGGCCTCTGACATAGCAGGTAATAGCAGAACATCTCCAGTCACTAGGCCTGAAGACTGCATTCCATCGAGCAAAGGTTTGATGAGGTCATGGAGTTGGAGTCTCCATGATGGAATTGATGCCCTTATAATCCAAGCTCTTTTTCTCTCTCTCCCTCCCCACCATGTGAGAAAATCAGGAAGAGGTCCCTTCCCAGAACCCAACCACGCTGGTATACTGGTCCCAGATTTCCCAGCTTCCAAAACTGTAAGAAATAAATGTCTGCTATTTAAGCTACCCTGTCTATGGTATTCTTGTTATAGCAGCCTGAACTAAGACATGTCCCCTCCTTAAAATCATACCGAATTCATTTCATTCATTCATTTTTCCATGTATTCAGCTGGCACTTACGAAGTACCTACTGAGTGCTTCAGTGTCCTGGCCCTCAAGAATCCCACGGGGCGGTGAGAGAGGCAAATAACCCACAGAACACAATGCTGTGTGGTCAGTCCTCTGAGTGGGGACTGAGGCGGGGCAGGCAGGATAACACTGTGAATACAAAGGTGAGCTCTGGCATCAGAATGCCAGGGTCCGAATCCCAACTGCATCACAGATAAGCTGTGCAATCTTGACAAATGATGGCACTTCTCTAGACCTCATCTCCAGGTAACAGCACTTCTCATTTCCCCATCTACGAAACGCACAATGATAGTAGACAAGGGTAAACGTGAGGATTAAATTAATGCAGGTAAAGTACTTAGAACACAGCATGAAACCAATAAGGCCTAGCTGGGGCATGAGGAGGGCCCCACATCGAGTAGGAAGGAGGATGATGGGGACTGTCCTCTGAGGAGGCAGTGCTGGAGCAGAATCTTGGCAGACAGGAGTTATTAATTATGACTAGGAAAATAAAATTGAAGATCTCAATGAATCCTGCTCTCACGTTGACTTGTGGCCAATGGCACTATTCTTCACTCCACCTTTTAAAAAAATTATTATCATTGTTAAGTTCACCATGTCAGCCTCATGAAGCCTGAGGCTAGGCACTCATCCCTATGCCGCAGTGTGGTACAGCCAGTAAAAATTATAATTGTGATGACTACACAGCAAGATGGGCAAGTGCTTCGAGTGAGCTTACACAAATAGAAAGTGTATTGTGTGGGGGACTATTTTAAAATATTTATTTATGTGGACAAAGACTGGAGTGTATTAAGCAAAATATTGTAAAAATGGTTTTGCCATGGCTTTTCTCTTTTTTCAAAAACAAATTCTCATTTTGGTTAAAACAAAGTTTTAAGCAACCTGTTGAGATCTAACTCTTCAAGGATGTCTATCAGTTAGCTCCTCACTAGCTGCAGAGAAGGCAATGGAGTGGTTGAGTAAACTAGGGGACAGATGCACACAGATGTCTAACACAAAAAAATTAAATGATGCCATGGGACTCTGCAAGGCTGTGACAGAAGCCCCTGGATTTCCAGGAACACCCCTGGAATGCAGCTCCCAATCCTACGGTGTTGTTCCCAGTTAACCAGGCAGAGTGGGGCTCTCAGTCAAATGGCAGGCTTGGGCTCACCTGCTGGAGATGAGATGAGAGGCCAGACTCTGAGGCTTATGGGTTGGAAGCCAGGAAAGGACTCCAGTCCCAAGAGACCTTCAGGAGCCACTGTAGACTCAGGCGGCCAATTCTTTGACACTCTTTCATCAAGAGATGGGCCCATATACTTTCCTCTTAAAACTGAACTCTAATAACCAACAGCATATAACAGAAGTGGCACTGTGCCAGTTTCCTGGCTCAGGCCTTAACAAACTGCTGGATTTCACTTCCTGCATCTTCAGCTGCATACTCTTGAACCCAGCCACCACGCTATAAAAAAGTCCAAACTAGCTCAGGTGAGAAACTCCAGGGAGAAACCTCGTGTAGATGGTCCATTCAACAGCTCAGGTGAGGTTCCAGCTGAGGGCCAGTTTCAGCTACCAGACATGTGAGTAAAGATGCCTCCAGATGATTCCAGTCCTCAACCATCGAGTCACCCTGGTTTTGAGTCTTGCTAGCTGAGGCCCCACACATCATGGAGCAGAGACAAGATATCCCGAATGTGTCCTATCTAAATCCCTACCCACAGAAGATGAGCATAACACAATGGTTTTTTTTTTCGCACCACTAAATTTTGAGATTGTTTTCTACACAACAATAGATAGTTGGAACAAGAGTGTCACTGGGCAACATGTCAATGGAGGGGGAAGAAGAATAGAAGAAGTGGGCGAGGATGTTTGGTTTTTACAGCAATCATTTAGCATCTAGAATCCTAAAGGCCTGTACTGCTTGGCTCTTGGGCAGAGGGGCAATTACTCCCATCCCCCGTCCCAGAGCCCTGCCTCACCAAGCCAGGACAACTGACAAAAGTCAGAGAATCTGTTAGGGTAACACTGCACTGCAGCCATGCTATAGGAAGTCCAGAAGTTTATCAAAAGATAGCCAGTGACAGAGAGGAGGACTCTAGGGGACACAGAGCTGTGAGGAAAGAGAAAAAGGAAGAGGCCTGTGAGGAGGAGCTCCCTGAGGACCTTTCTAGGTGGACAGGAATGGACTAATAAGGCACTGAGGAGGAAAAACAGAATTGCTTTATGCTGTCCTGTAGGATAGACATGTGTGCTTGCTTGTCTAGCAAAAAGTACCTTCCCAGCCTTCCAACTGGCAAAGGTAAAACCATTATCATTATAATCAATCTGTAATGCACCGAGCACTCATTAGAAGTTAGCATTTTACCATATTTCCTCACTTGATTTCTACAACAATCCCAAGTCTTTATTCTCTTTTAACAGACAAGAACAGGCCTAGAATGAATGGTACATTAACCAACGGCAGCAGATTTCAGAAATGGCCCCAGTTCTCCACTTCCTGTATCCATAGCCTTTGCAATGTGACTTTGCTGCTCCTCCCATTAAGAAGTAGAATCTGCTTCCCCATCCTTTGAATCCAGGCTGGCCCTGGGACTTTCCTTGGCCAATATAATGCAGGGGAAGTGGCACTGTGCCACTCCTGAGCTGAGGCCACACTCATAGAGCTCTGCACTGTCACCACATGGACAAACCCTGGCTAGCCTGTTGGAGGATGAGACACCACATGCGGATGGCCGCAGCCATCTAGCCATCCCAGCTAAGAATAACCAAGCCCAGCTTGACCAAAGAAATGCCCTCCTGAGCCCAGCCCACAGAATTGTGAACTCCATAAACACTATTGTTTTAAGCCACTAAGTTTTAGGGAGGTTTGTCATGCAGCAAAAGCTAACTGAGACAGCCCGTGCCTGTTTTCACAAACTTGTTGGTTACCAGGAAAGGAGAGGGAGAGGCCTGAGGTCTGTGGCCCCTCAGCTCCATCAGAGAACAAGAGGGAAAGCAGGTACTGGGGCTTCAGGAGACAGCCTACCCTGGGACTGTGGAAAACCTTTTCAGGACTTTGAGAGCCAAACAAAAGTGGCCTGGCTTCCTGTGCACTGGCTTTCAGATGAGATTGACTTTGGGGTGACCCTTCAGGGTCCACATACTGATGTCTTTTTTTTTTTTTTTGAGATGGCATGTTGCTCTTGTTGCTCAGGCTGGAGTGCAATGGTGTGACCTCGGCTCACTGCAACCTCCACCTCCCAGGTTCAAGTGATTCTCCTGCTTCAGCCTCCCCAGTAGCTGGGATTACAGGTGCCCGCCACCACACCCAGCTAATTTTTTGTACTTTTTAGTACAGATGGGGTCTTACCATGTTGGCCAGGCTGGTCTCGAACTCCTGACCTCAGGGGATCCACCTGCCTCGGCCTCCCAAAGTTCTGGGATTACAGGCATGAGCCACTGCGCCCAGCCCATACTGGTGTCTTAAAAGAGCAAAGAGCCAAATGGATTTGAGAAACCTACTTTTTAAAAGAAAACTGATTTCAGGAAAGAACCAAGGATTAAAACCAGTCATCCCAATGGTGAAGGATGGCACTGACATTTCCCGGGGCAGGGGCCGGCACAGCAGCAGCAGCGTCTGCCTCCGTATCAGTGGAGCTGTGGTCAGGCTCCCTGGGACCAGGGCTTCCAGGAGGAGGCTGGGGACAGCTCTGGTAGCAGCATGGCTGCAGGGTGACTAAGTGAGGGAGAGCTGGAAGAGGAGGGCCAGACATGTCAATGAGGGGCAGGGCAGAAGGCTGCAGTTAGGAATGGAAGAAAGGAAGATTTTAGTCAAATCTCAGATAAACTGCAGCAGCTGCAGAGAGGACTTACAACACTCCACAGTGGATGGGTGCAGGATGTCCCTGGAATGGGTCCCCGTGAAGGATGAGAGCATCTCAGTGACACAAGCCGGCTAGGGCAGGCCTGGCTCAGGATGAAATCCACTAAGAGGATGGCGGTCCTTCACCACTGGCTCCTCCCTGATGTGCCCATCTTCTCATCCACTGACTCTTCTCAGCTCATTTTGCTGGTTTCCAGTTCTTCTCCCCACCCACTACCTGGCTGTCCATCCTCCCCCACCATCATCTCTGTGTGTACTCCTGCCCACTGCACTCCAGCCTGGGCAACAGAGTGAGACTCCATCTCAAAAAAGAAAAATAAATAAATAAATAAATAAACAAGAGGAAGAGAGAGCTAAGCTCATACACTCTTGCCCTGTCACCAAGTGATGCCCTCTGCCACGTAATGATACAGCAAGAAGGCCCTCGCCAGATGCTGGCACAATACTCTTGGACTTTTCAGCCTCCAGAACTGTGAGCTAAATAAACTTCATTCTGTTATAAATTACCGAGTCTGTGGTATTCTGTTATAGCAACAGAAAATGGACTAAGACACCAACAAACCAACTGTCTGTCCGTCCATTCAATATTCATTGCCCAGTGAGTAGGAAGACTGCTAGCTGTCCCCCAAATCCCTTCCCTTTGACTCCTGGGCATTTAGCTACTCATCTAGAGTCTGCATGTCCCAGCCTCCTCTGCAACCAAGAGAGGCCATGAGACTGTTTGGGACAATGAGCTATGAGCGAAAGTGATACATGTGTGAAACGTCTGGGTCATCTCCAAACTAAATCCAGCTGCTTTCCCCAGACTTTGCTCTTTTCCTTTCCTATGGGCTGGAAAGAAGACATGGCGGTAACCCAACTTCAACCATGGGAACTAGGGCCGCACCCTGGGCCTTGGCAGAAGACTATTCACCAAGATGATTCCAATGAATGACCTCGTAGAAGAGAGCTGCCCTGCCAGCCTGGCACAGCCTGATAGCTTGACATGAGAGAAAGGGCTTCTAATGCATTTAAGCCACTGTGTTTCTGGTCTCTTTGTTATAGCAGCTGAGCCTCTACTCTAACTACAGATCCACCAGACACTGTCCTTGGTGCTGGGGGCACAATGGTGACCCAGACATAGAACCCTTCGATTAGTGATGGATCCAGACACACAGCTGGGTATTTGCTGGTCAATGTGATAAAGGCTGTGAGGGGGCAGCATGGGGAGCAGTGGGGCAAGAGCAGCCCTTGACCCAGGCATAAGAGCACAGGAGGGCTTCTGAGAGGAAGGAGAGACCTCAGGGTGAGTGGGGAGTCTAGGAAGGGGGAAGAATGTTCCAAGTAGAAAAGATGGGATATATGCCAGGGAGAGTGGGGCACACTTAAGGTATGACTTGTCCCCCTCTGCCCTCCCCCTCATCAACCATGAAATGTTGAAGCCCTCAGGCTCAGCCCTAGACCTCTCCTCTCCCCAGCACACAGCCTCTCCTAAGATCCTCTCCCCTCCACCCAGGGCACCTGATTGAAGACTTCATTCTCCAGCACAGACCTTGCCTCTGAGCTCCAGACCACTGACAATGGCTTACTTGACACCTCTTCTGGGATATTTCAAAACCCTCTCAAAAACAAGTACAAGAACAAATTCCTGACCTGTCCCTGCACTAAGCCTGGCCCTTTCTCATCTCAGAGATCCACACCCACTCCCATCACCTGCACCAGCCAGAACCCAGGATTCCCCATGGCTCCTCCTCCCACACAGCCCATCTGAGACCAAATCTGTCATTTTTTACTTCTGAATGTCTCTTACCTCCACCCACTTTGTCTCTGCTAACACCGCCTCCTAGTTCAAGTTCCCATCAACTCTTGCCTGGACTGCCGCCTCCTTACAGGTCTCCCACAGCTGTGCTGCCTACAACAGCTACAGGGATGTTTTCAAGATGCAGATATGATTATCCTTCGGCTGCTCCCATTGCTCATAGAATAAAAACAAAGGGGCAGGGCAGGGTGGCTCACGCCTGTAATCTCAAATCCCAACACGTTGGGAGGCCGAGGCTGGAGGCTTGCTTGAGGCCCAAGCAACACAGGGAGGCTCCATCTCTACAAAAAAAAATTTTTTTTTTAATTAGTTGGGGGCAGTGGCATGTGCCTGTAGTTCCAGTTACTAGGGAGGATGGGTGGGAGGATGGATTGAGCCCAGGAGTTCAAGGCTGCAGTGAACTATGATTGCACCACTGCACACCAGCCTGGGCGAAAAAGGCCCTGTCTCAAAAGAAAAAGAAAAAGAAAAAGAAATAAGGCCTTCCCAAGTTGGTCTCCCTGATCCCCACTGAACTCTTTCTCGGCCAGTGAGGCTTCCTGGGGAGGCCTCCACGGCCCCTCACTCTCCTATCTCTGAATGCCTCTCCTTCACAGACCTCCTCATCTCACACTTGCGGGTGGGATTATCTGATGTAACGTCTATCTCCTCGAAGAGACAGGAAGCACCACATGGACAGGGACCAAGTAAATTTTGCTGATACCACTGTATTCCCAGCACGCAGCCCAGCACCTGGCACAGAACTGAATGAAGGCTGCACTCATGTGTTGGGAGCTGGCATCCCTTATCGTGATGGACTGGCATCCCCATGCCCCATCCTTCCCCCATCACTCAGCTAATGCCTCACAGTGGCTTCTCTCCACCATGCTGCCAAGATAAGATAGTTTCCTTCTATCATTTGCCAAAGGGACAGTGTGAGATTAGGACACCATGCTTCTCTCAAAGAATTAGCGCACATAGCCGGCTTCACAGCTGCAGATCCTAAGAAATGGCACTGGGATGGGCCAGGCGAGAACCCACCATCCATACAGGTCAAGTGCATCATGAACCTGATCAAATTTAGGGATGCACAGAGGTATGGGCCCCACTGGAAAAGGAAATTCCAGCCGCAGCACTCACTTCTTGTCATTATGAACTTTTAGCTCCCCAAGATTCTCCTTCAAAATGCAACTTTATCTTTGATTAAGTCTCTAATACTTCAGTGTGACTTTTTTTATTTCGTTGCTTGAGAGAGAAATCAGCAAGAGAAAACCCTGGGGTGTGAGGGGCAGCTGATCAAGACTCAGGGATGGGAGGGGAGAGGCCTTCCAAGGCCCAGCTGCACTCATTGTCTCTGCCCAGGGAAGCAGCCGCTGCAGGGGTGGCTGTGGGCTTTAAACTTGGCCTTCACCGAGTCAGACTCAGCCCAGTTATGGCTGCCTTTTAAAAAAGGGACTGGGGCTGGGTGCAGTGGCTCATGCCTGTAATCCCAGCACTTTGGGAGGCCAAGGTGGGAGGAGTGCTTGAGCCCAGGAGTTCAAGACCAGCCTGGGCAACATAAGACCTTGTCTCTACAAGTAATTTAAAAATTAGCCAGGCATGGTGGTGCATGCCTGTGGTCCCAGTTACTCTGGAGGCTGAGGTGGGAGGATCACTTGAGCCCAGACAGTCGAGGCTGCAAGTGACCTGTGATTGCGTCACTGCACTCCAGCCTGGGTGACAAAGAGAGATGCATTCTCAAAAAAAAAAAAAAAAAAAAAAAGCTGGGGGTTGGGGCGGTGGTGTGGGGGACTAAATGCAGGATGATCACTTGAGGGCCAGAGTTTGAGACCAGCCTGGGCAACATAGTGAGACCTTATCTCAGTTTTTTAAAAACATTTTTAAAATTAAAAATAAAGAAAAAATTGAAAAGAGACTACATGACCATGATGACGCGTAAAGACATTTTGAGAAAGCACACAGAAGCAAGATGGTGAGATATTGAGAAGGTGCAAACAGCAATGTCTTTTTGACGGCATCATCCTCCACCAAGGTCCAACAAGGTCCAGCATCCTGGGCCCACGGGGAGGGCAGTCTGGGGCCGCCTCTCATGATACTATCTCATCACAATGAAAAAGTAAGGCTGCGTGTCAGGGAAGAGGCCGAGGGGGCAGACCTCCCCCAAAGAAAAGGGTAGGCCAGGCCCTCCCACCTGCCTGGGCTAGTGGTGGAAGCAAGGCAGTGACTTTGGGTTTTTGCACTCACTCTCCCCCGCCCTACTGTCTCCTCTGTGCAGCCTCTGTCTCCTTCATCCCATAGAACAACCATCCCCCCCACAGAACAACCCATTTGTCTGGGGAGAAGACTGCAGGACAGCCCCTGAGTCGGAATCTGACTAAAGCCTCCAAAAGCAGTGCATGCTGTCACAGTAAGAGCGGCTGCTGCTGGCCCCCCCTCCCTTTCAGTTGCCCTTACTCCCATGAAGACAATGGCCCTGGGGCCCGAGGGGCTCTCAGCTTTCCCTCTGGCAGCGAAGAACACCATGGGTAAAGGACTTTCAGCCATCATCATCAGTCCCTGGCGTGCATGCGTGCACGAGTCTATGTGTGCCTGAGTGTGTGAGTGTGTGTGTGTGTGTGTGTGAGAAACTGTTTCGTGTGAAGAGCTGGCAGGGTGAGTGAGACAGCAGATAGCCTCCCACAGCCCTGGAGACTTCCCGAGGCTTCATTCCTGGTCTTCTCCATGGTCTCGAGCTGTACTAGATTTCTGGGTACAATTTCACTTTTTTTTTTAACCGGGTTTGCTTTGCTTTTTGCTTTCCTATTTACTAGAATCATGTCACCCGACACAATGAGGACAATTCCTGAAGGGAGAGCAGTCCCAAGAAGGGACACTCTCTTCCCTGCACTGGCTGTGAGCCCTTCAAAGGCAGCACAGCCAAGAGGTTAAGAAGACCAACACCAATGCTGAAGCCAGACTGCTTGAGTTTGAGACTCAGCTCTGCCACTTCCTACCTGTGTGATGTTGGACAAGTCACCTAACCTTTCTGTGCCTTGGTTTCCTCACCTGAAAATAAGAGCAGTAATGCCTATCTCTGTATGTGGCTGTGAGCAGTAGAGGGGTAACAGGTGCTTAGACCAGGAGGGAGCAGCGGTGGTCACTAAGGAAGTGTGTGGGTAGCTATGTTTGCTGTAGAAAGTAGGGTTGCATTTACTCCCCTTTATATTCTAGGCACCAGTGCAATGCCTGGCACATGGCAAGCCTTTCATAAGGGTTTATTAAATGAATAGCTCTCCAGAGAGGCATCAGCCAAGGCCCAAAGAGCTGTGTGTCCACGGAACTAGACAAGCTGTGTTTGTGGGTTTCTGCTGCCCTGTACTCTGGTGGTTGCCAGGGCCTGGGAGGGGGGAGTGGGCAGCTCATGTTAATGGGCACAGAGTTTCCGTTTGGGAAGATGAAAATGTCCTGCAGATGGATGGTGGTGATGGTTGCACAGCATTGTGAATGTACTTACTGCCACAGGACTCTACACTTAAAAATGGCTAAAATGGTAAATATTACGTTATGCACATTTTACCACAATAAAAAAAAATGCCTTTTGGGTGTCCACTAACTCACTAGTCATTGGCAACCTTGGCAAGAGATGGGTCTTTACCTGGGACACATACACTCCACACAGCAGCCACTCAGGAGCCTCAATCATGTAATCTCTCCACGAATGAATTTCATTTCATCATGGCTTTTGCAGAATGGGGGGAATTTCTTTTTCTTTTCTGCTGTGATTCAGGGCTACTGGCCTTGCAGGAGACTTTTGGCTGGGAACCCCAGAATACCCAGCCATCCCAGGCCCATAATACCAGTTCTGTCCCCCTAGCCCCTTGCCCAGCAACAGCCCCAGCCAGCAGCTCTGGGAGACTGTGTGTCACTCCCTCTAATGAGCTGCTCCTGCAACCTGGAGTAAGGACAGACCATCACTCCACCTGCCAGGGAGCGGCCGGAAGAGGAGTCGTGCTCCATTCTGGTGGTCCCCACCTGATTACTGAGCCAAGGAGAGAATCACAGGGTCAGACAGAGCCGCGTCTGAGGCTGATGGATTTTCAAAGCAGAACTCATTAGGTGCAGGGAGACTTAACTGAGGCTTTGAAACCTAGGGCAGTACGTTCTCTTTCTAGCAGTCTAAACAAACAGGAAAATGACAGGGGTGGCAGCCCCTGAGATGAGGAGGGCAGGACTCAGCCCTTGGCCTGATGCCAACGCAGGCTCTGGGGAGAAAGTCACCAGCAGACATTTCCTATTAGGGAAAGAAGGCTCTGCGGATGTGAAAGGCTGACTATCTATTGGCGTGCAGTTGCCTTTGATATTTTGGTGGTTCAGACTATCCACTGCAGGCTTCCACATGCCTAAAAGGAGCTGAAAAATGGGTGACCAGATATGACATGGTGTTAGTTATTTTTGTCCTCCCAGAAATGGCACTTTGGGAAATCTTGTCCTGTTGAACACCAAGAAACACCTTCATGTTTGCCCTGGCCTGGGCCTTTGCCCCGTCTTCTCCCCAACCCTGTTCAGAAAGTCCCACTGCCACTTAGCCACCCCCCACTCTGTTCCCCACAACCCAGAGCCCAGCCAGGCCTCGCGGCCCAGTCCATGGACCTGGCCAGCCACCATCACCTGCCTCCTGCCTCACCCACCCTGGGTGCCTGCCGGCAGGGATTGGAGGGCAGCCTGCTGGAGCGTCAGACCAGGCCAATCTGTCTTTCTGGGAACCTTCAGCCTCCAGCTGGAGCTGACTGTCAACTTTCGGGTGAGAAGTCACTTTTCTGCATTCCCACCACACTATCTATCTGTGCAATAGGGCAGCGTGACAGCACTCACCTTATTGAGGGCTTCTGCTGTCCTGGCCCATTCTGTATAGGCCTGATCTAGTCCTCACAAATCACTGTGAGGTGCAGAGCAGTGGTCAGGCGACTGCTCCTGGTACCCGACTGCCTGAGCCCACCAGCTCTGCCCCTTCCTAACTTGGGCAGGTCCATCAGGCTCTCTGTGCCCAAGGCTCTCCTCCCGCTAGCACCTACTTCACAGGCCTGCTGTGAGCAGCCAGTGAGTCCACATATGCAGAGTTCTGGGATGGAGCCAGCAGCCCGGACAGCAAGGAGCCCAGACATATGACCCCAGCCCTGCTCGGAACTGACCGCGGTCCACACCTGCGGTTTGCTTGTTCCCCATGAGTTGGGGTGGGCCTTTCCTCTGAGGGGTTGTGAGACCCAAAGCCCTGGGGCCCCGCTGACCCCGAGACACGCCCTCTGGGCTTCAGGAGTCCTATCACTTCTCTTGCAAAGCTGTCTCC
Source organism: Homo sapiens (assembly GCF_000001405.40). NCBI lineage: Eukaryota > Metazoa > Chordata > Mammalia > Primates > Hominidae > Homo > Homo sapiens. Next base: position 226,574,798 of record NC_000001.11, on the reverse strand, counting down.
ACTCTGAGAGTTGGCAACGGTAACGTCCCCACCTCGGGCTCCCTGAGGTGCACTTGTTTATGTGAGGTCTCCACATCTCTCACAGGCCTGGTCACCCGTCACTTTGGCCTACTTCGCATCAGTTCCTCTTCTGGAAACAGTGCGCATAGCTTCCTTTGGGGTCCTCGTCTCCCCCATGCTCAGGCCATGAATTTGGGTGGGACTGACCTTGGCCCCCAATTCCCAAGGTGGGCACATGATACAGGTCTGGCCGATCCAAGCGTCTCATTGCCCTGTCACAGTGATTACACAGGGAAGGGCACATAACTCAAGCCGGGCCAACGACATTCAACTCCAGGAGGTTTACAGGACAATTAGGGAAAAACAGCCCTCTTTTTGAAGGAAATACTGTCATTTGCAACAACGTGGGTGAACCTGGAAAACATTATGCTAAGTGAAATAAGCCAGATACAGAATAAAAACTACATGATCTCACTTATACGTGGAATCTAAAAAAGTCAAATACACAGAAACAGAGAGTAGAAGCAGTGGTTACCAGGGTCAGATAGCTGGTGAAATCAGCAGACAGAGGTCAAAGGGCACAAAGTTGCAGTTACATAAGATGAACAAGCCTAGAGATCTAATATATGGCATATGGACTATAGTTATTAAAAGTATATTGTAGGCTGGGGGCTATGGCTCATGCCTGTAATCCCAGCACTTTGGGAGGCTGAGGCTGGAGGATCATTTGAGGTCAGGAGTTTGAGACCAGCCTGACCAACATGGTAAAACCCCATCTCTACTAAAAATACAAAAAATTAGCAGCACATGGTGGTGTGCACCTGTAATCCCAGCTACTCGGGAGGCTCAGGCAGGAGAATTGCTTGAACCCAGGAGGTGGAGGTTGCAGTGAGCTGAGATCACACCACTGCACCCCAGCCTGGCGACAGAGCAAGACTCCATCTCAAAAAAAAAAAAAAAGTATATTGTACACTGGAAATTCACTAGGAGAGTAGATTTCAGGTGCTCTTACCACATACATACACAAAAACGTAACTATGTGAGGAGATGGATATGTTCATTTGCTTGACTGTAGTATTCATTTCACTACGTATATCAAAATATCATGCTGTACACCTTCAATATACACAATTTTTATTTTAAAAATTAAAAATAAATAAAACCCCCTCTTTTTACTGGAATTGCTAGTTTAAAAGACATTGTCACTGTGGATCACTATGAGTCACCATGTAAAAAGAGTCCACTTAAAAATCAAGCAATATAGAGGAATGGAAGTCAGGCCAAGAGCTGGAAAGAAAACCAGAGCCTTGAGGACATCTTTGAGCACCTGGATCCAGCAAGGCCTGAAATCCACTGTGCCCTGGATTTTACTGTTCTGTGAACCAATAAATCCCATCTTCTGTTTAAACCAGCTTGAGTTGGTTTTCTAACACTTTTAACTGAAAGAGTCGTGACTAACCCGCCACCATCTGTTACAAAAGCTCTATGTGCATTAACTCACTTATGGCAACAAGCCTGTGAAGTAGGTACTACTAACATCAGGTTCATCAAACCTGAAGCAAAAAATGCTTAATTGACCTGGCCAAGGTTAGAAAGGGCCGGTCAGGAATGGCAGACCGATGCACCACTTTGGAAAATCTGCTGTATGTGGTAACTAACCTATGCAGGGATCCAGGTGCCCAGGTAACACTACAGCAGGTGCTGGACCAACTCCGGAAAGTTGGATGAAAACAACAACAAACCAAACCCCAAACCTGCGGCAGGCCCAGGACTCAGACATGATCTTCATCCTACTGCTTCCCATGTGACCTCCCTCTGGGGATCAGGGTCAGGAGGCCTGGGTTCTAGCCCTGGCTCTGCCACCATGGGACCTGGGAGAGTCCCTCTTGCCTCTGAGCCTCAGTGCCCATGTCTGTAAAATGAGAGGCTTGGACTGTGTGTTCCTCAAGGACCCTTCCAGCTCTAACTTTTCATGAGCCTGGTCCCGTGAAACAGAAGGAAGCCATTCCTGCAGAACTAGTACCGCGGACCCTGACTTTCCTGCTCAATGCCATGGCAGGAGCACTTGAGGGGCTTCCAGGCATTTCCCCAGAGGTTGGGGCACTTTCCCTGGGGCAGAGCAGCCAGAGTACCTGAGTCCCAGGAATGCTGCCCAAAGGCCGACTCAGGGACTTGGGGAACTCAGGAGGCTTCCCTGGCCTGCTTAATCCACCGGGAGGCCCTGCCCTCTGGGAGTTCTTAGACAAAGCGTGCTCCCCTCTGCTCCGTCTGCTCATCGTAAAACTGTGACCAGCTCCACTTTCCCCTTTCCATCTCCCCGAGGCATCCAGCCGCACAGGGCTGTTAGCCTCTCCCACCTCGGGTTTCCTGGTTTCCACTGAAGCCCAGCTTCATGACAGTATCCCTGTAGACCCAGGATTTGGCCAAGTGCCTACTTTCAACAATGCATACTTGTTGAAAGTTGTTAAATGAATGTAGTAGGTATTAGAAAAACAGACTGAAAAAAGCCCTGAGAATCTCAGAGTCAATGGCTCTCACCTTTCCAAGGTCAAATTACATTTCAATGACCTTGACCCAGAACACCTGTGCTGTGAATGCCCCTCTGTGGAGGAAGGTGATGGTGCCTGTTTCTTTGATGACAAGGGTGGCAGGTTCTCACCGCAGCCGGTATCATCATCATGCCCTTTAATTCTTGTTTATTGGCTGTGCTTGTTCGACAGTGTCTTGTTGCCTCTCTGCTCTGACCACCTGTCCATGCCAGTGTAGCAGCTCTGACAACACAGGTTTCTAAGCAACTTTGCTCAAGAGGCCTCCAGGCACTCAGAAGTGCGAAGTAGGAGAATAAGGAAGGGAAAAGGGGCCGGGTGTGGTGGCTCACGCCTGTAATCCAAGCACTTTTGGGAGGCCAAGGTGGGTGGATCACCTGAGGTCAGGAGTTCGAGACCAGACTAATCAACATGGAAAAACCCCATCTCTACTAAAAATACAAAAATTAGCTGAGGGTGGTGGTGCATGCCTGGAATCCCAGCTACTCACGAGGCTGAGGCAGGAGAATCCCTTGAACCCTGCAGGCAGAGGTTGCAGTGAGCCAAGATCACGCCATTGCACTCCAGCCTGGGCAACAAGAGTGAAACTCCATCTCAAAAAAAAAAAAGAAGAAGAAGAAGAAGGGAGAAGGTTCCAAGGGGTAACCCTGGGGTCCACAAACCCCCTGGGGCATCCATGAACTATAACTGCAAAAAAAAAATTTGCATCTTAATTTTCACTAACCTTGAACTCAATTTTAGCATTCCCTCTCATTATAAATGCAGACAATAACCAAAGTAATATTAACACAACCTGGTCTTCATCACCAAATAGGTAGCAGGAAACCATAGATATTCCTGCTACGGTCAAGAAGTCGATTTCTCAAAATATCATTGGCACTTATCACTATTTCGAAGTTATGGTACTTCCTAGACCCTCCACTGGATCTTCTTATTTAATACATCAATACAGAAGCACAGTGTTTCTATATGCAAATTTTTTTCTATAGTTTTTGTTTTGTTTTGTTTTGTTTTGTTTTTGAGACAGTCCCATTCACGCTGTCTCCCAGGCTGGAGGACGGTGATGTGATCTCGGCTCACTGCAACCTCCGTCTCCCGGGTTCAAGCAAATCTCCTGCCTCAGCCTCCCGAATAGATGGGATTACAGGTGCCCACCACCATGCCTGGCTAATCTTTGTATTTTTAGTAGAGACAGGGTTTCACCATTTTGACCAGGCTGGTCTCAAACTCCTTTCCTCAAGTGATCCTCCCGCCTCGGCCTCCAAAAGTGCTGAGATTATAGGTGTGAGCCACAGTGCCTGGCCTACAAATTTGCTTTTAAAAATATTTTAATAAGTCTTTTTCAATATCATTGGGGCTTTTAAAGTCTATGTATTAAATGCATTAAAAATGCATTTTTAAAAAAACCATTATTCTGAGAAGGGGTCCAAGGCTTCATCAGAACGCTAAAGGGTCCAATGGCACAAAAACAAGGTTAAGAACCTCTGGATTTAGGTCTCTAATATCTTCTCCCAGGTTCAGCCCTCACCCTTCACATATGAAGGATAAATGATCATTTGTTTGGATGCTGCAGCTCCAGGTGCTGGGGAAGCAGGGAGCTCAAAGAGGCAAGAGCTCTCTGCATGATGCTCCTTGAAGAAAAGCCTGCTCTGGCCAGAAGGAAGCCAGGTGGAGGGAGGTGGCTTGGCCCCTGTGGGGTGGAAACTTCTCTCACCCTGGTGCTGTCTAGTCTAAAACAATGGCGACTGCATCTGTTCAGCCTTCTGAGTTTCTCCACCTGTTGGAGGAACTGTGCTTAGCTTCTTCCCTCTTACTCTGTAGATTTCTATTGTATTTTACAGGGTGGTTTTGGGCATCATTGGTTGCTCTGACACTGCCAATGTGCTTTGGATGATCCCTGTTGCTAAGAAACAAACCTCAGATGTATCTTTAAACACACAGCTCCATAAAAGCACACGCCTCCTGACTCAACTCCATTATGTCTTTTCTTGGGCTGCTGGGTTACACTAACAGCTGTTTTCCAAAGGCCACATTTTGAACCTCAAGGAAATCTCACTGACTGTTCTGCTTACCCAGAGGAGCCACCAGAGCTCCGGGTGACAGCCCTGAGCAGAAAGGAGGGCATCACTCCAGCCTGGAGCCCTGCAAACATCCAGCAGGGGGCTTGTGAAGGAGGGCCTCCAGGGAGGGGCGGGGCTCAGGTTGGGGGCTGAGCTGAGGACAGGAGGAGCCCTGATGTGTGGCAGTCACCCTGAGGGACCAGTGAGCTGTGGGCCTGTCTTGGAGGCTCTTTTTTAGTATTTCTAAGAACCACTGACCTCACCTTACTGCAGAGCAGCTCCAGATTAAAAATGCTTCAAACCAAATCTAACCCTAACTTATCTCCCTGCCAGGCTCTACCCCTCTTCAGTATTTCTACCAGACAGCGCAGATCCCACCATCCCCTCCCAGTCCTGAAGGCAGAAGAGGGTCACGCAGGCAGGCCACAGCTGGGAGTAGCCACTCCTGGCTCTCCCTCTTGTCCCTCAATCCCAGGCTTTGGGGGTACGTTACATTGAGCTTCCCCAGGAGTGTTTCTCAAATGGGGTGCTTTTCAAACAATGCAAGTTATCTGGCCCCACTCCATTTCTGCTAATATTGAGTCAGAATCTCTGAGGGTAGAAGCTGGGGTTTTACATTTTTACCAAGCGTCCCAAGGGATTCTGAGGTCTGAGAACTGCAGTGTGGGACCGCACATCAGCCATGTCCCTGACAAGCTATTTGGCCCCAAAATTACTGAGCACCTGCTACAAGCCAGGTATTGTACCAGCCATGGAGGTGCGGAGCTGAGTGAAGACTCACCCTGTGCTCAACAGGCTCACAGCCTAGTGGCCCTGCTGGGTCACAGAGCATTGGGCCTCTCACAGCTGGAATGGGAGGGCTGGCTTCACCCCAGCACAAATTCTAAGGATAATAATAATAAGGACAACATGTAAGCCTCACTATATATATGTGCAAAGTGCTATTCTAAGACTTTATATGTAATAACATTCAATCTTCAAGAGAGCCCTATGAGATAGGTATGATTATGATCCCATTTTACAGATGAAGAAACTGAGGCACAGAGAGGTTAAGTCACCTGCCTAAGGTCATACAGCCATCATGTGATACCGTTGGATCCAGGAGGTATTCCTTCAGAAAAAAAAAAAAGTCATCCCCAGAAAAGAGACACCAAAACTTGGGGAAGCATGCACGTGTGGGCACATGCATGGGCACAGCAAGGTCCCCTTGTGTGTGGGCACAGCAAGGTCCCCTTGCTAGGGACCCTACAAGGACCTCTGTCTGCCACCCCACCTCCTCTTAACAGTGTGGTCGGCGTTTCTGCTTCTGCTTATCCTTACTTCTAGAGAATAAGAGAGGCCACCCTCATTCCTGGCACCAGGAGCAAGGTCTGTCCCTGGAGCAATGAGGTGTCCTCCAGAGAGCAACGTCGCAGGGGCGAAGCTCCTCACTGCATTTCATGCCTTGGGCCTCCTTTCAAAGCCAAAGTCAAGGGACAAGGGACATGCCTGCTCCTCCCCACAGCTGGGACAGTGGCTGCCAGAGGGGGCAGCAGGCAGCCAGGCACCAGACCTGGCTGTTCTTTGCTCAGCAGGCTCCTTCCCTCTCCTCCTGGCCACCCACCAGCCTCAGTCAAGCTGCCTGCTACTGATGCTTTAAACTTTTTTAAAAAAATTAAATGTGTGTTGAAGGAAGAGGCTGGAGCTGCGCTGCAGGCAGCGTTCTGGTTCCAATTCCCACTCTGGATGGGGCGATGAACCACATTCCTGAAGCTGTCCCTGCCAAATTCCTCTGGACTATTTCAGGGCAAAGAAAAAATGCCTGGGAAGCCCTTGGAGCAGTGCTGATAGGCCCTGAACAACCCACCCCGCCTAGGGTTGACGGCAGCCCTGAACCCGCAGTGGGACTCACAGCCCTCAGCACCCTCGGAATGAGGCCCACCGAAACCTCACTACTCTAGAAGCACAAACTCTTTCTTTTTCAATAAACACACTTGACAAATCACAAATCAGCAGCAGCTGCCGGCCGTTGCCAGAGCCTGCAGAATGGACAGTCTCCTGACCTTTCCCACTGGTGTGAAGTGTGAGACTGTGCATAGTGGAGCTGGTGCTCTGAGTTTTTCTGATTTGTGCAAACTTCTGGATGTGCACTTGTCTTAGGCACATGTGGGATGCCGGTGTGCAGGCTCCCGGGCACGCACATGACCTCTCCCGGGTGTCTCAGGTTTGGCTTCCAAGGAATGGAGATCAGTGCTCAGCCAGACAGGTAGTCTGGTACCTCCTCCTCGGGGTGCCCTGTTCGCATTTCTGACAATACATAAATAATAATGTCAACACAATAGCTTTCTAGTAATTCATAATTCTTTATGATTCATAATTCTATATGATTCAAGCCCCTCAGCTGTGTTCAGGTGTTCAATTAGGCAGCATCTGGTGCCAAATGCGTGACCTGCTCACTAGAGACCCCTCGGCAGAATCATCCATCTCACGCTGGCACGCTTCCACTTTTAAATGCTTTTATTTGTCATTTCTTCTCCAATGTGTGTTTGGCTATTAGAAAATTCTCTGTCTTACCTGTTCATCTCCTCCCTCGATCTCTTTGTATAGCTCATTCTCTGGGAAATAAAGTTTACTGGCAAGCCCCTGTTTGTGAGCCATAACAAATGTCTGGCATCACTGAGAAAAATGATGCTGTTTAGGGCCATCGGGACCATCTACCTCTTCTCATTAAATCTGCTTTCCCTCAACCACTGGCATTCAGGATGAATATAAAACTATTTCTTATTCAATGTTTCCTTACTTTGTTTAATAGCTAATATTGTTGTGTTTCTATTTTCCGTTATTTTCCACTGCAAATGTTCAGCATTTTAGCAGTGTAGTGTGGTAAATGGGCTTTTTGAACGAATCTGGTTTGAGAAAAGAGCCCGCGGGGCCGTCACCACCCGTTGGATAGCTCCAGGACGGACAGTCTTCAAAGGCTTTTTGAAAGCAAGGCTCGGGAAGAGATTTCAGGTCAATCTGGCCTGGACAGGACTGTTGATTAGCAGAGCAGGTGCCCCGGCCTCACCACCCTACTGGCTTCATCCTAGGAACAGGCTGGTCTCCTTCTCCCCCAACCAGATCTACTTCCAAGAAGCCCTTTGTGTCAAGTGTGTTGTTTAGAAATCCAGGTCTCTGTCCTAACATGGATTCTTGGAATCTTATTTGCAGCATTTGCGGGAAGCAGCAATGGAGTTGCTGCCAAATTCACCACCTACCTTCCCCCCAACACTGCATATCAACCTCAGCCTTCAATGTGCAAAAATCCCCACAAAAATCATGTTTATGGAAATTATATTGCCATGGCAACTGTAAAGGTCTCACAAGTATTTTTAAAATAGCAAATTAACAAAACCCACTTATAAAAATCTAAAATCTGTTCCTTCGTAGGAATTACTGATCATACAAGGTCCAGCAAATATAAGATGTGTTTTGTGACATGGTGGCAAAAAGTCAGTTAAAAGGGCTCTTGATCCTGGAATAATTGGGACAGAGGGTTGAATTGGTGAAAGCAAAGTTTGATTTTTTTCTATTAAGAGGTTGCACTTTGAATTTATTCTGGAAAAATGGCACCAAGACCTTCTGGTACAAAAAAAAATGTGGGTAAGAGACCTGAATTGCTGAAATACTAATTTATTACTTTCTATTTTCTCATCACTGATATTATTACCTTCCCCACTCTGCAAGACTATTCCATTTTTAACTCATAGGTTTTTAGCAGTTGCATAAGCTTCTGCCGCTGTGATTTAGCCTGGCTGAATCTCTATTATAAAACCTGCTTCTCAGAAGTCTGCACACAAATCACACAAGAGGGGGAAAAAAATCAGAAGAACCCTACTAGAACCTTTATGCCTTTTAAAAATGTAATTGGCATGGCTATCAAAAGGGATTCTTTCAAGTAGATGATGCACTAATTTTTGGTGTCTTTTGTAAAGACTTAAAACATAATAGGCGTATTTTGATGACTTCTCATAACAAGAAATCATTGGGGGCTTTGACATTTCAAACAGTGGAGGTTCTTTCTGTGAGTGGAGGAAGAGAAATCAAACCACGCAACTGAGGATTCCATTCCTAAGCAAGTGTCATTCTCCAAGGGAAGAGGAACAGAAGAAAGGGTGGTGGGGGACAAAAATGCAAAACGGTAGGTCCTAGGGAGAGGGGAGTACCCTGGACTGAGTAGCGATTTGCTTTCAATATCTTCTGTTTATCACAGAAAGAGTAAGGAGGAATCGCTGGTAAGCCCAGGCACAAGCAATGGGCTGGGCAGCTGTTGCACCTTCCAAAATGAAGGCTCCAGGTGAAAGAGGGAGATGACATTCCGGGAAGGCAGCGATGCTTCCAGCCATCTGGGTTTCTTGGGAGGAGAGCAGGCAGAACCAGGATTCTGCTGCTGGGGAATCCTCTGGGCAGGAGGTGCAGCCCAGAGATCTCTGAGCCAAGCGTGGGCGAGAGACGGGAGGATGGGGGGTATGCAGAACTACCCAGGCAGGAGCCGGGCAGGGAGTCACGCCTAGCACCTTCTCAAGTCTCCACCCCTCCCCCAGCTGAGGCATCTCCTGAGCACCAGAGCCATTTGCAAGCTGGACACCCACACTTTTCAGACGGCAGGAAGCCCTGGCTCCATGTACTGGCTGTTTCAGAGCTTCTAGGAGGAAGACTGTGTTAGAAACCAACATCTTTAGGAAAACCAGGTGGAGGTGGGTGGGATGAGAAGTGACGGTGGGGGAGCAGTAGTATGCCAAGGCTGGTGGTTCAGGACCCCACAGTCTAGTCAGGGGTGCTAAAAACAAACATCTCTGTGTGACCAGGGGGTCCCAGCAGGAAGCAAAGGCTCCCACCCCCAGGGTCTTCATGAAGGAACTATACACAGAGGTCTGGGCAGGATGGGAGGCTGAAATGCTGGTACCCAGCAACAGCAGGAGGCCACTCCCACCCTTGGGCCTGAGGGGCAGGGAGAGGGAAGGCTGTTGTTGGGCGGAGAGGGCTGGGGTAGTAGAAGGGGGCTGTAGAATGGAATTCGTGGTCATAGACAGGAAGTTGGAGGGAATGGGAAACCAATACCCCAAACTCTCCCTCCTTTCCTCCATGCCTACCAGTGCCTCCCATTGGCTAAGACACCTGGAAGCTCGAGGGCAAGGGGACTGGTGATGCAGGCCGTAGAGGTCGGCCTCCTCGGGTCCAGAGCAGGATAGGGAAGAGCAGAAAATGCATGGGGGAGGGCAGGGGAGTGGGAGCCACTGGCCTACCTGTCAAGCCTCCTCCCCTGCCCACCTCTGCTAGGGCAAGGCTTCTTAGTCATTCAGAACCGGAATGCATGAGATGCATCAGGCTAAGCGCTGAGGCTCCCATCAACAGGATGAGCTGGAATGAGAAGCCAGGATTCCAGATCTCAGCCAGCAGAAGCCACACTCTCCTTGAGAAAGGGGCACGTTTCCCAGCTCATTATCACCCAGCAAGTAGGGCTGGGATTCTACTGGGTGCCCTGCAGTGGGCCCTCCACTAGAGGAAGTCACACAAAAAAGGTATAATCAAAGAGATAAGAGTAACCCACATGCTAAGTTAGAAAACTCAAAATTAGAGTGGCAGGTAGACCAGATAATCCAAGAGTAGATGCCTGGTTCCAATGCACGTTCTACCCATCACCCAACCACCAACCCCAGCCATTGCTGACTGTCTTCAGATGCATGTTAAGAATCACACTCTTTTCCCCCCATGATTGGTGGCAGTCCGCTCCCATGATGCTGGGAAGGGAACCCCATGAAGAATAAGAAACAATGAGATGGAAATAGGCCTGGGAGACAAAGCCACTCACCCACTCCCTTCCCTAAGTCCTCCTTCAAGAAGTGCTTTGCTTGACCTCCAAGCATTTCCTGAGGACCGACATCTTGAAACAGGGTAACCTAGCTCCTAAGTCCTCAGGGAAACTCACACAGAGAGATCTAGAACATCCTGGGCATGAGATGTATTGGGCTCAGAAGGGAAACTAAAAGGAAAAATAAACCACACAGTGGGCTCACCCAAGAGTGGGCCCAAGTAATTGGGTATCTCGCCAGACTCAAGACTTTCCTGAGTTTTCTTTCCCTTTAGCCCCAATCAATTCCCAAGCACTGAGGGCCTTGTGCTCAGGATGTATCAGCCTCAGAGTTCAGCCATGGGCAGTCGGACGCAAGACCACCCGAGCCTTTTGGCCAAGCCTGACCTGTGAGTGAGGGTGCATCAGAGCTCACCACCCTTTCTGCCTTGAGCCTCAGAACCCCAGCTATTTGGGCCTAAGATGGTAATGTTTACTTTTTTCCCTTCTGAGTCAGGCCACAGGGCAATTCCTGGAAGGATTCCACTTGCACGTTCAACCCACATGACCTCTCAGAGCAGCCAAGGCAAAGGGGCAGTTCTCTCATGCCCTCTCGGCATGGCAAAGTCACTGGTTGTTGATTTGAGGTGTTTCTTTGAGGTCCATGGACAACTTCTGGACTCCATGCTAAGTCAAAAAGAGGAATAACGAAGAAAATGAAGACTTCTCCAAAATAGCTCTGCAGCATTGGGATCTGCTCTGGCTGAAGCATTCAGATTCCTGATCAGCCCCAAAGGAATCCTGCAAAGGCAGCCTGCTCAGATCCATGGGCCACTGAAGGGAATTGGGTGTGCACAATGACCCCGGCCTCCTGGAACTCACTTTAACTGAGTTAGTTCATCAAGCCTATGCTGATGGAGCAGAAAAACACCTCATACTCCCAAATGGCTGCAATAAACTTTTGTGTGCCCTTAGGGTTTTAATAGTAAGGATCTCTGGAAAAATCTCCTTTGGGGGCCTGGGCCTTGCAAATCAATGCCACCTTGTGCCCTGACTTTTTTCCTGTGGTCCCCAGATAGCCCCTGACTTACTTATGGCTGGTAGACCTTATGGAAGTGATAAGAGAGAGGATGTGACTGGCTTAGAGTACAGTAGTTTGGATTTAGGTGCAATCACTATGTCTGAACCGTATGAGTGTGTTTGGCTTTTTGCCAAATATTTTAACTTTTTATTTTAAAATAGTATCAAACTGGCAGAAAAGTTGCAAAAATAATGCAAAGAATTCTGGTCTACGCTTTACCCAGATTCCCAACTTTTAACATTTCACTCCATTTGTCTTGCCATTCTCTTTCTCTCCACATTCTTATTTGTTTCTTTCTGAACCATTTGTGAATAAGCTGCCGACATCATGGCTCTTTATTTCTTTATATTTCAATGTGTTTCCAAAGAACAAAGATATTCTCTTATATATTCATAGCACAGTTAAACTTAGGAAGCTAAATATTGATACAATATTTCATCTAATCTGCAATCTGTATTCTAATTTTTGTCAATTGTCTCAATAATGTCCTATTGTGATTCTCTTTTCTTCCAGTACAGGATGTAATTCAAGATTACGTTTTGTATACAGCTGTCATGTGTTTTAGACTCCCTTAATATTTTATGACAATGATGCTTTTGAAGAATACAGGCCAGGTACCTTGTAGAACACCCCTCAATTTGGGTTTGTCTGATGTTTCCCCATGAGCAGATCCAGTTTATGAACCCCTGGCTAGAAGACTACAAAAGTGCTATTGTGTTCCTCTCAGGATATCATATCAGGAGGTACATGATGTCGGTCCCTTGTTGATGATGTTAATTTTTAACAGCTTTATTGAGATACAATTTTCTTTTCTTTTTTTTTTTTTTTCAGAAGGAGTCTTGCTCTGTCGCCCAGGCTCGAGAGGGCGTGCAGTGGCACAATCTCGGCTCACTGCAACCTATGCCTCCTGGGTTCAAGTGATTCTCCTGCATCAGCCTCCCGAGTAACTGAGACTACAGGCATGCACCACCACACCTGGCTAATTTTTGTATTTTTAGTAGAGACGGGGTTTCATCACGCTGGCCAGGCCAGTCTCAAACTCCTGACCTCAGGTGATCCACCCACCTCGGCCTCCCACTGTGCTAGGATTACAGAAGTGAGCCACTGCACCAGGCCAGAGATGCAATGTTCATATCACAAAATTCACCCACTGAATAATTCAGTGGCTTTTAGTATATTCACAGCTTTGTGGAACCATCACCACAATCAATTTTAGAACATTTAGAACATTTTCATCACCCCCAAAAGAAAGCTCATACCCATTAATGGTCACTCCCCACTTCCCCCCAACCTCACCCCCCACCCGACATACTGTCTCTACAGATTTGCCCACTGTGGAAATTTCATATCAGTGGAATCACACAATGCATGGCCTTTTGTGACTGAGTTCTTTCACCTAGCAATTTTTCAGGATTCAGATGATGTTAATTGCGTTCACTCAGTCAAGATGCTATCTGGTTCCTGCACTCTCTCATGTTCCCTGTGTAAGTTAGAAGCATTCCAAGGGTAGACACTTTACAATCATGCAAATAAATATCCTGCTCCTCATCCAACTTCCCCTTAGACTTAGATTTGATGGTTATTGACCAAACCAATCTTTATTAACAAGGTTTACTAAGATTGATCCCTTCCACCACTCCTCTGACACTCATCAGTGGTTAGCTACACAACTGGAAAGTTCACAGGGTAATTAGAGTTGGTGGCCCCGCTCTTCTCAGTAACATCATAACTGCTCCAACAAGTCCCCCACAGACCAGGCCATCTGTCCTAGCAACAACTCTCCTCTGTTCCAGTTCCTCCCTGAGTGGTCGGGGACCAAGGACTCCTCAGAGACACACACGCTGCAGGACAACACATCTGCCCTCATTCTGCATGCAGCCCTGAGAACTCTGAGCTAGGAAGGCCAAGAAGTGACAGGAAAGCCTGTGTCTCCTGGGGAAGGGTCCACTAGGTTAAAAGAACAAGGACCTGCTCTTGATTCCACCTTTCCTACCAGTAGTTAATATGCAAACATACCTTCACTTCAGCAAACACCTACTACAAAGGTGCTAGTTGCGATTGGAAATAGAAGATAAGTAAAGCACAGCCCCTACCCTCAAGGAGACGATTTCCCATAGAAGGATTAAGACAACCAAAGAACCAGAATCTCAAGGAGAGCAAGAGGAACGTCCTACATGACCTGACCATTCTGAGGAAGGAAGAGCCCACCTCACTGGCATGGTCAGGAAAGGCTTTCGGAAGAGGGCATTTGAGTTGGGTCTTGAAGGCTGGTTAGGAGTTAGACAGTGATGATGGAGGAAGGTGTACCAGGAAGAGGGTATAGCAGGAGCAACAATGCTCCCAAATAAAGGCCTACATAAAGCGAGGGAAAGAATGGGTAAAGCTCGCTGGACCCTCGTGGGTCCAATGTGGAATGTGAACTTGGTTCAGTGGACAATGGAGAGCTCCTGAAAAATTTCAGGGGAGGAGAATCTAATGATCAGAGCTGAGACATGAATAGAAATGTGCTTAGTCTGCTAACAGAGAAAATCAAAATGGGAGCATTATACCACAGCCATTCTGAGATGTGACCCAGGGGACCCACTTCCATTTGATCTGCTGTCGGCGCTCCCTTCTGCAGCTTGGCCTAAGAGTGACACTTCTGAAACCAATGCAACATCTCCAACCAGGGCCACAACTTATCCATCCCAGAGAGAGTGACTCACTCCATCACACACATGCCCCACATTTCAACCTGTGCCACTGTCTCTGTGCTATTCCATTTTCATTGAGAATGTTTTCTGCTCGGTGACATGCTTCTTTTTCAAATGAAACAGAAAATAGAAGATGACAATCATCGAAACAATGTTCCATAGCCTGGAGGCTGCTCGCGTCTTGCCAACCAGCAACACTGATGTGAGCTTTGTCTTCTGAGACGTGGATTCCTGCACTGGCAGAACTTGGAGACAGCAACGGCAAAAAGGTTCCCAAACGATCACCCTTCCCCAAGAGCACCTGGATTAAGGTGTTCCTGTCACATTAAACTTCCAAGGTTCTGGAAGAACAGTGGTCAAGTAGTGAGGTTGGAAGCCAGGGCTGAGGAAGGAGCAAAAGGCTATAGCCAATTTCCTAAAAGCCACTGAATCATATACTTTGTGTGTTTTTTTGTCTTGTTTGTTTGTTTTGAGACAGAGTCTCACTCTGTCACCTAGGCTGGAGTGTGGTGGCGTGATCTCAGCTCACTGCAACCTCCACCTCCCAGGTTCAAGCGATTCTCCTGCCTCAGCCTCCCAAGTAGCTGGGATTACAGGCGCCCGCCATCATACCTGGCTAATTTTTTTTTTTTTTTTGAGACGGAGTCTTGCTCTGTTGCCCAGGCTGGACTGCAGTGGTGCAATCTCGGCTCACTGCAAGCTCCGCCCCCCCGGGTTCACGCCATTCTCCTGCCTCAGCCTCCCAAGTAGCTGGGACTACAGGCACCCGCCACCATGCCCGGCTAATTTTTTGTATTTTTAGTAGAGACGGGGTTTCACGATGTTAGCCAGGATGGTCTCGATCTCCTGACCTCGTGATCCTCCCACCTTGGCCTCCCAAAGTGCTAGGATTACAGGTGTGAGCCATCACGTCCTGGCTGAATCATACACTTTGAAAGAGTGACTTGTGTAGTATGTAAACACATCTCAATAACATTGTTCCGGAGGGACAAGGGTGGAGCAGTGAGGAGAGGGTCCTGGTGGCAGGCATTGATTGATGTGGTCACTGACAGGTCATGTGGCTGTGCAGTTGTCCTCCGCAGTCCTCACCAGGTCTTCATTAACAGCGGTGTGTTCAGTTAACTGGACAAATATGAATTAACCCTCCAGGACAAGCCAGGCACTGTGACAGGCAGGGAGGCCCCGAAGCCAGGGTAACTGATGGTGAAATTGTGGGTCAGAGCCTTCGACGTGGTAGGAGGCCTCCTTTCTTCCCTTGTCCGTAAATTGAAGGGGTTGCAGCCGCCCTAAAGTTCTTTGGCCCTTGGAAAGTTGAACCATTTTCATTGTTGAGGTTTCAAGGCAGGCTCTTCTCCACAAACAGCAAATTGCTCTTGGCCTCAGGGTCAAACTTCTCACACAACAGAGACCAGAGCTGGACTGAGTGCTCTGCTCAACAGGGGGCTCTGGCCATGGCCCCTACAAATTCCAGGTTCAAGGGCAGTCCTGGCCTTATCTCATTTTACTATTTTCAAGAAAAGTTACTTCATCAATGTAATTTATGGTCTGTCATAAAATAAATGCATGGTGAATCCCCGTGTCCTACCTTTTGATTAGGAAAATATGGTCTCCTTCCCATTGCCTCCGCTTTCCCCTAGGAATGTCATTTCTAGTATGTGCTGGGCCTGGGCCAATGAAACCCAGCACCCAGTTCTCACTGGGAAGTTCCCATGCCGAAGACACACCTGCTACCCTACCCTGCCCCAGATTGTGGGGCTTCAAGTGTGCTATAAACCACCACCAAGTATGTGCCTCAAAGGTATATGGACACAGAGATTTTCAAACCCAGACCTAGAAATTAACGATGCTCTAATTTTTATTGTAAAATAACTATAGGTAAAGTCTATGGAACATTTGTGCACACAAACACACAGGTGCACATCCACCCACCCACACACACATTCAGTCCACACTTTGATGTTCCCCACAGCCTTTTACCAAACTGTAAAGTTAGCCTCAGAGACGCATCCCTCGCACAGGCCCAGGGTTTGGGGAGTACAGTGGAGAAAGCTTCCAGTTGGTGTGTTGAACTAAGCCCTGGAGAACGTGTGCCCTTCCCCTTCAAGCCAGCACGTCACGTGTGGGAGGTCTGGTTGGGTGCCCAGTGGGAATTCCTAGGTCTCAGCTCCATGTGCTGCATGGAATTGAGCTACTGAAAAAAGGTGGAAGTGCTTGTTAGTCACCCTGTCCACCCCCAGTTGCCACTCAGAGAAATACCCCAGGAATGATCCTGGGAACAAAGGGGATTTTGCTAATGATTTTTGTGTGTTGATTTTGTATTGCACAACTTAATTGTATTATACTCTAACATATTCTAACAGTTTTTTGGTGGAGTCTGTAAGGTTTTCTATATATAGGATTATGTCATCAGCAATGACAATTTCACTTCTTCCTTTCCTATTTGGATGCCTTTTCTTTCCTTCTCTTGCCCAATTGCTCTGGCAAGGACTTCCATTATGTTGAATAGAAGTGGCAAAAGTGGGCATCCTTGTCCTGTTCCAGATCTTAGAGGAAAGGCTTTCAACTTTTCACGTTGAGTATAACGTTAGCTGTGGGCTTCTCATATATGGCCTTTATTGTGTTAAGGTACGACCTTTCTACACCTAACTTTGGTGAGATTTTTTATCATGAAAGGATGTTGAATTTTGTCAAATGCTTTTTCAGAATCTAATGAGATGATCATATGGTTTTTGTCCTTTATTCTGTTAATGTGATGTATCACATTTATTGATTTGCATATGTTGAACCATTCTGGCATCCTAGGGATAAATCTTAATCATGGTGGATGATCCTTTTAATGCACTGTGGAATTTGGTTCACCAGTATTTTGTTGAGGATTTTTGCATCTATGTTCATTAAGGATATGGGCCTATAATTTTCTCTTCTTGGACATGTCAGAATGGCTTTTATTAAAAAGATGAAAGAGAACAAGTGTTGGTGAGGACGTGGAGAAAAGGGGAACCCTTGTACACTGTTGGTGAGAATGCGAATTATAGGACCATTATGGAAAATAGTATGGAGATGGCTCAAAAAGCTAAAAATAGAATGACCATATGACCCACAATCCTACTTCTGGGTATTTACCCAAAAAATTTGAAATGTGTTTATCCAAGAAATGTCTGCACCCCATGTTTACTATAGCACTATTCACAATAGTTAAGTTATGGAATCAACCTAAGTGTCCATCAGCAGATGAATGGATAAAGAAAAGGGGGTATATATGCCTTAAAAGGCGGTATATAAATATTCAGCCTTAAAAAAGGAAAGTCTATCATTTGCAACAACATGAATGGAACTGAAAAACATTATTGCTAAGTGAAATAAGTCAGGCACAGAAAGACAAATACTGCATGTTCTCACATGTGGAATCTAAAAGAATCAAAGTCATAGAAGAACAGAGTCGAATGGTAGTTGCCAGGCACTGAGGTGGGCGAGGGAAATGGAGAGATGGTGGTCAAAAGGTACAAAATCATGGGAGAAGTAAGATTTTTTCCCTTTTTTGAGTTCTATTGCACAGTGTGGTAAATATAGTTAATAATAGAGTATCGTACATTTCAAAGTTGCTAAGGGAGTAAACTTCAAATGTCCTCACCACAAAAAGTGTTAAGTATTTGAGATGATGGATACATTAACTAGCTTGATGTAATTATTCCACATTGTATTCATAAATTATAGCATCACTTTGTACCCCACAAATTTATATAATTAGAAATTGTCAATTTACAATTTAAAAGTGCAAAGGGGATTTTGCTAATATTAATTGGTAACAATAACCTGTTCTGACTGTGGAGTGCTTTACAGTTAACAGGGCATCATGACTTTGTCAGATGCCCAAGCGGAGATTATTATTTTCATTTTACAAGTGAGAAGACTGAGGCTCAGAGAGGCTAAGTGACCTGCTCAAGGTTCCATGCTACTGAGGAGCCAGAATTAGGTCTGAAACCTCCTGGCTTCTAGTTCATCTCCCTTTTCATGATGCTTTGTGGCATCATGAACCTAATGTTGAACTCGAAACGGCACTTAATTTAGACCATCCAGGTCATTCTGTTTAGCCTGTTGCTCATCTCCCCGATGGCCAAGTTTGCCAGGAAAGCATTGCCTAACCACTGCAGACTGGATGAAATGGGCCCCGATGGCCCATCCTTTCCTCCATTAAAGCACACACTACTGTCTGTATTCATTAGTGCCTGCCTTCCCATTAGACTGTCAGCTTCTTGAGGGCAGGGACCACATCTTCTTTGACTTTGTGCCTCAGCTCTTAGCATAGACCTGGCACACAGTAGGAGCATGTTAAGAGTGAAATGCTGCTGAAGGCACTCAGAAGGAAGCCCTCCTCTGCTTAGCAAGCTATCTACACTTTATTGAGACACAAACTTCCTCTGTATCATCGTTAACTGACCACTCCCATGGCAGCTGGGTCCCTTGCCATTTCTCAGAAGGAATTCGGATGCTGTTAACACATCCACTTCAAATTACCCTTGAAATGGGACAGGTCCAAATTGAGATGTGCTATAAGTGTAAAATATACGCCGGATTTGAAAACTTACTATGCAAAAAAGAAAATATATCTTATGAATAATGTTCATATTGATTATATGTTGATAATATTTTGAATATATCGGGTTAAATGAAACGTATTATTAAGGTTAACTTCACCTATTCCTTTTTACTTTTTATGATATAGGTATGTACTAGAAAAATTTTAAATTCTCTATGTGACTTATATTTCTGTTGGAAAGTTCTGGCTTAGGTCCTTACAGGTCATTATAAGGACTCGAGCTTTTACTTTGAGTGACATGGGAGCCATTAGAAAGTTTTGAGCTCAAAAGTGACACAATCCGACTCACTCGTGTTTAAAAAGTAGCACTCTGGTTGCCATCTTGTGGACAGACTCTAAGGGACATGAGTACGGACAAGCAGACCATGTAGGAAGCTACTGCAGTAATACAGGAGAACGTGGAGGCTTGAATCAGAGAGTGGTAAGAAGTGGTCAGATACTGATCAGGCTTGGAAAGCAGACCAAGAGGACTTCCTAACAGATTGGGCATGGGGTTAAAAAGAAAAGAGTCAAAGTTGAGTCTCAGTTTTTGGCCTGAGCCACTGGGAGGTCGCCATTTGCTGAGATGGGGAAAGAGGAGGGAGAAGCAGGTCTGGGGAAGAAGACCAGGAGTTTGGTTTTGGATGCGTTATGTCTAGGATGCCTTTTGGTTTCCAAGTGGAGACACTGAGAAGGCAGTTGGATATATGACTCAAGAGTTCAGGGAAGAGGCCTGAGCTGGGGATCTAAACTGGGGAGTCATCATCATAAAAATGCGATTGAAAGCCCAGAGGCTGGGCAAGATCACTGCGGGTGTGAATACAGGCAGAAAAGAGAAGATCAGGGTCAAGAAGACCAAGTGCCCTGGGGAGCTCTAAAGTTTAGAGGTTGTCAAGAGAGGCAAAGGAAGCAAAGAGCCTTGAGGTAAAAAGAAAACTAGGAGGGAGTAGTGCTGTAGAAGCCAAGTAAAGAAAGCATTTCAGGAGGAGGGAGTGAGCCCCTATGGCCGGTGCTGCTGATAGGTCCAGGAAGAGGAAGACAGAGAACCGGCCACTGGATTTAGCAACCTGGAGGAGACTGGCGACCCTGACAAGTGCAGTGTAAGTGAGTGATGGAGGCAAAAACATGATTAAAGTGAGTTCACTAGAAAATGAGAGAGGAGGAATTGGAGATAGCAAATACAGACAGCTCTTTCAGGGAATTTTGCGGTGAAAGGGAGCAAAGAAATGGGCACAGGTCAGAGGGGATAATGGATCAGGAGAGGCTATTTTTAGAAGATAGACAATTTCAGCATGGATGTGTGCTGCTGGGAATGAGCCAGTAGACAGGAAAATTGATGATGCCAGAAAGACTGGGAATTCTGATGCTTCCCCAGTCTCCAAAGAGTACACTTATATTGCTTTTTCATGTTTTATCAAATTCAGACATTACCTATCCACTTTCTGCTGTAATACACACAAGCCAGCTTGCTTATATCACCCCTCAGCGCACTTTTACTCTTGTTTCCAGATGATTCCAGCAGTTCACTCTCATCCCACTGTCCCAACACATCAACTATTTCAGTTCATCTATTGGTCACCTTGGTGACTTTTATTTCTTGGTCTATTAACTACAGACAGCATCTCTTGACTCCCGTTTTATATGATTGGGGTATTCATGCCTCTACCCTACCATCTGCTGTTAGTCAGCTTTGCATATGTCATGCTGGGACAATAACAAGACCAACAACCACAAAATCTCAGCAACTCAGGCTTATTTCTGATTCACATGCCATGCCATGGCCTGCTTCTGATGTGCTGTTTATTCTGGGAACTAGTTGAAGGGCATCCCCCATCTGAGACCTGCCATTTTCAGGAGAGAGGGAAAAGAACAATGTCAGAACTTCACACCACCTCTTAACGTGTCTGTTCGGCATGGAATATGTCATTTCCACTCACATTCAATTGGCCAAAGCGAGTCACGTGGCCAAACCGGGTATCAGTGGACAGGGGAGGAAGTATTCTCCTACAAGGGCAGGCAAGCCATATGGCATCGGGTGGGGGTGTGAAATCCTCTTTCAGGGAGAACAGTGAATAATTGGGAACAATAATTTAATCTATCACAGTTCCTCTTCTCTCTTCTTCTACTTTCCAACTTCTTTTATGTTGTCAAGCCAGAAACTCTTTACGTACTCCTTTATAGCTATTCTTAAGTAGTCTTCAGTGCTTTGTTGTTGATTTTAGAAGTTGAAAGCCACTAAGCAGCATTTACATTATTATGACTAAGCAAATATTCTTTACTGCAGAGCCAAACAGTCCATATCATGCACCACTGTTCCAATGACAGACCCTATGCGCTTAGAGCCTTTCTTACATTCCACCACATGCTCAAAATCAGGCCACATTTTGGACTGCTTCATATTTAGGCTATCCCTTTCATAAGAAATGTTTTGTTTTTCCAGAAGTTTCTGATTATGTTTCTTTTTTCTTGTTGATAGAAGAAACATTTGCCTTCTACATCATATCCCTAATAACCTCCAAATTTCTTCCCACTCCATTTATTGTTTGGACTCTTTTTTTCTTTTTGAAGCCTGCTGACCTTCTGACCTGATTGGGCAAGCTGCTTCAATTTTGGATCTTAATGCTTTTGCATGGCTCTTTGTCTTTACTGCAATTACTAATTGCTTTCTGTTTTGTTTGGGTGGTTTTTTTGGCTTGCTTTCTGCTTTTCATTACAACCTTAATTTTTTGCAGTGTCCTAATAATACTCTCTACTCTCTAGAATGTCCTTCTCTCATGTCACCTTCGGAGACCTCTTTCCTTCCACTCTAATGAAAAGTAACTACTCTCTCATTCTGTTGAACAATTTCATCCCAGGGTGGCTTTTCATGGCTACTCTGTATAGGATTCACTGTTTCCTGAATCTCATATCTCCTTTCTTGGTTTACTCCCTTACTTTGTTGAAAAACATCTTCAGGAACTTCCTTCAAAAGGTTTAGTAGGCTGTAAACTTCCTTGGTCCTTGCATCCTCAGGCCTACTTCACTTTTATATTGAATAAAGGCTTTGGACCAGATGATCTCTAATGCCTATTCCAGGAGTATAATTCTAGTCTATATGTATTTGTGGATAACATGCTCTTTCAAGAAGACATTTAAAATAGTTGCTGCTCCCCAGGAGTTTAAGATCTACTCAGATAGACAAAGAATAAAGTCTCAAAACAGCAACAAAAAATCTATGATACAAAAGATGCCAGGAGGTAGGACATGATTAATCATCAGTTTGAGCCTTGGGTCTAGAGGAAAGAGAGAGAGAAGAAGCAGAGCCAGCCTGTGGTGCTTTTATTGAGCAAGCAAGACTTTAGCAGCATCAAAGAGTAGGCAGTGTGTTAGGGATAAATTGTCCCTATCTGATGTCCTGAGTCCAATGGAGTGGTTAAAGGTCAATGGAGGTCCTCCTCCCTTCGACTTTCCGTGTCACTGAGATATCAACATTTTCGTTTCACCAAATCAAGATAGATATAATTTTTAAATATAAAAGTATAATTATACCCCTGACCACTAGACAAACTCTCTGGCCATGTTGGGGCATAACAATGAACTTTCATTACAGGTATGAATAATCGTGTATATACTTATAAACACCCTAATTGTTGGAACATGAAGGTACCAACGGTGGTCTTTATTAGTAGAGTTTCACTGAATAGGACTAGAGGTGACTCTCTTTACTAATGTCCACTTGTAAAAATTGTTTTTCATTGTTTCAGTGAGGAGTTGGAGTGATCATAAATCACTTCTCCTTTCCAGCCACTCCCTAGGAGACAGCACATCCCACTCATGATATGAGTGTTATCCCGAGAGCACTGTTGCTTGGGTGGAGAAGGCACTGGGGAATTTTAAGGATGGGGCTTCTCCACAGCTGGTCCTGCAGACTGGATGGACCTGAGACACCTACATCAAAGGGAAAAAATAAAAATAAAAAACGAGCCTTCATTCAGCAAAAACTGCCCTCTCATCCAATCTGCAATCCAGGAGAGGACTTGCAGGGAAGGAAGTTTCCAGAAAAAAAGAAAAGATCTTTGGGCCAGTGGTCTGGGCAGTTTCCAGAATGGGAGTTTAGTGAGGATGGCAAGTGCTGAGGACACGTGATAGATTTTCTCAGCAAGTTCTAACCTAACACTACTCCCTCAGGGAGGCTTTCTCTGAGCCCCCTTCCTTCGCCCCCAGGAAGAATTTCTGCTACAACACTCTGTTCCTGCTGCCATCCTAGCACTTATCAAATTCAGACAAAGTTGGCCTCAATTTTCCTCAGCAGTCTATGACATCCTGACTGATTTATTCATCATCACAACCCCAGTCAATGCCTGGCATGTGGTAGGTGCCTGTGTTGGTCAAATGAATGAGTGAATTGAAAGAAGCTGCATTTCATCAAAGAGCAGAATCAGCCATGAATATTCAGTTGTCCCGGGAGCTTCAGATAAGCCAGGAGGCCTTGGAGAAGTGGATCTGGGCCAAGTGGCAGATTTCCAAGAGCTGGGGCCATTTAAACCACTCCTGGGGAAGGGGGGCAATAAAACCACCTGCAAGATTGGTCTGAGCTGCTTTGTTGCCTGGGACTCCACTGCAGGTGGAGAGGGGAGCAGAGGGATCAAAAGCACTCAAAGAGCCTTTGCTTCTGAGTGGTCCAGAGGGCAGTGCTGCCCTGGCTGCAGCGACCCCCACCCAGAGATGGGACCAGTGCTCAGCTCTGCAGAAGAGCAAGATGGACCCACCATCCCCAGAGAGCTTCCTATGCACCAGACGCTGGGCTTTATGTAATCACGTTTCATCCTCTCAGCAACGCCAAGAGACAGGTGTGCCTGACTTACAGATGAGAACCACCACCAAGGATCAGGAATCCCTCATTCCGTGTGGAGAGGAGCAGGAGCCTGTGCACCCAGTAAACTGTACAATAGCAACCAAAGCAAAATTAAAAAAAAAAAAGCCAGGATTATGTCACTGAAAATTCAGAAATCTGTGCACCTACAGCTCACCTGTTTTATTACTTTTGTGGTTTGCATATCTTCCCTTTATTTTCTCCTGGTTTCTTATAATGGTTTGTTTTGTTTGTTTGTTTATTTGTTTGTTTCACAAAAATCCCATAGGATTCTGATCTCACAAAGGGAAAAGCTGGATCCCCAGGGCAAGGAGCCAGGGGTCAGCGGAATGGACGGTGCCCTGCAGCCGATGCTGTCAATGCAGCAGGGCTAAGGCTGGGAAAGGCACCTAGTGAAGGGAGACCAGGGAGGGTACACACAGGTACATGCGTGGGCAGCTGCTGTCTCCTGGGGCTGGTCTCCCACAAGGTGGTTTCCTCGTGCAGCAGTGACTTGGTGCAGCCCCTCTCACCTGGCACCAATGCATTTGTTTCCTCAAAAGACCATAGGGTGGCGTTTACCTCACCACTTAAAAAAAAAAAAAAAGGTGGATCAAGATGCATGCTGGCTCAGGAGGATCTTCATATCCGCCAGAGGGAGGGGCAGGCAGTCTCTTTTTACTCCAGCAGGTGAGAATTTCTGATAAAACTAGATTAACACCAGCTGGCCTCCTTGCAGTGTCTAAATGTGCAAAGAGAGCTGATCTGATGACACCAGCCAGGGGGACAGGCTGCTGGAGGCACCCCAGAAGAGAGAAGCCCAACTAAAGGCCACCTAACTTACTGCTCAGATAGGCTGCTCTGGCCGCAGCAGCCCCTTAGGGTAGAAAGACAAGTAAGCTCGGAGGGGAAAGTGAACGGGTCCTGCGTGGGTGGCTGTGGCCTTGGCTGTCACCGCAGCAGAGGCCCCTGCTAAGCAGGCGAAGAGCGAGGAGACCGTGAGAAAGGCCAAAGTCAAACTGAAAACCCCTTCCAGCTGGCCTCTGCTCTTGGGAACTTGGAACCATACGTTGGCAACAGGCTCGCCGACAGGGGCACGCTTTCTCCCGGAGAGGGCACTGGGGCGCCTGGTTCTTCGGGCGGGCACGGGAGAGGGGGGCACCTCCCAGCACGCAGGAGCAGCCAGTGCCAAGCTGGAGGAGGGGAGGGGCGTGCAGGCAGAGACCTGGGGGTGGAGTTAAGGGAGGGAGGGTCAGGAAAACTTCTCATTCCCTGCCTCCATTCACCCTCCTGCACCATCTCTGTAAGGGGCCTCTGCTTTAAAACGTGGGACATAGATGCCACCAGAACCCCTGCCGGCTGCCGGAGTCCTGCACAGAATTACATCGGCGCACTCTCTACTTCTCAGGAACAGAAGGGATCCGAGGGAGCTATGGGTTCATCTCTGGCCACATGCATCCAAACTAATAAAATCATCCCCCATCCCCCTGGCGCCCTGCGGGGTGCTGGCGGAAGTGCAGGTACCCCTGAATGAGGCGGAGGAGACTCTGGCTAGAGTTCTCGTCCCCACGCGGTCCGCACTCCGCGAACCAAAGGGGGCTGCAGGTATATCTAGCCCGGCTCGTCCTCTTTCCCCGGCTCAGCTGACTTCGACGCCCGGGAGTTTGATCCTCGCCGCCGAGGCCCTAGAGCTCATTCTGATCCGACCCCATTCCTCTCGGGGAAGTGGGCTCGCGGACGGATGCACACGACGGAGAGAAGGAGCAGAAATCGGGGCGCCGGGACGGGAGCCCTACTCCGAAGCCGGCAGAGCCATTCCGGCCGCCGCTGCGGGCTCCAACATTGGCCGCAAAGTTTCCGGCTCTTTGGGGCCCCGCCTGCGGGTCGGAGACCCCAGCGCAGCCTCTCCCCTCTGGGGTGCACACTCCACGCGCTTCTGCCACCTGCCCGGGGACGCCAGGAGCGGGCGGTGGCGCGTGGTCGCAGCACTTGGAGCGCGCGGCCCCGCCAGGAGGTCTCCGGCCGCGCCCTTCTCTCCCCCCACGCCCTCCCGCGGCGGGGTGGGGGTCGCAAGGGTCGCGGCAGCCGTGTCTTACCCAGTCCCGGCACGAAAGTGTTGAGGAAGAGGCAGATGACGGCCACGGGGAAGGGCATGTAGGGGATGGCGGCGCGCAGGGGGCCCTTCTTCTCGCGGACCTGCACCACCACCCCGCTGGACGAGGACGCCCCCCGGGGGTCCGCCGCCGCCACCGCCGCCGCCGCCGCCGCCGTCTCGGCGTCTTTGTGCGAGGGCTCCATGGCCGGGCGCGCTCTCAGGCAGCCGGGCAGCACGGCCGGAGCTGGCGCCCAGCGTACGGGAGCAGGAGACTGTCGGCTGCGGGCTCCGGGCTCCGCGCCGAGCTCAGGCGGCCGCCGTGCTCCGTGCGCCGCGCGGCTCGCGGAGACTCCCGCCCTCCGGCGTCCCCACACGCCCGGCGGAGGGGCGGGGAGGGCGGCGCGACACCCGGTGACAGCGCTCTGACGCCCCTCCTCGCCAGGCCCCTTCCCCGCCCCCTCCCCCCAACCAAAACCACCGCTCACAAGGAATGGAAAATCAGGGCGGAGGGAAAGCAGTGGAAGAGGACCGCAAAGGGAGCTGTTTGCCCAGGTGCTGGAAGGGGTGGACACACCTCGCCCTCCCAGACAGGTGAACTAGGAACCTTGACCACGAAGCCCTGCGAACTGGGAGTGTGTGCTTGGCTGACACCGTCGGGAAAGCCTCGAGGCTGAGTCCCCTGATCTAGAGCAAGCCTTTGGCCAGGGACATGGGGACAAGGGACGGACCGCGCGGCGCCTGACACCTAGTCGGCCTTCAGTGCATTGTGATTTAAATGATTTTGTTTGGGGCGAGCGCAGTGGCTCCCGTCTGTATTCCCCACTTTGGGAGGCCAAGGTGGGAGAATTACTTGTGCCCAGGAGTTCGAAACCAGCCTGGGCAACGTAGCGAGACCCCCCCCCCCCCGCCCCAGCTCTATTTTGTAAAAAAAAAAAAAAAAAAAAAAAATCACTTAAAAAATATATAGGAGTGAATTTGTTTCAAGTGTCAGAGAAAAAGCAATCCAGAGATCGGATCGATAATAGAGGAAACAGATTTGCAAACACCAGGCCAGGTCTCCGCAAGACTAGTTAAAAGATGGGACACTTCCCTACACACACGCACCAAAAGCAGAAAGAAATGCGCCTGTTGCAGGCTTGTTGGGAAGCGTTCACCATCCCCTGAACTATACTGGAGGAAACCTGAGCCTTCTGTGAGCCCGACGTGGTGGTTAAAGAGCCAGTGAGGACACAGCGCCGTCTGGCGTTAATAATGGGGCAGTTGGTAGAAGCAACAGCCGGCAGCTTGAGGTCCTGTTTGAATTCGATTTTCTGAATAAGGCTGCTTCGCCTCCGCACCTGGAAAAAGTAAACGGATGAAAGTTACCGCCTCTAACGTTAGGGAGGGGTTAAAGGCTTCGGAATTATCCAGACAGTCAGCAAATCGTCTGAATAATTGGAAGGGTGCAATAGCCTCCCTTCAGGAATAATAGTGATTATTATTATAAACAACCCAGGGTCTCAGAAGAGGCTAAAAGAACATGGGTTATTGTATACTTATACTTATTGTATAAGTCTCTGAATAAAATAATTTTAAAAGCAAATGGCCAGGGGTTAGTGATGATACTGGTGGACACACACATGCGTGTGTACACATACACAGATACACACACACACGAGTCATTAGCTTAGGTTTGGCAGTCAGAAGAACAGGGTTAAAAATTTTAGTCTTTGTTCAGCCACTAAAACCTGTATGGCTTAGAAGAACTCGCTTAGCCTTTTCTGGCCTGGAGTTACTGTGTTGGTTAAAATCATAGCAAGCTTCCATTTAATACACAATTATTGAAGGCCTACTAAGACTTAGATTCCAGGGAGAGAGAAATGAGTAAAATCCAGCCTCTGCCTTCAAGAATCTAAGAAATGAGCTGAGAGATACTGACAACTACAAAGATAGACTTACAGAAACAGTGAGGAATGTTGCAGCTGTGATGTGCTGGAGGTGCTGCGACAACATGGACCTATCTGTGAAGCCAGCTAGCGTGGGGGAGGCCTCGGGGAGGTGTCCCAAAGAAGGCGATACTCAAAGGGACTTGAGCAATGACTACAGTTAACTATTTGCAGATTTGTTTTATTTTCAACAAACACTTATTTACCCAAGCACTCTCTGCCAGGCATCATTCTAAAAACCCTTTACACATTTTAACTCTTTTAATCCTTACCATAACTCTACAAAGTAAGGATTATTTATTACCCCATTTTACAGATGGGGCAATTGAAGCACAGAGAAGTTAAACAGGCTGCACAAAGTCCCCCACTAATCAGTGGTAGAGCTGGCAGCTGAATGCAGGCAATCTGGCTCCAGAATCAATTCTATATAACCAGTATTTTATTCAGAGACCTAGAAAATAACCCACATTCTGTGAATATTCTTTTGCAGAGCACTTGAACTGTCTTAGGGCCAGTCAATCATTCCTCCTGGAGAAAAAGGATTTCAGGGACGTCAGTGGATTTGCATCCCCCAGTTTTCCAGATGATTTGCTGAATATCTTGGATGTCAGAAAGACATCCAGGCAGAGCAACAAAATATACAAAGGCATGGGAGCCCAGGGAAGTAGGGATGATTCCAGGAATTGCAGTGTGGCTGGCACTAGGGCTTGTGTGGGCAGAGACAGGAGATGGATCTGGTGGGGTGGACAGGCATCTAGTACTGAATGGCAAAGGAATTTGGACTTCATCTCGGTGGTGGTGATGCAGAATCACTGGAACATTTTAAGCAGGGGTGTGGCATAAGTGTTCCAGTTACTATCACTGTGTCACAAATTACCCCCAAATTTAGCAGCTTAACACAACCATTTTTTTCTGATCACAAATTCTGTGGTCAGGAGCTTGGACAGAGCACACCAAGATAATTCTTCTTTGCTCCTTGTATCTGGAGCCTCAGCTCGGGAGACTGAAATGGCTGATAGCTGGAACAGCTGGGGCTAGAGGATCCACTTCTGAGAAGATTCTCAGGAATCTCAGCCTGCCTGGACTGGGGTAACTTGAAAGCTGGGTCAACTAGGATGGGTCAGCAAAGCGCCTACACATGGCCTCCCCACGTGACTTGGACTTTTCACACTATGACAGCTGGCTTCTGAGAGGGAATTTCCTGAGAGGAGGCCCCCAGAGAATGAACATTGCAGGACCAGTGGAAGCTGTGTGGACTTGGACTTTTCTGCCCTAACTTTGGAAGTCACACAGTGTCACTTCTGCAGGGCTTTACTGGTCGATGCAGTCACAAGCCTGCCCAGATTTCATGGGGGACACCCCGCCTCTCTATGGAGGGGTGTCAAAGACTTGGGCCTAGGCTTTAAAACCACCACCATTATGAGATATATTTGTTCACAGTGTGGAAGATGGGCTGGAGGGGATAAAATCAGGTCACATGCTTATATAGAGGCTGAGGGGGAGGAGGACTCTTCCTGACTGAAAAGGACTGAGAATGGGGTAGGGACAGTTCCCAAATGAAAACTGGGTATTAATAGCAGACAAGGAGGAAATGAGTTTGAAGGGTCTGAACACATCCGAGAGGTAGCGGGGACTCATTGATAAATGGCCAGCATAGATAATTGTCTTGATAAAAGTTGGATATTGAGTCAAATCGAGAATCAAGGAAGCAATTGGGGCTGCAGATTTGGGAGCCATCAGCATACAAATGGTAGTTAGAGCCCTGTATGCAGATGTGGAATTTAAAAAGTCACAGAGGCTGGGCGCAGTGGCTCATGCCCGTAATCCCAACACTGGGACGCTGAGGCAAGAGGATCACTTGAGCCCAGGAGTTCAAGACCAGCCTGGGCAACATGGCAAAACTCCATCTGTACGAAAAATACAAAAATTAGCTGGGCGTGGTGGTGCACACTTCTAGTCCCAGCTACTCAGGAGGCTGAGGTGGGAGGATCACCTGAGCATGGGGAGGTCGAGGCTGCAGTGAGCCGTGTCGCACCACTGCACTTCAGCCTAGGCAACAGAGTGAGACTCTGTCTCAAAAAAAAAAAAAAAGTTACAGAATTTCTGTAATTAAGCAGAAAGGAAAAAGGAGGGAAACGAGGTTTACATGGAGAAACACTACTAACAGTGTTTCATGGAAGCCAAAACAGGAAGATTTTAAGGAGGATGCAGTCAGCAGTGTCAAATTCACTGAAGGGTAAGGTAAAACCCCAAAAGTGCCCTTAGATTTGGCAGTTGGGAGATTTAACTCTCTGAGATCCTAGCTAAAATGTCTCACATGCTATGTATCCCTTTTCTAGGAACGTGTCCATTTCGTGGAAGTTATGGAATTTGTTGGCATAAAACTTTTTCTACTTTCCTCTTATCTTTTTAATGTCTGTCAAAGCTGTAATGATGTCTCCTCTTTCATTTCTTATATTGTTCATCTGTACATTCCTTTTTTCCTTACCGCTCTTGCAAGAGGTTTATACAGCATCTACTTGACATTGTGATTGCAGCTGATGTTTGTAGGAGAGTTTAAGATCTAAGGTATTTCAGGGAGGAAGAGGCTTCCGAATAAAAGTTAAAACCTTAAATGATCATCTCAAAAAATCAGACACAAACGCAACAGGGGAAACAGACCAAACAGTTCATTACATCAGCCAAATAATACATCTGGGCCAAGCACTGGGTCATGAAGATAAAAATATATTTCTTGGCCTTGTTCTGTCATCAGATGAATAAAGTACATCAAGTTTTGGACATTTTTTAGCTAAAATAAAAATTTGCTGAAGTCAGCTTCCAAACTGCATGAGGAATTCCTATTCCAACCTGGAAGAGAGCTTCCAGGTGGTTCCTTTTTGGCAAAGACTGGCATCATAGCATCAGCAGTGGAAAGACAAACTTTGTTTGAAGCTCTGAGCCTTTGAAAAAGTTTTTTAACCTCTCTGAGCTTCGGTCTTCAAAATTGTAAATAATACCTAGCTCATTTGTGTATAAGAGGATTAAGTGAGATAATACGTATAAGGCACTCAATAAGTAAATGGCAACTGAATCAGAAGCTTTTTCATGCCAAGTGATGGAACACAACTCAAATTTAGTTTATGGGGAAAAAAGTATGGATGTAATGTCTTTTTGATGTATCAACTTGGCTAGGCTCAACTCTAGCCCACAGAATTCCCTTTCTAGTTAGTTTCCATTTATGTTGGGCCAATGGGAATATTCTTGCTCAAGAGTTGGAAGGCAGAAGGGAGGCAGCAGCCATTTTGTAGTTTTCACACACTTCTCTGAGGTATCTAATCAAATACAAATCTGGGTGTTTCCGTGAAGGAATTCTGCAGATGTGATTTAAAGTTCCCAATCAGGGTGGGCGTGGTGGCTCACACCTGTAATCCTAGCACTTTGGGAGGCTGAGGCAGGTGGATTGCTTGAGCTCATGAGTTCAAGACCAGCCTGGGCAACATGGCAAAATCCTGTCTCTTCAAAAAAAAAAAAAAAATTAGCTGGGTGTGGTGATGCGTGCCTGTAGTCCCAGCTACTTGGGAGGTTGAAGTGAGAGGGTGGTTTGAGCCCAGGAGGCAGAGGTTGCAGTGAGCTGAGATCACGCCACTGCACTCCAGCCTGGGTGATAGAGCCAGACCTTGTCTCAAAAAAATGAATAAATAAAACAAAGTTCCCAATCAGTTGACTTTAAGTTAATCAATGGAACCTGGGCAACATGGCAAGACCTCATCTCTGCCAAAAAAAAAATTTTTTTTTAAATTAGCTGGGTGTGGTAGCACATGCCTGAAGTCTCAGCTACTCAGGAGGCTGAGGCAAGAGGATCACTTGAGTTCAGGAAATGGAGGCTGCAATGAGCCATGATTGTGGCTCCGCACTCCAGCCTGGGAACAGAGCATGACCCTGTCTTAAAAAGAAAAAAAATTAAAAAGTTAATTAATGGGAGATTATCATGGGTGGGCCTGACTTGAGCTCCTTAAAAATGGGCCTTCTCTGAGGGAGATCCTCCAAGTAGCTGCTGGGTCAACAATTGCTCTCCTTTCCCCTTAGAACTTTCTTCCTGACTGCAGCTGAAGGACATCATCAAGCTTCAGCTCTTGCCATGGGCTTCCAGCCTACCTGTGACCTTCCCTTGCGGCTGCCTGCTGCAGAGGAAAAGTTAAATATTAAATTTGAACTCCATTGAACGTGGACATAAACAATGGTCACTAAGCCCCAGAACAGATTGCATGAGCCCCTTGAGGCATTCATCCAGCAAAGTTTCGGAGAAATCTGCTCCTGTACGTTAGTTATTGAAAAACAACGGACAGCTGCAAAAACAAGTTGACCTTTTTGTGTTCCTTGAGCCCAGTCATGAAGGGCCCTCATGACTGGGCCTCATGCCAAACAACTCGTTACAAAAGAGCTAGGTTCCCAGGCCGTGCTGAAGCTCCATGAGACCTTTCCTCGTCTGTGCACAGACTGGCAGCCGACTCTGGAACCCAGATTGTTGCTTCCCGGTCTAGTGATCCTTCCTCCATAGTCTGGTGAGTGTAAATATATATATACATATTTTTTCCCTTCTCCCCTTTCCGCTGCAATTTGCATTTTATATCATTTGCTTGTTATATCTGTATTGCTATATACGTGGGATAAAGGTTGCTTACTCTTAAAAGGTATTGTATGTCTTTTCTTTTCCCCTCGTGCGTTTCCTGCACAGAACATTTTATGGCATCATGAACAGGATTCGAAAACAAAAGTATGCCGCTTTTTGGCTGGAAGGACAGGAATGGAAGCTCAGGGACTTCCCATATCCCAGGATGGGAACTCCCCCAGTTTTCCCCCTTGGCAATTGAATGGTCCAGGGGAACTGGCCTTTGTGAGAACTGGGAATCTAAATTAGTGCAATTTGAACCTTTGGCTGTGCGTGAAGTGCTGCAGGGGATTCCAGTGGGCAAAGGAGATTCCAAGGAGATCTGGCATGGATGGTGCTTGCTTACTGCTTATAAGTTAATGTGTCAAGATAGGATCCCTATCTTGGTTGCTACAATAAAAAAGTAAGCTGGAAAAGGAAAATGCTGACTTAACTTCTAGGCTGGCTTTGGCCCAATGCCAGGCCTATGTCCTGACTGATCAAGCCCAAAGCTACCAGGCTATTGCTGACAAAACAGCTGTCTGGGTGGCCTGGTACAAGTATAAGAACAGGCAAGCCAAGGTGGATAGGCAGAAGGTACAGGTAGCTCTTGCTCGAGTAGGCCCTGAGTGGGACCCAGACACATGGGATGGAGATATATGGGATGATGATGAAGAAGGGACCACTTACTCCCCTGATGAATAAAGGGAACCTGCTGAGGCCAGACCCCAGAGGCGGCCACGGGCCATAGAGTGGGGGCGGAATGGACAGATGGTCTGGAGAGACGCTGTAGAAGACTTTACCCAGCAGGAAATAACAGACATTTTACAAACCTTTCGACAAAAGGGAGGGGAAAGTGTAATTACTTGGTTGGTTCGAATTAATGAACAGGGTGCCAATGGCATTAGAGTGGACTCAGGGAATGTTTTAAAGTTTGTTACCCTCTCATGGGTACCCAAAATTCAGCTGGCTCTTCGAAATTGGGCTACTGCACCCCACCCTACTAATGATGAGGGAAATGTTTTAGATGAAATATCTTTGTGGCAATTGGCCATCAATGTGGCCAGACAGAAATATTCCACAGAGGATGCCTGGCCAGATGGGGGAAAGCCCTGGCATACACTTAAGGAGTATGCTATGCGGTTAAAGGAGGAGGCCATGGAAACAGCTGTGGTACTGGGAATGGCTGATAACATAGAGGCAACACCTTTAAGTCCTACAATCCGCAATAAGATTTTAAAGATTGCTCCACCTGCTTATAGAATGGTGTTAACATCTTTATTATTTTCCCATACAGATACTCCCACACGGGAGGTACTGGAACAACTAGGTCAGCTACAGGACTTGGGGGATCGGATGCCCTGTGGGGAGGAGAGGATTAAGGAGTGGGGCAGACAAACCCGGGACCAATCTCAGGTTAGTCAGAAGGATATGTTTGCAGATTTATTGAAGGCAGGGGTTCCCAGAGAACAAATTGATGGCAAGGAAGCTAAAGAGTTATGGAAACTATACCAACAAAAAGTGAGGAATGTGCGCCAAATAACAACAGGTGGGCCCTCTAGTTTGGGGCCGGGAGTCACCCCTGGCGTGCCTCCATTGAGTACCCCTGTAACCCAGCCATCGGGAGGCTCTTACCAAGAATTATTGGATTCTTTAGCAGGACTATGACAGGAAGGCTAGGCCCCTTTGCAAATAAAGTGCATAGATATGCACCCATATGTGAAGCTTAACATCTATTGGAAAAACAATACTATTACTACCCTAAAAGCCCTAATTGATACAGGGGCTGAGGCCACTCTAATATATGGAAACCCCAGTACATTTCATGGACCCAAAGTGGTCATTTCTGGTCTCAGAGGGAAAGAGATTCCTGCCTACTATTCTGCTATACAAATGAAAATAGGAAATAGCCACGGAAAAAAAAACATAAAGTTATGATTGTACCCATCCCCAAATATATTATTGGCATTGACATCCTAAAAGGGAGAACTCTACTTGCGAGACGGCCAAGACTCCTTCAAAGTCAGGTCCTTAAAGTTAGTCTGCCCAGTTACCACAGACAAATTGCATTACGAGGTAGATATTCCTGCTGCCACTCAAATAATAAATTTGAAGCAATATTATATTCCGGGAGGACACAAGGAAATTACCGAAACCATTCAGAATTATGTAGCGGCGGGTGTCTTAGTGCCCACCACCACTCAGTAGAATAATCCTATTTGGCCTGTTAGGAAATCTGATGGGAGTTGGCATATGACCATGGATTATCAGGCCTTAAATAAAGTCTCTGCCTCTAACTGCTGCAGTCCCGATGTAATAACCATTGTTGAACTGGTCCAGCAGCATCCCAGAACATGGTATGCTGTAATTGATCTAGCCAATGCCTTCTTTACCATCCCTTTAAACCCTCAGATATGGGACCAATTTGCTTTCACATGGGACAGGAGACAATATAGTTTACTTGCTTGCCTCAAGGGTACGTACATAGCCCCACCATTTGCCGTCGGCAAGTTGCTGAGCATTTAGATGCTACAAGGCCAGAACTAAATTATTTGGGACTTCAAATCAGTCATTATATTGATGATATTTTAATTCAGGGGGAAACTGAAGAACGAGTCAGCCGGGGTTTGGAGCAGGTAAAAACCCAGCTCCAAACTGGGTTTTTCCAAAATGGGAAATTAACTCTAGTAAGATTCAAGGACCTGCACAAACTGTAAAGTTCCTTGGTGTCCTATGGAATGCAGAGAAATAGTCCATTTTACCAAAGGTTAAGGCTAAAATACTAGAATTTGCCACCCCTACCACTAAAAAAGAGGCCCAGAAATTTATTGGCTTGTTTGGATTCTGGAGACATCATATTCCCCACTTGGGTAACATTTTACAACCTCCGCATGCAGTCACTAGAAAACCCTATGACTTTCACATGTGAAACAAGCAGTGCAACTGGCCCTGGATCTATGGCTCATGCAGGATGGGCCAGAAGAACTGCAAGTAACTGTCCTAGATCAACATGCTAATTGAAGTCTTTGGCAGAAACAAGATGGGAAGAGGGTACCTTTGGGGTTTTGGACCGGGAAACTGTCAGAGGCCGGCAAAACTTATACCCCTTTCAAGAAGCAATTGTTAGCTTGTTCTTGGGCTTTGCTGGAAACAGAGTGCCCCTGCTTCAACCGTGATGTCATTATGAGGCCCAAAATTCCTATTATGACTTGGGTCATGAGCTCCCCAAAAATCACCAAATAGGGCACACCCAAAAAAAGTTGCATCATCAAATGGAAATGGCACATACAAGGTGGTGCTAAGCTGGGGCCAAAGGGGCTATCGTTTTTACATGAGGATGTACAAAATTTGCCAACCCAGGACACACCAAGCAAGTCCTGCAGATAAGGAAAGAGCCACCGTCCCCCGCCACTCCCGCCACCTACAATGGGGCAAATCCTTTAAAGAACTAAACCCAGAGAATCAGAAACACATTTGGTTTACTGAAGGATCCGCCAAATACATTGGTGGGACCCGATGCTGGAAGGCTGTGGCTCATAATCCTGTTAAAAACATGAGCATTTCTGTTGAAGGAAGGGGTGGGAGCAGCCAGCTAGCTGAACTGGTGGCTGTCCTCCGAGCTATTCAGGAGGAGGCTGGAGCTATTCAGGATTTGTCACTTGTATACTGACTCCTGGTCAGTAGAAAATGGTCTCACTACTTGGATGCCCCAGTGGCAACAAAACAAATGGTTAATTGGGAATAAAGATGTTTGGGGAAAACAATACTGGGAAGATATCTGGATCCTGGCGCACACTATCATTATCACCGTTTTCCATGTTGATGCTCATGCATCTCTGCTTTCTCTTGACAGACTAATCAGAAGGCTGACCAACAAGCTAAAATTTCCACTATTACTGCAGACTCAGGCCCAGAAGAACCGGATTGGGCTGCGCTCATGCAATGGGTGCATCTCCAGTGAGGACATCTAGGCATCCAGGGAACCATGGCTTGGGGACAGCAAAGAGGGATATCATTACCGAAGGATGTGGTTCACACAACTTTATCCCAACGCACTACACGCCAACAGTTAAAAACTAAGCCAGTTCCTCAGAGGGTTTTGGGGCACATTCATAGGGGAAAAATGCCAGGACAAATTTGGCAAATGGACTATACTTGTCCTTTGCCACTTCTAAAGGGTGCCAATACATATGTACTTCTGTAGACACCTGCTCAGGGTTCCTAGTAGCCTGCGCTTATGCTAATGCT
This sequence comes from Homo sapiens, assembly GCF_000001405.40. Lineage (NCBI taxonomy): Eukaryota > Metazoa > Chordata > Mammalia > Primates > Hominidae > Homo > Homo sapiens. The sequence continues at coordinate 226,538,304 of NC_000001.11, read as the reverse complement.
AACCAAACTAACACTATTAAAACCTTAAACATCCTAATTCTATATTATGGTGTGCCCATACAAATTCAAATGGACAGTGGCTCCCATTTCAAAGGTAAGGCTGTACAAACCTTTGCAGCCCAACATGGCATAGAATGGATTTTCCACATCCCATGCCACCCACAGGCAGCTGGCCTAATCGAAAGAATGAACGGGTTATTGAAAAAACAGCTAAAGGTGTTAGGGCAAGGTAAGTTAAAAAAATGGAACGATCACCTGTTTGAGATAGTACAAATTTTAAATAATCGGCCATTAACAACATCTGAAACCCCACTGAGCCAAATGCTTATCCTACACTTACAAATTGCTAAGTGTGCAGGTGTAGTCCACCCTCTCTTGCTGAAATGCTGGAAAATCCACCCACTCCCATGGAGGAGTACAAGAGGAGCTGCCAGTTTGGACTTATATAGTTTAAAGCCTGGGATAATTCCCGCCCAAAGTACATACACGGTAGCCACCGGCTTAGGAGTTATTATAGGTATTATACCTTGCAAACATTATGGGTGGATTACATTCCAATCAGGTCTTGCAATGCGGGGTATTACAGTACACGGGGGTATAACTGACAGTGATTACCGGGGAGAGTTAAAGGTCATTTTATACAATACCACTCCAGATTCTTTTGCTATAAAACTGCAGATACCAGTTGCTCAATTGTTAGTGGTACCTTGTCAGCAATTAACCCTGTAGGAAATCTCTGCCCCAACAGAGGCTACATACAGAACCAGGTTATTCAGATCCACTGGTACTAGTGGCTTAAATCCTGGAGCCAAAATATAGGTACAGCGTCCATCAGATCCCACCCCTCAGGCTGGTGACCTTGTAGCTATGGGAGCAGAAAATGAAGGCATAGTACAATTTCCTAAATATGAAAAAACAATATCATGTTCCCCTCCACTTTTGCTATTACAGGGAATGACCTATCTACTGATGTGTCTTGTGTCTTTGTGTCTGAGGCCTAGAATGAATTTATTACCTGGTAGCCACTGCTGCAAAAGAGCTCAACCGCAGTCAGTGCTGGTATGTGTCGAGTTGCCAGAGGCTGCAGGGAATGGATTACCTTAGAATATTATCTCTGCTAATATTTCCAAGTGGCTATGTCGCTACCAATGGGGTTGGGAGAATAGCACCTGTAGTACAACCTGAACTTCTTTTAACCAAACTAAACAGTCTATTCTTGCCCAAATTCAACAAAAGGCGAAATCCACCCTTGCAATGAGTCAAAAGCTTTTGTATCCTACCTGATATGCCTGGAACAGCGTATACGGGGAACCTGTCATACTGGTAGCTGGACTCCTTATGGCCCCCCCTTTGTTTGGGGGCCTTAAATGGCTTCCCCAATGACACTCTGGGGTTTCTCCCACCAGACAGTTGTCAGCACATATTCCAAATCAATAACAGTGCCCCCAGTGAAACACAGCACCTTTGTTACTTAAATTACACATTACAGCAATACGATTGTAGTAGAACTCTTCCCCTTCCCTGGGGGGCCCTCTGGGTATGCGGATCCTATGGGTGGTGATACTTGCCCCCGAACTGAACAGGGAGATGCACTTGGGGGTGGCCATTAATTCCATTCACTATCTGGGATAATATTTCCCTCCCCAGTAATCTAGTTACTTACAAATATTGCTGGTTACAAATGCGCCGGACTCCCTGGTGGTGGTACCATATCACTGCTGGTACAATCCTGCTTCAACAACAAATTAAAATACTAAGCTTGCATGTAGAAAAAGCTCTTAATGCTAGTAGCACTGGACTTACATTGTTATCAGATGAATTTGCTCAGGGGCGTACTGTTGTGTTGCAAAATCAAATGGCATTACACATCCTTACAGCAGCCCAAGGAAGGGTTTGCGCCTTACTGCATGCTGAATGTTGTGTGTATATCCCTGACAATTCTCACAATATTACTCTCCTTGCCCAAGACATGCAAAAACAAAGCAGTTAGAATATAACCATGGGCACCCCATCGTGAATTGGCTGTCCGACTGGCATTGGCGTTGGCCGTGGTGGGTGTGGTTTTTATTAATTGTGCTTTTAATTCTCCTGTGTTTACCCTGTATCTGTAATCTATATCAACTATGCCTTCCCCATGTATCTTTACACGTTTTATCCACAACTGAGTATCAAATTGAGGCCGAATGTGGAGGAAAAGTTAAATATTTAATTTGAACTCAATTGAACATGGACATAAACAATGGTCACCAACTCCCGGAACAGGTTGCATGAGCCCCTTGAGGCATTCATCCAGCAAAGTTTTAGAGAAATCTGCTCCTGTACGTCAGTTACTGAGAAACAACAGACAATCACAAAAACAAGTAGACCTTTTTGTGTCCCTTGAGCCCAGTCTCGAAGGGCCCTCGTGACTGGGCCTCATGCCAAACAATTCATTACAAAAGAGCTAGGGTCCCAGACCGCACTGAAGCTCCATGAGACCTCTCCTCGTCTGTGCACGGACCGGCGGCCCACTCTGGAGCCCAGGCTGTTGCTTCCCAGTCTGGTGATGCTTCCTCCATAATCTGGTGGTGTAAATATATATGGACATATCTTTTCCCTTCACTCCTTTCCACTGCAATTTGCTTGTTATATCATTTGCTTATTATATCTATATTGCCATATACGTGGGATAAAGGTTGTTCACCCTTAAAAGGTCTTGTGTGTGTGCCAGGCGCGGTGGCTCATGCCTGTAATTCCAGCATTCTGGGAGGCCGAGGCGGGTGGATCTCCTGAGGTCGGGAGTTCGAGACCAGCCTGACCAACATGGTGAAACCCTGTCTCTACTAAAATACAAAAAATTAGCCGGACATGGTGGCATGCGCCTATAGTCCCAGCTACTTGGGAGGCTGAGGCAGGAGAATCACTTGAACCCGGGAGGCGGAGGTTGCACTAAGCTGACATCGCACCACTGAGCTCCAGCCTGGTGACAGAGTAAGACTCCGTCTAAAAAATAGAAATAAAAATAAAAAAGTCTTGTGTGTGCGTCTTTTTTTTCCCCCATGCATTTCCAGCACAGAACACCTGCCCTACAGACTTCAGACTTGTTTAGCCACAATTGTGCCAGCCAATTCCTTATAAGTCCATCTCTCTCTCTCTCTCCTTCTCTCTCTCTCTCCTCCTCTCCTATCTATATTATTCTACTGGTTCTGCTTCTCTGGTTTAACCCTAGACTTACATGGCTGGGAAGTCCATAGAAGGGCTCAAATTATGTCTATAAATATTCTAATCTCTATATGTATATCTCCATCTCCACCCTTCCCCACTTCCCCGCCCCCATCTCTCAGCTCTCAGCTCTGCTCCTCTCTGTGTGTGGCTTCAGTCTGCAGAGACTGGCTCGCTCCTTGTGGTGAGAAAGATGGCCTCTGAAAACCCCAAAATCACACCCTTCCAAACAAGGCCAGCAGAAAGAGACTTCTTTCTCACAGGGAAGTGGTTCTCATCATTCCATCTTTGGTAATGGGCCCAGCTCTTGAATCAGTCACTGTTGCCAGGGTAACATGATTGAGTACTGAGTTTGACATGGCCTGTAATGGGTGGCATTCTGTGACTGACACCCTCCATCAAACCTAAAGGAGTGGATAGAAGTACTCCCAAAGAAATAGGTGGTACTGCAACCAGAAAAGGGGTGTAGGGATGCATGCTAGACAGACATAACTGTAATGACCAAGGTCTACTAGAAGAAGCTAGTGAACCTCTTGGCAATGAAACTTCTAAGTCACTGGTCTTGAACTGCATGAGCTTCATGTTTGGGCTTCCCTCTACGTGTTGACTTCCAGAGCCAATCTTCTGGTTGCCTTTTCTGGATGCAACGTACTTGTGCAAAATGTGATCTTAAAGACAGAGCCTCAGCTTGGTGTCTACTCACACCTCCACTTCCACCCAGCTGCGTGACTGTGGTCAGAGCAAGTCATTTCTCTGTGCCTCTATTCTCCATTTGTTTAATACAAATTTCACACCCACGCTTCCCACTCCAAAAGACCAGGAGTGTGGGATTAGATCATAAATTAGAATAGTACTTTTATTTCAGCTCTTTGGATCAGGTGGTTTATTTCCTGCTTCTTCTGTGGATAGAGCTTCCCCTCCTCCTTCCTAAAGTAACATTTGTCCTCCCCACTGGTCCCCTGAAGCCATAATGGTATCATGTTTGCAGAAGAACATGATGAGGGAGAAGAATGCTTCTAAAGCCAAGATTGATAAGAGAAGTGAAGGCATGAGTCCCCCCTCCTCCCATCTTCCCACTGAGAGGACTGCTGGAGCCAGGGTGCCCTGCTGGACTTAGGGTGGGTCTCTGTTCTAATGGAAGGGACCTCTCCTCTTTAAGTCTTCTTTAAAAAAAAAAAAAACAAAGGGAAAGCAACCTTGTCAGTAGAGCAATACTCAGGTCAGGCAGTCTAGATTTAGATGCCAGCTGTTTACAGAAGTATTTGGAAAACTTAGTGCTTCCAGGAAGTCAGAAGAGAGGGATGAAGGGTAGCAGAAACTATCCAACCTGTGGGAAGGTGAGCTTGGGCACAGCATTCCGAGTGGGAGAAGATGGGGCCTAGGACCCAGAGTAACAACAAGGGTCACTGTCAGACAACCTTATACAGCCTTTAATGACCCAAGGAAGAATCTTTGCCACACTGAATTTAAAGTGCTGATGATCTGAGAAAAACAGGCTGAGAGGAGCTCTAGCAAGGCTGAGGAGGAGATTACTGTCTAGGATCTAAGGAGTCCCACAGTAGACACTCAGAGCTAGCACTTTACCTTGGCAAGTCACATTTCTTATGCCAACAGTTTTATTTACATCTTTCCAAAGTAGATAAGGCTGGGGCTGATGACCAGGTTACTGAGAAGAATGTGGAAGGCTGTTAAGAGAGAGAACACGAGAGCCAGCAGAGGCCTCTCTGGTCTAAAAGCAGCTGAACTTGGACAGACTTTCGTTCTCTTAAGAACCAAGGACTCCTAGACTGTGCACTACTGAAACGTGGGCAGAATTCTGAACCACACCTGGAAGCCGAGGGGACACACCCCCAGAGGCCTCTTCCCTTCATGGAGAAGCCGCTTAAAGGGCAAGAGGGTTGATTCCAGAGAAGAACAAGTAGCCTCTCAGTTAGTAGTTATTAACATGTGGCTACTTAAATTTAAAGTTAAATTAATCAACATTGATTAAAACTTAAAATTCATTTCCTCAGTCACACTGGTCATATTTCAGATGTTCAATGTCCACATGTAGAGGCTGGTGGCTGCCATACTGGACAATGTAAATAGAGAATATTTTCATCATCTCAGTAAGTTTGATTGGACAGCTCTGAGTTAGAATCAAGGTGGGGATGCATATTAAAAAGATGCAACATCAAAGTGGCTTAAACAAGATAATGATTGTTTTTTGGTTTTTTTTCCTAAAATTTTAGGTCAGTAAAGTAGCTTAATTCCCCAGAGTCATTAGGACTGCCTATGCTCTTGTGGTGGCTACAGAGTCACAGACCCAGGATCCTTTTATCTAGACACTCTGACATTCCTAGGATGCCAGGAAGGGCTGTCTGCATGGCTCAAGTGGTGCACCAGCCAGTGGGAAGAGGGAAGGAGAGAGTGCATCTTTTCCTTTCAAACGCATCCCCTAGACCTGCATAGATCTCTTCCACTTATATCCGCTGGCCTCATCTAACTACAAAAGAGGCTAGGAAACTTTACTCTAAATTAAAGGTTAAATAAATGATCTAAATCACACTTTGGGAGCCTGAGGCAGGAGGATTGCTTGAGCCCAGGAATTCTAGACCTGCCTGAGCAACATAATGAGATCCTGTTTCTACAAAATAAATAAATAAATTAATTAAAACATTAGCCAGGCATGTCCCCTCGGCTTCCAGGTGTGGTTCAGAATTCTGCCCACGTTTCAGTAGTGCACAGTCTAGGAGTCCTTGGTGGCACATAGCTGTAGTCTCAGCTACTCAGGAGGCTGAGGCAGAAGGATCACTTGAGTCCTGGAGGTTAAGGCTGCAGTGAGCCAAGACCGCACAACTACACTCCAGCCTGGGTGACAGAGCGAGATTCTGTCTCAAAGAAAAAAATCTAAATCAAATATTTAAAGCTCATTACTATGGAGGAAGGAGGGAATGGTTGGGGAGGGCGTGTAGCAGTTTCTTCCATGGCAGTTATGTATAGTATATGAATCCGTTTCTGCCAATATTCTCTTTTTTGTCTTCTTTCTCTTTGCTGTCTCTCCTATTTCCTCCCTCTTCCTTTTATCCCACTGACCCCTGCACACACACCCCCACCCCAGGTATCAGGAACCATACCTAGTTCTTTCGCATGCACAGTCTCATGTTATCATCACAAGCACCCTATGAGGTAGGTATTCATTACGCCCATTTTACAGATAAAGACACTGAGGCTTAGAAAAGTTAAATAATGAGCCCTGCCTAGTTCCTAAGAATTGCTGGAGAGATTGGTCCCAAAGGCTTTCTTTCCACATTCACTCAGTTCCCCTTGCTTCTTCCCCTCTGCTTGTCTGAGGCCCATCTCTTCTCTTTGGATTCTCTCCCCAACCTCTCCCTCTGCTCACCTCCTGACTCCCTCCCCTTTCTCCCTGGCTTTTGGCTTTCATTCTTCTTTTCTGTCTCCCAGTGCAACAGGCCAGTCTCACTCAGCCCACTACACGCTGGCCCCACTCAGCTCCTAATAAATCTATGAAGTTGTAATCAATCTATAAATCAGCTCTCCTGATTAAACCTGGTGAGGATTAGGGTTGGGTTTCCCTGTAATTACAGCTGAAGATCTGAACAATAAACCAAATTGACTGGCAGAAAAAACATGAGGTTACCTCCAAACACCCTATCTGTTCTCTCCCATGGTTCATGTGGCCAGGCCCTGACCTCAGATGTCTGGCTCCCTGCAGTCCCCTCCCCAGCCCCAAGACAGAGCGTGTGAGGACCAGAACAGACCTCTAATCTTGGGCTAGAGAACGGGGTCTGTAAGTGGGCAAGGAACCTCCAGAGCTCTAATCGTCCCACTCATGAAAACCCCGTCTCCTCTGGGTCCTGGGTAATGAGGCTCCCTCCTTCAGCTTCATGAGGTTTCTCTCCTTCCACTTGGGTACAGAAGTGGGTGAGGACAGGACTTTCTGAGAGGTGTCAGTCCCCTCACTTGTCTGGAGACTGCCTTTGATTTGGGCTATTTCTGACAGAAACAGAAGGGGACTGCAGGCAGCAGTGAACATGACAGAGGGGACTAAAGATGGTCGGGGAGGCGTTTGCTAAGAAGGACAGAGGATGACAGTGCCCTGGAAACTGAAAATCAATCTCCTCTGCTTCCCCCTCTCCAGAGACTGTGGTGGAGTTGGGACAAGCACCCCTGGTTGAGGCAGGGAGGCTGACTCTTCCTCCCACCCTCCTAAGAATCCTTACTGCCAGGGTTAGGCTTCTGTAGCTTCCTCCCCCAGCCCCTGACTCCACTTCCCTGCAACACACGCCCACACCCAGGGCTGAGCACAGAGGCTGGCACATCCCGGGAGTTCGATCAATGTGAATTGAATTCGCCCACTCATTCAGGCACCAATCAATCTCTGTCTCTCCACGTAAAATTTTTATTATTCAGCTGTCCCAGACATCCCCCAATTCACTGATGTCTTTTCGGAAGCAGTGGGAGTCCCAGAACTGATGACTCTCTAGAAGATGGAGAAGCCAGGAGGAATCCAGAGAGAAACAGGAAAGGGGAGAGAAAAAAGGAGAGAAGTGGACTTGGGGAGAGAAGGAGAGAGACAGCGAGACAGAGAGGCAGAGAGATCATGCCTTTTTCCTTGAAGGTCATCTTTACTAGGCCTCCGAGGTGAGTCATGTGCCATTATACTCCCTACTCTGCAGTTTAACTAAACAAGTCATGAACTAAAAAACAAAACAACAGCAAAAACAAAGCCAATCAAGAAAGCAGGTGCTCTCAGTCCTGGACATCCTCAAATCAGCAAAGATGGGTCCCAAGCAAAGACCCAGTGTCTTCTTAGTGTTCTGTTTCCAAGTCCTTCAGTGACACTTCCTCTGGCTCTAAAAGCGGGAGGCCCAGCCCTGGGACCCCTGACCCAGCTAGCCTGGCTCCAGCTCCCCAGCCCCTCTGTCCCCGCTTCACGAGGCAGCACACTGGGCCCAGGCTGCTTTGGCATCCATTAGTTGCGTGGTCTCATGTTTCCTGTGATGACACATGGGGACATGAAGCTCTGTTATTCTGGCAGGCACCACAGACTGGTCTCTGTTGGCATTTGGTTCCTGGGCGTAGGTTGGTTTCTCACTTATGGCAGTACCTCTGAGGCTTCAGGGGAGGCTCTGGGCTGCCGTGTGGCAAAGGGCTCCCTGAAGGCCCTCAGCCTGTATCCAGGGCAATTCTTTTCGCTCCATGCTCAGCCCCTCCCAGGCCAGTCAGGGGCCGACTCAGAGAGCCCCAGCCATGGCTGTGCCCAGGGAGGTGTGCAGGGCATGGAAACCAAACAACTGAGGACAGGAAGTGTTCGGATCAGGAGTGGCAGTATCACACGGGCTTGGACTCTGACATTCCAGGGAGGGGACCATCCTACTTCTGCCACTCATCAACTTGTGACCTTGGGCAAGAGGCTTAGACTCTCAGAGACTCAGCTTCCACATTTCTAAAATAGGACCTTCTTCGTAAAGTTGATATGAGGACTACATAGAGTGCTTAACACGGTGCCCAACACATGGTAAGTGCTCGATAAATGGGACTATTACCATGATCATTATTATTAACACTTTATAGAAGAGACTGGGACAATTCTTTTGGTACTGAGCCCCTGCAAAATGCAAACACACGAAGCGTAGGTGGTTTATCAGATAAGTTATCTTCTGGGGTGGTGGGAGGAGCAGACATAACCCCCAAATCCTACAAAAGATGGCCCTATTGGGTGGCAAAGTAAGCGGTGATCTAAGCAGAGTGATTAAGAGCCACCTTCCCAGCATCCAGATAGTGAGGACTCACAGCATAATGGCGTTTCAGTCAACAACATACCACACAGAGTAGTACACTGGTCCCTTAAGATTACAATGCCATATTTTTACTGTACCTTTTCTATGTTTAGGTATGTTTAAGTACAAAAATACTTGCCATCATGTTACAATTACCTACAGTATTCAGTACAGTAACATGCTGTACAGGTTAGTAGCCTAGGGGCAATAGGCTATATGCCATATAGCCTAGGTGGCAAACTCAGTGATGTTTGCACAAGGACAAAATCACCCAATGGCACATCTCTCAGAACATAATCCCTGTCATTAAGCAACACTTAACTGTAAACCATTTTTATGATTCACTAGTCATGGACCCCTAACATGTCTCTCCCGGTCACTTCTTTGGAATAAGGCAGAAGCCCCCCAAAGACGATGCAGAGTCCCCTTTGGGGACTTCTTTGATCCAATTATGTCTATCTTGTCTGACAGCTGGGAGAAAATTTGTGTTAGGATAGGACAGAAAACTGAGTTGCTATGAGCAGGTCTGGACTGGAAGAGCTGTGCATGGTAGGGGCAGGTGGCAGGGGTCGCAGGGTGTGGGTCCTCACAAGTGAAGGAAGGGATTAGGGTACTGGGTCCTGAGGTCTCCAAAAGAGGAGTGTGGGAGACGCCCCCCAGGATTCCCGTCCCCTGGCTGTTCACACCCTGTATATCCCCCTCCCCTTGAGCTTAGGTGGGACCTGAGACTTGCTTCTAGCCAATGGACTATGGGAAAAATGAAGGGACTTTCAGAGGTAATTGAGGTCCCAGATTGGTTGATTTTGAGTTCATCTAAAGGGAGATTGTCCTGGGTGCGCCCGACTTAATCAGGCAGGCAGCCCTTAAAGAGAAGGGCCTCCTGAGGGCAGAGACTGTCAGTGATATTATAATACCATATTTTTACTGTACCTTTTCTATGTTTAAGTACAAAAATACCATACTGCCTCATCTCCTGAGGGCAGAAGAAATCAGTGGCCAGGCCTTTGTGGCAGGAAGCTGGCAGCCTAGGACCTGAGGGCAAGCCTCCAGTCAAAGCCAGTAAACAGGGGGACACTCCCCGACCCCATCCCTTGGTACAGTTGCAAGGAAGTGAATGCTGCCAACAGTCTGAGTGAATCTGGGAGTGGATTCTTCCCCAGGTGAGCCTCCAGAGGGGAATACAGCCCAGGGGACTCTGAGCAAGGGATGCAGTGAAGCCGTACAGTCTCTTGACCCAAAAACTGCCATAGAATAATGGGTGTCTTTTCAAGTTGCTAAACTTGTGGCAATCTCTTACAAAGCAATAGAAGACTAATATACGTGTTGAGGGGAGGGTGTCCTGGAACAGGAGGTGGGAGGTGCCGAAGACAGGCTCCAGTTATGGTACACTGGTCTGCTTCTCACTCCAGGAGGCACTGGTTTTGTCCAAAAGATTCCATCCTGACCACCTTGCTGGCCCCACTCTGTTTTTGTCTGGAGGTGGAAAGGGGTCGTGTTTTGGACCTGAAGCCCTAAGAATGCTTGCCTGAAGCTGAGATGGGAGGGTATCCTCCTTCAGCACACCACCAGGATGCCTCACCCTGAGGACGTGCCAGGCGCTCTGGAGCAAAAGGATCCGGGCTCCCAGGCTTGTCCAGAGAGGGTGCTGCCGGGAGTGTAGGGCGAGCTCCAAATCTAGGGGAGCTCTAGATCTTCCAGTCAGACCTGGAGCTGGACTGGTGCCCTCACATTCCCGCAGTGCCCCCAGGAGTGGTCGTCCCAGCGTCCCTGGCTCTGGCTCTGTCATCTGTGGGTGTCTTAGTGCCTTTAGATAGACTGGGGCCACCCCCAGGTAAGAAGGGCCAAGCCCCCTGAAACTGTACCCTGAGACCGCACCTCGGTGCAGGAGCTGACTCTGGCCCCGGCCCCAGCCCTGCCCCACCCTGAGCACCTCCACTGCCCTCCCTCAATAACAAAGGCCTGGAGGGCTGCCTCCCTACCCCCGTCCTCCACCGCTACGCAGGGTCCCCCCTGCAGCAGGGCACTTCGGCTGACTTAATGTCTCTCATGGATAAAATCGCTCTGAGTAGTTTTAAAGCTTTCAATTTTAGCCCTGGAAGCTTTTCCTTAAACAAAAATCTCACAAGAAAACTCAGTCTGCAAGAACGAAAGTGGAGCTGCTCTGATGGAGTGCAAGGTCAGTGGCTTCTCCCCAGACAGCCTCCCTTACCCTCCCCCGCCCCTGCCTCCTCTTTCCCTGGCAGCCCCTGAAGGGCTGTGTGGAGCTGAAGTACTTGTGGGAAGCGTGTTTGGACGGTGCTGACCAGGACCCAGTCACCTTTTCCTGTTTGTTTCCCTCACGGCTGGTTGGGCCAGGAAGTCCCGCCCTCTCAACCCCAGTGCAGCTGTCAATCAACGAGAGCACAAAGAATGTTCCCAATCCGCAGACAGAGTCCCTTCCACAGCTGGGATCTTCTCCACCTGGAGGACTACGTTCTTCGCCCCACCTTGCAAGTGGCTTGACATGAATTTGTTATCTGTGAGACAAATGTTCTTGGCCTGCCTAGGAGAGCTTTAAATAGACTCCGAGTTAAAAGAAAGCTTATCCATTATTTAGTCCAGCTCTTAGCTCGGGCAAGAATTCCTTACACATTCCCACCAAGAGGCAATCTAGATTCTCTCTGAATACTCCCCACAATGGGTGGCTCACTGTCTCACAAAGCAGGTGTCTCACTGTTAGGCAGCTCCTATTAAAATCCAAACCTGCTACCTTGCAGCCCTCATCCACTGGCTCTGCCTCTGGAGCTCAAAGAATAAGTCATGAAGTCGTGGAACTTATACTAAAAGGAATGCAGCTCACCCCAGGCTAGTCTTCTCCTCTCCTGTTCCATTCTCCTTAGAGGGCACTTGTGTAGATTATTATATTGGTGGTCAAGGAAACATGTCACTTAGTATTTGTGGACTGTGTATTCCCCTCTCTCATTGACTCTTGGATCATCCTCATGACTTGCTTTGGCCAATGGGATATTAGCAGGCATGAAGCCTTGGAAGCACTTGCAAATTTGGGCTTGCCCCCTTAGGAAGTTCCTCCTTGGAAGCCAGCTGCCATTGCTGAAGGAAGCTCAAGTTTGGCTACTGAATGGTGCAAGGCCATGTGGAGAGAGGCCCTGGAAAAGGGTAGTCCATTTTTTCCTTATTTTTTTATGTTTAATGTTTGTGGGTACATAGTAGGTGTGTATATCTATGGGGTACATGAGATGTTTTGATACCGGCATGCAATGTGGAATAATCACACCATGGAAAATGGGGTATGAGGAGAGGCCATTTTGGATGTTCCAATCACAGGCAAGCTCCCAGCTGAAGGCAACCACAGGAGTGACCTAAGCAATACACAAGGAACAGAAGGGCTGCGCTGCTAAGCTCAGCCAAACCACAGGATCTTGAGAAATAATAAATTGTTGTTTTAAGCAACTAAATTTTGGAATGGGTTGGTAAACAGTGATAGAGAATTGAAAACTACTGATAGAGTTTTTCTAGGAGCACATTTCTAGGATAATACGGCCAAAATTTTTCATCTCAGATCAGCCATTTACAAAGAGTATAGACAACCTGCCTAAGCCAAGAGATAGCAAACATCTTTACTGGAGATACCGGGAGCTCGGCCACTTAGAATTAAATCAGAAGGAGTCAGTCGGAGATGGGAAGGAGTTAGGAGCCTTTGGCTTGAGCAAGTCAGAGAGCCCCGTTTGAATGACAAATTATATGGAACAGCTTGGCTTTCCTCACAAAATAAAATTATGCTTCAGTTCAAATTTCTTGCCACTTATAAATTACTTTTTATTTTATTGCCCTACAGACCACGTCCAGATCCGTTTGGACGCTATGCTGTTTTTTATATTCCATTCTCCAAAGCTGTGAAGGTACAAATCATGGGCCATCCCAGGTGGTTTGGGGAAGAGATGTTTTTTCTTTCAAAAACAAGGTTTGGGTACATATTTGTGGTAATGACATAGAAATGAAAACATAGCAAGATCAATTGGAGTTTATAATAGCATTCTGCACAGGGAGAAATAGTGTGACATGCTCCTGGATGAGGCTGCCCCAGCCTTCTCCCAGCATTCACTCCATAAGCCTTTATTGAGCACCTACAGTCCCTGCCTTCCAGGCACTCATGTTCAAGGGAGGAGACTGACAGGTGGAGCAGCAGGAGCAATACAGTGTGATAAGGAGGAAGTCTGGGACAAGGAAAGTACCTACAAGAGGCCTGTCTCCTAAAAGAAGCTCTATCTAGGCTGAGAGCAAAAGGGTCAATAGAGCAAGTTGAACAAAGAGAAGGGACATTCATTGATTGCAGAGATTACTAGCTTCTACCCAATATCTATCTATCTCTTTTTCCTGATGATTAGAACATCATTTTATCCTGCTAGGCAATATTTCTAGCTAAAGGGCTACATTTCCCAGACTCCCTTGTAGCTAGCAATGAATAATGGGATATAAATACAAGTTTACAGGGTTTCTTGGAAGGAGTTCTGACTCAACTAGGAGACACAACCAAGTTCCTCTATTTTTCTGCCTGGAATGTGGACTTGATGGCTGGAGTGCCAGCAGCTATTTTGTGTCATAAAGCAAACTTGAGATAGAAACCAACTATAAAGTATGGTAGAGCAGAAAGTTAAGAAGAGCTTGCATCCTGACAACTGTGAAGCTGCTATATCAGCCCTGGAGAGCCACCCTTCTGGCTTCTTTCACATGCCAAATAAATAAATGTCAGATTTAAACTACTTGTTTGTTTTGTTGTTGTTGTAATTTGCAGCTGAACCTAATCCTAACTGATATACCTGCATGTGCCAAGGCCCAGAGGTAAGAGAGCACATGACATATTCCTCAGTCTGCAAATGGTTCCGAGTGGATGGAGCTCAATAAACTGTGTGACAGAGGAGGGGGTGGTGAGTGGGACAAGAAAGGGAAGCAGAGGTGAGCCTGGAGTTCTTGGGCAATGGGGCATAGAGGGAAATCATAATTGCTAGCATTTATGAAGGGCTTTAAACAGCAGATTCTTCTCTCCCTATCCTCCACATCTGGAGAAAGGACAGCCTCCTGTTCCCCAGAGACCTAGGACTAGGGAACAAAATGTCCTAAGTTAAAGGGTGTGTCTCAAAATTGGGGACATGGCCACAGACAACTGTCCTTGGATATGAGAACTGCCTCATGACTTCGCTTAAACTAAATTAAACCTTCTCTGGGTCCCATTTTCCAGCGTGATATCAAAGTCAGCTTCCCTCTCCCAAGGGCTGTGCAAGATTAGAGAGCTGAACTTGTAGAAAACCAGGAAAGGCCTCCAGCCTTCCATCATGGAATTGTTTCTAAGTTGCCTGTTGCCAAGACTGGGATGGTCCACGGGCAGCCCAGATAACCGTGAGAATAGGGATCCCCTTGAGGAGCCCAGGTCCACAGCTCGCTGAGAGTAGCCTCCTCCTGCATCCGCAGGCCACCCCAGCAGAGGTCTGGCGGCTCCCAGATTCCACAAGGAAACATGGCTTGTTCCCTGCCACCCTTGGAAACTCCCAAACCTAACCCTTCACCTTTGCTGGGGAAACCCCTCTTTGCCCCCCTTTTGGGTGGGAGCCTTGTCATTTTCCCCAGTCGAAAGGAATCCAGCTCAATCCTCCTGGGTAAGCCTGAAACACAGAAGAGATTTGCCTCCCACCTTTCCACACTTTCTCCCTGCCCTGGGGAAAGGGATAATGTAAGGAACTTTAAAAAATACTCGTCATCCAACCATCCAACCATCACTGGCAGCAGAGCCCCTGAAAATCATATAGCCTGGAGCAGCTTGTCACAGAAGATAGAGAGGAAACAGTCAAAGACAAATTTGATTTGATAGAGTCGTAAAATGGTCTCAGGAGCCAGGGTGAAGAGGCTCCCGCTGGCCAGAGATGTGAAAATGTGAGTACCAATAAGGACAGTAACAGCAGTGTATTGAAATAGGTCAAATATATATAAATCCATGAGTCTATAATGATACTTTTTTTAAAAGAACCTAACTGGCTATCAGTTGAGGCTATCAATTCATACTAATGAATTAATTCATTGTTTTGATAACTAACATATATAGAAGTAAAAGATCAAGCAAGAGATAAAGACAAAAAGAAACTACTCTGGCCCATGTAAATATATCTCAAGATGTTAAAAAAAAATTAGAAGAGTTCAGCCTGTAATGACTGTAGCAGGAAAAGCAGTGCTTTTTAATGATGCACAAGGGAATGAGAAGTCCTTGCTCTGAGCCTTGGTGGTCCACGGGAGGGTCTACGTGGGCTTGAGCCAGCAGGGTTTCCTAGGACACGGTTCTCCAGAGAAAATGCCCTGGTGAAAACCACAGGCAGAAAAGAATGGGATGAGCCTGGGATGGAATAGCAACAAGAATATCCCAGAAATCATTTTTTTTTTTTTTTGAGACAGAGTCTAGCTCTGTCACCCAGGCTGGAGTGCAGTGGCATGATCTCAGCTCACTGCAACCTCCGCCACCCAGGTCCAAGCAATTCTCCTGCCTCAGCCTCCCAAGTAGCTGGGATTATAGACATGAACCATCACGCCCAGCTAATTTTTGTATTTTTAGTAGAAATAGTGTTTCACCATGTTGGCCAGGCTGGTCTCAAACCCCTGACATCAGGTGATCTACCTGCCTTGGCCTCCCAAAGTGCTGGGATGACAGATGTGAGCCACCGTGCCTGGCCCCACAAAGCATTTGGGCACTTTCCCAGCATTCAGTGAACTATGTGACACAGTGTTCCGTGATGAAAACAAGATGCCACCCCCATGGGAAGGATGAGAACTGAGTCAAGTGATTGAGTTTGGCAGTTTGTAGACTTCAAATCTCCTTCAAAGGACTCAGTTCAGGGCAGTTGTGGGTTGTCCACCAAATCGCAGTCTTAAGGAGTGAAAGGTGGAGCTAGACTGCTGGGAGGGAGAGCCAGGACAGAAAGGTGGGAGAAGGAAAGTTAGCTTGAGGAGGAAGCAGAGGCAAAGAGCTTGTTATGGAAATGATAAGGAAAAGGCCTAGTAGATGAGTCCCAGAAGGCAAGAGAAAGAGGCATGGCTGAGCTGGGCTGGGTGCAGGGAGCACCTGGAGAACAGACCCAGAGATCTCCGCTCCATAATGTGGGGGCAAGCATGCCACATAGCAGCCTGGTCTGCCACTTTCTCTCCCTACTCCCATCTCTATTCAGGGATGGACTAGGGCAGGGTTCAAAGGCCCAGGAGAAAGTCAAGGAGGCTCCCAGGACCTTGCTCCAGAGAAACCAAGAGGCCATCAGGCAG
This sequence comes from Homo sapiens, assembly GCF_000001405.40. NCBI lineage: Eukaryota > Metazoa > Chordata > Mammalia > Primates > Hominidae > Homo > Homo sapiens. Next base: position 226,522,024 of record NC_000001.11, on the reverse strand, counting down.
AGCGACGGGGTCTGGGTCACCAGGAACCAGGTGAAGACAAGTAAGGAGGATGGGGAGGAGATATGGAGGAGGATGAGGAGGGAGATGAGGAGGAAGGGGGTGGAGAGACAGAGGAGGAGAGAGGGAAGTGAAGAGGGGGTATGAAGAGAAGGTGGTAGGAGCTGGCAGACACAGAAACGCAGTGTATTTAAGACCTGCTATTTTTGTTTTCCTTTTTTCTTTCCCTTTCTTTTTTTTTTTTTTTTTTTTTTGAGACAGGGTCTCGCTCTGTTGCCCAGGCTGCAGTGTGGTGGCACGATCTCGGCTCACTGCAACCTCCTCCTCCCGGGTTCAAGCGATTCTCCTGCCTCAACCTCCCAAGTACCTGGGACTACAGGTGCATGCCACCACACCCAGCTAATTTTTGTATTTTTAGTAGAGACAGGGTTTCACCATGTTGGCCAGGCTGCTCTCGAACTCCTGACTTCAGGTGATCTGCCCCCTTCAGCCTCCCAAAGTGCTAGGATTACAGGCGTGAGCCACCACACCTGGCCAGGACCTGCTAACATTGAGTGTGGCCCTTTCATTGTGCAGATGAGGAAACTGAGACCCAGAAGAGCAAGTTCTTGGTCATAAAGCCCAGTGATATCGCAGAGGGGCAGGAGAGTGGTGAGAAACACACAAAAATTGTCTTCACACAACTCCCTCAAACCCCCACTCCCAGAAGAAAGAGGCGGAATTATTCCCAGTCCACCCAGGTCAAGTGACTTTGGATGGTGGCACCTGTGGGTGGGCTGAGGAGTCCAGGGTGTGTGGGTGCAGCTCAGTCCTTCAGGGTTAGTCTGTCCTGCCCCGCTTTCCCAAGCTCTCAACTCTGCAGGAAGTTCATGGCTCCACTGCTGCTCGGGGTGTGTGAATCGGGAGAGAAAAGACTTGGAAACCCATGTACACCTGCCCGATGCAGAAAGGACGAGGGTGCCCTTCTTCTACACACAGGTGGGACTTGGGCCTGGCCTCAGGAGGCACAGCTGCCCCTACCCAGGCCTTGGCCACAGTTGCCATGGAAACCGCACTGTAAAGGACTGAATGACCTCAGATTTTGCGTTTCATCTCCCAACATAGGATTTTAGAATGCAGAGAGCAGTTACTGGTCTTCTCTTATTTCAATGCCAGCTGAGCAGCATAGAGGTCCCTGGAGGCCCTTTGAGCTCCTCCTAGCTCACAGGAACAAGTGTGTGGGTCATCTCCCTGAGCCAGCCTCCGCTATGAGCCTTTGCCTTGACCCCTTGATCTATTCTTATTCACTTGGCAACAGTGATTAAGCCACAGGAGGTTGCAGGTGCTGGATCAGGCAACAGGGAAAGGAAGATGAATAGGAGACAGATCCTGACCCAAAGAAGGATGCAGTCGAGTTGGGGAAACAAATACATAAATAAATCATTATAAACCCATGTGGCAAGTACATGGGGCACCCAACGCACAGCAATTTGCTCACTAAAGTAGGTGACAGAGGGGGCAACATTGGGGCGAAGAGCTTGAAGAAAATGGTGACGGTGTGGACGGTTATTAAGGGGAATCATTCAGAGGACCAGGTCAAGTGGTTGCTGAGTGACACCAAATGCCCCGCTGAGGCTGGGCCCCAGGCCAATCTACAGGCCACTTGATTTTTCTCCAGCAGGGCTCAGCTATGAAGGCATATTGTGGGACTGTGGTCAGAAAGTGAAGCATTGGAAGTGAAGATTTCAGAAGAGGAGCTGCTCTGGGAACAAACACAGGGTCCAGCATGTGCCCTGGGAATGGACAGCAGACCAGGAGCCAAGGCAGGAGTCACAGGAATTACAGAGGCACAGGGACTCCCCCTGTGGTAGGACAGCGGTTCCTGCAGACACTGCTGTCCTGGGACTGAAGTGGTTACGGCAGGAGTGGAAAGAAGGTAAGCCACGTTCCAGCCTCTGAGGAATGGATTCCCTTCTCTCAGTCCAGGTCTCCTCATAATGCAGCAGATGATAATACCCAGGACACACTGTGTCCCCTTCCTTCCTCCCGCACTGTCCCTGGCTTACCTCTCAAGATCACTCCAGAGAGAGTCAAGCATTGCATGGGACGCACGTACACCTGGCTTGGGAGTCTTGCCAGCTCAGGGATAAATTTGGACATTGAGCCGTGATTGAATGCTGGTTCTAGTAAGAATTCAGTGTGTGTTATTGCATTAAATAAAATAATGAGAGCTCTTAAAGCAAATCGTAAGGCAGAAAGGCACACTGTGAAGGGGTTGAGTTGAAAGACTTTGCCCTTCCCTTCTCCTTGGGTGAACATGGCAAAGTGCTGTCTCCTTGTGCACAGCTGTCAGCCTTTTCAGATGCTGAGCAGGCATCTAGTCAAGCCATTTCCTGCCAGGACAAATGACAAGCACCCCAAAAGGAGAACTTAGGGGAGCTCCAAGGCTCCTCTTTATAGAGAGCTATGTTGAGTCCTTCTCAATATGGCTCTCCCCAACCACATGACTGCAGCTGAAAGAATAGCCTCAACCCAGCCCTCCCTCTGTACCTCGGCCCCTCCCCAGGCAGGCAGAGTCCCAGGAGGATGAAAGCAGGACTAGCTGTGTCCTTGTGTCCTCCTTAGCAGTGGAGAGGCAAGACTGGTGGGATCTGCTTCAGCTTTGGCACCAGGAGACCTGAATTTAATTCTCAGCCCTACTACTTCCTGCTGTGTGACCTTGAGCAACTCACTCAGCCCCTCTGAGCTTCAGTCTCCTTTTCAGTAAGGCAGGCAATGTGGCATTGTTGTTGAGGGCCAGTGTGGCTTTGTGGTTGAGGGCCAAGCACCAGAGTTATTCTTCTGGATCCCAGATTCTGGTTTTGCCACTTCCTAGCTGATAGCCATGTCCTCCCCAGTTCCAAAGCCCAGCCTTGCAGGCACACACCACAACTACATGGCTGAATGACTGTGGTTGCCAGCAGACTCCTCTCTCCACAGCCACTCTGGGCCCATCCTGGACCAACTGGTCACTAGGTGCCTGGGTGCAGTATCTGGTCCCCCCACCGCCCTTTTCCAATGTTCAGTGGAACTGCTCATGGGCCGCACAGCCTTCCTTTTTCTGTCTTTAGCCACTCACAGATTCTGCCTCGATTTTCATCTTCGTTTGGATCTCATCAAGCTCTCCTAAATTCCTCCTCCTGATTCTGATTTTTCTTTCTTTGGTACCATTTAACCACATGCTTTCATGCGATAGAGCAATTTGTATTCATGCCCCTCTCCACACTGGGCTAATTTAACAGCTCTGTAGAAACACAGGAGTGTAGTTTGCTCATCATCGCCTCCTCCAGAATGCCTTCCACAAAGTGAGGTATCTGTAAGGCAACCACCATGATATGGGATCTTTTTCTCCCGCATTTATAATCATCTTAACTGCTTTATTGAGATATAATTTACATAGCATCCAATGGTTTTTAATAAATTTACAGAGTTGTGCAATCATCACCACAATCCAGTTTTAGAACATTTCCATCACCCCAAAAAGATCCCTTGGGCCCATTTGCAGTCGCTCCCCATTCCAAGTCCCAGCCACAGGCAAGTTTTAATCATTTTTACTAAAAAAAACACATAAGCCCTTATTTCCCCCCAAATGTTTTGCTCTTAGAAGTAAAGCTGCATGAACATTCTTGTAGGGAAACCGTAACACGTATCTATGCTCATTTCTCCCAAACTCACTGAAGATTCAGGGAAGGACCGAGTATCTGACCTGAGCCCCACATTCCACAGGTGACAAGTGCATGGATGAGTGCCACCCCTAAGACCACATAGCCCATAGCAGGGCTGGGACTGGAACCCACCTGCTTCCACTCCCAGCAATGGTCATTTCCGTCACTCTGTCCCTCTACTCAGAGATAAATTCATTAACTGACCTTAATTAATTTAATTTGTTTTTTCTAGCCACTGCTTCTCCCTTCTCACAGCCCTTCCTCAGTGGAAGTGCTAACTGGAATTGAGTGGCTCAGAAACAAATGGCAAAGAAGGAGGTGGAAAAGAAAGAGTTATGAAACTGTACGTCAGGCTTGGAATGGTGGCTTATGCCTGGAATCCCAGCATTGTGGGAGGCTGAGGAGGGAGGATCGCTTAAGCCTAGGAGTTTGAGACCAGTTTGGGCACCATAGTAAGACCCCCATCTCAACAAAACTAAAATTAAAAATTAACCTGGTGTGGTGCTGCACACCTATAGTCCCAGCTACGCAGGAGGACGAAGTGGGAGGATTGCTTGGACCCGGGAGTTCAAGGCTGCAGTGAGCTATGATCACACCACTGCATTTCAGCCTGAGTGATAGACTGAGACCTTGTCTCAAAAAAAAAAGTAGGTGGGGATCACAAGTCATTCCCTCAACTTCTCATGCAAGGAAGGAGCAGTCTCCTCGGCTTCTCTGACTCCACAGGGAAGGTGGGGGGATCTCCTAGGGTCCAGGAACTCACTGTTTGAAACTATTCCTGTCTTTCTTTTCTGGGTCCAGTCAGCCCTTTTCCTCTATTGCATCCTCCAGTGCCATGAACACATTCTTCCAGATGCAGTTATTTGTAAGTAGGAGACTCGGGGGCCAGAAAGCTCAGGGGTGGGATGGGAGTGGGAGATTCTAACACCACCATTCACTAGCTGTGTGACCTTGTCCCTTCCTAACCTTTCTGGGCCTTGGTGTACTCATCTGTAAAGTGGAACCAGAATTGCCTACCTCAAAAAATTATTGTGAGAATTCAATAAAATGGTATAGGCAAGATCAGGTTCAAAGTATGCGATCAATAAATGGTAGGGTTTTAATTAACCTCCTTCTTAAATTGTGGTCCCAATAACGACTCCCTGAATACACATATAGGATGCACACAGCACGCACACGATACTACAGAACTCTTTCCTTCTGTCGTGAACCATAGTGTTGGACCACCTCGCATGTTTTCCTATCCCTTTTAGGAAACTTGCCCTACTCCATAGAAGCAGCAAGTCATACGTTTTTAAAAAGAAACTCCGGTGGCAACGCAAGGAATAGATTGTAAATGTGGAAGCTAGGGCCCAGGAAGCTGAGCGAGAGATCATGCAACATTCCAGGCAAACCATGAGAAGGGCCCGATAGGAGGGGCAATGAGGAGAAGCTGCAGAGACCAGACCTGAGAGGTACTGAGGAAGCAGAATCAGTGGAGCATGGTGAGTGATGGTCATGGGAAGGGCACACGCTTACTATTCCTCTCTCTCAAGAATAATACCTGCCTCACGACACTGCTGGGAGGCTGGGTGGCCATTCAACTGAAATATTAACTAAGTGCATGCAATGTACTAGGCTCTGATCCAGATGCCTAGAACAAGACAGAAGCCCTGTCCTCTTACTGCTTATAGTCAAGATAGAGAGTAATGTCTTTGAAGAGACTGACCCATGGTAGGCACTTCATAAAGGGTAGGTGTTGTTATTACCACTAATACTATAATGTTTAAATTATATGTTAGGTGCTTCGGCCACCTAACATCTCTTCTCCTTTCCCATGGTGTGACGTCGTGGTAATACAGTAAATGTCTCCATCTGTGCTTTCACTATAGATGCCGAAGTGATTCCTGGAGACTCTGCCAGCAAGGCTCTTCCTCTAGCCACTGTAGTACCAAAGTAAAGGAGCACCATGCTTGAACATATGGGTGCTCTCTCTCTCTAGGGACTTTAGATCCTGAGCAAGCGACCACATGGGTAGAAGCAACACAGTTAATTCATCCAAGCACGAAGAACCTGACCCAGACTATTTCTACCACAAGATTCTCCCTTCCAGCTTGGCTATCTGTAAGTTTGAGAAGTCAACCTACCAAGTGACTATTGACATCTCCCTCCAGGAGAATTTCAGTCCATTGTTACTGATTGGCAGAGTGCTTTGAGATATAACAGACGTGGTAAATGAACTGAAATGACATCAATTGAAAAAAAATGTTACAATTTCATCTAACTTTTGTCCAGCTTCCATTTCTACTTTTTGTTCTTTCCATTGGAACTCAAGTACACACAACTGGACTGAGTATTGTCCTTGGTTTATGACACACCCTCACTATTGGTCTATAAATGGCTTGTTTTTACTTAGTTATTTTAAATAATATAAGCACCTGTGAATGCACCAGATCCAAACAAAAACGAGGATCCTGACAATAACCTTGACATATGGTCCCGCCCCATCACATCCTCTTGACTCCACCTGACCAAGATAATCATTCTTAATCCTCTGTCCATCAGCTCTGTGCCCTCCTTTCAAAATAAGTTCTATTGCGTCTATGTGTGCTTCTAAAAGATGTGTTTTCATAAAACTTGAGTTACTTTAGAAATTATAAAAAGGAAATGAGGCCAGGCTTGGTGGCTCATGCCTGTAATCTCAGCACTTTGGGAGGCTGAGGTGGGTGGAGGGCTTGAGCCCAGGAGTTTTAGACCAGCCTCGGTAACATGGCAAAATCCCGTCTCCACAAAAAATACAAAAAAAAAAACAAATGCCAGACATGGTGTAGTGCCTGTAGTCCCAGCTACTCAGGAGACTGAGTTAAGAGGACCACAAGAGCCCAGGAAAGTTGAGGCTGCAGTGAGCCATGATCATGCCATTGCACTCCAGCCTGGGCAACAGAGTGAGACCCCCCACCCCAAAAAAAGGATATGATATTGTATGTAAGTTTTTCAGACTTACTTTTTTCCAGCAAGTATTATTGTTAAAGTTATTCATATTATTGTTTATGGTTGAGTTCATTTATTTTTATTGCTGGATAATATTTCGCTGTGTAAATAGACCACAATTATCCATTCACTTTTCCATTAATGGACATTGAGTTATTTTCAGGTTTTGCTAATGTGAAAAATGCTGCTAGGAGTGTTTTTATTCAAATCTCCTGTTTTATGTGCATGAGAGTTTCTTTTGAATATAAACCTAATGGTGGAATTGCTGGGTAATAGGGTATGTGGATGTCCAATTTTAGGGGAGAAGGCCAAGCCATTTTCCAATGTGTTTCACAAACATACATCCCTATGAGTATAAGAGGGTTTTTTTAGTTTTTTTTTTTTAGACAGAGTCTTACTCTGTCGCCCAGGCAATGGTGCCATCTTGGCTCACTGCAATCTCCGCCTCCCGGGTTCAAGCGATTCTCCTGCCTCAGCCTCCCGAGTAGCTGGGATTACAGGCACACACCACCACACCCAGCTAATTTTTGTATTTTTAGCAGAGACAGGGTTTTACCATGTTGGCCAGGATGGTCTCGAACTCCTGACCTCGTGATCCTCCCACCTCGGCCTCCCAAAGTGCTGGGATTACAGATGTGAGCCACCACACCCAGCCAAGAGGTTCTGTGGCTCTATAATCTTGTTAAAGCTTCACGTTGTCAGATTTTTAATTGCCAATTAACAGAGGTAAAAACAAATTTTAGAGATTATAATGTGTTTCTCTGATCATTAAACACGTTGAAAATCTTCTCTTGTGTTTATCGGCCATACATGTTTCTCTCTCTCTTTTTTTTTTTTTTTTTTTTTTTTGAGACAGAGTTTTGCTCTCGTTGCCCAGGCTAAAGTGCAGTGGCATGATCTCGGCTCACTGCAACCTCCACCTCCCGATTTCAAGCAATTCTTCTGCCTCAGCCTCCCAAGTAGCTGGGATTACAGGCATGCACCACCACACCTGGCTAATTTTGTATTTGTAGTAGAGACAGGGTTACACATCTTGGTCAGGCTGGTCTTTAACTCCTGACCTCCAGTGATCCACCCGCTTCAGCCTCCCAAAGTGCTGGGATTACAGGCGTGAGCCACCATGCCTGGCCCATTTATGTCTTTTGATCATTTTTCCATAGGGTTGTTATTTTTTTATTGGTTTGTGGAATTTTTTTATGTATTCTTGACACTGATCTATTGTTGTTGACTATCTCTTCTCAGTTTGTAATTAGTTTCTTTACTTTTGCTTTCCCTAAGGTAGCTTTTGAAGAACACATGTTCTTAAGTTTATTACAGTCAAATGTATTTATCTCTTACATTATTGTCATTTTTTTGTCTCTTGTTTAAGCAACCTTTCGCTGTTCAGTCTTAAACATATCTGGATGGATAGATAGATAGATAGACAGATGATAGATAGACAGACAGATAGATATAAAGAGATAGATATAGATATAGTTTGGTGTTTTTTTTGTTTTTTGTTTTTTGATTTGGAGTCTCGCTCTTGTCACCCACGCTGGAGTGCAATGGCATGATCTTGGCTCACTGCAACCTCTGCCTCCCAGGCTCAAGCGATTCTCCTGCCTCAGCCTCCCAAGTAGCTGGGATTACAGGCATGAGCCACCACACCCAGCTAGTTTTTGTATAATTAGTAGAGATGGTGTTTCACCATGTTGGCCAGGCTGGTCTCATGCCTGTAATCCCAGCATTTTGGAAGGCCAAGGCAGGCAGACCACTTGAGGTCAGGAGTTCAAGACCAGCCTGGCCAACATGGCAAAACCCGTCTCTACTAATAATACAAAAATTAGCCCAGCATGGTGGTGTGCGCCTATAGTCCCAGCTACTCAGGAGGCTGAGGCAGGAGAATCGCTGGAACCCAGGAGGCGGAGGTTGCAGTGAGCCTAGATCATGCCACTGCATTCCAGCCTGGGTGACAGAAAAAGATTCCAAAAAAAAAAAAAAAGATAGTGTATTATTTTTAATGCATGTTGGTATTTTAATTGCTAATATTTTATTTAGTGTTTTTGCATCAATATTTATGAGTAAAATAGGCCTAAAATTTTTTTCTCATAAATCCATTGTCTGGTTATGGTATCGATTTTGGGAATGGAAGATGCTGTAATCCAGTTTTAATATGTTATCTTTGCAGAGAAATCCCTGAGAGCTCATTTTTAAAAAACAACCAATAGCACCTAGTAAAGACTGCTTTTTACCTCGATATTTTAAAATTAATAATTTTTGTAGCATTTCTTATAGGTTGACATATTCACCAGAAGGTAGATGTTAAAATCTGTCTTGTTCATTTTATAAAGATCTGAGTAAGTTTGCCCAGCTCCAATCCTCCAGCACCTTTCCTGTTCACCGTAATTCCTCAGAGTTGACCAACAATGGTGCTTCTAACACATCTGCACATCTCTGACAACACCTGATAACCTGGGAAGTGGCTCCTAAGAAACCCAAGAGCTGGCTGGTGTCTGATGCATGGATTTGTGCACAGCATGTGGGGCTCCGAGCTTCTCAGAAAAAAATAATTGTACATCAAAGGCATCACTAGTTATGAGTTCCTGGGTGAAGCAGCTATTGTTATCATTTAAACAGAACTTTCTAGCTTTGCTTCTGGGCAGGCGACCTAATGTGAGAGCATTTGGAGGCCAGGAAGCACCAGTTAGGAACCAGGCATCATTGTCATTTTCTGCAGGAGTGCCCTGTGGCTAGCTTTCCCACTGCAGCAGAGCCTTGCCTCCATCAGTGTGCTCTGCTCATGCCCCCAGCCCCACTCTCCCCTGGTGAGTAGTGAGCTCCAGAACCCTTCAGGGCAGAGAGAAGTCCAGCTGTGGAGTTTAGAAGCTGAAAAACACCTCCGCCCAGTGCCCTCCCAGCACAGCATCCTGGCTTCACAGGCCTAAGCCAGACAGGCTGCCTAATCACCAGATAGGGACCCTCCTGGCTCCATCATGGAAAGACAGTTAGGTCCCTTTTGCTGGCAAAGCCAAATCAGGCAATCCTTTGAATTAAACACAGTGACTCTCTACAAGACCCAAGGAATTTCTGAGGCCTGAGTCAGAGGGATCATAAGATAAGGTGGCTGGTTACCTAAAGAGAAAGCGTTAGTGCTTTTTTTCTCCTGCCTCTTCTTGTCCTACCTGTGATGATTAATTTTATGTGTCAACTTGACTGGGCCACAGAGTGCCCAGATACTTGGTTAAACATTATTCTGAATGTGTCTGTGAGGATGTTTCTGATTATCATTTGAATTGGTGGACTGAGTAACACAGATGCCCTCCCAACGTGGATGAGCTTGATCCAGTCCAGTTAAGGCCTGAATAGAACCATAAAGGTGAGCAAGGGAGAGTTTGCTCTCTGTCTGACTATCTTCAAGCTGGGACATCAATCTTTTCCTGCCTTTGGACTTGGACTCAGACTGGAACTATAGCACCATCTCTCCTTGGTCACCAGATTGCCACCTGCAGATCTTGGAGCTTCTCAGCTTCTATAATCATATAGGCCAGTTTCTTAATACACACACACACACACACACACACACACGCACACACACATGCACACACACACACATTCTATTGGTTCTCTTTCTCATGAGAACCCTAATACATCCCCTTACCCTCCTTCCCTACTAGAAGGAAGGAAGAAAGAAAGGAAAGACAGAAGGGAGGGAAGAAGAAAGGCAAGGAGAGAGAAGAGAGAGAGGGAGTGGGAGGGAGCCACACATCTTTCAATTTCCTTGAAAATAGGAAATGGATTCAGTAATTGACCAGGTTAACATGAGGAAACGGGGGCAGCCCTGAGAGCCAGGCAAACTGAGCATGTGGGTTGAAGCCAGTAACAGTCAGCAGCTAACTGGGAGCACTCCACCCCAGAGATGGGAGCTGCACCAAGCCGCTGCCAAGCCATGGGCCCCATACACACATCCCAGGGATGGCTGAATGCACAGTCCCCATGGTTGTTTCGTGTTTGATGAGCTGGATGAGTTTTTTCTATGGAAGTTTTTTTTATGGGCCCTGGTTTCCTGGATAGACCCTGGCTGATTGATGCTCTGTCCTGTTACCCCAACCACCCTACGCCCTTGGATTTTATTTTGCCCCTGAGGATCTCTCTTTACTTTCTGGGTGCTGTTTTGTGTTCTCTTTGACCTGACTTCATCAGAACAAAAACAAAGGGTGGGAAAGAGAATGATCCAGCATATCCCTAAACATTTCTATAATGTTTCTCTTTTCCATGATAAAAGTAATAAATACTTAGAGAAAGCATAGAAAAGTATAGAAAAGTTTTTAAAAGAAAGAAATTACCCATAGTTTCACTACTCAGCGACAACTGATGTTAATATTTTGGCAAACACCTATGCCCTCACTTAACATATTTTAATTTTTCCCAATTTAGGAAGATAGGGTAAAAAGCTGTTAAACAAAGCATTCTTGGTAAAAACAACTGTCCTTCTGATCCTCCAGCAAAGTCTCCTCTAAAAATTATTCTCCTGAACTATTGTAATGTTGGGGAGTCAGTTCTCACTCTCTCTTCCTATGCTTTTAAAATCAGTTCTTAATTTGTTGTTTGAATTCTTATCCATCACATAACATGCTGCTGCAGTCAAATGGTGGCTGGTCTGAACCATCCAAGATGACTCACTTGTATGTCTGGTGCCTTGGCAGGCATGGCTGAGAGGCTAGGACCGCTCTGTCTCCATATGGCTTGGGCTTTATTTTTTGGCAAATGAATCCTGAATCTCAAGGGTGAGCATAACAAGGAGGAAACAAAAGCTGCCAGTCCTCTTAGGCCTAGAACTGGCAAAGCACTGTTTCTGTTGCATTCTAGTGGTTAAAACAGTTGGGACCCACCCAGTTTAAGGGGAGGAGAAAGAAACTTCATCTCTAGCTCAGTGGCTCATGCCTATAATCCCAGCACTTTGGGAGGCTGAGGCAGGACTACTGCTTTAGGCCAGGAGTTTGAGACCTGGGCAACATAGTGAGACCCCATCTCTACAAAATTTTTTTTTATTAGCTGGGCATGGTGCCAGGCACCTGTAGTTCCAGCTACTCTGGAGGCTGAGGTGGGAATATCACTTGAGGCCAGGAGGTCAAGACTGCAGTGAGCTGTCATTGTGCCACTGCACTCCAAACTGGGTGACAGATGGAGCGTCTGTCAAAAGAAAAGAAAAAAAGAAAAGAAGAAGGGAGGGGAGGGGAGGAGAGGAGAGGGGAGGGAAGGGGAGGGGAGGGGAGGGAAGGGAAAAAGGAAAAGAAAAGAAGGAAGAAACTGCATCTCTAACTGGAAACAATGACAAAAAAATTGTTACCATCATTAACTACAAAATAGGAGGAAAGAATAGGAATATATACAAATTTGCTTACATTTTTAAAAATTGCTGAATGAATAAGCCAAAAACTCATAAAAACGGCCACCTATTAAGAGAGAGAGAACAGGATGGAGAAGATATGAATAGGAGCTAGACTTCTCTGAGTATATCTTGTTAGATAGTTTTGACTTTGAATACAAATTTTTTAAAAATCAAAAAGGCAGAAAAGCAAGTCTTAAAAATTGAAAGTAAGAGGAAAGAAATGTACCTAACTGCCCATGAGGTCAATGGCACAACAACATGAAGAAAATAATCACTTCACACGACTTTAAAATTAAACATTTCGATTACACGGTCCTAGCAGGATATGTTCTATGGACAAAATGAGCCACAAAGAAATCTTACACTGTGTTCAGTAATCTTACTGTTAGCAGCAATATTCACTTAGCTATTTTGAAACTATTATAGTTATATTATAGAATAAGGTAAATAAGTAATTATGTCAAAATTGTTAAAAACCAGGCTTTTCAGCAAAGAAAAAAAATGAAAATGTAAACCCAACCAAGTTGAGTAAAAACCCTGTAATCTTAAATTTGAATTGGAAGCATTGGTACGAACCCATAATTTTTTTCATTTTAAAAAATGTGAGAGTACCTATAGCATAATCAAACATAAAAATCTGTGTGCCCAATGATATTAAAAGCAATACAACGCATTGGTCAATATTTTAGGTTGCTATGGTACCAACTCCTTCTCTGAAAGCTATTGTCTGGTGTCTCACGCCTGTAATCCTAGCATTTTGGGAGGCCAAGGTGAGAGGATTGCTTAAGACCAGGAGTTCAAGACAAACCTGGTCAACATAGTGAGACCCCATCTCAAAAGAAAGAAAGAGGAAAGGAAAGGAAAGGAAAGGAAAGGAAAGGAGGGAAGGAAGCAAGGAAGAGAGAGAGAGAAGGAGAGTGAAAGAAAGAAAGAGAAAGAAAGAAAGAAAGAAAAAAGAAAAAAAAGAGACAGAAAGCAAGCAAGCTAATGCCTGCAAGGAGATAAAATTATTCTTTTTTTTTTTTTTTGAGACAGAGTCTTGCTCTGTCACCCAGGCTTGAGTGCAGTGGCGTGATCTCAGCTCACTGCAACCTCCGCCTCCTGGGTTCATGCCATTCTCCTGCCTCAGCCTCCTGAGTAGCTGGGACTACAGGCGCCCACCACCACGCCCGGCTAATTTTTTGTATTTTTAGTAGAGATGGGGTTTCACTGTGTTAGCCAGGATGGTCTTGATCTCCTGACTTCGTGATCTGCCCACCTCAGCCTCCCAAAGTGCTGGGATTACAGGCGTGAGCCACCACACCCAGCAGAGAAACTTATTCTTTATAGAAAATAATGGTCAGGTAAAAAGTCGGAAGTATGATGGCTCATGCCTGTAATCCTAGCATTTTGGGAGGCTGAGGCAGGAGGATTGCTTGAGGCCAGGAATTTGAGACCAGCCTGGACAACACAGCAAGACACCATCTCTACAAAAAAATCAAAAAATTAGCCAGGTGTAGTGGTATGCACCTGTGGTCCCAGCTACCTGAGAGGCTGAGGCAAGAGGATCTCTTGAGCCCAGGAGTTTGAGGCTGCAGTGAGCTGTGTTTGCACCATTGCACACCAGCCTGCGCAACAGAGAAAAACCTTGTCTTAAAAGAAAAAAAATTTTTAAAGAATTGAAATATCACTACCTTGCAACCACTAAGAAAATAATGAACCAGAGCTGCCAAAACCATCAGGTTGGCAGGACCTGAACCTACCTGATCACAAAAAGAGAGACAAAGCAGACATCCTGTGCCTCATGCAGTAATGCAATAAGAGGTACACAGTACCCCCTATATGGGATTCTTGCCTAAAAATGGAGCCTGAATCCAGCAGCCTACCAAGGAGGGTTTGGGGGAGATACTGATCCACTTGTGTATAGGCAATAGCAGGGTATTTTGTAGAGAATTCTACAGAAATAATGAAACCAATTCAATGTCAGTCTGCTTTTTATCATTGCCATGCACCAGCAGCTCTAGACAATGTCAGTGATAAAATACCCCTTCCCTCCAGGATGTCAGTTTCCAGGGCCTCTCCATCCTTGATACGACTGCCTGGATCTGATCAAGTTTCTTGACGTAAATAACAGCTAAAAAGAAGATACAGAATATGGAAGAACAAGTTAAATGACATCACAAGAAAGCTTTTATCCCAATCCAGAATGTGGAGCATTCTACTGGACAAATCACTCAGGTTCTCTAACAAAGTATAGGCATGAAAAAGAAGACAGCAGGCTACTACAGACTGAAAGAATGGAAGAGTCTTAAGAGACTTAATTAAATGGACCTGTAGGCTTTGACACCTGATTTGGACAAACTGACTGATAAAAGATAATTCCATAAAGACAATTGAATTAGTTTATGCTAGGTGTGATCACAGCTTGGTGGTTTATATATATGTGTGTTTATTATCAATTCAAAATGACCTGAAGATATTTGTGCATTTATAACTGAAATATGAGATATCTAGGATTTGCTTTAAAATGCTCCAGTAAACAAATGAATGAGCAACAAAAATGGATAGAATAGAGAAAACAAGATGGGCTAAAAGTTGATAATTGTTGAAGTTGGGTGATGGATAGATACATGAGGGTTCCTTACTATTCTCCCTTTTTTTTTTTTTTTTTGGTATATGTTTGACATTTTTTCATCACAAAAAGTTAAAAAAGAAAAGTGAATAAAGACAATGTGTGTCAAGTGGTAGCTATCATTGTCATCATTATCATCATCGTCATGATCAGACCCTGGTTAAGGGCTCAGGAGTGAGACAGGTGGCATCCTATTCTCCAAAAGCCAGGTCAGGTGCCAGCCAAGAGGGCCAGGCTCTAGGCCCAGTGGCTGGACACAGACAGAGAAAGGAGGAACAGCTCAGCGGCCAGCCACAGATAGAAGCCCAGCCTAGCAGGTGGATCCCAAGAAGCCGAAGGCAATGTCACTGCAAACAGATGGTAGGTAATCCAGTCACGGGATTGGCATCGGGAGGTAAGGGGGGTTCTGGCAAGAGACAGAGCCTAATGCCAAGCAACACTTGGACATCCTTGGGAAAGAGAAGCTGTCCTCCATTGGCCAAGGATCTCAGCTCTGAGGGGAGAGGGGAGGGTGTGATGGTTAATACTGAGTGTCAGCTTGATTGGATTGAAGGATGCAAAGTATTGATCCTGGGTGTGTCTGTGAGGGTGCTGCCAAAGGAGATTAACATTTGAGTCAGTGGGCTGGGAAAGGGAGACCCATCCTTAATCTGGGTGGGCACCATCTAATCAGCTGCCAGTGTGGCCAGAATATAAAGCAGGCAGAAAAATGTGAAAAGGCTAGACTGGCTTAGCCTTCAAGCCTACATCTTTCTCTCGTGCTGGATGCTTCCTGCCCTCAAATATTGGACTCCAAGTTCTTCAGCTTTGGGACTTGGACTGGCTTCCTTGCTCCTCAGATTGCAGATGGCCTATTGTGGGACCTTGTGATCATGTGAGTTAATACTACTTAATAAACTTCCCTTCATATATATATATATATATATTCCCTTCATATATATATATATATGTTCCCTTCATATATATATATTCCCTTCATATATATAGATATCATATGTGTATGTATATATATATACATGTACACACACATACACTATTAGTTCTGTCCCTCTAGAGAACCCTGACTAATATAGAGGGGAAGGGGGGTTCAAGACAAAACAGGAAGCTGGCAATAGTGAGGAAAGTCCTCCTCCCTAGAACGACTGATATTCAACAGGTCATAAAGATTTCATCACTAAATCAGGTTGCAAGAGGAGCCCTGGGCTCAGGAACAGCAGGAGCAGGCTCCAGACTCTAGATTCAGGTTGGAGGGGCCCCTACTGCACTGGCACCCCAAAGGCTGGGCTATGCTCTGGACATCCCTGAACCCAGGACAGGACCAACTAATTCCAGAGGGCAGGACATGGCAGGAGCCTGTGACGGGGACAGAGCAATATGCAGGGTAAGGGTTAAAGCACTGAAGACTAGCCACTTGCGTGAACTTGCTTATTCACAATATTTTACACGATGTTTTAAATGATTTCCTGTGTCATTGAATATGTATTCGAATAAATTTGTTATATATGGGTCTTAAAGTTCCATTAGTAATCTCTGTTCCCTTAACAATCTGTTTGCATAGCTTCTTGCAACATGATATGCTTGCAGCTTTTTAAAAGTAGAAATGCCTCCAGCCAGGAAAAGAGGCACATGGCTCAGCACCCCACATCTTCTGAGCAGCAAGGCTGGTGGTCTAAGTGTTGGGGACCAGAATGTGTTGCATAAGAAGCTGGTTTGGACGTGCCTCACATGCTGACAATATTGTAAGAGATGAAATAATGTGGGGACTTAATTGCCCAGCTGCAAGATGAGACAGCCTAGGTCACTCTAAATGAAGTGGTTCCCTTTGCCTGTTCAAACTTTGGGGCTACTATGAACCCTAAAGGTGGTGACAGGGAATGCTCACACCAGCCCTCTCCAGTTCTTGGCTTGGGGCAGCTGCCATGTCATGATGGATGGGGAAATGACCCAGTTCCTTCCAGCCCAAAGAAACTAACTAAACCTAAACCTTTTTTCAGACTTCAATTGGAAAATAGAGCTCTATTTTTTTAAAATGCCAAAATATTGTAATACAGACAAGTCATTTATCATCATGAAAGTCATGTTCTTGGCTGGCTAATTTGTCCCTTGTGCGGTTCTCACCGTGGATGTGGACTCACTTGAACACAGTTCTCTCCCAAAGAGATGGCCAGTGTGCCCAAGGCAGCTTTTGCTTCTGCAGCATTTAGCAGAACAGCCAGCAGAGAGGACTCTCAATGTTTGCCGATGATCACGGTATTTCAAAAACGGTGATAAGAGGCCACAATTTGCTTTGTGGTTCAAGCTTGAGTGATTATTAAGGAATGTGTGTTTATCCCAATATGCATCCTTCCATCCTCTTCCAGTATCCCTCTCTCCTTCCTTTCCCTCTGTCTGTATCTATGTGTGGTGGTAGGAGTCAGGAGAGGAAGGATGTCCACCTCACACACCCTTTTTTTCACTGCCCTTACCTTTTCTTCTTTCCTATTCCCACTTCTATCTCCTTAAACTGTAGTAAAAGATACCCCTGCCCAGGCATAGCTGAACAAAAGGCAGCAGAAACTTCTGCAGACTTAAACGCCCCTGCCTGACAGCTTTGAAGAGAGCAGTGGCTCTCCCAGGACGGAGTTTGAGATCTGAGAACAGACAGACTGACTCCTCAAGTGGGTCCCTGACCCCCGAGTAGCCTAACTGGGAGACACCTCCCAGTAGGAGCTAACTGACACCTCCTACAGCCGGGTGCCCCTCTGAGACAAAGCTTTGGGGATCAGGCAGCAACATTTGCTGTTCTGCAATATTTGCTGTTCTGCAGCCTCCGGTGGTGATACTCAGGCAAAAAGAGTCTGGAGTGGACCTCCAGAAAACTCCAACAGACCTGCAGCTAAGGGTCCTGACTGTTAGAAGGAAAACTAACAAACAGAAAGGAATAGCGTCAACATCAACAAAAAGGACATCCACACCAAAACCCCATCTGTAGGTCACCAACATCAAACACCAAAGGTAGATAAAACCACAAAGATGGGGAGAAACCAGAGCAGAAAAGCTGAAATTTCCAAAAAACAGAGCACCTCTTCTCCTCCAAAGGATCGCAGCTCCTCACCAGCAACGGAACAAAGCTGGATGGAGAATGACTTTGATGAGTTGTCAGAAGTAGGCTTCAGAAGATCGGTAATAACAAACTTCTCTGAGCTAAAGGAGGATGTTCAAACCCATCGCAAGGAAGCTAAAAACTTTGAAAAAAGATTAGAAGAATGGCTAACTAGAATAAACAGCGTACAGAAGACCTTAAATGACCAGATGGAACTGAAAACCATGGCAGGAGAACTACGTGAGGCATGCATAAGCTTCAGTAGCCAATTCGATCAACTGGAAGAAAGGGTATCAGTGAGTGGAGATCAAATGAATGAAATGAAGTGAGAAGAGAAGTTTAGAGAAAAAAGAGTAAAAAGAAATGAACAAAGCCTCCAAGAAATCTGGGACTATGTGAAAAGACCAAATCTACATTTGATTGGTGTACCTGAAAGTGACAGGGAGAATAGAACCAAGTTGGAAAACACTCTTCAGGATATTATCCAGGAGAACTTCCCCAACCTAGCAAGGCAGGCCAACATTCAACTTCAGGAAATACAGAGAACACCCAAAGATACTCCTTGAGAAGAGCAACCCCAAGACACATAATTGTCAGATTCACCAAGGTTGAAATGAACGAAAAAATGTTAAGGGCAGCCAGAGAGAAAGGTCGGGTTACCCACAAAGGGAAACCCATCAGACTAACAGCAGATCTCTCAGCAGAAACTCTACAAGCCAGAAGAGAGTGGGGGCCAATATTCAATATTCTTAAAGAAAAGAATTTTCAACCCAGAATTCCATATCCAGCCAAACTAAGCTTCATAAGTGAAGGAGAAATAAAATCCTTTACAGACAAGCAAATGCTGAGAGATTTTGTCACCACCAGGCCTGCCTTACAAGAGCTCCTGAAGGAAGCACTAAACATGGAAAGGAACAACTGGTACCAGCCACTGCAAAAACATGCCAAATTGTAAAGACCATCAATGCTAAGAAGAAACTGCATCAACTAACGAGCAAAATAACCAGCTAACATCATAATGACAGGATTAAATTCACACAAAACAGTATTAACCTTAAATGTAAATGGGCTAAATGCCCCAATTAAAAGACACAGACGGGCAAATTGGATAAAGAGTCAAGACCCATCAGTGTGCTGTATTCAGGAGACCCATCTCATGTGCAGAGACACACATAGGCTCAAAATAAAGGGATGGAGGAAGATCTACCAAGCAAATGGAAAACAAAAAAAAGCAGGGATTGCAATCCTAGTCTCTGATAAAACAGGATTTAAACCAACAAAGATGAAAAGAGACAAAGAAGGCCATTATATAATGGTAAAGGAATCAATTCAACAAGAAGAGCTAACTATCCTAAATATATATGCACCCAATACAGGAGCACCCAGATTCATAAAGCAAGTTCTTAGAGATCTACAAAGAGACTTAGACTCCCACACAATAATAATAGGAGACTTTAACACCCCACTGTCAACATTAGACAGATCAACGAGACAGAAAGTTAACAAGGATATCCAGGACTTGAACTCAGCTCTGCACCAAGCAGACCTAATAGACATCTACAGAACTCTCCACCCTAAATCAACAGAATATACATTCTTCTCAGCACCACATCCCACTTATACCAAAATTGACCACATAGTTGGAAGTAAAGCACTCCTCAGCAAATGTAAAAGAACAGAAATCTTAACAAACTGTCTCTCAGACCGCAGTGCAATCAAATTAGAACTCAGGATTAAGAAACTCACTCAAAACCACACAACTGCATGGAAACTGAAAAACCTGCTCCTGAATGACTACTGGGTAAATAACGAAATGAAGGCAGAAATAAAGATGTTCTTTCAAACCAATGAGAACAAAGACACAACATACCAGAATATCTGGGACTTTTGAAGCAGTGTGTAGAGGGAAATTTATAGCACTAAATGCCCACAAGAGAAAGCAGGAAAGATCTAAAATCGACACCCTAACATCACAATTAAAATAACTAGACAAGCAAGAGCAAACACATTCAAAAGCTAGCAGAAGGCAAGAAATAACTAAGATCAGAGCAGAACTGAAGGAGATAGAGACACAAAAAACCTTCGAAAAATAAATGAATCCAGGAGCTGGTTTTTTGAAAAAATCAACAAAATAGATAGACTGGCTAGCAAGACAAAGAAGAAAAGAGAGAAGAATTAAATAGATGCAATAAAAAATGATAAAGGGGATATCACCACCATTTCCACAGAAATACAAACTACCATCAGAGAATACTAGAAATACCTCTACGCAAATAAACTAGAAAATCTAGAAGAAATGGATAAATTCCTGGACATACACCCTCCCAAGACTAAACCAGGAAGAAGTTGAATCTCTGAATAGACCAGTAACAGGCTCTGAAACTGAGGCAATAAGTAATAGCCTACCAACCAAAAAAAAGTCCAGGACCAGACGGATTCACAGCCAAATTCTACCAGAGGTAAAAAGAGGAGCTGGTACCATTCCTTCTGAAACTATTCCAATCAATAGAAAAAGAGGGAATCCTCCCTAACATATTTTTTGAGGCCAGCATCATCATTTGATATCAGCAACCTGATACCAAAGCCTGGCAGAGACACAACAAAAAAAGAGAATTTTAGACCAATATCCTTGATGAACATCGATGCAGAAATCCTCAATAAAATACTGGCTAACTGAATCCAGCAGCACATCAAAAAGCTTATCCACCACAATCAAGTTGGCTTCATCCCTGGGATGCAAGGCTGGTTCAACATATGCAAATCAATAAACGTAATGCATCATATAAACAGAACCAAAGACAAAAAACACATGATTATCTCAATAGATGCAGAAAAGGCCTTCGACAAAATTCAACAGCTCTTCATGCTAAAATAAGCATAAGCTAGGTATTGATGGGACATATCTCAAAATAATAAGAACTATTTATGACAAACCCACAGCCAATATCATACTAAATGGGCAAAAACTGGAAGCATTCCCTTTGAAAACTGGCACAAGACAGAGATGCCCTCTCTCACCACTCCTATTCAACATAGTGTTGGAATTTCTGGCCAGGGCAATCAGGCAGGAGAAAGAAATAAAGGGTATTCAATTAGGAAAAGAGTAAGTCAAATTGTCCCTGTTTGCAGATGACATGATTGTATATTTAGAAAACTCCATCGTCTCAGCCCAAAATCTCCTTAAACTGATAAGCAACTTCAGCAAAGTCTCAGGATACCAAATCAATGTGTAAAAATAACAAGCATTCCTATACACCAATAACAGACAGAGAGCCAAATCATGAGTGGACTCCCATTCACAATTGCTTCAAAGAGAATAAAATACCTAGGAATCCAACTTGCAAGGGATGTGAAGGACCTCTTCAAGAAGAACTACAAACCACTGCTCAACGAAATAAAAGAGGACACAAACAAATGGAAGAACATTCTATGCTCATGGATAGGAAGAATCAACATCGTGAAAATGGCCATACTGCCCAAGGTAATTTATAGATTCACTGCTATCCCCATCAAGCTACCAATGACTTTCTTCACAGAACTAGAAAAAACTACTTTAAAGTTCATATGGAACCAAAAA
The DNA here is from genome assembly GCF_000001405.40 of Homo sapiens. Taxonomy (NCBI): domain Eukaryota; kingdom Metazoa; phylum Chordata; class Mammalia; order Primates; family Hominidae; genus Homo; species Homo sapiens. The sequence goes on along the minus strand of NC_000001.11, from coordinate 226,500,736 downwards.
AGAGCCCGCATTGCCAAGACAATCCTAAGCCAAAAGAAGAAAGCTGGAGGCATCATGCTACCTGACTTCAAACTATACTACAAGTCTACAGTAACCAAAACAGCATGGTACTGGTACCAACACAGAGATATAGACCAATGGAACAGAACAGAGCCCTCAGAAATAATACCACACATCTACAACCATCTGATCTTTGACAAACCTGACAAAAACAAGAAATGGGGAAAGGATTCCCTATTTAATAAATGGTGCTGGGATAACTGGCTAGCCATATGTAGAAAGCTGAAACTGGATCCCTTCCTTACACCTTGTACAAAAATTAATTCAAGATGGATTAAAGACTTAAATGTTAGACCTTAAACCATAAAAACCGTAGAAGAAAACCTAGGCAATACCATTCAGGACATAGGCATGGGCAGGGACTTCATGACTAAAACACCGAAAGCAATGGCAGCAAAAGCCAAAATAGACAAATGGGATCTAATTAAACTAAAGAGCTTCTGCACAGCAAAAGAAACTGCCATCAGAGTGAACCGGCAACCTACGGAATGGGAGAAAATTTTTGCAAGCTACCCATCTGACAAAGGGCTAATATCCAGAATCTACAAAGAACTTAAATAAATTTACAAGAAAAAATCAAACAACCTCATCAAAAAGTGGGCAAAGGACATGAACAGACACTCCTCAAAAGAAGACATTTATGCAGCCAACAGACACATGAAAAAATGCTCATCATCACTGGCCATCAGAGAAATGCAAATCAAAACCACAATGAGATACTATCTCATACCAGTTAGAATGGCAACCATTAAAAAGTCAGGAAACAACAGGTGCTGGAGAGGATATGAAGAAATAGGAACACTTTTACACTGTTGGTGCGACTGTAAACTACTTCAACCATTGTGGGAGACAGTGTGGCGATTCCTCAAGGATCTAGAACTAGAAATACCATTTGACACAGTGATCTCATTACTGGTTATATACCCAAAGGATTATAAATCATGGTACAATAAAGACACATGCACACGTATGTTTATTGCGGCACTATTCTATTCACAATAGCAAAGACTTGGAACCAACACAAATGTCCATCAATGATATACTGGATTAAGAAAATGTGGCACATATACACCATGGAATACTATGCAGCCATAAAAAAAGATGAGTTCATGTCCTTTGTAGGGACATGGATGAAGCTGGAAACCATCATTCTGAGCAATCTATCGCAGGGACAGAAAACCAAACACCGCATGTTCTCACTCATAGGTGGGAATTGAACAATGAGAACACTTGGACACAGGGTGGGGAACATCACACACCGGGGCCTGTCGTGGGGTAGGGGGAGCGGGGAGGGATAGCATTAGGAGAAATACCTAATGTAAATGACCAGTTAATGCATGCAGCACACCAACATGGCACATGAATACACATGTAACAAACCTGCACGTTGTGCACATGTACCCTAGAACTTAAAGTATAATTTAAAAAAAATAATAAAATAAAAAGATACGCCTGCCCTGCCCTGCCCTACTCAAGAGAATCTTCCTGGTCTGGGGTTTGCTGGGGCGGAATGCATGAGACACCCATCAGCTCGCACCATCTGCCCATGATGCGGAGGGCCCCTTGCCCCTGCTCCTCTTCCCTGGACAGACCCTGGGATACTGGCCTCCTAAGAGCGCGTGCCTGGGGCTGAAATAAAGAAAAGGAGGGCTAAGTGATCTGGCCAATGTCCAGCTTTCCTCCTGGGGCAGAGGCAGCCTGCGGCTCGGCTGTGGTTCTCTGCCTGTGGTGTGAAGGGCTGGCTGCCATCCTCTGCTGTGAGCCTTAGGACCAGGCGCATGCCTTACACACCATTTCATCCTTGAAGTGCTCGGGCAGTAGGTGTGGGTGTCTGGGAGCTGCCTGTGGCATGACACCCACACTCACTGAACCACATCCAGCTTTCCCCTCCTGCCTCTCTTTGCTCTTCCCCCAACCCCCACTCAAACCCCCGCTGCCTGAACAATAAGGTCCTCTTCTTGGGGACAGAGGGATGGAGGGGTCACCATAACAACATCACACACCTCAGAAACCCTGGCACAGCCTGCTGAGAAAACGTCTTAGGGAAACCTTGGCATCCCATTGATGGAGGCACTCTCTTGAGCGTTCCAAAGCTGCAGATCAGAGCCAAGATGCTCTTGAGTGAGTTTTCTGGGCACTGCAATTAGGCCATGGTGAGGAGTGGGAGAGAGCCAGAGACACAGCTGGGGATGCCGGACTGGGGACAGTCCTCAATGACAGGCCAAGGAAATCAGCAAACCTCCAAAGACCCTGTAATTTCCACATTGAGCTGTTTCATTGCTTTGATAAGAAAGGACCAAAGCCTCTTCATGGTTTGCTGGGCAATTTGCAGATAAATGGGCGGCAGCCTCCAGAGCTGGAGCTGATCCTGCTCTCTATCCGGGTGAGCTTCTGCCCAGCGTTAATTGGGGGCTAATTAATGTCTCTAAGGAGAGGCTTTCAGGCTTTCATGTGGATTGAAGGATCACTCTGGCAGGCAGCTACAATGCCAGTGTTGGCCTGGCTCGGGCCTGTGATGAAATGAGTAGGCCCTTCATGACGCGGGCAGTTGCCACCAGAGCCGGGCCTTGGCTCAATGAGCAGAGAAAGTCAAATCACCCACCAGCCTGGAAAATGCACAACCTCTGGCCTCAGGAGTGCCCCTTGCAGCACCGATGCATGCGGGGCCCGCAGACTTGCCCCCCCAGGGTCAGTCTCCTCCTTGCCCTAGGCTGAGGCTGGCATTTCCTGGCAGACGAGCTCTCAGGGAAGTCATAGAATCTTGGAGTTTCCATCAGAGGCGGCCTAGGGAGCCCAGTCCTGTGTCTGAGCTCCTGCATCACACCTGTATTGCCCTGCATGGAAAATACAGGAAGAGCTTTGGAGAAAAGAGAGAGGCAACAATAGAGGAAGGCAATGGGAGGTGGGGAGGGAACCAGGGCAGCACCTCTGCTTTCTGGTCAGGTGGCAATGCCACACCATGCCTCCATGGGAGGCTCCAGGGCCGGCCCATTCTCCTCACCTTCTACCTTCTCAAGCAAGGCCAGCCAGGCCAGCACTACCCTTCCCTCCCACTCCCTGGGCAGAGAAAACTCTGTCAGGATACCTGAGTTCCTGCCTCCACTCTGGGTGAGTGACCTTGGGTGAGTCACATCCCTGCTCTGGGCTTGGTTCCCATCTCTGTTAAATGGTGGTGGGATCACTGGTTGCTCCCACATACTGACACCTCCGCACTGGCTTGAAGGATTTGCGTGGAGAAGGTAATGAATTCCTTCACAGAGCAGAGGGCTTAGCCCAAACATCTAGCAGTTCCCCTCCCCACTCCTGTGGGTACCATCAAGGATGACTGCCCATCAGGTTCCACCAAAACTCTTTAGCCTACATCAAGGTCCCCAAGCCCGCATCTCGCCAACCACTCCCTTGCCTGGTCCTCCAAATGCCCTGCTGGTCTGGTTCACTCTGCCCCACCTGCCCCATCCAAACCAACCCCCTGTTCCCTTCCTTACCCTTTACCTTGCACCGTTTCTCTTCAGAGCACATTTCACTGCAGATATTATCAAACCTGGTCATTTGCTTGTTGTCTGCCTCTCTCTCCCTGACAGCAGGAACAGGGTCTGCCTTGATCGCTGCTGCACACAGTAAGTGCTCAATAAATACTATTGAACAAGTGAATGCACTAGTGTGCTACCACCCTGTCTTTGCTCCCACAGCTCCCCTGCCTGCCCTCCCTTCTTCCCTTCCATCCATGCTCTTCACCCCTTCAGGTTCCACCTCCCTTGCCTCTGGAAGCTTCCCCGCCTCCCTGCTTGGAACACTCTTGCTCTGACACCTGCAGTGCCAGGGATTCAGCTGGCCTCCTGTGCATCGTGGTGGGAGCAGAGTGCCGGGGACACAGGCATGCTCAGAATGTCAGCCCTGGGGCCAAAGGTTGGGACACACAAAGAAAACCAAATCCCACACACATAATTGGCATGGAGGAAAAAATCTGCTCTTTCTCAAAGCCTCCAGCCCACAGAACTCCATTTGTCCCTTCCGGGTACCACAGATGCTTAGTGACAGCCAAGATCTGTCTTGCAGAAGCAGGAACCAGAGAGTATTTCTGGCCCAATTAAGCTTGAGTGCTTGACAAGTAGGAAATGCAGCCTCACCTCTTTGTGTTGCTAATGTGAGAAACATATGGGCTCTGTGCATCTGCACTGTCTTGCTCGCCTTCCTGCAGGTGCGTCACACCAAGGGCACGGCAAATGTGCAGGTACAGGGAACAGTACTGGGCAGGATGAGGGGTGTCTCTAAAGCGATGTGGCCGACTATCATGTTGACTTGTGGCATCGGTCTCGGGCAGTATATATGCGTATTGTTTTGCAAATGATCAATATTAGAAAATCAATCAATTATCTCCATTTCAAAAGCGTGAGGACTCTTCTCTTCACCATTCCTATTCATAGCATTGGGTTTATAAGTGCAAACAATGATGCCAGTAATAAGGTTTCTATTCCTTCTTCTTCCAGGCTTGGCAGATCGTATGCTGTCAGTTTTAGCTGGGAGACCAGATTTGAGACATGATCTCTGATTCAACACAAGATAGGTAGTTTGATGGAAACTCAGATTAGCTGGATAGTCTATTAAGCTACATATATTTGAAGAACTCTTAAATAAAGCATATCTACTCTAACATAGGTGGCCCATTTGAAACAAGCCCTGTTCAGTGCAGTAAATGTCTGACTCACCTTGAGAAAGAAACTACAAGTAAGCACCTGGCGCCCAGGGCCCAGAGAGACTGCCCTCCCATCCTCCCTGTCTGGACTGGATCCTGCCCCGCCCTGGTCACTGGGAGGCCTGTTCCAGGTCCTGGCTCAGGGAACCCTGCTGTCCCACCCCACACTGTTTGCTGCCTCTGTCCGAAAGGCCCCCTCCCTGTGCCAGCAGCACCTTGCCTTCGTGTGGACACAGGCCTGGTGTGGCACAGGCCCTCCTTTCTCTTGGGTTCTCTATGGAAATATAGGAAATGGGTCATTATAGTTAGGAGTGTCTGCATGTAAGACAGATGAGGTGTTGGTATGTGAGGGGGAGAAGGGGTGGTAATCTACAAATACCTTGTGCATTTATTTAAGCTCTAGGTAGCACTTAGCGTGTAGCTGGTGGTATTCATTTCCCAATCTGTGTCTAGCACAATGTGTGGCATAGGGTAAGTCCCAGGAGGAGCTGGGGCTGAATATGAGCATGGTCAGGTAGGTGAGGGAAAAAAAAAAACAACAGTCAGGTTGGGCCATCAGAGTCAAACTAATTACAATATTATTAGTTACCATTAATTAAGGGCATCCTTTAGGCCAGGTGTTTTACAGACTTTGAACAGCTGAACCCTTATAGGCCCCCAGTGAAAGAAGCATTATCAGCGCCACATTTCAGATGGGAAAACCAAGGCTCAGAGGGGTTCAGCAGCATTCCCAAGGTCACGCAGCTTGTGACACAGCCAGTTGTCAAACTCAGAATAGTCTGACCCCAGCACCTGAGTTCTTGACCATCGTATACTTCTCTTCCTTCCCTTCCCTTCCCCTCCACTTAGAAAGAGCACATAGGGGCTGGGCGCCGTGGCTCACGCCTGTAATCCCAGCACTTTGGGAGGCTGAGGCAGGCAAATCATGAAGTCAGGAGTTCGAGACCAACCTGGCCAACATGGCAAAACCCCGTCTCTACTAAAAATACAAAAATTAGCCGGGCGTGGTGGTGCATGCCTGTAATTCCAGCTACTTAGGAAGCTAAGCCAGGAGAATCACTTGAATCTGGGAGGCGGAGGTTGCAGTGAACCGGAATCGTGCCATTGCACTCCAGCCTGGGCAATAGAGTGAGACTATGTCTCAAAAAAAGAAAAAAAAAGAAAAGAAAGAAATGAAAAGAAAGAGCAAATTCGGGGGGGTTCTCTCTGCTTTGGAGCCCCCCTCCCTCTGTCTGTGTATGAGGGAGCTTCTATCTTCTGCCTTCTCCCATCTTTCTTGCCTATTAAACTCTCCACTCCTTAAAACCACTCCATGTGTGTCCGTGTCGTTTTTTCCAATTCAATGTGAGACAAGAGGCCTGGTGTTCCTCCACTCATCGGAGCGGTATGATTTTGGTGCATTGGCTGGGAAAGGAAATTCAGTCATCAGACTGGTGAATATGGAGCAGATTTCAACGTTAAATCTCTCCTTTAATCTCAAGGCTCTCTGCCAGCTACCCTGTCACCAAACTTTCTTTCTCTTTTTATCCACGGTCTCTTACTCTCTCTCTCTGTATGTCTAATGCGCAGGAATCTTTACAGTTCAGGGAAATAGGTCTGTTAGAAAAGATCGCGAATCACAGCAGGCAGTAACTCAATAACTCTCTCTACGGTTTCTCTGGCAAGCACATGGTATTTTTAAGCCACCTAGTGCTTAAATCAGGATCTAGGCCTCTTCTGAGAACGGGAAGTTTCTGCTTTTAACAGTTAGGAGTAAAATGTGTTTGGCAGCCAGATTTTAGTCCCCGTATTGTCCCATCAGTGGGAAAACGGCCATTTGATTCCTACGTTCTTTTAAGGCATCTATTTTGTCTCCGATTAAGAGAGTACTTAATTAGTAAGGGAATTTTAAGTTCGGAAGTTAACCAGAACTGTTTTAAGAGTAAGTGCTTTAGCACGGGCTATAATAGCAGGCAATCTAGCACACTGCCTCCGTTAAAAGAGCCTTGCCCAAAGGCAACACAGTGTCTCCAGAGGGAGTCAGGCAAATCACGCAGGTTCTAGGAAGTCAAAGGGAAATCACACAAGGCGGATAAACTAAGGCTGCGTGGGACGCATGGTTAGCCCCATCACTTAGTTCATCCGGTTCCATGGCTTGGAGGACCACGCCTACAACCATGGCGGGGAGGGGTGGGGTGGGGGGCATATTTTAAAAAGTTCCGGAATCCAGAAACCAAGGAGGTAAGACATTTGGAAGACGCTTCCTGTCTTCTCCTCTACTCTGGGTCATATGGAAAGGAAGGGGAGTAAGAGGATGGTTTTATTCTCGCTTCTTTTTCTAAATGGGTAATAAATTATCTTCATCTTGCACCCACCCCTCTGGAGTGCTGTAACTTCCTTAACCTCAGAACTTTAAAGAAAACAACTCATTTTATTTTGCACAAGAGCATGGCATTTCTACTAAACCTCTGCAAGCGTTGTGAGATCAACCCAGCTCTTTTAGCAACCACTTCGGGCAGGCAGGCAGCCGAGTTCGCGGAGCAGTTTCGCTCCTACTTACTGAGTGAGAAGCAATGGAAGGCCCTCATGGAATTCATCCTGCGCCACCTGCCCGACTACCATGACCTGCCCAATGGCGGTGGCTGCCTGGACCAACTGCTGTCCCTCTCCATGGTCTGGGCCAACCACCTCTTCCTGGGCTGCAGTTACAATAAAGCCCTTTTAGACAAGGTGATGGAAATGGCTGATGGGAATGAAGTGGAGGACCTGCCACAATTTACTACCAGAAGTGAATTAATGAAAAAGCATCAAAGCTAAGCCAGAGGATTTATCACATTTTCATCATCAGCTACAGGATTAGAAAGGAGGCTGGGATGAATGTGACATAGACCACAGCAGCTCTCTTAAGACTCCTGGTATTACCAACATAAAGAGGCAGGTGGAATGAGAAGGACTCTGTCTAGATTGGCTTTTTTAACATTCTCATTTTTCCAGTAGTTATCACTGTAAAAGTATACATGGATATTTGTGTATTTATAAATCATGCACTCTAAGATGACATCATCAACATTGTAAAAGCCCTCTTTGCTATTTTCAGTACTGACAAGTCTCACTCTGTCACCCAGGAGAGAGTACAAATGTGTAGTATTGGCTCATTGCAGCCTTGAACTCCTGGGCTCATATTTTCAGTTTTTAAATATCAGAATTTTTGTTTAAAATGCCTTTTTGGGCTGGGCGCAGTGGCTTACACCTGTAATAATCCCAGCACTTCAGGAGGCCAAAGTGGGTAGATCACCCAAGTTCGGGAGTTCAAGACCAGCCTGGCCAGCATGGTGAAATCCTGTCTCTACTAAAAACACAGAAAAGATTAGCTGGGCATGGTGACAAACATCTGTGGTCCCAGCTGCTCAGGAGGCCGGGGTAGGAAAATCACTTGAACCTGGGAGGCGGAGGTTGCAGTGAGCCGAAATCGCTCCATTGCACTCCATCCTGGGTGACAAAAGTGAAGCACCGTCTCAAAAAAATAAAAATTTAAATTTAAATTAAAAAAAAAGAATCATTTTTCTTTGTCAACAGGACACAATTGGAAAAACTGGCTATTTTACCAAGGCTTTGACTGAAAGTGTGTGTTTCCCTTTAAGGAACAAAGCTTGACATGCAGAGCCAATAAAAGCCCCTTGGGGAGAACTGGCCTCATACCTTATCTACGCAGTCCCCACACAGGGTTCCTAACCTGTGGTCAGTGAAGAATGTCACTTTCTAACAGGTCTGGAAGCTGCGAGTTTATCTTGGAACCTCAAGAGGAGAGGATCACCCAACTCACAGAAGCAATCAAACTCCAAATAGTGCTGCAAACTGAACCACACATGGACACGCCATTCTTCTGGGGACCCTTAGATCCACCCCAGGAGAAGCCCTAGCTGCTGTTCCCCATTCAACACCCCTTTTCAGCAGGAAGTAGCCAGAAAGAGTCATCATCCAAAACCCTGTAACAGCAGTTAGTGTGATATCGCCACAGGGAGGAATGTGGTAGGAGTTATTAAGAAATTATTTTAAGCAGATAGAGAGAAAGGAGTCCTTGGGAAGTTTTCATTTTTAAAAGCATCTGCGGAAAAGTTTCTTGTAAAGCCGCAGCTCTGAGAGCCAGGCCGGCAACCTTTGATATACAAATGAAGTCCATTAGAAACTGAGTCTACCCAACATGGCGATTCCCTCGGCCTTCTTGCCCTTGCCCCACATGTTCCTGGCAACATGGCCACCCCCACATAGCCCCACGTGTGTAGAATATCTTGGTGCCCTGCATTTGCATATTAAAAGGCTAGGGTGGGAGGGCCAGCTTTTTTGCAGGCTACGTGAATGATATGCCTGGTCAAACCAATCCCCTGGGCCCTATGCAAATCAGACACCACCTCCTCCAGCCTCTATATATACACTGCCTCCTCCAGCCTCTATATATACACACCTGGCTGGTTTCTGCCCCACTTGGGGTTTCCTCTCTTGGCTTTGGAGCCCCCCTCCCTCTGTCTCTGTATGGGGGAGCTTCTATCTTCTGCCTTTCCCCATCTTTCTTGCCTATTAAACTCTCTGCTCCTTATAACCAAAAAAAAAAAAAAAAGAAAGAAAGAAAGAGCAAATAGGGACAGGAATCTGAGGTCAGCAACCTGACAAGCCCCTGGGGAAGCCTCAAGAGGATGCAGTTCCAATGAGAAAGCAGCTCTAGAAATGAGACCTGTTTTTCTACCCAACAAATGCTCAGCAGAACCAACCAGGACTGCCAATCAGCTGGTGTGCACCTGTACAGCTGACCTGTGGATAAAATGTTGAAGTATATTCCCACAAGTTAGCAAGTAGCTGCTACCCTGACATCTCCCCTCCTAGGCCCCATCAACCTGACCACTCAGGACCCTCCAGTGGAATCCAGGAGCTTCCCCAGTCCCACATTCAAGGGTTAACACCTGGCCCTGCAAGGGGCTCTAGGACCCTGTTCCAGGGAGATGGCCCAGAGCTTGGTCCATTCCCAGGCACACCAGTTTCTCATTGTTTTGAAATTCCCTTTGGGTCCAGCCCTCTCATGGAAACTTCTGGTCTGAAAGCAGCTCCTGGGACCCTGGATGAGGCAGTCCTCCTTAAGCAGACCCCAGAGGAAAGTTGCATCTGGGCTAGGCTGTGGGGTCAGGCTGTACAGGCACAGAAGGAGTGGTCCCCAAAGCAAGGGGTTCACTGGGGCAGCCTTCTCTCTTTCAGTGATTCCTGTAACCAGGCCAGGCAACACCACTCGTGCCTACAGCAAGTTATGGTACTCTGGTGAGCCAGACTGGCTGGAAGAATGGTCCAGGGGAGAGTTCTACAGTGGCTGGAAGGGATCAGAAGACAAAAAGTCAGAAGTCAAAGCTGTCTGTGGCATGGAGAGAGGGAAGTGAGCCTCAAAGGCAGAAGCTAGGAGAGTAAGAACAATCTGGCTTTTGGGAGGTGGGTCAGAGCCTGTGATTCCAGTTTAAAGATGTGAATACTGTAAGGGTGCCTGGTACACAGCCAGCAGCCCCTAAGACACAGGTGGGTGGAGGCCTAGGACCCGGCACACTCTGTAAAGCTACAAGGAGAGTAGCTGTGTCTGAGGAAAAGGGCAAATCTTTGCTATCAGCAAGGACAGCACAGGTCTCTCCTCCCACCCACAAAGCCCCCAGCTTACACCAAATATGTCTCCTATGCCCACATTCTGAGTCAAAATGCGATCAGATTTTATGTAGCAGACCTCATAAAAAGGACAAAGCCCTGTAGACTCTGCTCTGCTCAGCTCCACCCTCCCAGGCCTGCTGTTTGCTTCCCAGCCTCATATTGCATTAGTGCGCGGTTCAATGGATTTTTTATTACAGTTGGAATTAAATAACTCAAAGATGGATCCAGTGGGTTGAGGGAAAACAGAAGTTTAATCAAAGGAAGTAACAGAGCCGATCTGGTTCCAGAATTGCAGGATGTAGTGAAGCTCCCAGCAGGGCCTGGTGATGATGTCCCTCTCATGTTTTCTCTTTGCGCTTTTCTCCCCACAAGGCTTGTGCCCACGAGGGGGCTTCAGGTGACTCACCCCTCTGTGTGGGCAGCTCACAGGTAGCAGAGGCAGTGGGCTGAGTCACAGCCGAGTCTCCGGGCCACCACAAAACTCAGGGAAGATCAAACCCAGAATTTCCGTCCCTATCATTGAAGCATAGCTGAAGGGGATTGCCCTTTTTTGCTTTTTGGTTTTTTTCTCTTGTCCTGAGGTTCTAAGGGCAAGCAGCTGACCCTCCTAAAAGAGATTCTAAATTATGGCCTGGGATCCTGCAGTGTTGAGTGTGGCCAAGATTTGTGTGGCAACAGGAAGGGGTCTATGAGGAGGGAGAGATAAGATGTGAGAACTTGGGACCCAGCTAGGCATGGCCCCGTACCTGTGGGCGGCTGGAAGTGGCAAGACCTGGATAGGATCTACCTGGGTGTGCAGGGGCAAGGCTCAGGCCCACACCAGGGGGAGGCCCGGAGAAGCATGCTCCGTGGGCCATCAGAAGACCCCGCCCAGGTTCCAGCCTTACCATGCACCCTTCTTCCTCTCATTGATTGTGCTCAAACTCTCAGGTTTTCTGCCACCCACCTTCCTGCCTCAGAAGCTTGCCCATTCCATTACCTCTCCTGAGAACACTCTCCCCTTCCACCTAGAGCCTCTGCTCTTCCTTCAGACCTCAACTTTCACATCGTTTCCTCCGAGAAGCCTTCCCTGACCCCCTCAGACCTGCCCAGGTTCCCCTATAAAACACTCTCACCATACAAAGCAGCCTTGCTATGCTCTGGTTACCACTTCAGCCCACCACGTTTTGGGCCGCAATTTCTACCACTTGCACGAGTCAAGTGAAATAGACCACTCACACAGCAAGTTAAATAAAGCAACTTTATCACTCACAGGCAGCAAGGGACAGTAGGAACCTAGGATTTGTGGTGAACCAGTCCCCTGAGGCTCAGGAAAGTTGCCCGGGGTGGATGGAATCTTGTCTACAAGTCCCCACTTGCACCACAGCTAAGGGACCTCAGAAAGCAGACCACCTGGATTTAAACTCCACCAGCAACCTGATTTGCTGGGTTAAAGTTTTGTAGGGCATCCTGTTCTAGGAAGGACAGGAACAGATCCCGGGCTGTTCTGGCCAGTTCTTCCTTATCTCAGGATGTTGCATTCCCAGCACTTTCTACAGTTATTCTCGAGAAATACAAGCAAGAAAGGAAGAGGAACTGGTTCTGGCCAAGGCTACCTGAAGAGTGGTCATGCACACAGCCCTCAGGATTTTCATGGCACTGACCACCATACAGCATAATGTTTAATATAGTTCTACACTGTGGTCTATAAGCTCCCCAGGGGCTGGGACCACCTTGTCTTATTCTCTACTATATCACCAGTGCCCACAGAAGTTCCTGGTATGTAGAAAAGACTCAGCTACATTAATAAATGAAGGGTTTAAGTTAAAATACTGGTGTTAGAAAGGCCCCAAGAGAAGGACAGAGCCAGATGCCAGGGAGTCCAGGGCAGGCAGGGCTTCCAGGGGGCAGCAGGACTCCATTCCCAAGGGAGTAGGACCTGCCAGGAACAAGGAAGGAACAAATCGCAGAGGCCTCCCAGCCTAGGCCACTCACCCTGGTGGGACTCAGGTCCCAAGAACAAGACAGGAGTCCAGTGCTCCAAAATGGGACTCTGCTGGAGGAGGGTTTGAGTCTTGGAAACAAGGTGAAGCCCACATGTCAGAAGTGGGGCCCCAGATTAGGACTGATTGCCACCAATAATGGCTCGATACTGAGTTACAGAATGTTGGGACAGGTCTACTTAAATTCTTTCAGCCTGAGGTCAATAGTTGGCAAAGGGGCACAGGGCAGGGCCGAGTAGGGCTGAGTCAACACAGGAAGGCAAGGGAGAAGAGAAAATGCAGTCAGTGGCCCCAAGTGGGGAAAAGGGGGAATAAAGAGCTGGGGACTGGAAGTCCCAGCCAGAGCAATTAGGCAAGAGAAAGAAATAAAGGGGATTCATATCAGAGAGGAAGAAGTAAAATTATTCTTGTTCACAGGTGATATGATCTTTTATTTAGAAAAACCTAAAGACTCCACCAAAAAACCTTCAGAGTGCATCAACAAATTCAGTATGGGATACAAGTCAACATATTAAATCAGTAGCATTTATATATGCCAACAGCAAACAGTCTGGAAAAAAGTCAAGATGTAACCCCATTTACAAAAGCTACAACAAATATAAAATACATAGAACTCTCTCTATATATATACATATTTTTTGAGGCAGAGTCTCACTCCGTCACTCAGGGTGGAGTGCAGTGGTGCGATCTCAGCCCACTGCAACCTCTGCCTCCCAGGTTCAAGCAATTCTCGTGCCTCAGCCTCCCAAGTAGCTGGGATTACAGGTGTTAGCCACCACACCTGGCTAATTTTTGTATTTTTAGTCGAGACAGGGTTTTGCCATGTTGGCCAGGCTGGTCTCCAACTCCTGGCCTCAAGTGATCCGCTGACCTTGGCCTCTCAAAGTGCTGGGATTACAGGCGTGAGCCACCACACCTGGCTCATAGAAATAAATTTAACCAAAGAAGTGAGAGGTCTCTATAAGGAAAATGACAGAACACTGATGAAAGAAATTGAAAAGGACACAAAAAAAGAGAAAGAGATTCCATGATCATGAAGTGGAAGAATTAATATTGTTAAATGTCAATACCCAAAGTGATCTACAGATTCAATGCAATCCCAATCAAAATACCAATGCTATTCTTCATGGAAATAGAAAAAACAATTCCAAAATAAGCACAGAAACACAAATACCCCCTAATAGCCTGAGCAATCCTGAGCAAAAAGAACAAAGCTGGCGGCATCATATTGCCTGACCTCAAAATATGCTACAAAGATATAGTAACAAAAACAGCCTAATCCCGGCATAAAAACAGACATGAATGGAATAGAATAGAATAGAGAAAATAGAAATAAATCCATGCATTTACAGCCAACTCATTTTTGACAAAAGCATCAAGAATATACATTAAGGAAATAACAGTCTCTTTAATAAATGGTGCTGGGAAAACTGAATATCCATATGCAGAATAATAAAACTAAACCCCTATCTCTCACCATATACAAAAATCAAATCAAAATCGATTAAAGACGTAAATTTAAGACCTGAAGCTATAAAACTACTAGAAGAAAACTTTGGGGAAACACTTCAGGACACTGGTCTGGGCAAAGATATTTTGGGTAAGACTTCAAAAAGCACAGGCAAGGAAAGCAAAAATAGACAAATGAGATGATATCAAACTAAAAAGCTTCTGCACAGCAAGGGAAACAATCAACAAAGTGAAGAGACAAACTACAGAATGGGAGAAAATATTTGCAAACTATCCATCCAACAAGAGATTAATAACCAGAAAATATAAGGAACTCAAACAACTTAACAGCAAAAAACCACAAATAATCTGATTTTTAAATGTGCAAAAGATCTGAATAGACATTTCTTGAAACATACAAATGAACCACAAGTACATGAAAGAATGCTCAACATCACTAATGATCAGAGAAATGTAAATCAAAACCACAATGAGATATCATCTCACCCCAGTTAAAATGGCTTTTATCTAAAAGACAAAAAACAACAGATGCTGGCAGGGATGCAGAGAAAGGGGAAGTCTTACACACTGTCGGTAGGAATGTTAAATTGGTACAGACACTGTGGAAAACAGCATGGAGGTTCCTCAAAAAACTGAAAATAGAACTACCATATGATCCAGCAATCCTACTGCTGGGTATAAATTCAAAAGAAAGGAAATTAATATATCAAAAAGATAACTGCATCCTCATGTTTTTGCCAGCACTATTCACAATAGCCAGGACACGGAATCAACCTAAGTGTCCATCAACAGATGAATGGATAAAGACAATGTGGTACCTATTCACAATGGCATATTTTTCGGCCATAAAAAAGAGTGAAATTCTGTCATTGGCAGCAACATGAATGGAACCGGAGGTCATTATGTTAAGTAAAATAAACCAGGTACAGAAAGACGGGTATCACATGTTCTCACTCATGTGGGAGCTAAAAACGTGGATCTCGTGGAGATAGAGAGTAGACTGGTGGTTACCAGAGGCTGGGAAGGGTAGGGGGAAGGTGGGGTTGAAGAGAAGTTGATTAAAGGGCACAAAGATACAGTTAGATCAAATGAATAAGATCTAGTGTTTGATAGTACAGGAGGGTGGCTATAATTAATAATAATTTATTATCTTCTTCAAAATAGCTAGAAGAAAATCATTCAAATGTTCCTAACAAAGAAAAGTTAAAATTTTGAAGCAATGGCTATCCCAGTTACCCTGATTTGCTCACCACACATTGTATGCATGTAGCGAAAGTCCCGCTAGTATGGGCTTCCCGCCCCACAGATTGAATCCCAGGTTCCACCCTACAACAGGAGAGGCCAGGCTCCTCCCTCTGCAAATAGCGGAACTTCCCGAGGCTCCATCACAGTGTGCACTCCTCCCAGTGCACAGGCCAGTTGGAGGTTCTCCAGTGACACCTTTCTACTTGGCTGCCTCACATTCACTCATTTATTCAACAGATAACCACCAAACACACACCCTGTGCCAGGCACAGCTCAGGCACCAGCTAAGGGACAGCAGCAAGGAGCACGGAGCTCAGTCCTAAGCTGGCCGGCTTCCTCACAGGCTTCCTGCCCAGAGGCAGGGCAGGTTTTAGAGGGCCAGCAGATTGGCCACTGAGAGGCAGCCATAGGTATACCAGGGATCAGGCAGTGGCTGATGGAGTTTGAGCACCCCTTGCTTCTGGCTGCCCCTCCTGCATCTTCACAGCACACTCTGGCTTTCCCAAATTAAAACTAACCGTTTTTCTGCTTCCTACCCAACTCTACCCCCCTTGAACACATTCATTTAGCCTACAAAGTAGAGAAGATCTGAAACAAACAAATTTGAAATTTAGAGGATAACAATGGGACCTCTGTAACGAGGGATGTCAGCTTTAGTGAAAGGAATTAAACAGTTTGAATATTAGGATTCGTTTGGTTGACTGTGCCAGAAAACCCAGAGGCTTCAGCAAGGTAGGATTGTATTTGTCTCTCATGCAAACAGGCAGCCTGGAGCAGTATGGCCACCGCACCATCACCAGGGGCCCAGGCCCCTCCTCTCTTATTGCTCTGCCCTCCTCAACACATGGCTTCCACGGCTGCTTGAGCACCAGCCATCATATCCACATGCCAGGCAGCTAAAAGAACAAAGAGGCAGAAAAAGACACTTCCCTTTAAGGATACTTCCTAGAATTTGCCCAAACTACTGCAACTTACACCCCATCAACCAAAACTCAGTCACAACACAGCTAGCAAGGCTGGGAAATGCCATTATCTTGAATGCTCCTGCACCTGGCTGAAAATCAGAGTTCTATTACCAAAGAATAAGGGGAGACAGGGGCAGGGGTGACAAGCAGAACTGGGCTAGGACGTGCTCTCCTTTGGGAACTCTTTTCCCCATGGTTCACTTTGCTCATTCCCCCTTGGACCTCATTTCTTCCCTCACTGAGGCTACATAGAGGATGGAGTCTGGGCTGCCTCTCTGCTGCCCTGGAAGGCTAAGCAAGGCTGGCAGGGCTGACAGCAGGAGGTCTGGGGGCAGTGGAGGCTACGGCCGTGGCTGAGGCTTTCACGCAAGGACATCTGGACCCATCAGGACCCCCCCTCCTAATCTTCATCCCTATGTGATTTCAGTAAGTCACTCAACCTCTGGGAGCCGTAGCTCCTCATCCGAAGAAAAGGGGATAAAAATTCCTACCTGGCCAGGCATGGTGGCTCACACCTGTAGTCCCAACAATTTGCAGAACCAAGGTGGAGGATCACTTGAGGCCAGGAGTTCGAGACCAGCCTGGGCAATATAGTGAGATCCCCTCTCTACCAAAACAAACAAACAAACAAAACAAAACAAACTCCTACTTCACAGGGTTGCTATGAGGATTAAGTGAGCTCAGTAAGTGGTAGCTATTTTCAAAGTGTGCCTTTGCCTGGGCTGTCTTTGGTGATCTCTATGTATCTATATCTGTATCTATGTCTACATGTATATCTATAACTACATCTACATCCACATTTCTGTATCTATATCTATATCTATGTCTATGTCTATATCTGTCTCTGTTTCTATACCTACATCTACATCCATATATCTATTTCTATTTCTACATCTATATCATCATCTCCCTATATAGCTTTTCCCTCTATCTGAATTTCCCTCACAGCCTGAGCAGACGTGGTTCCAGGCAACAGCTGGAGATAGATTTGAGTTTGGGGCTTTGGACATATTAACAGGACTGGCAGGACCAGCCTTCCCTGCACGATGTAGACACTTCATCACAGCTCACAGATGCCCAAGACCCAATTAACTCGGCAGACGCAAGAGAGCTCAGGACAGGCTTGCAAATTAAATCCTGTTACTGGCTCCAAAGAACTGAGGGCACTTCCCACATCCTCAGGCAGACACAGCACTTGTGCTTAGCTGCCTGTGACACACCAGGGTTCCAGGGTGAGCTGTGTCATCAGAGAAGTGGACCCCTCCCCCAGCTGATCCCAGGCCTTGTGCAATGTTAACGGCTGCTTTGGGTCTTTCTACAGGAGATCCTGAAACCAAGGTTTGGACCCTGCTCATATCTTGAAGGAACGTGAGTCACTTCTCGGGAGGCAGTAAAGTGGATCGAGAAGAGATTGTGTTTGGCTTCAGGCAGACACAGTTTGAATCCTGGCTCTGCCACTCTCGAGCTGTGTGATCCTGATCAACCTGCTCAACCTCTCTGAGCCCTGGTTCCTCATCTGTATAACAGGGGTGACAAGACCATCTCAGAGACCTGATGTGAGGACTCCATGAGGTTATGCCTGTAAAGTGCCTGCTCCACAAAACTCATTCCCTGAGTTCAACTCATCGACACCATCAGCGTCACCACCAAACAGATCAGGTTCCCAGCACAGGGTGGTGCATCTTCCTCCTGCCCACCCTGCCAGAGTTAGTGAGATGTCATAGTTGGTTCTCTCCCCAGCCTCCACCCTGTGAGATGCAAGTTTGCTCAAGTTCAGGTACTGGTGGAGGAGGAGGCTCCTCTGCAATCACCCGCCTCCATGTCCTTGTGTCCACCTGACATCAGCTCCAGGACGGTGCTCTGACCCGAGCTTGGGAATCAACCCTGTCCCAAGGCCCTCCCGGGGGCCTGCTTTTCCAACTTGCTGTTATTCCAGCTCAGATGCCAAGGCCCTTGCCTGTCCCTTTGTCCCTCTTTGCTCCTGTATCTCAGTCCCCAGAATTGTCCCCTGTATTACCACAATCTGTCTATGTATCCCTGCCTTGAGTCATCCCCTGGGAATGGGCATCCTCCCTTCCCCCAGACTCAGACCCCAGTCCTTGAGCTGAATCCCCCCACCAGAGGCTGGACTTCCGCGAGGCCAACTGCCTGTCAGCCCAGCCCGCCAGCCCCATCTGCTGCCATATGTGCCTGACCCAGTGCTCAGTGCCTGCTGTCTGCGCCTCTATCTCCATGACAGCTGCGTGTTTGAGGGCCACCAGCCCTGCCTCCCCAGCCTCTGCTGTCATCAGATGCCAGGATCCGTCATGTCACCTGCTCTGGGGGCAGCTTCTGTTGTCTGGTTCCTCCAGGCCAGACCAAGTCCAGGCAAAGACACTCATGAGCAGCCTCATCATCACTCTGGAAGTGGCCCTGACAGGCAAAGGCTGCTGGCTTCTGCTCATCACTGTCACAATGTCCCCAGGGTGGGAGAAGAGGTGGTGTTTTATTTCTTACAAGTTCTAACTTTCTGATATGAGACTCCAAAGACACAACACCATCAGGAGTGCCGGGAGGGCTCCAGGATTGGGACTGCAGCTGTCTTAACCCTTAAGAGCACAACCTCTGCTCAGAGCCATCAGGAGATGGGGGAGAAGCCTGGAGCAATAAGAAACACAGATTCCTACTAAACGTAACTACCTGTGTTTATCCTTTCTCCCAAAACCCCACTAAAATGAAAGCAAATGCATTTTTGACAGCATAAACCCAAAGACTAGGAGAATGTAAGAGGAGGCAATTATAGAGATTTCAGCAAAGTCTGGAAGACAGAAAGCAGAGGGAGGAGGAACATTAGCAGAGGAAGATATGAGCTAAAGTGCCTAGAAAGGGGGATCCAGATGAGCAGGAACTGATTTGCCCCACAGAAAGCCCAAGGAGGGGCTTGGAACTCAGAGGCAACAGGTACAGGGGGAAGTTAAGGTCAAGTGTAGGGCTGAGAAGAGGGGCTAAAGTGCAATTCTGTATGCTGAGCTAGACACCCCCCCGCCAGTTCCCTCCTTCACCCACACAGCTGGGCAGCTTGCATCTCTCTTCCCCATGCCCCAGACAAGAGCCCACGGCTTGCTCTGCAGTGAAGCAGATGAGAGAACTCCCAACTTCAGGACACCTGGCAAAGTGAGGCAGGGGGCGGGGGGAGGTTAGGTTCAGGACAGTAGTCTAAACATTTCACAGTGGATTCCAAAGTCCCGTGTTTTGCTCCTGCTGCCTGCAACCTTCCCCAGGGCAAGAGATTACAGGGTTCTTCTCTTGAGTAGGTGAACGCCCCAGAGAGCAAGATCTCTACCTACTAACATTTGGCAATTTCCAGTGTCAAAAGCCCCATGAGTTCTCATGCTCTGTGAAAGCATTCAGAGCTGCCGATCAGCTTTGAGGGCCTCTCTGAAATATGAACAGTCAAGGATCAACAAATATTTGAGGAAGGACTCCAACATGAAAAAGATCCAAACAAAGCCAGGAGTGGGGTGAGTGTCAAAGGATGTCAGAAGCAGTGCAAGGACCAGAAGAAAATTTCAAAAGGAACTCTAGTGAGAACTGTTCAGAGAAATAAAAGAAAGCTTTGCCCTTTACAGAAAAGGAAATAATCTGAGAACAAGAAAGAACTCTTGGACATTTAAAAAATCATAACCATTGAAATAAACATTCAATAAAAGGAAATCTGCCAGAAAAGAGAACTAAAAGACAAGGAGGAAAAAGAAAACAGATGAGAGGTATATTAGTTAGGATTCTCCAGAGATACCCAATAGGATAAAGAGAGAGAGAGAGAGAGAGACAGGAGAGGGGATTTATTAGAGGGATTGGCTCATGCAGTTACAGAGGCTGAGAAATCCCACTCAGGCCATCCGCAAGCTGGAGACCCTGGGATGTTGGTATCGTGGTTCAGTCCAAGTCCAAAGGCCTCAGAACCAGGGAGGCTGATGGTGCAACTCTCAGCCTGAGGCCAAAGGCCTGAGAACCAGGGTGAGGTGGGGGAGTGGAGGTGCTGGTTTAAGTCCTGGAGTCCAAAGGCCAGGGAGCCTGGAAGTGTTGTCCAAGGACAGAAGAGGAAGAGTGCATCCCAGCTCCAGAAGGCAGCTCCACACACTCACCTTCTGTCTGTTTTTGTTCTCTCTGACCCACAGCAGACTGAGTGGTGCCTACCCACATCAAGGGCAGATCTCCCACTTCGTCCACTCAGACTCCCAAGCTAATCTCTGGAAGCACCCTCACAGACACACCCCAAAATAATACCTTACCAGACTTCTAGGTATTCCATAATCCAGTCAAGTTGACACCTAAAATTAGCCATCACAGGAGGAAATAATTTTTAAATATGTATATAAAATAGTCCTAGAACAGAAATGAATTTCCAGATTGGAAATTGGGCCCATCACTACAAATTTTAAAAAGACCTACACCAATTTTGAAATTTCAGAACACCAAGGATGAAGAAAAGATCCAAAAAGCTTCTGGGGAGCTGAAATAGGGCACAAGAAGAAAACCAGGAATCAGAATGGCATTGGCTTTTCTAGAAGCCAGGAGTCTAGGGAACAATGCCTTCAACATTCTAAAGGGAGGGAACGTTATTTTCAACCTGAGATTCTACATTCAGCCACTATCAGTAAGTGCAAGGATAGAATAAAGATGTTTTTCAGATGTGCAGGGACTCACAACAAATCGACCAGCCTCCCATGCACTCTGTCTTAAGAAACTGCTGGAGATTGTACACCACTAAAACTAGGCTGTAAACCAAGAAAGAAGAGATGGGGCTCAGGAAACAGGAGGTGGGATTCAGCAGAGCATTGAATTCAAGACCTCGGATGACAGCTGTGCTCAGAACTCAAATGCAAGCTGCTCAGTTTGGGGCAGGAGGAAGATCACAGGGGGAATATGGGATCAGTACATGAAGCGACAGGTCTTGCCATGCAGAAACAAGATCATCAGGCATTTGCCCAAGCTACAGGAGCAACTGGGGAAAAGATAAGGCAAGGTTCAGAGAACACTAAATAAACTTTTAGATGAGGCCATTCTTAATCCTAGGACAAACAAAGGAAGAAAGGAAATATAATCACTGCACAGGAATTGCTCTGTCATAAACAATATGTACACTGTTGTAATAGTTAAACACTGACTACTGATTTAATTAAGATATTAAAGTCACTATCCTGGGAGCGTAGGAGGAGGTGAAACCAGGCCCAAAGAGTTAAGGAAACCAATGACCAGCAGAAATTCTTGAGTTTGCAGGATGGCAGGTAAGAAAAAGAAACAACTTGCTGAGACGCTGAAACTCCCCCTACTTGTGAGATTAAAAAAACTGGCTGAAATTGGCTGGGCGCAGTGGCTCATGCCTGTAATCCCAGCACTTTGGGAGGCCGAGGCGGGTGGATCACGAGGTCAGGAGATCAAGACCATCCTGGCTAACACAGTGAAACCCCGTCTCTACTAAAAATATAAAAAATTACCCAGGAGTGGTGGTGGGCGCCTGTAGTCCCAGCTACTCGGGAGGCTGAGGCAGGAGAATGGCGTGAACCCAGAAGGTGGAGGTTGCAGTGAGCCGAGATCACACCACTGCACTCCAGCCTGGGTGACAGAGCGAGACTCCATCTCAAAAAAAAGAAAAAAAAAAAAAAACTGGCTGAAATTGATGGGCACTAATACGGCCAACTGGAGTTTGCACAGAATGAGCTTGCTGATGTCACAGCCTGAACATTCACTATGTTTCATAGCAACGCTCCCCAAATTCACACATGCAATCCACGAAGTAGCAGGAAGAGATAACTGTGCACACCCAAGGACCTCCCCCTTCCTTGCATAGGTAGGGATTGGTGGAATGGAGGAAAGGGGAGATGGCTTATCTAAAGCGTGCATGCCTTTCTAGACCTCCCCTTTCCTTCCATCAAATCACTGCTAATCCCAGAACCCACCCATACACCTTTTTGAATAAAATTCCTGCCTTAGAGCCAGCATAGGGAGACAGATTTGAGCTGGACTCCTGTCTCCTTGTTAGTCAACTTGCTGTAAGAAGCTTTTCTTAAAAACCTGGTGTCGGCCGGGCGCAGTGGCTCACGCCTGTAATCCCAGCACTTTGGGAGGCCAAGGCGGGTGGATCATGAGGTCACAAGTTCAAGACCAGCCTGGCCAAGATGGTGAAACCCCGTCTCTACTAAAACCTCAAAACTTAGCTGGGCCCGGTGGCAGGCACCTGTAATCCCAGCTACTTGGGAGGCTGAGGCAGGAGAATCGCTTGAACCCAGGTGGCGGAGGTTGTGGTGAGCCAAGATCGTGCCACTGCACTCCAGCCTGGGTGACAGAGTGAGACTCCATCTCAAACAACAAAACAAAACAAAACAAACAAACAAAAAAAACCTGGTGTCATAGCATTGGTTTCTAGCACCTCGGGCAGCTAGCCTCTTTTGCTCAGTAGCAGAGGGAATGGGATGGGAAGAGAACACACCCTTCTCTGCCATAACAGGACAGCAGTAGATAATTTCTAAACGTGATAAATCAAGAAAAGCAATATAAACACATTATTTAGAAATACAGAGGTAAATACCAGAAGAAACAGCTCAAAGAGGGTATCTGTTTTCTATTACTACATAACAAATCACCACAAACTTAGCAACTTACAGCACATAATTAGCGTCTCACAGTTTCTGTGGGTCAGGAGTCTGGGCACAGCTCAAGTGAGGTCCTCCGCAGGTCCTCCCCCAGCTGAAATCAAGGCATCAGCCTGGCCACTTTCTGATCTGGAGCTCAGCTGAGGAAGAATCGTATTCCAAGCTCAGCAGATTGTTGGCAGAATTCTTTTTTTGAATATTAAATAATAACGGCAAAAAATGCGATTACTTTTGCACCAACCTAATATTTTTTAGAGATGGTGTCTCACAATGATGCACAAGCTGAATTCAAACTCCTGGGCTCAAGCAATCCTCCTGTCTCAGCCTCCCGAGTAGCTGGGACTACAGGTGTGTGCCACCATGTCCAGCTGAAAATTCATTTTTTAGTAGTTGCTTGACTGAGGGTACCTGCTTTTTCCTGGCGGTGGGCTAGAGGCCTCCCTCAGGCCTACGGGCCACCCAAAGTCCCTGAAGGCCACCCCCAGTTCCTTGCTTCTCCAACATGGCTACTGACTTTGTCATGCTGCCTCCTGCCCTCACCCCAGGGAGCCTCCAGTCTGCTTCTGCTAAGATGGAGTTGTGTAAAACATCAGGGAAGTACTATTCCATCACCTTTACCATATAAATCCTGACCTCACCCAAGGAGTGTAAACACCAGGATAGGGGGATCTTTGGGGCCACCCTAAAATCTATTGGCCACAATGAGATTATTAACCTTTTTATTTTTTATAATTAAGTAATCCGAAATACATAGAAGAGTATAATGAGTCCCTCCTACCCTTGTTTCCTAGCCAGTTCTCTCGCCTGGGAGGCAACAGATATGATGGGTTTCTTTCATAATCTAACAAAATGATTTAATGTATATAATGCATACGCCCATAGACATGAGTCACTCTGCACTCTTTCAGCTCGTTGCTCAAGTGTGACATTGCCGCCTGGGCCTCCCATGAGTGCTCTATACAAATGGCAACACACATATCTTTCTCCCCCTTTTTCCCATGACTGGTAGCACACTTTGCAAACTCGTCTGCATCTTGCTTTTTGCAGGTAATATATAGTGAGATCACTTTCCATCGGTACATAGATTCTTTATTGTTTTTCTGCTGCTGCATAGCATTCATTGACCTTTTTGTGGACATCTAGTTCATTTCAACCCTCTTCTGTTACAAATGACGCAGCAATAAATATGTTTGAGGGGAGTCATAATAGTGTCATCTCTGGGAAGTAGGACAGGAAAGTGCAAGGATCTACTGCTTTCGTTTTAAGCCTTTCAGGACCCTGTGATTTTAAAAAAAAAACATGTGAACATCATAGTTTGATAGCTATAAAAAAGGGTTTTGTGATCTCTGCAGGGGATGATGCTGGCTGCGTGAGAACCCCGCTTGTCCTCACCACCATCAGAACAGGCTTTCAAGTCCCTTTTGAGCTGCCACCCCTACTTCCATTCTAGGCTTCATTCTTTCCTTTGCTCAACATTTAACCAGCGTCTACTATGTGCCAGGTGCTTGAAGGTTGGGGCTTCTGAGAAAAAGAACACTTCTCTTTTCAGGCAAAATAGTCCACCTGTCCTTCTTCATGTATGAGTTCAAACATGAGCACAGTTCTCCCAGACACTCAGCAGAGAAATGGGCTGCTGGCCCCCTCAGAAAACAGGCAGCTCAGCAGCAGAGGCACCCTCCAAGTTTGGGGATTTGGGAATTCATCCGGTGTTCAAGTCCTACTTTCCAGTGGATCCGAGTGAGAGGCAGCCCTGGCAGCTGTGCACCCACCTTATCACAGTCACCCACCCCTCCTAGAACCTCATCAGGGCCAGGTGCGGTGGCTCATGCCTATAATCCTAGAACTTTGGGAGGCTGAGGTAGGTGGATCGCTTGAGGCCAGGAGTTTGAGACCAGCCTGGACATAGTGAAACCCTGCCTCTACTAAAAATACAAAAAATTAGCAGTGGTGCGTGTCTGTGGTCCTAGCTACTCAGGAGGCTGAGGTGGGAGAATTACTTGAAAGCGGGAGTCCCAGGCTGCAGTGGGCCATGTTCATGCCACTGCACTCCAGCCTGGGTGACAGAGCAAGACTCTATCTCAAAAAATAATAATAAAATTAAAAAGTAAAAAAAAAAAAAGTAGAACCTCATCAATCCCTTCTGAGACACTGCCAAGCCCTCTCAAGGTCATCGTTTGTCAAACCGTAAGACCTTCCCCCATGAGCGGACAAAGTTAGGGGGCCCCTCTGTGTCTCTCTCCCTTGCTCTCACTCATCTTTCTCTGTCCCCTTTCTCCTAGCTTCCATTTTATTCTTAGTTACAATCTGTTTTCTCCCTCTCACCCAGTGACATCTGGGCTTCAGTCATGTCCCTGTGTGCCCAACAGGGGCTAAGACCTGTGAGTATCCTTCCCATTTACCTTTGTCCCAGGTGGACAACAGAGTTTAGTGTTTGCAACAGTGAGGTAGGCACATATCTACCTAACTTAACTGGGGGAAAAATTAGGACTCAGAGCCTAGTTCTCTGTCTCAGTTTCTCCATAGCAACCTGTCATTGTGAACGTGATCACTACCACAGTGACACTTTCTGAAGGTCCCCTGGGCATTAAACCATTTAATCCTCACAGCACCCCTTGGAGATCGTATTGCTATTATCCTTATTGAATAGATGAGGAAACCAACCCCCGGGAGGCAGAGGAAGTCTGCCCGCAACCACACAGCCAGTGTGTGGCAGAGCTGGTATTTCAAAGGGGTTTTGCTGTCTCTGGATGGAGACTCTCCACCTCGGTGTTTCAAGGCTTGTCCTCTAAACACGTGGCAAACATATTTTCTGTTTTCTTTCCAGTGAGCCACACTGACATGCATCCAATCATCTCATCTGTCTGGGTGCAGTTTTTCTACTAGTTAAAAATCCACTTAAATCCTGCTACCAGCTGGCTCACATTTATTCAGCTTGGCTGTAGGACTTGAGACATTTCATCAAATGCCTTGCTAAAATCAAGGCTACATCCCCGCATGAGATTTCATCAAGGATTTGCCTCCCAAGGTCCCTAAGTAATAAACCAACATGAGTCCAGCAAGCTCACTCCCGAAGTCCTGCCTAAGCCGTCACATGTGGTGAATGGGTCTGGCCCCAATCAAGGAGCTCCTCTGCCCTCCTGAAAGCCAGATCAAAAGGCTGATGGTGTTTGGAAGTGACAAGAAGCAGTGGTAGCAGGCAGGGAGTAAAGTATGATGGCAGCTGCCAAGTGGCAGAAGTGAGAAGATTAAAATGAATCTGAAAAGTGGCTGGCACAGCGTTAAGAAGATCTGCTCTTTCAGCCCAGGGCAGCAGCCTGGAGGCTGACTGGGGCCCAGGGCTTCCCCTTCCAGGGTTTCCCTCCTCCTCTGGAGCAAGGGTTAACACCTGGAGCCTCCTACAGGCTCAGGCTGAGACCTAAATAGGGGAAGTGGGCCCTAGGAGGCCATGGTAAGTGAATTGCATGGGAAGCGTGCCTGGCACATTGTCTGAGCTCTGTGTTAGCTCTTGTCATCCTTATTATTCTTACTATTAGCAGGGCAGCTGTTACTCTGTCCCAGACAACTATTATCATTCAGCTAGCTGGGCACAGTGATGTCAGATCTTCCAATCATCAAAAGAAGCTGAGAATCTGAGTTTTATTAGTAGTCCTCCAATTTTCCCATATTAGTAACTGTGATGGTTAATTTTAGGTGTTAACTTGCCTGGATTGAGGGATGCCTGGATGGCTGGTGAAGCACTGTTTCTGGGTGTATCTGCAAGGGTGCTTCCAGAGGAGACTGGCGTGTGAGTGGGTGGACTGAGAGGGAAGATCCTCCCTCAACGTGGGTGGCCATCACCCAATCAGCAGGGGACCTGGAAGAAACAAAAAGGCAGAAGAAGGGTGAATGCTCTCTCTCTCTTCCAGAGTGGCGTGCCTTTTTCCTCCTGCCTTTGGACATCAGAACTCCCAGTCCTTGGCCTCTGAACTCTGGGACTTACCCCAGCAGCTTTCCAGGGTCTCTCAGGCCTTCAGCCTTGGGCTGAGAGTGACACCATTGGCTTCTTTGGTTCTGGGGCCTTCTGACTTGGATTGAGCCATACTCCCAGCTTCTCTGATTCTCCAGCTTGCAGATGGCCTATGGTGCGTGGCACTCAGCCTCCACCATTGCAGGAGTCAATTCACCTAGCAAATCCTCTCTCATCCATCCATCTACCTATTCCAGTGCTTCTGTTTCTCTGGTGAACCCTGATTAATGCAGCAGCTAAAGCAATTAGAACAAAAACAAACACATGTGTGGACCAGACCCAATCAGTCTGTATCAGCCTGCGGGCCTCTCACCAGTCTGCACCCTCTGCCTGGGGCCTGGCATAGTTCTAAGACCAGGATCCCGCCACCTGCAGGGATTAGGAACTTGGCCATGGCAGAGTCTTCCAGGTCTCCTTGTGTCCCACCACCCCTTCTGAACACACACAGGCTCAGGAAGCACCCCAGGGATATTGCGTCCCTGAGTCCTTGAACCTGACAATGGGCTGGCTGCCCTTCCAGCCTGGCAAGGAGAGTGGCAAGCACGAGCTAGGCAGCCGGGAGAGAGGAGCTCCACGCAGATGTCTGCCAGGGAGAAGCCAGTGTCCAAGCACAGTGCCTGACATTGGGCAGCTCAGCCTCTACACAGGGGAGGAGCAGGAGGAGATGGCCATGAGACTTAGAGTCTCCTGGCTTCCTTGGGGCTCTGTCTCCCCTGAGCAAAAATGGGCTTGGTTGGGCACGTTGGCTCATGCCTATAATTCCAGCACTTTGGGAGGCTGAGGCAAGAGGATTACTTGAGCTCAGGAGTTCAAGATCAGCCTGGGCAACATAGGGAGACCCCATCTCTACTAAAAATCAAAAAAATTAGCCAGGCATCATGGTGTACACCTGTAGTCCCAGCTACTCTGGAGGCTGAGCGGGGAGGATCATGTAAGTCGGGGAGATAGAGGATGCAGTGAGCTATGATCATGCCACTGCATGCTAGCCTGGGCAACAGAGTGAGACACTCTCAAAAAAAGGTTGGGGGTGTGGCACTTGAATTGAATCACGTCCTTCCACTTCACACCTTTTCTGATGAGAACCAATGATCCTCCACTTTCTGAGGTTCAGCCCCAGACTTAGAACCATGGCCATAGTGGGCCACTATTATCTAACAAATATGTAGAGCACAAACAACAGAAGAGAAGCACAGCTCTAAAGGGGCCCAGGGAGCTTCCAGAGCTGTCATCTGTGGGTCCATGACCCCGAGTTAAAGGGTAGAAGTGCCCCACTTGCATCCCCCCAACAGCCTCTTGCCCATAAACTGATGGGTGAGCTCCCAAGAGGTGCAGGAGCCCCTGCTCATGGCTCCTCCTGCCTGTAGTTCTCAGTGAAAGGGGGTCACATCCCAGAAACCCATAGAACTTTCCCTGGGGCTCTTTCTCTCCAAATCTCTTCCCTGCTAGGAATCTGGAGGAGTTCTGCTGATGTTTCTATGTCAGCCCCTCCACTCAGGAGAAGTTCTGTGATTTTTGAGAATGGTGATCCTCTGGGTACGGAGGGTGGAGAGGGTGGGGGTGGGGAAGGACAACTCAATAAGATCATCACCCTCATCATTACATTTTAGTTGATTTTAAAATTTTTATTGAGATATTATTTGCATACAATAAACCACACATATTTAAGGTCTTCTATTTTATAAGTTTTGACACATGTACGCACCATGAAACCATCAATACAATCGAGATAATGAACATAGCCGTCACCCCCAAGAGCTTCCCAAGGACCCTTTGTAATCCTCCCCAGGCCTGTGTTCCCATCCTCGGGTAACCACTGATCTGCCTTCTGTCACTAGAGCTGTTTGCATTTTCTAGAGTTTCATATGAATGGAATCAGGCAGTTTGTATTCTTTCTTGGTCTGGCTTCTTTCACTCATCATAATTATTTTGAGATTCATCGACATTGCTGCATGTATCAGCAATTCAGTCCTTCTTATTATTGAGTGGTATCCCATTATATGAACATAAATATTTTTTATTAAGTGCTAACCTACATGCCAGGCACTATACCAACAACTTTACATATATTACCTCTTTTCATTTTCAAATTGATCTGCAGAGGACTGTGATCTCCACTTTATAGTTGAGGCAAGAAAGACTCAGAGAAGTTAAGTAACTTTCCAGAGGTCACACAGTTGAGAGGTGGAAGAGCTAGGATTTGAACTTAAGTCTGGCTGCAAAATCAGCTCCACCAAGTGATGCTGCGGTGTGCGGCTTTCCCTTAGAAGTCCTGGCCATTCCAGGTGTCCTGGGTTCCTCAACACCGAGACACCTTTGACCTTCCCTTCCCTTCCAGCTCCACCCCACAGGCTCTGGAGCACAGTGGAAAAGGGCCTGAACCTTGGACTCCCTGTGGGATTCCCAGCACATTGGTCATAGAAGAGAAAAGGTTAAAGGAAAAGGGCAGGAACCCCAAGGCATGAGCCCTTCCTACCCCACAGCTCCCCATTCACAGCACACAGAGGATGTTTTAATGATCTCCAATTTGTTTTTATCCTGAAGTAGAACACATGCCCTGGGCCTATCAATAGAACCAGGCAGAAGGTGACCGCCGTGGCAGATTGCAGGGGGTGGTGGAGCAGTTCTCAATTGTGCTTTGGGTGGTTGTGAGAGACTCTGCTGCTGTCAGCACCCCACTTCCCCTTCCCTCCTCCCAGCCCCTCAGCCCACTTGAACAGAGTTGCTTCATTCAGAATCTGGCTTTTCCATGTTCCTGCATAGGCCTGTGGGAGTGAGGCTATGGGGTGAATGAGCACAGGGAGCTTGTCCCTTGAGGCCTTAGAATCAGTGTCTCTGGGAGGCGACCTCTCCAATCCCTCTAAGAGCCCTGCAGAAAGGTGGCGGCCGGCCATGTGGTCAGTGACTTACATTCCACCTGCCTGTCGCCTCTGGGCCTGGGCAACACAAGGGCTTGTTCACGCTCCCCTTCTCTTGTTCTTGTGGGCAGATTTCCTCTTCCAAAAACAAAAACCTCTTGATCCGGCCTCCCCTCCACACAGCTGTTCTCTATTCAGTTCCTATTATTTATCATCAAACTTAACGTGACTCCTTCCAAAGCCCTATCTGACCCCATGAACTAAGTTAAACCCCCAGCAACTCTCTCCTGCAAACCCCCTTTGGAACTGCATCCTTCTTGTAATTCCCTATAGGAACAGCACTGTCCTCACCAGGCCACCAGCCCCATGGGGCAGGGCCTTGCTCACCCATCCTATTCATTGTCATTGCCTTCACCCAGCAGACGCTCTGTGAATATTTGTTGAATTGATTTCTTGGAATAAAGTTCAAAACCTTGTGAAATTAAACAATGTATTATTTAGAGGTACATACGTTTAGTAAAACCATGAAGAAAAACAAAGGAACTGTATATTCAAAATCAAGATGGCAGTCACACCCATTAGGATGAGTAGTATTTTAAAGAACACTCATTGAAAATAAAAGTGTTGGTGAGAATGTGGAGGAATTGGAACGCTCGTGCATTGCTGGTGGGAATGCAAGATAGTGCAGCCATATGGAAAACTGAATGGCAGTTCCTTAAAATATTAAACGTAGAATTACATTTGCTCCAGCAATTCCACTTCTGAATATATACACACAAAAACTTGAAGCCTGGCATGGTGGTGTACACCTGTAGTCTTTGGGAAGCTGAGGTGGGAGGGTCACTGGAGACCAGGAGTTTGAGACCAGCCTGGTCAACATGGCAATACCCTGTCTCTGTAAAAAACAATAATTTTTAAAAATTGAAAGCAGGAACTTAAACAGTTATTTGTATACCAATGTCTTTTTTTGTTTGTTTGTTGTTGTTGTTTGGTTGTTGTTGTTTTTTTTTTTAGATGGAGTCTCGCTCTGTCACCCAGGCTAGAGTGCAGTGGCATGATCTCAGCTCACTGCAACCTCTGCCTCCTGGGTTCAAGCAATCCTCCTGCCTTAGCCTCCCAAGTAGCTGGAATTACAGGTGCCTGCTGGGATTATCACATCTGGCTAACTTTTGTATTTTTAGTAGAGATGGGGTTCCACCATCTTGGCCAAGCTGGTTTCAAACTCCTGACCTCAAATGGTCCACCCACCTTGGCCTCCCAAAGTGCAGGGATTACAGGCATGAGCCACCATGCCTGGCTTTACACCAATGTCATAGCAGGCAAAAGGTAGAAGCAACCCAGATGTCCATCGCCATATGAATGGATAAACAAAATGTGGTCTATACATACAATGGAATATTATTCAGCCTTAAAAAGGGAGGACATTCTGTCACATACTGCGACATGGATAAACCGTGGTGAAGACATTACACTAAGTGAAGTAAGGCAGACACAGAAGGACAAATACAGGTGTTATATGACTCCACTTATCTGAGGTATCTAGAATAGTCAAATTCATAGAAACTGTATTACTTCGTGTTGCTATTAAAAAATACCTGAAACTTGGTAATTTATAAAGAAAAGAGGTTTATTTGGCTCACAGTTCTGCAGGCTGTACAAGCAGTATGATGCTGGCATCTGCTTCTGGTGAGACCTCAGAAAACTTACAATCATGGTAGAAGGCAAAAGAGGAGCCTGCATATGACACAGTGAGAACCAGCAACAGAGAAGGAGCAAGACAGAGGGCAAGGAGGTACCAGCCTCTTTAAACAACTGGATCTCACATGAACTCATAGGACAGCACTAAGCTATTCATGAGGGATTCACCTCCATGACCAAAACACTCCCCACCAGGCCCCACCTCCAACATTGGAGGTCACATTTCAAAATGAGATTTGGAGGGGACAAAACATTCAAACCATATCAGAGAAAGAAAGTAGAATGGTGGTTGTCAGGGGCCGGAGGAAGGGGAAGTTACTATTTAATGGGTCCAGAGTTTTGGTTTGGGAAGGTAAAAAAGTTCTGGAAATGGATGAGAGTGATGCTTGTACAACGATATGAATAGACTTAATGCCACTGAGCTATACAATTAAAAATGGTTAAAATGGCAAATTTTCTCTTATGTATACTTATGCCACATTTAAGGAAACAAAATCAAGAATGGTGGCCACCAGAGGGGAGGGACAGAACTGGGAAGGACACATAAAGGGCTACAGCTGTACTGCTGCACATTCTATTGGTGTCCTGGGTGCTCATTCTTTGATATTTGTTTAGTTCACTGCCTATATCCAACCCCACCTTCTCCTCCACAACCACACATACATGCTATGCACCTTATTTCATTGATTCTAAGGCACACATTTTTAAAATTTAACCTCTCTGAAATTGGGATGCATCTCACATCAACATGATAAGAAAAAAATAGCCTTAGTTTATTTGGTAGAGTGTTATCTCTTTTTGTGGTACATAAAATAATGATGCTTCTGACAGTCAATGGTAGCTCAGAGAAGACTAAATACAGGGTATATATTCATATATACAAAGTACTTCATAATTAATTTTTAAATAAAAGCTTTATTGAGGTTAATATACCATGCAATTCACCCATTTAAAGTGTACAATTTGATGGTTTTTAGTATATTCACCGAGTTGTACAACCATCCCGCAATCAATTTTAGAACATTTTCATCACCCCAACAAGAAACCCTTTGCCCATTAGCAGTCACTCCCCATTTCCTCCCACCCCACGCTCCCAGCTCTGGGCAACCACTCCTCTACTTCCTGTCTCTTTAGATTTGCGTATTCTGGAAATTTCATGTAAATAAAATCATACAATATGTGATCTTTCTTGTCTGCTCCTCACACTCAGCATCATGTTTTTGCAAGCAGTCCATTCACTCCTCAGCTCACTCGACTCGTGCTTCTGAACCCACTTGATTGAAATGACCCTGTCTACAGCCATACCACCGTGAACACACCCAAGCTCATCTGAAATGACCCTGGTGTGAGCCACAAGTCATTGTACAGTCTAGTGGCCATTTCTCAAGCTTCATTTCAACCTCATTCAGCACAAACAGCCGAGTGTTGACTAAATGCCAATTCCCATTGGCATCACTCACCTCCTCTCCCTGAGATGTTCCTTCCTTAACTTCTGCATCTCATCCTCATTCTCCTTTTTCTCTGTCTGCTGCCTTGGGTCTTCTCCTCCTGCTCCCTCCTAGGTATAGGAATTCTTGAAGTCTCTATCCTTGTCATTTGTCTCCTCTTCCAACAGTCCCTTCATCTAGGAGGACTGGCGTCCTCCACGATCAGCTGCTCAAGCTTGCATCTTCAGCCCCAATCTCTGCATTTCCAACTGTCTGCTAGACATTTCTCTCTAGGTGTTCCACGGGAACCTCACACTCCACACTGCAGGGAATCTCTCCCCCACATAACCCAGCACTTCCAATTTTGCTTAAGCCATTCAACAAATTCTGCCTTGTAGTTTTCCATTCAACAGGTTACTGAGCATCTGCTAGCTGTCAGACACTGCTCCAAGTGCCAGAGACACCTTAGAGAAGAAAACAAATCCCTTCTCTCATGGAGCTTCCACTCTAGTGAGGAAGACAGATGGTAAACAATTAACTCTGCAATATGGCGGGAGGTGATAAGTTCCTAAAAAAAAATTAAAGCAGAGCAAGAAAATAAAAAAGTGTCAATGGGGTGTGTTGGTTTTTCTCCACATGCTGCCCCTCCTTCCCATCCATTCTCCTCCCTCAGAGCTCTGTGACCCCAAGTGCTGACCCATAATGACTTTCCCTCAAGCTCCCCTGCCCTCTGACTTCTTGTTGGATTCAGCCAATGAGAGGCAGGACGAGGAGATGAGTGAATTGGAGGCAGTGGTGCGCTAGTCAATGTTTATCAGCCAGCTCTCCAGGGAAAAATATGTCCTGATTTGTAGTATTTGCCCATTTCTGTGGTGCAAATACTCCCACCATGAGAGATTCCAAACTGCCATCTTGACACTGGAGTTAGAATGCACTGCATACAATCAGTCCTCATAAACCGGTATGGGCCAGTTCCAATACACCACTGGTGAGAGGGGAGGGAGATCCAGGAGCGTCTTCCTTACTTCCTCCCACCCTCAGTTCAGGCAGGGCTGCATCCCTCGAGGATTACAGCTCTATCCAGAAGAGCCTCTTCCATCATCCACTTGCAACTAGATGCACATACACCATTCCCTTCTCCTACCCCTCCAGCCCAGGATTGGGAATGGCTTCTCAATGACGCTGGTCCCTGGGAGCCTCAGTGTCCCTAGTTAGTTCCCTTTTCCTGCTTCCACCTTTTCCTGAATGCTCTTCAAAATCCCTATGGAACGTACTTTCTGTTTCCTGTGGGACCATGACTCAGGCAGCACGGTGGTCATTTTTTATCAAGTGCACAAGATGGCCTTTCTTGTACTGTAACATTGAGGCAGAGAACTGAGGGAGTGAGACATGGTTTGTGCGGGTCTTGCTTCCCCTCCCCACATTCCCCACGCCCCATGCCTAATAACAATCTTTCCTGTGTTTGATTTCCTGCAGTGCCAATCCCAGTGCCTCACACGGCAACATTTGTTGCATTGTATAGAATCAAGAACATCTACTGCTTTTCTTCTGCTCTCTAAAAAGTGTTCCTTGTTCCTATGAATTTCGCTAATGCTCTTTCATGCTTCCTTTGAATCTTCAGCTGGCCCCATGCCCAGCTAGTCAGTGCTAGTAGGAGGTGGCGTAAAGCCCTCCTACAAAAATTACAGTCCTCTTATAAAAATTGCTGGATTCTGGGCCAGAGTGGATAATTTACACACATTTAGATGATGAATTCAAAAGCCACTAAATCCAAGCCTGTGAAATACAAATCAGCACAATTTGCTGCAATTATATTTAAACTCAATGGAAAGGCCAAATTGGTGAAATGGCATTCCATGGTTTTGCCATCTTACAGAGCAATTCCCACCAGAATTCACGCCTCAGACTCGAGTCTGAGATGATAACATTCCAATATGATTCCTGCATGTCCAATGTTGTTAACCCCAGTGAGCCGAGGCAGGGTGGCTGGATGAGGCCCAAGGTCTATGCTCTCTCCACTACCCAGCTGGGCCCTTTTAGACACCCCATCTGCGGAGGTAAAGTTGACTTGGGAGGGAGAATGGGCTCTTTTTGGAGATTAGGATCAGTGTTGGAATTTGGGCTGAATTTGGAGTTGTGATTGCATTTAGGGTTAAATTTAGGGAAGGGGTTACAGTTAGCAATGAAATTAGAGTTAAGATTCAAAAAAGG
Organism: Homo sapiens; assembly: GCF_000001405.40. Classification (NCBI taxonomy): domain Eukaryota; kingdom Metazoa; phylum Chordata; class Mammalia; order Primates; family Hominidae; genus Homo; species Homo sapiens. The sequence continues at coordinate 226,465,837 of NC_000001.11, read as the reverse complement.
ATAAGAAGGTTAAAATTGAGGTTAGAGATGGGGTTAGTATTGAAGGGGAGTTAAGACGTTCGGGTTGGTATCAAGGTTAAGGTCAGCATTTGGGCTACAGTCTGGGTGAGGATTAGGATTGGAGTCAGTTACAGTTAATGTTAGGGTTAGTGTTGGGGTTAGGGTTATGGTTAGGGTTAAGGTTAGGATACCAATTGGATTGAAGGATCCTCGCCTTGGCACAATGGGGAGGAGTGCGCAAAACCACATCACGGATGTTATCTTTACAGGCCCAGGGGCAGCATGAACATCAGGTTAAGATTAGGGTTGGTGTGCTGGGCACAGTGGCTCATGCCTATAAGCCCAGCACTTTGGGAGGCTGAGGCAGGTGACTCACCTGAAGTTGGGAGTTCGAGACCAGCCTGACCAACATGGAGAAATCCCATCTCTACTAAAAATACAAAATTAGCCAGGCATGGTGGCGCATGCCTGTAATCCCAGCTATTCAGGAGGCTGAGACAGAAGCATCACCTGAACCCAGGAGGTGGAAGTTGTGGTGAGCTGAGATCACACCATTGCACTCCAGCCTTGGCAACAGGAGCAAAACTCCCGTCAAAAAAAAAAAAAAAGAAGAAGAGTTTAGGGTTGGTATGAGATTGCGGTAGGGTTAGTGTTAAGGAAGGGATGCTTGGATAGGGTATTAATTTGATATTGGTCTGAGGTTATGTATCCGAAATTGGTGGGTTCTTGGTCTCACTGACTTCAAGAATGAAGCCGCAGACTCTTGCAGTGAGTGTTACAGTTTTTAAAGATGGTGTCTCCGGAGTTTCTTCCTTCTGATGTTCGGACATGTTCGGAATTTCTTCCTTCTGGTGGGTTCATGGTCTCGCTGGCCTCAGGAGTGAAGCTGCAGACCTTCATATGAGTGTTACAGCTCATAGAGACAGTGAGAACCCAAAGAGTGAGCAGCAGCAAGATTCAGTACAAACAGCAAAAAAACAAAGCTTCTACAGTGCCCAAATAGATCCTGGCAAGTTGCCACTGCTGGCTCAGGCAGCCTGAGTTTATTGTCTTATCTGACCCCACCCACATCCTGCTGATTGGTCCATTTTACAGAGAGCTGATTGGCCCATTTTACAGAGGGCTGATTGGTCCATTTTGACAGGGTGCTGATTGGTGCGTTTACAAACCTTGAGCTAGACACAGAGTGCTGATTGGTGCATTTACAATCCTTTAGCTAGACACAAAAGTTCTCCAAATACCCACTAGATTAGCTAGACACAGAGCACTGATTGGTGCATTTACAAACCTTGAGCTAGGCACAGAGTGCTGATTGGTGCATTTACAATCCTTTACCTAGACAGCGGGGCTGGAGCATGGCCGGGGCATGGCCACGGACTGCAGGTCCCGAGCCCTGCCCCACAGGGATGCGGCTGAGGCCCAGTGAGAATTCCAGCGAGGCGCTGGGGGAGCCAGGGCAGTGCTGGGGGACCCGGGGCACCATCCACAGCTGCTGTCCCAGGTGATAAGCCTCTCACTGCCCAAGGCCGGTGGTGCCAGCCGGCTGCTCAGAGTGCAGGGCCCACCAAGCCCACGCCCACCTGGAACTCGCACTGGTCCACGAGGGCCGCACGCAGCCCTGGTTCCCATCCGCGCCTCTCCCTCCACACCTCCCCGCAAGCAGAGGGAGCCGGTTCCGGCCTCGGCCAGCCCAGAGAGGGGCTCCCACAATGCAGCTGCGGGCTGGAAGGGCTCCTCAAGCATGGCCATAGTGGACGCCAAGGCCCAGGAGGTGCCAAGAGCAAACGAGGGCTGCTAGCCATTGTCACCTCTCAGTTAGACAGGGGAAATGTCGATTTCTAATGGCTAGCTGGAGAGTATATGGACAGCTTGATAGCCTCACTTACTCTCCTTCTACCATCTGCTCCCCAGTTATCTCCTAGATGTACCTCCTCTGGTTTACAACTTTGGACTTCAAAATTCTTCTGTAAAATCACAATATTTAGCAGTAGAAACTGCCCCTCTCTTGGAAAACTTACTCAACCCTCTATGACAAGATCTGCTGATTGCCTTTCCCAGCACCCATGCTCCCCTTCTTCTCAGTAACATAATCCAGATTTTTTTTTTTTTGAGACTGAGTCTCACTCTGTCGCCCAGGCTGGAGTGCAGTGGCATGATCTAGGCTCACTGCAACCTCCGCCTCCCAGGTTCTAGTGATTCTTGTGCCTCAGCCTCCTGGATAGCTGGGATTACAAGCATGCACCACCACACCCAGCTAATTTTTGTATTTTTAGTAGAGAGGGGGTTTTACCATGTTGGCCAGGCTGGTTTTCAACTCCTGACCTCAAATGATCCACCCGCCTCAGCCTCCCAAAGCTTTGGGATTACAGGTGTGAGCCACTGCACCCAGCCAATATGGCAGATTCTATCATAAATGCTTTATCTGAATCATCTCATCTAATCCTTACAATAACCCTATGAAGTACCTCTTATTATATTTCCTTTTTGCAGACCAGTAATTGAGGCACAGAGATGTTAAATAACACAACTGAGGTCACAGGGTTGGTAAGCGGTAGAGATTGGATTAGAATCCAGGGAGTCGGAGGCCCAAGCACAAGTTCCTAAGCACCATACTCTACTGCCTCCCATTCATTCAGTAAAGAATAATTGTTACTATCTGCTGAGCACTTTCTAAGAGCCAAACTCTGTACCAGTCCTTCTCAATCAGAGTGATGTTGCCCCCAGGGAACAGGTGGCAATGTCTGAAGACATTTTCCTACCATCAGCACTATAGTGAGGAACCCTACTGGCATTGAGTATGTAAAGGCTAAGGAGACTATTAAGCAGCCTACGATGCCCAGCACAGCCCCCTACAATAAAGAATCATCCAGCCCAAAATGTCAATAGTGCCAAGGTTGGCAAATCCTGCTCTATCCTAGGCACTTTACATTTTCTCATTTAACCCTCACAACAATCCTATGAAACAGTTGCTGTTACTCTTTTACAGTGAAAAACCTAATGCTTAGACTGAGATTAAGTAATTTACCCAAAGCACAGAGCAATAGATGAAGTGGTAATTCAAACCAAGATCGGTCAGATTCCTAAAAACTTTTTGGGTCCAGGCACTGTGTCCGTTAATTTGCATATCATATAGAGTTCCCTATGGCTGCTGCAACAAATTAACCCAAACTTGATGGTTTAAAACAACAGAAATGTAGGCCGGGCACAGTGGCTCACACCTGTAATCCCAGCACTTTGGGAGGCCGAGGAGGGCAGATCATTTGAGGCCAGGAATTCGAGACCAGCCTGGCCAACATGGCAAAACCCCATCTCTACTAAAAATACAAAAATTAGCCAGGCATGGTGGCGCACACCTGTGATCCCAGCTATGCGGGAAGCTGAGGCACAAGAAACGCTTGAATCTGGGTGGCAGAGGTTTGCAATCCAGCCTAGGCAACAGAGACAGACTCTGTCTCAAAACAACAACAACATTCTCTTTTTAAAAATAAAGCAAAACAACAGAAATGTATTCTCTCATACTTCCGGAGGCCACACACTTGAAATCAGTATCCCTCAGCCAAAATCACAGTCTCAGCAGGGCCATGCTTCCTCCAGAGCTGCTAGGAAAGAATCCACAGGCCAGCATTCCTTGGCTTGTGGCTACATCATTCCCATCTTCAAGACCAGAGTCTTCAAATCTTGTCTGCTCCTTCTTCACGTCACCTTCTTCTCTGCGTGTGGCCAAATCTCCCTCTGCCTCCCTCTTATGAAGATTCATGTGATTGCGTGAAGGCTTACCCAAATAATCCAGGATAATCGCCCCATCTTGACATCTTTAACTTAATCACATTTGCAAAGATCCTTTTTCCAAATAAAGTAAAACTTACAAGTTACAGGTATTAGATCAGATCTGATATCAGATCCTAATCCCTGCAACCTGCACATTTTGGAGGCCATTATTCAGCATACTACACATATGTCTTCCCAAGAATGCTGCAAGATCATTCTGTTATGCACATTTTACAGATACACCAGCTGTGTGGGAGATGATCCACGCTCTAGATGTGTAAGACCGAGTCTATGACCCCTAGAAGCTTGTCAGGTGAGGCAAAAGCCTTTGCAGGAACACCTACCATACACACACACACACACACACACACACACACACACACACACAACTATCAATTGACCTGACGAGATTTGGCCTTACAACCATTTCTAAATTTGGAAAATATTTTTCATTGTACTATTTTTAATTGCACTGCATTTTTTAAGTGCTCAAAACTACTTTTAAATCACCTCTGTTGACTTTATTTGCAAAGTGAAGACATTCTTGTGATGCAAACAACTGTTCCCTGGTCTATCTGTACCTTAACTCAGATTTTTTTTTAAATATGAGCTTTCTTAAGTCGGGGACTGCACCATAACTTAATATATCAATACCTTATATGTGTTCCACTTTTTGTTTAACACTTCATATTGACCAAAGGGCTTCGGTCAGCGTGAGTTCCTATGCTCTACGTGCTCAATCAGGGGAAGGGGAAGTGACTTTCTTTTTTCATCTCCATTTGCCAGATGTGATAAGTGAAACATCAGTAGCTATTCCACTTTATCATGCAGCTCCCAGACAGCTCCAAGGGAGAGTCCTTAGAACATTTCTTCTTGTTCTACCTTCTACCTTCAGGGGATGTAGATCTGGACTTATTAAAACACAGCTAACCCAGGAACTTCTCTGATGTTCACAAGACTCTTTCATGTATTCATTCACTGGGTCAATGGTAGTTGAGAGCCTCCTACGTGCCAGGCACTATGGAGATGCAATGGGGAGCAAACACATATGAAAATAGTTTAGCTTATGGTTGTGTAACATCAACATTACAATCCCAGAGCTGACCTCGTTTAACATGAAGTCTACATACCATTGATTTCCCAGGCTCCCATTCACCTCCCTCTCTGAAGTCCAATGATTCAGTAGATCAGCACCCCATCATCCCATAACTGTGGTAAGTGGAGCTCTCATATCCATCACAACCATATACAGAAATTGGTATGTTAATCAAAACAGTCGAAGAGTGAATTCACTAAAAATTATATATGTGTGTGTCATATATATATATCCATTAAACATTTTATTTTTTGCTGGGTGCAGTGGCTCACCCCTGTACTCCCAGCACTTTGGGAGGCCAAGGCAGGAGGATCATGTGAGGTCAGGAGTTCAAGACCAGCTGGCCAATATGGTGAAACCCAGTCTCTACTAAAAATACAAAAAGTAGCCGGGCATGGTGGCGTGTGCCTGTAATCCCAGCTACTCAAGAGGCTGAGGCAGGAGAATCGCTTGAACCCGGGAGGTTGAGGTTGCAGTGAGGTGAGATTTGCACCATGCACTCTAGCCTGGGTGACAGCAAGACTCTGTCTCAAAAAAAAATTATTTTTTGTGTAAATATTCCTGCAATCTTTCAGAGTGGAGTTAAAGGTATCTTCCTTGCTCATAGATCTGCGGCGTGGAGTTACGAGTCCTCTTTCTCATGGGTAGCAGACCTACTATTTATCCCTGAGGATTTCCAGTCTCTGCTTCTTTAAAGTAAAGGGAGATGGTGAAACCCAGGGCTAACCTGGTTGGGTCTGCAGAACTTAAAAACTTGCCTCCTTTGTTTTTAGTCACTTGCTTTTAGTTGATTTTAAAACCCATATAACTAAAAGTCATGTAGCTAAACAATATATATCTAAACCCCCACTAGCTTCCTTATAGATAACCTCTCTGACATATGTGTCGCCACAGTAATTAAGTTGTTTTTCAGAAACCTGGGGTCAGCTCTTGTCCAGTTCGAACCAGCTAAGACCACTGACCCTTCAGCTGGGCCTGTGTGAGTCGCCGGTGGGTGACCTTTTAACACCAGAAGACCAAAAACCCTCCCTCCGATCATGTTAATCATGCCATTTGTGAACACGCAACCTATGAAGAGCCACAAAGCCCACTAAGCTTGCGAAGATCACCGATTACCTCACTTTGCCTTACCCCCATCACCATTTCTGATGCCTCAGAGGGCCTAGGTGCTCCATCCCATAAATATCTCTAAAACCCCATCTTTGGAGAGGTGGATTTGAGACCTGTTCTCCCACCTCCTTGCTTGGACGCTGTATTAGTCAGGGTTCTCCAGAGGGACAGAGCTAACAGGATAGATGTATATATGAAGGGGAGTTTATCAAGGAGATTGACTCACACAATCACAAGTTGAATTCCCACAGCAAGCCATCTGCAAGCTGAGGAGCAAGAAAGCCAGCAGTGGCTCAGCCCAAGTTCCAAAGCCTCAAAAGTAGGGAAGGCTTCAGTCTATAGCCGAAGGCCCAAGAGCCCTTGGAAAACCACTGGTGTAAGTCCAAGAGTCCAAAGGTCAAAGAACCTGGAGTCTGATGTTCAAGGGCAGGAAGCATCCAGCACAGGAGAAAGATGAAGGCCAGGAGACTCAGCAAGCCAGCTCATCTCACCTTCTTCTTCCTGCTTTTTCTAGCTGGGCTGGCAGCCAATTAGATGGTGCCCATCCACGTTGAGGATGGGTCTTTTTCTGCCAGTCCACGAACTCAAATGTTAATCTCCTCTGGTAACACCCAGAAACACCCAGATACACCCAGAAACAATACTTTGCAACCTTCAATCCAATCAAGTTGACACTTAATATTAGCCATCACAGATGCCTTGTGAATAAACCCTTTCTCTGCTGCAAAACTCACAGTCTCAGTGATTGGCACACTGAGCAATGAGCAGAATAAGCCCTTTTCGCTATCAATGGTGAAGACACTTATGAGGCAATCCCAGTTCAGAAGCCTAGTTTTTTAGTATCTTTTCCCCAATCTTTTCGATTCTCTCATCCACATCTAATTTGTGTGTGTGTGATTTGACTTGCCTTTATTAAATCCTCTGAAAGCTTTTAGGTTAGTTTTCCAAGAAAATTTTTTGCACTCACGTTATACATATTAATTCAATTAAATTATGTAAGTGTAGTAACAAGTCCAACTGGCATAATCAGGTTTGGGAACAATGAATTCTTGGTAAGAAATAATTCATATCAACTATGGAAGCAAAAGCATGCCAGGTGCCCGTAGGCTGTGGGCAGTTATCTTTTACAGAGGGCCTGAGAGTGAAGGTCAGTTAGGTGACTGTGCTAAGCAGAGGTTGAGTAAAAGGGCCTCCACCAAACATTTGCCTTCAACATGTTAAACAAAAACTCCTATCAGCCAGCCATGGTGGCACCGCCTATAGTCCCAGCTGCTCTGGAGGCTGAGATGGGAAAATCACTTGAGCCCAGCAGTTTGAGGCTGCAGTGAGCTACGATTGTACCACTGCACTCCAGCCTGGAAGACAGAGCAAGACGCTGTCTCTAGAAGTAAATTTAAAAATTAAAAATTAAAAAACTCCCAAGAGGACATCAGTTTTTACCAAGCTCCTGCACTTTGCCCCAACAGACCAGACTAAAAATCAAAATAGAGTCACCTATGCTAAAGTTCCATGTCACCAAACCTAAACTAAGTTGTCATCTAACCTTTCAAGAAACGAGGCGAGAGAGAGAACAGCCAATTTCCCAAGCAGGCCAGTTTCAATCTTCAGTGGGCAAAACGAAGTTCCCTCTGCGCTAGTCCTTAACCTGCTATTAACCAGACAGTTCTTTCTCTATTGTTCTGTCTGGCTCTGCCCCTTACAAGGAAAATAACCTTTAAACAGCCAATCCACTTTTTGTTATCTGTTTCTGCTTCCTTCAGTCCTTCTTCTGTCCATAAAAACCAACCCCCTCTGTTCAACTCATTGGGGCATTTATTCTATTTTATGGATTCTACAATCGCAAATAAAGCCAGCTGAGATCTTTAAACTAACTTTGCTGTAATGTTGCCTTTTGACAAAAGCACACCTGAAGCAGTTGTTGGGCCCAGCCAGCAGCTGGTGAACCAGCACCTGGGACTGTTTATGTGGCTGAGGGTTGTTGACTGCAGAGGATAAGGTCAGGCGGCCAGAGCCATGGGGGGAAAGTGAGGCAGGCTCCATTCTACGGCTGCCACTCAAGCTTCTGGAAGCCCATTGGCAGCTCCTGAGATGATCAAAACCAAATGGCTGAGGGCTTTTTATCTTTGCAAATGTACCTTACCACGGAAGAAAAAGTCACTGACTCCCCGTTACTCAGCGAAAGAATATGCCCTGCTCAACTTCCTGTGTTAGACGGAGGGAAAAAAGAGCCCTCTTCCATGGCAGCCCTGGCAGCGCCCCCTACAGACCTTACATTAAAGCTCTTCTTGGTTAGTTACACCCACCGAGACCAGAGCTGTGGCTCCCTGCCCATCAGGCTGGGTGGCACGTGCAAAGAGCCTTCTACCAGAAGACCTGGACTGAACGGCCAGCCCCATCCCCTTTGAGCCAGGGGAACTGAGCTGGTCTCTTCGCTCTGCGAACTAGTTGTCTTGTTTACATGGGAGGAGTCATCCTTTACCCAGGGAGTCGTTGGGCGATCACGTGCATCTCAAACAGTAGTAAGCATCCGCCCTGGGCTGAGGTTAGCGGGGGTATCTTCCTGTCTCAAACTAAAGGATCAGCAGGAACCTCAGTTTTACTCCAAGGAAAACAATTTAGCACATTATTATTATATTTATGCCAACACAGGTTCAGCATGGAGTAGAACAAGAAATCCCCACAAGTATTTAAGACAACAGCAGACTTTAGAGAGATTTGAAACCTGCACACAAGCTGCACTGGGCGATACCACCTCAGAGAAAAATCACCATCCTCTGCCATCCTGTGCCTGGGCTACTAGGGACTGCTCCTGGGGAATGGCTGAGAAAAACAGAACTATGTTAAAACACTCTGTAGACTGTGGAGTGCTAGACAAATAGAGGAGATTATTTTTATTTATATTCGCATCAGTGTTAGCCTTGGGTTCCCAACTAGATGGGAAATTCTTGAGAACAGAAACAATGTCTTGGCGAGGTGTGGTGGCTCATGCCTGTAATCCCAGCATTTTGGGAGGCTGAGGCAGGACGTTTACTTGAGCCTAGGAGTTTGAGACTAGCCTGGACAACACAATGAGACCCCATCTCTTAAAAAAAAATTAATTAGCCGGTTGTGATGGTGTGCACCTGTGGTCCCATGAGCCCAGGAGGTCGAGGCTGCAGTGAGCTGCGAAGCCGTGATTATGCCACTGCACTCCAGCCTGGGTGACAGAGCAAGACCCTGTCTCAAAAAAAAAGAAAAAAAAAAAGAAAGAAAAGAAAAGAAACAATGTCCTTCTAATGTCCTTCTTGCGGCTTGCTTTCTCCGTTTTCTTCCTTCCCAGGCCTGCACTGAGCATACCACAGCTGCTCCATAAATACAGGGGTCCTGAGGACAATGAGGAGACCCTAAGTGTTAAGTCAAAGACATCTGGATTTGAATGAATCTCTCAACTGAAATTGATGCGGGAAATCCTCACAGAGGCCCCCTCCTCTAAGCCCCAGAGAGCCTGTAATTGCCAGCAGAATCTGCCATTCTCTGTGACAGTCCCTGAGGCTAGCAATGAGGTTTCCTGTGCTGCAGAAGGAATCTGAGGAGGTACCCAGAAAGTCTAGACAAGCCCTGGGAGATGGGGACAGAGGGCGAGAGAGAGGCTAAGTCAATCTGCAGAAAGAGAAGGAAAAGGTGACCTCCAAAGGTAGGCTTGGCTCTTGGGGTGGAGGCCGTGTGTGCGTGCACGCGCGTATGTGTAGTAGGGGGAGATCCACGGCCCTGCCTGGAGGGGCAGCTGTTGGAGGTGAGGAATGAGGGATGTGTCTCAGCAACAGGTCAGCAGAGGATACGTGTGGCCCTCTTACACTATCCATAGCAGGCGCACAGTTGGTATGTTCAACACCTCCATGAAGACACCGCAGCTGGCCGGGTGCAGTGGTTCACACATGTAATCCCAGCACTTTGGGAGGCCAAGGCAGGTGGATCACCTGAAGTCAGGAGTTGAAGACCAGCCTGGTCAACATGGTGAAACCCTGTGTCTACTAAAAATACAAAAATTGGTCGGGCATGGTGGCATGTGCCTGTAGTCCCAGCTACTTGGGAGACTGAGGCAGGAGAATCGCTTGAACCCGGAAGCAGAGGTTTCAGTGAGCCAAGATTGCACCACTAAACTCCAGCCTGGGCAACAGAATGAGACTCTGTCTAAAAAAATTAAATAAATAAATAAATATTTTAAAAAGAAGAATACAAAAGAGAAAAGAAAAAACGGGGAGTAAAAGGTGGCTGGGCCAGAGGAGGGTAGCAGTTTTGGGGTGAACGTGGAGTTCCAGAGAGTATCAGGGGACTGGAATTAGAGGGTGAAACGGGAGTGACTAGAGATACAGCTGGGAATTAGAAATTGGATCCTCCTAAACGTTCTTCAGAAGATTCAAGGCTGAAAATTACTCTTCAATTATTTACTCTGTTTCTGTAAGTGCATCTTCAGATGCGACCCAGCTCCAAGTCAGAACTGTGGGGGTCGAGGATTCTACAAGGTTGCCTTGGGTGAGTGGCTTTTATTTGTATTGATTAATTATATCTGCCACTTTGCAAAAAAGTGACTTGAGGTGAGGCAAGAACATTTAATCTCTCTGAATCTCATTTTCTTCCTCTGACAAATTGGGCTCCTGACACCAGGTGAGAGGTGTCCAGGTATCCTGGTAACCAGGTCTGAGGCTGTGGAAATTAAATAAGAACACGTGTGAAGCGCCAGCACAGTGCCTGGGACCCAGTAAACCTCCGGAACTGCTGGCCCTTCCCCAAAACAACTTGCCATTGTTCCCAGCACAAAGAAATGATAAAGGCTTGAGATGATGTATATGCTAATTACCCTGATTTGATCATTACACATTGTGTACATGTATCAAAATATCACACTGTACCTCATCAATATGTACAATTATTATGTATCAATTAAAATAATAATAAAAGAAAGAAAAAATTGGAAACAACCCAAATGTTCTTCAATTGCTGAATAGATCAACTGTGGGTTTAAAAAAATCCCAAAACTTGGTCATCTAGTGGAATCCTGTGACTGTTTAAAATGCAATAATAGGGTAGAGGTTCCCTGAAAGCAGAAGCCCTCTATAAGTACAAGTTGTTATTGCTGTCTTTATTATTATCTTAAAGTGCTTTGCAGCCATGGAAGTTGACAAAGGAAATGTAATAACAGCTTCTCCAAGAACTTCAAGTATTCTTATGCATTATCCAAATCTCTCTAACGTCTGGGGAAAAGGGTTGGAGAGGAAAGGGAGGGAGTTTTAGTCTTTATCCCTTAAAGATGCTGTCAAGGGAAGGAATGACTCACTATGTCTACTTCTACCTGAAACACTCAGGCTCATGATAGAAAGGCCAGGCTCATGATAGAAAGGCCAGCCCCAGTCTGGCTCAGAAGTGATGGGACTGCGGCTTCAGCCCACCTATTTGGACTCCTAAGTAAGAGTTTTTTGCACCATTCAGCACAGCCTAACAAGCAGGGCACAGAGCTGTATAGACCAGGCTGTAACCATAAATAGCCACACACACGTGTGCAGCACACACACACACACACACGAGCCTTATTGTCCATTTGGCCTGGGGCCTCCCCTGCCACGGCTGCTCTGCCAAATGGGGAACCAGAACAGAACACGAATGGGCCTTTATTAACCCAACAATGAAATTTTCCGAGAAAACATCCCAGCCCAGCCGATGGCCCAGTTGTAGCTGACCAGTGACAGGAGCCACTTGGGCAGACCACAGAGGTACCCACCACCCCTTAATCCCTGCCAGCCTCTGCTCCAGAGAAAATCTTGATCTCATTTAAGACTTTTCCCCAGGGTCAAAGATGTGTGTGAAATGAGGTCTCAAGTTCATTTGTACCTGATTTGCATATGACTAGCATATTTCTTCACAGGCTTTGAGACAGTCACTTCTATCTCTTCCCCACCCACCCTCAAATCCTGCCCCTCCTCCTGGGCCAGGAAAAGCCTGCTTTTGTCCCCATGTGCCTGACAGCCACTTTTGTGATCCCTGTGCATGAATCCTGGCCATCACCCAGCAAGTACAGCCTCATCTGAACCTGTCACTGTCTCCCAGTGCACTTGCCTCCCTAGCCACCTACTTTCAAAAATGAGAAAAAAAACAAAAAAACAAAAACCCTACCTGCTTTCAAAAATGCCCTTAAAGAATTCTTTGTTTTCTCCATCGATTTCTTCAACACCTTCTACTTGAACTTGCTCATTTGGCTTTCCCTTAGGAGCCTGACAGGGCCCAGAGTCAGGGCCTGGCCCAGGCCTGTCTCATCAGTATTCCAGTCGGGTGCTCCTGTGCCCACCGTCAGCAGTGAGTATGCAGGGGTGGACAGGTGGGCAGTCCTGCCCCGGCCCCTCACCCTCTCTTCCCCTGCAGCCCAAGGTCTTAGCGACATTGTCCTGGTGGGCCCTGCACAGCTAGCCTCACATGGTAACAGACACTCAGCCCCCAGAATAGATACATCATCTAACAAACCATGAGGCAGGAGCCTCACAACCCTTACCCTGAAGGATTTAAGGACATAAGAAGAAAGATATGTCTTGGCTTGTTAAGCTGCCAACACTCAGCCAGAGGCCCTGTGCTGGGCTGGAGCAGAGAACTCTAGGGAAGAATCTGCTCTTGTCAAATTACAAATTACATATCCCCCACCCTGGCCCAGGCCCTGCCTCCTGGGCCTCAAAGAGCCCCAGAAGTGCTGGCTGTAGATCCCCTAGAGAGGCTTCAGAGAGGATTACCAGGATTGTTCAAATGAGACGATGAAAGTGAGGCTGCTCTAAAAGAAAAGACACCCCGCACAGGCAAACTGATGGCATTAGGATTATTATGACTATTACGAAGGTAAAATGTTCTGCAAGCTTAAAATCTAACAAAGGAGAAGTAAAAATAGCCAATCCAACAAGCCCTGAAGTGTGCTATCCTCTTTTCTAAGTCCTAATACTATTAAAAACAGAAAAGGGGTTCTACAGTGCTAGAATCTATAAACCTCTTTCCTTCCACAGTATGCTGTCTGTAATTTGCTCTCGGTAAGAGAGTGTGAGCTAATAGGGTACAGTGCAGGGAAGTGCTGATAAAGCACCCAGGGAGACTCCCCCAAGTCAGCCCACCCTGGGCCACTGTCCTGAGAGCAGGTCTTGACCAAGTCCAGAAGGCTATTTTCTGCTATTCAGAAACTTCCTTCGGCAACAAAGAGCTTTCTGTAAAAGACTGCCCACTGGAAATGGGAGTTCTCCCTCTCTCTTTGTTGGGTGGTGGGTGATGAGGTTTAGATGGCTCAGCGATTCGGTTCAGCCATCACCACCACCTGACCGTGACCATGGCCCAGCTCCTCCCCTTCAGTGCCTCAGTGCCCTCAGATCTGAAATGATGGCCCCTTTACCCTGCTCTATGGCCTGGAGAGAAAGACAAATGGGACAGATAGCCTAAATGCCTCCATCTCTTCTGAGCAATATCTGAGAAGAGTAGTAAAAACTGTGAGGCTGGTGTTCCATGGTTCATGCCGGTAATCCCAGCACTTTGGGAGGACAAGGTGGGAGGATTGAGGCCAAGAGTTCAAGAACAGCCTGGCCAACGTAACAAGACCTCATCTCTACAAAATGTTTTTTAAATTAGTCAGGCACTGTAGCATTCCTATAGTCCCAGCTGCTTGAGAGGCTGAGGCAGGAGGACTGCTTGAGCCTGAGAGTTGGAGGCTGCGGTGAGTTATGATCACGCTACTACACTCCAGCCTGTGTGACACAGCAAGACCCTGTCTCTACAATAAAAACAAACAAACAAAAAAACTGTAGGAGGTACAGACCTTCATTATCCAGGTGTGTGGAAGCAGGTAGGGAAGTCAAGCTTTGCCCTCAGCCCCCAGGAACACTGAGGGAAATAAATGACCTTGAACTTGGCATTGCTGGGCGTCCTGTGCAGGGAACGTGTGGACTCTAGGGTAGTGCTGAGGGTGAACTAGCCAGCCCCTACCTAACAGCCTTTGTTCTCCCCAGGGAGTGCTGATGAAGTTCAAGAATCCTCCTCTTCACTCCCTCACTGGGCCAAGTGGATGTAGCATGGGGCCTCAACTGGGGGTTGTCAAATCAGAGGGGCCTGATACAGGTGAACCTTCAGGAGCCCTGGCTACAATCACTGGCTTTGATATAGTAATTAGTGGAGCCCAGCAAGAGGCAGGCTTTTCAAATGACTGTACTTATATTTGTTATAGGATTGTTCAACATAAAGATTTCCAGTATAAAATTATCTAAATGAACTCTTTATTTAAAATGCACACACATTCCTTTGAGGAATAAAAGTGAAAGGTCACTCAGAACCTTAACTTCCAGGGGGGTGTCTGCAAGGGTTCCTTTTGGTCACTTGTAACACAGCTGTTCTCCCTACCCCACAGCTGTGTAGGCTAACCTGTGCATTGGACCCGGTATGAAGACTTTCTTCAGAGAATGTCCAGAACCTTCAGGTGTTAGTTTAGCTAATTTAGCAGAGGATGGCATGCATCTTGCAGTGAGAGCAAGTGCCACCAAGCTATGAGAGTTGCACATTCTTATACGCTATGGTGGGATTCCCTCTCTGAGATTGGTGTCTGTAGGGGTCCTGCTGTTCGCACCCTTGCTATCATGGGTTGTATGTGAAAGTTAATTACAATGATCCTAGATTTGATCATTGTGCTTGCTGCCTCTGTCACCCCCACACATCTGGTGGTGGGTTTTGCAGACATGCAAATTAGGCCACCCTAATATATTGATGTAGCTGAGATACCCTTCCTTAGGATGCAGACAGCTCTCATGGGTTGGTATTGTCAACTGAAGAATGTTGAGGTTCATACAATTAGAAAGGAGAGCCTTATTTCTCATAAAGGGCTGTAGCCTGCAGGGTAGTCATTCTGACAGATTGGGAAGCATAGCCTCCAGTCAGAAGCCAGAAACAGATACTCCAAGGGAGGGGCAGAGGGGTCAGGAATTTATGCTGAGCAGGGTGGCTGATTATACATATTCAGTAAGCTAGAGGAGGAGTCATGAATATTTATGGAAGGAAAAACGTGCTCATGCACAACTGAGCTTCATACCCTTTCGTAGGACCCATGTACAAAAAAATGGCTGTGTTAGAATGATCTGGGGGTGGAGTTTTCTACCCTCTGACATCAAAAGGTGAAGCAGAGGACATGAAGACCCTCACTGAGCATTCTCCGTAGACTGGCCAAGACCACTCTGTGGTTGGTGGTCTCTTATCAGGCAAAAAAAGAGGGGCAGCATCAGGTGGTTGGTTGATATCAGTGTGGAATCTTTTGAAAGGGCTGGTTTCTGTTCAGCCCTCGGAAGAAAGCCTAATGGTGATTAACAAGGGAGGGAGTATAACAAGGTGTTGAGTCCCCCATTCCATCATGGCTGAGAACTCAGTTTTCAAGGTTACTCTGGGGTTCCTTGGCCAAGAGGAGGTCCCTTCAGTCAGTTGAGGGGCTTAGGATTTTATTTCTCAACGTTGTGTCATAGTTCTTATTTTTCCTCTACACAAACATACTTTAATGTCCCTTAGAACACAACCAAACCTCTAAGAGCAATGCCATGTCTCTCAGTGCTTTTCAAACTCCCCCTTCTCAACAAGCCCCTTCACGAGTGGGGAATAAACCAGACCCTAATCGCATAGTCCCCCAGCCAAAGACAGAGCTTGTAAACATGTGGAGTACAGGGACCATGTCTGGCTTCCTACATCACTAGCATGAGATCTTCCGCAGGCAACTGCACAGGGACTCAAATGATCTGGATGATAACGGCAGAACGTGTCCTCTAGCACAATCCTATATGGTCTGGGTAGGGCTGACCCAGAATGGGCCAATCGTTGTACCTCATGCTCCTGCTATAGTGATTGGTTTAGAAAAAGACATGTGACCTAATTATAGCCAATCATAGGCTTCTCTGGAATTAATTTATAAACATTGGGTAAGACTAAGACTTGTTTTTTTTCAACTGGAGTTGTCAAGCCAGGAGAATGTGAGTCCAGGTGGCAGCCATAGCACCTGCATACAAGCAGGGGTGGGATAGACCAGATGGAAAGAGGGAGAGGACACCTTGAGAACCTTATCGGAGCAACTGAATCTAGCTGTGCCTAAAGTAACAACAGACCTGTTAAATAAGCAAATAGGAATTCTATTTCTAAAGGAATTAGTGTGGTTTTCCTGTCAAACCCAGAAGTTCTGATAATATGATGTTTGTATATTCATGCTATTTCCATATGTTCTCATGTTCACACAGGCAATGATTAATAAATGCTCATTTACTTACTAAGCAAAGGTGGTATACAGTAGCTCACATTTTCCTATACCCACAGTTGCCCTCACAAGGCAGCTAAGCTAATTCGAATGGGTCCAGGCCATAGGACAGAGTTCCAAGGACTGTAGTTTACACCAGCTTCCACACCACCTCCCCACTTTGCAACATGTCCCTAGAAAATGTCCAAATGTCTCTCGCACAGTCTTCTTACCTGTTAATTTATTAATTGTCACCTTGGCCAACCAGGTTTGTATAGATTAAAAAAAGGAAACAGGCCCAGTGCTGTGGCTCATGCCAACATTTTGAGAAACAAGGCAGGGGAATTGCTTGAGCCCAGGAGTTTGAAACCAGCCTAGGCAACATGGTGAAACCTTGTCTCTACAAAAAACACAAAAATTAGCTGGGTGTGGTGGCGCACGCTTATAGTCCCAGCTACTTGGGAGGCTGAGGTGAGAGGATCGCTTGAGCCCAGGAGGTTGAGGCTGCAGTGAGCAGAGATCACTGCACTCCAGCCTGGGCGACAGAGCAAGACCCTGTCCCCCCCCAAAAAAAAAGAAAAAAGAAAAGAAAAAGCGGAAACGGTTTTTAGAATGAGTCCACCCAGCTTGTTGTCACTCTGTTACAGTCACCAAGAACCTAATGCCAACAGTCACAATCATGATAATAGCATGCATTTATACTTCTTTAGATATGCTAAGGCATGTTACTTCCTCCTCTAGTTCTTTAGTTCAGGAGATTAACATGTCCTCAATTCACCAGGGGCGATCAGGCCACAAACTGATTAAACCAAAATTCCAAAGAAATTGCTTAAGGAGCAAAAAGGACTAGTTATTAATTTAGAATGAGAAATATGACATTTACTATCTAATTGACAAGAGGGTTAGAGAATTTACTTTGGCCAGTCTGAATATTGTCTTCACAGTAAGAAAATCTATTGTAGAAATTTAATTAAGAAGACCATTGGGTAAATATGAAACAAGATGAATGAACTTGGATAGTCATGTTGCTTATTTTTATCAAGCTGGAAAAATGAGATGAATCATGCTTGTCTAGTGGTCAGATAGTCATTTATGCAGGTCAGAGCACCCTCTCCAACAGGGCTACAGACTTCTTAAGAAATTCTTGCATATTCACACAATAGGTCCCTTCTCTACCTCCTTCTCTGTGTATTCAAGTTGTGGCCATCATTCAAGGCTGATTTTAACAAAAGATGCAGAAGAGGGTGTCAACCTGAAATAATCAAAAGGATCAGAATCTTTTTTTTTCTTTTTTTTTTCATTCTGTCACCCATGCTGGAGTGCAGTGGTGAAATCATAGCTGCCTGCAGCCTTGACCTCCTGGGCTTGGCCTCCCAAATAGCTAGGATTACAGGCGTGCATCACCGCATCTGGCTGATTTTCAAATTTTTTTAGGGACAGGATCTCACTGTGTTGCCCTGGCTGGTCATGAACTCCTGGCCTCAAATCATCCTCCCAACTCAGCCTTCGAAAATGTTGGGAATACAGGCATGAGGCACCCCACCTGGCCTTAGACTCCAATTTTAAAGGGTTTATTCAAGGGAAAAACTGGAAATGGCTCTTCAGGAGACACAGACGCCAGAGAAATAGGGTCACTGTTCCAAATTTAAAAGTTACATGGTTGCTTGTATAGGCAGAAAACAAAGAAATTTAACAGGATTACATTTTCTATTCAAGGTTGGTTTATGAATTACAACAAATTAATTAGTTTCAGTGTGTTTTCTTTTCCCTACATCTTGTTTTCATTTCTTTTCCAATTTAAAAGGGTATGTCTAACAGGTGGCTCATACCTGTAATCCCAGCACTTTGGGAGGCCGAGGTAGGCAGATCACTTGAGGTCAGGAGTTTGAGACCAGCCTGGCCAACATGGTGAAACCCCATCTCTACCCAAAATACAAAAAATCAGCCAGGCATGGCGGCAGGCGCCTGTAATCCCAGCTACTGGGGAGGTTGAGGCAGGAGAATTGCTTGAACCTGGGACACGGAGGTTGCAGTGAGCCAAGATTGCACCACTGCACTCCAGCCTAGATGGCAGATCGAGACTTTGTCTCAAAAAAAAAAAAAAGAAAAGAAAAGCAAGGTAATATGGAAGTGAATCTATAATGAAGATCAATAGTGAAGAGGAAAGGAGATCTTCCCTGGTGCTTTTTAGTCATTCAGTACATTTTACAAAATAATGCAGCTAAGGAAGCCGGCTCATCTATAAACAGAGAAACAAAGGTTACAGCTGCTTGTCACATGACTCAGGCTCCATAATTACATTCCTTTTTTTTTCTGAGACCGAGTTTCCCTCTGTCGCCCATACTGGAGTGTGGTGGGTCAATCTTGCTCACTGCAACCTCCGCCTCCTGGGTTCAAGCAATTCGTGCCTCAGCCTCCCGAGTAGCTGGGATTACAGCCGTGTGCCACCACGCTTAGCTAATTTTTTGAATTTTTAGTAGAGATGGGGCTTCGCTATGTTGGCTGGGCTAGTCTCGAACTCCTGTCATCAAGTGATCTCCCTGCCTCGGCCTCCCAAAGTGCTGGAATCACAGCCACCGTGTCCAGCCAGATTTCTTTAAGGCTCAAAATAATTTAGAGTTCCAACAGCTTAGATTTTGAACTACTTATTTTCGCAAGGGCAACCAAGAATGAGAAGGATCTGGAGCCCATCTCTGGTGGACATTGCTGGTCGCCTACCCAACACCCATTTTGCATTCCCCACTCCTGACAGAACTCCAGTTTAGTTCAGCTATCATGCTCATACAAGCCAATGAGGTGCATGGCTCTTAGGAAGTTAGCCTCAATTTTATCAACTGAAAAAAATCCTGAGATTTATACATTTAGAAAAGGAGCCTTTATTTCTTATAATAGGGGTCACAACCTGTAGACTGGCCATCCCACAGGCTGGGAACTGTAGCCTCCAGCAGACCCTGAAAGTAGGCACTTCAAGAGGGGAGGGTGAAATAGGGATTTATGTTGAATGGGTTGGCCAAGTATATATATTCAACAGATGATAGGAGGAGCTATGAATATTCATGAAGGTGGTTCATGAACACCTGCATACTGAATAAAAATGCATGTTACATATGACCCATGTTCATTTAGAGGCAGAGACTTAACACGTAAATGTATTACAGTTGGGCCCTATATATCAAAAGGTGAAGCAGAGATATGGGGGCACTCAAGTGCACAAGCTCTGTAAACCAGCTAGAACCAGCTCATGGTCAGTGGTCTCTTATCAAGAGAAAGTCACAGCCATCAGTTTCTTGTCCAGTCAAAG
The DNA here is from genome assembly GCF_000001405.40 of Homo sapiens. Lineage (NCBI taxonomy): Eukaryota > Metazoa > Chordata > Mammalia > Primates > Hominidae > Homo > Homo sapiens. The sequence continues at coordinate 226,446,310 of NC_000001.11, read as the reverse complement.
CTGTAGTTGTGGCTGGAGGAAGAGGGTCAGTCAGCATCTGGCGGGGAGCTATGATTATTTTCATCTTGCTTATCTTGAGGCCATTGCTTGTTCAGCTGCTAGAAAAAAAGAAAAACCTTATGACAGAACATAGCTTATTCTTGAGAGCTTGTTTGGAGGTTCTAGCAGGGGAGCATGGCTACTCATACATCCTTGACCAAAGCTGGGTCCTCCTCCATCGGGGATGGTCATCCTCTTTGAGTGCGCAGCTTTGGGAGGGACGTACTTGGAGAGAGAGGGAGGAAGGGGATACCCACCTAGCCAGCCGGATCAGCCGAATCAACCCTGATGATCCATGGGGTGACAGGTGTCGCAGCCAGATCACCCTCACATCTGAGAACATAGTTTATTCTTTAATAAACTGTGCACGCTTAACCCTTACCTGGCATGGCCTTAGGTCCTATGTATAATTTGGTATCTTATTGCCAAAAAGAGCCTCTTCTGTCTGTCTTGTAATCTCTATTTTATCATTAATGCTGGTCAGTTGTTGCGTCTAAACCGCAAAAGGGAGGGGGTGTAATGAGGCTTGTCTGACCTCCTGTCCTGTCACAGCTGGGCACTGTTTTTAAGGTTTATCTGGGATCCCCTTGGCCAAAATGGGGTCTGTTCATTTGGTTGAGGGCCTTAGGATTTTATTTTCTACTTGCACTTTTTTCCTGTGAACATTCTCCTTCTCACTGAGGCTGAACTGGGGCTGCCATCTTGCACCAGCCCTGAAGATGAAGTGTGTGCCCAGAGGAGGCTGGGGGAGAGGCTGACAGAGAAAGAGATCCAGAGGCCTGTGTGGTGTCCATCCTGTCGTCCACCTCCCCTCAGGACTTGAGTATGCAGGTGAAGGAAATCAAAATATTAATACTTTACCCCAAAACAGATTTCTTTGACATATTCTGAAGTGGCCTGTAAGGTTGTCTTTTGCGGGAGAAATTTGCACCTGTAGATCTGTAGAGACTCTGCATTAATGCAGCCAGCCCTTCCCTTGTCTGGAAAGATTAACTGAGATTCTGACACCTGCAGGTCTGAAAAGAAGCATCCGCCATCTGCTCTTTCTGAGGGTTGCTCCCCGTGAGGTTTCATCTACACAACAGGACTGCCTTTGCTAGCCAAGCCACTTCCTTTCTTCCTCCCACAACCTGTGTTGCCACTGAAACCTGTCTGGGGCCATGCTCTGAGCCCACATTCTCTCTGCAACCTCAAGGTGGTGCATAAGCTTCTGCACCCCACTAGGGGATTGGGTCTTCATTCTGAAGCTTCCTGTGTATACATGTTAAACAAATTCATATGTCTTCTCTCCTATTAGTCAATCTGCCTCATGTCAGTGATTTAGGGGGCCAAGCACCTTGACTGCCTCACAGGACAATAGCTGTCTTTATCGTTTAAGTGAGCAGAGCTGTATTTTTCATTGCTTGCAGCCACGGGCAACCTAACTGAAGCACTACCTCATTTGAGGAACATTTGAAGAGACAGGCATGTTGGTTTGGTATCCTAAGACGGAACACAACAAGCTTATCTTCTTTAATAAAGTTATTTGACTAGACTCTGAACCAAAATAGGTGGAACAAGGTCCCTCAAAACCAAATAAATCTCTAGTTAGCTAACTCACTTCAGTCCTTCCCATCCATAAAGCCTCTCCAACCACAAGAGAAAGGAGAAAGAGAGAAAAGGTGAGCTAATAAGACTGGTGCTTTGAATGTGGCTTTTGGTGTGAGTTTAAAAAAAAAAGAAAAGAAAAAGGTAATAAAATAAGACTGGTGCTGGGAAGAGCTTAAGAGTTTTGCACAGAATGGCTTGGCCATTGGGATTAGATTGTCCCTCCAGTAAATGTGCTGGTGAGACGGGGACAGGCATTGGGTTGAAGAGAGGGGGCAAGAATTACATTCTTCTAAAAAACTGGCCAAAGCCAGCTCCAGAGGCACCCAGAACCTCATCTCTCCCTCCCTCCTGGATTCCTGCCTCATCTTTCCCAGATAAGACTCTTTAACTTTCTCTGAAGAACAAAGTCATAAGGTGCGAATATTCCCTGAAATACCTTTGAAATACTTGCATAAATAAAACAGAGGAGGCCTGGACAGTGGCTCACAACTGTAATCCCAGCACATTTGGGAGGCCAAGGCGGGAGGATCTCTTGAGCCCAGGAGGTCGAGTCTGTAATGAGCTGTGATTGAGCCACTGCGCTCCAGCCTGGGTGACAGAGGAAGACCCTATCTCAAAAAAAATTAAAAAAATAAAACGGGGAAAGACAGGGAAAAGCAAAGCTGACTCAACAGTGTGTGTAAGCCAATTATAGAAAGAAACTTTGATCTCATTTCTTAAATGCATTGAATGAAACACTTTCCGTGACATTCGGCCAGATGTCTTCTGCTAAAGAAGCAGAAAGGCTGGAGAAGAGAAGACACAGACAGAGAACACATGGAAAGGAAGGCAACTTGCTGTGTGACCCCAGGGCAGAACTAACACCTAGAAAACCTCCCAAGTTTTCCTCTCCTTGCCTTTGTCCCCCAGATCGCCACCCAGAACTCTGACTGGGAAAAGCGGTTTCTTTGTGATTGATGCTCAGCAGGCAAAGTCATTGACTCACATAGTGATACATAGGTAATAAAAATAGATTCCAGAGCAAGTCTGATGCCAGCTCCCAGCCTATGACTTCCTGGCATCAAAAGAAAGAAATTTAGTTGAGCAAGGAGGTTCTTAGAGTGAGAGAGTGACTGAGTGCAGTGACTCATGCCTGTAATCCCAACACTTTGGGAAGTCGAGGTCAGGAGTTTGAGACCATCCTGGGCAGCATAATGAGACACCCTTCTCTACAAAAAAAAAAAAAAAAAAAAATTAAAAATAAAGAGTAAGTGAGAAAGTAAGTGTGTTTATTCTTCAGTTGGGAGAGGCATTTTACCAAAGATGAGGGCAGTGGGTAAAGTAGATTCTGTGGCCCTGGGAATAGCCTCGGACTAATGTGGACTCCCACATTAGCCGAGCAAAAGCAACAACCTCTCATCCGTTCCACCCTCCCCTGCCAGATTGTGAGCTCTCAGGGCCCCTCAGAGCTCCTGGGTCAAACCCAGTCAATGGCTGCGTCAGCATTTTCAGGCTACCAGAACTCAGCCTCGCCAGACCGGAGAAAGTACAATGTTGGTTTGGGGCCAGGCATGCTAGCTCATGCCTGTAATCTCAGCACTTTGGGAGGCTGAGACAGGATGGATCACCTAAGCCCAGAAGTATGAGACCAGCCTGGGCAACTTAGTAGGACCCCATCTCTAAAACAAACAAACACACAAACAAAAAAAAACACACAAAACTTTGGTTTTGGTGTTTGTTCTCGTTTTATAATTTTTATTTATTTCTAAATTTATTTTATCTTATTTTTTAATTGACATACAATAATTGTACTTATTTATGAGGTACATAGTATGTTCTTATTTTTTTAAAAAAACTATCCTTTCTCCCCTTTATTTTACCATTTAAAAATTAATTATTTATTGTTTTAATTTAAAAGTATACAGATTCAATTATTTTTCTAAATTCAAGCAAAGAAAATTGGGGGAAAAAGTCAATCCTACCACCTGCTAACACGAGGAATGACTATAACAAGAATCAGGTAAAGCCTTAAAACGCCTTGAAACGACTGAGGAACGCAAAGGCAGGCTGGAACAAAGGGAATAAATATACCATGTTTTTGGAGAGGAAGACTCAACATACTAAAAGCTTCAGTTCTCCATAATTTAATTTATAAAGGTGATGCAGTCTGTTAAAAACACCATTTTTTTAACCAGACAAACTGTTTATAAAGTTTATGAAAAAATGAATAAGAATACCTAAGAAAATACTGATAAAGAAGATGAGGAACGAGGCCTACCAGATACTAAAACATATTCCAAAATTTCAATAATTAAAACAGCTTGGGGTCTGGCACAGTGGCTCACGCCTGTAATCCCAGCACTTTGGGAGGCCAAGACAGGTGGATCACTTGAGGTCAGGAGTTCAAGACCAGCCTGGCCAACACAGTGAAACCCCATCTCTACCCAAAATACAAAAATTAGCCGGGTGTGGTGGCAGAAACCTGTAGTCCCAGCTACTCAGGAGGCTGAGGCAGGAGAATTGCTTGAATCCAGGAGGTGGAGGTTGCAGTGTGCCGAGATCATGCCACTGCACTCCAGCCTGGGCAACAGAGCAAGACTCCATTTCAATAAATAAATAAATAAATAAAACAGCTTGAAGAGAAAGACCAATGGAATAGAAAAGAAAATTTTAAATAGAAAATTAAAAAATAGAAATGTTGTGTATAACAAAAGAGACCTTTCAAATCAATGGAGAAGAGGAACTTGTCAGTAAATGGAACTGGGAAACACGCCCATACCTGAAGGGCAGAGCAGTAGCAGCCTCAGGACAAGCTCGGACCAATGGTAGAAAAGAGATAGAAGGAAACAATGGATAACGCCCCTCCTTTCCTCCCCCTGTGGCCAAAGAACTGTTTGGAAGCATCCTGCTGTTTCTTGTGAAGCCTGGCCAGCCACCTTGCATGTGCCTTCCTGCCTCGCCTTCTCCATCCCCTTTTACTCTCTCTTGCTTCACTGTAATTTCATCTCTCTATTGCTTTGCTTTAAGATCTGTTCTCCGGCTGGGCGTGGTGGCTCACACATGCAATCTCAGCACTTTGGGAGGTCGAGGTGGGTGGATCACCTGAGCTCAGGAGTTAGAGACCAGCCTGGCCAACATGTGAAACCCCATCTCTACCAAAAATACAAAAAACTAGCCTGGCGTGGTGTCATGCACCTGTAATCCCAGCTACTCAGGAGGCTGAGGCAGGAGAATCGCTTGAACCCGGGAGGCGGAGGTTGCAGTGAGCTGAGATCACACCACTGCCCTCCAGCCTAGGCCACAGAACAAGACTCCATTTCAAAAAAAAAACAAACAAAAAAACAAAAAAAAAAGATCTGTTTTCTAGGTAATCTGGGCTAAGACATGAGAGAAGACATGATAGAATAAAGCATGATAGAATCTCTTTGAATCCTGGAATAAGGAAGACCCATGACTCAGAAATTCAGGAGCCACAGAAGATTGATAAGTTCAAATACATAAAAATTAAAACCTCTGCATGGCAAAGAGCATCAATAAGCTAAGTCAAAAGTGAACAAGCAACTGGGGAAAATAATTGCAATTCCTATCTCAGACAAAGGGTTAACCTTTCTAATGTATAAAGACTTTCTAGAAATCAGTAAGACAAAGACTAACAACTCAATAGAAATAGAGGCAAAGGATATGAATAGACAGTTCACAGGAAGGAAAATACAAACGGCTCTTAGGCATGTGAAAAGATGCTCAATGTCATACATCACAAAAGAAGGCAAATTAAAACTTCACTGAGAGTTATATAAGGAACTCCAATAACCCAGTATTAAAAAGACAAATAACTCAATACAAAATGGGGAAGAGATTTGACAAGACACTCCGCAAAAGATTAAGAAGAGAGCTGGGTGCAGTGGCTCACGTCTGTAACCCCAGCACTTCGGGAGGTTAAGATGGGAGAATCACTTGAGGCCAAGAGTCCGAGACCAGCCTGGGCAATGTAGCAAGACCCTGTCTCTACAAAAAATTAAAAAACTAGTCAGGCATGGTGGCAGTCACCTGTAGTTCTAGCTACTTGGGAGGCCGAGGTGGGAAGATCATTTGAGCCCAGAAGTTCCAGGCTGCAGTGAGCTATGATTGCACCAGTCTCTGCACTCCAGCCTGGAAGAGAGACCTTGTCTCATAAAGAAAACAAACAAACAAACAAACCAAAGATTAGGAATAGCCAATAAGTACTTGAAAATATGTTCAACATCATTAATCATCATGGAAATGCACATTAAATCTATGATTAGATACCACCACATATCTTCTACAATGACCAAAATATAAAATAATAACAATATCAAGTATTGATAAGGATATGTGACTATTGAACTTTTGTACTTTGCTGATGGGAGGATAAAATGGTACAACCACTTTGGAAAGCAGATGGCTAGTTTCTTACCAAGTTAAACATACATTGTATCATATTACTCAGAAATTTCACTTCTTGGAAATTACTGAAGACACATGAAAGCATATAAACACAAAAATATTTGTACATTATTGTTCATAACTGCTTTATCCATAATAGTCCCAAGCTGGAAATTATATATCCATCAAATTTGTATTTTTGTAAAAATACAAAAATTATCTGGGCATGGTGGTGTGCTCCTGCAGCCCCAGCTACTTGGGAGGCTGAGGCAGGAGAGTCACCTGAACCCAGGAGATGGAAGTTGCAGTGAGCTGAGATCACGTCACTGCACTCCAGCCTGAGAGAAAGAGCAAGACTCCATCTCAAAAAATACAATACAATAAAATAAAAAATAAAAGTATACATATTCAATTTTTTTTCTAAATTTAAGCAAGGAAAATTGGGGAAAAAAGCCAAACCTGCCACCTGCTAACAATTAGGAATGACTATAACCAGAATTGGGTAAAGCTTTAAAACACACTGAGGAACATAAAGGAAGGCTGGAACAAAGGGAATAAATATACCATGTTTTTGGAGAGGAAGACTCAACATAATAAAAACTTCAGTTCTCCATAATTTACTTGATAAAGGGGATGCAGTCTATTACAAACACCATTTTTTTAACCAGACAAACTGATTATAAAGTTTATAGGAAAAAATGAACATCAACATATGAATGAAAAACAAACCCAAAAGGTGTGGTATATTTGAATATTCAATGGAATACTACTCTGCAATAAAAAGGAATGCAACATCATGGGTGAATCTCAAAAACATGCTGAGCAAAAGAAGCTGGTCAGAAAAGAGTACACATTATTTGATTCCATTTCTGTGAATTCTGAAACAGGCAAAACTAATTTTCTTTCACAAATAAGACTTTTTTATTTGCCACTATTGTAAGTCCTAACTTCAAACAGATTCAAGGACCGTGGTTCATATCCATCAGCTCGTTCAACTTTAGCACCTGTCTCGTCCCCAGTGGCTTTTCCAGAACTGCTACCTTCACCATGAAGCTCCATGAGTTTTCCCAGTTCAGACTTGGGCTTCTTCAGCATTTTTACTTTGCTAATGAAGACATCATGGAGAGGACAAACAGATTGGCAAGCCTTTTTATGTCTTTTCCAATGCTGTCTGCAATCAATTTATTGACCACTTCTTTCAGGTCATTTGTCTGCGCCTCTCAGGTCATGATTTCCAAAATCTTCTTCCGGATTTGGCGGACTTGTTGATGCTGAGCATAAGAGGTCTTCCATATCGGATTGTTGTGTTTCTTAGCAAAACCAACACAGAACAGACGAAGCACGTAACCGTTGGTAGTCTTGACATTGACAGGAGCTTCAATCATTGTCTGCCATTTTTTGACCATGGAGCACATTTTGTCACAGGTCAGATCCATGCCATGGAAGTTAGTCAGGCAGTTTTTGCCCTGAACATCTTCAGTAATCAGCTTGAATTTTCTAAATACAACATCATCATTCTGCAAATCAGCAAGACTCACTTCAAACACACAACCCTTGAGGCCATCTGATACATTTGGGTTCCTTCAGTCCTGGTGACTAGCATCTCTCCAATATTTCTTGTGAACATAGCAGGTGCTTTCACATCATACCAATCTTTCTTAGAAAATGGATCAACCACTTTCTTCCTGGCCCCCTGTTTGCCACCTTTCTTAAGGTGCTTATTCTTGCCAACTGCCATGGTGCTGCTCAGAGAGCCAAAAGAGCTGAGAGAGCCAAAAGCAAAACTGACTTATAGTGATAAAAATCACAGTAGTGGTTTCTCCCGACAGGATGGGAAGGGTGTTGATTGGGCAGGGGCACAAGTCAATCTTTTGGGGTGATGGAAACGTTCTATACCTTGATTGATTCAAAACTCTTTGAACTGTATGACTAAAATGAGTCCATTCTGTTGTATTAAAATCATAGCCCAATAAGGATGATTTTAAAACCACACCGAGATAACCTTCACCTATCAGACTGACAAAATTCCAAAAATTTGATAACACTCTCTGTTGGCAAAGCTGTGGGGAAAAGACACTCTTAGATACTCCTGGTGGTGGTATAAATTAATGCAACACTTACAGAGGGCAATTTGCCAAATCAGTCAATATCACAACCACGTACTCCCTTTGACTTAGCAGTTACACTTTTGGGAGTTTATCCCACAGGAATACTTACATATATGCAAAATAATGTATGCACAAGTTTTTTTGATGCAACATCATTTGGATTAGCAAAAGTTTGAAAACAAACTGAAGGCCCATCAATAGCAGACGATTTTTAAAAATTGTGGTATTATCATGCCCTATCACAAAGGGCAGCTATACAAGAAAGTGAGGATTTTTTATGTACTGATAAAGATCTCCAAGGTATGTTGTTAGGTGAAAAAGGTAAGGTATACAGCAGTATATATGTGCAAAAAAGGGGGAGAAAATAAAAATATATTTTCACCTGTTTGTATATGCATAAAGAAACTCTGCAAGCATACACATGTTATTATAGGATAAACCAAAGAATATAATGGAAAAGAGGAGGGCTGAAGGGAAACTGGGCAGATAGAGATATAAAGAAGATTCTTCACTGTTTGTTTGCTTGTTGGTTTCATTTACAAGCCCTACATGTGGCTTCTGATTCATTGATTACTTTCTAAATGTATTTTTTTAGTTTTGAACCATGAGATGTAGCATCTATTCAGAAAAGGTTAATAAAACATTTTTTAATTTAGTAGTACAGAAAATTACCAAAAAAAAAAAAAAAAGAAAGAAAGCAAGAAAAGAAGGGGAAGGGAGGAAAGGGAAAAATCAATGAGGAAAAAAGGGAAGGAAAAGGAAAAGAAAGAAAGTAATCTAATCACACCACCCAGGAACAACCAGCATTAACATTACGTGACCATTGGCACACTCAAAGAGAAGAGTTTGGCCCGGGTTTCCCCTGGAATTGTGTCCAAGCTGTGATAACTCCCACCCAGGGAGGGGGCAGAGCTGACGGGAGCCTTACGCTGGAGGCTCTCTCACCCAGCTCTCTCAGGCATTGTACACATAACCAGTGTCCGGGGCTGACAGAGTTCCTTTAGCAAGAAAAGCCAAGCTTCGCTAGCTCACCTTGCCCCATCTGTTATGCTTGGATGCCAGCCACCTGCAGGAACTTCAATTATTTCTGCAGTTCCCCAGGGGCGTCTCAGATGTGTTAACAAATAAGTCCTGGGTGTCATGTGCCAGCTACCACTCTTCCTCCTACTGCTGCTGTCCAGGTGCAGCCTCCTTTGGTGATGGCTGCTGTTGGGACCTTGGCTGACTACCGAGCCTTGTGAAGGTACACTGCAGCTTCCTCTGGGATCAAGCACCACCAGCACCCAGTTAGCTCTGCTGGTACAACCAGTACTGCCACCACTGGTGTGACTGATATGCTAGACCCCTCGGGCTGCCTGGGCTGGGCAGTGGTCTGTGGCAATGTAGGATGGACAGTTTCTTCCTGGGATGTTTTCCAGTGAGGTCCTAAAGCAGGGCTGCTTGTGCACTGATGATGTGGTGACGTTGTAGTTGATCCTCAACATCCATTCCGCCCCAGATGAATAGTCTAGCCCAGTCCCAATAACTTCCTCTAGATGTCACATCTGCAGCTGCCAACACTGAGGATGAAACATTAAGAGATGGCAAGAGCCTGGGTCCTTGGTGAGCCCTGGAATCAACTCACCTGGAGTCTGATTAGCTCTGGAATTTCCTCTTTTCTTTTTTCTTTTTTTTTTTTTTTTTTGAGACAGGGTCTTGTTCTGTCACCCAGGCTGGAGTGAGGTGGCACAATCATGGCTCACTGCAACATCAACCTCCTGGGCTCAAGTGATCCTCCTGCCTCAGCCTCCTGAGTAGCTGGGACTACAGGCGCATGCTGCCGTGCCCAGATAATTTTTTTTTGGTTTTTTTTTTTAGTAGAGATGGGGTCAAGTTCTGTTACCCAGGCTTGGACTTTTCCGTTACATGAAATAAGATTAAATAGTTTTAGCTCATTTTGGGTTGAGATTTTCAATTTGAGCAATTGGAAAGTCCTAATTGAGTCAGTTGAATTAGAGGATTTTCATGAATATATCTCTTTAGTCCTCTCTTTTCCTTGGACTGAGACATGGTCCACGAAGAGCAGAACCAGTGAAAATCCGAATCACAAATCTCTTACTGGGCTCAGAATCCCTCTCCTCCTTGGACATCCAGGGACAACCAGGAAACCACTCCCAGGAGAAGCTCTGACTTGGTGGCGATTGGACAGTTGGTGGGTCAGTACTGGCATCATTGGTCAAATCCTGGCCCAGCAGCCAGTGTGCTTAAGCCATGTCTTTAGACTTGTGACACAGAAAGGGCAAAGGCTTTGGAATTCTGACCTGCATTTAAATCTTATTTCTGTCATTTACTGATTTTAGACCTCCAGCAGGTTGTTTAGCCTCCTTAACCCTTAATTTCTAATCTGTAAAATGGAAGAAATATAAATCGACCTCAAAGAGTTTCTCCATGTATTCATTCCTTCCCTGAGTGTTTTTGAGCACTGCCCACATGCCAATGTCCTAGGCACTAGGATATATCAGCGAAAAGCAAATGAGTCTTAGAGAGGAGTGTGCGTTCAATCAATGCCAGCTTCCTTCCTCTCCATTTACGTCAGTTGTAACCTCCTAGAGGTCAGGAAGCCAGGTCTGGGGAAGTCCAGGCAGGCATATGCCTCTCCCACTGACCCATTGCTCCAACCTGGCAGAGAGGAGACCCCTAGGATGTGTAGATCTGCACACCAGAACACATCAGTACCTGGGGCCAGGGGTGGTAGGCTGGCCAGCTGCCACCATGGCCCGCTCTAAGACACCATGGGGTACCCATGCCAGACACTGGCTCTTCCTGCCTGGGCCCAGACTCCTGCTGGGAAGGCTGGTGGCTGCGATCTTGGGATGGGCTGAGAACAGTGAGGCTAAGAACCCACAGGCCAGAGGCAACGGTTGTGAGGCCCAGGCACCAAGACCCCTCATATGCTCCACTGTCCCATTAGACTTCACTTACAAAAGCACAGATCCAGTCAGGCATCGTGGCTCACGCCTATAATCCCAGCACTTTGGGAGGCTGAAGCGGGAGGCTGAAGCAGGAGGATCATGTGAGTCCAAAAGTTTGAGACCAGCCTGAGCAACACGGCGGGACCATATCTCAACAAAAAAATGTAAAAATTAGCCAAGCAGGCCTATAGTCCCAGTTACTCGGGAGGGAAGGTAGGAGGATTGCTTGGACCCAGGAAGTCAAGGCTGCTAGTCGTGATCTCGCCACTGCACTCCAGCCTGGGCAGTAGAGTGAGACTGTCTCAAAAAGCACAGACGCAAAGAGTAAATCATGGAGAATTTCAAGGACAGCCACCACAGAGCACTAAACCTCAAGTGTGGGGCCTTGTGCAATGCGCTCACCCATGAAGCAGGCCCTAATAACTTGGGGACATAATTATAGGCTCTCAGAAAATGCTTGTTAATTAATTTAAGCCTCTTGGTGAATTTAAAGCAACTGCAGATCTTTGTGGATATCTGTTAGTTTTACTGGACTGAGACAATGCTTCTCCAATTATGGTTTCATCTGCCCCCTTCCGTTAAAAGGCAGATCCCTGAACCCTACCCCAGACCTTCTTAATCAGAATCTATGGGAGTGAGGCCTAGGAATTTCATTTTTACATCTCATGATCCTTCTAGGCTCTAAAGATTGAGAACAAGCCAAGCATGGTGGCTCACACTTGTAATCCCAGGTCTTCAGGAAGCTGAGATGGGAAGATTGCTTGAGCCCAGGAGGTCAAGGCTGTAATGAGCCATGATCATGCCACTGCACTCCAGCTGGGCAACAGAATGAGATGTGAGACCCTGTCTCTTTTTTTCTTTTTTTTTTTTAATTAATGAATTTATTTATTTAGAGACAGGATCTCACCCTGTCACCCAGGCTGGAGTGCAGTGGTGTGATCATAGCACACTATAACCTGGAACTCCCAGAGACCCCCGTCTCTTTAAAAAATAATAAATAAGAATAAGATTGAGAACCACTGGAATCAGGCAACATGTGTAGGAAGCATGGGGTTTCATGATGGACTCTCCTTTCCTGTCCCCATTCTGCCATGACTTCATTGGCAGCAACCCTTCTGCTTCGTGGAGGTGATGCCTGACCAGCTTGGCCAGCAGGGGTTCTGTGAAGGGCGCAGGAGATCACGTATGTGGAGGCCACTGACCCCATGCCTGTGGACACACATGGCTCCACTCAGGAGCCTCCATGCTGGAGCCAACGGGACATGGCCCCTCTGCCCATCTCACATGCTGTGCATGCAGGTCCCGGGCCTTGGCTCTTTAGCCCCAAGTCTTCACTGAAGAAGTATTATTTCAGTTCTGTCCTGCATTTCCCCCTTCCTCCCATAATCCCCTTGTGTAGTGCTGGACATGCTCAGCACACAGGAGGCTGATGGGGGTCCCGAGGTGGAGACCCTGACGCTGAGCATGGGGTCAGGATGAGCCGCGTGCCTGCCCCTCTGCTAGGTCGCAGCCCATCAAGGCACCTGGTTGTTTCCGCCTTCCTGAGAATCCATGGCAAGAAGGCAAAGGGCTGGTCCTGACCCTCGGTCCACCATGAGGGAGCTCAGAATGGTCTTTCTCCATATCTCAAACCCCTCCCAGAAGCCGGAGGAGAAGGGGGAGGAAAGAACGAGCACACAAGCTCCCCAGAGAAATGCTTTACTGCCCACTGTAATTCTTCTCAGCAGATGTTTCCTTGGATTCTATGAAAGCCTGTTTGCATCTGACAGACTAGGGCAAATCAATAAGGAAACCTGGTATTCCCAGGGCACTGCCTGTGAAGAAGGGAGCGCAGCTGCTCCTACAGACTCCCCAGCAACAGCTCTGAAGCCTGCTGCCACCCTTCAGACTGCCGACTAGAGAATGAAGGTCTCTGGCCTCTCCTTTCCTGCCACTGCAAACAGGCCCCGTCCTGTCAGTGCACCTAGGGCCTGAGGTTTAGTCAGCTCCCCATGATGGAGTCTGGGCTACCCCCGTCACTCCGAAGGAGAAGCCATTCCCAGTTCCCCTCACCTCATCTGCCCGTGGACAGATGATGCAGCCCCCTCTAGGGGTTTCCCCCAGGCTCCGGGACCCCAGTGTTTCTCCTTGCTACAAGTCCAAGGCAACAGACAATGCCACAGCTCTGTCCTCAGCTCTGCCTGCCCCCTCTGGAAGGAAGACACAGAGCCTTGAGGCTCACTCACCTCTCACTCCCAGCACCCCAGCCCAGAGGAAGATGTTGGGTCGAGTTCACCCTACGAGTCCAGAGAAATTCCCCTCCCTGCAGAGGTAAGCCAGCAGCCCCAAAACAAAGACTGGATATCCCTCCATAGGAATAACCTAATTTGACTTCCATCCTCGTTCAGCGCTGTCTCCAGCAGGGGCCCCGCCTTCATTAGTATGATGGAGTCTGGAGCCTGAAGCTGCCCGCCAAGCTTCCAGCTAATTGGAAATTGATGACAACCTCTTTGTGAGGGATAAACAGGCTCTGCCGGCAGCCTGTGGGACTTGGATCCTCAAGCAGGGCTGTGTGTCCATTTGCCCAAACCGGGAGCAACACCAAACATACCCTCTAGGCCCCCACCATGATCCCTGTGCAATTCCAGCTTGTGCAGAGCAGCATGACATTCTTAACCAGGAGATATGGACAGCCCACTTACTTCCCATTTATAGTTGGATTTAAATGTTTTATTTTCATATATATATATATATTTTAATGTTGCTTAATAGTCTGTTTTTATTGTATTTTATTTTATTTTTTAATGATACTTTAAGTTCTAGGGTACATGTGCACAACATGCAGGTTTGTTACACATGTATACATGTGCCATGTTGGTGTGCTGCACCCACTAACTCATCATTTACATTAGGTATATCTCCCAATGCTATCCCCCCCACCACCCCACAACAGGCCCCGGTGTGTGATGTTCCCCCTCCTGTGTCCAAGTGTTCTCATTGTTCAATTCCCACCTATGAGTGAGAACATGTGGTGTTTGGTTTTTTGTCCTTGTGACAGTTTGCTGAGAATGATGGTTTCCAGATTCATCCATGTCCCTACAAAGGACATGAACTCATCCTTTTTTATGGCTGCATAGTATTCCACAGTGTGTATATGCCACATTTTCTTAATACAGTCTATCATTGATGGACATTTGGGTTGGTTCCAAGTCTTTGCTATTCTGAATAGTGCCGCAATAAACATACGTGTGATGTGTGTTTATAGCAGCATGATTTATAATCTTTTGGGTATATACCCAGTAATGGGATCACTGGGTCAAATGGTATTTCTAGTTCTAGATCCTTGAGGAATTGCCACACTGTCTTCCACAATGGTTGAACTAGTTTACAGTCCCACCAACAGTGTAAAAGCGTTCCTATGTCTCCACATCCTCTCCAGCATCTGTCATTTCCTGACTTTTTAATGATCGCCATTCTAACTGGTGTGAGATGGTATCTCATTGTGGTTTTGATTTGCATTTCTCTGATGGCCAGTGATGATGAGCATTTTTTCATGTGTCTGTTGGCTGCATAAATGTCTTCTTTTGAGAAGTGTCTGTTCATATCCTTTGCCCACTTTTTGATGGGATTTTTTTTTCTTGTAAATTTGTTTGTGTTCTTTGTAGATATATATGTATATTTAAACTCTTAAACATGGTCCAAGCAAAGTATTGACTTAATTTAACAATTAGCCATTCCAAACTTAGGCATATATGCCATGAAATTCTTTGTTTGCTTGTTTTTTTAAAAAAAAAATATTTTTTTGGCCGGGCGCAGTGACTCATTCCTATAATCCCAGCACTTTTCAAGGCCGAGGTGGGAGGATCACTTGAGCTGAGGAGTTCAAGACCAGCCAGCAAGACCTCATTTCTACTTAAAAAAAAAAAAAAAAAAAATCAGCCAGGCCTAGTGGCACATGGCTGTAGTCCCAGCGACTTGGAAGGCTGAGGTGGGAGGATTGCTGAAGCCTGGGAGATCGAGGCTGCTGTGAGCTGTGATTGTGCCACTGCACTCCAGCCTGGGTGACGGTGACAGAGCCAGAGCCGGACACTGTCTCAAAAAATAAAAAATAAAAAGTTTTGTTGAGGTAGAATTGGCAAATAAAAGTTACACATGTTTAAAGTGAATTGTAGAATGTTAATATATACATTTTGGGGGGTAAAAGTGCAGGTTTCTTACTTGCATATATGGCATAGTGGTAAAGTCTAGGCTTTTAGTGAACCCGTCACTATGGTGAACATTGTACCCAATAGGTAATTTTTCAGCCCTTACCCACTGCTTATACTCCCATCTTTTGGAGTCTCCAGTGTTTATTATTCCATTCTCTGTGTCCACATGTACCCATTGTTTAGCTCGCAAATACTCCATGAAACATTTGTTTTCTTTTTTGAGACGGAGTGTCACTCTGTTGCCCAGGCTGGAGTGCAGTGGCGCAATCTCAGCTCACTGCAACCTCCGCCTCCCGGGTTCAAGCAATTCCCCCTGCCCCAGCCTCCCAAGTAGCTGGGATTACAGGCGTCCACCACCATGATCGTCTAATTTTTGTAACCATGAAACTTTAAGAGTGCCACCCACCGGCCACCTAACCGAGCAGCTGGTCTATCAGTGACTTCACAGAACTCTCCCCCACTAGGATGCAATTCCTGTTCGTGCTGGGGTTACCACTGCCTGCTGAGGGCCTTCCAGAACCAGAACCAAGCTGCCCTTAGGGTGTTACAATGAAGCTCCTGGCCTGCAACGGTGTGTTTGGGCATCTGATTGTCTGGTGAGTGGAAAAGGCTTGGCTCAGCACCCCACCACGACCACCAAGGGCATAGATGATGAACTGCCAGCCAAGGCACCATCTATGGTCAAGGAACAGAGCCAGCACTGCTCCGGGGCACCCATCCCAAGGTCACCATGCCTCGCCAGCTCTCTCACCACACTGCCCGGCAGAGTCTGCAGACAGGACAGCCTTGTGGAACAGATCTATGGCCAGTAGCTGACTCCCTGATGAGAGTTCCTGGACAAAGGCCCCAGATACTTGCTGACAGAGAAAGACAGGCATGCTGTAATGATGTGTTGCAGTGAGTGCAAATGTGCCACCACCACTTCTGATCTCCCTGTGCCCCGCGGGGATCCCCAGGCCTCTATCATGAGGCCGTGATTCCTCAAGGTCAAGACATCAGCACTGAGCCCCCAGTGCCTGGTGCATGGGTGTCAGGCTGAGGAGCCAATCCCATCTGATCATGTCCCAGTCCTCTGCTCAAAGCCAGTGCTGCTGTTGGGGGTGTCACTTAGCAGTGCATTAAACGAGAGTGGGTTGTGAGCTCCCAGGAGCCCCTGCCCCTAGAAGTCCTATTGGCCTGTGTCCTAGGCCTGGAGAGGCAGGATCCTTGTTCCTCAGGAAAGAAACTTCTGGCTCAGACCCCGAATGGCTGCAGAGAATAGACAGGCTGCCTGGCAAGGAGGGCAGCATTCCAGACATCCACTTTTTTTTGAGATGGGGTCTCTCTCTATGGCCCAGGCTGGTCTAGAACTCCTGGACTCAAGTGATCCTCCTGCCTCAGCCTCCCATGTAGCTGGGACTACTGGTGAGCACCACCACACCTGGCCAATTTTTGTATTATTTGTGGAGACGGGGTCTCATATGTTGCCCGGGCTGGTCTCGAACTCCAGGTCTCAAGCAATCCCCCTGCCTCAGCCTCCCAAAGTGCTGAGAGCCACCATACTCAGTCCAGACACCCCACTGTTAATAGGCTAACAGCACATTGCCCACCTGGAGAAGTGACTGTGCCCAGTTAGTCCATCCCCCAAGCAGTGGGCACACCGGCGGCTGCCTGCCTGGGCCTCCCTCCCTGTCCCAGACATGTGTCATTCATCCCAGCCTACCAAAGAGGTGACTCAAGGGAGGGAGGACCCTTTTGGCTCGCTGTGACATGTGCCCCCAGCACACTTCCTGCACTCCTCCCTCCCCCGACCCCTGTGGCTTCTCTCAGTGAGACAGCCTCTCACTCCCTCTCCCCTTCCCCCACGCTCTCTCCCCAGCTCCCTTCTCTCTAGGGGCTCAGCGTCTCTCTGCCTTGGCTCTTGGCTGAATGATTGAACGCTTTAATTTATTTGCCAGGAGATGTCTTTACAGCTCTGCCCTCAGTAATTCACACAGCAGTTGTCTGCTAGGATGTGTATAATTCAGTGCTGAGAGGGCTCTGGGATGTGCGGACACGAAGGAGCCCAGGGAGACACTGCTTGAGATGAAACTACTGGAAAGGAGGCTTGGAGAGATCAAAGAGTGCTGGAGGAGAGGTGCGGGTAGGAAGAGTTCTGCCCCAGGCGGGCGCTAGCCTAGTGCTTCTCCACACTGGCTGCACATTGGAGTCACCTGGGGAGCTTTAAAAATTAATGATGCCTGAGCCCCACCCCAGACCAATTAAATAAAGCATCTGTATTTTCAAAAAGCTCCCCTGGTGATTCTAAAGTTCACACAGGGATGAGACCAACAGGCTCAGCTACAGCTGCTGGGGAGGGAGAGAAAGGATGGGAACACACTTAGGCAAAGCAATGTTAGGTTGACCACACACCTGCCCTTCGAGGCCATGCAAACGTCCAGCAGCAGAGAGCCAGGGCACAGTGGTGTAAACCGTGGGCATGTGTACCTGGCTCTAAGTGAGAAGGGTGTCCCTGAAAACTCAGCATTCTGGAGGCAGAGTGGGGGTCCCTCCTGCTCAGATGCCCCAGAGAGTAAGGCAGGGAGGGGACACCAAAACAGCCCGGGCCTCATGCCTTTGCCTCTGTCCTTCTTAATCTCACCCTGCTCCCTGCACCGCTACCACTGTCTTCACCTTCTAAATCCTCCCTGTTCACAAAGACTCCTCTTAAATGGCACCTCCTTTTCACTCCACAAGCAAAGACAGAGTACCAACTATGCACCATGCCCTGGTTTCTGGGAAGGGAAAGATGGAGACATCTGGGGCCTACCTGAAGCTGCTCACAGACAGGTGACCCCCGGGAACCATGCACTCCTTACAGTGCAGTAAATGCTATCAGGGCCTGGGAGCCCAATGTTGGGGTTCTTCATCAACCCTGGGCTCTGCCTATGGGGCTTTAAGGTTTTCTGGGAGGAGATGACATTTGAGCTGAGTTTTCTTTTTTTTTTTTTTAAGACAGAGTCTCGCTCTGTCGGCCAGGCTAGAGAGCAGTGGCACGATCCCGGCTCACTGCAACCTCCGTCTCCCGGGCTCGAGCAATTCTCCTGCTCAGCCTCCCGAGTAACTGGGATTACAGGTGTGTTCCATCACGCCTGGCTAATTTTTGTATTTTTAGTAGAGACGGGGTTTCACTATGTTAGCCAGGCTGGTCTCAAACACCTGACCTCAGGTGATCCACCCGCCTCAGCCTCCCAATGTGCTGGGATTACAGGCGTGAGCCACTGCGTCCAGCCTGAGCTGAGTTTTAAAGGACCATGGAGCTCCCCAGATTAATCAATATCTTCCTTCTCCCTGTACATGCTGCACCTTTTCTCTAGCAGGTGCCTTGTAACAGTTAGATGCCTATGTGGCCGCACCTGCAGAGGTGAGGTGCTTGGGTGCAAACCAGGTATCTTATTCACTTTGGTAATAGGTGATGGGCCTACTACTATGCCTGGTGCACTGTAGGTACTTGATGAATGACTGTTGAACTGAACTAAATGCAATTACGGTTTGCACTTTTGTTGGAGAGGGAACAGCAAGAGCTAAGGCCTTGCCAATGGCTCTATATGTGGGCCCCTGTGGGCCCAGGTCCCCGCACCGCTCTGCTGTCTGGACTTTGTGTGCTCCAAGCACTGGTAGGAGAGCATATGGTAGCTGAAATGAGGCCCAAAGGGACTGAAGTTGGGGCCGCTGTGGATGCTGAAGAAAGTGAACTGCAAGAAGGTACAAGGAAGGCCAGGATGTGCAACAGTGGGCCTGAGGACTAAGTGTAGGGGTAAGGTCAGAGGCCAGGTACCCACCCTGCAAGGAGAGTCAGGAGCCAGGGTGCCAAGGACTGCCTCCCTGGAGGCCACCTAGTGGGCAGGGCTTCTGTGCATGAGGGACCAGGGCTGACTCCATGATGGGCACAATTCCCAGGAGGGATAGGAATGAGGAGACTTGTGTGGGGCTTGCAGTGTTCCGTGAAGAAAGGGAGAAAGGAGACAAGAGAACACGGGCAGCAGTCTGAAGGATTTCGGGGCTGCCTGTGGAGCCAGGCACAGAAGCGTGTACCTGTAGTCCCAGCTACTTGGGAGGCTGTGGCAAGAGGACTGCTTGAGCCCAGAGGGTGGATTGAGCCCAGGAGTTCTGGGCTGTAGTGCGCTATGCCAGTGGGGTGTCCACACTAAGTCTGGCATCAATATGGTGACCTCCTGGTGAGAGGTGACAGCGTGCTGGCAGTCCTCACAGCCCTCGCTCGCTCTCGGCGCCTCCTCTGCCTGGGCTCCCACTTTGGTGGCACTTGAGGAGCCCTTCAGCCCACCGCTGCACTGTGGGAGCCCCTTTCTGGGCTGGCCAAGGCCAGAGCCGGCTCCCTCAGCTTGCAGGGAGGTGTGGAGGGAGAGGAGTGAGCGGGAACCAGGGCTGCGCGCGGGGCTTGCGGGCCAGCTGGAGTTCCGGTGGGCGTGGGCTTGGCGGCCCCGCACTCGGAGCAGCCAGCTGGCCCTGCCAGCCCCGGGCAATGAGGGACTTAGCACCCGGGCCAGCGGCTGCGGAGGGTGTACTGGGTCCCCCAGCAGTGCCAGCCCACCGGCGCTGTGCTCGATTTCTCCCGGGCCTTAGCTGCCTTCCCGAGGGGCAGGGCTCGGGACCTGCAGCCCGCCATGCCTGAGCCTCCCACCCCCTCCATGGGCTCCTGTGCGGCCCGAGCCTCCCTGACGAGCGCCACCCCTGCTCCATGGTGCCCAGTCCCATCGACCACCCAAAGGCTGAGAAGCGCGGCCAAATGGCGCGGGACTGGCAGGGAGCTCCACCTGCAGCCCTGGTGCGTGATCCACTGGGTGAAGCCAGCTGGGCTCCTGAGTCTGGTGGGGACGTGGAGAACCTTTATGTCTAGCTCAGGGATTGTAAATACACCAATCGGCACTCTGTCTCTAGCTCAAGGTTTGTAAACACACCAATCAGCACACTGTGTCTAGCTCAGGGTTTGTGAGTGCACCAATGGACACTCTGTATCTAGCTACTCTGGTGGGGCCTTCGACAACCTTTGTGTCTAGCTCAGGGATTGTAAACGCACCAATCAGCGCCCTGTCAAAACAGACCACTGGGCTCTACCAGTCAGCGAACGTGGGTGGGGCCAGATAAGAGAATAAAAGTAGGCTGCCGGAGCCAGCAGCGGCAACCCTCCTGGGATATTCTTCTGCAGTGTGGAAGCTTTGTTCTTTCGCTCTTTGCAATAAATCTTGCTACTGCTCACTCTTTGGGTCCACGCTTTTTTTATGAGCTGTAACACTCACCGCCAAGGTCTGCAGCTTTACTTCTGAGCCAGCGAAACCACGAACCCACCAGAAAGAAGAAACTCCTAACACATCCGGCCATCAGAAGGAACAAACTCCAGACGCGCCACCTTAAGAGCTGTAATGTAACACTCACCGCGAGGGTCCGCGGCTTCATTGTTGAAGTCAGTGAGACCGAGAACCCACCAATTCCGGACACACTGGGAGCAAGGGGCCACCAGGTTGCTTAAGGAGGGGTGAACTGACTCAGGTCAAAAACGGAGCAGTTCAAAACTCCCGTTCTGATCAGTAGTGGAACCGCACCTGTGAGTAATCACCGTACTGCAGAATGGGCAACATAGTGAGACCCCCATGTCTAAAAATAATAATTAAAAATTTAAAAAGAAAAGGATTTCCTGTGGAGGATTTTCAAAATACACTGGCCTAGGTTTCTGTCCCAGAGATTTGGATCTGGGCCAGGGCCCAGGTGTGTATTTGAGGGGTAATAAATGAAATTAATACATGTACAGTGCTTAGAAGGGCTCACATTATCATGCAAAAAATGTTAGCTCTGTTATTCATTGTTATCCAAAAAGTCTATTGAGTATCTACTCTGTGCAGCACCGGAAATACACTGATAAGCCCACATCTCTGCTCTTTCAGAGCTTACAACGTGCAGAGGAAAAAACAAACAACAAAAAATAAAAAAAAAAAATTGAAACTAGCAAATTCAAAGAGTGCTATATCCAGTCTGCCCTCAAACCCCTGCCTTTTCTGCCTCCTAGGACTATCCTCTTCTCTCCTCCCACTGCCACTGTCCTGGTCCAGGCCGCCATCACCTCTCACCAGGATGGCTCCAACAGCTCCCAATTTTCTCTGCCTGCAGCCTTGCAGCTTTCCTCACAATGCAACCAGAGGGATTGTCTAAAAGGCGCATCTTCCTCCTCTCCTGCCAGTTTCCAAATCTCTTCTCCAAGTGTGCTGCCGGCAAATTAAACAAGACAACCAACCCAGGCTGGAGTAGATCTTGCGGGTTTCTTTCATCAACATCACACCTCATTAGGTTGATTTGTGTGTTTCCAGAGTTGCCTGTGCTGGGTGAGTGTGTGTATTTTGAACACCATCTAGTGGACAATAGGGCAATTTATTTCCAGGCTATGGAATGAACTCCCCAAGCCCTAGTCAATCTTTCGAACTTCAAAGATTTAATAAGTAGCCAGATTTTAAAAGCAAAGATTGTTCTTGACCCCATAACAAGATCAGAGTCAAAGGCAACTTGCAGCCTGCTTCAGAAGCTCCACTCTGCCAATAGGCCAGAGGGAAAGGAGGAGTAGGGTGGTGCCAAATAGAGGTAACTTTGGCCGTTAAGATCCTTTTGTCCTCACCCCAGATGCTGGTTCCTTGCTCTCCCTGTAGCTTCAGATTCTCAGCTGGTTTCCCATCCCTTTTCCTAAAAGGACAACAGCCCTGCCTAGCAGATTTCAAATTTCAGTCTACCAAGCACTGCTATTTCGCTCTCTCTCTCTCTTTTGTCTTTTTTTAAAGAGACGGAGTCTCACTCTGTCACCCAGGCTGGAGTGCAGTGGCACAATCACAATTCATTGCAGCCCTGAGCTCAAGCCATCCTCCCACCTCAACCTCTGGGACTACAGGCCCATGCCACCATGACTACCTAACTTTTTAAAATTTTTTGTAGAATGGTTGGGTGTGGTAGCCCACATCTGTAATCTCAGCACTTTGGGAGGGCAAGCCAAGGGGATTGCTTGACCCCAGGAGTTCAAGACCAGCCTGGGCAACATGGCGAAACCCCATCTATACAAAAAATTCAAAAATTATCCTGGCATGCTTGTAGCATCCTGCGCACGCCTGTAGCCTCAACTACTTGGGAGGCTGAGGTGGGAGGATCAGTTGAGCCTGACAGGAGGAGGCTGCAGTCAGCCAAGATCATGCCACTGCACTCCAGCCTGGGCAACAGAGCGAGACCCTGCCTCAGAAAAAAAAAATTGTTTTTGTCGAGACAGGGTCTCTCTGTGTTTCCCATGCTGGTCTCGAATGCCTGGCCTCAAGCAATCCCCCTGCCTCGGCCTCCCAAAGTGTTGGGATGACATCTGTGAGCCACCACACTTGGCCCCCAAGCACTGCTATTTCCCATGGTAAATTAATAAATTGGTGTCCTGATTTTCATATCAGTCTCCCAATGGGTTCCCAATGGATTCCTTCTGGATACGTGGACAAAATTGAGTTACGAGACTAAGAAAGCTCAGTGTCAGACCCTAGAACATGGTGAGCCCATCAAGGTCAGGCCACCTGGTCATTCCTTGAGCACCAGTCAACTGGCCTCCCTGTGGAATGGCCATCTTGTCACCATCACAATTACATCTCGAGAATGTGAGTGCTCAGAGCATGGCCTCTTCTCAGGCTGGCAAGTCTTGACCAGAGGGCATTCATTTAATATCAAATATTTATGGAGCTTCCTCTGTGGGCCTCACTAGAGTCTTAACATGCATTATCTTTCTTAATCTTCACATTGGCCTCCTAGGTACATACTACTATTATCTCCATTTTACAGGTGAGCAGATGGGCCTAGAGAGATGAAGAACTTTGCTTATAGACACAGAGCTAGCAAGAGGCAGGTCCTCCTGGGATTTCACAACCTGGGCAATTTAACTAGCATGCCTTGTGTGACTCTGGAATGAGGACCTAGATTATCTGTCAGGGACCTAGTCAAAAGCTTTCTTCTTCCCTTAATTTCTGAGAAAACTCTAAGCTGGACTTGTTGAATGGCTAGCTCTGTAATCTCCCAGAGGCTCAATCCTTACTTTTAACAAGGTCCTGTTGATGAGTGGCCCCAAAGAAGCTGCCTGTTAATGGGCACCAGCACCCACTGGGCACAGACCCTTGGGAAACCATAGTTTGCGGTTACAGGGTAGGGCTGTTAATTTATTTCCCCTTTAAGGATGCCCAGAAAGAAGTGATCCTATGGAGAGACACTGTTCCCTGGACCAAGGACACCTGCCCTTCCATGGCCCTTGCTTACACTATAGGCAGACCCCTCAAGCAGATGGGCACAGTGCAATGGATCCTGCTTCATACTCCAGCAGACTCACTCACTGCAAGGACAATCAGACTGCCCGAGAGCCCTGCGCTTCGCAACATGTTGCTTCCCACCTCCAAAGACAGACCCAGGGCAGAAGTGCTGCGGAGAGCTTCCGTTGGGTTTGTCTGCTCTTGGTTTGTTGTTTGAAACTTTTTATTGTGAAATTGGGCCAAGCACAGTGGCTTATGCCTGTAATACCAGCACTTTGGGAGGCCGAGATAGGTGGATTGCTTCAGCCCAGGGGTTTGAGACCAGCCTGGGCAACATGGTGTAACCCCGTCTCTACAAAAAAAAAAAAAATACAAAAATTAGCCCGGTGTGTTGGTGGGTGCGTGTAGTCCCAGCTACTCAGGAGGCTGCGGTGGAAGAATCAGTTGAGCCCAGGAAGTTGAGCCTGCAGTGAGCTGAGATCCCGCCACTGCTCTCTAGCCTGGGCAACAGAGTGAGGCCCTGTCTCAAAAAAACAAACAAACAAAAAACCCTTTTATTATGAAATATATGAATGTGAATATTATATATAACCCTTTTAAAGATTAGTAATAATATAGTCATGTACTCATCATCAAGTTTAAGAAATGGAATAGTACCAATAAGTTTAGAGCTCCCTGAATTTTCTTCTCCAGTTGTATTTCCCTCCATCACCCCAGAAATAACCACTATTTGAAAATGTATGTTAATCATTTCCTTGCTTTTCTTTAATGTATTACAATATATGTATGCAACTTTAAACAGAGTATTGTTTCATTTTTCCTGACTTTGAATTTTGTATAAGTGGATCCACACTAAATGAATTATTTTCTGAATTACTCATTTCACTTAGGCTTGTGTTTTGAGATTCACATGTATTGACATGTGGGCTGTAATTCATTCATTTACATTGACATATGGTATTCTATTGAATGACTATACTACAATACACTTATCTGTTCTACTGTTTGTAGATATTTGGGTTGTTTCCATTTGGGGCTCTTATAAACAATCCTACTATAAACATTTTGGCAATCTTCCTGTCTTCCTGGTGCCCCTGGAAAAGCCTTCCTAGGATAAACCTAGAGCTGGAATTACAGTTCAGAAAGGACGATCAAGTTCACATTTATTAAGCAATGGCTGGCTATGATTTTATGCTCCCCTAGGCTCTACATGGGGTAGTTGCCACTGCTCATTTATTTTGCAAGCATTTATTGAGTTATTTTTGTGCCAATCACTGTGTTAGGTATTAGGGTTTGAAAGATGAGCAAGATACTGCCTTTGTCATAAAGGAATTCACAGGTTAGAGGGTACAATGGACTGAATGTTTATGTTACCCCCAAATTCATAAGTTGAAATCCTAACCCCCAAGTGACAGTTTGGAGATGGGGCTTTTGGGAGGTGATTTGGCCGTGAGGACATAGCCCTTGTGAATAGGATTAATGCCCATATATAAAAGAGACCTGAGGACTTTGGGAGGCCGAGATGGGCAGATTGCTTCAGCCTGGGAGCTCCAGACCAGCCTGGGCAACATGGCAAAACCCCATCTCTACAAGAAAAATACAAGTTTTTTTCCCTTTCATCATGTGAGGTTACAGTGAGAAGGCGCCATCTATGAGGAAGTGGCCCTCACCAGACACTGAATGTGCCAGCACGTTGATCTTGGACTTCCCAGACTCCAGATTGTGAGGAATAAATTTCTGTTGTTTGTAAGCCACCTGTTCTATGGTATTGTGTTATTACAGCCCAAACAGACCAAGACAGATGGGAAAGCCAGATATGTGAGCAGATTATTGTAAAAAAAAAAAAAAAAAAAAAAGGATTCAGTGCATGGCAGGGGAAAATCTGTGAGTTTAGATTAGGCAGCTCTGCGCAAATGCCAGTGCACTGTCTTGGGTTCTTAACTATAGCTGGCTGGTCAGCTTTGAGAGAAGGGCCTCTTGGGTCATGTCCACTGGACACAGTCCCATTGCTGATTCTGAATAGGGGCCTTGTGCTTTGTGCCTGTCTGTGGTATTATCAAGGTGACCAACCCTGTCTTGGGTCAACCCTGCTTCCTGAGCTGGAATCATCACAGGCTTGCTCGTGGCTACCTCCTTAGATCCCTACCCATTTACCGTCTCACGATTATGGAATGCCTCTTTCCAGAACACTAGCCCTCAACTCATAAATTAATTGTCTCTGCTGGGCCAGTGTGAGGAAGGCATAGGCCTTGGGTGACCTTTGGAAAAGCAATTACCTCTGGCCTCAGCTGTAAATCTAGCAGACCAGGTGTGTCTCCACAAACCGTCACTGTTTTAAAAGTCTGGGGGTTTTGGGCCAGGAGCAGTGGCTCATGCCTGTAATCTCAGCGCCTTGGGAGGCCAAGGTAGGAGTATCACTTGAGCCCAGGAGTTAGAGGCTACAGTGAGCTATTGACCACACCACTGCACTTCAGCATGGGCAACAGAGCAATACCGTCTCAAAAAAAAAAAAAAAAAGTCTGAGGATTTTGGCACATGTAATTGTATACTAGAGAACTAAATTCAACTCAATTATTTTTCAATATGTCAGATAACAAATCCTACCACAATAGGGTTCTACTGTAATTCAAAAAAATCAAATCTTAAAACATTAAATTATTTGTGTTTAGTTCTAGCTGAATTTTCTGCCCCCTGAAATTGTAGAGAAAGAAGAATCATGGAATTTTGATGCTATTTTTTTTAAAGAAGAGTTATTGAAAAATAAATCATAACAATTGAAAAAAGTTTCTGTGTAAATATGGTCAGGAAATCTGCACTCTGGTTAGAATTATGTAACAATTTCCAAAGCAGCTCTGTTTCATAAAAGCAAAGATGCCCAGCTGGGTCGTAATGCAAATGTGGTTTCTTGAAGCTATTTCCCTCTTGGATTGGTAAACTATCTGTAGCTTTATTTTCTTTCCTTTCCTCCTTTATGGTGTGTTTAAAAGAAGAAAGGAGTAAAATAAGATCCACTCAGTCATTAAGAAAACAAGGACAAAGGTTCTCAAACTATAATCAAGGAAATTAAAAAATCTACATTTCTCATGACTTTGCTGTCATTTGAGAAGTCAGCTGGCTGTGGCCGCCGAGGCTCCCACATCAGCCCCAGCCCTACAGATCAAGCTGTGGTCTCCTGGCATTTATTTCCAGGGTGTCTCATTCCATCACAACAAAGCCCCATTCTTGACAGAAAATCAGCATCCAGGACAATTGCGTGGGCTTGGAGGGAACATAATTTTTGGAGGCAATTGCGAGTTTCTGTATGCTGGCCTCATGTTTTAAAATAACTGGGCTTATTTGCTCGGTGAGAAATGTACTCAGTAGAACTGGTCTACGTGGGCAGAATTGCGGCGGTGGTGCCAGGCAGAGCGCTCTGCACGTGGCAAAGTCAACCAGCATCAGCTGAACTGAATTAACTCAATGCCACCCAGTGGGCTCTGCCTTTCATCATGCCCTAATGGACTTGCCCTGACTTTTTTAAAGGCAAGTCCAAAAAATTGGTTTGACATATTTATATACATATTCAATCATTCATTCATTCACTCAACAAATGTTTACTAAGTACCAACCTAGTACCTGTGCCAGGTACTAGGCTAAGTGTTAAGAATACAAAAGACTTCACATGTTAAAACTTAACCTATATTGCCAAGTAGGAGGGCTGTGCTGTTCATTCATTTTCTCATTTATACATTCATTCACCAGGCAGTGGGGATATAAAATGAGTAAGACTCTCGAGCAGAAAGTGTCAGTCCTCAAAGAATTTCTAATGGAATAAGGAAATGTAATTGTCATGGTAAGGACTGTTACAGAGGGTTGCCTTTAATTAATGTATTGTTTATTTCTTCTCTGGAGAGGCTGTTTTTTCTAAGAAGCCTGTCCCAGCTGTCCCTTTGGAACAGATCTATGTTCAAGTATTGTCAATCACTTAAAAAGAGCCAGGCATGGTGGCTCACACCTGTAATCCCAGCAGTTTGGGAGGCCAAGGCGGGCTGATCATCTGAGGTCAGGAGTTTGAGACAGCCTGGCCAACGTGGTGAAACCTCATCTCTCCACTAAAAATACAAAAATTCGCTGGGCGTGGTGGCGGGCGCCTATAGTCCCAGCTGCTCTGGAGGCTGAGGCAAGAGAATCGCTTGAACCAGGAGGCAGAGGTTGCAGTGAGCCAAGATCACGCCATTGCACTCCAGCTTGGGTGACAAGAGTAAAACTCCGTCTCAAAAAAAAAAAAAAAAGAATCTCATGGCTATACCCTTTCCTCCACCCTGAGCCCCAGGAGGGCTTTGTGCCCAAGATGCTCCTTTAGTGCAAACCATACATCTCTCCCTTGCAGAGGCTTGGGAAGCAGTCATCAAAGCAAGGGGAGAGCCCTGGGGTCATCCATGAGGTCATGTTTATGCCAAGCTCTGCTCCTGGCTTGAGGGTTACAGTAAAGAATGAGAATGAGACCCAGGGCTCCTGCCTGCAGGATGCCTGCCTTCTGGGGTAGTCACCAAAGTGTTAAGGGGGTCGGATTGCAGGTGTTAGATGTTCTTCTTTATACTTCAAAAGAGTGTGGTTTTGTCTTGTTTTCACAGACTTTGTGCATTATTTATATAATCAGAAAAATAGACAAGGCTGTTTACATTGTGGTTTTTTTTAAAAAGGAAAAAAAGAAAAGAAGAGGAGGCAGTATGTGGTAGAGGCAGCCATGGAAACCAAGCCCCCTCTGCCTCTCACACCTCACAGGCCTCTGGCTTCAATCCACCCACCACAGGCTCCCTTAAGCATTTCTTTCTTCCTTCATCGTGCGAGAACATCTTTTTTCTCTAGTCTCACTCTTTTAATAAACCAGGCAACATAATGCATGTTAAAGAGCATTTGGAAGTTAAGAGCAAACAAGGGAAATAAAGTAAGACATGTTTATATCACTTTTTTAAAAAGACTGTGAAGCTTAAAGCAAACAACATTGGGAATTATTTTTAATGGGCACAAGGTGATACAGGAAATTCACAGCAGAAGAAATTGCAACAGCCAATGAAACATAAAAAGATATTCAACCTTATTGCCAACCAAAATCTACATAAATAAAAATATTATGGTGGCTTATGCCTGTAATTCCAGAACTTCGGGAGGCCAAGGAGGGGGGATTGCTTGAGTCCAGAAGGTCTACCTGGCCAACATGGCGAAAAAATTAGCCAAGCGTGGTGGCACGAGCCTGTAGTCCCAACTACTCTGGAGGCTAAGGTGGGAGGATCACTTGAGCCCAGGAGGCTGAGGTTGCAGTGAGCTGAGATCACGCCACTGCACTCTAGCCTGGGGGGCAGAGTAAGACACTGTCCTTCCCAAAAAAAACATAATTGAGGGAAGGAGACGCTGCAAATTCCCCCCATCCAAAAACCACACCCTGAGGATGTTTGTCTAAAAAACATTTCAAAAAAGAAAACACACATTAAAAACTGATAATACAGCCCAGGCATGGTGGCTCACACCTGTAATCCCACTGCTTTGGGAGGCCAAGACGGGAGGATTGCCTGAGGCCAGAAGATTGAGACCAACCCAGGCAACAGAGTAAGACCTCATCTCTAGAGTAAAAAAAAAAAACTAGCTGGGTATGATAGTGTGCACCTGTAGTCCCAGCTCCTCAGGAGCCTGGGGCAGGAGAATCACTTGAACCCAGGAATTTGAGGCTGCAGTGAGCTATGACTGCACTACTGCATTCAGCCTAGGTGACAGACTGAGACCTTGTCTCTAAATAAATAAATAATTGATAATACAACAATATTAAGTATCAACTGTGGAACAACTAGAACTCTCATATATTGCTCTTGAAGGTGTGACTTGATACAACCATCTTGGAAAACTCTTTGGCAGAATCTACCAAAGCTAAACATATGCAAACCCTATGACTTGGTAATCCCACTCCCAAATAAACATCTAACCGAAACTGATATGAAGGTGAACCAAAAGGTATGTACCTTCAAGTGGATAGCAAAAAAACTTGAAATGGCCCCCAAAAAATAAAAACAGCCCAAACCTCCATCAGCAAAAGAATGGAAAGTAAACTGATGACTGGTCACCCAATGAAATAGTACATAGCAATGAGAATGAACAAAGTGCACCCACACGAAACCATATGGGTGACCCTCACATTCATAATGTTGAGTAAAAGCAGTCAAGTACAAAAGATCACATAGTATATAATTCCACTTATAAAAAAGCTCAAAAGCAAAACTATAACAATAGAAGTCAGAACTGTGGCTGGGGAAGAGCTGGGAGTGTTCTACACTCTGACCTGGCTTGTGGTCATAGAGGTGAATCCCTCAGTAAAAAATTCATCAAACTGTACACTCCAGGTACACACATGTCACTGTATGTATGTTATTCTTCAAAAACATCATTACAAATAAAATTAGAAAATCGGCCAGACACAGTGGCTCATGCCTGTAATATCAGCAGCACTTTTAGAGGCCAAGGTGGGCGGATCACTTGAGTCAAGGAGTTCCAGACCAGCTGGGCAACATGGCGAAGTCTCATCTCTACAAAAAATACAAAAATTAGTCCCAGCTATTTGGGGGGCTGAGGCGGGAGGATCGCTTGAGTCCTCAAGGTCAAGGCTGCAGTGAGCCACCATGGCACCACTGCACTCCAGGCTGAGCGACAAAGTGAGAACCTGTCTCAAAAAAAATAAAACAGGCCGGGCGTAGTGGCGCGCACCTGTAATTCCAGCTACTCAGGAGGCTGAGGCAGGAGAATTGCTTGTATGTGGGAGGTGGACGTTGCAGTGAGCCGAGATCACACCGCTGCACTTCAGCCTGGGCAACAGAGTGAGACTCTGTCTAAATAAAATGAAATACAATAAAATAAAAGCAGAAAACCATTTACTTCTCAAAATTCAAAGGATTGTGCATTTCCACATATGTTCACAGCTGTGGATATTGTTAGTCTCACACCTATAATCCCAGGTGTGTTGCTGGTGGATGTATAAACGGGTACAGCGTTTCCAAAGGGCAATTTGCCAGAATCTCTAAAGATTTTAAATGTACACACCTCATCAGCAACCCAGCTTCTAGGAATCCATCTCAAAGAAATCATAGTAAAGGTATACAAAGACAAATGTAGAAGGGTGAAAATGACAGCATTATTTTTCACTTTTTTTTTTTTTTTTGTGAGACAGAGTCTCGCTCTGTCACCCAGGCTGGAGTGCAGTGGTGTGATCTCAGCTCACTGCAACCTCCACCTCCCAGGTTCAAGCAATTCTCCTGCCTCAGCCTCTAGAGTAGTTGGGAATACAGGGGTGGGCCACTACGTCTGGCTAATTTTTGTATTTTTAGTAGAGACGGGGTTTTACCATGTTGGCCAGGCTGGTCTCCAACTCCTGATCTCAGGTGATCTTCCCACCTCGGCCTCCCAAAGTGCTGGGATTACAGGCGTGAGTCACTGTGCCCGGCCTATTTTTCACGTTTTTTAACAGAAAAAGAAGAAAAAAAAGGAAACAACCGAAACAATCTAATTTTTTTTTTAAAACCAAGTAATTTATGGGAAGATAGACTGAGCACATGTCATTTAACACCCCTCATGTCCCAAATCCCATGAAGTCAGAGAAGAAGTATCTTAAAGTAAACTAATGTATCCCTAATAGAACAGGAAAAGCATACAGCAGTGTGCCATCAGTGCTTTTGGATCACTTCCTATTCACCCCATTGGTGGAGGAGGGATCTCCCGCCCTCAATAGCATGTGATGGTCAAGGACATGGTACCTGACACTGGACAGAAGAGGCTGGCAGCAGCTTATTGCTCAGAGTCTGGGGGAGAAGGACACCGCCCACCCTGCAGGGCCACATAGGGGCTGCCGTGGGGAGCAGAGTGAGCCAGCAGGGACTGTGGGAGGCAGGCTTTGTAGTGACAAGATGGTGGGGTGACCCTTGGATCCCACATGAGGATGCAATTGGCTTGTTTGAATCTTTTGCCCAGCTGGCAGGAAGGTGAAATCCATTAAGTTGGGGTCTAGGTAGGTAGGGTACAGCTGATCCAGTTGACTGGGGAACCGGCTGGCGGGGAGCCTTTCCTGCTGGGTGGGGAAATATCTAGTTAGTGCCTGGGAATTCATGTTAGGCCCTGTGAGGCCCAAGGATGGAATCACAGGCCTCACAATCTGCAGTGGACCTATATATCAGGAAGCCCTGCAGGATGGACAGCACACAGGATTAGGTGCATGTGGGAGACTCCCAGATAGCAGCCGAGGAGGGGCCTGCTGCCGAGCCAGGAGCGAGTAAGGAAACTGCAAACCCAGGCAAGGAGGAGGGGGTCCTGGCATCTGTCAAGGTGGTGTGGGCACAGCCAGTGTGGGGATGAGGGAGGCTCTGTGGCTCCAGGCTGCTACCAACCCCTGGGGAAGATGGAACTCCCACAGCCAGAGACAACCCACTGGCACCCCCATCGCAGGGGCACACACCCACCCTCACCTCCCCACACACAAAGTCACCAGACGTAGCTGTGGAAAGAAAGCAGGAGATAGGTATCAAGATCGTCTCAAATACACAAATGAGCAGATAAGCAAGAACCACTGAATTGTTGAAGACCGTCAACACTGTGAAAGACACCTACAATAAACGCAGTGAGCTCGGATTCAGTGTTACGGTGACTGGTGATGGCGTCCTTCTTCCCCCACACCTCATTTTCAAATAGGAGCAAGATAAATCGTGTCATGCGATAAGGGGATAAGGGAGGAGAGCATGGAAGAGAGCACAACCAGGTAGGGAAATAACACGTGACCCTCTTCAGAAGTGGGAGGAAGTGGTACGGTCCTTCTTGTCCCAAAGATTCTCCAGATCTACTCTCCCTGGATCAGGCCACAAACAGGGGAGACTCCTGAAAACGCTGCTGCTCTCCATAAGTCCCAGGAAGCCACAAGACCCCAAATTGAACCCATCAATATGTAAGCTGGGGTGGAAAATTGCTACCCGGGAGTATCAAACCACAGCCATGACCAGGATGAATTTGGACCCACAGCCACATCCTGAGAACCAGCTATAGTTGGAGGCTCAGAGCAATCTTCTCACTAACCTCACAATTACACAACCCCACATCTTACCATTTGTGTTTTGGAACACGACATTATGGAAGGGTCTTACTACACCAAACTCAGCAGAACTGACAAAACCTAAAAATTAAAGACATATCATTAAGAGAGCAATAACTTCTAGACTATATTACATTCATTAAACATCAGCTCAAGATACTGGAAAGTAAAACATGTAATGGCTAAAATTTGTTAATCTAATGAAAGATGGACACAGCAGAAGCTTTTGTCAGTGACCCAAGAAATTAAGCTGAGACAGCTTCTCATTAACTCGCCAAAAGTTAAAGAGATAAACAGAACATTATGAAATTGGGAGGGTATTTCTAAAAATGAAGCAAAGCAAGTAGTCAAATCAATGATAGAAAAAAAAAAAGTGTCCCCACATCTGAAGATCTGATTTTTTGGATTGCAGGGCCATTTAGTCCTGAGGAAGAAGAATAATGTAAGATACAACTGTGGCAGACACTGCTAGTTGTCCACGGAAATCTGTCCCTGCCTTCTTCCCAGACATAGGCTAGCCTGCACTCCCATCTCCCTTGTCTCTAGGTGTGAAATGGGAGCCCAGCTCCTCTGTGCAACTTCTGCCTCACCTGCTTAACAGGAAATCCCTGGTGTGGGGCTTTAGACATCCCCCCCACCCCACCACCACACACACATACACCAGCAGTCAGAATTGTGTGTCTCTCTTCTTTCTTTTTTTTCTTTTTGAGACAGTCTTGGTCTGTCGACCAGGCTAGAGTGCAGTGGTGCAATCTCGGCTCACTGCAACCTCTGCCTCCCAAGATCAAGGGATTCTCCTGCCTCAGCCTCCTGAGTAGCTGGGATTATAGGCATGCACCACCATGCCCAGCTAATTGTTTTGTATTTTTAGTAGAGACAGGGTTTCACCGTGTTAGTCAGGCTGGTCTCAAACTCCTGACCTTGTGATCCGCCTGCCTTGGCCTCCCAAAGTGCTGGGATTACAGGCACGAGCCACCATCTCTTCTTTCCACTCCTGATCAATCTTGACAAAATATAAAACCAAACCAAGACAAATCAACTTTGTAAAATAAAGATAAAGTTGGAGGTCTCACACTTTCTGATTTCAAAACTTACTATGATGTGGCGTTGGAATAAAGACAAACATATAGACCAATGGAACAGAATAGAGAGCCCAAAAATAAACCCTCAACATATATGGTTAAATGATTTCAACAAGGGTGCCAAGATCATTCAGTGGGAAAAGGACAGTCTCTTCCACAGATGGTGGATCTCCACATGCAGAAGAATGTAGCTGGACCCATACCTTACACCAAATGTTTGTTGTGAGTTTATTTACTTTTTTGTGTGTGTGGAGACAGGGTCGTGCTATGTTGTCCAGGCTGATCTAGAACTCCTTACCTAGAGACACTGCCAAGGTAAGTGAGGGCCAAGTGGACACTGAGTGATTCTGTGCCTCACTGAGCAAAAATAACTAAACATGGGCGAAGGAGAGCCCAATGATCCCAGGGACAAAATGTCATCACGGGCATTCTGCGCACGCTTGCCAGGATACAGGAGAAGCAACCAGACACTTCATTCATCTTCTCAGAATGTTCATTAACATGTTCAGAAAGGTGGAAAACCTTACTTGCTAAAGAGAAGGAAATTGGAGGCATGGCCAAAAGTATTCAAGGCCCTTTATGAAAAAGAAATGAAAACTGATATCCCTCCTAAAAGAGAAGTAAAACAGAAATTCAGAGATTCTAATGCACCCGAAAGGCCTCCTTTGGGCTTTCACTTTGTGTTCTGAGTACTGCCCTCAAATCAAAGGAGATCCCGGTCTGTCCACTGGCAGTGATGCCAAGAACCTGGGAGGGACATGAGTGACCATGCTGCAGATGGCAAGCAGCCCAAAAAGAAGGCTTCTCAACTGAAGGAAAAGTACCAAGAGCAGAATGCTGCATATCCAGCCAAAGGAAAGCTGATGTGGCAAAAATGATGCTGTCAAGGCCGAAAAAGGCAAGAAAAAAAAACAAAGCGGAGAAAGACAGAGAAGGTAAGGAAAATAAAAAATGAAGTCGATGATAATGACAAATAAGGTGGTTCTATGGCAGCTTTTTTTTTTTTCTCTTGTCTATAAAGCATTTAACCTACCTGGACACAGCTCATTCCTTTTAAAGAAAAAAATTGAAATGTAAAGCCACCTAAGATTTATTTGTAAACTGCATGATGGCGTTCTTTTTCTGTTTTTGTATTATTAACAAGAATTATCAAGTAATTCTTCAGACAACCCTGTCCTGGTGGTATTTTGTATAGCCACCAACTTTGCCTGGTATACTATAGGGGTTATAAATCAGCATGGGAATTTCAAATTTAAGGCACAGTATAAGTTAGTTATATACAAATGTGAAGTAACATTATTAATTAAACTGTTGGCCTGTGCGAAGGGAGGGCCAACTGTGGGATTCAGTCATTCATTCAACAAATATTGGTGAGTGCCTGACACTGTTCCAGGCACTGAGGCTATTGCAACAAAACAGACACAAGCTCCTGCCCTCATGGAGCTTACATTCTGGTGAGGGATACAGAGCCACCAAAAAGGATGGCAGCTGGGCCATGAGAAAGGATCAAAGTCAGGAAGTTAGAATTCGGGGATGGATTGAACATGGGACAAAAGAGAAGAGTCAAGTTGACTACAAAGCATTTGGCCTAAGTAATGCAAAGAATGGTGGGCCATTTCCTGAGATGGGAAGCACTAGGGTAGTTTTGGACATAAATGGAGATGCATATAAGCCATCCAAACTGAAATATTGAGAAGGCAGTAGGTGATAGTTGGCTTTCCTTAGGTTCTAGGGCAGGAATTCTTAACCTTTTGTGTGTGTGCCTAGGACCCCTTTGGTGGTCCATGAAGCCCTTTCCAGAATAAATATTGTGGAGGAACCTACCTTAATGCAATAGTAGCTTCTAGGTACATTATCAGGCAAACTATCCCACAAGTTACAAAACAGAAAGCCTCACAGACCAAATTATGATGCTTGAATTGCAGGGTTTATTGAATCAGTTTAAAACCACTTACAGCAAGAACTCGATGGGGTGCATAACATACACAGGATAGGGTACAGGCGAGGCAGATGGACCACACCACCAGAACCTAGAATTAGGGAATCCTCCCCTCCCCTCCCCTCCCACCCCTCCCCCCTTCCCCCTCCCCTCCCCTCCCCTCCTCCCCTCCTCTCCCATCCTCCCCTCCCCTCCCATCCTCCCCTCCCCTCCCCTTTTCTCTTCTTTTCTTTTTTTGAGACTGTCTCACTATGTTGCCCAGGCTGGAGTGCAATGGCGTGATCTCGGCTCACTGCAACTTCCACCTCCTGGGTTCAAGCGATTCTCATGCCTCAGCCTCCCGAGTAGCTGGGATTACAGGCACGCACCACAATGCCCAGCTAATTTTTGTATTCTTAGTAGAGACGGGGTTTCACCATGTTGACCAGGCTGGTTTTGAACTCCTGACCTTAGGTGATCCACCCGCCTCAGATTCCCAAAGCGCTGGGATTACAGGCATGAGCCACTGCACCTGGCTAATATTGATATGTTTTCCCTCTCTCTGCCGCATCAGCCTGTCCCACTGACAGAGTTGAGGATGCTCAAGGCGGCTCAACAGAGGGTACCTGGAGCAACTCACACTGCACTATCAGAGAGACACAAGTGCAAGCACACTCAGCCACAGCTGCAGCTCACCAATCAGCCTGCTGAACAGACCTGAACTTTAGCTGCATTTTTGGGGCAGAGCATATGGGTGCCAGGATGGGACCATAATCTTATCACCAATGAGTGGCCATTTAGGGATGATATAGTTGTCAACCCAGAGATGGCATGATCATGCCTTTTGACTTGGTCATTCTCTAAGTAAAACTTTTATTTGTTCCATCATATTTTCCACTTATTCTGTTTACCTTCAAAATATCTTTTTTTTTTTTTTTTGAGACAGGGTCACACTGTCACCCAGGCTAGAGTCCAGTGGCACTATCATGGCTCACCACAGCCTCAACCTTCAGGGCTCAGGTGATCCTCCCACTTCAGCCTCCCGAGTAGATGGGACTACAGGCACCTGCCACCACCCCCAGCTAATTTTTGTAGAGACAAGGTTTTGCCATGTTGTCCAGGCTGGTCTTGAACTCCTGGGCTCAAGGGATCCGGCCACCTCAGCCTCCCAAAGTGCTAGGATTATAGGCATGAGCCACTGTGCCCAGCCTACCTTCAACGTATCTAACTGGTTACTAACTTTTAGGATTCGGCCTATGTCTCACAACCTTCTTGCTTACTCAACATCCTTGTCTCTTAAGCCACTAGCTTCTTCTCTATGGTTAACACTTTTTATGAGTTTTATTCATCTGCTTATTTTTCTTATCCTCTATACCAGAATTGAATATTTTCAAATAAAGCACACTCATGTTACAATCTTTGAAATGAAAAAAAAAAATGCATAGGATTAGAAAAGAAACCAATTTTAATAAACTATATTTTGAAGTATAGTTCTATATTAAACAACAAGATCTAGGCCAGGTGCAGTGGCTCATGCCTGTAATCCCAGCAATTTGGGAAGTCGAGGTGGGAGGATTGCTTGAGGCCAGGGGTTCAAGACCAGCCTGGGCAACATGGAGAGATTCCCCATCTCTTTCTTTACACACACACACACACACACACACAAAATATCTGATAGCAACAGGTGCAGTCATTACCACAATTTCGAGTAGTGATGAGCTTAATAATATTTCGAGTTATCACCAACA
This sequence comes from Homo sapiens, assembly GCF_000001405.40. NCBI lineage: Eukaryota > Metazoa > Chordata > Mammalia > Primates > Hominidae > Homo > Homo sapiens. Next base: position 226,408,925 of record NC_000001.11, on the reverse strand, counting down.
ACTGTAAAGTAACATGAAAACGTCTGTGATGACTATTGCCCACAAAGTCACAGGTACTGCTAATACTCCTGGTATTTGTAGTCAAATTCATAATAAAGGAAATGCTAGGTTTCAGTTGGTATTTTGTCCCGACGGTCTGTGGACGGCAGGTTAGAACGCCCGTCCAAGCCAGGAGGGTGGACCTAGCACTGCAGGGTCCACCTCGGGCCAATCAACTATATTCCCGAGGCGGGGGCCTGCGCTTCCCGGACCCAGCTGCCCTCAGGGGAGAGAGGACACACTTAAGAGTTTGGGGCCGGCGTGGTAGCTCATGCCCCTGATCCCAGCACTTCGGGAGGCTGAGGCGTGAAGATCACTTGTAGCAGGAGTTTGAGACCAGTCTAGCCAACTTGGCGAGACCCTGTCCCTAAAAAAAATTTTTTTTTAATTAGCCAGTTGTGGTGAGCGCCTGTAGTCCCAGCTACTCGGGAGGCTGAGGTGGGAGGATCGCTGGGCTCAGGAGTTCCAGACTGCAGTGAGCCATGATGGCGGCACTGCACTCCAGCGCGGTGAGACTCAGTCTCAAAAATAAAAGGGGGAGGGGTTGGGGGTAAAATTAGTTGTGAAATCAAGTAAGACTTCCTGGGACAGAACAATCAAAGGGGTGGCGCCGGGTCCTCCAAAGAGCTACTAGCTCAGCCCAAGCCCCGCCTCGGCCCCCAGGGCAGCGGCCCGCAGAGCTCCACCCGGCAGGCGCCCGGGAAACTCCGCCCCCCGGCCGGCAGGGGGCGCGCGCGCCGCCGGCCCCGCCCCGTGGACGCGGGTTCCGTGGGCGTTCCCGCGGCCAGGCATCAGCAATCTATCAGGGAACGGCGGTGGCCGGTGCGGCGTGTTCGGTGGCGGCTCTGGCCGCTCAGGCGCCTGCGGCTGGGTGAGCGCACGCGAGGCGGCGAGGCGGCAGCGTGTTTCTAGGTCGTGGCGTCGGGCTTCCGGAGCTTTGGCGGCAGCTAGGGGAGGATGGCGGAGTCTTCGGATAAGCTCTATCGAGTCGAGTACGCCAAGAGCGGGCGCGCCTCTTGCAAGAAATGCAGCGAGAGCATCCCCAAGGACTCGCTCCGGATGGCCATCATGGTGCAGGTGCGGGCCGCTGTGCGGGCGGCGGGGCGGGGACGCGGCGCCCCGGGTTAACTGTGTCCGGGAAGGCTGGGGGAGGGCGGGCCCAGGGAGCGAGCGGGCCCGGGCCCTCGGAGCGGCACTTGGGGCCTATGGGGCCGCGGCCGCCCCTCCTCCCGAGCGGCCCGGCCGACCCTTCCGGAAGGTTTTGCTGATGTTGCAGGAAAAGCCCGGGAAATAAAGTCTGCAGCTGGTGTTGCCTTTCGCTTTGTGAAAACGAGGAGCCTCTTCTCTTCTCCTTTCTGGGTGGCGGTGTTTTATTACTGCCGTTCGCCTCAGGGGTTGGGGGGGAATTGTACATGGTCTCTTTAAGCTAATCTGATTTTGACCTATCTTGTTCTGGAGGGTTTTTGTTCTACATGGATGGTGGCGACTGACATGTGGGTTTTTTTTTTTTTTGTTAAACCTATTTTTGGCAGTCATTTCAACACGTCATTTAAACGCTCACTCTCATTTTTTATTTTAATTAGGCAGAACTATGCAGAAAGGTGTCATTTCTGTACAGTACATTCACTTTGAGCCTAATTTGTGCTTTAAAGTAACATTTTCCCCAAATTTTCCAGATTCACAGACGCGTTCTCTTGGTGCATTTGCAGCTGTCTGGTTTGAGTAAGAGTGGCTCCAGGGGGGTTTCTCATGTGGGCTTTTTGATAGATTGAATCCCCTTCTGAGGTTTCCTGAGCCTTCTGTGAGGTGGTGGGCTTGAAGGCCCCTGTCATTTCCCAGGGGCTCCTGCCTCCAGCTTCCAGTTTGCCGATGTCTACCTTTGTATTAATAATTCTGGTTCTCATCTGCCCTGTTCCTCCTCGCTTCCAACATATTACCCAAGCTTAGTGCTCATGGTCAAGGTAGCTTGATTTTCCTCCCTTCCATGAGCTGTAATGTGTTTTAGGAATGACCAGATATCCCTCAGTGGATTTTCAGTACTTAGTACAAGGGAGGGCGACATTTACCGAGTGGATACCCAAGTGCCAGGTGTACTTCCGTTATCTTATTTCACAATATGCCTGTCATCTTGGTGTCCTCGGGGCATACCTAAGTCAGTACGTGGCACACAGTGCTTATTTGGTAGGCATTTTTTAAGTTCTAAGCACTCTGTTAGGTTTTAAGGACACAGAATCCACCTTTGGGAATTTCCAGTTTGGTTAAACGGGAAATGACTGGTAAACAAACGTTACCGTAAGAGAGGATGGATGCCACCTGATGGAGCTGTGCTCTAGGCATTGTGTGCCTAGGAGTCCGAGATGACCCAGCTAAGGGTGGAAGCTTGATTAGGAGTCGTTAATTCACAGAAGTGGAGCAGAAAGATGAGAATAGGGAAGTAGACAGGGCCTACAATTTGAAGAGCCTTGTTGCCCACTAAGGAACCTAGAACTTACTTTGAATATACAAGGCAGCCTGTTATGAAGTTCTCACTCCTGGTGCAGGAGCTCTTAACCCAGGGTCTGTGGGATGGTAGGTAGAAGGCAAGAGGTCCATGAGTTTAGATAAGAAAAAATTGATATCTCCATCTCCACTAACCTCTAGATAAAATTATTTCCTCTAATCATAAATGTAAGCAGCAAAGCAAAGGCATATTAGCAGTCCCTATTTTTTTTTCACCAGTGATAATTACAGATATTTTCATATCACTTTACAGTTGGAAGTTTTTCAAAATATAATTTACTCTCATTGCTACAAAAATCACAGTTATTAGAGGCTGTACTAGATCTTGTTATTTAATGCTTAAAAGCTCACGGGTTACTGTACCCAAATTACCTTTCAAATGTTTTGATAATTATCTCAGTGTTTCCTTTTCGAGCCTTTTTGTTTGTTTTGTTTTTTGAGATGGGGTCTCACTATGTTGCCCAGGCTGGTCTCAAACTCCTGAGCTCAAGCGATCCATGCACCTCGGCCCCACAAAGTGCTAGGGTTACAGGCATGAGCCACCGTGACTGGCCATTTGCGAGCCTTTTTATTACGCATTTTTAAATGTTATTCTGAGAAAGGGACATCCAGGCGCCTTAACAGGTGGGCAGAGTACCGTGTTCTGGTGGAAAGACAAACAAAACCCAAGTCCAGACTGTGTTGAGGCTAGAACAACACCGCTGTGGAGGAAGTTAGAGGAGGCTTAGCTGTGGGGGAGGCCGGATGGAGGAAACTGAACCTGATCAAGTTTAGCATTCTGGGGCCGGGCTTGGTGGCGCATGCTTGTAATCTCAGCACTTTGGGAGGCTGGGGTGGGCAGATTACTTAAGCTCAGCAGTTTGAGACCAGCCTGGCCAACATGGTGAAACCTGTCTCTACAAAAAAATGCAATGATTAGCGGGTCGTGGTGGTGCGTGCCTGTTAAGTCCCAGCTACTCCGGAGGCTGAAGCTGGAAGATTGCTTGAGCCTGGGAGGTGGAGGTTGCAGTGAGCTGAGATAGTGCCACTGCACTCCAGCCTGGGCGACAGACCCAGACCCAGACCCAGACCCTGTCTGAAAAAAAAAATAGTAATAACAACATTCTGGGCTTTCCTTTGGTATACTTGATAGTGAAAGAAACTCTTTATTATTAAAAGTAACTGTGATTTTTATGTAATGGTGATTAAGGGTGGATTCAGAGTTTTAATTCAGAATTTAAAGTTGGTCTGGTAGACTGAGCTGGTGAAGGCCAAAAAGAAAGAAGCCTTTTCACTTGCTTGAATTTAAATACCTTCTTTTACATTTACATGGGAGTATTGTTCTCTGAGTATCTGATACCTGACACTTTAGCCCTCATGCCTGGGGCATCTTGGGAGGGATGAGCTGGGCCCTCCAGCATTTTGGTGGGAGGAGGATGGCGGTAGACCTTTGAGTTGCTCTGTCCTGGGAGGGTTTGAGCACCCGGAGGCATGCAGTGAGGTCAGTTCATTCTCTCTGTGGCCTAGGTGGACAGGTAGCATGGCCTGTTCTGCACAGAAGGGAACCCAGTTCACCAGCTGCTGGTTGGGTGAGGACCCTGGTATGTTAGGTGCTCAGTTTTTGCTTGGGTGCACAGCCAAAGATTCTGTGCCTTGCCTCAGCTGTGCAGCTAACAAATGGAGTCGATAGTCTTGTGACCTTGGTTTGGTGCCTTTCTGCCACATCATTCTCAGTCCTGAGTTTAGGGCAAAGCATTGCTTTGGTCAGGGGTGCTTCTGCTGAGGCTCTTGTCCTCTAAGCTTGTGCTGTGATTGCACCATTGGGCAGCACCTCCAGGGTGTCCAGCACTGTGCCGGTGGTTGGGGGAGACAGCACCCAGACCAAAGGGCAGCAGGTCTGGGGCCCCTGGCAGAGCCAGGAAGAAGTGCCATAGCCATTACCTGTGCTCTTTATACAAGGGTAACTGGAACATTGCACAGGAAGGGTAGACAAGGGGTAGACAAGCAGGCAGAGCCAGGTCGAGGCCATTGCAAATATTCCATGATAGCCAGATGCTTAGGGATCTGTATCAGCAGCCTAATTGAGATCTGGTGGAACGTTTGAGAGTTGGAACATGAGTATGCTCTCAGAAATGCCATTTGTTGTCTCTTCTACAGCAGGAATTTCCCCATCCTTCCTTTTTTGTTCCATCTGACTTGGAGCCCTAAGCAAACACTGCGTGCCCTCTGTGACATGTTGCTAGAGAATAGCAAGATAGGCCCTTATGAAATAATCACCAAATGCATAGTTCTTAGTGAGGGGAGCTGTGGAAGGAGCATTGGGAGATCTGAGGGAGTGCTCTGAACAGGGCTGGAGAGCATTCCAGACCCAGGGGAAAGCTGATGTTGAGGAGTCCTTGTGCTGCCATAGTCTTAGCTGTGCATTTTAATACATCACATCCAGAAAGAGGCCACTCACAGTGGAGAGAGATAGTGGGGTACCTTATCATTGCTTTTCCAGAGTATTTTCCCTGTCCCCGCAACTCCATCCTAAAAATTCAGCACATTTACTTTTAATGCTGTTTTAATAGTCTTATTGCATCTGTGTGACATTTAGCTTTATGTTCTATAAAAGCAGATGTTTGGGACTTCCCTTACTTTAGTCAGATCACAGTTGGTGTATTTTTAAGTAGCTCTTCCTGCCGGGCAGTGGAGTGTGGTGGGAGGAATCATAGTGTCAAATCATTCATTTGCTGCCTCTGTGACTCCCAACCCCCCAGGCAAGGATTTCCAGCCCCACTGTCTCCATCTGTGAATGAAAGGGCTGGTTCCCACCCAGAGGCAGATTGTGGGATTACACAGGATGGCTTATGAAAGGAGCAGGGACACACACTACATACTGTGTCTTCCCCTTCTTCCCAATCGCTGTCACCGTCCACTCTGTAAAGCCAGGACTGGGTGCAGTGGTTCATGCCTGTAATCCCAGCACTTCGGGAAGCCGAGGCGGGCGGGTCACGAGGTCAGAAGTTCGAGACCAGCCTGGCCAACATGGTGAAGCCCCATTGCTACTAACAATACAAAAATTAGCCAGGCATGGGTGGCACGTGCCTGTAGTCCCAGCTACTCAGGAGGCCGAGGCAGGAGAATCGCTTGAACCCAGGAGACAGAGGTTGCAGTGAGCTGAGATCGCACCACTGCACTCAGTGCAAGACTCGGTCTCAAAAACAAAGCCAGACAGTGCTCGAGGCCTGGGAGCAGAACCTGACCCTGTCACAATGAAAGGCCTAGTGGGAAGCAAACCACCTGGAGAGGGGAACTGTGTTCCCTGTGGCCAGACTTCTCAGGTCCTACGCCTGGGAAACTGCGCCCCAGAAGGCCAGTGAGCAGCTGACTCCAGCTCTAGGCATGCTGCCCCGAACCATCCGCTGTCACAGTTGCCTCAAAGACCTCCATTCATTCCACTCCCATCTGTGTGGCTGCTGCAAGCTTGACACTTTTTTCTGACACACTTTCTCTGCTTTGCTCATTATCTGGGACTTGTTCCTTGTTATTCTTAACTGCAGAGGCACTTAAAGAGCCCTTTTCTGGGGCACACAGGCCCTTTGAGTCCAGGCAAGCCTGGAGCAGTTGTCTGGCCATTCCCAGCAGATGCTGCAGGATTGTGACTCTGCACAAGTGTCTTCTGTGCATTTCACTAGGCCATGAGGCAGCTCACCACTAAATGTAGCAGTGTGTGGTCAAAAGGGACGTGGGGCAGAGCTCAGTGGTAAAAGGCCACCTTTCTCGTGGCTGTGTTTGGTGTCCTAAGAGAATGAGCTCAAGAACAGTGGGCTACAGTCTTCTGACCCTTGGGGAAGATCGTGAGAAGGATGCTGCAGCTCTTCATGTGAGAGCGGAGGCTGTCCTCCTTTCACAGATAGGAGAACAAAAGTTTCATGTGCTATCCCACTGCTGGGGCTGGGACTGGGGTCGAGGTCAAGGTCAAGGTCTAGTGGGTCTAAGTCAAAAGTTAACTGCTTACTTACTTCCCTCTGTTTCTCTTCCTTCTAGTCGCCCATGTTTGATGGAAAAGTCCCACACTGGTACCACTTCTCCTGCTTCTGGAAGGTGGGCCACTCCATCCGGCACCCTGACGTTGAGGTGGATGGGTTCTCTGAGCTTCGGTGGGATGACCAGCAGAAAGTCAAGAAGACAGCGGAAGCTGGAGGAGTGACAGGTGTGTACATACTGGGGCAGCATGGGCATTCAGCCCCCACCCTGAAGCTCCCAGGAGGGCCTCGTCTCAGAGAGCAAAGCAAACCTCCCCCAGCTTGCCCTCTCCCACATGTGCAGATCAAGCGTATGGTGCCCATGTTATTTCAGCAACACCTCCTGGACTCAGCATCATCTGTTGCATGATATTTGGTATTTTGTTTTTCCAGGTGCTTGGAATGTAGCCTTTAAAGTTGTTTTGTTTTTAATATACTTTATTTTTGTTCATGGCAAAAGTAAGCAAAGAACAAAGAGTTTCCAGTACCCCCTCCCCCTCCCACCACACAGGCTCTTCCTTGTCAACACCTCCCACCAGAGTAGTACATTTGTTATAATTGAGGAACCTACACTGACACATCATTATTGCCCAGAGTCCAGAAACTCCTGATGCTCTACATTCTATGGGTTTGGACAAATGTATGATGACATGCATCTGCCATTATAGTATCATACAGAGTAGTTTCAGACCTGCACCCTTCTGCAGCCCCCTTAAGATTAAGGAAGAATAGCTCATCTCTGAGAGGGGAATGAGGTAGGAGGTGGGGCTCAGACACCAAACCAAACCGAGGACTAACTAAAGCAGGGACAGGGACGAAGCAGCTTTCCATAAAACACCCACCAGTGTGCCATATCAGTTTACCATTGCCATGGCAATACCCGGAAGTTACCACCCCTTTCTGTGACAACAATCTGATGACCTAAAAGTTACCACCCCGTTTCTTAACATGTCTGCATAGTCTGCCCCTTAATTTGCATATAATTAAAAGTGGGTGTAAATATGACTTCAGAACTGCCTTTGAGCTGCTGCTCTCAGCACAGTGCCTGTGGGGTAGCCCTGCTCTGCAGGAGCAGTCACAGAGCCATAACACTGCTGCCTCAATAAAGCTGCTTTCTTCTACCACGAGCTCGCTCTTAAATGCTTTCCAGAGCGAAGCCAAGGACCCGCCCAGGCCAATCCCCAATTTAGGGCTGGCCTGCCCTGCATCAGTTTCACTGCTCTAAAAATCCCCTGTTTATCCCTCCTAATTCCTGACAACCACTGCTCTTTTTACTGTCTCCACAGTTTTCTCCTTTTATGTCTTCTCCCATGTCTTAGTACAGGTCACGTCAGGTGACATAGCAGAGCAGAAAGCAAAGCTATTAAAAGCTTTATTAGGAGAGGTAATCCTAGGGCAGCAAGAGAGAGGGAGGAAGGGGAGGCAGGAGGGCAAGCACAGTGCCATACGCTGTCAAGCTGGCCATGGCTTCATGAGAAACAGCCAATGGCTTGGTCATGCAGGATGCCCTCACGCAAGTCCTTTGCCACTAAGCTTCAGAAAAGCCCCTCGGAGCAGGAGGAAGGGAGCAGCATTATCCATTGGTTCTTTCTGCCTCTTGTTTCTCATTGGTTTTAGCTCGCTGGAGGTGCTGTGGTTCTCTGCACTTCCAGACTGTGTTCCTGGCCTCTGCACAGTCACGCCCTGCAGCCAGAGCTGCCTCTAGATCTGGAAGTGGCGGGAGGACTCTCAGTCCCTGGTTTTGAAAGAGTTGGCCTGTTGGTGACAGTGCTGTGTTTGTTACTGTGGTGGTCACTACAGGGTGGGTATGCCAGGGTGTGGCCCTTACCCTGAGGCAGTGACAGTGCTAGGGAACAAGGCTGTGGCACCAGCAGCCACTGTCAGGTAGCCCACCCTGGGGATACAGATGAACTACATCCAGTACGTGTAATTTTATGGTTCCTTATTTCTTTTAACATCTAAATGTTTACTCTATTTGAGAGTTATCCCGGTGTGTGCTGATGTGTGGTGTGAGGCGTGACTCCAGTTTTATTTTTTTCCAGATGATGATCTAGTTTCCCTACTTTGTTTTTTTGTTGTTGTTTTTGTTTTTGTTTTGTTTTCGAGATGGAGTCTCACTCTGTTGCCCAGGCTGGAGTGCTGTGGCATGGTCTTGGCTCACTGCCACCTCCGCCTCCCGGGTTCAGGCGATTCTCCTGCCTCAGCCTCCCGAGTAGCGTGGTGCCTGCCACCATGCCCAGCTAATTTTTTGTACTTTGTTTATTGGCTTATTCATCTCCCCCATTGAGAGGTGTCTTGTATCATGCACAAAATCTCTGTATTTTGGGGTCCTTTTAAAAATTTCTGTTCCATTGTCTGTTTAACCTTTTTTTATATGTAAACTTTTTTCGTTGTTGTTGGAGACGGATTCTCGCTCTGTCACCCAAGCTGGGGTGCAGTGGTGTGATCTCGGCTCACCGTAAGCTCCGCCTCCCAGGTTCATGACATTCTTCTGTATGTAGACTTTTTTTCTTATAGCAGTTTTAGGTTCACAGCAAAATTGAGTAAAGTACAGAGTTTCCATATACCCGCTAGCCCTACCCACCCCACACATACACAGACTTTTGTCCACAATCAACATCGCCACCAGAGTGGTCCATGGTTATAGCTGATGAGCTACATTGACACATCGTTATCGGAGTGGTCCATGGTTATAACTGATGAGCCACATTGACACATCGTTATCCCTCGAGGTCTGTAGTTTACATGAGGGCTCACTCTTTGCATTGTACATTCTGTCAGTTTTAACAAACATACATTGACATGCATGTACCTTTATGGTAGCCTCCAGAGTCCTTTCACTGCCTGGGAAATCTCTGTGCTTTGCCTAGTCATTCCTCCCTCCCCTCTAACCTCCAGTAACCACTGATCTTTTTGCTTTCTCCATAGTTTTTCCTTTTCCAGAATATAATATAGTTGGAATCATACAGAAGGTAGCCTTTTCAGATTGGCTTCTCTCACTAGCAATGTGCTCTTAAGATTCCTCCATGTCGAGCCGGGCACGGTGGCTCACATCTGTAATCCCAGCACTTTGGGAGGCCGAGCCCAGCAGATTACGAGGTCAGGAGTTCGAGACCAGCCTGGCCAATATGGTGAAACCCTGTCTCTATTAAAAATACAAAAATTAGCCGGTGTGGTGGTGTGCACCTGTAGTCCCAGCTACTCGGGAGGCCGAGACAGGAGAATTGGTTGTACTGGGAGGCGGAGGTTGCAGTGAGCCGAGATCATGCCACTGCACTCCAGCCTGGCAACAGAGCGAAACTCCATCTCAAAAAAAAAAAAAAAAAAAGATTCCTCCATGTCTTGTCGTATTGATAGCTCATTTCTTTTTATTACTGAATAATATTCCATTGTCTGGATTACCACAGTTTGTTTATTCATTGACCTGCTGAAGGACATCTTGATTGCTTCCAAGTTTTGGTGATTATGAACAAAGCTGCTAGAAACACCCACCATGTGCAGGTTTTTATGGGGACATAAGTTTTCAACTCCTTTGGGTAATCAAGGAGTACAATTGCTGGATCATGTGGTAAGAGTATATTTAGTTTTGTAAGAAACTGCCAAGCTGTCTTTCAAAAAGCTGAATCATTTTCCATTCCCACCAGCAATAGATGAGAGTTCGTATCATTATACATCTTTGCCAGCATTTGGTGTTATCATTGTTTTGGATTTTGGCCATTCCAATAGATATATAGTATTTTATTATTGTTTTAATTTGCATTTCCCTAATACTGTAATTATCTTGAACATCTTCTCATACGTTTATTTACCATCTGTATATCTTTGGTGAAATGTCTTTTGCCTGCCCCTACCCCCACTTTTTTTTTTTTTTTTTAAGACTGTCTTGCTCCGTCGCCCAGGCTAGAGTGCAGTGGTGTGATCACAGTTCGCTGCAGCCTTGACCTCTGTCTCCCACCTCAGCCTCTTGAGTAGCTGGGACTACAGGTGCGCACCACCATGCCTGGCTAATTTTTTTAAATTTTTTGTAGAGACAGGGCCCCACCTTGTTGCCCAGACTGGTCTCAAACTCCTGGTTTTGCTCTTTTTAAAATCACATTGTTTGTTTTCTTACTGTTGAGTCCTAAGAGTTCTTGGTATATTTTGGATAACAGCCCTTTGTCATATGTCTTTTGAAAATATTTTTTCTCAGTGTGTGGCTGGTCTTCCGCAGAGCAGAAGTTCTTAATTTTGTGAAGTCTAGTTAATCAGTTACTTCTTTAGTGGATTGGGCTTTTGGTGTTTGTAAAAAGTCATCACCAGACCCAAGGTCATATAGATTTTCTTCTAGAAGTTTAACAGTTTTGTGTCTTACATTTAGGTCTGTTATCCATTTTGGTTACTTTTTGTGAAGGGTGTAAGGTCTGTGTCTAGATTCCTTTATTTTTTTTCTTTTTTTTTTTTCGCATGTGGATGTCCAGTTGTTACAGCTCCGTTTGTTGAAAAGACTATCTTTTCTCCATTTTTGCCTTTACTTTTTTGTCAAAGATCAGTGGACTGTGCTTGTGTGGCTCTGTTTCTGGGCTCCCTGTTCTGTCCCACTGATCTACGTATCCTTTTGCCAGTACCACACTGTGTTGACTGCTGTGGCTTCATAGTAAGTCTTTAGGTTGGGTAGTGTCAGTCCTCCAACCTTGTTACTGTCATGGCAGAAGGCAGAGGAGAAGCCGGCAGTTGACATGGCCGGAGCAGGAGGAAGAGAGTGAAAGGGGAGGTGCTACACATTTTTCAACAACCAGATCTCAGGAGAACTCACAAGTATCATGACACAGCACCAAGGGAGAAATCTGTCCCGGTGATCCAGTGACCTCCCACCAGGCCCCACCTCCAACATTCGGGATTATAATTTGATAGGAGATTTAGTGGGGACACAGATCCAAACCATATCACTGTCTGCCCTTGCAGCAGCTGGTCCTTGCAGCTGTTGGTATGTCTGACTAGCTGCTTACTGCAAACAGGTTAGTAACGGCTCAGAATTGGGAATTTTAAAAAGTAAATAAATTTGCCAAGAAAGGGTTCAGAGGGTGAGTATGTCAGATTTAACAGAGGACAGCTCTCATTCTGTTGCCTAGGCTGGAATGTACCGGCATGATCTTAGCTCACTGCAGTTTCTAACTCCTGGGCTCAAGCAATCCTCCCACGTCAGCCTCTGGAGAAGCTAGGACTACAGTTGCCCAACTAATTTTTTAACTTTTTTTTTTTTTTTTTTTTTAAGATAGAGACAGAGTCTCACTGTGTTGCCCAAGGGATCTTGCTTGGCAAGACCCCAGGCTGGTCTCAAACTCTTGGCTTCAAACAATCTCACCTCTGCCTCCCAAAGCACAGGGTTTATAGGCATGAGCAAATACACCTGGCTGACATTTTTGTTGTTCTGTGGCTGTTTTCTCTTTTGTATTCAGGATAGGGGAAGTTGTAGGTTTAGGGGCATAGATATGTTATATCTAGTTATAATTTAAATATACCTGAGTACATAGATAATCTCTGTCACCCAGGCTGGAGTGCAGTGGTGCCATCTCAGCTCACTGCAACCTCTGCCTCCCGGGTTGCTGGGATTACAGGTGTGTGCCACCACACCTGGCTGGGTATTTTTAGTAGAGATAGAGTTTTGCCATATTGGCCAGGCTGACCTAAGTGTAATTTTATAATATGAAAAGGCATAATGATTTTACTGAAAATGTGTCTTTTTGTGAAACCATCATAACCATACAGTTAGGATACTACCTACTAATTGTCCAGGGATTTTTCATCCAGAGAGCCTAACTTACTATTTTTAGATATATGAAAAGTTTAATTCATCCCAAATCCTCTAATTCAGAAATGACTTATTAACATGTGGGATATCTCCATAGAAAATACTAATTTGCTTGTGAGTGTGCTTGATTTTCTTTCTTTCCTGCAGAATTGAGATCCTACTCTAAGTATCACTTTTCTTACTTGATTTTTTTTTTTTTTTGGTGGCAAAATAGGCATAACATAAAATTTACCTTAACCCTTTTCTTTTTTTAAAAAAAAATTTTTTTGAGACAGGGTCTTGCTCTGTCGCCCAGGTTGGAGTACAGTGGCGCAATCATGGCTCACTGCATCCTCTGTCTCCCGGGTTCAGGCGATTCTTCTGCCTCAGCCTCCCAAGTAGCTGGGATTACAGGTGTGCGCCACCACGTCTGGCTAATTTTTGTATTTTTAGTAGAGATGGGGTTTCACTGTGTTGGCCAGGCTGGTCTTGAACTCCTGACCTCAGGTGATCTACCTGCCTCGGCCTCCCAAAGTGCTGGGATTATAGGCGTGAGCCACTGCGCCTGGCCTGTCTTAACCATTTTTAAGTGTAGAGTTCAGTGGCATGAAGTAGATTCACATTGTTAGGCAAACATTACCATCATCCAGCTCCAGAACTTTTTCATCTTCCCAAACTGAAACTCCCAATCCATTAAGCAATAACTGCCTGTTCTCCCTGCCCCTCATGACCGCTGTTGCTTCTGTCTCTGTGAAGTTGACAACTCTAGCACCTCATGTAAGTGGAGTTAGACAGTATTTGTCCTTTTGTGTCTGGCTTACTTCACTCAGCATAGTTCTTCTGGGTTCGTCCGTGTTGCAGCATGTGTCTGAATTTCCTTCTTTTTAAAGACATAATAAACATTAATTGCACGAATATGCCATATTTCATTTGCCCATTTGTATGTCTGTGGAAATTTAGGTGGTTTCTGCACTTTGTTTTTTGTTTTTTTTGAGACAGAGTCTCACTCTTGCCCAGGCTGGAGTGCAGTGGTGCAATCTCAGCTCACTGCAACCTCCACCTCCTGGGTTCAGGTAATTCTCCTGCCTCAGCCTCCCGAGTAGCTGGGATTATAGGCATGCACCACCACATCCACCTAAATTTTTTGTATTTTTAGTGGAGACAAGGTTTCACCACATGGGCCAGGCTGGGATTACAGGCGTGAGCCACTGCACACGGCCAGGTTTCTGCATTTTGGCTATTATGAATGGTATTCATAATATTCATAATAATGATAATGAATATTATTAATAATGCTATAATGAACATCGGTATACAGATATATGTTACAGACCTTGCTTTCACTTGTCTGCTGTGTATACCCAGAAGTGAAATCACTGAATCATGGTAATTCCATGCTTAATTTTTTGAGTAGCCTCCATCCTGTTTTCTATAACAGCTCTTCCATTTCCACCAGCAAGACAAGGGGGTTCCAATTTGTCCTCATTCGTATGAACACTTTTTTTTTTTTTAAATAATAGCCATCCTAATGTGTGTGAAGTAGTATCTCACTGTGGTTTTTGATTTTCATTTCCCTAACGACTAGTGATGTTGACCTGTTAGTACTTTTACAACTTGATATTTACTCTTCTCATGTTAAAAGTTACAGATTCAAGTGCACAGTAGTCATTTAGTGAGGTTTTGCTAAATTTCATCCAGTATTCCAAGTACTTGACATATTAATTTAATCGTGTCATTTGTCAGTTTTTACAGGTGAGGAAGTTCAGGCACAGAGAAGTTAGGTAACTGACCCAAGGTTATACTGGTAGTAAATTCCTGAGCCAGGATTCAAATCCAGTCTGTCTTTTTTTCTTTTTTTTCAAGACAACATCTTGCTCTGTCACCCAGGCTGGAGTGCAGTGGAACGATCACAGCCTACACTCCAGCCTTGGCCTCCTGGGCTTAAGCAATCCTCCAGTCTGCTGAGCAGCTGGGACTACAAGCGTGAGCTACCGCACCCAGCCCTGTCTTTCTTTGAGACTAGAATTTTAACCTTTTAGTTATATTACACGTAGAGCTGCTGCAAACTTCTTGTACATCCCACGCACCTGTACAGTTATTTCTTTAATTCTAAGATGTGCAGTTACTGTTCAAAGAGATGAACAATTTTAAGGCTTTCTATGTATGTGCCAAATTGCCTTCCAGAAAAGGTTGCTTCAATTGCACATACTATACCAGCAGTATATAATATACCCATTTCTCTACTAACATACCATTCCTAAGTGTTTCCTTTTTTTGGAGTCAGGGTCTCACTCTGTCACCCAAGGCTAGAGTGGAGTTGCACGATCCTAGCTCACTGTAGCCTTGAACTCCTAGACTTAAGCAATCTTCTTACCTTAGCTTCCTAAGTAGCTAGGAGTACAGGCGTGCGCCACCATGCTGGGGTTTGGTTGTTTTGTTTGTTTCTTCCTTAAATGGAGGAGGTCTCTATGTTGCCCAGGCTGGTCTTGAACTCCTGGGCTCAAGTGATCCTCCTGCCTCATCCTCGCAGAGTGCTGGGATTACAGGTGTGAGGTGGGATTACCATGCCTGGCCTTGTGTTTTTCTTAAGGAAATGTAAAAGATACTGATTCTTTGTCATAACATGTTTTTACAAATATTTTTCCAAGTTTGACATTTTCTTTTAGTTTTGTCTATTGTATTTTTTTGCCTCATTAAAGTTTCATCTTTCACTAACGTTTGTGTAGTCATGTCTGTCTTCTCATTTGTGGTGTGTCTTTGGTATTATATCTGGAATATTAAAAATGATTTACATAGTTACATGCACAGATCTTACGTATACAGTTCAGTGAGTTTTGACAAATGCTTATACATATCTAGCATAGACCCCGTTGAGTTATAGACATTTCTGTCACCCTGTGAAGTTCCCTTGTAGTTTTTCTAGTCTTTTTTCCCTGACTCAGGTAACCACTGTTCTGATTTCTATCCCCATAGATTAATTTTGCCTGATTTAGAATTTCAGGAAGAAAAGGAATTGTATACCCTCTTACACGCTTTCTTCACTCAGAGCAATGCCTGTGAGATTCATCCAGGTCATCTTGTGTGTCATTAGTTCTTTTTATTTCTGGGGAGTAGTGCTTTGTTTGGATATATCCATTTGTTTATCCATTTTTCTGTAGGTGACTTTGGGGTTGTTGCCAGTTTGGGGCTATTACAAATACAGCTGCTAGGAATTTGATTGGCATCTCACTGGATCCATGGATCAAATTGCAGATAATTGACATCTTAACAGTCCATGAACATGATGCATCTCTTCATTTATTTAGGTCTTCTTTGATTTCAGCAAAGTCTTACAGCTTTTAGTGTAGAGATCTTGCACATCTTTTGTTAAATTTATCTAAGTGTTTTATGTATCTTAACGCTGTTTAAATACCAGTGTCCTTGCCTTTTCCAGTATGTTTATTGCTAGTATTAGACATTTTTGTATGTTTGTATATTGACAGTGTGCCCTGCGTATTTGCTAAATTCACTTAATTTAGTAGGTTTTAAAATAGATTTCTTAAGATATCTCTTAGGAATATCAAATAGAATCATCTACAAGTAGAGATGGCTTTACTTACTATTTTCCAAACTTACACCTTGTGTTTCTTTTTCTTTCCTTAATGCACTTACTAGAACCTCCAATACCATGTGGAATAGAAGTGATGGGAAGATAGCTTCGTCTTATTCCTAATCTTAGGCAAGAAACATTCAACCTGGGAATTTATTTTTATAATAAGAGAAGAATCCAGTTTTTGTCCCAAATGGCTAGCCAGTGATCCCCAGAACTCTTTATTGAATAATTCAACCTTTTCCCACTAATTTGAAATGATACCTTTAGTACATATTTAATTCTTACATATACTTGTGTCTGACTTATATCAAAATATTTCCTTTAATTCAACACTTTGGTAAATAGAAGTATAATGGAAATTAGAAGCCTTAGTGAGACGTCAGTATGCTTCCAGGCTTTTAAGGTAAGCACCTAATAAGTGCTTTCTAAAGTGTGGGAGGGGCCTCCAGAGAAAGGGGAGGAGATGGAATGTCAGACAGCTGACCACCCCCTGATATGCTGCTCTTTCAAGGAGCTCAGTCTGAGAAGGGTCATTTATCTCCAGAAAAGAAGCTCTATTAGCTGACCACGGTTGTTACAAACAGACAGATGAGATGGACCAATCGTAGTCTCCCAAGGCATAAGGTGTCCTAGTGGAAGGATCCTGGGGAGGTAGAAGAGGACGGGGCTCCTCTGAGCTGCATTTTGGGGCTGTTGAGATGAGCATTGCTGTCTGTTTGATTCTCCAGGCAAAGGCCAGGATGGAATTGGTAGCAAGGCAGAGAAGACTCTGGGTGACTTTGCAGCAGAGTATGCCAAGTCCAACAGAAGTACGTGCAAGGGGTGTATGGAGAAGATAGAAAAGGTAAGATCTTGGGGGCCCAGATCCCTGAACTTTATGGATTGCTTGCAATGATGTTATTGGCTATCTCAAGAGAAAAGAAGAAATGGGGGCTTTAGGGTGCTAGCTCAACGTAAGTGATTAAAAATAAAGTGAAGACATTAGTATTGACCAGATACGTCAGTGACTTCCAGACAGGTCTGGTCCTCCTTATCACGGTCCAGTTCTCATGTATGTATGCATCTGCTCTTGGAAAATGTTAACAAAAGGAGTCTCTTTTGGACCCAGCAGTGGCTGGGGAGAGACTGTTTGTCTGTGTTTTATGGTAGAATTAGGTATAAGGAGTGTGTTTACCCTGTTATGAGCCTCCAGCCTTCTGTTTAATCAAAGGAACTTCATTAACCAGGCTTTCCCACCAGTTCTAGCCCTTGAAGGCTGACAGCCAGTCAGAGAAAATGGATGGACACACAGGTAGAAGGGAAGGCTTGTGCCCCGCAGCCTTCTCACCCTTCTCTAATGTGACATGCACATATTAATTGATTCATTTAAGGCATTAATTGAAAGTCTCTGCCTCCCGGAGGTATTGTACAGAAAACTGAGGTGAGCCAATGGGTATTTAGAAAAGAAAAACATGGAATTGCTGTATCTTCTCCAGCTACCTTCAACCACCAAAAATTTAAGGCAAACATTAAGATCCTCTTTACCTCAAGGGGAATGCCGGATGGTATGTGCTGCTGGGTTACTGGTTTTATGTAATGCCAGGAACCCCTCCTGCTGCATTCTCTGGATTGAGCCTCCCAGGCCTGGAACTCTCCTGGGAATATCAGGCCTGGGGACTGGGGACCTGGGCAGGCTGGCAGGACTGGATTCTTGCCTGTGGGTTTATTACTCCTTAGGGGGTGTCATCTGTAAAGAGACTAAGGAGGCCATAGGAGGGTGGGAGTGGACAGAAAGTCCCTGCTAGTACAAAAGTGCTGCATTGGGGGCTGGGCACGGTGGGGTGGTAGGCTGAGGCAGGAGTATTGCTTGAGTCCAGGAGTTCTGGACCAGCCCGGGCAACATAGTGAGACCTCATCTCTGCAAAAAAATTAGCCAGGCAAGGCCGAGGTAGGAGGGTCACTTAAGCCTGGGAGGCAGAAGTTGCAGTGAGCTCAGATCAAGTCACTGCACTCCAGCCTAGGCAACAAAGCAAGACCCTGTCTCAAAAAAAAAAAAAAAAAAAGTGCTGCATTGGAAGCCCACGCAGGTGTGCAAGGCTCTAGCTCTGCCCAGCACACCATACCATGTGTTTTTATGCCTGCCCCAGGTCAGCAGAAACATCTTAAGGGGAATGTTAGCAATTCTTCACATGTCCAGGCAGGTAGGTAGGTTGCCAGCCATTTGGAATTTAAGGAACCCTGAGTCTTGAGGGTGGGTAACACACAATCCTTGATGACCTGAGAGAGCTAAACCTCTCAAAAGCTCATGAGTCTTCAAGTTGGCGGGCAGGCCTTGGCTTGGACCCTCAGCTCCTCACTGGCTGGAGCACAGGCTGCCCGTATCATGTTCACTATCCTTGCTTGTCGCTCCCTTGGTACCACATATGGTTTTTCCTGCAGGGCCAGGTGCGCCTGTCCAAGAAGATGGTGGACCCGGAGAAGCCACAGCTAGGCATGATTGACCGCTGGTACCATCCAGGCTGCTTTGTCAAGAACAGGGAGGAGCTGGGTTTCCGGCCCGAGTACAGTGCGAGTCAGCTCAAGGGCTTCAGCCTCCTTGCTACAGAGGATAAAGAAGCCCTGAAGAAGCAGCTCCCAGGAGTCAAGAGTGAAGGGTGGGTGGAGCACTGCGGGGTTGCCCTGGGGGTTCAGTGAGGGGTTCAAGGGAGGCCCAAAGGCCCTACAGGTTCCATACCACTCCTCTGTTTCCCTTCGCTGACTGTCAGTAAGCCAGGGAGATGCAAACTGAGGAATGGTGACAGCAGAGATGTGGGGGCAAAGGACAGGGTAGGGAAAGACAGCCAGGGGTTCCCATGGCCTCTGCTGAGAGCCCTCTCCCCTGTGAGACCTGCTTCCTGGTGGTCTATTCCCCTTCCAACATCTGAGCTCCATGGACAGGCTAACTACACTTTCCCACCACAACCCTTTAGATACTTAAAAGACCACCTTCCTTCCCTGGGTATTTGTTGTGCCTGGGTTGATCACTATTCGGAACAATGCTGGGAGAATGGTGACCATTTTTAGTTAGGGGATGGGCAGTGGATAATTTTCCTGGCTTAGAGTTGAGAATGATAAGGGTTTTGCATGGTGTTAAAATTTAGAATGGGAAGGACCATCAGTGACTGTCTTGAATCCATGGACACCTCTTGGTCTCTCCAGTTTACCCTCTGCTGGTCCCTCAGCCTCAGTCTGGAGAACTGCTTGTTAACAAGCACACCAGGGGTGGTGTGGCAGAGCCTGGTATGCACCCTGCTCCTTGAACGGTGACTGGGCAACCATCAAGCAGCCATCACACATTATCTCAGTTCATAACGCCTGTTCATTGCAGCAGCACATGGGGCTCTAGAATGTGGAAGAAAACTGAAAAATCAGGCCATGGGTCAAAAAGGCCACAGGGCATTGCAGCATGTGATATAGGTGTTGGAGTTCATCAGCTCCCACTTATGCCATGATAACTGCCAGAATGTGTTGAGCACATTTCGTATGCCAGACACTATATGAAGCCCTGTATTTGGACTGTTTCATTTGCCCATCACCAGAGTTCTGTGAGGCAGATGGTATTCTTTTCCCTATTTTATGGATGAGGAAAGTGCAAGGGTTTGTGCTCAGGTCTATGTGATAGCTGAGACTGACAGACCACTGCGGCTGTCCTGCGCCTGTATTTTGGGGGCAGGTGATAGCCTCAGAGCTGTGTTTGCTGAGCCAGCTGGGGCAGGCTGGTTAGCACTGCTTTGACTGTCACTTCTTGTCAGGGCTTTATATGGCAGTACAGCCCCACCTCTGTGAGCAGCCTCTTTCCCTTGCTCTGTGTTTTAGCTCAAAAGGCCTAGCTCCCTGGACTTGTGCTTTGTCTTTCTGCAATCCCTACCCCCTAGCCATGGGCTTACCTCTAGCCTAGTCCCGGCTAGAACCTTCCAGGCCAGGAGATACATGGGTTTCTTTTTTTTTTTTAACCTCAGACGGGGTCTGAGCCCTGGATTCTTGTAATGGGTTGTTCTGAGTCCCTGGAACAACCCTAGCCCCTCTCCCTGGCTGGGAGAGTATGTTCTGAATTGGATGGTGTCTTCTGCCATCTTGGCTGCAAGTACTCCCTGAGTAGACAGTGATCGCCTAAGGGCACTGAGTGGGGCAGGGGTTAGGGAGTGACAAGTGTGAGTAGGCCCTACAGGGAGTTGATAGAATGACATTAAGATACTGCATCACCGCAAGTCATTGGGTGTCAGACTTTTAATGGCTCTGGCTGTCTCTCATATCCTGTGTCTCCTTCAGAAAGAGAAAAGGCGATGAGGTGGATGGAGTGGATGAAGTGGCGAAGAAGAAATCTAAAAAAGAAAAAGACAAGGATAGTAAGCTTGAAAAAGCCCTAAAGGTGAGTTCTCAGCTCTGTGTCTCCTTTCGACATTCTGCTGTCTGGATTCTCTTTCTCATTCTGGGAAGACAATTCAAGGAGTTGTGTCCCACTTATTAAGACCTTTAGCAAATTGATGGCAGTTATTAAATAGCATGGCTTTTCCCCAGATTCTTTTTCCTCCTCCAAAAGAAACCATTTTTATTTGGAAGAGAATCCACATTAGGCTGTAGGTGTCTGACCTGCAGCCAGGCTTGAGCAAGGGCTGAGTGCTCTGTTTCCGCTCACCAGCCTCATACTGGGATGACAGAGATTCATGCTTTGGCCAAATTATGCACAACTGTACACCCTGCACCTTTGTGGTCACTTGCAAACTTTGGAAACTGAATACTTAGAGGATGCCAAAGATTCTTAGCATAGACAAATGGCTTGAAGAGATCAAGTGTCTCCACATTTTTTAAATGAAGATCTTCATTTTTAAAAAAGGAATAGACTGATAATGACAGAAGAAAACTATCCATTAAATCAGTGGTCCTTGACCAGAAAGATTCATCCCTGTGTTGATTATGTACATGTTGAAGCAAAGCAAAAATTATTAATCAGAAAATGCTGGATGTCTGGGAAATTGAGGGAGAACAGTTGGTCTCTCTTGAGAACATGATTTCTATGAACCATCTGCTTGTGTCTCTTCTATGAGTATTCAGTTTTTACTAGTGGTACTAAAATTAAAAGCAGTTTCTGATATGGTTCTAGTTGCTAAATAAGAATCACACATTTTGTTCAATTGTCTTATGGTAAAAAAGTGTCTGTCATGCACCAAAACTGGCTGCAGGAGAACTGTGGTGCCACTTCACATTGGCCATTTGGTGAGATTAGTGTCCTTCTCTCTTCCCTAGTGGTATCAGAGATGTATAGAGAGTCAGAAAATTAAAATGCCCCTCAGCGTTCCCACTGTGGCACATCTGTGTCTGTTGGCTCTCCCCCCTTGGTCACCCAGGTGACATTGTTGTACTTCTTCCATTTAACCCTGTATCACTAGACCTTTTCCTCATCCTCTCATGTCTCCATTCCTGGTGTCCCAGTGTATGCTGTGTGTGATGGAGAGGAGATGTCGAGAGACCCCTTAAAAATGAAGCTGGGAAACAGGTGCAGACGTGTGTGCCTGTACCTTTGCCAGTGGAGTTAAAATCCTCTTTTGATACTAATAGCAACCCTATAGGATATGATAGGGCTGGCATTTTTGTCTCCATTTTGCAGAGGTGGAATCTGAGCAGAGATGGCGAATAACTTGCCCATTTTCCTGGGGAAGGAGGAGACTTACCTCAGCCTTTAAAATGGAGAGGCTGATAGCTTCCTCAGCAAGCTTGATTGTTATGAGAATAAATGAGATGAGGCCGGGTGCAGTGGCTTGAGCACCTGTAATCCCAGCACTTTGGAAGGCCGAGGCAGGCGGATCACTTGAGGCCAGGAGTTTGAGACTAGCCTGGCCAACATGGTGAAACACCGTTTCTATTAAAAATACAAAAATTAGCTGGGCGTGGTGGTGCACACCTGTAATCCCAGCTACTCAGGAGACTGAGGCAGGAGAATTGCTTGAACCCAGAAGGTGGAGGTTGCAGTGAGCTGAGACCGCATCATTGCACTCCAGTCTGGGCAACAGAGTGAGACTCCATCTCAAAGAAAAAATAAGTTAGAAGACACGTAAAAGCATCCAACCAAGAGTAGGCACTTAATAAAGATTAAAACTTCCATTTTCAGAAGAGCTTAAATACATTCCTGCATGATACTGAATATAATATACCATCAAGGAAATTGGTGTTTGCGAATCATTCCTACTCTAAGATTGGTGGAGAATGGCCATACCCTGCCTCCTCTAGTTGCTGATAAACGTGGGCCGTGGGCTCAGCCTAGCACCTCCAGGCTCTTACCTGGTGTTTCTGGGGATTGATTTCTGAGGGTTGGTTCCAGGAGCCTTGGTGCAGTCTCCCCCACACCCTTAGGGCTTCCTCATCACCTTCCACAGTATTCTCTGAGAGACCACACAGCAGGTTTAATTTGGTGTCCACAGGAGCATGACTGGGAGTCAAATCCTGTGCTAATCACCCAGATTTGCAGGGGCAGCTCGCTGGTGCACAAGGGTATAACTGGAGGCTCAGCATGACCAGGGCTCCTCCTCCAGTTGGATTCTTCCTTTGAAAAGAGCTAGCCTCTCAGCCACTGGGTCTTGTCCATAGGCTCAGAACGACCTGATCTGGAACATCAAGGACGAGCTAAAGAAAGTGTGTTCAACTAATGACCTGAAGGAGCTACTCATCTTCAACAAGCAGCAAGTGCCTTCTGGGGAGTCGGCGGTGAGCTGCCTTTGTGTTAAGTGGGACACGCATGTGAGGCCGACCCCGTCGTTGTGGAGTGACTGTCCCAATGGAGTGTGGGAGGCCCTCCGTGTGAACACCTGCTGGTATTAATTGCAAGGAGTATAAATCGTGGTTGTGTTGCACGGTCATCACCACCATCGTGGTCACCATTTTTCCGGGGTGGATGGGGCCGGCATTCACACGCCCCACCAGACATCTTCCACATGTTAGTGCTTGCTCTAGAGTGCCAGGCCTGTGAAGAGAGGAGAGCCCCCTCCTGAGGGGTGGCATGATGGTTTCCCATCAGTGTCCCCAGCTGGCCCTTCTCTGCTGTCATTCTTGGGAGTTGGCTTGGCACTGTACTTTCTGCAATGCCAGTGGTTGCTTTCCCTTCATTTCTAAATCACTGAGGGTTGGGGGCGCTGCAGGAACACTTGGAAATAAGGTCTCCTACAAGAATCCAAGCTCCATTGTAAACCAAGGGTGGGTGGGGTGTTAAGAGCCCCATAGCAAGCCCACAGCAAGAAGCCTCTCTTCTTTGTAGTGAGTGGAATCTGTGCAAGTTCCTCCATCCCACATTAGTAAGTGTCCTTTTTTGTAGTCCCGCATTTGCCCTCTGACATGTTTCTCCACTGGCTGCAGATCTTGGACCGAGTAGCTGATGGCATGGTGTTCGGTGCCCTCCTTCCCTGCGAGGAATGCTCGGGTCAGCTGGTCTTCAAGAGCGATGCCTATTACTGCACTGGGGACGTCACTGCCTGGACCAAGTGTATGGTCAAGACACAGACACCCAACCGGAAGGAGTGGGTAACCCCAAAGGTAAGGGGTAGGGGAAGATCCTGGGATCTGTTGGGAGAAAAACCTGGCCCCACTTTCTGCGCTTGTTTATACTTCAGGTCCCTGAGATTGCAGGGCCATGTTCCTCAGACTTCTTTACAGCTGCGTCATCCTGTTTACCAGAATATAAAATTACATGTTTGCAAACTACGCAAATGTAGAACCGAAGCTCCTCTAAGTATGGAGTAGAGGTCCATTTGGTGTAAAATGTTGCTTGCAAAGACCATGAATAGTTTTTATCTATTGAATGCCTCCTATGTGCCAGGCACAGTTCTAGGCTTGAGGGACATATGGTGAAGAAATGGATAGTAATTCCTGCTTTCTGATACAAGGTTTTTTCAAGGACATTTCCTTGCCTTAGTGCTAGCAGGAGAATTGGATCCAGGGTTCACGTATCTCCTAGTATCGCACGTTCTCTCTTTTTTTAATGGAACTGCTTATGGAATTCTCAACGCAAAATACCTCCATGGGGAGCCTCCTTTGGAGCCGGCTGGTGGGGTTCTAGCAGTATCTTTGTGGGGCTGGCTGCTCCGAGGCCTTTGCCTGTGCTCCCTCAGACTCAGCAGGACCCAGGCCCAGCAGCCTGGGTAGGTGCAGAGCTCTGCCACTCACCAAGCTGCTTCCCTCGCTGTTGCACTTGGAACAGCGGCACACAGTACACACTCAGGAATCGTTACCTGAGTAACTATCGACATTACTCGCTCTACACCTACAACTGAACTCCATTTCCACTGGCCCCTGGCTCACTTGTTCACTGCCATGATTGCATGATCCCTCCTAATTTTCTCTCTGTGCGTTTGAGTGGTTCCTCTAAAATAAATCTGACCTTGTCACTTCCCCCACCCTTAAAATCTTAGACTGATTCCCCGATTTTTCTGGGTATGCAAATCTTACAGACCCTTACGTGGTATTTGTATTTCTTTTACTATCTTTGATGGGGAAATAGTAAGATGGCAATAAGCAATGTGCCATTCCTTGTATTTTATATATCAATTGTAGAGCATCTATATACATTTTTAAAGGTTATGTGCATGTGCGAGACAAGTTTTTGGTCTGGCAGTGCTTGCTGCCCAGGCAGTGACACTGTTGCCCCCAGGCACTTGTCCCACAGAATCAAGGCCAGCTCTGTAGCTTGTCCTCAGAGCCCTCTGTGATGCGGCTTTGCTGGCCTTCTGCAGCCTTTTTCTGCCACCCTTTTCTTCCTTCTCACATACCCCTCTCCCCACCCCACCGCCAGTCTTGCTCATTCTTTTTAGGAGTACCTAGCAATAGGGCGCCTAGCCAGGGCACCCCACATGCCACCGTGTGCTACTCAGATGGCTGTGCTTAGGCAGTCCCCTGTGTTTTCAGCTCCCAGTGGGCTTAGCAGATCACTGCCTCCAAGTGCATGCTAGCATTCCCTGTCTCACATCACCTTGGCACACCTCTGGCATAGCTTAGCTCCTTTGTTAAAGTTCACCTTCCTATAGCTGATGCTCAGTCACGAATGAGATACTTTCTGAAGAGCAGAAACTGTCTTTTTAACCAGACTATGGTTGGTAGCACATATTAGGTGGTCTGTGTGTGTCGGAAGCAATCTGTGACCTCTTGTATCTAACTGACATCCTGAACACAGGCATAGCTGGAAAGGGCAGTTTCTTGATTGGATGAAGACCTGGGAGCACAGTATCTTTCCCTGAGCTTCATGTATTTGATACTTATTGAGTGACCATTTAGAGCAAGGCCCCTTGTAAATCAGTCAGAGTGAAGAGTGAATTGTGCTGATGGAAGAATTTATAGTGAATACCATAGGGCTCCCTGCATTCATTTTTCCTTCTTCTAAAAAGGAAAGCAAATACTGTGATTTCCTTTTGGGTAATAATCTCCCAGTGTGTATATAGTATTCGGGGTCTTGGAGTTCTGGAGTAGGCATGTGATCCCACAGAGGCCTATTAACTCTCGAAGGGAGCAACTCAGGAATGAGGCCAGGGAGGTTGTAGTCATACAGCAGTTCCAGTGGTGGTTCCCTGACCGAATTGGCCACTGGTTTCTGTTTTTGTTTTTTTTAGGGAAAGATTTTTCTCTTAAAGCAGCCACAATATTAGCCCTATTATAAATGTAAAAGTACCGGAAATAAGTACTGTAGCAGCAATAATACTGTCTTTCATCCTTAAAGCCTCACATTTTTCTATTTTTTGTTACTCTTTATTGTAAGAAGAAAAAAAGAGATTATTTGATTTGGACAAGCCAAATCCTCTTTGGTCTATGGGGTGGTTACCTCAAGGGAGAGCTGGCTTCTTAACTAAAACTTAATATTTTTTAGGAATTCCGAGAAATCTCTTACCTCAAGAAATTGAAGGTTAAAAAACAGGACCGTATATTCCCCCCAGAAACCAGCGCCTCCGTGGCGGCCACGCCTCCGCCCTCCACAGCCTCGGCTCCTGCTGCTGTGAACTCCTCTGCTTCAGCAGGTACAGCATTTGGGACCCCGGTCTTAGAGCTGCTTTGCAGGAATTGTTTGCCCACTACTTGCTGGTGGTGTGGAGCTGGTGAAGAAAGTATCCGTCAAGGGTCTCTCTTTGCTGACCCCACCATGGGGAAGCCTTGCCCTGCAGGGGATAGGCCTCTTCTCTTGGCTTGTTACACCCCTGACCACAGCAAGGTGGGAGAGTGTTAAGAACATAGCATCGGCTGGGAGCAGTGACTCACACCTGTAATCCCAGCACTTTAGGAAGCTGAGGCAAAAGAATTGCTGAGGCCAGGAGTTTGAGACCAACCTGGGCAATGTAGTGAGACCCCATCTCTACAAAAATGTTTAAAATTAATCCGAGTATGTGCCTTTAGCCCTAGATACTCAGGAGGCTGAGGCGGAGGATCCCTTGAGCCTGGGAGGTCAAGGCTGCACTGAGCTATGATCACGCTAATGCACACCAGCTTGGGCGATGGAGTGATACCCTATCTCTAAAAATAAAATAAACATTGTAGAAGAACAAGCAGCTCTTACTCTGGGAGGCTAGGAGAGGGGCTCCTAAGAAAGGCTAGGTCGACAGCCTTACCTGGAGTTGGGCGCAGGGTCTCCTGCCTGACTGCACTGCAGAGGAGCATCCCAGGCCTCACTCTCCAGGCTGCCCTGCGCCCACCAGTCATCCGGGCCCTGGTGTGATGCTCAAGTCTCTGTTGTATGCAGAGGGAGTTACTAATCAGCACTAGTGAGAAATGCCCCAAGCCAACCAAGACAGTGAGAGCAACGTATTTTTTTGGCAGGAGAAGTGACCCGCTGCTTGTTTACTCAGAGACATGTGGCATAGTCTATTGGTGAAGGTCACAGTTTGGTGGGTGGAGGATGAGGGTTCCTTCCTTGAACATAAACCTGTTATTGACTTCCTTTTCATATCCTGAGAGGGGACCAGTGGTCACTGCAGTGTGTGCTGGTGGTCATCCCGAGTCCACTGTGCTGCTGGCAGCCTGGGTCCAGGTGCCCACATGAAGGGCCAGTTGGGGGCTGGCATTCTGACCCCTCCATGGAGGGTTCCCTCCTCTGCTTTCCCCTGACTTGCAGTTCAGCATGAGTCAATAATTTTGTTCTCTGGAGACCTCAGCAGTTTCAGTTAAACTGTCAGTGTTTCCTAGTTGTTTGCCCTCACAGGGAAGGCAGGAAGGACTTTTCCTTGCAGCTACTCCAGTTCTGGACGGGTGTCACCTGCACTGTGTTGTTTGCTGTGAACAGAAGGCACACCCCTGTCCAGGCCTTTCTGGCCTGGGTCAGTGCACACCAGGCTGCTGCTTTTCTCCTAGAATCAGTTAGCTCAGCTCCGTGTGATTGTGCTGGCCACTGCTTTGAGGGACTATCATGGACATGTCTCATTTTAAAATGGGGTTAATTCATAAGAATTGCAGTTTGTTTGGGAGAATAACAGAAGGAATTGGGGGTTCATGTGACCTTACCCCTCTTCCCATCCGACTCCAGCCTCCTGGTCCCTCGTCCGCAGATGCAGCCTTCCTAGCCTGACCTTGGCGCGGACCTGGGGTAACCCGCAGCTGCCTGGCTCACGCCGCGAGGCTGGCCTGGCCATGGAGTGGCATTTTGTGGCTTGCTCCCTGCCCAGTCCTTTCTGTGCTGAGGGACATCTGTAGGTACTCAGGTGGCAGCTTGCTGTCCCGTCCTGTTTTCTCGCGAGTGTATTTTCATAGGCTTTTCCCAGGAGCTCGCTGCTTGGCTCACCTGCTCCTCCACCTCCCCTTACTGGGGAGCAGCACCAGAGCTGGCCTTGCTGAATGATTCTCTCCTTTCATCCCAGATAAGCCATTATCCAACATGAAGATCCTGACTCTCGGGAAGCTGTCCCGGAACAAGGATGAAGTGAAGGCCATGATTGAGAAACTCGGGGGGAAGTTGACGGGGACGGCCAACAAGGCTTCCCTGTGCATCAGCACCAAAAGTGAGTTGAATCTGAATTTGTGCAACAGGGACAATGCTTCTGTATCTTATGATTGTGATGACGAGTAAGTGAGGAAGAGTCGAACACAGCGCTGAAAAACTGGATCTTAACATCATCATCGCTGTGGTTCTTTATGAAGGGAAACCAGTATTTGCTCTCAGTGTTGCTGCTTTGTACTGTAGATTCACATGCATTGCGTGTTCTCAACTAAAGACGGTAAGCTACTATAGGTTGAGTCTCCCTAGTCCCGAAGCCCAAACAAATTGCCTCAAAATTCAACACTTTTTGAGTGACAACATGATGCTCAAAGGAAATGTTCATTGGAGCATTTCAGATTTCAGAGTTTTGGATTAGATGCTCAGTCAGTAAATATGAAGCAAGTATTTTAAGGTCTGAAAGGTTTCTGGTCTCAAGCATCTCGGATAAGGGAAGCTGCTCAACCTGTATTCTCATCACTTCGCACTGCTCTGTAAGATGTGCATAGATATCTGCCAAAACAGAAGTTCAAGGTTCAAGTATGTTTGGAAAAGGTAGGGTAAAACAAAGCTAAACAGGTTTCTGTGTGGGTTTATTATGCTGATTACCACTGTAGGTCTTCAGGAACCAGAGAAATAGAATACAGGATTTCCCATACATATTTGACATCAGGGTGTTTTTTCTTTGGAGTGTTTGTTAACATCGTGCTGTAGAATGGTTTGGAGAAGGCTGCCCTGGCTCATCATACCTTAGAAAAGGGGGAATGTTGCTGATAAAAACACTCTTGGGAGCATTAGACTTGGAAGCAAAGGAGAGCTGTGAATGCTGAGGGTTTGGAAGTACACACTAAATATAACTGTAGTAATTTGAAGTTTCAGTTTTGTTTTAAACTTGTATTTTGGTTTTTTTTCCTTTCAATTTGAACAGAGGAGGTGGAAAAGATGAATAAGAAGATGGAGGAAGTAAAGGAAGCCAACATCCGAGTTGTGTCTGAGGACTTCCTCCAGGACGTCTCCGCCTCCACCAAGAGCCTTCAGGAGTTGTTCTTAGCGCACATCTTGTCCCCTTGGGGGGCAGAGGTGAAGGCAGAGCCTGTTGAAGTTGTGGCCCCAAGAGGGAAGTCAGGGGCTGCGCTCTCCAAAAAAAGCAAGGGCCAGGTCAAGGAGGAAGGTGAGGGCCCCAAGCTGCCCCCTCCAGGGCCAAAAGCCAGGGACATTGGTGGCCAGGTTGTTGTCCACGGAACCTCTCCCTTTGTGTCCCTGACATGGCCTGTTGAGTGCTGCAGAGCAGGACACAGAATGGCAGGCGCTTTGGGGTGGCGGGAGTAGTGTGTATATAGATGCCGAGTTGACAGATGATGGGAATGAGAACAACTCATTTGCCTTCTACCTTCCCCTTACTTTTTAGTTACATTTAACTTCATGTTTACATTTTTCTGTTCTCCTCCAAGGTATCAACAAATCTGAAAAGAGAATGAAATTAACTCTTAAAGGAGGAGCAGCTGTGGATCCTGATTCTGGTAAGCAAACAGGACTGCCAGCAAAGTGGGCTGTGCCGCCCCCCAACCCCCAGCTGACTAGGAGCACACATCCAAATGCCCGCAGCATACCTGGGGCAGTGTGGTCGTGCCTTTGTCCTCACTCAGGCCTCCTTCACCAGCTCCCCCAGTCCTGAGAACACACATTTGTGGGGAGCCTCCCGAGGGTGGTGGTAGTGTATCCAAGAGGCGTGAACCTCAGGCCTGCAGATCCCTTCTCCGTGAGAGTGCTAGCACCTCAAGGGGAGAGAAAACTGTAGGTGCTTTTCCTCTGGGACAGGACTGGAACACTCTGCGCATGTCCTGGAGAAAGGTGGGAAGGTCTTCAGTGCCACCCTTGGCCTGGTGGACATCGTTAAAGGAACCAACTCCTACTACAAGCTGCAGCTTCTGGAGGACGACAAGGAAAACAGGTGAGTTCTGCAGGTGTAGCCTGGTTGTGCAGAGACATGGGCCCGTCCTGCATTGGTTAGTGCTGTGCCATCAGCCTTGTGAAACCCGTTAGGCCCAGTGCCTGGGGAATGAAATCTAATCACAGAGATCAAAAACAAATTATAAGGCCTTTGCTTAAAGGGGAGAAAGAAGCCACTTACTAACCAGTAGCGTTGCTGTCCTTGTACAGTTGTCCCAAGGTATGGTTTCACATATTCTTCTGCTGGCTTTTCTTTTTGTTTGGTGTTTTGTTTTTTGTTGTTGTTTTGCAACTATTTGTTTTGTTTTTTGAAATAGTCTCGCTCTGTTACCCAGGCTGGAGTGCAGTGGCGTAATCACAGCTCAGCGGAGCCTTGACCTCCCAGGCTCAAGCAATCCTCCCACCTCAGCCTCCTGAGTAACTGGGACTATAGGTGCGCACCACCATGCCTTATTTTTTATGGAGACGGGCCTCGCTGTGTTGCCCAGACTGGTCTCAAACTCCTGGACTCAAGTGATCCTCCCGCCTCAGCCTCTCAAAGTGCTGGGATTACAGGCATGAGCCTCTGCACCCAGCCCCAGCTGGCTTTTCTTTCAGCTACTTGAATCAAGATTTTCTGATTTTACATATGTTTTAAAACTTTGAAGCAAATAAAGGTTGGCAAGCGTTGAACTTACTCTTTAATGTTCAAACTCCCTAGTAACTAAAGAGGTTGGATTTGCCTTTTTTTTTTTTTAACATGGTGAGACAGGCAAGGTTGGAGTGTGGATGGTGGGGTACAGCAGCTGGGAGGTGGTGAGAGGTTGGGCTGGCTTTTGTCCTTATGTTTCTAGGCAGAGTGGTCCTTATCTAGTGAGTTCATTGCCCCTCAGTACAGCCACCACAAAATAGCATTTATGTGTCAGTGTAAAGGCATGTGGAAGGAACTCTTACTAAATTCTAACGTTGATTGTGGATGTGGACATTTTTCTGGTGGCTTAGATTTCCTGGTGTTAAGTGAAAGGGTGGTGTAGGCTGTTAGGGTCAGAAAAAATTTTCAACGTAGATCAAGGTAGTGCTTCTCAAAAATTTTCACAGGAAAAACCAAGCAGAGAATGAATTTTTATACCCCTGTTCAGTAGCCCAGAGAATGGCCAGGGAG
Source organism: Homo sapiens (assembly GCF_000001405.40). NCBI lineage: Eukaryota > Metazoa > Chordata > Mammalia > Primates > Hominidae > Homo > Homo sapiens. The sequence goes on along the minus strand of NC_000001.11, from coordinate 226,378,001 downwards.
TCCCAAATTTTCTTTGAAATCTGTAGTTCTATCTTTAAAATGTACACAAATCTTGTATGTGGGTTTATGATATATATATATTTATTATGAAATGACAATTAAGTGTTGCATTACCTCTGCTTTGAGTTAATCAAAAATTAGCTCATCCAAAGCTGAGCAGCACAGCAGCTGGGTGTGTGTGATGTGTACCCTCAATTGAGATGGAATTTGAACATGACAGCCTGCATCTCTAGGTCACCGGACCTGAGGAGCCATTGCCACTGCCCCCCTCATTTCATCATGTCTTGGCCTTGGATCTGAGTTGAAAGTTTCATTATTTTTAGGGTACAGCTGTAAGGGTTGACTCCTTGAACACATGACTTCCAGATAGTACTTTGTATTTCTTTGGGGAGAGGACTAGAATCATTTTTATGCAAAGGTCTCCAGACTCCAGGATTCAGTCCTCAGGCTTGGCTGCCAGAACCAAGTTTAAACTATTCTTTGGCATTTTTTGTAGTCAATATGATTTGAAAGTTTAATGAAAAGTAAAATAAAGACCCTTTATTGTTATAGCAGTTGTGTTTGTTCTGTGTTAATCACCATCCTTTTGGGGTGTGTAAAATTCTTCCCCACGTGAATGTAATGGCAGGAAAGGGGAGCTCCTGAAATGGGACAGCTGACCCACACATGTGTATCTGACACCCTCCTTCCCACTGCAGGTATTGGATATTCAGGTCCTGGGGCCGTGTGGGTACGGTGATCGGTAGCAACAAACTGGAACAGATGCCGTCCAAGGAGGATGCCATTGAGCACTTCATGAAATTATATGAAGAAAAAACCGGGAACGCTTGGCACTCCAAAAATTTCACGAAGTATCCCAAAAAGTTCTACCCCCTGGAGATTGACTATGGCCAGGTAACCACATAATGCCCTTACACTGTCTGCTTCTAGGAAAAGGAAGGGACACCTTATTCTAGAAAATCCACATCGTGGATCAGGTGGCATCATAGTAAACATACTACCAAATGTTGAAAGGAGAATAATAGTCCTTCACAAATTCTCCCCCAAAAATAGAAGAAAATACTTCCCAGCTCATTGCATGAAGGCCAGTACCACCCTGATACCAGAGCCAAAGCAGCACAGGAGAACTACAGAGCAGTTTCCTGTGAATAGACATGCAGAAACCCTATGAATAGAGATACAAAATCCTAACAAACCGAATCCAGCAGCATAGACGGATCTATACACCACTCCCAAGTGGGATTTATCCCAGGAATGTAAGGTTGGTTCGACATTTAAAAATCAATGTAATATATGAATAGAATGGAGGACAAAAACCACATGATCATCTCAGTAGATGGCAGAAAAAGCATTTAATACAGTCAACACCTTGAAGTATGAGATAGAGCTTAAATGAGAATTGTGGTAGCATCTTTGAGATATCGAGGAGGAACAGTCTTTTCAGTTACTCCTGAAACAATAGGACGTAATTCAGAGATTCCAGATAAGGCTTTTTATCTGAACCCATGGTCACCCTTGATCATGTGACTGGTCTGTCATGACAGAATTATAGTAACTTGACCTGCTCTGCTAGGTCACACTTTATTAGTCCCAAATTATTTCCTAGTGCTGTCTCTGTAGTTTTGGGCGTCTCCTTACATCTGTTAGCACACAGCATTCATTTGTCTATTGGTTGACATTTTTAACTTTTCTGTTTTGTCTTTTTTCTTTGCAAAATGCTTGCCTTTTTAAAAATGAAAATTTATCACTTTTTTAATCAGATAAAAGAAAACATTTATTTTACAAAAAGATCTGTAGGTGGGTAGAGATTTTAATTCTAAATCTTTGAGGCCTAGCATGTCTCGTAGGGGGAATTCTTTAGTTTACAGAGGGCCTCATGAACTCTCCATATTAAAAATAGGATTTACATCTTGCTTATACAATGATGAGGCTCAGACAGTAGACTTTCAGGACAGATTTGGCCTGACTCGGTAGCGCCCCTTACTGAGTTAAATACTTTAAAAATTTTTGAGAAATATTAATACTAAGGCACAAAAAACTAAGATTGCCCGGAATTAACCACAGTTAAAGTAATGGTAGATATCTTTTTCAGTCAGCTTTCACTGCATATGTACGTTTCCCACCACCATATGTACCATGTTACAACCATCTGCTTTTTGCCCTAATGTACCAGGAGCATTTCCTTATGTCTTCTAGAGCAGTGCTGTCCAATAGAATTATAATTCAAGCCATTTCAATACATTTAAAGTTTTTTATAGCCACATTTTAAAAAGCAAGAAGCCAATGAAATTAATCTTGGCATTATTTAACCCCGTATATCCAAAATATTCTAATTTCAACACCTGATCAATACCAATAAAATTATTAATGAGAAAATTTCCCTTTTAGTTTTTTCTCTACTAAGTCTTTGAAATCTGGTGTATATTTTGCACCTACAGCACACCTCAGTTTGGCCAGTGGCTACTGTATTGGCCACTGGCTGCACCAGTCCAGAGCATTATTTAAGGCTGCATTGAATCCCGTCCTGTGCGTGGGCTGGAATTTATCATTAATCAGAACAGCTTCCTGCCTCCTGTTAGTCATTTAGATTGATTCTGGGCATTTACTGTAATGATGCTGATATACATTTAAATATTTGTGTGCCTCTGTGATTGTTGTCATTACAAGTAGGTACTGGGTCATAAGGTAGATGCACTTAAATAGGGGTTTTGAACACATAGATACTTTGCCCTCCAATGAAGTTACACCCAGAAGATAACAGAGTACATTTAAGATGGTGTTTCAACACTGAGAGTAGGTCTACTATGAAGGTGACAGCAGCAGCCATGAACACTAACAACGCAAGTTAGCTCTTGGGTAAGCCAGTCTGATTCCAGGTTCAAAGCCCAGTGCCAATTCCTTTCACTCCAAATACCAAATTCCGTTTTAGTTGCTAGGGACACTGTGCTGGACAGAGCACCGTCTATACCCTCATACAGTTCAAGTCTAAAGAGTTAAAGCAGTTTCAGTACAGTGTGATCTTGATATAACCTGGGTTCTTCAGACAGTGGGGGGTGGAGTCTCAATAGTCTATTAGGCAGCTTAGGAAGAGGACGGACAGCTAATGCTACGATGTGCTTTAACACTGTCAGCCTGGCTGGCAGCGCATGGGACTGGTTGCTTGGTACTTTGGGAATTTAGAGAAGGCTATATAAACTTAGTCTTGCAACTGGCCCTTGTGTGAGGAAGTGTAAGAGAAAAGAGAAGGAATTTGTCCATCAGTTTCATGTCCCATTGCTCCAAAGTTTGCTTCTACAGCTGCCCAGCACTTCCAGGTTGGGCATGAGTGGGCACTAGACAGGTTCCCAGGCAGGGACCAGCAACCCCAGGGTGGGTCAGCCCATGCAGACGCTGCAGTGGCAACTAGAATAAGAATCTGGAGCAGCCAAGAGAACTTCAGGGCAGGCACAGGAAGAGTCTGACCCATGTGCAGCATCAGGCACACTCATCCTGGCCACTGTTTTCCACACCTTTTTGATTAACACTCAGCTTTTTTTGCTGGTGGCACTCTAGCCTGTGTCCTTTGTCTGCAGTCCAGCCCCACAGACGCAGATACCTTGCTTGAGTTGTTGATTTGGGTCTCTTAGCAATGTGCTTTTTTCCTGAAGGATGAAGAGGCAGTGAAGAAGCTGACAGTAAATCCTGGCACCAAGTCCAAGCTCCCCAAGCCAGTTCAGGACCTCATCAAGATGATCTTTGATGTGGAAAGTATGAAGAAAGCCATGGTGGAGTATGAGGTTATTGCGCTTTATCATTTTATCTGTGAGCATTTGCTGTGGATGATTATTTGCTGAGCTAGTGAAGAGCTGTCTGCCTGTTCTTGTTTCTGTTTCAAAAACAATACATTGGCTGTCAGCTTCTTGTACCTGTCCTTCAATCTTAAATTGTGTGAGTGTTGGGGCCTGGAGTGGTTGCACTTTTGCAGAGGGTTGTTTGATTTGCAGTGAAGCATGTGTTGTGTTGGAGAGAGTTGTTCCTGGTCCCTAGTCCCCTTTGTACTTTTTTTCTGAGACAGAGTCTCACCATGTTGTTGCCCAAGCTGGTCTCCAACTGCTGAGCTCAAGTGATCCACCCACCTCAGTCTCCCCAAATGCTAGGAATATAGGTGTGAGCCATCGTGCCCGGCCCACCCTTTGTATTTTTCCCCTTCTTCATGCTGTGGCAAGGTGTATTAGCCATGCTTCCTTTGTGGCCCAACCAAACCAACCAACTGGAGTTACCATGGGAAGTGCAAGATAGCCCACTTAGAGTAAAAGAAAATTGCTGTGACGCTTGATTCGTAAGATAAAATTCATACCAGTTTTTAAAAGGTTGGCAGTGGGGTGGGGGTGGTGGTTGCTGGATTAGTCATGCTTCTGTCCAGGGCAGAATGGCAGAGACTGCAGGCAGAGGCTCCGTGTTTCCTGTCTGTTCTCCTTCTCATCTCCGCTCTCCGCCCGGGAGATGAGTGCAAAAGGGCGGCCCCCTTGTTCTTGCTGCTCCTAGCATCAGAGCTCTTAAGTACTGACCCTGGGGGCCTTCAGAGCAGAGGTGGTCCCACCTGGCCAGCAAACACCCTCTCCTCTCTACCCTAGCTGCTGAACCCAGAAGCTTCAGGCTGCTCTGAAAAACAAGCAGCTGTGATGCATTTGGTTATTCCCTTTGTTCTAGGCTCCTAGGAACCAGTGGAGGTTAAGAGTCTCAGATCAGCCTTAAGCATTCCACCCTTCTCCATGGGGTTGCTCCCTTCACGCTCACGTTCTGCTGTCTTCCCAAGTCCTTCCTCCTAGAACCTCCTGGCCTGCCTTAGAGCTGGGAGGACAGGGGGTCAAAACTGGGCAGTATAAACCACTGGCAGCCTAAGCCGCATGGACATCAGGGCCAACCCCGTATCTCCCTGCCAAGAGCTCAGCCTGGCAGGAATGCTCACGCCTGTGCTGTTGTAGAGTGGAGTGTTGAGTTACATCCTCTAACGGGTTTAAAAAATGGCCAGGGCTTGTTCGCTGTGCTTGTTGAAATCGCTGTGTGATCTGACTTTTGTTTATGAGGTCACTAGTGTGAACAACTTATGGGTGGGCTCACTGAGAATGAGGGACGGAGGTGGAGGGAAAGGTTGAGAGGTGCTACGGTAAGGGAGAAGAGGGGCTCGTTTCATTCACGTTTTGAAGTCCTGCACTTCATTTCCAGTCTCCCACACCTTGGTCTATCTGTGATTCATAGACGTTCTCAGCTATTCTCAAACCCAAGTCCTTTCCTGTGAAATGTTGTTTTTGTTGTTGTTTTGTGTTTGGTTTGGTTTGGTTTGGTTTGAGACGGAGTTTCACTCTCTTCGCCTGGGCTGGAGTGCAATGCACGATCTCGGCTCATTGTAACCTCTGCCTCCTGGGTTCAAGCGATTCTCCTGCCTCAGCCTCCCGAGTAGCTGGGACTACAGGCGTGCACGACTGTGCCTGGCTAATTGTTTTTTTATTTTTAGTAGAGATGGGGTTTCACCATTTTGGCCAGGCTGGTCTTGAACTCCTAACCTCAGATGATCCACCTGCCTCAGCCTCCCAAAGTGCTGGGATTACAGGCATGAGCCATGGCCCCCAGCCTGAAATGACATTTTAATGTTTTTCACTGGACAGGTAACTAGTTTAGCAGGAAGAAAAGGGACAGGGGCGCTGCTTGCTGAAACAAGCTAAAAGGCAGCTAGCTGGAAGTGTGTGGAAAGCGGGGTGCCCACTCCTGACCTCAGCGGGGTCCACGTGGGATTGGGGTAACCATGTGGAGAAGTAGACACAGTGGCCCTCGGGGCTTCATCCCCAGCACCAGGGGAACCTGACTCTCCCTGTGAGGAGGGCACATCCTGAGTCCAGAAGGGAATGGGTTCCGGGCAGTCACGACACATGGCAGGGGGCAGGGTTCCAGGCTGCAGCCCTAGAAGCCTCCTCCTGGCTGCAGCTGGGGCTCGTGGGTCCCCAGTGCCAAGGTGTTTCTCCCACTTTTCTGTTTCTCTCTCAACTGGGCAGCTGTGGAGCCACTGCTCCCAGCCCGCTGTCCAGCGCTGTGCCTGAGTTTCTTTTCCAGTAGTGAGGGCGGCCTGTGTGGATGGAGCCCACCTCTTATTTTTAGTCTGTGCGTATGTTTTGAGGGGTGTACAATTAGGGAAACTAGGTATTTTCTTTTTTTTACATAAACACCAGAATTATACAGCGTGGAAAATGTCGCGCCCTTCAGAGCTCTGCCCTCACTCTGGCCATGCTCTGCCGTCAGAACTTCTTTTGGGATTCCTTCTTGAGAATTGCTTTCAGAGCTGATTGAGGGTCCATACCAAAGTCACTCTGTTCTTTTATTGTACCTTGTTCTTGGCTTGAAATAGATTATCCACCTTCTTCCCCAGATGTGGCTCCGGCTACTTAATTCTTGCCAGAAATCAGATCTTCCCTTAGGATGGAGTTTGCAGTGTTGAGGGTACAGGGAAGCCCATGCCAGGGCTTGTGGATGTTATTAGAAGCTGTTGGCTCCTGGTAGGTGTCTGATGAGCTGTGAGCACTTTTCACATCCTTTTATTTAATTTTATCACCATAGCAGTTCCATTTCTAAGATTCTTGTTCAGTTCTTTGTTCCAAGCACTGCAGGAAGTGCTGGACATGCAGAAATGGAAAGGCGCAGTCACGGCCCCCAGGGAGCTCAGAAGGGTCTATTGGCAAAGCCCCAGAGACGATGTCTCAGGATACAGAGTGTGGGGCCCATTGGTACACAGGTGTCTCCACGCAGGGGCTGAGCCAAATAGGCAGGGCTGCTCGCAAAAGGGAGTGAGTGCCTTTTAAGGAAGGTGGCCCCACTTAACAAATGGAAAATGAAGGCTGCAGATCTCATGCTTCTTCCACTGCAGCTTCTCTTGATGGCAGGCAGTTCCCAAGATATGAGCAGTAGCAATATTTGTTGGAGGTGACTGATCTGAAAGGGACAGCATTGATTTGAATGTAAGTCCATAAGTTCAGGAGTGTGTCCTTTTTAAAAATAGTGTTCAACACTTGAAAACTCTTGGTTCTTTTCCAGGTGGGAACCCAGGGGTGCACTTAACTAACTGCCTTGGCTCTGGGACCCCAGGGAAGGCCGCTGGGTGGGGTGGTCAGCATGATTTATGAGCCCTCATCTGCACATCAGAATTGGATGGGAATTATGCTATATCTTCGTCCAGACGTGCTGGACTGTTTGAAACTGGGCATAGGGGCAGAGGAGACATGGTTGGCTAAGCCCAGCCGTAAAGGAAGTGAGCAAGAATCTTCAGACACACTGCCATCCCTCATGGTGGGGTGGGGCTACAGACTCTGGATTTGGGTCACTGGTGTCCTCAGGAAATCCCAGCAGGCTCCTGACTGCTCCTGTTGGGGGCCTGAGGGTGGGCTGCCCGGTCCAGCTCTCCTGCGATCACACTGCACAGTGCCCAGCTTTCAGAGCGAAATCCCCTGTCTCCTCAGATCGACCTTCAGAAGATGCCCTTGGGGAAGCTGAGCAAAAGGCAGATCCAGGCCGCATACTCCATCCTCAGTGAGGTCCAGCAGGTAAGCACAGGGCTACCAGGGGCCTCCTGGAACCCTCCTCTGGCCGACTTAGGGGGTGAGACCTGGGGGTGGCAGGGGTAACATTTACTCAAGGTTAAGAAACTGGAAGTACTGAACTGCACTTCACGAGGGTTTCGATTTTTTTCAGTTCAATAAATGACAAGTGCCTGCTACTTACAAAAGTTTATCACAAAACTAATGAAGAGCAACATTTTTCAGTTGTCAGATACTTAGTAAACTGACCATAAACTTGAAGACGTTGGTTACCCTCTCTGTTAAAAGTGAAGTCATCCCTCTGTATCCTCGGGGATTGGTTCCAGGACTCCCTCGGGGTTACTAAAATTCACTCATGCTCAAGTCCTAGAGTGCCCTGCAGAACCCATGGAGGAGAAAAGTTGGCCCTGCACATCTGTGGGTCTCGCATCCTGAGATTTTTTTTTTTTTTTTTTGGTGGGATTTTTCTTTCTTTTTCTTTTTTGAGACAGAGTCTTGCTCTGTCCCCCAGGCTGGAGTGCAGTGTCACAATCTCAGCTCACTGCAACCTCCATCCCCAGGTTCAAGCGGTTCTCGTGCCTCAGACTCCCAAGTAGCTGGGGTTGCAAGCATGGGCCACCACACCCGGCTAATTTTTTTGTATTTTTAGTAGAGGTGGGGTTTCACTATGTTGGCCAGACTGGTCTCAAACTCCTGGGTTCAAGTGATCCGCCTGCCTCAGCCTCCCAAAGTGCTGGGATTACAGGCATGAGCCACCACACCTGGCCTGAGAATACTATATTTTTTATCTGAGTTTGGTTGAATTCTCAACTGCAGAGCCCACAGGTGTAGAGAGCTAACTGTATTTATTGAAAACATCTGTGTATAAGTGGACCCGCATACTTCAAATCGATTGTTCAAGGGTCACCTGTGTTGTGGTTTTTATTTTATGTGTCCTTAAGAGTTAGGCAGAGTTTATTTTGCAGTTACTAGGAAGTCATCAAATGGAAGCCTCTTTCATTCATGTTATTTCAACATTCTTTGAGCATCTTTCAAGGTCTACCAGTCCCGGAGCCTTCCAGCTACATCCTGGAGGGGCTGGAGGGTTCCGCTTATATTTGTGGGTGGGTGCAGGCCTGGCCTGTAGAAAGAAGGAAAGCACACAGGAAGCAGAAGTGGGCCCAGGCAGCGGGCTTTCTGGCTGGTGCTGGAGAAAAGGCGCTGAACCGGATCTGTCAACTTCAGTTACAGCTGGCTCTGAGCAGTGAACCTCTCTCCTTGTTCCTTACTGACTGAGAACTTACAAGGCTTTCCTCGGCCCCAGCTTCTTCCCATGCAATAGTCTTCAGGAAGAAGAGCTGGAATAGCATCCTTACCCATTGCCAGAGCCACCTGGGCAGCACAGATGGAAGTTGTACAACTTGGTGAAGTCCATGTCACAGCGAGAAGCAGGCGTGGGGCTTCGGACCTGCTGGGTGCCACTTCATATTCCCTTGACCTTCCTGTGGTCACCTAGGCTGTCTGCGAAATTCCTGGAATCCCAGTGGCCCCGCTCTTCCATCTCTGTGCATTTTTTGTGCACCCTTTGCATATAGAGCACCAAGTGACACTGGCAGTGAGTGTAAGGATTGCTTAGCCTTTCTGTGCCTGGCCACCTCAACCTCCAGGTACAGTAAAAACTAATTCCAATGAAGGTCAGTGGAGGCAGGGAGCCTGACTGAATTTTATAGCGATGGGCAACCTCCTCCCAACATTTTATTATGAAAATGTTTCAAACATACAAAAAGTTGAAGGAATTTTACAGCAATAGTCATTAGCCCACCACCTAGATTTTACAGTTAACATTTTGCATAGTTGTGGCGGGGTTTCAAATGTCTGTAACTGCACAGTTCTTTGTACAAATGAAACTTCATGGGAGAAGCCCATCACGTGTTGAGCAGTGCTTTTAGAGGATGGGGGTCCTGCCCTGCTCTTTAACAGGAAGATGGTCTTCTGGTCGTTTCCCATGTGTCCTGGCATGTGCACATACCACGCTACTTCTGGACCTGCTGCAGCACCCACCTGCTAAAAGAGAAAGCCTGGCCGGGGGCTTGGAGCTGCTCCCTCAGTCTTGCATTCCTTCTGTCCCCTCCTCTCCAGGCGGTGTCTCAGGGCAGCAGCGACTCTCAGATCCTGGATCTCTCAAATCGCTTTTACACCCTGATCCCCCACGACTTTGGGATGAAGAAGCCTCCGCTCCTGAACAATGCAGACAGTGTGCAGGTAGCGCAAGGGTTCAGAAGGGACTGCAGGTCTGCTGGGCTGGGGTGTGACTACCTTGCAGCCGTCCCTCCCCATCATGATCCCTGAGGGCAGCACCAATGCTGGGAGGGCCACCCTCTTGCCCTTGTTTTGAAGTTGGGTTTCTACCCACATTGATGGAGGCAGAGCTGTTTTTCCTGCCCCTGTTCTACCAAATCCACTGGGGAAAGAGCTGTTGGAGAGGGACAGCCTCTCCCTCATAACAGCATCTTCCTCCCCATTTTCCCTCCCTGCCTTTTAAGACAGCTCCTGGCTCAGGACCCATTTGTCTAAAGTACCTTCACTGTAGGTCCCAAATGTCAGCATGTACGAGAGGAAAGACAGTTCTTCCACCTCTCAACTCCCCCAGGCCACAAGGCCTTGTTAACATTCCAGAAAGTCCTTATGAGCTCTCAATATGTGCAGCAGGTAACAGGCTGGCCCTGACCAGCAGGAGGGTTTGCCATTCACTGTGTTGGACCTTCTCTGCATGTAGGTTTTCTCTGCCACCTGGGTGAGTCTGTCTCATTCACCATGATACCTAAGTCGGGGGCTTTCTTTTGCTCCTCCAGGCCAAGGTGGAAATGCTTGACAACCTGCTGGACATCGAGGTGGCCTACAGTCTGCTCAGGGGAGGGTCTGATGATAGCAGCAAGGATCCCATCGATGTCAACTATGAGAAGCTCAAAACTGACATTAAGGTAACAGGGTCAGGCCTTCCTCAAGCATCTTAACCTCTCATCCTGAGAGCAGCGGTCCCAAACTTCCATGTGTGTTAGGATCTCCTGGAAAGCTTGTTAAAACACAGGTGGCTGGCGCCCAATAATTCACTTTTCTAACAAGTTCCCGGACATTGCTGCTGGTGGTCCTTTGAGAACCTTTGGGCGTTTCACGTGTAGATAATGCACCTTGTTTGCAAGGCAGCCTTCCAAGCCAGCACCTCAGCTTGGCGTACAAATTTATTTTTGAGGGTCTTACCAAAAGTTCTTTTTTGTTTGTTTGTTTGTTTGTTTCCTCTCCTTAATCTAGAGAGGAGCTCTGTTTTTCTAAACCCTTGTAGCGTGAACTTTTAGAAGACTTATTACCGGTGTCCATTTCAGAAGTGGAAATGCTTGATGGCACCTGTAATAAAAACACAATGCTTGCGTTCATTTTTCTCTGGTGCTGAAGTGGACTGTGTTGGCACACACAGTCTCTGAACACCCCGCTTAGACCAACTAGAGGAGGGATTTTTGCCTCAGCTTCTAGATGGCCCGGTCCTTGAGCCTATCTCCACACTCATGTGCCCCATTGTCCTCAGCCCATTCCCTGCAGTGTTGCAGGGGTTTGGGTGGGCGAGAGTATGTTGAGTCTGGTACCAGGTGTTTACATCGCTAAAGAAAGAGCCTTGGCTTCTTTCCTAGGACAAAGTATAGACCTATGGGTCCAAGCAGGGTAAGACACCACATGTCATTTGTTTTGCCCCTAGAGCACCTTCCTGATGGGAAAACTGTAGGTGTGGTTCTTCGTGAAGGGATTCTTATTCTCTTTTTACAATTCTGAAGCCTTTTAATTAAAAGACAGGGAGGTAGACCAGCATTCTAGGTTTTCTGAAGTTTGAATATAAATATGAAAATAAAACATAACTAGTCTCCTCCGTAATACTCAGGCTTACTGAGCATAGATTACATCAGCTATTTGACAGATGCTTGTTAGGCCTGTGCTCTGAGCCAGGGATAATTTTCATTGCACATCATAGCTGTGACTTCCTCTGGCCCATTGTGTTTTAACTCATGCTGAGCTGGACTCTCTTCCAGGAGCCAATTGCTTGTTCTGGAGATGCCCTGTTCACTGACAGTGAATCCCACATTCTAGCTTCCCTGATATCCCAAAACATAGAATTTTAAGACAAAAAGGAACCCTGAGATTCTCTAGCAGCCCAAGTAGATGAAGAGGTGGAGGCTTAGGTAAGTGGAGCCACTGGCCCAGGATCTGCCCAGCCCACAGGCCTGGGACACAGGCTCTCGGTCATGCCCGGCTTCCTTTGAGGAGTGTGGTGTTGAGCTATGCATTGACTGAGCCTGAGCATTCCTCCTCTGTAGCTCTCCTGGGTCTCTTTTGTGCTAATCCCAAGATTCTGTTTATCCAGGTGGTTGACAGAGATTCTGAAGAAGCCGAGATCATCAGGAAGTATGTTAAGAACACTCATGCAACCACACACAATGCGTATGACTTGGAAGTCATCGATGTAAGAATCCCTTCTTCCCCCACTTCCTTCTGTGTCCTGCCAGCTCTTCCCTGCCCACTCCTCCAACCTGGGCCTGGGTAGAAAAGAGCAGTTTATTTACTTTAAATAACCCAAAGAAGTGACTCATTTGTTCAGCAGAAAAATTAGTAGTTTTTTTTTTGTTTGTTTGTTTTTTGTTTTTTTTTTTGACATGGAGTCTCACTCTATCACCCAGGCTGGAGTGCAGTGGTGCAATCCCGGCCTGCTGCAGCCTCTGCCTCCTGGGTTCAAGTGATTCTCCTGTCTCAGCCTCCAGAGTAGCTGGGATTACAGGCGTGAGCCACCACACTCTGCTAATTTTTGTATTTTTAGTAGAGATAGGGATTCACTATGTTGGCCAGGCTGGTCTTGAACTCCTGACCTCAGATGATCCGCCTGCGTTGGCCTCCCAAAGTGCTGGGATTATAAAATTAGCAGTCTTATACAGTAGTTTGGGGATGGCTTTTTATTCTGTTTTAAAGGACATTTCCTGTCCCCAAACCTGGTCTCAGAACATAGATTATCAGATGTCCAAGATAAAGTTCCTCAAGTGCACATCTGCTGCACAGTAATACTAACCAGCAATGGCTGGGCGCTGCTGGGCAGGACCTGGACCTTCCATCCCAGCCTTGTGGAAAACACTTTTTACATTGCAGCAGACCTTAAGTCTTCTAGCCTTAGGGACAGCCGGTCATTTCTCGTGTATCCAGTCCTGTCTTTCAGTCAACCAGAGTAACAAATGGCTTCTTTTGTCCTTCCCTTTGTTTACTACTCCAACCAGATCTTTAAGATAGAGCGTGAAGGCGAATGCCAGCGTTACAAGCCCTTTAAGCAGCTTCATAACCGAAGATTGCTGTGGCACGGGTCCAGGACCACCAACTTTGCTGGGATCCTGTCCCAGGGTCTTCGGATAGCCCCGCCTGAAGCGCCCGTGGTATGTGCCTGGCCTGGCGAGGGGTGGGCAATGCCTGTCTCTGCAGGTGTCTCCATAAAGAACTTTGAGCAAGAGGTCTAGTTGGTTTAGGGGGATTCTGCCAGACATCCTTTCTTTGGGCCTTCACCCTTTTATCCTCCTGACCCTAACCCTGTCAGGGGTTTCAAACACAGTTTCTGGAACAAAGGAGGCAGAGCATCCAGGCCAGGGCCTGCTGCAGATGCTAATCGGGTGTGTTGACAAGCAAAGAACAGACACGTGGCTACAGGCCAAGCTGAGTCCAGGCTTATCTCTACCACTTCCCAGCCGGGCCACCTCTGAGTGTCAGTGTCTTCAGCAGGAAAACGTAGCGATGAATGAGTAAGGCTTTACCTAGACACGAGGGATCGTGATGCCACCTGCTGGATTCTAGATGGGTCCACCTGGACAGGACCTTCTAAGCCTCTTGTTTCACAGTTGTAGAATGAGGAGGAGAGAAGTTTAAATGATTCTCTCTGGGGCTGTGCAGTAGTGTATAACGGGCAAATGGCCTACCCTTTGTGAACCTCGTGTTTCATTTACAAAAGGGAATAAAAATACCAGCCTGCATTCCTTGGGTGTTGACAGGCGCTAGTTTAAGTAACACTGATGAGCTCATTCCGTCCTCATGGCAGCTCCATGAGACTGTGTTCCCCATTTGAGAAAAGAGGCAAGTAGAGTCCAGAGAGGTTACGTAGCTTCTTGCAGCTCCTTGGCACCTGGCAGAGCTAGGATCTGACAGCCTGGCTTGTGAGCTAAAACTTTGGTATTTCCTCACCATGGGCATTGTGAGAATTAGAAGTGATGGATTGCAGCACTTAGCTGGGTGGCTTGCTCAAGTTGGCACTCAGTGAACAGCTGCTCCTAATTTCCCATCAGAAGATTCTCAGCTCTCCCTTTTCCGACCTTCCAGACAGGCTACATGTTTGGTAAAGGGATCTATTTCGCTGACATGGTCTCCAAGAGTGCCAACTACTGCCATACGTCTCAGGGAGACCCAATAGGCTTAATCCTGTTGGGAGAAGTTGCCCTTGGAAACATGTGAGTAAACCTGGCTCTGGGACTGATGGCATTTCATGGGGACAGGTGGAATGGGCTATAGGCAGAACTCCCCTTGGCTGGGAGAGTAGAAATTCCCCACTGCAGTTACTGGACGCACCAATTAGGATTCTTTTCTTATAAGTAGCAGAATCCAATTCAAGTTAAGGGAACAAGGGAGATACAAGGATACTTCAGGAAATGCAAGGGCAGGAACGCAGCCAGGCCTCCAGAGCTGGCAGTGTCTTCTCTCCATGGACTGGGAAGCAGAGAGATTGAGTTGCACAAAGGATGATCCCCCAGGCCGCCTCCTCCACTCACCAGTGTTTCAGTTTTCTTAGACCAACCCAAATGGAACTGGAATTTTAATTCCACTTCCAGATTCTCCATAGAGAAAGATCTGATTAGTCCAGCTTGATTTGGACATCGACCCTAGTCCTGTGAACTGTAACCAAAAGCACAAGGTCATGTAAAAGGCCAGGGGTCTGGGGACTGTGGAATGTGGACGGAAACCTAGAGCTGCTGACCACCACTCCAAATAGGGCCTTGCCTTGAAAATGGCCCCATAGCAGTGATCGCTGGGCACAAACTATGTTCAGCCGCAACTGCAGTTTCAGGTTCTGGAACAGTTCCAGAAACTCAGGAGGGAGCCTGAGCAGTTTAGATGGTCTGGGTTTTGTGGACTTTTATCTCATCTCTGTATCTGATCTTATTCTCCTAATCAAACTGTTGGTTTCGAGAGCCCAGTGTGAAGGCCTCTTCTGAGACTGTCCTCTTTTGAATAGGTATGAACTGAAGCACGCTTCACATATCAGCAAGTTACCCAAGGGCAAGCACAGTGTCAAAGGTAAAGTGTTTCCAAAGCTGTTGCTACAGCCCGAGGCACCCTGGACAGCACAGAAGCCGGGGGCTTGCTGTCCTGAGAAGGCTGCCTTGTGGCTGGCTGTCAAACAGCTGGAGATTCATTTTATCTTTTCGAGGGGTGTGTGTGCGTTGTTGTTGTTGTTTGGGGGGTGGTGGTGGTGGTTAATATGCTGCAACTGACCATGATTGGAGGTTCATTTTATTTATTTTTGTAAAAAAAAAAAAAAAATAGGCAAGCTCTATAGCAGGAGGTTCATTTTTAAAAACAGTTCACTCTCTGTGGCTGCAGCTGGTATCACAGATGCCACAGGAGAATCTTGGTGCAGGCACCAGTAACCAGATGCACGGGTTTCGGCTTTAACCTAACTTGTAGCTACAGCAGTGAGGGACCTCTCGTGACATAGTAGTGCCTGGAGCATCTTGGATTGCTAGAATTTGCAGCATATGATTTAGAACCTTCCACTGCCTGGTTGAAGTGGCCGCTTTGAAATTCTATTGAGCCGAAATGTGATCCTGTAGGGAGGGTACTGCCACTGTTCTCATTAAACTCAGTGAAGGTTGATGCCCTGGGAACTTTGGTTTATTGCCTTAGTTTTATATCTGAAGAAAGATAGAGCATGTCTTTAAAATGAGCACATGAGGCTGGGTGTGGTGGATCACCTGAGGTCAGGAGTTCGAGACCATCCTGGCCAACATGGTGAAACCCTGTCTCTACTAAAATACAGAAAATTAGCTGGGTGTGGTGGCGCGCACCTGTAATCCCAGCTACTCAGGAGGCTGAGGCACGAGAATTGCTTGAATCCGGGAGGCGGAGGTTGCACTGAGCTGAAGTCACACCATTGCACTCCGGCCTGGGCGACAGTGAGACTCCATCTCAAAAAGGAAAAAAAAAAAAAAGAAAGACCACATGGACCCAACATCAAATAGAGCTCATCTCCCTGGAAGCTTTGCCACATCTGTACTCACAGTTCATGTCACTTGTGACTTCTGTTTTTCAGGTTTGGGCAAAACTACCCCTGATCCTTCAGCTAACATTAGTCTGGATGGTGTAGACGTTCCTCTTGGGACCGGGATTTCATCTGGTGTGAATGACACCTCTCTACTATATAACGAGTATCCTTTCTTGAGTATGCTGTGTGAGCACAAAGGGATGTTCTCGAGCTACAGAGTCACTTATGTGCTGTCAGATTACCTGGGGCAGACAAGGATTAGAGGCTGTCCTGTAGTGTGTCCCATGGTGACTGTTTCCCTTCTGTGGTCCCTCCCTGTGCATAGCCTGGCTTACAGGGTATGAGCCTTCCCCCAGTTTCCAGAGGATGATCTCCTCTCCTCAGTCTGCCTGAAGAAGACTTAGAGTAACTTTCAGGCTGGCATTGAGCATCCTGCCAGCCCCGGGGAGATGAGGCAACCCAGCCCCATGAAGAGGCCTTAGAGTGACTTTCAGGCTGGCACTGAGCGTCCTGCCAGCCTGGGGGAGATGAGGCACATGTACATACCCTCTGTTGTATGGCTGTTGGCTCCTTAACAAGCTTCCCCTCAGGTACATTGTCTATGATATTGCTCAGGTAAATCTGAAGTATCTGCTGAAACTGAAATTCAATTTTAAGACCTCCCTGTGGTAATTGGGAGAGGTAGCCGAGTCACACCCGGTGGCTCTGGTATGAATTCACCCGAAGCGCTTCTGCACCAACTCACCTGGCCGCTAAGTTGCTGATGGGTAGTACCTGTACTAAACCACCTCAGAAAGGATTTTACAGAAACGTGTTAAAGGTTTTCTCTAACTTCTCAAGTCCCTTGTTTTGTGTTGTGTCTGTGGGGAGGGGTTGTTTTGGGGTTGTTTTTGTTTTTTCTTGCCAGGTAGATAAAACTGACATAGAGAAAAGGCTGGAGAGAGATTCTGTTGCATAGACTAGTCCTATGGAAAAAACCAAGCTTCGTTAGAATGTCTGCCTTACTGGTTTCCCCAGGGAAGGAAAAATACACTTCCACCCTTTTTTCTAAGTGTTCGTCTTTAGTTTTGATTTTGGAAAGATGTTAAGCATTTATTTTTAGTTAAAAATAAAAACTAATTTCATACTATTTAGATTTTCTTTTTTATCTTGCACTTATTGTCCCCTTTTTAGTTTTTTTTGTTTGCCTCTTGTGGTGAGGGGTGTGGGAAGACCAAAGGAAGGAACGCTAACAATTTCTCATACTTAGAAACAAAAAGAGCTTTCCTTCTCCAGGAATACTGAACATGGGAGCTCTTGAAATATGTAGTATTAAAAGTTGCATTTGAAATTCTTGACTTTCTTATGGGCACTTTTGTCTTCCAAATTAAAACTCTACCACAAATATACTTACCCAAGGGCTAATAGTAATACTCGATTAAAAATGCAGATGCCTTCTCTATTTGTGTATTGCGTGTCTGGTCTCATTCTGACTACAGATATGGTTAATCTTCACAGTGCAAGGTCCCAAGAGACTTTGGGGGGATTGTTTCTACCCTTAATCTGTGAAACCCCAGAACGTGCCAGGCAGCAAATAGCATTGCTTAATGGGAATGCCCCACCTAAGGGTGGGCCAAGCACCAGGCATAGGAGACACTTTTTTTTTTTTTCGGCTTATCAGATGCATTGTGGTGATGAACTCATCCTGCTCTCTGGAGGACTGCCTTTCATACACCACATTGCCTTGTACAACTGCTCTGCATTTGAGAATCATACTTAAATGTTTACGTTTCAATTGCCTGAAAGCAGGGCCAGTGTCTTATGTCACCTCTGACCTTTTACGGAAGGGGACAAGTGAGGTAGTAGCTCACACCTGTAATCCCAGTGCTTTGGGAGGCCGAGGTGGGAGGATCATTTGAGGCCAGGAGTTCAAGACCAGCACCTTTGACCTGGAGACCCTCTCTCCTGATCATCCAGCAATCCAGGCTGTTCGGCTCTTGGGCTCCTGAGTATTCTGCACTCTTTACCTTTTTTTTTAATCAGCACAGAGAAAGGCAATTACCCTCACAGTACCTGATGAAATAAGTATTTTTAGGTTGGAGTGATTACTTAGTGAGTTCCCTGTAATCAAAACTGGTTTCTTTTTTTAAGGAAGATTCACATTTCTCAATCTATTTTCCTTTCAAAAGAGAGAAATTAGCACTTTATGTTTTAGTATACACATTCTGCTTTTCTCCCTTCACTTTAAAAAAATTCAAGTCCTGGCCGGATGCAGTGGCTAACACCTGTAATCCCAACATTTTGGGAGGCCAAGGCGGGCGGTTCACGAGGTCAGGAGATGGAGACCATCTTCGCCAACTGGTAAAATTTCATCTCTACTAAAAATACAAAAATTAGCTAGACATGGTGGCGCTCACCTGGAATCCCAGCTACTCAGGAGGCTGAGGCAGGAGAGTCGCTTGAACCCGGGAGTCAGAGGTTGCAGTGAGCTGAGATCATGTGTGGCAACAGAGCAAGACTCCGGTCTCAAAAAAAAAATTCAAGTCCTATCTCAGGGTAGCAACTAAAATGTGAGAATTTCGTTTAAAAATTAAAGCCAACCGTGAACCTGGGGTTGGAGCCTGCAGTGAGCCGAGATCGCGCCACTGCACTCCAGCCTGGGCAACACAGCGAGACTCCGTCTCAAAAAAAAAAAAAAAAATTAAAGCCAACCTTGCATAGAAACTCGGGGTGCTCCATGAGAGAAGAGAGAGGTATAGCCCTCTGCCCCTCCTGGTGAGCTGCCCTCCTCCCGCCTTTGTGCCTGGAAGTGCCCTTGGCCAACAGTAGTTGCCCAAGGCAGTACTGGGCTCACATGTCAGAGCACACTGTTGCACACAGTGGTGCATGCATACATCTATAAAAGATGCGCTGCGTACACAGTAGTGTTTTAGCCAATGTGCTAGCCAATGAATTCTGCATCAGTGGTTATCTCTTGCTACACAAGAGGTGAAGAACCATTCCTTCAAGCGTCCCAGAGCTCTAAGGCGAAGCTGCTATAGAATGATTTGCCTAGAACTTTGCCTTAGGGCAAACCTCAAGTACTGCTTTTAGGAATGAAATCTAATGGTGGCCTTGTCCCTGGTGCGGGCATAGTATGTACTCAGTGTTAATTGTTTACACCAAAAGCCTGGAAGCTGCATTGTCTTTTGGCCTTCAGAAACCTTGTATCTTAACTGTTAAGATCTGAACATTGGGAATCATTCACCTCTGACCTGTTGGGCTGGTTTTATTCCGCTCTATAAAGTACACCCAGGTGCTTTAGGAGTTCGCATTTCTCAAAGTGGTGTCATTGCCTTTCCCTTAAATTCTGTTTTGACTCCTCAGAGATTGGTGGTTGCTTTTTTGAGGCATAGTGTTTCCACCATTTCATCAGGCAGGGCCTGCCAAATTGAGTCTAAGTTGAGGCCATTGAGGTTTAGGGAGGTCTGATACAGTGCTTAGCATCCCACTGCCCCCTCACTTCTGCCATTCAGCCTCAGCATGGAAGGTTAGATGGCAGCTTCCCTTTGGCATGTGCCAAATATGCCCATTTGTATGGCTTAAGAGGTCAATGTTGGTTTTCTCATTTCTCTTTACTGTTCTCTAGAGCAGGTCATCTAGGTTATAAGATATATTTTGGAGACTTCAAAAGTAAAGAAAATGTGGCCTGTAAACACCTTCCTCCTCAGCGAATTAGCCCTTATGTGAAAAATGTTGCCCACTGGACTAGGGAACAGTGCTGGTAATAGGGACAGCTGGTGTGCGTCCTATGGGCCATGTGGACTCAGAGCACTCAATGCCACCCACCACTGTGGCATTCTGTATAGCTTTGCTTCTGATCAGCGACCTCATTCTACAGCACAGAGTTCAGCATCAGGCTTGTACTTAGAATTAACTGGTTTTGCCACATGCCCCATCACCCAGAAATGACCTAAATGAAGAGTAGAATGGCTCATGATGGTGCCAGTTGTGAGACAGCGTCCTGAAGGGATGGGGTTTCATCTTACGGATGCAGTAGAGGCTTGAAATCAGAGACCAACCTGGTGTCTCCCCCCCGGCCAAAGCACATGGGTCTGGGAACCAGTGGGTGAGGTGGGAGTAGTTCCTCTTGCTGTCACCACATCTGATATCCCCTCACAGGGCTTGTGTTTGGAGGTCTTAGTCCCTAAGGGAGAGATGCTTCTAGCGGACAACACAATTATGGTTTCATCGACTTAGAAGATGAGGCTACCATATGGCTGTTTGGGGCTCCTTGTACCACTGCAGCAATGTGCAGAGGAGGGGGTGACCTTGCTGGCAGAAGGGACTGATCCTGATTACCAAGGGGAAAGTGGGATGCTGCACAGGGAGGCAAGCAGGACTATGTCTAGAGCCCAGGAGATTCTCGGGAGGGCTTTAGTGCCACCATGTCCAGTGGTAAAGGCAAGGGGAAGTACAGCAACCAAAAACACTGCAACTCCAAAAAATGACAGCACTGTGGAAAATTCAGACCCTTCAGGAACGAAGGCTTGGGTCACTCTAGTCAACAGGTTCTGGCTGAGGGCAAAGGAAGTAAGGAATGGGTGCTAGAAGGAATGTCACAGATGTCCACTATGGCTTCATGACCAATTACAGAAAAAAAGACCAAAGCAGCCAGTTAGAGGGGCAGAGACATTGCAGGTTTTAGGGGGTTTTGTTGTTGTGTTTTGGGGTTTTTTGAAACAGAGTCTCACTCTGTTGCCCAGGCCAAATTGGAGTGCAGTGGCGCCATCTCAGCTCACTGCAACCTCCACCTCCCTACAACTTCTGCCTCCCGGGTTCAGGGGATTCTCCCGCCACAGCCTCCCTAGTAGCTGGGATTACAGGCACACACCACCACGCCCTGCTAATTTTTGTGTTTTTAGTAGAGATGGGGTTTCACCATGTTGGCCAGGCTGGCCTCAAACTCCTGGCCTCAAGTGATCCACCTGCCTCGGCCTCTCAAAGTGCTGGGATTATAGGTATGAGCCACTCCACCCGGCTGAGACGCTGCAGTTTTAAGCCACAGAACAAGTCTAGCCTGAGTGTAGGGTTTCTGATGGTGAGTTACAATGGCTATGCATACACTCAAATCGAGTTCTTTATTATAGGGTACCTATAAATGTGTACATCACATTTGTACCCCTAAAAGTCCTGCCCTTTAGTTCAGTGGATTCTGGATTCTGAGGATACTCTTGGTCCTTTCCAGAGATGAAGGCAGGCAGGGGTCAGGGCCCACAGAAGGGAATCCCTATATTCTTGGGGTTGTCTGAGCCAGGGCTCATGCCTGTCTGGTGCTTTCAACCAAACCTCTCTCATGGGCTCTGTAAAAGGAACAATCAGGCCATTCTGAATCCCCCAGATCTTGTACCTACCTTTTAGAATTGTCTTGAGAGTGTGTGTGCTGATTCTCCTAAAGTACTTCGTGTGGTTCCTGACCTATAATAAGTGCTTCATAAATCTTAGTCATTATTGTTAAAATCCCAAAGAGTGGTTTTGCTCGAGTCTGAATCCAAAAAGGAAGCTCCAGGTAAGAGGAGAAACTAGAGAACAGGACACAGAAACCATCCTGTGTTTTTTCTATCCTGTGAAACCATCACCATGACACTGGCCTTCCCTCTCAGTGTGGCCTCATCCTCCATGTCCCTCCCTGTAGTCCCCTTAACTGTGAAGTGTCCAGCCTCTCCAGCACTTACTCCCAGGCCCAGCTCCACTTCAGGCAGGCCTGCTGGGGCTCAGAATAGCCCAGCTGCTGTCTCAGCAGATGGCCAGGCTAATTTTAGCCATGTGGTACTCACCCAGGGACCAGGCTGGGCTTTTTAGATTTGAATAAGCCAGTGTGCAACTTTGGTTTAGAGCCAATAACAAAGTTTGGAGCTGTTGTGATCTCTGTGTCTGCCTAGCACTTTATAAGATTCCAGAAATATAATTTTAAAGGATTTTGTTTCTGTGAACCAACAAGAACCCAAGCTATGGAGCCAGCAGGCAGTCAAGCCAGCAGGGTATTGATGGAGGGTGGTGAGAAGCAGATGGTGGCACCAGCTCCTGCCTCTTCTCCCTGATGACAAGCGGGTGGCAGGGCCTCAGTATCCCGGGTGCACTGTGCTCTCACTGCTCTCCTGGCCAAAGTGAAAGAAGGCAGCAGCCAACTCAGCCTCCTGGATCATCCTCTGAACCACTCGTGGGTGGCAGGCTGCATCTTCATGCTGTGGAACAACTGTGGTCCGGAAGAAGTCAGCCAGATGCCAGCAAGAACCTACTCTGGCACTTTCATGTGCAGTCCCTCGAGACAACCTAATGTGAAGTAGGCAGATGTGGAAACAGGCTCAGAGAGGTAAGAGGTCCCAAGAGAGGCTGAGATTGAGCCAGGTTGAGAACGTGTCTTTTCCATTGTGATGTTTCTACCTTATTGTTCTTCATATGTGAAGACTGCCTTTCATCCCAGTTCTTCCAGAGAGTTCAGAGACAACACACAGTGACTCGGAAAGCCACATTCCAGCCTGCCTTCACCTTTCCATGATTAATTTCTAGTTGCAGAAGCAAGTTGACCAGAGAAGACAGTAGAATGAGGAGACCAGACTAGTCATGCTTCCTAAACTGGGTCCATGAACTCTTAAAAGTTGGTTTGGGTGGTCTTTGGGGAATCTGTTTGTCAGTTGAGCTGCTTTCAGCTTAAAAAATAAAAAGGAAAGCCACATTTCAAGAAGTGGGAGCCAGACACTGTGGCTCACACCCGTAATCCCAACTCTCGGGAAGGCCAAGGCAGGAGGATCTCCAGAGGCCAGGAGTTTTAAGACCAGCCCAGCAGCATAATGAAACCCTGTCTCTACAAAAAATTTAAAAACTTGGCCAGGCATGGTGGCTTGTGCCTGTAGTCCCAGCTGCTAGGGAGGCTGTGGTCGGAGGATCACAATCACTTGAGCCCCGGGGTTCCGGCCTGCAGTGAACTGTGATCACATCACATCGCTGCACCAGTCTGGACGACAGCGAGACCTGACTCTAAAAAAACAAGGTTGGGTGCGGTGGCTCATGCCTGTAATCCCAGTACTTCGGGAGGCTGAAGTGGGAGGATCACCTGAGGTCAGGAGTTGGAGACCAGCCTGGCCAACATAGTGAAACCCCATCTCTAGTAAAAATACAAAAATTTAGCCAGGCAGAGTGGCACGTGCCTGTAGTCCCCGCTACTTGAGAGGCTGAGGTGGGAGAATTGCTTGAACCCAGGAGGCAGAGGTTGCAGAGAGCTGAGATGGCGCCACTGTGCTCCAGCCTGGGTGAGGCAACATAGTGAGATTCTGTCTCAATTTTTTTTTAATAAAAATTTTTAAAAATTGATGTTTGCAGCGTTGGTTAATTCTGCTTCTCTGTTTCTCTTGGCTTTTCATGGTTGCCAGATGGCAGTTGGACACCTAGCACCACCATCCAGAGGCAGGAAAGGAGAGTTACCCCCTCATCTTTTACCAGAGAGAAAAACTTTTCTCCATTGTTCCCAATAGTCCTGTCTTCTCATCTCATTGCCTAGGGGTTGGGGCACATGCCTGTGCCCCACAGCTGCAGGAAGGCTGGAGTTAGAGTATCAGGCACGGTGCAGGATGTCAGCAAGGACAAAGGGAGTGAAGAATGTGGCCTGAGAGCGTGTCATGCCCTAGAAATTGTGCACAGAAGCTGAGACACGGGCACTTTTGTGGGTAGTGGGTCCATAAGCCCATCAGATTCTCAGCGGCCCTTGAGCTCAAGGTCTTTAGAACTTCAGGTGCAGATCATCACTAAGGTTCCCTCAGCTGCTTAATGTTCTTTGATTTTGTGAAAAAAAGATGTAAACCATCACAGAAATAGAAACAGTTGCCCAGAATAGTTTAAGTGGCGGTACTTAGTGCTAATCTCACAGGCTCAGCCAGGCTTTGATGACACTGCGGAGGTCATTGTCAACCAAACGTCTTTTCCTCCCTAGCTTGTCTTTTTGCTGTGAACTCATGTTTCTGCCCAGGGGATGGTCCTGCTTTCCTTGACTGGGGCTACAGTCTTTTGCCTGAGCAGTTACTGGATTCCAGTTATACTGGTGGCAGTTCCATTCCCTCTTAGGATGGGCAACCACAGTGGTGCCCAGGACACCAGGACCAGCCCGAGGGCCTGTGAGGACCTCTGAGATCTCCGGGGCAGGGTTAGCAACTCCCTAAGAACAAGCCCAGTGAACTGCAGTGTGGTCGTCTTGGGCATCTCCCGCATTGGTCCCCGGGGCAGGGATCATCTCCAGGCAGGCCCTGGCTTGTGACAGCACTGATGAAATGCAGGACACCTCTGATAAACTAACGGACACTCAACAAAACACGTCTTAACTACCTTATGTTGAACAAACACGTGTGAACAAACCATTTATTTTTCTCCCACTGGCCCTTTAAAATTGTTCAGAGGAGACGCCTTCCCCTGCCACTGGAAGGAAATTCTGCAGGCCTTCCCTTCTGTAAAAGACAGTTTCCCCTGGTGACTCTCAGATTCAGACACTTCCAGCTCAGTAATTGGGATGTCTAGTCCACGGTAACAGTCAAATCTCTGAACTTGATTTAGCATTAACGTTTCTCTCTCCCTGGGCTGGAGGCCTGCGGTAGGAAAGAAAAAAGTTGCTTTCTCCTCCATTTCTCAGCCTCTCCTCTTCTTGTCCTACTTTCTAGGCAGTTTCAGGGAAGGTGAAGGGAGGGAGCCACTGGGGGATAGGAAAGGACTTCCCTGCACTGGTACCCGGTTAATCCAGCTCTGGCAGGCATGTGTCACTGGCTCTTCCTTAGGGTACGTTCATCAGCTTTTCAGGGGGTCCCTGCTGGGTCTCTCAGAGGGCACTCCCTTAAACCAGGCAGGTGCCTGTTGCAGTAGCCCCCTGTGCAGTTCTTAGTGATTAGGCACTTACTCCAGCTCCCTGCTGCTGGGTTCTCCACTGGACAAGACCCTGCTCTCTCCCACTGGACACCCACACCTGGTCCACAGGACTCACTCACACATCCCTGGCCCTGACCATCTCCAGGAGCTTGGCCAGTCCCCACACAGCTCTCCAGTTGCTCCCCAAAAAGCAGTTAGTCCTGTGTCTCCCAGAGGACGGGACTGACCCTGGACCACCACACCTGCCGCTGAGGAGTTACCAATAAACTCCAAGGAGACAATCACTCCCTTCTGCTTAGTGGGGGGAGCATGGGCTCTTGGCCTAGGACAGCCTTCTTAGGAAATGCTCCCTCCCTCTGCATGCTCTGGGCCCTTTTATATCCCCCACCTAGCTGAAGCTCCCAAAAATCACGGAGCTCTTCGCAGACTGTTTCTTTTCACGTATTTTATCTTGAAATCTCCATTAAAACTTCAATTTTTTTTTCTTTTGAGACAGGGTCTTTCTGTGTTGCCCAGGCTGGAGTGCAGTGGTACAATCTTGGCTCACTGCAACCTCTGCCTCCCGGATTCAAGTGATCCTCCTGCCTCAGCCTCCCCAGTAGCTGGGACTACAGGCGCATGCCACCACACCAGGCTAATTTTTATTTTTATTGTTTATAGACATGGGGTCTGACTATGTTGACTGGCTGGTTTTGAACTCCTGGGTTCAAGCAATCCTCCTCCTCAGCCTCCCAAAGTTCTGGGATTACAGACATAGCCACTGTGCCTGGCCACAACTTTGATTTTAACATTCTGTTGCACATTTTTAAATTTGATCCTCACACCAACCCCATGAGGGATATTATGATTGAGTCTACATATGGGAACCTGAGGCACAGCGGGACTAACCTGCCCAAGGTCATACAGTAGATGACTATTTAGATGGGCCTTTCCTTGCCTGGCCTCTACACAAATCCTGCTTATTGAGTGGACCAAGTGACAACTCCCTTCACATAACCCAAAGCCAGCAGTCAATACGCTTAGCAATTTGTACAAAGAAAAAATTGTTGCACCTCCAGGGACTCTTTTCGGGGGTGATGGAAATGTGCGTGTCGATTATGATGTCAAATCCATTTAGTCGCACACTTTAGATAGTTTACTGAAGATAAATCACACCTTAATAAATAAAAGTTGATTTTAAATGCCATTCAAAAAACAACATCAACTCCTGCCCCTCAGTGGTAAAAAAAATTAGAGCTAAGATGTCATAGGTGGACCAAGTTAGACTCTGCATAGTGAGTTGGTAGAAGTCATCAAAGGGAAGAGGGAGCCCAGCAGCTCTCCAGAGGCCATGCCCCTCCCACCTCAGGGGAGAGAAGATGGGACTTTCTGCTTCCACTTCCTGTTTCCCACAGACCTGATCCTCTGCTTCTTTCTTTTGGATACCCAGAGTCTTCGTCACTTTCTCATAAAGTTTCCTCTTTACTTGAGTCAGCCCAGCTGGGGGCCTTCTCCATCCAAGAGCCTTGACCATGTGTGCAGCATGCAGGGGACGGGGGCGGGGGGGGGGGTCTCACTATTTTGCCCACACTGTTCTCTCCTGGACTCAAGGGATCCTCCCACCTCAGCCTTCCGAAGTGCTATGAGCCACCACGCCCAGCCCTCATTCTATTTTATTTTTTTTTGAGAAGAGTCTCGTCCCGTTGCCCAGGCTGGAGTGCAGTAGCACAATCTTGGCTCACTGCAACATCCGCCTCCCAGGTTGAAGCGATTCTCCTGCCTCAGCCTCCCAAGTAGCTGGGACTACAGGTGCATGCCACCACACCCAGCTAATTTTTGTATTTTTGGTAGAAACAGGGTTTCACCATGTTGGCCAGGCTGATCTCGAACTCCTGACCTCAGGTGATCTGCCTGCCTCGGCCTCCCAAAGTGCTGGGATTATAGGCGTGAGCCACAGCGCCCGGCCCCTTGTTCTATTTTAAACCTTTCAACTACTGCACTTGCTTATCACACTATATGTACATACATTAATTTGATAAAATTTGGAAATTAGGCCAGGTGCTGTGGCTCACTCCTGTAATCCCAGCAGGAGTTCAAGACCAGCCTGGCCAACATGGTGAAACCCCATCTCCACTAAAAAGATACAAAAATTGGCGAGGCACATCATTGCCTGATGCATGATGCAATTTTGTGAGAAAAAAAAAAAATATATATATATATATATATGCATTTTAGAAAAAAGGATTGAGAAGAAAACCCCAAAATGGAAAAGTAGTAGTCTGTATGTGGTAAACATAAGAGTAATTTTAATCTTTGGGGTTTTTCACATTTTTTCACAATAAGCCTGTAAAATCAGATAATAAAAACCATCAACCTTTTAAATAGGATTGGGAAGTCTCTATTTTCCTGTCACACTCTCATTATCCCTACTGTTTAGCACACATAAGCACTGGGCTTGGGTTCCCCAAGTCCCTTCACTTTCCCGTTGTTAACTGTGGTGCCCTCAGCCCTGGATGGAAGGCACTGTGGCTGGGGACGTGGGCACCAGGGGTGGCTTCTGCTGGTGCCTCCTCTCCACAGCAAGCTTCTCCTGGTTCCTCCGGCTCCATAGCACTGGCCATATCGAGGTTGCCAAGCTCGTTGCCAGTGCCGGTTACCTCCAAGAAGCTCCTGGCCTTTACTCCCAGAACGCACACCTGAAAGACTGCTGCTGGCCTCGGTTTCTAAGGAAACTTTCTTCAGGCCTCATCCCCTGGCGGAACATAATTACCCGCTGGAGAGAAACAAAGCGGCACTTATTTTTCTGCTTGAATCACTTCCAAAGGGCTTATTGTCATTTCTGACTGGGACGTTGGGTTTTGTGGAGGAGAAGGTCCCCTTGGCCAAAGGTAGGCTCTGAGATAAGGAAATCAGGAAACCTGCCGGCTGACTGAAGATAAGGGAGCAGCGGCCTGCGGAGCAGGGCTCCCCATAAGAACGCTGTACAGTTCTGGCACCTCAGGAACTTGCCCACATTTGCTGATTGCTAACAGCTGCCTGCTCCCCGTAACAACAGGCAGGAAACCTCTAGAGTTGTAAAAGGGTCTGTTTATTTGCCTTTAATAGCCACGAGAAGGGGAAGCAGGGGAGTCTGGGCCCCATGCTGCAGCCCTGGAGGCGAAGCGTGGGTGGAGGCCTGGGTCAGGGCCTCCGGCAGAGGAGAGAAGGAGGCAGGATGGGCCTAAGGAGTGCAAAGTTCAGGGTGGAGTTCCCAGCACAACCCCACACCCTCAGTGAACCCCAAGAAGTCTTCCTTAGAACCCAGGATCTCGCCAGGTGCAGTGGCTCATGCTTAATCTCAACACTGGGAGGCTGAGGCAGGAAGATGGCTCGAGGCCAAGAATTTGAGACCAGCCTGGGTAACACAGCAAGACCTTGTCTCTACAAAAAATAAAAACATTTTAAAAATTAGCCGGAGGCCGGGCGCGGAGACTCACTTCTGTAATCCTAGCACTTTGGGAGCCCGAGGCAGGTGGATCACTTGAGCTCAGGAGTTCAAGACCAGCCTGGGCAACATAAGGAAACCCTGCCTCTACTAAAAATACCAAAAATTAGCTGGACGTAGTGGCAAGCACCTGTGAACCCAGCTACTTGGGAGGCTGAGGCACGAGAATCGCTTGAACCCGGGAGGCAGAGGTTGCAGTGAGCTGAGATCGCGCCACTGCACTCCAGCCTGGGCAACAGAGCGAGACTCCATCTAAAAAAGAAAAAAAAAAATTAGCCGGGCATGATGGTACAGGCCTTTAAGTTCCAGCTACTTAGGGGGCTGAGGCAGGAGAACTGCTTGAGCCCAGGAGGTCAAGTCTCCAGTGAGCAGTGTTTGCACCACTGCCTGGGTGACAGAGCGAGACCCTGACTGATAAATAAACCCCGGGACCTCTCCGTTTTGGGTCCTGTTTGTACAATGAACCCACCTGGCCATGCTGTGCTCTGTCCTTTCTTTCACTCTCGGGTGATGAATGGGGCCTGCAGCAGGTGAGCCCCAGGGGCGAGGACACACAGAGGTTTCGTTGCCCATGTGTGACAGACCCACAGGTCGTATCTGCTTCCCAAGGAGTAGGCTCGTTGTTCCTCTTCCGCAGTGCCTTCACGCCACAAAGCACTGTCCTCTCCCATCCTGAGAGGCCCCAGGAAGGGAGGCCCCCCCACCACCCCAACACACAGACGCCATTTGGTCAGCACCTCCCAGTAACACCCAGACTTCTAAGGCAAGGGATGGTGGTGCCTGAGCCTGACTGTTCTCTTCACAGCCCCTGCTTGTTCCAAAGGTGATCAAAGGGGTGGCAAGAAGTAAAACTGGCAGCGTTTCCAGGCCAGGAAAAACACCTGGGCCCTGTTTTTAAAAACCCTCTGCTCCATCAGTACTTTTCCCCAAGTGCTCAGCTGAGCTCGCCTGACGCTTCAAGGGCGGGTCACGGAATAGTCTATTACTGTCTCCCTTTGATCCATCAAAGCGCTGGATTGAGGAAGCCATTTTACACCCAGAAGCCTGTAAGCATCTCCTTCTCCATTCTGAAAACAGAAAATCACTACCAAGAAATGATTCTCTAGAAAATCTTGAGAACTAAGTTAAAAAATCAAATGGACTTTGCTTTCTTTTTCCAAGAACCGTCTTAGGACCACCATTCCTGGGGGATATTACTCATGATTAATGGAAAGCAACTAAATGAATGGACTGAAATTAAATAAAGCCTCAGGGAATCAGCCCATGACATCCATGAATGGGTCCATTGCTGAACCTGGCTGTACCTCATTTCCTCTAACCAGACAATAAGAACTACCTTTACTTGCAACATTGTCAGTCCTACTTGCATTAAGTCTAAAAGGTGGGAGTGGGCGGGGGGGTCTTGAAACCTCAGCTAATCTTTCTCTTGGAGTCTCAAGGTTCATGCGTAAACGTCAGCCCCTCAGTCCTGCTTTGGATTGAAATACAGTGACACAGTAAGTTGCAAGGACCTTGGATGGAGAGCCAGGAGGAGGAGGAAAGGAAGGGTATAATGTGAACACAGGGGCTGGGGATAGAATCCTGAGGTTTTTGCTGCTTTGTTAGTTTTTACCTGTCCTTGAAGATGTCTTGATCAGAAGTTATTAGATTTTATCTGTTGGAGCTGGAAGGAACCTTGAGTTATTTAATTTAGGGATTCCATGGGCAGGCTCTGGAATCTGTGACACTGAACTTAATGTGTAGAATTGTGTTGTGGATAGGGTTGCTGGTTTTCAAATGTCCATAAATTCTTTGATGATTCCCTCTTCAAATGGTGGAAGCCAAGGGAGAGAGGTTGAAAAACAAAACAAAAACAAAAAAACTGGTGGAAGCCAGGTCCTGTCCCTTCAGTGAAGACTGTACTCAGTAACTTGCTTCTAATAAACTCATCATAAAAGGCTTCCTCGTTGCCATATATATATATATATATATATATATATATATATTTTGTTTGTTTGTTTGTTTTTGTTTTTGTTTTTGTTTTTTTGGGTAGAGACAGGTGTCTCACTATGTTCCGCGGGCTGGTCTTGACCTCTCAGCCTCAGGCAATCTGCCCTCCTTAGCCTACCAAAGTGCTAGGATTATAGGTGTGAGCCACCACGCCCCCTGGCCCTTTTTTTTTTTTTTTTTTTGAGATGGAGTTTCGTTCTCGTCACCCAGGGTGGAGTGCAATGGCGCAATCTCAGCTCACTGCAACCTCTGTCTCCTGGGTTCAAGTGATTCTCCAACCTCAGCCTCCCCAGTAGCATGCGCCACCATACCCGGCTAATTTTTGTATTTTTAATAGAGACAGGGTTTCGCCATGTTGGCCAGGCTGGTCTCAAACTCCTGACCTCAGGTGATCCGCCCACCTCGGCCTCCCAAAGTGCTGGGATTACAGGCGTGAGGCACCGCGCCCAGCCCCCTTGCCCTCTTTCTTAGCTGACTTGCTCAGGGGAAAGCCAGCTGCCATGTTGGGAGCACACCAGCAGCCCTTACCTGCCGTGTGAGTGAGCCTTCTCAGAAGGGGATCCTTCAGCCCTGTTTGAGCCTTTGGATCAGGGTGCCTCTATTGACATTTGGGGCTGGATAATTTTTGTTGTGGGGAGTTGTGCTGTATGCTGTAGGAGCCATCACAGCATCCCTGGCCCCCATCCACTAGATGCCAGTAGCATACTCCCCCAACTTAGTGACTATAAAAAATGTTTCCAGATGTTGCCAAATGTCCCCTGAGGAGCAAAATCACCCCCCTACCCCAGCTGACAGCTGCTGTGTTAGATGACTGCAGCCCTGGTCGACATTCACTTCAATCTCATGAGCCAGGATCACCCACCTAAGCTGCGTCCAAATTCCTGACCCACAGAAGCTGTGAGATAAGAAACTACTATGTTATTGGAGTGATTTATTATGCAGCAATAAATTATCAATTCAATAAGTATGTGAATTTTTCAGAGGAAAAGAAGGGTCCTCACCTTTGTTTTTCTTTTTCTTTTCTTTTTTTTTTTTTTTTTTGAGACGGAGTCTCGCTGTGTCACCCAGGCTGGAGTGCAGTGATGCAATCTTGGCTCACTGCAACCTCAGCCTCCTGGGTTCAAGCAATGCTCATGCCTCAACCTTCTGAGTAGCTGGGACTACAGGCGTGTGCCACCACACCCAGCTAATTTTTTGTATTTTCAGCAGAGATGGGGTTTCACTATGTTGGCCAGGCTGGTCTTAACCTCCAGGCCTCAAGTGATCCACCCGCCTTGGCCTCCCAAAGTGCTGGGATTACAGGCTGAGCCACCGCATCCAGCAGGGACTTTACCTTTCTTTGGGGTCTCAGGGGTAAGAACCCTGGATATAGGCCAGCCTTCTAGCCAGTGTGTGACTCCTTTGCATGGCTTCCTTGAGTGTTGGTCAAACCAACACTGCTTGAATAATTCTAATAATCATACCTTATAAGGTCAGTTATAATTGAATAATTCTAATAATCATACCTTATAAGGCTCCGTTTGTTGTTAAACAGAAAGATTTATTTTATTTTATTTATTTATTTTTTTGAGACGAAGTCACACTTGTCCCCCAGGCTGGAGTGCAATGGCATGATCTCGGCTCACTGCAACCTCTGCCTCAAGCGACCTCCTGCCTCAGCCTCCCGAGTAGCTGGGATTACAGGCGCCTGCCACCATACCTGGCTAATTTTTATATTTTTAGTAGAGACGGGGTTTTACCACGTTGGCCAGGCTGGTCTCGAACGCCTGACCTCAGGTGATCCACCTGCCTCGGCCTCCCAAAGTGCTGGGATTACAGGAGTGAGCCACCGTACCTGGCCAGAAAAATTTATTTTATATGGAGACCAAATCTACTACCTCAGCTCCCATCTGTGTGGCAGGTGACCTGTGTTTTTTTCAAATTTCCTTCCCAGCTCCCCAGTCCCTATCAAGACTTAGCTTTTCTATGGCTTACTCTTTTTTTGTTTTTTGTTTTTTGTTTTTCTGAGATGGAGTCTTGCTCTGTTGCCCAGGCTGGAGTGCAGTGGCATGGCCTCGGCTCACTGCAACCTCCTCCTCCCAGGTTCAAGCAATTCCCCTGCTTCAGCTTCCCAAGTAGCCGGCACTACATGTGTGCACCACCATGCCTGGCTAGTTTTTTGTATTTGTAGTAAAGATAAGGTTTCACCATGTTGGCCAGGCTGGTCTTGAACTCCTGGCCTCAGGTGATCCCCCGGCCTCAGCCTCCCAAAGTGCTAGGATTACAGGCTTCAGCCACCATGCCAGCCCCTTGCTTTTTTTTTTTTTTAAACCCATGTTAACTGAGTGAACTAATTCTTGCTACTCGGAAAGTATTAGCTGGCAAAAGCTAGAGCATATTCTGTTTAGCACTTCTGGAAATAGGAGCATTAAGCAAATCACTTCTGAGTAGTCTCTGCTGGTGCAGGCCTCTGCTGGTGTTCTGGGCATTAGCCACTGCCAATTGCTCGTCCTTTCTCTCCAAATCTCCTGAGGTCATGGACATGCTTTGTATTAGTCCGTTTTCACACTGATGATAAAGGAATACTCGAGACTGGGAAGAAAAAGAGGCTTAATTGGACTTACAGTTCCACATGGCTGGGGAGGCCTCAGAATCATGGCAGGAGGTGAAAGACACTTCTTACATGGCAGTGGCAAGAGAAAATGAGGAAGATGCAAAGTGGAAACCCCTGATAAAACCATCAGATCTTGTGAGACTTATTCACTACCACAAGAACAGTACAGAGGAAATTTCCCCCAAGATTCAAATTATCTCCCACCAGGTACCTCCTACAACATGTGAGAATTATGGGAGTACAATTCAAGATGAGATTTGGGTGGGGACACAGAGTCAAACCATATCATACTTGAAGCCATAATTCTTCCTGTCAGTTCTCTTGACGGGCAGTGACATCTTTATTTCCTTCATGAAGTCAGGGGACTCTCACAGTCCTCACTCACCTGCCTACCTCTCTTCCTGGACTGTTTCTTTGCAAGCCCCTTCAGTCTCTGTTAAAATCCAACATATTTTCCCTTAGCTTCTCTGAAATAGTTCCAGCCCTATTACTTCTACAGCCAGCCTTCGTGGGTTAGAACTACTTGCCAGAGACAAAATAAATGCAAAAAGAGAAGCTAGAGAGCCGCAGAACTCACTCAACCAGGCAGAATGCACAGGAGACTGGCTGAGAGCTGTGCCATCGCTGCACTTGTTTAGGCTCAATGGCTCTGGGTGGGCGACACCGCCAGCTCTCCTTGGCTGAGATGCATCCATGCTCAGTACCCTCAGAACAGGGAAAAGAAAGACTTTTAACAAATACTGTGAAAAGTTTTGGTTTTCGTTTTTTTAACATTTAAATTTTTAAAAATTATTTTATTTTTTAAGACTGGGGCTGGGTGCAGTGGCTCACGCCTGTAATCCCAGTACTTTGGGAGGCTGAGGTGGGTGGATCACCTGAGGTCAGGAGTTCAAGACCAGCCTGGCCAACATGGCGAAACCCCACCTCTACCAAAAATACAAAAGTTAGCGAAGCGTGGTGACACGCACCTGTAATCCCAGCTACTCAGGAGGCCAAGGCAGGAGAATTGCTTGAACCCGGGAGACAGAGGTTGCAGTGAGCTGAGATCACACCACTGCACTGCAGCCTGGGTGACAGAGTGAGACCCTGTCTCAAAAACACAAAAAACCTTCTAATGAATTAGTGCTGTGCAGGATGTCATTACATAAGGATATGCAAGGCCGGGTACAGTGGCTCCTACCTGTAATCCCAGCACTCTGAGAGGCCAAGGCAGAAGGATCACTTGAGCCCAGGAGTTCAAGGTCTCACTGTGGGCAACACAGTGAGACCCCATCTCTACAAAACAAAACAAAACAAAAGTTAAAACATTATCCAGGTGTGGTGGTGAGCACCTGTAGTCCAAGTTACTCAAAAGGCTGAGGTGGGAGGATCTCTTGCATCCAGGAAGTTGAGGCTGCAAGGAGCCATGATCGCCCCACTACATCACTGAACTTCAGCCCGGGCGACAGAGTGAGAACCTGTTTCCTAAAATATATATGCGTATATAATCACTCTTCTGTTAGAAAATTGGCTAAAAAAATTAAAAGCATTTGTCTCCTGAAAAACCACAAGATGTAATCTAACAATATAACTTTCAGATGCCTTCTACTTTCTATGGCTACCCCTAGGATGGATCTTAAACTATCAAAAGCAGTTGGTATGTTTACCTGTTGTTTCCCCGGTTCAGATGATGAGGTCTTGACAAGCAGGGCCTGTGTCTTGTTTATCTTTGGATGCTTTTGGCTTCCTTGCACAGCTGAGTTTGCACACTGCATGAGGATGCCTAGTCAAAGGAGGGAATGAGGGCTGAAATCCAGCCTTTTCTTCCCTAGTCGAGTCCCTTGCCTTGGGGTTGTGTTTGCCTGGGGGCAGTATACTTTTTCTATTTTATTTGACCTATATAACTTCTTCTAATTTCCTAACAGTGTCCTTTGATTTCTCATCTCCCGAACATTGTAGAAGCCCAAAAAATACTGAAAGAGGAAAGGAATCAATGAAAAAATGTATGAAGCATACTTTACTTTTGATAAAGATGCATGAGAGAAGCAGACACTATTTTTCATCTGTCCCAACAATCATTTCTCTCCTTCCTGGTCCCATTTCTTTCCTGATATTTACTCCTCACCCCTCTCAACTCTTGGCTATACATTAGAATCACCTGGGAAGATTTTTAATCCCCCCCCCCCCCACCCCCGCATCCAGGCACATCCCAAACCAATTGTATTACTCAATTTTCATGCTACCAATAAAGACATACCCAAGACCAGGCAATTTACAAAAGAAAGAGTTTCAATTGGACTTACAGTTCCATGTGGTTGGGGAAGCCTCATAATCATGGTGGAAGGCAAGGAGGAGCAAATCATGTCTTACATGGATGGTAGCAGGCAAAGAAAGCTTCTGCAGGAAACCTCCCCCTTATAGTAACCATCACATCTCATGAGACTTACTATCACCAGAGCAGCACAGGAAACATTTGCCCCCATGGTTCAAATTACCTCCCACCAGGTTCCTCTCACAACACGTGGGAATTCATTATGAGATTTGGGTGGGGAACACAGCCAAACCATATCATTCTGCCCCTGGCCCCTCCCAAATCTCATCTCCGTACATTTCAAAACCAATCATGCCTTCCCAACAGTCCTCCAAAATCTTTTTTTTTTTTTAAATAGAGTCTAGCTCTGTCGCCCAGGCTGGAGTGCAGTGGTGTGATCTCGGCTCACTACAAGCTCCATCTCCTGGGTTGACACCATTCTTCTGCCTCAGCCTCTAGAGCAGCTGGGACTACAGGCATCTGCCACCACGCCTGGCTAATTTTTTTGTACTTTTATTAGAGATGGGGTTTCACTGTGTTAGCCAGGATGGTCTCAATCTCCTGACCTCGTGATCCACCCACCTCGGCCTCCCAAAGTGCTGGGATTACAGGCGTGAGCCACCACGCCCGGCCACAGTCCTCCAAAATCTTAACTCATTACAGCATCAACTCAAAAGTCCACACTCCAAAGTCTCATCCAAGACAAGGCAAGTCCCTTCCACCTATGAGCCTGTAAATCAAAAGCAAGTTAGTTCCTTCCTAGATGCAATGAGGGTACAGGGATTGGGTAAATACAGCCATTCCAAATGGGAGAAATTGGCCAAAACAAAGGAGCTGCAGGCCCCATGCAAGTCCAAAATCCACTGGGACAGTCAAATCTTTTTTTTTTTTTTTTTGAGATGAAGTCTTGCACTGTCGCCCAGGCTGGAGTGAATGGCATGATCTTGGCTCACTGCAACATCCACCTTCCGGGTTCAAGCAATTCTTCTGCCTCAGCCTCCCGAGTAGCTGGGATTACAGGTGCCCGACACCCCGCCTGGCTAATTTTTGTATTTTTAGTAGAGACAGGGATTCAGTATGTTGGGCAGGCTGGTCTCAAACTCCTGACCTCATGATCTGCCCACCTCGGCCTCCCAAAGTGCTGGGATTACAGGCATGAGCCACCGCACCCAGCGCAGTCAAATCTTAAGGCTCTAAAATGATCTCTTTGACTCCAGGTCTCACATCCAGGTCACACTGATGCAGGAGGTAAGTCCCCTTGGTCTTGGGCAGCTCTGCCCCTGTGGCTTTGCAGGGTATAGCCCCCCTCCTGGCTGCTTTCATGTGCTGTTGACCATCTGCGGCTTGTCCAAGCACATGGTGCAAGCTGTAGATACACCATTCTGGGGTCTAAAGAATGGTGGCCCTCTTCTAACAGCTCCACTAGGTAGTGCCCCAGTAGGGACTCTGTGTGGGGGCTCCGACCCCACATTTCCCTTTCACACTGCCCTAGCAGAGGTTCTCCATGAGCACCCTGCCCCTGCAGCAAACTTCTGCCTGGACATCCAGGTGTTTCCATACATCCTCTGAAATCTAGGTGGAGGTTCCCAAACCTCAGTTCTTGACTTATATGCACCCACTGGCTCAACACCACATGGAAACTGCCAAGGCTTGGGGCTTCCACCCTCTGAAGCAACAGCCCAAGCTGTACCTTGGCCCCTTTTAGCCATGGCTAGAGTGGCTGGAATGCAGGGCACCAAGTCCCTAGGCTGCACACAGCATGGGGACCTTGGGCCCAACCCACGAAACCATTTTTTCCTCATAGGTCTCTGGGCCTGTGATGGGAGGGGCTGCTGTGAAGACCTCTGACATGCCCTGGGGCCATTTTCCCCATTGTCTTGCAGGTTAACATTCGGCCCCCCATTACTTTTGCAAATTTTTATAGCCAACTTGAATTTCTCCTCAGAAAATGGGATTTTCTTTTCTATCACATTGTCAGGCTGCAAATTTTCTGAACTTTTATGCTCTGCTTCCCTTATAAAACTGAATGCCTTTAACAGCACCCAAGTCACCTCTTGAATGTTTTGCTGCTTAGAAATTTTTTCCACCAGCTACCCTAAATCATCTCTCTCAAGTTCAAACTTCCACAAATCTCTAGGGCAGGGGCAAAATGCTGCCAGCCTCTTTGCTAAAACATAACAAGAGTCACCTTTGTTCCAGTCCCCAGCAAGTTCTTCATCTTTATCTGAGACCACCTCAGCCTAGATTTCATTGTCCATATCATTATCGGTATTTTGGTCAAAGTCATTCAACAAGTCTAAACTAAAGGGAGTTCTAAACTTTCCTACATTTTCCTGTCTTCTGAGCTCTCCAGCTGTTCCAACCTCTGCCTGTTGCCCATTTCCAAAGTCACTTCCACATTTTCAGATATCTTTCCAGCAGCACCCCCACTCTACAGGTACCAATTTACTGTATTAGTCCATGTTCATGCTGCTGATAAAGACATACTCAAGACTGGACAATTTACAAAAGAAAGAGGTTTAATTGGACTTACAGTTCTATGTGTCTGGGGAAGCCTCACAATCATGGTGGAAGGCAAGGAGGAGCAAGTCACGTCTTACATGGATGGCAGTAAGCAAAGAGAGAGCTTGTGCAGAGAAACTCCCATTTTTTAAACCATCAGATCTTGTGAGACTTATTCACTATTACGAGAACAGCACAGGAAAGACCTGCCCCGATGATTCAATTACCTCCCACCAAGTTCCTCCCACAACATGTGGGAATTCAAGATGAGATTTGGGTAGGGACACAGCCAAACCAAATCACCAATGAAAATGGATGATGAGGGCATGGACACTCAGGCATCAGTGGTTTTTAAAGCTACCCAGGTGATTCCACATACCCCCGGCACTTGGTTGCTAACTTGACCCCTCTGGTCTAAATCAATCATGGTTGTCCCATCGCCCTTACTAGTGCATTAGTTAAAAAAGTGCATGTGGCCAGGTGTGGTGGCTCATCATGCCTGTAATCCCAGCAGTTTGGAAGGCTGTGGCAGGAGAATTACTTGAGCCCAGGCATTCAAAACCAGCCTGAGCAATCTAGTGAGACCTTGTCTCTACAAAAAAAATAAATAAATAAAATATTAGCCAAGCATGGTGGCATGTGCCTGTGACCCCAGCTACTTGGGAGGCTGAGATGGGAGGATTGCTTGAGCCCAGGAGGTCTAGGCTCCAGTGAGCTGAGATGGTACAATAAGGGCATGCTGATGTCGGGATTCCTAGGTGTGTCATTACCATCAGTGCCGTGAGAAGAGCTTTCCCGAGGACAAGCTGATGTGCTGGGGGAAGGGAGAGTAAGGAGAGAGTACACCTAGGTCCCTGGTAGCCTTCCCAAACTGCACATCCACCAACCTGAAGACGTCCTCCTCCAGGATTCTCATTACCTGAAACCAAATCCATTCAAGTGAGGGGATTCTGTTATTTACAACACAAGGTATAACTGATACAGTGAAGAATTCTCAATACATAAAGGACTTTAGAAAGATTTCCCAGCTGGGTGCAGTGATTCATGCCTGTATGATTGCATGAACCCAGAAGTTCAAGACCAGCCTAGGCAACATGGCAAGACCCCATCTCTACAAAAAATTAAAAATTAGCCAGGCATAGTTTCATGCACCTGTGATCCCAGCACTTAGGGAGGCTGAGGCAGTGGATCACTTGAGCCCAGGAGTTCAAGACCAGCCAGGGCAACATGATGAAACCCCATCTCTACAAAAAATAGTCAGTGTGGTGGCAGTTACCTGTAGTCCCAGCTACTTGGAATGCTGAAGAGGGAGGATCACTTGAGCCCAGGAGGTTGAGGCTGCAGTGAGCCATGATTGCGTCACTGCACTCCAGCCTGGGTGACAGAACAAGAACCTGTCTCAAAAAAAAAAACAAAAACAAACAAACAAACAAAAGCCAGGCGTGGTGGTGTGAGCACTCTTGGAGGCTGAGGCAGGTGGATCACTTGAGGTCAGGAGTTCAAGACCAGCCTGGCCAACATGGTGAAAGCCCGTCTCTACTAAAAATACAAAATTTAGCCAGACATGGTGGCATGCACCTGTAATCCCAGCTATTCAAGAGGCTGAGGCACAAGAATCACTTGAGCCTGGGAGGCAGAGGTTGCAGTGAGCCTAGATCATGCCACTGCACTCCAGCCTGGGTGACAGAGCAAGACTCTGTCTCAAAAAAAAAAAAAAGGGCCAAGCACGGTGGCTCACACCTGTAATCCCAGCACTTTGGGAGGCCAAGGTGGGCGGATCATGAGGTCAGGAGATCAAGACCATCCTGGCCAACATGGTGAAACCCATCTCTACTAAAAATACAAAAATTAGCTGGGCGTGGTGGGGCGTGCCTGTAATCCCAGCTACTCGGGAGGCTGAGGCAGGACAATTGCTTGAACCCGGGAGACGGAGGTTGCAGTGAGCCGAGATCACACCACTGCACTCCAGCCTGGGTGACAGAGCAAGACTCTGTCTCAGAAGAAAAAAAAAAAAATCCCTACTGGAGGGAGGCCTCAGTGAGTGTGTATGTGTGTCAGTTTTCTCCCTAAAGGAACAGGAACGGGAATGTATGAGGAGCAAACGAAGCAAAACATGAGGGGAAGGGAGGGGGAGGAGATTAGAAAAACCAAGAGCTAAATATAGAGAAAAATCCATATAGTTTGAGAGGAAATTATGCTTTAGAAGTGGAATGAGAATGATACAGGAACAAATTAAGAGGAGGTACTAAATAACTGAGAACTTAAGGACACTGATGGTTAATGGAGATGTAATATGGTTTCCTCAACACAGAGGCCCAGGGGAAGGATTAGAATTAAACAACTAAGGTAGTAGGAGAAAGAACAAGTTCCAGGACTAGGGGTGGGAGTCAGTGAATGCACAGATAGTTACTAAATACCTAGTCTGTATTTACTAAATACTAAATACACTTGCTCATGCAGGTGACACAATAAATTTAAGAACGCTTGCAACCAAAGTACAAGATTTGCTTTCAAAACAGAAAAAAAAAAAAAAAACAACAACTGGAGAGTACTTATCCTGCATGCAAGATGCATGCAATAAATATTTCTTGAATCAACTAGGGACAGAGGATTTATCTGGGCATAGGAAATGCAATGAGACTTAAAGACAACATGGTGGGTGAATTCTTAATTGTAGATCCCTGGCAGACGTGGCAGGCCAAATAATTCCTAGTAGTATGCTCGTGAGACAGTGTATTAGTGATGCAGTAGAATTTGATGTGTGACTAATTGTTTTCCATTTCAAAAAATGCAAATTATTCCATTCAAACAGAAAAATGTATGAAAAAGCTCGAGAGTGACTAATACAATTCTTATATCACTCATTTCAATGTTAGGGACTTTTACATTTTTAAATTAATAAACGGGCACCATGTAGAAGCTTCGCTGAAAGAGGGAGCCTTTGTAAAGCTTAGTGCCCATGTTGTAGAGACAGTGGAGCTGTCACAGCCATGACGTGGTGAGGAACATGAGCCACCTGACTGCTGCTTCCTGGCCGTGTGACCCTGGAAAGTTGCTTCAACTCTTGGTACATTTGTAAAATGGAGATAATAAGGCTGGCCCTCTCAAAAGGTTGTGAGGATAACTGAGAAACGTGTAGGTAAAGTGTTAACTAGTGACTGGTGTGTGGTGGGTAGTCTGTAAATGTTAACTACTATGATTATCGTCTTCATCCGTCTGGACTGCTATAACAAACAGAATACCGTGGACTTGGTAGCTGATAAACAACAGACCTTTATTTCTCACAGTTCTGGAGCTGGGAAGACCAAGATGAAGATGCAGCGGGTTCGGTATCTAGTGAGGGCCTGTCTCCTGGTTCATAGATGCCACCTTCTTGTTATGTCCTCAAACGGTGGAAGGGGATAGGGGTCTATCTCAATCTTAAGTCTGTCTTTTATTTTATTTTATTTTATTTTATTTTATTTATTTGTATTTTATTTTATTTTATTTTTTTGAGACAGGCTCTCGCTGTCACCCAGCCTGGAGTGCAGTGGCATGATCATGGCTCAACGCAGCCCCCACCTCCTGCGCTCAACTGATCTTCCCAGTTCAGCATCCCAAGTAGCTGGGACTACAGGTACAAACACCATCCCTGGCTAATTTTTGTAGAGACAAAGTCTCACTTTGTTGCCCAGGCTGGTCTCAAACTTCTGGATGCGAGTGATCCTCTTGCCTCAGCCTCCTAAAGTGCTGGGATTACAGGTGGGAGCCATCACACCTGGCTAATTATTTTCCTGGCCCATCATTTTCCTATATCAATGAACAGAGGACCATTCTGCTTACCTCTAATTTGAAATGCAAGTGTATCCGCCTTGGGTACAGCGAATAATGGATATGGTCAGTATTTACCCAAGGATGAATGTGATTGCCCAAAAGCAAAATAGAGATCTGACGCATTTTAGAAAAGGTAATCTCAA
Source organism: Homo sapiens (assembly GCF_000001405.40). Classification (NCBI taxonomy): domain Eukaryota; kingdom Metazoa; phylum Chordata; class Mammalia; order Primates; family Hominidae; genus Homo; species Homo sapiens. The sequence goes on along the minus strand of NC_000001.11, from coordinate 226,336,473 downwards.
AGAAAACAAAGTAGCATTTACTCGAAATGTCTTTCTTGGCCTACTCAGTAATTATGTGTTTAGAAAAGATAAGTAGTAAAGAGTGACAGGAAGGAAGACCAACATCAACAGGGCATGTTAGTAGATGAAATGTTTAAAAATGTAATTATTGAGGGAGACTTCTGTTTCCAGCCCTGACAGAGTAACAAGTACCAAACATGCCCTCCTGCTATAAGGAAACTGGGCAAAGTATATGAAACAAATGTTCATACACGTACTATAAATGTGCATACATGTACTATAGGCAATTCAAGACTGTGAGAAGGAAAATAAATGGAATGAGTCCAAAAATGACCTAGGCTGTCTGCCTGGAGATACTTCCCAGACTGCTGTGGTGCAAGAAGAGGGAACCTAAACAGAATATAGTCGTTTCACCAAGTTGAAGGACAGAGATTGGTTTCAGGAGGCTAAGGTGGCTGGAATTTGCAAGGCAAAGTAACACAGAGAAAAGAGTCCAAAAAAGAGCCCAGGAAATCTGCATAACAGTGTTCTGGAGTCTTGTGCTAAATATTAAGCTGTATCTCTAACAGGAAACTCCATAAAGCCAAGCAAAAAATCACTATGGGGAAATGTAAGTTGGACAGTTCCCAGAGCCCACACACTACTGGGGTATGTTTGAGTTCCAACTCTGAGTGAAGAGACCTGATTAAACACTGAGGATATGTGGTAAAGATCCGTGAAGGGTTACACCTTAGGAGTAGAACTGAAATAGACCTAGAACAGCAGTTCTCAACCAGGGGTAAGTTTACTCCCCAGAGGATATTTTGCTGTATCTGGAGACAATTTATATTGTCATGACTGGGAAGATGCTACCATTGTCTAGAAGGTAGAGGCCAGGTGTCTTAGTCCATTTGTGTGGCTATAACAAAACACTGGGTGGTTTATAAATAACAGAAATGTATTTCTCACAGTTCTGGAGGCTGGGAGGACCTAGATCAAGGCACTGGCAGATTTGGTGTCTGATGAGAGCCCGCTTCCTGGTTTAGAGAATGTGTCCTCGCTGCTTTCTCACATGGCGAAAGGGGACAGGGCAGCTCTCTGGGGCCTCTTTCATAAGGACACCAATCCCAAATGCCCCACCTCCTCTAATACTATTAGTGTTAGACTTCAACATATTAATTTGGGAGAGACACAAACATTCAGACCACAGCAGCAGGGATGCTGTTAAACATCCTACGGTGCACAGGAAAGGCCTCCACAACAAAGACATGTCAACAAGTGCCAAGCCTTTGTCAATCCAAATGTCAAAAGTTGCGACCTGAGTCTGTGAGTGTGAAGGAAAAAAAAAGGACAAATATCAAAAGTACCAATGTTGTGGCCAGGTGCAGTGGCTCACGCCTGTAATCCCAGCACTTTGGGAGGCCAAGGTGGGCGGATTGCTTGAGGTCAGGAGTTTGAGACCGGCCTGGACAACAATGGTGAAACCCTGTCTCTACTAAAAATACAAAAATTAGCCAGGCATGGTGGCATGCGCCTGTAATCCCAGCTACTGGGGAGGCTGAGGCAGGAGAATAGAATCACTTGAACCTGGGAGGCAGAGGTTGCGGTGAGTTGAGATCATGCCACTGCACTCCAGCCTGGACGACAGAGCAAGACTCCATCTCAAAAAAAAAAAAGAAGAAAAGAAAAGAAAGACATTTTCAGATAAATAAAAGCTGTGAGGTCATTTCCAGAGAACGGCATTATAAGAAATATTTTTTTGGCTGGGCACGGTGGCTCATGCATGTAATCCCAGCACTTTGGGCTTTTTGTTGTTGCCTTGTTTTTTCAATATTTTTTATATTAATAGAGATGGGGTTTCGCCATGTTGGCCAGGCTGGTCTTGAACTCCTGACCTCAAGTGATCTGCCCCCGTCGGCCTTCCAAAGTGCTGGGATTACAGGCATAAGCCACTGCACCCAGCCTATCCCAGCATTTTGGGAGGCAGTAGGGAGAGGATTGCCTCAGGCCAGGAGTTCAAGACAAGCCTGGGCAACTAGCGAGACACAATCTCTACCAAAAATAGAGAAAAATTAGCTGGTTATGGTGGCACACACCTTTAGTCCCAGCTACTCAGGAGGCTAAAGATAGAGGGATTGCTTGAGCCCAGAAGTTTGGGGTTTCAGTGAGCCGTGATTGTGTCACTGCACTCCAGCATGGGTGACAGATAGAAAAATTAGATCTACACAAAGAAATAACGAGATGTGGCCTGGCGCGGTGGCTCATGCCTGTAATCCCAGCACTTTGGGAGGCCAAAGCGGGCGGATCACGAGATCAGGAGATCGAGACCATCCTGGCTAACACGGTGAAACCCCATCTCTACTATAAATACAAAAAATTAGCCGGGTGTGGTGGCGGGTGCCTGTAGTCCCAGCTACCCGGGAGGCTGAGGCAGGAGAATGGCATGAACCCAGGAGGCAGAGCTTGCAGTGAGCCGAGATTGTGCCACTGCACTCCAGCCTGGGCGACAGAGCAAGACTCCAACTCAAAAAAAAAAAAAAAAAGAAAGAAAGAGATGTAAATACATGGTAAATATAAAATACTTTTTTCATTTAAAAGAATTTCTCTAAAAAGATAATTGACCATTTAAAGCAAATATAAAAATATAGTTTGGACTTTCTAATGGAAATGGAAATGAAATGTCTTAAAACAATAGCACAAAGGTTCCAAAGGGAAAATGGAGTTGCATTATTAAAAGGTTCTCACATGATATGTAAAGTAGCATAACAATATTTAAAGATATGTGATACACTCCTGAAACAGGAGCCCAAGCGTGCATGTGGACACAGGGTCGTGGGAGATGAATGCGGTGGTGTCGCAGGTGAACTCTCTGCCGCTTCTCAGCCTGATGGTGGCGCTCATATTTAGCTGCTTTCACCATCACCACTGCCTTCAAAGACGGAAGCATCCTGGTGTGGTGGCAATGACTCGCCGATCAAGCTGAAAAACGTAGATGACTTCAACGGACCGAGAGAAAGAAGTGATTTGGGATTCATTACATTTGATGTAACTGCTGATTAACTCAGCTCGTTTCCCAGTAGTGGCACCAGTCTTGTAGTTAATTGTGAGAATACATTTGATTGGAATGTTAAGCAGTTGTTTATTTATCAGCAGAATATTCAACAAAAGATAATCTACGATTAGAGACCTAATGGCAATATATTTGCAACAAAATTTGAGACCTGTGATTAAAATTATCATTATGAAGATATGTAATCAAAAGCTGTAAAGATTATTAATAATTTTTCTATTTTCTGAGATTATTTTAAAATCCATCTCAGTACAGCTTTTTTTTTTCTCATATTTTTTTTCTGTTTTTAAGAGATAGTATCTCACTCTGTCACCCAGGCTGGGGCAATCACAGCTCACTGCAGCCGCAATCTCCTTGCCTCAGGCATGTTTTGGTTTTGTTTTTGTTTTTGTTTTTAAATACATGGCATGAGCTGTTTTAGTAGTCTTACTAAGCCATGTATCTGCAGTTAATTATATTGAAAATAATTTTCCTTTGTTTTGGTGTTGTATGGGATTCATCAACGTAAGTACTTGAACTAGTCTTTTTAACTGTAAATTACATGCCAGGTGCAGTGGCTAATGCCCGTAACACCAGCACTTTGGGAGACTGAGGTGGGAGGATCACTTGAGCCCAGAAGTTCAAGGCCAGCCTGGGCAACATAGTGAGACTTTGTCTCTACAAAAAAATTTAAAAAATTAGTCAGGTATGATGACATACAATTGTAGTCTCAGCTACTGGCGAGGCTGAGGTGGGAGAATTGATTGAGCCCAGGAGGTTGAGGCTGCAGTAAGTTGTGATGGTGCCATTGCACTCCAACCTGGGTGACAGAGCAAGACCCTGTCTCAAAAAAAAATTAAATTTAAAAAATTATAAATTATAATTGAGAATAGGTTTTATAATTAAAAGCTGTTAAACTATTAGATTAAAAATCTGTTAAAGTTATCAGTTATTATAATTGAAAGCAAATTAATCTAGTCTGATTGCAAGTGGGGTAGAGGTGGAGATACTTATATAGAATGTTGCTCAAACAGAAATCTTCTTAGGTTCTATTTTAATGTTGATGCTGAAGGTATAAAGTGATAGACTTAAAATATGAAAGTGAAATCCATAGAACTGAAATGTGCCTATATGTTATTTACCTTATGTTGGTCGTCAGTGTTGCCTGGAAATTATTTGCAGTTAAAGGCTCTAAACCAAGTTGGCCTTGAGGACGAGATTGTTCTGAGAGGTATTAATCTGAAGCTACTCTTGAAATATATGAAAACAAATTTTTTTTTGACAATGAAAATGGTTGCAAGAGGAAAGTCACTTTGACTCTATCTGGGAACCGTGTACCAGTTGCTGGAACGCTGCCTCGGGACAGGATGAGAACAGGTATCTATTCCATTTCCAGATACATGTGAAATAATAAAGAGAATATTAAATTATTCTAAGTTTGAAACGATGTATTTTTATTGATTATTATTTTTTTTTGTTGAGGCAGAATCTCGCTCTGTCACCCAGGCTGGATGCAGTGCCCTCTTGGCTCTCTGCAGCCTCTACTTCCCAGGTTCGAGCGGTTCTCCTGCCTCAGTCTCCCGAGTAGCTGGGATTACAGGCACAGGCCACCACACTGGCTAATTTTTTTTTTTTTTGAAACTGTGTCTTGCTGTGTCACCCAGGCTGGAGTGCAGTGGCGCAATCTTGACTCACTGCAACCTCCGCCTCCCAGGCTTAAGCGATTCTCGTGCCTCAGCCTCCTGAGTAGCTGGGACTACAGGCATGCACCACCACACCCAGCTAATTTTTGTATTTTTAGTAGAGATGGGGTTTCCCCATGTTGGGCAGGCTGGTCTCAAACTCCTGGATTCAAATGATGCACCACCTCGGCCTCCCAAAGTGCCAAGATTACAGGCATGAGCCACTGCACCTGGCGAAACAATATATTTTTATTCTTAACGAATTGTATCTCATTGACCTTTAAAAAAAAATGAGGCTGGGCACGGTGGCTAACGCCTGTAATCCCAGCACTTTGAGAGACTGAGGCAGGCGTATCACGAGGTCAAGAGATTGAGACCATCCTGACCAACGTGGTGAAACCCATCTCTACTAAAAAATACAAAAATTAGCTGGGTGTGGTGGCACATGCCTGTAATCCCAGCTACTCGGGAGGCTGAGGCATGAGAATCAATTGAACCTGGGAGGCGGAGGTTGCAGTGAGCCAAGATCACATCACTGCACTCCAGCCTGGGCGACACAGGAAGACCCTAAAAAAAAAAAGAGTGAGACAAAACTATATACTCCATAAAGAAATCTAATTTGAATATAAAGACAACAGATTAAGAATAAATGGACCAGGCAAGGTGGCTCACGCCTGTAATCCCAGCACTTTGGGAGGCCGAGGCGGGCAGATCACCAGAAGTCAGGAGTTCGAGACCAGCCTGACCAACATGGAGAAACCCCATCTCTACTAAAAATACAAAATTAGCCGGACATGGTGGCGCATGCCTGTTACCCCAGCTACTTAGGATGCTTAGGCAGGAGAATCACTTGAACCCAGGAGGTGAAGGTTGCGATGAGCCGAGATGGCGCCATTGCACTCCAGCCCGGGCAACAAGAGCAAAACTCCTTCTCAAAAAAAAAAAAAAAAAAGAATAAATGGATGGAAGCCTGGGCAACATGGAGAAACCCCATCTCTACAAAACAAAACAAAAACAAAAAATTAGCCAAGCATGGCAGCACATGCCATAGTCCCAGCTACTCAGGAGGCTGAGGCAGGAGAATCACGTGAACCTGGGAGGCGGAGGTTGCATTGAGCCGAGATCGTGCCACTGCACTCCAGCCTGGGCAACAGAGTGAGAATCCGTCTCAAAAAAAAAAAAAAAGCAAAAACACATTTTTTTTTCAAGTGCAAATGTAACATTCACCAAGACAGTCCATGTCCTGGGCATGAAACAAATCTTACAGTGAAAAAGACTGTCACAATATAGAGTTCTGTTTTGTTTTGGTTTTGGTTTTGGTTTTTGAGATGGAGTCTTGCTCTGTTGCCTAGGCTGGAATGCAGTGGCACGATCTCAGCTCACTGCAACCTTAGCCTCCCGGCTCAAGCGATTCTCCTGCCTCAGACTCCCAAGTAGTTGGGACTACAGGTGTGCACCACAACGCTCAGCTAATTTCTTTGTATTTTTAGTAGAGAGGAAGTTTCACCATGTTGGTCAGGCTGGTCTCAAACTCCTGACCTCAAATCATCTGCCCGCCTCAGCCTTGCAAAGTGCTGGGATTATAGCCGTGAACCACTTCTCCTGGCCCACAATATAGAATATTTTATTTGACCACAAAAGAATCTAGAAATCAATATCATTACATACCTATCAGAAGGGCACACACATTTAAAAAAGTCAAAAATCTGACATTACCAACCGCTGAAGAGAATATAGAGCGGCCAGAATTGATAGGGATGTCAAATGGCACAGCCACCTTGGAAATCCATTTGGCAGGTTCTTATAAAGTTAAATATGTACCCACCATATGACCCAACCATTCCATTCCTAGGTATTTACCCAAGAGAATGAAATCCCATGAGCCCCAAAAGACTTGTACATGCATATTCATGGCAGCTTTATTAATAATAGTTTTATTAATAATAGCTGCCATGAATATTTGTGGATGGGTATTAAAACCAAATACACATCTAGCTGGGCAAGGTGGCTCATGCCTGTAATTCCAGCACTTTGGGAAGCTAAGGTGGGCGGATCACCTGAGGGTGGGGGTTCAAGACCAGCCTGGCCAACATGGTGAAACCCCGTCTCTACTAAAAATACAAAAATTAGCTGGGCATGGTGGTGGGCACCTGTAATGTCAGCTACTTGGGAGGCTGAGGCAGCAGAATCCCTTGAACCCTGGAGGCAGAGGTTGCAGTGAGCCAAGATCATGCCAATGCACTCCAGCCTGGGCGACAAGAACGAAACTCCATCTCAAAAAATATATATCCATCTATAGGCAAATAGATAAGCAAATTGGTTTGTCCATACAAGGGAATACTACTCAGCAATAAAAAGGAGCAAACTTCTGATAGACACAGTACACAACAACATGAATGGATCTTGAAAACTTTATTGATGAGCTAAAGAATCCAGATCCGAAAAAGTGTGTATGTGTGTGTGTGTGTGTGTATAATACATATATATAGTAGGATTTTTTAATATAAAGTCCTAGAACAGGAAAAACTACTATATAGTGACAAAAAGCAGACCAGTGTTTGCCTAGTACTGGGAGGGGTAGGACTGACTACAAAGGAGTATGAGGAAAATTTTGTTGGTGATGGAGATGTTATATATCTTAATTATGATGATATATACATAGATGTCAAAATTCATCAAACCATACACTAAAAATAGGTACATTTTAATATATATAACCTTTATCTCAATAATAGTTGATTTTAAAAAGAAACAAATTGTCAAGATGTTATACACTAAAGATTTGTGCACTTTACTGAATTGTATGTTTCAATTTTTTTGTTTGTTTTTTTTTGAGACAGAGTCTCTGTCTCCCAGGCTGGAGTGCAGTGGCGCGATCTCGGCTCACTGCAAGCTCCGCCTTCCGGGTTCATGCCATTCTCCTGCCTCAGCCTCCCCAGTAGCTGGGACTACAGGTGCCCGCCACTACGCCCGGCTAATTTTTTGTATTTTTCATAGAGACGGGGCTTCACCGTGTTAGCCAGGATGGTCTCGATCTCCTGACCTTGTGATCCACCCGCCTCGGCCTCCCAAAGTGCTGGGATTACAGTGTGAGCCAGCGCGCCGGGCCTGGGAGGAGGCTGGATACCTCTGTATGTGACCTTTGAGTCTGCAGAGACGAATCCTTTAGGGCACATCCCCAGATGTCTCCATCCTGCGTGTCCGGGTCCCAGGCTTCCTCAACCAGGGCTCTGAGGTTGTGTAAACAACTTGTCTTGGCTAAGCATTTATTTTTTATTCTTATTTACTTATTTTTTTTTGAGATGGAATCTCGCTCTGTTGCCCAGGCTGGAGTGCAGTGGTGTGATCTCAGCTCAGTGCAACTTCTGCGTCCCCAGTTTAAGTGATTCTCGTGCCTCAGCCTGCCCAGTAGCTAGGATTACAGGCACGCACCACCATGCCCAGCTAATTTTTGTATTTTTTGTAGAGACTGGGTTTTACCATGTTGGCCAGGCTGGTCTCGAACTCCTGACCTCAAGTGATCTGCCTGCCTTGGCCTCCCAAAGTGCTGGGATTACAGGTGTGAGCCACCGTGCCCAGCCTTGGCTGACCATTTAAATGCCTCTGGAACTCAATGACTTTAACTATTAATGAGAGGGAGCAGGGACCCCCCCTTTTTGAGCCTTCAGGCACCTCGAGCATGGAAATAAAGGAAAATGGTGAATTCCTTCAAGGGAAATTCCAGGCTCCTAGCTACTCCTGAGAAGTAAATAAGCAACTTGATACGCAAGAAGGTAATGGTAGTTTAAAACAGTAGTTAGAATCACAGGATGTTTGGTTCCCCTACAGAAACTAAAGATAACATCTTAACATATGTCACTGAGTTATTTTTCAGGAACTCAAACCCCTATCAAATGGATCTGCTGGCACTTTAGACCTCAGAGAACAGGGAGCTGAGGACTGGACTTCTTTGTTCTCAATTTCTTCCTGAGGGGCCTGGAGGAGGTCATGCCCACAAGCCAGAGCTAACATTCTTTGCTGCTGACCCCAAATTTTTAAACAAAACTTCTCATCCTCAACCAATTGCAAATCAGAAAATCTTGAGTCTATCAGTGACCTGTAAGCCCCCACTTCAAGATATCCCACCTTTTTAGGCCAAAACAGTGTATAATCTCCATGTATTGATTTATGATTTTGCCTGTAACTTCTGCTTTCCTAAAATCTACCCCTGCCTTTAAAAATTCTTTCTTTCAGGCCAGGCACAGTGGCTCATGTCTGTAATCCCAGCACCTTGGGAGGCTGAGGCAGGAGGATTTCTTGAGGCCAAGTGTTCGAGATCAGCCTGGGCAAAATAGCAAGACCCCACCCCCCCCTACACACCTGCCCCCGATCTCTACAAAAAATTTTAAACTAGCCAGTTATGGTGGCACATGCCTATAGCCCTAGCTACTTGGGAAGCTGAGATGGGAGGATCGCTTGACCCCGGGAGTTTGAGGTTGCAGTGAGCTATGATTGCACCACCACACTCCAGCGTGGGTGACAGAGCGAGATCCTGTCTCAAAGAACAAAACAAAACGTCCTTACTTTCAACCCATCAGGGAGGTCAAGATTTAAGCAAGAGCTGCTTGATTCTCACTTGGCACCCTGCAAATAAACTCCCTCCTTTCTCCTGCTGCAAACCTCAGTGTGGTTCTTCTGGCCTTATTGCACCAGGCAAGCGGACTCCAATTCTGTTCAGTAACATTAAGACCTGAGTTTGCTCCTCAGCTGTGTTCACTCTTCGTAAAGGCAATGATGGCCTCTTTGTAAGCTACCAATGAGGGCTCTGGCTCTCCACTTAGCTGGTATGTGTTTAACTCTCGCTTTTCATTATTCCTATACGGGGCACTAATAACCAGCCAACTCCACTGTGTTTTTAAGCAGTGTCTTTCCCCTGTCTTTCAATGCCTGAATCATCTCACCAGCAAAGGTGTTCCCCTCCACTCGGATATTTTGGGCCACCTTGAATCAGGCATTATCCGTGCCCCACATTCCACTTGGGATGGGATACTCCTTGCCAGCCAGGTGAGAAATTAGTCAATCCTAAACTGTGTGCTTTTCCAGCCACTCTTGATACCCTGTTCCTGTTCAAGTTTTCTGAGAAACAGAGGCTAGGACACAATCAGATGTATAGATTTATTTATTTGGGGAAATGCTTTTGAGGAATAAAGCAGAGAGACAGCTAGGCCAATGGGAGGCTGTGTTCATCATGCTCTGATTACCTTCCATGTTTGCTTGCTGAAAGGACTCACAGGACTCCAACAGTTTCTATACTCATACAGACCAGTTTTGTTTTGTTTTGTTTTGTTTTTTGAGAGTCTCACTCTGTCACCCGGGCTGGAGTGCAGTGGCAGATCTCGACTCACCCCAATCTCTACCTCTCGGGTTCAAGCAATTCTCCCACCTCAGCCTCTCGAGTAGCTGGGATTACAGGTGTGCACCACCATGCCCAGCTAATTTTTGTATTTTTAGTAGAGACAGGGTTTCACCATCTTGGCCAGGCTGGTCTTGAACTCCAGACTTCACATGATCCACCTTCCTCAGCCTCCCAAAGTGCTGGGATTACAGGCGTGAGCCACCCAGCCCAGCCCTCACATATCAGTTTTTAACAGGCAAAGGATACAGTATGGTAACAGCAGGCAACGTTATGCAAAGAAGGGGCTACAGATCTCAGGCACAGGCTTCTTTGTTCTGTCTCTGCTGACTCCCACTGCCTGTGCTACACGTTCAGGTCTTGAACCGTCATGTGTGTACATACCAGGAAGTCCAAAGCTCACTCATGGTGGGATCTCTTGGAGTGAACTGGTCACATAGGCATGTTTTAGCTCCATGACCAGCCTTAATATTGAAATCCTCCAGGCTCCATCAAAGAAACAATTATTAAACAGTGCTGATGGGCTGGTATGTCCTGTTCCCCAAACAATCCACAGACCGATGGTTACAGAACATCATTTGATATATTCCATAGTGTTGGCCAAGGGTCACCATCAGGCTCCAGGCAGCTCTACAGGTAAGCGTGCAGCCTATCCTGACCAGACCACACAGGAGCCCCCACAGCCAAGAAAGCCCATTAGAGGAGGCATGGAATGGGCTGGTTTGAGCAGCTCTGCCATGCGCAGTTATTGGCTAGGAGCAGCCTGGGGAGAGCATGGTGTTGATATGAATACTGTGGCAGAGCTTAGGGACAGCAGTTGGAGGCTGGAGATCTCAGTGGCTGTGATGGTTAAGGTTAGGTGTCAACTGGATTGGATTAAGGAACACCTACAGAGATGGTAAAACATTCCTTCTGGGTGTGTCTGTCTGGGTTTCCAGAGCAGACTGGCGTGTGAGTCAGTGGACTAAGAGGGGAAGATCTTCCCTCAATGTGGCTGGGCACCAACCAATTGGCTGGGGGCCAAGATAGAACAAAAAAAGGAGAGAAAAGGATTTCCTCTCTCTCCTGGAGCTGGGACCTACTCTTCTCCTCCTGTCCTTGGATATCAGGACCCCAGGCTCTCCAGCCTTGAGACTCTAGGGCTTACATGAGCACCACCCACCCCACCAGGTTCTCAGGCTTTGGGGCTTGGGCTGAGAATTACACCATTGGCATCCCTGGTTCTAAGACTTTTTGACTTGGATTGAGCCACAATACCAGCATCCCAGGGTCTCCAGCTTGCAGATGGCCTGTCATGGGACTTCTCAGCTTCCAGAATCATGTGAGCCAATTCCCTAATAAATCCCTTCTCCTCTGTCTGTATATGTATGTATGTATGTATGTATGTATGTATGTATCTATCTATCTATCTATCTATCTATCTATCTATCTATCTAATCATCCCCTGTTGGTTCTCTCTCTCTAGAGAACCCTGACTAGCAGTGGTGCACCTCCATAGGTATCAAAACCCATTTCAGGAAAGGTTTCAAAAGCCCTCTATACTTGTGAGGCCCCTGTTTATCTCTTGAGTCTTAGCTTTTGCCACATCTAATTTTAAACTCTTCAACTATCCTCAACTACTTAAAGTTCCTGGGATAAAAGCTCTGTTCTTTCTTTCCCCTGGGCCTTTGCACATGACTTTCTGCCAATCATAGTACTTTCTTCTTCCACTTCCTCTCTCTAACTTCTACTCAGCCTTCAGGTCTCAGTTCAAAGACTGGGAAACATTTCTTACCTCACCCCCTATCAACCTCTGATTAAGTTCAGGACATGCTACCCACAAATACAGCACTTTGGTATTTGAGAAAACAGCAGAAGCAAGTAGGTCCATCTCATCTTCCTCTCAGCCTTCTCCCTTGAAGCAGGTCATGAGACCTCATTGGAGAGGTCCCTCCCTATACCTAGAGGAAAGGGACATCCTTATCTCTGAACACACAGAGACACAAAGAAAAATCGGAACAAATAGGTCTTGCTAAGTGGTCCCCTCACACTTTATTAACATTAGATCATACTTTTTATCCAATTATATTTTTCCAGGACCATCCACTTCTCCATCAAACCTAGCATAAAATATACACAGATTTACCTGTTTGTTTGGGCCATTTCCTTTTTTTGTTTTTTTGAGACGGAGGTTTGCTCTGTTGTCTGGGCTGGAGTGCAGTGGCTTGCTCTTGAATCACTGCAAGCTCTGCCTCCCGGGTTCAAGCGATTCTCCTACCTCAGCCTCCCAAGTAGCTGGGATTACAGGCGCATGCCACCACACCCAGCTAATTTTTGTAATTTTAGTAGAGACTGGGTTTCGCCATCTTGGCTAGGCTGGTCTCAAACTCCTGGCCTCAGGTGATCAGCCCACCTCAGTCTCCCGAGGCATTACAGGCGCGAGCCACTGCACCCAGCCATTTCCTTTTAAAGTCTCCCATGTCGCATGAAACTTAAATAAATAAATGTGTATACTTTTCTTGTTAAACTATCTTTTGTTATAGGGGCTTCAGCCACAAACCCAGTGATGATCAAGGAAAAAATATTTCTTTTCCTCCCCTACATCCCGCACTCCACTATGCTCCTACAGTATCTTGACCTCAGCCCTAGGACAGCTACTGTCAAACTATTGCAATTGCTTATGGAATGTGTCTGTGTCTTCCCTTAGACTGAAAGCTCTGCGAGGCACTATGTCACATTGAATTTTGCAACCTTAGTTCCTGCCACATAGTAGGTGCTTAATTAATAAGTATTTGCTGGCCAATTACTGAATAATCGTACCCTATTAAATTGCCTAGAATACTAGGGGTTATGAGAAGACAGCAGAATTGATGACTATAAACCTTTTTCTTTTCTTTTTTTTTTTTTTTTTTTTTTGAGACAGGGTCTTGCTCTGTTTCCCAGGCTGGACTGCAGTGGTGCAATCATAGCTCACTGGAGCTTCAACCTCCCCAGCCCAACTGATCCTCACACCTCAGCCTCCTGTGTAGCTGGGACTACAGGCGCACACCACCTCACCCAGCTAATTTTTGTGGAGGCAGAGTTTGACTATGTTGCCCAGGCTATTAAACTCTTAATGTTTCCTTGGACACATACAGGTCCTGAAGGGGCAATCTTTCTGGGTTAGAATTCACAAATCTGCACTGTGTTGAGTCATCCAATCTTTCTGGTTTGGGCAGTTCTGATGACAAGGTATTCCTCCTTGGGTAGCCTGGGCTGGTGGGCTCCTCTAGCTTATATGTGCTAATTCATTTAAGAAATTCTGAACAGGCCAAGTGCCGGTAATCCCATCACTTTGGGAGACTGAGGGCGGATTGCTTGAGCTCAGGAGTTCTAGACCAGCCTGGGCAACATGGCAAAACCCTGTCTCTACAAAAAATAGTGTGCCCCTGTAGTAGCGTGCCTCTGCAGTCCCAGCTATTTGGCAGTCCGAGGTGGGAGGATGTGGCTTGAGCCTGGGAGGTTGAGGCTGCAGGAGCTGTGATTGCCCCACTGCAGTCCAGCCTGAGCAACAGAGTGAGACCCCGTCTCAAAAAATAAATAAATAAATAAATAAATAAATAAAATTGCCTAGTAGAGTGCCTCTTTGACTTCACATCTTCATTAAGTGCCTAGGAAGGGGTCTAGCACAAAACGACTACCAAAGATTTTAAGATTGGGATAAAACCTAGTCTGAAAACAAGATTTTCCTTGTAACACATTTATTGAGTTATACTTCACAGACCACAATTCACCTATTTAAAATACACAATTCTATAGTTTTTAGTATATACTAGTTCACACTTAACCCTGGGGGATACATTCCAGGACCCCCATTGGATGCCTGAAACTGACGATAGTACTGAATCCTATATATACTGTTTTCTCTATACATACATACCTACGATAAAGTTTAATTTGTAAATTAGCAAAGTAAGAGATTAACAACAATAACTAATAATAAAATAGAACAGGCTGGGCACAGCGGCTCACGCATGTAACCCCAGCACTTTGGGAGGCCAGGGCAAGCAGACTGCTTGAGCCCAGGAGTTCAAGACCAGCCTGGGCAACATGGCAAAACCCCATCTCTATAAAATATACAAAAATTGCTGGGTGTGGTGATGCATGCCAGTGGTCCCAGCTACTATGGAGGCTGAGGTAGCAAAATCACCCGAGCCTGGGGAGGTCCAGGCTATAGTGAGCCATCATTGCACCCCTGCACTCCAGCCTGGATGACAGACCTTGTCTCAAAAATAATAATAAAACAGAGCAATCACAGCAATATACTGTAACAAATGTATACTGTAATACAAGTTACTGTATATTGTAACTGTGTCTCTAAATATCTTATACTGTACTCATCTCTTTTCGGACCTCAGTTGTTTATGGGTAAATGAAACCACGGCAAGAGAAACTCTGGAGAAGTGGGGACTACTGTATGCACAGAGTTGTGCAACCACCAGGGTTGATTTCAGGACTTTTTTTTGAGACGGATTCTTGCTGTCACCCGGGCTGGAATGCAGTGGCACGATCTCAACTCACTGAGCCTCTGCCTCCCAGGTTCAAGTGATTCTCCAGCCTCAGCCTCCCGAGTATCTGCATTACCACTGCCCACCACCACACCCAGTTAATTTTTGTATTTTTAAAACAGACAGGGTTTCACCGTATTGGTCAGGCCGGTCTTGAACTCCTCTCCCCAAGTGATCTACCCTCCTCAGCCTCCCAGAGTGCTGGGATCACAGGCGTGAGCCACCACACCCGGCCAATTACAAGACATTTTCATCACCCCAAAATGAAACCCTGTACAGTGGACTGAACACGGCGGCTCCAGCACTTTGGGAGACTGAGGCAGAAGGATCCCTTGAGGCCAGTGGGTCCGGAGTCGGTTCTTTCCGGTGGGTTCTTGGTCTCACTGACTTCAAGAATGAAGCTGCGGACGTTGGTGTTGAGTGTTAAGAAGTCACAAAAACGGTGTGTCCAGAGTTTGTTCCTTCAGATATATCCACAGTGTCTTCCTTCCAGTGGGTTCGTGGTCTTGCTGACTTCAAGAACGAACCCACAGACCTCTGTAGCGAGGGTTACAGCTCTTAAAAGTAGCGCAGACCCAAACAGTAAGCAACAGCAAGAATCAATCTGAAGTGCAAAATAACAAGGCAGAACACGTTACCACTTCTGACTCCGGTGGCCAGCTTTTATTCCCTTATTTGGCCCCTCCCATGTCCCGTTGATTGGTCTATTTCACAGAGTGCTGATTGGTCCATTTTACAGAGTGCTGATTGGTCAATTTTTATGGAACGTTGATTGGTGCATTTACAATCCTCTAGCTAGACACAGAGTGCTGATTGGTGTATTTACAATCCTCTAGCTAGATAGAAAGGTTCTCCAAGTGCCCACCCCATCCAGAAGGCGCGCTGGCTTCACCTCTCGCCAGGAATTTAAGACCAGCGTAAGCAACATGATGAGATCCCTGTCTCTACAAAAAAAAAATTTAGCCAGGCATGGTGGCACACACTAGTCCCAGCCACTCCAGAGGCTGAGGCAGGAGGATTTCTCGAGCCCCAAGAGTTCTAGGCTGCAGTGAGCTATGATAAGGCCACTATACTTCAGCTTGGGCAACAGCAAGCAAGACCTTGTCTCTAAAAAAGAAAGAGAGAAGAAGAGAGAAAGAAACCCTGTACTCATTAGTAGTCAATCCCCATCCCCCACCCCTGCCCCTATTCCCATCAGCCCTAAGCAATCACTAATCTGTCCTTTATCTCCATGGATTTACCTATTCTGCACATTTCACATGAGTGGAATCATACAATATGTGATCTTCTATGACTGTCTTCTTTCACTTAGCATATGATGTTTTCAAGGTTCATTCATGTTGTAACATTTACCGGTACTTCATTCCTTTTTATGGCTGAATAATATTTCATTGTATGGTATACCACTTTTTTCCTTTTGTTTAACTTTTATTTTAGGTTCGGGGTACATGTGCAGGTTGTTATATAGGTAAACTCATGTCATGGGGGTTTGTTGTACAGATTATTTCATCACCCAGTTACTAAGCCTAATAGCCAACAGTTATTTTTTCTGATCCGCTCCCTCCTCCCACTCTCCACCCTCAAGTGTCTGTTGTTTCCCTCTTTTACCACATTTTTCAATGCCTGCTTTTATTATAAAAGTAATACAAGACCAGGCACGGTGGCTCACGCCTGTAATACCAGCACTTTGGGAGGCCAAGGTGAGCGGATCACCTGAGGTCAGGAGTTGGAGACCAGCCTGTCCAACATGGCGAAATCCTATGTCTACCAAAAATATAAAAATTAGCCAGTGTGGTGGCAGGTGCCTATAATCCCAGCTACTCGGGAGGCTGAAGTGAAATTGCTTGAACCTTGAATCTGGTAGGCAGAGGTTGCAGTGAGCCAAGATTGTTCCATTGCAATACAGCCTGGGTGACAAGAGAGAAACTCTGTCTCAAAAAAAAAAAAAAGATAATACAAAATATTTTGGACTTGCAGTACTGGCAAAAGTAATAAAAAACATTTTACTGCTCATAATTTTATATAATTTACTACTTATAATTTCTCTATTATAAATACAGATTCAGAGAAAATTAAAAGCACCCATAACCCTATCACTCAGAGATAACCACCATAAACATTGGATATCTTTTGTTCTGAGCTTAATCTATGCAAATATATTTAGTAATTGGAATCATACCTGTAATGTTTGTGTAATATGAATTTTTTTCTTGTGGTAAAATGCACATAATATAATATTTACCATTTTAGCCATTTTAAAGCGTACAGTTCAGTGGCACTAAGTACACTAAGTACATTCACATTGTTGTGAAACCATCACCACCATCCACCTCCAGAACTTTTTTATCATCCAAAACTGAAACTCTGTACCCATTAAACAATAACTCCTCACTCCTCTCCCCTTCAACCCCTGGCAAGCACCATTCTGCTTTTTCTCTATGAATTCGAGAACTCCAGGTTCCTCACATAAGTGGAATCCTACAGTATTTCTCCTTATGTGTTATTTCGCTGGCTTATTCGGCTAAGCATAAAGTCTTCAAGATTGATCTATGCTGTAGTACGAGCGGACTTCAAGAAGTTAGTGGAAAAATTGAATTAAATGATTTTTTTTTAAGACTGGGTGCAGTGACTTACACCTGTAATCGCAGCACTTTGGGAGGCCAAGGTAGGAGGATCACTTGAGCTTAGGAGTTTGATTCCAGCCTGGCCAACACGGTGAAACCCCGTGTCTACTAAAAATACAAAAATTAGCTGGGTGTGGTGGCACGTGCCTGTAATTCCAGCTACTCAGGAGGCTGAGGCAGGAGAATCGCTTGAACCTGGTAAGTGGAGGTTGCAGTGAACCAAAATTGTGCCATTGCTCTCCAACCTGGGCGTCACAGCAGGACTTTGTCTCAAAAAATAAAAAATTAGCTGGGTGTGGTGGTGCGTATCTGTATTCCCAGCTACTTGGGAGGCTGAAGTGGGAGGATTCCTTGAGCCAGGGAGGTTGAGGCTGCAGTAAGCTATGATTGTACCACTGCACTTCAGCTTAAGCAACAGAGTGAGACCCTGTCTCAAAAAATAAAAATAAAAAAATAAAGTTTGATCAGGAGCTGAGATACCCCAGAAAGCCCTGAAAGTAGCCACACCTCTACCACCAGCCTTGGCTGCCCAGGGAGTAGTGGCCTCGGCGGCCTCACATCCATGGTTCTGTGGGTAGGGACAAGAAGGTCATGGCGAAGATTTTCGGGAAAAGGAAAATGATTCAATGTAAGAAACAGATCTGCCATTAAAAAAGAACCCCAGGAAGTACCTTGGCTGTGTAGGAACTGGAGAGACTGTGGAGTCTGACGCTGAAGGAGAAAAGGGTGTGGAAGCAGCAGATGTCACAGCCCTGGTGGAATTCCACTGCAAGGCAGTAAACGTGGAGCAGGCCGTAACCATTATGGAAGCAATCCACGTCCTGGGGGTCCTCCACACAATTACCAGCGGAATTACCAGAATAGTGAGCGTGGGGAAAAGAAGGAAGGATAGGAGAGTGCTCCCAAAGGCCAGGCCCAACAAGACTGGCCCTTCCTCAGGAGAAGGTTCCTGGAGAAGGTTCCTGCCCTACTACCTGAAGAGACCCTATGGGCGTGGACCACAGTGTTCCAGCCCTCCAGCGCAGGGAGCGGAGATGGAGGATGCTGACAGCCAGGGTGCAGGAGCACCAGGTAGACCAGTGAGGCAAGATATGTATGTGGCTATAGGCCATGATTCCACTGGGGCCCTCTTAGCCAAAGACAGCCTAGAGAGGATGGTGATGAAGAGGATAAAAAGAAATCAAGGAGATGAGACCCCAGGTCAGCAGCAAGGTCGGTGCCCAGGTGGAGACCCCGAAAATATGGCAAAGAGACAAAAGCAGCTGAAAATTTGCCCATGGCCGGCCGGGCGCGGTGGCTCACGCCTGTAATCCCAGCACTTTGGGAGGCCGAGACGGGCGGATCACGAGGTCAGGAGATCGAGACCATCCTGGCTAACACGGTGAAACCCCGTCTCTACTAAAAATACAAAAATTAGCCGGGCATGGTGGCGCGTGCCTGTAGTCCCAGCTACACAGGAGGCTGAGGCAGGAGAATGGCGTGAACCCGGGAGGCGGAGCTTGCAGTGAGTCGAGATCGCGCCACTGCACTCCAGCCTGGGCGACAGAGCGAAACTCCGTCTCAAAAAAAAAAAAAAAAAAGAAAAAAAAAAGAAAATTTGCCCATGGCCAAGGCTGAGCAGGGTAGGGCTGAGTAAATACCAGCTTACCATCTCTACCATCATCCCCTTTAGTCGTACAACAAGAAGAAATGAATGTGAAACTGCAGCAATAAGAAATGAACAAAAGATTGGCACTGAAGACATTGTTTGCTCTTTGCTGCTGACCAATTATTAGAACTATCTGCATTATCTGTGCAGCATGGGTTTTTAAAATCACTTTTTTCCTAAAGACAACTCTTTTTGGTGATAACAAATGTGGTTTTCTTAAAAAAAAAAAAAGTCTGGCTTTTCTCAATATGCCTCTAAAGATTTTTAAATTGTTTCATATCTGGTCAAGTTGAGACTTAAGAACTTCATTTTAAATTTGTAATAAAAGTTTACAACTTGGTGTTTTTTCAAAATAGTCAATGAACTGCAAGCACTTGTCAATAAAGATCTTAAATAATTGTCAAAAAAGTTAAAATAAAAAATATAAACTTTATTTCTCAACATAGACTTCACCAAGTTCGGGACACTTTCTTTTGTAAGCAATGATACCAGCCATTTAGTCCATCCCTAAAGAACTGAGGGTCCTGGGAACGTAACCATGTCAGTGCAGTCTCTTTTACGATACTAACTGAAGAAAAATAGGTGTAGTTTAATGGTTTTTTTTAAAGATTAGGAAATGAAGGCAGAAGGAGGCAAATCAGGACTGTAAGGTGGATGCCTAATGATTTCCTTTTGAAACTCTATTTATTTATTTGTTTGTTTGTTTGTTTTTTGAGGCAGGGCCTCACTCTGTAGCCCAGACTGGAGTGGAGTGACACAATCACGGCTCACCACAACCTCTACCTCCTGGGCCCAAGCAATTCTCCCACCTCAGCCTTCCGAGCAGCTGGGACTACAGGCATGCGCAACCACGCCTGGCTAATTTTTGTATTTTTTGTAGAGACGGGGTTTCACCATGTTGCCCACGCTGGTCTCTAATTCCTGGGCTCAAGCAATTCACCTGCCTTGGCCTCCCAAAGTGCTGGATTACAGGCATGAGCCACTGTGTCCAGCCTGTTGAAACTCTTGCTTGCACCCA
Organism: Homo sapiens; assembly: GCF_000001405.40. Classification (NCBI taxonomy): domain Eukaryota; kingdom Metazoa; phylum Chordata; class Mammalia; order Primates; family Hominidae; genus Homo; species Homo sapiens. The sequence goes on along the minus strand of NC_000001.11, from coordinate 226,316,555 downwards.
TTTTGATGAGAGGAATGAACAGTAACATTGGTGTGGCAGAGAAAGACTCCCTAGTGAAGATTTCTTAGGGATTTTCTGCTAAAGCTTTGACTAACTTTCTCAAAACACTCCTGTAATAAGCAGATGTTATCATTCTTTGGCCCTCCGGACAGTTAACAAGTAAAATACCTCAAGCATCCCAAAAAGCTATTGCCATGACCTTTGCTCTTGACTGGTCCACTTTTGCTGTGACTGGACCACTTCCACCTCTTGGTTGCCATTGTTTAGATTGTGCTTTGTCTTCAGGATCATACTGGTAAAGCCACGTCTCATCTCCTGTTATAATTCTTCAAGGAAGTGCTTCAGGATCCTGACCCCACTCGTTTAAAATTTCCATTGAAAGCTCTGCTCAATCCTTTTGTAGCTCCTGAGCACGATGATTGTGTGTTCATGCTCATGTGTGAGATGTCCCACCCTTGAACCTTGTTACAACATCGGCATATTACCTGTCTGACATGGAAGGAAAAAAAAATGCTGTGCTCTCTGCTCTTGTCTGCAGCTGATCTGAATGCAACTGTTTTGGCATCCATCAAATGAAAAGTTTGCTCACCTTTAATTTTTCTATTAGAATTGTGTAAAGTGAGCCAATTGAGATATCTATGGTGTTGGGTATTGTTTCTGCTGTTAATAATCAGTCTTCTTCAATTAGGGTACAAATAAGGTTAACTTTTTCCTTGAAAATTGAAGTGGATGCTCTGTTGCTTCAGGTTTCATCTTCAATATCGTCTTGTCCTCTCTTAAAATGAGTTATCTATTTGTAAACTGCTGAATTCTTTGGTGCATCATCCTCATAAACTTTTTGCAAAGCATTGTTAAAAGAAAAACTTCAGCCTAATTAAAGGAGTTTAATTGAGCAATGGACAATTCCCAAATTGGGCAGCCCCTAGAATTACAGCAGATTCAGAGAGACTCCAGGGGTGCCTCATGGTCAGAACAAATTTATAGGCAAAAAAAGTAAAGTGATGTACAGAAATCAGAAGTGAGGTACAGAAACAGCTGGATTGGTTACAGGTTAACATTTGCCTTATTTGAACACAGTTTGAACACTCAGCAGTCTAAGAGTGCTTGAAGTATGGCTGCTGGGATTGGCCAAGACTCAGCAATTTAGTTATAGGCACATACTCCTAAGTTAAGTTTTTAATCTTGTCTGCCTATTACACTAGGTTACAGTTAGTCCACAAGGACTCAAATACAGAAGTATGGACTTTCTTCTCAGGCTATATTTAGTTTGCTTTAAGAGCATCAATAATTTCATCATTCTTTCACCCAAGCTTCACCGTAAAGCTTCCATTTGTCCACCATCAAGCTTCACCATTGATGTTTGTTCTTGCTTCAATTTTGGCAGAATTTATGTTGCTCTGAAAGGTACTCTGTTCAAACTGATGTCTTATCCTTCTTAGTGTTTCAGACTAGATCCCATTCAGGCATGTTATAACAAGTAAGTACAAGTTTATTTTGGTGCAAAAAAATTTTGAAATCCATGCATACTTTTTTTCTTTTTTCCATTTTTTTGAGACGGAATCTCACTCTGTTGCCCAGGCTGGAGTGCAGTGGTGCGATCTCGGCTCACTGCAACCTCCACCACCCGGGTTCAAGCAATTTTCCTGCCTCAGCCTCCCGAATAGCTGGGATTACAGGTGCCCACCACCACACCCGGCTAATTTTTGTATTTTCAGTAGAGACAGGGTTTTGCCATTTTGGCCAGTCTGGTCTCGAACTCCCGACCTCAGGTGATCTGCTTGCCTTGGCCTCCCAAAGTGCTGGGGTTACAGACACGAGCCACCATGCATGACCAGTTTTTTCATAATATGCATTTTCCATGAACTTTCTTAAGACCCCTCATATATGACAGAATTTTCTTCCTTTTCTAGACTAAATAATTTTCTATTGTATTTATGTACCACATTTTCTTTTTCCATTCATCCATCAATAAATACTTAGGTTGCGTCCAACTCTTGGCTATTGTGAAGTAATACTGCTAAGAACATGGGTGTACAAATATTTGTTTGAGTCCTTGCTTTTCATTATTTTGGGTATTTATATTCAGAGTAGAATTGCTGGATCATATAGCATAGTACTTTTATGTATAAATCTTTGAAGAACCACCATATTGTTTTCCATAGCAGCTGCACCATTTTACATTCCCAATAGCAGTACACAGTGTTCTGATTTCTTCACATCCTTGCCAACACTTGTTATTATCTGTCTTTTTTATCATAGCTATCCCAGTGGGTGTGAATTGGTATCTCATTGTGGTTTTGATTTGTAGCTCCCCAATGATAATGATCTTGAACAGTCTTTTGTGTGCTTATTGACTTATCTACTGTGGAGAAATGTCTATTCAGATCCTTCACACATTTTTGAATTGGGTTGTCTTTTTATTACCAAGTTATAAGAGTTTTAAATGTGTTTAAATGTTTTGGATACAAGTGCTTTATCAGATATAAGATTTGCAAATATTTTCTCCCATTCTAAGGGTTGTCTTTTCACTTTCTTGATAGTGCCCTTTGAAACACACAAATTTTTAATTTTGATGAGGTCCAATTTATACTTTCTTTGGTTGATTGTGCTTTTGTGTCATAGCTGAGAAACTGTTGCTTAATCTAAGGTCATGAAGATTTACACCTATGTTTTCTTTTAGGAATTTTTATGGTTTAGCTTTTACATTTAGGTCTTTGGTTCATTATGAGTTTCACATTTGTATTGTATATGATTTTTTAAAAAGCTTTGTTATAGTTTTCATTAGAGTAGTGTAACATACTAAACTCCACTAAACTTGGATGTTATACATAATATCTAGCACATGTAGAGAATTTTATCTTTTATTATCTCAATTTTATGGACATGCATCCTCACATTGTGATCTAGGTAGGGCAGTGTAGTTATATTCACTCCCCAAATGGGAAAGACGAAGGCAGAAAGGTTCAATGACTTGTCCGAGATCATGGTGCTCACTAGAGGTAAAGCAAGGCTTAGAACCCATGTCTTCTGCTCTCACTCCTCACGCCTGTTTCCACTGCTCTGAACATGTTCAGGGAGATGATTCTGAAGGGAATTACCAGGATGGCCACTGGGCACATTTTTGAGAATATTTATGTTGTAAAAGAGGGATTCTCATCAAGGAAGGATACCAACAGTCACTGGAGATCTTGGTAGGCACTTAATTTACAATATGTAATTTAATCTTCATGATAACCCTTCAAGAAAGGGAGAAGAAAACTAAAAACTACTACTGAGAGTAATTTGTTCAAGAATACACACAAGGGAAGTAGGTGAACTGCAATTTGAACCTAGATCCTGGGGCCATCAGTACTCCTGGTGTACTTGGATGCTGGAAGAGGAAATGCTGAGTGTGGAGTCCTACCAGCAACATAACTTAAAAATATATATATTTATAGGCTGGAGAGCCTTTTTACCTCATTATGGCTGAGATACTCAAGCAAGGCAAACTGAATTGTCTTTGTTTTTTCATTACTAACTCAAATTCCCAACTTTATCAAAAGTATTTATAAAAACATTCACACACATACTATACACACACACGCTTTTTTTTTTTTTTTTTTTTTTTTTGAGACGGAGTCTCACCCTGTCACCCAGGCTGGAGTGCAGTGGTGTGATCTCAGCTCACTGCAGTCTTCACCTCCTAGGTTCAAGCAATTCTCCTGCCTCAGCCTTCCAAGTAGCTTGAATTACAGGCACAAGCCACCACGCCTGGCTAGTTTTGTATTTTTAGTAGAGACTGGGTTTCACCATGTTGGTCAGGCTGGTCTCAAACCCCTGATCTCAGGTGCTCAGGCGATCCACCTGCCTCAGCCTCCCAAAGTGCTGGGATTACAGGTGTGAGCCACTGCACCAGGCCCCCAACACACACATTTTATCTTTAGTCATTGCAACTGTTTTCACAAAAATAATCCAACCCAATAATTGATAAATAGGCCACAGGACTAGAAATGGTCAAACCTGGTATTTCTAAAACGTGGCCATGTTTATTTTTCTTATGGTATTTTTAAAATTTTTTAGAATTTTTGTGGGTACATAGTAGGTGGATATATTTATGATGGTACATGAGATGTTTCTTATGGTGTATTTTTATTTAGGTTTTTCATGACTTAATGACCTTATCCACACCGTGGTTTGTTTTTTTTAAAAAGCAAACACCACACACAGTCATGTCATTTTAAATTGGAATAAGTGATTGCAGGAAACTTAATACCCCTGTGTTGCATGTTGCTATGGTTTGAATGATGGTATTCCCTCCAAAATTCAGTTGTAACATAATCCCCAATGCAACAGTATTAAGTGGTGTGGCCTCTGGGAGGTGATTAAGTCATGAGGGTTCTGCTCTCGTGAATGGGGTTAGCACCCTTATGAAAGGGCTCAAGACTGAAGGAGGTGTTCTCTTGCCTTTCTGTCCCTTCTACCATGTGAGGACACAGCATGCATCCCCTCCAGAGGATGGAGCAACGAGCCACCATCTTGGAAACAGAGAGCTGCCCTCACCAGACACCAACATTGGCACCTTGATCTTGGACTTCCCAGCGTTTGAAACTGTGAGAAATAAATTCTTGTTGTCGGCTGGGCACGGTGGCTCATGCCTGTAATCCCAGCACTTTGGGAGGCTGAGGCAGGTAGATCACTTGAGATCAGGAGTTCAAGACCAGCCTGGCCAAACTGGTGAAACCCTGTCTCTACTAAGAACACAAAAATTAGCCAGGAGTGGTGGCAGGCACCTGTAATCCCAGCTACTCTGGAGGCAGAGGCAGGAGAATCGCTTGAACCCAGGAGGCAGAGGTTGCAGTGAGCCGAGATCACACCATTGTACTCCAGCGTGGGTGACAAGAGCAAAACTCCATCTCAAAAAAAAAAAAAAAAATTCTTGTTGTCTATAAATTACCCAGTCTCAGATGTTTTGTTATAGCAGCACAAATGGACAAAGACATACGTGTAATCCTCCCATCACAGAGGGAGTCACTGAGGCACCGAAAAGTGGGCTAGATTCCTGATTCTAGCACTTGCTTGCCATTGTCTTTGGACAAATTACCAGGTTGTTGGGAGAATCAAGTAAGCCAATCATTGTAAAACCTGTCATAAATATTCAATAACGAAACTTATTGAAGAGTTAGGTGTGCCTTGGCTTCGATCACACAGCTAAGCGCTAGATCTGGGGCTAGGATACAGCTTCAGGCTTTGGATTTATGAGAAGAGTCAAAGTTTTTGTTTAAAATGCAGATTATCAGGCAAGGGCCTAAAAACATTGATTTAAACAGTAGTTGTGTTGTTGCGTGTACATGAAAACTGCCTCAGAATAAAACCAGGTTTGCCTTGGTCTAATGACACCTTGACTATCATGACATTCACAAAGCTTTTGCTTCTCCCACTCTGGTAACCTCTCATGTTTTTTTAATTTCTATTCTTCCATTCTTAAAGGGCTGACCTTTTCTTGATCTCATCTCCAAATTGATACTGAAGTGCAAGCTGCTGAAGCACCCCCTAGGTGCTGACAACAAGGACCAGTGTTTTAATCTTCTTAGGGAGCAGATCAGAGTGTGTTTAGAAGGCAAAGGAGAGGTTAAGCTAGCTCTGAAGGAAGGATTACTTTGTAAAATTGAACTTTCACCCTCCCTGCTCACTCCCTGCTCTCCCTCCTACCTTAGCATGGCAGCACCCAGTTACCCAAGGCACAGAGCTGGCATCAGCAATGAGACTTCCTTCTCCTCACACCCAGTGACTCACCCAATCCTTTATTTTCCACGTCTTGAAAGGTGGAGTGCATGCTGCCACCTCTCTCTAATACTGCCTATGCTGTGGTAATGGTGGTAATAGTGGCTAGCTGATGGGTGCTAGCAGCTAGTATAAGGTCCTTACATCTATCAAATCGTTTAGCCCTCAAAATAACCCTGTTATTTGCATTTTACAGATAAGAAACTGAGGCACAGAGAATTCGGTTAAGAAACCAACGTGCCTGAGATTATACAACTAGCAGCCCATCTGGATTCTTCCCATCGAGGCCCTGGGGCTCCAGAGCCCACCCGCTGCACCTCTCTAGCTACCAGTGCAGGCATCTCTCTTCTGTCCTTTGCATGCCCCAAATAAGCTTCTTCCTGACTGGTTTCTAGGCTCTCATCTTGTCCCCCACCAATCCATTTCCCATATTTTTGTTCTAAAACACAAATAGAAACGTGCCCCTCTTACACCCGACTTTTCCACTGCTCCAGTGGACTAAGCAAGTTCAACTCCTTAGCCTGGGCGGGCCTCTGTGTACCACTCTGTCACCTTAGTCTACCGCCTTTTAACTTTGTAGTTCCTGGAATTCACCCACGTTGTCTTTTGACTGCTTAACGGTCTCATTCCTCCAACCCCCATAAATTCCTGGAGAAAAGGATTGGAGCTCAATGACATTCGTTAAATGAATTTTTGAAAAGCAACAGTGTTTTATTACTGGAAAGTGTTACAGACAGATATTGTGAAATTTTTCCTTGGGCTTCTTTCAATTTCGTTCAATTCTCGTCCAGTATTCTCATAACATTTGGATCAGGTACTTTATCACCTTGTAGTGTCACTGTTCCTTTCTGTATCCTCTCGAAGCCTCCTGTTACTCGTTTTCTAATTCTCTTCCAGCCCACTGCACGATCTAGTGTCGAATGGATGAAACAGCTGAGCAGAACAGTTCTTTAGCTGTCGGCCTAAATGACCAACTTCATGACCTCTCAAGGTCTCGCTCCCCGGCTGCACGCAGCTCAGCTTCCAACATTCGGGAAAGGCGTGCCCGGATCGCGAGGGGCCGCTGGGACCGAGTCCCGGACGTCGCGACGCGCAGGGGGCTGCTGCGGCCGGCGGTCTCGGGAAAAGTGAGGGGACGGAGGCGCCCAAGCAACGTGGGTTTCGGGAACTGTGAGTATTTCACTTTGCGTAGAGCCCCCTCGGGCAATGCGACCCAGAACCGAGGGCTTCTTTCCCCCCGCCGGGGCCTCCCTCCCGTTCTCCACTCGGAACAAACAGCCTGCAGTTCCCGCAGCTGCAGCGCGGGCCGCGGAACATGCGCCGGGAGCGGGGCCCGGGCGGGACTCCGGAGCTGGTACTGCTCCCCCCGCGCTCCGGCGCCGGGCCTCGCCGTGCGGCCTCCTTCCTCCCTTCCTCCCGCCCGGCTCGGCCGGAGGCGGCGGCGGAGGGGCGAGGCGCGGCCCCCCTTCGGCGGCACCTCCTCCCCGGGCAGGCGCGGGCGGAGCCGGGCCCGCCTCAGCCAGCCGCGGCGGGAGCAGCGCAGCGCGGCGCCGCGGGCAGCGAGCTCCGCATTCGAACCTCCCTCGCAAAGACAGTCTCCGCCCCACAATGCACCGCGGCGGGCAGCCTTTGAAAAAGCGGCGCGGCTCGTTCAAGATGGCGGAGCTCGACCAGTTGCCTGACGAGAGTGAGTAGCACCTCAAAGCACCCCCCCCTTTTCCCGCCTGCTGCTTGCCCAGCGGTTGCACCGGCCGGGACGGACGGCCGTGCCCTCCGCTGGGCAGGTGGGCTGACTGCCAGCCCCACTGTGGTCCCCTAGTCCTCCCACTCCGGTGTTGCCGCCGCGTCGCCGCCTTTGTTATGGTGTCTGTGTGTTGGTTTCTGGGGTTGTGTGAGCGCCAGGGCCGGAAACCGAGAGCCCGGGAGTCCAGCCTGTGCCAGGCGGAGGCGGTGGCTGCTCCCCTGGCGCCACTCCGGCCCCCAGCCGAGGTGGAGGGAAGAGCGGCCCCTGGGCGCGGGGGCTGTCCTCGCCGCCTGCACCACTCGCCCGGCGCCGAGAGACGCCCGCCGGGGTTATGTAACTCGCCTGTCCCGGGGCCGGGGGAGGGCTCGGGCTGGGCACGGGGTGGTCCACGGCCCCTTCTTCTTGCCCCAGCCTCTGATCTTGTCCTGTCACAGCTCCTGCCTCTACGGGCACTTGTGATCTTCACTGTCCTCCCCACCCCCCCACCGGTGTGTCCACCCCTGGAAGTGTTTCCGTGTCAGAGGGTTGGCCCCTTCCCCTGGGACCACAGGTGGCTGTGGACCTTTCCTGAGATCATCCAGCCCGGATACTCAGTGTTCAGGTAGACCCCGTCCCGCAGACTTTATTCTATATGTGTCTTAAGAGCCATAAAGGTACCTTTATGCATGGATGTGACCAACACAGCGTACGTGTACCCTGCCTGACACCCACCCTAGGGCATTGCCTCCCCTAACCATGTTTACTCACCCTGACATCTAAGACATGTATGCTCACTTGTGTTGAGTAAGTAAAAGCACCAATTCCATAGTTTAAGGGCAATGGAACTTAATTTTGTAATTTACAATATTGCATAAATTATATGAAAAGACAAATATGTTATTTAATTACAAAAAAAAGTCCTGAATCCACTTTCACTATTCAGTTTATACATATTTGTGAAAGGCTCAATTACTATTGAATCTTATCTATGCACAAGGCAAATGGACTTAAAAATGAGGACTCAACATACTACCGATTCCATTTTCTTTGTGAGGTCATGTGTTCTTAGTAAGTTATAAAGTTAAAAATTCAAGTTGCCAAGCTGGTGAAAAGTCGTATTAAAAGTGTTTGTGTTTTAAATTTGATAGAGAGCAGCACTAAGTCCCCAAGGAACTTTGTCCATGATAGAACTGTTCTCTTTTGTGATGTCCAGTAGGGCAGCCAAGCTACTAGCCATATGTAGCCATGGAACATTTCAAATGTGGCTAGAGTGATGGAGGAACTGAATTTTGAATTTTATTTAATTTTAACTTGCATAGTCACATGTAGCTAGTAGTCACTGTATTGGGTAGGGCACAGCTATTGACCAGTCATGAGCTGTACTGTTTATTTGTAGAATACAATTGATTGTGATTTATTTTATTTATTTATTTATTTTGAGATGGAGTTTCACTCATTGCCCAGGCTGGGGTGCAATGGTACTATCTCGGCTCATTGCAACCTCTGCCTCCCAGGTTCAAGCGATTCTCCTACCTCAGCCTCCCGAATAGCTGGGGTTACAGGCATGTGCCACCACGCCTGCCTAATTTTTTTGTATTTTTAGTAGAGATGGGGGTTTCTCCATGTTGGTCAGGCTGGTCTCGAACTCCCGACCTCAGGTGATCCACCCGCCTCGGCCTCCCAAAGTGCTGGGATTACAGGCGTGAGCCACCGCAGCTGGTCTTGATTGTGACTTAGAATGCTCCCAAATGAGTGTGGACCTACTAAGCACAGTGTACTTGTCATCCGAAAATGTTTTTCATCATCCTTGGTATCTTTATCATAAACATGTCTTATCACCTCTTGGATGTCACAATCACTAGAGCTACTGTTTTGGTTACTGTAGTCATTCTGTTGTAATGAGAGGCATTTTAAGTGGCTTTCTTACAACTGCCATTAGGAATATTTGCTTCATATCATCCAGCATTTATTGAGAATTTACTGTGGTTCTTTGTAGGGACTTGGGATTTATATTAGGGTTCAAATTCCAGCTCCACTTTCAAATTATATAACCTAATCATTTATATTACTTTGTGACATCTCTGGTGCATTGGTGTGTATTTGTGAAGCGTATGTCTTGTTTAGGTAGACTTCAGCTTTGTTGAAACCAGGGATTTTCTTTCTTTCTTTGTCATACAGTGCCACAAATCAAGTATACATAAATAATTTTTATGGAATTAGTGCAAAGTAACAGGTATTATTACTGAAACTAGAGCAGGGTCTTGAAAAGGAAAAGCGATTTCAATTTGATACTGGAAATAGCAGTATGTTTTTTGGCCACATTTAGTCAAGGAGGCTAGCTAATATATTGTTCAGGAGTCGATATAACATTATCAATAATGAAAGCTACCATTTATTGAGTATTTACTATGAACCAGATGCCATGCAAAGGATATTACATGTATTTGCTCATTTAATCTTCATTTCAGTTGATGTAAGTGCTCACATTTTATATAAGGAAATTAAGGCTATCTTCAGCCCAGATCTTTCCTGAGCTCCCTTTCTTGATATCTCTTGCCTGTTTCACATTTCTTCTTAGATGCTTCAAAGGCCCCTCAAACTGCACAGGTTTAAAATCCACCTCAGTCCTACCCCAGGACAGATACTTCTAGTGATTCGAATGGTTCCACTGTGCATTCAGCTGGCAGGGCAGAAACCTAGAGATTTTCTTTGGCACTTCCCTCTCTTTCTTTTCTTTTGTTTTTTTTTTGAGACAGAGTCTTGCTGTGTCACCTAGGCTGGAGTGCAGTGTGCGATCTCAGCTCACTGCAGCCTCCGCCTCCCGGGTTCAAGCCATTCTCCTGCCTCGGCCTCCTGAGTAGCTGGGTTTACAGGCGCCCGCCACCACACCTGGCTAATTCTTGTATTTTTAGTAGAGGCGGGGTTTCACCATGTTGGCTAGGCTGGTCTCAAACTCCTGACCTCAGGTGATGCACCCGCCTCAACCTCCCAAAGTGCTGGGATTACAGGGGTGAGCCACCGCGCCCCCAGCCACTTTCCTCCCTTTCACTTCCCATATTTAAGCCTTTACTAAGTCTGTAAATTTTACCTTCTAAATATCTATCAATTCTACCCATTTCTTACCATCAGCATAGCCCAAACTGTTACCATTTCTTCTCTTTACCAATTACCTCAGCCTCTCATTAATTCAGCCCCCTTCCCACAAACACACAGCGAGAGGGATCCTTTCAAAACGAATGTATGTCATCCTCCTGTTACAAACCCTTTAGTAGCTATAAGACCCTTTGTGGTCTGGCTGCTCCCTACCTCTCAGCTTTATGTTTTACCACTTGTCCCCTCATTCTATCCCTTGGGGTAAATTGGACCTTTTTCATTCCCGATACTCGCCAGTCTCCCCTTTTCTCCAGGGTCTTTGCACATGCTGTTCTCTCAACCTGGAATGCTACCCCCCCACACCCCCCTTACTTTCAGTTAACTTCTAATTGTCTTTTAGATCCCATTTTATGCTTCTTCAGAGAGCCATTTCCCATCCTCCCTGACTAAATTATGTCTTCTTTAAATCTGTTTTTTGTTTTTTAAAGAGACAGGGTCTCCCTCTGTTGTGTAGACTGGAGTGCAGAGGCATGATCGTGGCTCACTGCAGCCTTGATCTTCTGGGCTAAGGAGATCCTCCGGCATCAGTCTCCCCAGTAGCTGGGACCGCAGGCATGTACCACCATGCCCAACTAAGGTTTTTTTTTTTTTTTTTTTTTTTTTTCTTTTTTTTGTAGAGACGAGGTCTCCCTATGTTGCTCAGGCTGGTCTCAAACTCCTGGCCTCAAGCGATGCTCCTGCCTTAGCCTTCCAAAGTGCTGAGATTACAGGCTTCAGCCACCATGCAGGGCCTATCTTTATTTTTTTTTAAAGATGGAGTCTTGCTCTGTCACCCAGGCTGGAGTGCAGCGGTGCAGTCTTTGCTCACTGCAACCTCCGCCTCTAGAGTTCAAGCAATTCTCCTGCCTTAGCCTCCTGAGTAGCTGTGATTACAGATGTGTGCCACCAAGCCCGGCTAACTTTTGTATTTTTAGTAGAACCTGGCTGGTCTCGAACTCCTGCCCTCAAGTCATTTAGCCCCCCAAAGTGCTGGGATTACAGGTGTGAGCCACTGTGCCAGGCCAGGCCCATATTCTTTAAATCTTTTTGTATTACTATGTAACTTCCTAGTGGCAGCTATTACAGTTGCAGTTTTGTATTTGTTTATGTGATTGGTTAGTAGCCCCATCAGAGCAGGTACTGTCTTAATTGCATTCCCAGTTCCATGCATAACACCTGGCTTACCTCTGCCCTTTCATACCATTCTTCCCTATGCAAGCACAGTCACCCCTCCTCCCTTCTTAGGACTTAACCTGTTTCTTCTGCCCAGACTCATTGCTTTGATTTCCTGCTCTCTCACAGCTAGTTTTTTAGATGTTACCTCCTCAGAGAAACCGTCTGTACTCAAAAGTAAGGTAGCTAGTACTTAGAGTAATTCCCCCGTCCCCACCAATATCACCCTGTTTATTTCCTTTATCATGAGCTATAATTATTATGTACGTGTTTTATATATATATGTCTCTTTCCACTAGAGTTTAAGCTTCCTGTGAGGAGAGGCTTTGTTTGTCTTGTTCTTTGGGGTAACCCTCGCCCCTAACAGTGCTTATGGTAGGCATTCAATAAAATTTTTTTTTCCACATCAGATGGGTCATGTGCTGACTTTTCACAAAGTTTGAGAGAGACACATCTCACACATGAGTATGAAAACCCAATCATCATGCTTATGAACTAAGAAGGGTAGAATCTTTGGATTAATGAACACCTCGTTAGAGCAAGATTCTAATTTAATCAGATTCGCCTGACTGAAAAATCCATGTTCTTAACCTATTATTTTTTGATTGCTCAAAATAATACTAACAGCATTATATCAAAATTAACTGTGTAATATATGCATTGTTCTATGCACTTTTACATGTATTAACTCATTTAATCCTCATTTTACACATGAAGAAACAATAGCACAGAGAGGCAAAGTAACTTGCTTAAGGTAGCATGCAAGAAAGTGTCAGGACCAAGATTCAAACATAGCTAGTCTCAATCTAGAACCTGTTTTCTTAACCACTATGCTATCCTGCATCTAGAAAAAGGAAAGAAGGACCGGTTGCGGTGGCTCACGCCTATAATCCCAGCACTTTGGGAGGCCGAGCCGGGTGGTCACCTGAGGTCAGGAGTTCGAGACCAGCCTGGCCAACATGGCGAAACCCTGTCTCTACTAAAAATACAAAAATTAGCTGCGTATGGTGGCATGCACCTGTAATCCTAGCTACCTGGAAGGCTGAGGTGGGGAGAATTTCTTGAACCCGGGAGGTGGAGGTTGCAGTGAGCTGAGATTGCGCCACCGCACTCCAACCTGGGTGACAGAGTGAGACTCCATTTCAAAAAAAGAAAAAGAAAAAAGAAAACGAAAAAGAAAAAAAAGGTTAAAGGTGATTGGTCAGAATCCCCAAGATATGGTTCCTGCCTTCGTGGAGCAGGAGTGGATATTCTTATGGCCTATATACCTCTTCCTTCAGATCTCTGCTTAAGCATCACCTTTCATAGAAGCTCATCATGAACACCTTATATACAAATAGTTTTCCTTCCCTCCATCCCCACCCTGCGTATTCTTCTTCTTCTGCTTTATTTTTTCCAGAGTGCTTATCATTACTCGATAGCTGTTTTTGTTTGCCTCCCATCACTAGAATGTACATTCCATGAGAGCAGGGACTTTGACTATTTTGCTTGCTGTTGTATTCCCATTGCCTAGAGCAGGTAGGGACTGGCATGCCATCAGTACTCTACATATTCAGTGAGTGAATGGTTACTACTTTTTCTCAAATGCACTGCATATCTTTTGGTACACAGATGTGTGTATTGTCTACTATTGCTGCTTTACAGTTGTGTTTCATTGTTTGAGACTTTTTAGCAAGATTTTATGTCATTCACCCCCATGACTTTACTGCCTTTTGTCATTAAGCTTCATTTGCCATGCAGAAGCTTTTATGGTGTCCTGTTAACTATTCTTCACATCTGGGCAAGAGAGTAGAGTGAAAGTAAGTGTCTTTAATGCTAATAGGTGTCTGTTTCACAAGTCTCTTACACAGACCTGTGGAGGAAAAAGTCAGTTGAGGTTTAGTGATCAGAGATGCATAGTGTTTAAGGATCTGAGATGAAGTGTTTCATAACTGCCATACTTTATCTGTTGCTTCTCATTTTAAGTCTGTTATCCATTTATATGAGATGTAAATCATAGCTGCTTTTGTTAAATAGCAAGGAGGATTAATCCGTCCTCTCTGATTTTTGTTCCTAGTTCATGTTCTTTTTTATTTAATCCCCTGAGATCATCCTTAATTATTATTTTTCAGATGACTTGGACTTTGCAATGTATACATCCAATTCTGAGATTTTTAAATTTAGTGCTTTCTCACTCTCAAAAAGCTTCTTTCTCTATTGGTTTGTTTTTTTTTTTTTTTTGGACATGGAGTCTCACTCTGTCACCCAGGCTGGATGGAGTGCAGTGGCGCAATCTTTGCTCACTGCAAGCTCTGCCTTGTGGGCTCACGCCATTCTCCCACCTCAGCCTCCCGAGTAGCTGGGACTACAGGTGCTCGCCACCACACCCAGTTAATTTTTTGTGTTTTTAGTAGAGACGGGTTTTCACCGTGTTAGCCAAGATGGTCTTGATCTCCTGACCTTGTGATCCGCCCACCTCGGCCTCCCAAAGTGCTGGGATTACAGGCGTGAGCCACCGCACCCGGCCTCTCTATTGATTTTTCTACTTTCCCTACCCATAGATCCTATAATTCATTCACACCAGAACCTGTAGCCTGATGTTTCTCAAAGTGGGTTACCTGCAACAGAATCCCCTGTTGTTTATTAATAATATAGATTCAGTCTAGATTTTGCATGTATGAGGAGCTTCCTTGTTATTCTAATGTCTTTTTTATTTTTTTGAGGCAGAGTCGTACTCTGTCTGTCAGGCTGAAGTGCAGTGGCACGGTCACAGCTCACTGCCGCCTCAACCTCCCAGGCTCCAGCAGGCCTCTCACATCAGCCCCCTGAGTAGCTGACACTTTAGGCACGTGCCCCCATACCCAGTGAATTAAAAACATTTTTTTAGAGACAGGATCTCCTTATGTTGCCCAGGCTGGTCTCAGACTCCTGGCCTCAAGCTAGCCTTCCCACCTTGGCCTTCCAAAGCACTGGGATTACAGGTGTCAGCCATCATACCTGGCCTCTAATGTACACTGGAGTTTGTTTTATCCAGTGGACCCCTCCAACTTTATTCTAGCCCCTCTTGGCCATTCTGTATTCCCTTTTCCAGCTTAGATCTTGAAGTATCACATATACCTGCATTCTAGACTTTCAAGGGACTTATTGCTTGCTCTGACAGTCCCTGAATCATTTCCATTGCCTGTTTTTTTCCACTCCATTACTACATCAGTCTTTGCCTCAATGGATGTCGGTTCCCTTTCTCTTTTCTTCCAGCACCACAGCACGCCTGGATGAGGATCCAAAATTACCTCTGTCCCCACTCTTCCTCTTTCTTCTGTTTCTTCACTTTCTTCTCCTGGAATGGTCTCCAGTTCTCACAACTTCAGCAAGACTCTCATATGTCTCTCTCCAGTTCTTTCTTTATCTGAGTTCTGGTTTATAGTTTGAATTGTCTGCCAGATATTTCGAATTGCACATTCCACCATCTCTTCAAACTCAACATTACTAAAACTAAATGGATCACTTTTACCCCCAAACCAAGGTCTTTTTCTCTCACTTTGGTTATGAAATAATTATTGATTTGTTTTATTTTTAATTGCAGGCTCTTCAGCAAAAGCCCTTGTCAGTTTAAAAGGTAAGAAGTATAGCATTTTTAGGTATACCATAGCTAAAAGTCTAATTTGTTAAATTAATCTGGATATAGTGTTTCCATTTTCCTTCTAAGTTATGATTCATTGTAGCTTTTCAGTATTGGTTTTCACTGATAACCTTAAATTAATATGCTTTTATAGGAGAATTGATCCTCAGTTGTTAGAAATTATTTTTAAAAATTTCTAAAATTATTGATTAAAAACCTTTCTAATTAAACATTCCATAAATATTTAGATTAAAAGCATTTGTTAAACGACTGTGCTGACCTATATGTTAGCATAATTGTTTGTTTGTTTGTTTTTGAGACAGTCTCTCTCTGTTGCCCAGGCTGGAGTACAACGGTGCAATCTTGGCTCACTGCAACCTCTGCGTCCCAGGCTCAAGCGATTCTCCTGCCTCAGCCCCCTGAGTAGCTGGGATTACAGGCATGTGCCACCATGCCTGGCTAATTTTTGTAATTTCAGTAGAGACGGGATTTCACCATGTTGGCCAGGCTGGCCTCAAACTCCTGGCCTCAAGTGATCTGCCCACCTTGGCCTCCCAAAGTGCTGGGATTACAGGCGTGAGCCACTGTGCCCAGCAGATTTTTTGTTTATTTATTTTTTGAGACAGGGTCTCGCTTTGTCACACAGGCTAGAGTGTGGTGATGTGATTACAGTTCACTGTAGCCTCGACCTCCTGGGCTCAAGTGATCCTCTTGCCTCAGCTTCCCATGTAGCTGGGACCACAGGCACATGCTACCATGCCCAGCTAATTTCTTTATTTTTTGTAGAGAGGAGGCCTCACTTTGTTGCCCAGGCTGGTCTCGAACTCCTGGGCTCAAGGGATCCTGCTGCCTCAGCTTTGCAAAGTGCTGAGATTACAGGCATGAGCCACCACACCTGGCCCGTAATAGCTTATTTTTAAGAGTCTTGCTTTCACTGGGCACGGTGGCTCACGCCTGTAATCCCGGCACTTTGGGAGGCTGAGGCAGGCGGACCACTTGAGCTCAGGAGTTCGTGATTAGCCTGGCTAACAAGGTGAAACCCCATCTCTACTAAAAATACAAAATTATCCGGGAGTGGTGGCAGGTGCCTATAATCCCAGCTACTTGAGAGGCTGAGGCAGGAGAATTGTTTGAACCTGGGAGGCAGAGATTGCCGTAAGCCAAGATCGCGCCACCACACTCCAGTCTGGGAGTCTGGGTGACAGAGTAAGACTCTGTCTCAAATTCCAAAAAAAAAAAAAAAGAATCTTGCTTTCTAAGTAATAATGTCTTGAAATAAAAATAAAAGAATAATAGTACTTTTCTCATTCTAAGAAAAAGTTTGACATGTTCCTTGGTCTCACTATTTCTTTTGGCAGGTACATTAGACTAACCTTTTTAACATAGTTTCTTTAAAATTTTACCTCTTGATTAAGATTCTGGTAGGTCAATAAATTTGGAACCAAGCTAAATATTCTCAAAGTACTTTTAGTCTTTAAAGCTACTATATTGTGCTTTGGATTGGTGATTTACCAAATTAAATCCTTCTAGCTTGAGAAGACAATTTGTCTTCCAGAACACCCCAGTTTGTTTGTCTTTTGTGATTCTTAAAAATTATTCCATTATTCTTTTTCTCCCAATATTAAACTCATTTCTCTCCCCCCTGCCTTTTTTTTTTTTTTTTTTGAGACTGAGTCTCGGTTTGTCGCCCAGGCTGGAGTGCAGTGGCACAATATCTTGGCTCACTGCAACCTCTGCCTCCTGGGTCAAGTGATTCTTGTGCCTCAGCCTCCTGAGTAGCTGGGACTGCAGGCATGCATCACCACACCTGGCTAATTTTTGTATTTTTAATAGAGATGGGTTTTCATCATGTTGGCCAGGCTGGTCTTGAACTCCTGACCTCAGGTGATCCTCCCACTTTGGCCTCCCAATGTGCTGGGATTACAGATGTGAGCCACTGCACCCGGCACTCATTCATCTTGATAAATCATTTATATAAGTAACGTACATTTCTTATGGAAAAAATGAGAAAATGCTGATGAGCCACTAGAAGAAAATAAAAATAACCAGCTTGTATATTCATCCCAGTTTTCTATGCCTCTATATAAACATCTTTTTTACAAAAATTAAACTTACCCCTCTTTATTTTCACAATATGTCTAATCATTATAATATGTGTAAATCATAATATGTCTATTCGATAGAATTCTTTTCTGCTTGTGTACAACTCTGAAGACATTTCTCTGAATTAAGGAAAACAGAAATAACCACGCTGATTTACTTTTTCTTTTTTTGTGAGGGGACAGAGACTTGCCATGTTGCCCAGACTGAAGTGCAGTGGTGCTATCTCGGCTTGCTTCGACCCTGGCTCGCTTTGACCCTGGCTTGCTTCGACCTTCGCCTCCCAGGTTCCAGCAATTCTCTGCCTCAGCCTCCTGAATAGCTGGGACTACAGGTGCGTGCCACCATGCCCAGCTAATTTTTGTATTTTTTGTAGAGGTGGCGTTTCACCATGTTGGGCAGGTTGGTCTCGAACTCATGGCCTCAAATGATCCACCCACCTCGGCCTCCCAAAGTCCTGGAATTATAGGCATGAGCCATTGCACCTGGCCTAATTTCCTTTTTATATATCAAGTGATTCACATATTAAAGCAGAAAACATTTAGAAATGTGCTCTAAATACAGGCTGGCCTGGTGGCTCATGCCTGTAATCTCAACACTTTGAGACACTGAGGCGGGTAGATCACCTGAAGTCAGGAGTTTGAGACCAGCCTGGCCAACATGGAGAAACCCTGTCTCTACTAAAAATACAAAAATTAGCTAGGCGTGGTGGCACACACCTGTAATCCCACTACTGGGGAGGCTGAGGCAGGAGAACCACTTTAACCTGGGAGGCAGAGGTTGCAGTGAGCCAAGATTGTGCCACTGCACTCCAGCCTGGGCGATGGAGCAAGTACTCTGTCTCACACACAAAGAAAAAGTAAAAAAGAAATGTGCTCTAAATTCAAGGTTAGAAAAGGCTTTTTCCATTTTTGATTCCCCTGCTTTCAGAATTGTACCAAAAGTTATGAGATAGTTCTTGGCAAGTTGGAATGGAGAAATTATTAAAAATCCAAAAACAAAGAAAAAGAAGCACATGTTTCAGTATGGACATTTAATACTTTCAAGATGCATTGCTTTATCAAATTATTTAGAGAGTTTGACAGAAAAATACGGAAGAGCTTTTTCATTTATAATAATCTAAAATTATTATAGTCAGTATATTTTTTCCATATTAAATATTTTAGATATATGGCTGTTATGAAAAAAACAGTATTCATGGTATGAAATCCTTTGAACTAAGCCAAAATTCCATTAGTATTAACTATTTATTACAGAAGGAAGCTTATCTAACACGTGGAATGAAAAGTACAGTTCTTTACAGAAAACACCTGTTTGGAAAGGCAGGAATACAAGCTCTGCTGTGGAAATGGTAAGGAGTGAGTTTTTCTTACATTTTAGAATAATTCTAGCTAAGTTGTCTGTATTATTGTCATGTGTAAATTCTTGCAGCACAGTAAAAAATTTACAAGTTTTTTTCCCAACCTCAAGTGTCATTAAGCACTGTTTGATCTTATTTAGGTAAATTAATCTGTACCCAGTGATAATCTGGTCATCAGTAAGCATTTGTTCAGTAATTGTGTAATAGTTTCTTTAAATAGGAAAAACAAAAACTACAACTTATACTTTTATTAGATACGCAAAAAATTTTACATGGCTTTGGTACCTGCAAAAATATATATATGTGGTAAGGTATTAAAATCTTGTATAGACAAAAAGAAAAAAAAAGAAATCATTGTGTAGCTCAAAGGTAAGTGCATTTAGAGGTGGGAAGTAGAGATGAGCATATAATTGACATGACTAACAGTTTTAGGAACTCTCTTTCTCTCCTGCCCTGCCAGGTAGCCAGGAGGTTTTAAGGGTCTGTCATGAAACAGTCCTGGAGTTGGGATAGACAGCAGCAGTCACAGTAGCCTGGGCAGCTGACCACAGTGAATGTGAGGGGCTTTCCTCACTGTGTCAATTCCATCATCTTCATTCCCTTCCTCTTCTCTGCTTGTGGTCAGGGAAGGGGGGCAGTGTAGAATGGAATTCCTGTCAGGGCTATAGAGTATCAAGACTCTGAGTGGGTTTAATTTCTTTTTGTTTTTCTTTTTTTGAGACGAGGTCTCGCTCTGTCGCCCAGGCTGGTCAGGAACTCCCAGGCTCAAGCGATCCTGCCCGCTCAGCCTCCCTAGTAGCTGGGACTACAGGTGTGTGCCACCACGCCCAGCTAATAAAA
The DNA here is from genome assembly GCF_000001405.40 of Homo sapiens. Taxonomy (NCBI): domain Eukaryota; kingdom Metazoa; phylum Chordata; class Mammalia; order Primates; family Hominidae; genus Homo; species Homo sapiens. The sequence goes on along the minus strand of NC_000001.11, from coordinate 226,296,869 downwards.
AATTTTTTTTTTGTAGAGATGGGGTCTCCTTGTGTTGCCCAGGCTGGTTTCCAGCTCCTGGGCTCAAGTGATCCTCCTGCCTCGGCCTTCCAAAGTGCTGGGATTATAGGCATGAGCCACTGTGCCCAGCCAGAGTGGGTTTAATTTCAAGGGTTCATAGACCCGAGTGGATGTTGCCCATATGTTGTTAGCCGCCTGCACCTGTTTCTCTTCCAAATAGCCATGAGGGGTGGGAGAAGGCTTTGAAAAGGATGTAGGTCTTATCGGGATATTATTTCTTTTTCTCTCTATTAATGAAACCTCTGAACCTAGGGTGAACTGTAAAATCTTTACTATTACAGACCCTTAAGTGTATGATGTACTTTTGGTACTTAAACAACTTTTTTAGTTCTATGGGTAATTATCAGGTATCTATCATATGTATCTTTTATTTACAAGTGAAAATTCGGTTAACAATTTTTGACAGCAGATAGAGTATAATAGTATACACATTTAGGCTTACTCTTCTAGAGTGATTTAGAACCTTTGGCCCAGCCCAGCCCTATGCAGCAGACATATCATGTCACACACCCAATTGGTATTAACCCAAGCAACAACATAATTTGAACTGGAATTTCCGGAACTTATTTTCCTATCATCACTGTCCAAGGCTGCCAGTGTACTAAGGAGACTTGGGGTTCCAGTTTTACTTTATTCATCAGCTAGGTATTTCATTCATAAGCACCTTGTATAAATACATCTTACTGCTTTCTAAATCTGAGATTATTTATATTTGGCTTTGTGTGCTTTGTGTTGCCCATACTTTATCCTTCCATACTGCTGATAATCCAGAGTTAGCTCAGTTTTCCAAGTATAGAATTGTATTTTGGAACAAAAATGGGAGGGTTCGGCTTTTTCATTAAATGAAAACATTTCTATCATAGCCTTTCAGAAATTCAAAACGAAGTCGACTTTTTTCTGATGAAGATGATAGGCAAATAAATACAAGGTCACCTAAAAGAAACCAGAGGGTTGCAATGGTTCCACAGGTATGTGTGTGCTAAAATTTTGTTTCATTGGAAAGGAAGTAAGCAAATGCTCAGCCTAATAAAGTTTATATTTCTGTTACATTTTGAGTAACAAGTTCTTTTCTTTAAATTCGTACGGCTGCTCTGGTCCTGTTTTAGTTACCTAGAAAATGTTATTTTTTTGATCAACTTTAAAACAGGATAGAAAGCCAGTCATTAGTCCTACAAATGCACACTTTTAAGCATGGAGATAGTGGAAGAATTTGGCAACATGGCATCAATTTGTAGGTTTGCACAGATATAAGAGGGAAAAAATGTTTTACTTGATCACCAAGAGAAGTACATTGAAGACTTCCTTTATCCAAGAGAGGAAAAAAATATATATATATATGTTTATTTATATATATATATTTTGAGACGGAGTCTCACTCTGTCGCCCAGGCTGGAGTACAGTGGCGTGATCTCGGCTTACTGCTACTTTTGCCTCCCGGGTTCAAATGATTCTCCTGCCTCAGCCTCCCGAGTACCTGGGATTACAGGATCACACCACCACGCCCAGCTGATTTTTATATTTTAGTAGAGACGGGGTTTCACCATGTTGGCCAGGCTGGTCTTGAACTCCTGACCTCAAGTGATCTACCCGCCTCGGCCTCCCAAAGTGCTGGGATTACAGTCGTGAGCCACTGCACCCTGCTGAGAGGAAAATATTTAGCATGAAATCGTATCTCCTTATTTATTTTTGGCATTTAAAAACTCATAGTGGGCTGGGCATGGTGGCTCATGACTATAATCACAGCACTTTGGAAAGCCAAGGTGAGTGCATCACTTGAGGCCAGGAGTTCGAGATCAGCCTGGCCAACATGGCGAAACCCTGTCTCTACTAAACATACAAAAAAACTAGCTAGCATAGTGGCACACGCCTGTAATCTCAGCTACTTGAGAGGCTGAGGCATGAGAATCGTTTGAACCCAGGAGGCTGAGGTTGCAGTGAGCCGAGATCATGCCACTGCACTCCAGCCTGGGCAACAGAGCAAGACTCTGTCTCAAAAAAAAAAAAAGTAGACATGTAAAAATTAAAGGAATGAAAATTAGATAGGGAAATATTAACTTTAAGGGTAATGTAATTTTTGTCTTATTCAATTTATAACTTCTGATATAATCATTCCCTATTTCTCTTTCATTATTTTCCAAAGCCTTATAAAACAAGATTTTCTAGTATAATGGATGGTAGAGGTGATATTCTCAACCAAGAATTTAGCATTAGGTTTTTTTTTTTTTGTTTTTTTTTTTTGAGACAGAGTTTTGCTCTTGTTGCCCAGGTGGAGTGCAGTGGTGTGATCTCAGCTCACTGCAATCTCCAGCTCCTTGGTTCAAGTGATTCTCCTGCCTTAGCCTCCCGAGTAGCTGGGATTACAGGCATGTGCCTGGCTAATTTTGTATTTTTAGTAGAGATGGGGTTTCTGCATGTTAGTCAGGCCGATCTTGAACTCCTGACCTCAGGTGATCTGCCCACCTCAGCCTCCCAAAGTGCTGGGATTACAGGCGTGAGCCACTGCGCCCAGCCAGGTTTTTTTTTTTTTTTTTTGGACTGCATTGGCACGATCTTGGCTCACTGCAATCTCTGCCTCCCATACTGAAGTGATTCTTGTCCCTCAGCCTCCCAAGTAGCTGGGACTATAGGCACGCACCACCACACCTGGCTAATTTTTGTATTTTCAGTAGAGACAGGGTTTTGCCACATTGGCCAGGCTGGTCTCAAACTCCTGACCTCAAGCGATCCACTCACCTCAGCCTCCTAAACTGCTGGGATTACAGGTGTGAGCCACCACACCTGACCCAAGGACTTAGCATTAAATAAATTAAAAGCATGACCAGCAATCTACCCTACCAATAAAAACTCTTAAATGCCTTATGATAATTTTAAACAGGAAAATATGTTCATGTTCTGTAGAATGAACAAAAATGTATCTTGAACTTCAAAAAAAAAAGTTGTCAAGGACAAGTGCACATAAGCATCTAATAATTTGATTTTGTAATCCCAGCACTTTGGGAGGCCAAGGCAGGATCACTTGATGTCAGGAGTTTGAGACGAGTCTGGCCAACATGGCAAAATGCCATCTCTACAGTAAATACAAAAATTAGTTGGGCGTGGTGGCACACGCCTGTAATCCCAGCTACTTACTTGAACCTGGGAGGCAGAGGTTGCAGTGAGCCGAGATCACAGCTGTACACTCCAGCAAGGGTGACAGAACAAGAGTCTGTCTCAAAAAATAAATTAAAATAAATTTAAAAATAATAATAGTTTGATCTTGTTGAAACTAAAATGCAGTGTGCATTTCTTGGCTAAGTTAGCTGTTGTATACAAGGTTGAATGAACAAGAAATAGTTAAATAACAATTTTGTTAGCTAGACTTTGGAATAGCTATGTTACTAGGATAATCTAGATGATTCACAAACATACAGAAAACTGATCTTTATGACTGTGACACTGTCCTGTCGCAACTCTATCCACTGCCTTCCTTCCTGAGCACATCACTCCTTCTGGACTATTTTACAGAGCCCTTTTTAGCAATACAGAGAATTCTGAGCAATACAGAACAAATATAATGTAGGATAAACATGATATGAGACTTCTTCAAGTATGTGAAAAGTTTTTATATCCTCTGAGTTTTCTCTTTACTAGTTGTAGAATCTCTAGTGCTTTCCATCTTCATTTACCTGACATGGCTTGTTCCCTTACCCTCCTTAGTCATATCTTCTAAATCTCTCGTATTTTGTCTGTATGTTTATTTAAAGAACACCACCCAGAGCTGAAAAATTATGAAAACTAACTTTTACTGATTACTTATGTGTTGAGTCCTGTTCTAAGCACTTCATAGGTATTACTTTGATTTAATCTTCAACAACTCCTATGAGATAGGTTACTGTTACATTATTTCCCATTTTGTAGATGAGAAAACAGACACAGATAAGTATCTTGCCCAAGAACTCAAAGCTAGGAAGTAAAGGCTAGTAACAGTCAGGCAGCCTGTCTCCAGAGTCCTACTTTAAAAAGAAAAAAAACCAGCTTTGTTGAGATAGACTTTACATATACAAATCATATATTTAAAGCATTTAGTTTGGCTGGGCAGTGGCTCATTTTGAGAGGCCAAGGTGGGAGGATCGCTTGAGCTCAGGAGTTTGAGACCAGCTTGGGCAACAGAGTGAGACCCTGTCTCTACAAAAAAAATTTTTTTTAAAAATTAGCCAGGCATGGTGGTGGGCACCTGTGGTACCAGCTCTTTGGGAGGCCAAAGTAGGATCACTTCAGCCCAGGAGATTGAGGCTGTAGTGAGCTATGATCAGACCACTACAGTCCAGCCTGGGCAATAGAACAGAGACCCTGTCAGTTTTAATAATTTATGTTTCTGGTCTGGTGCAGTGGTGCCCGCCTGTAGCACTTTGGGAGGCTAAGGCAGGTGGATGGCTTAAGCTCAGGAGTTCCAGACTGGCCTGGGCAACATGGTGAAATCCCGTCTCTACCAAAAATACAAAAATTAGCTGGGTGTGGTGCACACGCCTGTAGTCCCAGCTTCTCAGGAGGCTGAGACAGGAGAATCACTTGAATCTGGGAGGTGGAAGCTGCAGTGAGCCGAAATTGCGCCACTACACTCCAGCCTGGGTGACAGAGTGAGACCCTATCTCAATCAGTCAATAGAAGATTCCCTCTAACAATTTGAATCTATTTTCCCATACCCAACAGGCGGGTCCTTAATATAGTTTTATATTCGATGAGCTGCTAATACCCTATATACCCTATTTAAAAATCTGGGTCAATAATGTAGTAGAAAGAAATAACACTTTTTGTGATAAGAATATTTTATAGTAATTTGGTTATTTATGCTAAACATCTCCTCACTTATAAATTTTTTCTTTTTTCTTCTTTTTACATTTAATTTTTTTTTTTCTCCTGAGAATGGTCACTGAGGGAAAACAAAGAAAAACAAAGTTATTTTTCTAAATGCAGTGTGGTATCCTGAATTGGTTTCTGGAACAGAAAAAGGATGTTGGTGAAAAAACTGGTAAAATCCAAATAAAGCCTGTAGTTTAGTTAATAGTATTGCACTAGTTTTGACAAATATACCAAAGTTACTATAAGATATTGATGTTAGGGAAAGCCAGGTGAAGGGCATGTGGGAATATGTACTATCTTTGCAACTTGCCTGTAAATCTACAACTTTTCCAAAATACAAAGTTTATAATAAAAATTTTAAAATTTTGACCCTAACTTACCATTCCAATATGTACTTCCCTCATACAGTGGCAGCCACTATAATTAGTTTGATTATCCTTATGAAACCTTTTAAATATACTTTTAATGTATTCATAGAAAATATTTAATATTGTTAAATGTATATATATTTTTTCTTTTTCTAAATGTATGTATTCTAAAAATTACATTTGTAGTATCATTTTCATGGTATTGTGCCATGTGTCATTCTGTAATTTTTTCACTGTCTTTTTTTGAGATCTGGCCATGTTGATTGATTGAGATAATCGGATTCAGTGTTTCATTTCTTTTTACTATTGAATAGTATTCAATTTTATATCATTATTTATAAATTCTCCCATTTGGGAGCATTTAAATTGTTCGTAAATTTTTACTTTGACAAATAATGCTGCAGTGAACATCCTGAGCATGTTTGTATAAATTTGCAAGTTTTTTTCTAGGACAGATGCCTAAGATGTGGAATTGCTGGATCGTAAATTATGTACATTTAAAGTTTTTAAAGCAGTACCAAATACTCTCCGAATAAATTGAACTGGGACCATGCACAGTGGCTCACACCTGTAATAGCAGCACTTTGGGAGGCCGAGGTGGGCAGATCACCTGAGGTCAGGAGTTCAAGACCAGCCTGGCCAACATGGCAAAACCCCATCTCTACTAAAAATAGAAAAATTAGCCAGGTGTGGCGGCACGTGCCTGTAGTCCCAGCTACTCGGGAGGCTGAGGCATGAGAATAGGTTGAACCTGGGAGGCGAAGGCTGCAGTGAGCCGCGATCGTGTCAGTATGCTGCAGCCTAGGTGACAGAGCAAGACGCTGTGTTAAAAAATTTTTTTAAAAAAAGGAAAGAAATTGTACTGGTTTATATATATTAGAGTTCCTATTTTCCAAATGCCTCCAACTCAGTACAGAACCAACCATCTAGATTTTTGCTAATCTGATATATAGAAATAGCCTTGGCCGGGTGCGGTGGCTTACGCCTGTAATCCCAGCACTTTGGGAGGCCGAGGTGGGCGGATCACGAGGTCAGGAGATCAAGACCACCCTGGCTAACACGGTGAAACCCCGTCTCTACAAAAAATACAAAAAATTAGCCGGGCGTGGTGGCGGGCGCCTGTAGTCCCAGCTACTCGGGAGGCTGAGACAGGAGAATGGCGTGAACCCGGGAGGTGGAGCTTGCAGTGAGCCGAGATCGTGCCACTGCACTCCAGCCTGGGCAACAGAGCGAGACTCCATCTCAAAAAAAAGAAAAAAAAAAAAAAAAGAAATAGCCTCTCACTTGTTTTAGTTGGCATTTTATATAAGAGCAAAGTTGAGACACTTTTCATATGTTTAAAAATTATTTCTTTCCTTTTCTGTAAACTGTTTATGCCTTTTTCCCATTTTTCTATTGGATTGTGGGTCATTGTGTTACTAGTTTATAAGAATTTTGTATATATTAAAAATATTGGCCCTTTGGATGTTTATAATGGCTGTAATTTTTTTTAGAGTTTATAGTTTGTCTTTTGATTTGTTTCTGTATTTTTTAACATATGGGATTTTAAAATATTTTAAGGATCAAATGTAACTTTGTTACCTTTTAATGACTTCTTGAGTTTGTCATGCTCAGAAAGACCTTTTCTACACTAAAATTTATCATTTTAGAATTCTCTCATATTTCATTTTTTTGGTTTGAACCTTCAGTACATCTGGAATTTATTTTGCAGTAAGGGATGAAGTAAAATTGCAACCTAGCTTTCCCACCCCCCCCCACCCCCCCCCCCGGAGGACTACTTAGTTGTCCTAGTAACATTTATTGGGTAATCCATCTTTTTAAACATTGATTTAAAATGCTGCCTTCATCAAAGCTAAATTCGTATAAGTATTTGGGATTACTTTCAGGCTTTCTATCTCTACATCTAGCATATCTCTATATGTGCTAGTATCAAATTATTTTGGCTGGGCATGGCAGCTCATACCTGTAATCCTAGCTCTTTGGGAGGCTGAGGCAGGAAGATCGCTTGAGCCCAGGAGTTTGGGACCAACCTGGTAACATAGCGAGAGCCCGTCTCCACAAAAAATGCATGAATTAGCCCAGTGTGGTGGCACATGCCTGCAGTCCCAGCTACTTGGGAGGTTCAGGTGGGAGGATGGCTTGAGCCCAGGAGGTCAAGGCTGTAGTGAGCAATGTTTGCACCACTGCACTTCAGCCTAAGTGACAGAGAGAGAGACCCTGTCTCAAAAGAACAAACAAAACCAAAACACACACACACACACACACACAAAATTGGTTTAACATGACTTTATACTGTGTTTTAATGCCTGGTAAGATATTATCACATATTCTTTTTTTGAGATTTTTTTCCTTTTCTTTCTTTTTTTTTGACATGGAGTCTCACTCTGTCGCCCAGGCTGGAGTGCAGTGGTGTGATCTCTGCTCACTGCAACCTCCGCCTCCCAGGTTCAAGCTAGTCTTCTGCCTCAGCCTCCTGAGTAGCTGGCACTACAGGCACAGCCACCACGCCCGGCTAATTTTTGTATTTTTAGTAGAGATGGGGTTTCACTATATTGGCCTGGCTGTCTGGAGCTCCTGACCTTGTGATCCGCCCATCTCGGTCTCCCAAAGTGCTGGGATTACAGGCGTGAGCCACTGCGCCCAGCATAAGATTTTTTCCTAAATATTTTTGTGCATTTATTTTTCCATGTAGACTTTAGAATCAACTTGACTAGGAAAAAAAAATCCTGTTGGCATTTTGACTGGGATTGGACTAATATTATAATTTATGGGAAATGATATATATAGGTAACATTGAGACTACCTAAGAACTGATTGTAGTTCCACTTAGTTCATAGTATTTCACAGTAGACTTAATTTTTTTCCATATCAGTCTTGCATGTTTCGTAAGTATATTCCTACATATTTAATTTTTTTGTTTATGTCCATTTTTGTGCTGTTATAAACAGGATATAAACTCTTATGGCCTGTCCAGTTATTATTTACATATAGTGATTTTTTTGAATCATGGTTTTTGTATATCAACTTTGTATTTACCCATTTCATTAAATTTTCTTACTGTTTTTAATTGTTACAGTTGATTTTCTTGAGTTTTCACCTACAAGGAAATGGTAGTTTTATCTTCTTTCTAAATTTTATTCTTCTTACCTGATTGGCCAATTCCTTCAAAACAGTGTTATGAAATAGTGGTGGTAGTTGAAATCTTTGTCATACTAGGTTAGTGGTGGTAGTTGAAATATTTGTCGTTCTCATCGTCTTTTAATATTACGATACTGGTTTTTGGGTTGGAGTGGGGAGAAATGTTTTATTAGGTTAAAAAAGTATCCATCTAAGCTGGGCGCTGTGGCTCACACCAGTAATCCCAGCACTTTGGGAGGCTGAGGCAGGCAGATTACCTGAGGTCAGGAGTTTGAGACCAGCCTGGCCAACATGGTGAAACCCCATCTCTACTAAAAATACAAAAATTAGCTGGGTGTGGTGGCGTGCGCCTGTAGTCCCAGCTACTTGGGAGGTTGAGACAAGAGAGTAGCTTGAACCCGGGAGGCAGAGGTTGCAGTGAGCCGAGATTGTGCCACTGCATTCCAGCCTGGGCAACAGAGCAAGACTGTCAAAAAAAAAAAAGGCAATAATCAAAAATAATCGGAGTGTTTAAAACAGCAACAAAATTCCATGTTGAATATCAGTGAATCAGTGAACCTTTTTAAGTACTTAAACATAATTTACCTTTTGCAAATTTATTCAGGGTTATAAATGTTCATTTTTACTTAATGGAGCCATAAATTAATCTCTTTTTTTTATTGTATAGAAATTTACAGCAACAATGTCAACACCAGATAAGAAAGCTTCACAGAAGATTGGTTTTCGATTACGTAATCTGCTCAAGCTTCCTAAAGCACATAAATGGTGTATATACGAGTGGTTCTATTCAAATATAGATAAGTATGTATCATGGCTTATATTATGAATATTACTTGAATCAGAAATTTAAGTTTTTCAAGTGTTTTAAGCTACAACATTTTCTATAGGTCTACTTTGATCTTATTTTTCTCTAAATTCATTTTTCTGTTCCACATTCCAGTTGGATCTATTCTATTTGTCATAGTTTTCTTCCCTGTTATCCTTTTTGGGGAAGAAAACTGTACATTTTTGTGAAGAATTGATTACGGTATAATTTCTGTGTTAGAATTCTTAAAGACTATGGAGTAGAGATACCTTAAAACACCATTATTTGCAGTGAATGAGATTCATTTTATAATTGAGATGTTAAGTGCTGGTATAATCATAGAGAAACCATTACTAATGGTAAAAATGGCTTAAGATTTTTAAGAGGGTAGTCTTTCTAGTTTGGATGTGGTACTTAAGCACGCTAGGTATACACATATGCTTAAGTATGACGTAGTATGAGATTTGGCTGAAATACAATTATTCAACAATGGAATTTACTGAGGAAAAGTTCTTATTTATAATCCTTCCTCATATGCCAGTCATTGCTGCTTGCTCTGCTGGATATTTATATTTTCTTCCCTTCTCTGTTTTCTATACCAATTGCCTACTCTGGAGCTTGTGAATCTCATGAATGTTCATATTTGAGCCCAAGGCATTTATGTATCATTGCCAACACTGGTTCCTGGTTTCCCAGACTCATGAATAGAATTGTTTTATTTTTGTCCATAGGCTTAAGAGAGTTTTCAGGGTGTCTCAGTGTAATCTGAGTTCTTCTGGGATCCCCCAAGCTAATCTAACCCTCTGGAGTCCTCCAGTGTCCCAAGACTGGTTTAATTCCAAAGAGGACTCCTTGGTGATGGTATTCCTTTGGGACAAAGATACTTTGTAGCTAACTTGGTTTATCTTCACCTGATACAAGGCCAGGGCCACGATAGCCTCCCAAAGGATATACCTGTATAAGAGATTGAACAAAAATCAGTGTCTCTTGGAATCACAACACAAATAATATTTCCTGAGCAACTTTTACACGACATTAGATGTTTCACAAATGCCAAGGATTTAGTTTTAGCACTTTGAATTTGTGCCAGTTTATATATATATATGGGGTAGAAGTGAAAGTTTAGCATTTTGTGATTTTATGTGTTTTAAGAAAGTAACACATTGTATGTAACCATTAAAATACTATATCTGTTTTACAGACCACTTTTTGAAGGTGATAATGACTTCTGTGTATGTCTAAAGGAATCTTTTCCTAATTTGAAAACAAGAAAGTTAACAAGAGTAGAATGGGGAAAAATTCGGCGGCTTATGGGAAAACCACGGAGGTAAAAATAATGTTTTTGTTTTTGTTTAAAATAAAATCAAGCCAGTAGCAGTGCATGTACTTATAATCCCAGTTACTTGGAAGGCTAAGATGGGGTATTTGCTTAAGGCCAGGGGTTCAGGGCTGTAGTATGCTGTGATTACACCTGTGAATAGTCACTGCACTCTAGCCTGGGCAACACAGTGAGACCATTCCTCTAAAAAAGAATTAAAAAATAAAATCAATAAATAATAGTTGTTAGTATCATTAGTACATTGATTTTTTTAATCTTTAAAATGACTAGTACCAAAACATAACTTTTCAGAATAATTGATTATATGTTAAATATATCCTGTTAACCAACTTTAATGTAGGTGCTGTTTATACGTATGCATCTTATAATTAAATGCACAATTTCATTTTTGTTAGGATCACAGGTTTTCAACGTAATTTTTTAGTTTTACATTATCTATGTCCCTCTGTGTTCCAAAAAATATTTAAGAATGTCCTAAAAAGTATTTAAGGATGCTGTAAAGTTCTGTGTACATTTTTGTTATCTTTTGTGAAATCCTTTATAATCTCAGGAGCCTTCCCAGAAGTGCCTATTTTATTTTATATAAAAGTAGAAAACAAATTAATCTATCTAATATGTTACTTCCTGAGAATTGCTCTTCATGTGAAATGATTTTTTCTTTTCCAGTGTTATCCTGGTAACACATTGGAAAACCTTATATTACTTTTGAGTGAAAATTGGAAATATGTTAGAAGAATAATTAGATCATTAGTTCTCACATTATGTCTATCTGCCTGGTAAAAAGTATGTGCAAGACTTTTTCATTTTAAATGGTGGGAAAGTTCAAGGAAGGTCTGTAAATATAAAGTGATTTGGACAAATAGAAATGGAATTTAGATTTAATGATTTCTTTAGATGGTGATGAAATACAGAGAGAACTTTTAATTAAACTGTCATCAAGATGACCTTGATGATGATGTTTTTAATATTTCTTATAATAACAAAATTAAAATTTGATATGTTATTTAGTGTGTTTCATACTCATAATTTATGGCCTTTGGTAATTACAGTAGCCATTTGGTGACTTTTTGCTATCATTTTGCGTGTTTGAGCAAATTGAGTTACACTGTTTCTAATTATTGTCCATCAGAGTGGGATATTGGTCACTATTTACTGTTTTGTCATAGTTCTGTAGTTTGAGTGTCATAATATTTCTCGTTAATTGATCTTCTATTCTCTTACCATAACATTATTTAATCTTATAGTCCTTTAATTCATCAAGGTTAATTAATAGTTGAAGTCTTTTTTCAATAAAATGTGTAGTTTTTCTTTCTTTGAGGAAGTCCAGGTATAATACAAATTATTGATACAATAAACCTTAAAATATCTTAATTTTAAAAATCAATTGGTGAAACTCCATCCACTTGGAAGATAAAAAGGAAGAAACAAAGGAAGATAAACTACCAGGAAAGAACCTAAGAGGAAATATGCAAGATACATATGAAGAAACATTAAGACATACAGGATCTTGGAAAAGAAGACTCAACATCCTAAATTAGTCTATAAGTTAAAATCAGTCCCAATAAAAATATTAACAGGCCTTTTTTGTTGTTTTGTTGAGACAGAGTCTTGCTCTGTCACCCAGGCTGGAGTGCAGTGGCGTGATCTCGGCTTACTGCAGCCTCTGCCTTCTGGGTTCAAGTGATTCTCCTGCCTCAGCCTCCTGAGTAGCTGGGATTATAGGTGCTCGCCACCATGCCCAGCTAATTTTTGTATTTTTAGTAGAGACAAGGTTTTGCCATGTTGGCCAGGCTGGTTTTGAACTCCTGACCTCAGGTGATCCACCCACCTCAGCCTCCCAAAGTGCTAGGATTACAGGTGTGAGCCACTACACCTGGCCTCTTTTTTTAATTAGATGAGTTAATTCTAAAATTCACATATAAGAGGGGAGAAATCAAGCAGGAAAATTCTGAAAAAGCAAAGTAATGAAGAGAGATTCCACTTTAAAGAGCACTTTAAAATAGATTATAAAGTGATCATAATTAAAGCAGAGTGGTAGTGGTGCATAAATAGAAAAATGAATGAAAAAGAAAAGAAAATCCAGATACAGTCACAGATGTCTCTGGGAGTTTAGTATAATAGTTGCAATGGTTGACTCTCAAGTACATGGTGAAGAAGAGGGTGGATTGTTTGTTTAATGGAAACCGAGACTACTGTTTAGTAGTCTATAGAAAAAAACAAGTTGTTCTCATGCCTTACAACTAGGAAATATTTGAAAAGGATTGAAGATTTAAATATTTTTTTAAATGAAAGAATAAAACCACAAGAGGAAAACATAAGAGAGTTTTACTTAATCTTGAATTGGAAAAGGCCTTTCTCTCTCTCTCTCTTTTTTTTTTGAGATGGGAGTCTTGCTCTGTCACCCAGGCTGACGTGTGGTTGCACAATCTCGGCTCACTGCAACCTCTGCCTCCTAAGCTCCTACCTCAGCCTCCTGAGTAGAGTAGCTGGGACTACAGGCGCCCGCCACCATGCCTGGCTAACTTTTGTATTTTTAGTAGAGACGGGGTTTCACCATGTTGGTCAGACTGGTCTCAAACATCTGACCTCAGGCAATCCGCCTGCCCCGGCCTCCCAGAGTGCTGAGATTATGGGTATGAGCTACCATGCCTGGCCTGGAAAAGCAGGCTTCAAACCTAGGAGCCATAAAAGAAAACATTAATAAATTTGGCTATACAAAAATAAGAACGTTTTACATGGCCAAAAACAAAAGCCTGTAAACAGAGTTGAAAGATAGTACAGAAATATCCATCACATCTTATTACAGAGAGCTAATTCCCTACTATATAAAGAACTCCTATCAATAAGAAAATGTCAGGTAACGCATAATAAAAATGATTATAAGTAGATGATTCAGGCTGGGTGTGGTGGCTCACACCTGTAATCCCAGCACTTTGGGAGGCTCAGGCAGGAAGATCACTTGAGCTCAGGAACTCAAGACCAGCCTGGGCACCATGGTGAGACCCCATCTCCACCAAAAAAAAAAAAAAAAAAAAAAAAAAATTCAAAAATTACCCAGGCATGCTACTCAGGAGGCTGAGGTGGGAGTATCGCTTGAGCTCTGGATGTTGAGGCTGCAGTGAGCCATGCTCACGCCACTGCACTCAAGCCTGGGCAACAGAACAAGACCCTGCCTCAAAAATAAGTAAATAAAATAAACTTAGCCAGTTGGGTGACACATGACTGTGATCCTAGCTACTCACAAGACCAAGGTGGGAGGATCACTTGAACCCAGGACTTGAGACTGCAGTGAGCTGTGATTGCCCCCTTGCACTCCAGCGTGGGCAACAAAGGGAGACCCTGTCTGTTTAAAAGCAAGAACAACAACAGGTAATTGATAGGAAAGGAAAAAGAAATGGCTCTTGTAAACATGAAAAAAATTCCATTTTACTCATAATGGGAAATGCAAAATCAAAGTTTGCTGAGATACAGTTTTTTTTGTTTTTTGTTTTTTGTTTTTTGAGACAGAGTCTCACTCTGTTGCCCAGGCTGGGGTGCAGTGGCACGATCTTGGCTCACTGCAACCTCTGCCTCCCAGGTTCAAGTGATTCTCCTGCCTCAGGCTCCTGAGTAGCTGGGATTACAGGCGCCTGCCACCACGCCTGGCTAATTTTTGTATTTTTAGTAGAGACGGAGTTTCACCCTGTTGGCCAGGCTGGTCTTGAACTCCTGACCTCAGGTGATCTGCCCGCCTCGGCCTCCCAAAGTGCTGGGATCACAGGCGTGAGCCACCGCGCCCGGCCGAGATACTGCTTTTAACTATCAGATGGGCAGAGTTCATAAAGGTTTTAATGTGTTGGGTTAGTAATGGCATGGTTAGTCACTCATACATATTACTGGTGAGAGACTAATTTTATATAATCTCTGTGGAGGACAATTTGGTAATATCTATAAAATTTACAAATTTCCATTGCCTTGATGTAGCACTTTCAAGAATGTACAACACAGAGCTACTTGCACACAGATGAAATTACATGTACAAAGGTATTTATTGCAGTATTGTTTGTAGTAGTAAAAGATTGGCAACAGCCTAAAAGTCCATAAATGGGGGAATGATTATAGTATGGCACTCCATATAATAGAAAACCCTGAAACCATTTAACATAAAACAAAAACAGAAGATGGTTTCTATGTACTAATATGGAAATGATTGCTATGCTGTGTCAAGAAAAGAAAGCAAAATACACAACAGTGCATACTGTAGCTATTTGAGAAAAATAGAGGAACATATGCATTTTTTGATTGTATATGTCTAAGGTGTCAACAAAGGATCTGTAAGAAAAGTATAATGGCTGGGCGCCGGTGGTTAACACTATAATCCCAGCACTTTGGGAGGCCAGGGCAGGTGAATCATGAGGTCAGGAGTTCGAGAGCAGCCTGGCCAATATGGTGAAACCCCGTCTCTACTAAAAACACAAAAATTAGCTGGGCGTGGTGGCACATACCTGTAGTCCCAGCTACTCAGGGGGCTGAGGCAGGAGAATTGCTTGAGCCTGGGTAGTGGAGGTTGCAGTGAGCCGAGATCACACCACTGCACTCCAGCCTGGGCAACAGAGCGAGACTCCAAATCAAAAAAAAAAAAAGAAAAAGAAAAAAAAATTGTCAACTATAGGGAAATAGTATGGGTCCTGGGTTCTTATGTCAAGAAGACTTTTTTTGGTATATTTTTTAAATTGATATATAATAGTTGTACATATTTTGGGAGTACATGTGTACAGTGTGTAATGATCAAATCAGGGTAATTGGGATATCCATTACCTCAAACATTTTTCTTTGTGTTGGGAACATTATAATTTTTCTCTTCTAATTATGTGGAAATAGTCAATAAAAAACAAAGTAAAAACAAAAAATAGTCAATAAATTATTAACTATAATTTTCCTACCGTACTGTCAAATACTAGAACTTATTCCTTCTATCTCACTATATTTTTGTACCCCTTAGCTAATCTATCTCACTATATTTTTGTACCCCTTAGCTAACTTATCTTCATCCTCCCCTCCCTTTTCCCTTCCCAGCCTCTGGTAACCACCATTCTATTAATAATTTCTACCTCCATGAGATCCACATTTTTAGTTTCCATGTATGAATGAGAACATCTTATACTTGTTTTTCTGTGCCTGGCTTATTACACTTAGCATAATGACTTCCAATATCATCTATGTTGCTGCAAATGACAGGATTTCATTATATTTTGTGGCTGAATAAGATTCCATTGTGCATATATACCATATTTTAAAATTCCATTCATCTGTTGATGGACGCTTAGGGTGATTCCATATCTTGGCTATTGTAAATAGTGCTACAATAAACATGGGAGTACAGATATCTCTTTGATATACTGATTTCCTTTTTTTGAATATACACCTAACCATGGGATTGCTGGATTTTTAGTTTTTTGAGGAACCTCCATACTAATTTCCATAATGGTTATATACCAGGAAGATTTCTAAAAGATGTTGTTTACACCAGAAGCAAGTCTGGTTTTTTTTGTTTATGTGTTTGTTTTTGAGATGGAGTCTCGCTCTGTTGCCAGGCTGGAGTGCAGTGGTGTGATTTCGGCTCACTGCAATCTCTGTCTCCCAGGTTCAAGCGACTCTCCTGCCTCAGCCTCTCAAGTAGCTGGGATTACAGGCACACACTGCCACGCCTAGCTAATTTTTGTGTTTTTGGTAGAGATGGGTTTCACCATATTGGCCAGGATGGTCTCGATCTCCTGACCTCATGATCCGCCCACCTCGGCCTCCCAAAGTGCTGGGATTACAGGTGTGAGCCACTGCGCCCGGCCGCAAGTCTGTTTTTATAGTACTACTTAGCTTACTAGTAACTCATTATCCTTTGCTTTATCTTCTCATATTCTTCCCATATATACTGCTTGAATCAATATTCAACAAGTTCAGAAATCATACAAAAAAATCATTATTATCAGCTAAGCTCTTTCTGTGTATTTCCAGTCCTTATTCATCATTGCTTACAACAATTCACTTTATACAGTGCTGGTCTTTATATCCTTTTTTCTCATTGTTTTTATTTAGTTTTTGAGACAAATGACAATAGAGCTCATAATGTACCTTTGAAAGTGAAAGCCATAACATGGCATGAAAGTGATGTTTAAATACTTTGCTTCATCCTGGGATTTGAAAACGGAAGGAAGATAGGCTCTAGAAATAAGAGGGAATTCAGCATTTATACTTTTAAGGCAAAAATTATGATTAAAAGTTTACATAGTAGGAAGTCTCATCTTTAACTGCTATATTGGTGTGTTTACTGGGTCACAGAGAAAATATCATGTTCTTTTGGGTAGAATATTGAAATGGAACTTGGTCCCTATGAGATCTAGATTCCAGGCACAATTTCATCAAAGGATGGTGAAAAAATTATTTTGCTTTGTAGGAAGGAATAACCTGCAAAATCTTTGAGTCTTGGAAGGTCCTGTTTTTTAAAAAATGAAAGGTAATTTACTGTGAAAAGAAACAGTTCCTTTTTCTTTCCTTCCTTTTTTTTTTTTTTTTTTCAGACTGGGTCTTGCTCTGTTGCCCAGGCTGGAGTGGTGCAATCTCGGCTCACTACAACTTCTGTCTCCCAGGCTCAAACAATCCTCCCGCCTCAGCCTCCCGACTAGCTGGGACTACAGGCTCATTCCGCCACACCCAGCTTTTTTTTTTTTTTTTTTTTGTATTTTTGGCAGAAATGAGGTTTCACCATGTTGCCCAGGCTGGTCTCAAACTCCTGAGCTCAGGCAGTCCATCCGCCTCAGCCTCCCAAAGTGCTGAGATTACAAGTATGAGCCACTTTGCCCAGCTCTTTTTTTTGGGTGGGTGGGGAACAGTCTCCCTCTGTTGTGCAGGCTGGAGTGCAGTGGTACAATCACAGCTTAGCTCATTGCAGCCTCAACTTCCTGGGCTCAAATGATCCTCCGGCCTCAGCCTCCCAAGTAGCTGGATGCACACCATTATGCCTAGCTAATTTTTTTATTTTTAGCAGAAACAAAGTCTCACTATGTTGCCCAGGCTGGTCTCAGACTCCTGGGCTCAAGCAATTCTTCCACCTCGGACTACAAAGTGCCAGGATTAAAACATGAGCCACCATGCTTGGCCAAAAAGAAACAATTTTTTTTTCCCCCAAGACGGAGTCTCGCTCTGTTGCCCAGGCTGGAGCGCAGTGGCACGATCTTGGCTCACTGCAAGCTCAGCCTCCCGGGTTCACGCCATTCTCCTGCCTCAGCCTCCCAAGTACCAGGGACTACAGGCACCCGCCGCCATGCCCTGCTAATTTTTTGTGGTTTTTTTGTTTGTTTGTTTGTTTTTTGGTTTTTTTTTTTTTTTTAGTAGAGACGGGGTTTCACCATGTTAGCCAGGATGGTCTGGATTTCCTGACCTCGATATCTACCCGCCTCGGCCTCCCAAAGTGCTGGGATTACAGGCGTGAGCCACCGCGCC
The DNA here is from genome assembly GCF_000001405.40 of Homo sapiens. Classification (NCBI taxonomy): domain Eukaryota; kingdom Metazoa; phylum Chordata; class Mammalia; order Primates; family Hominidae; genus Homo; species Homo sapiens. The sequence continues at coordinate 226,278,844 of NC_000001.11, read as the reverse complement.
CGGCCTTTCTTTTTTTTTTTTGAGACGGAGTTTTACTCTGTCACCCAGGCTGGAGTGAAGTGGCTCAATCTTGGCCCACTGCAGCCTCTGCCCTCTGGGTTCAAGCGATTCCCCTGCCTCAGCCTCCTGAGTAGCTGGGATTATAGGCGCCTGCCACCACGCCTGTCTAATTTTTGCATTTTTAGTACAGACGGGATTTTGCCATGTTGGCCAGGTTAGTCTCGAACTCCTGACCTCAGGTCATCCACCCGCCGTGGCCTCCCATACTGCTAGGATTACAGGCATGAGCCACCACGCCCGGCCAGAAACAATCTAAGAACCTATTTTTGAATACAGTATACTTAATGAGAAGAAAAAAAGGAGTGGTGAGATGAATAGATTTTAAGGTTTTTTTGTTTTTGTTTTTGTTTTTTTTAAGATGGAGTCTCACTCTTGTCGCCCAGGCTGGAGTGCAGTGGCGCAATCTCAGCTCACTGCAACCTCCGCCTCCCAGATTCAAGCGATTCTCCTGCCTCAGCCCCCTGAGTAGCTGGGATTACAGGCGCCTGCCACCACGCCTGGCTAATTTTTGTAGTTTTAGTAGAGACGTGGTTTGGCCATGTTGGCCAGGCTGGTCTCTAACTCCTGACCTCAATTGATCTGTCCGCCTCAGCCTCCCAAAGTGCTGGGATAACAGGCGTGAGCCACCACGTCCGGCTGATTTTAAGTTTTTAATCTCAGCACTTGAGTCCAGGAGGTGGAGCCCAGAATCGCTTGAGCCGGAGATGGAGGTTGCAGTGAGCCAAGATTGTGCCACTGCACTCCAGCCTGGATGACAGAGCCAGACTCTATCTCAAAAAAAGAAAAAAAAAAGATTTTAAGTTTTTATATGGGGTAGTTATCAGTTTGTATGTTTTTTATAATTTATTCTAGATGTTCTTCTGCATTTTTTGAGGAAGAGAGATCAGCATTAAAACAGAAACGGCAGAAAATAAGGCTCTTACAACAAAGGAAAGTTGCAGATGTTTCACAATTCAAAGATCTCCCAGATGAAATTCCTTTGCCTCTGGTTATTGGAACGAAAGTTACAGGTAAGTGAAAACAAGCTAATTACTCTTTTGACTTGTAATTTTTAATCAAGGTAATCTTTTTTGTTTCTTTGGTTCTTATTTTATTTCATTTTTAATTACCAAGAAATATTTACAATAGACATCGTTAACCCTCACCCTATCCCTATCCCTCAACTCTCTCTGAGCCTGGTTGATGCTCAGGGATGGAGTAGGGGTTCTGTAGTACACATCACTTGATATTTTTTTTCCTTAGTGACTTTGATTTTTCACTAGAATGTGTTTACACGTACACATGGGACAAAATTCTGAAGGTGTAAATAACCCAGATAATCTCTATTCGAGAAATGGCTTTTAAATTTAGAAAGCTTAAACTGTAGCTCTGTGCAATTTACTATAGAAGTTACTCTTTCTTCATGCATGAAATCTATTTTTTAAAGTAATTGGGAAAAAGTGTATTGGTTCAAAGTAACATCTACTACAATATAAACTAAAGCCAACTGCTACAAAGATGAAATTTAATAATCTATTGGAGTAAGTATAGCTATGTATTATTTTAAAGTTTTTTTTTTTTTTTTTTTTCTTTTTGAGACTGAGTCTCCCTCTGTCACCTAGGCTGGAGTGCACCTAGGCTGGATCTTGGCTCACTGTGGCCTCGACCTCCCGGGCTCAAGCAATCCTCCTGCCTCAGTTTCCCAAAGTGCGGGATTACAGGCATGAATCACCACACCTGGCCGTAAATTTTTTTTATTTTTAATTATTCTATATTTTCCTTCTACATTGTTTGTTTTCCTTTCCTAACTAGCCTTGTCTGGTTAGTTCACAAATACCATTGTTCTCGTGGACTTTGGGTCTAGAAATAGTCCATTTCTAATGATTGAATAAAACTAAATTATTCACTAGTCTGCTCAACATTTTATAGGGGTGTAAATTTTGTCCGTTTTATAGATGTGATTCTGTGTACTCATGGAGAGAAAGTGCAAAATCTCAGGTTTAAGTTAATCCTTAATTACTTGGTGAAGGCAAATTACAATATATGTAATACAAGAAATAAGGAGTTAAGTGGATAGAATAGGCTAGTAATTGTACTGAGTAATTGTACTTCAACCATTGAAAAATGGTTGGAGTAATTCGAGAATAGTTTTTGGAGGGAAGGGAACCTGGAGTTACATATTTATATCATTTTTCCTGGCTATAAAAGTGGTACTTGTTTCCATTATATTGTAAAAACGATTAAGATGAAAGGTAGAAAATAGAGAAGAGACTGAATCATGCATATGAAATGCAAACACAGTTTATCTAGGAGAGACTAGATTTGGTAATAAATGAGTGTATATTGACAACTCACTGTGTAATCAACAGATTATAGATGATATGATCTCTGTCTTAAAACTAGTCTGGAAGTAGAGGTGGAAATGGGATGAGATGGGTAGACAGCATATTTGAAAAATGTTTAGTTGTAAAAACTCCATATAAATAACTACAGCAATAAAGTCTAGTATAAGTACTAATGCTGACATACTGATTTATGCCAGAGAAATGCTGACGTGAAGAGTGACTCTCAGACTCATTAGGAAATCCTTAGAAATTCATTGTTTTAGAATTTTAAGAACTGGTGATATTATTTGACAAGACTGAAAATCTTAGGTAGTGTTTTTATGTAAGTACTCTTGTTACAGTGGAGAATAGGTTAGACAGGCTATAGCAAAATGTGAGAAAATTACTAGAGCTGTTTTGTGTGTTGTGTTTTTTATTTTTGTTTTTGTTTTTTGAGACAAAGTCTTGCTCTGTTGCCCAGGCTGGAGTGCAGTGGTGTGATCTCGGCTCACTACAACCTCCACCTCCAGGGTTCAAGCAATTCTCCTGCCTCAGCTTCCTGAGTAACTGGGATTACCGGCACCCGCCACCACGCCTGGCTAATTTTTGTAATTTTTTTAGTAGAGATGAGATTCCACCAAGTTGGCCAGGCTGGTTGGTCTCAAACTCCCAACCTCAAGTGATCTTCTGTCCACCTCGGCCTCCCAAAGTGTTGGGATTACAGGCGTGAGCCGCTGCACCCAGCCTAGAGCTATTTTTTCTTTTTTTCTTTTTTTTTTTTTTTTTTTCTGAGACGGAGTCTTGCTCTGTTGCCAGGCTGGAGTGCAGTGCCTCAGTCTCGGCTCACTGCAGCCTCTGCCTCCCAGGTTCAAGCGATTCTCCTGCATCAGCCTCCCGAGTAGCTGGGACTGCAGGTGCACGCCACCACACCCGACATATTTTGTATTTTTAGTAGAGACGGGGTTTCACCATATTGGTCAGGCTGGTCTCGAACTCCTGACCTCATAATCCACCCGCCTCGGCCTCCCAAAGTGCTGGGATTACAGGTGTGAGCCACCGCACCCAGCCTAGCCTAGAGCTTTTTTAAAGCAATGTTTTACATTTTCTCTTTGGGCTAGTGCAGGGGTCAGCAAACTTACGGCCTATAGGCCAAATCTAGGCTGCCACCTATTTATGCATAGTTTGTGAGCTAAGAATACTTTTTATATTTGTAAGTGGTTGAAAAAAATCAAAAGAATAATGATATGTTGTGACTTATGGAAATTATATCAAGTTCACAGGGCCTCCTTAAGGAGTAAACATGCTCTAAATAAGTTCATAACTGAAACAGACCAGCCCCTACAAAATATAAAAGCAAGTGTGATGGGATCGAAAAGATCTGCCAGTAATTTTTTTTGTCTACAAGAAAAAAATTCAACACCCTGTGTAGCATACAATAAAAAAATTGCTGTACTTGTGGGGAAAAAAAGACTATTCCATAAGTCAATAAAAAAGCCATCAATAGAGATAGACTCTGAGATGACTCAGATGTTGGGATTAGCAGACAGTGACTTCAAAATAGCTATCATAAGACATGTTCGTGAACTTAAATGTAAATATAAATATAATGAACAGAGAAAATCTGAGTGAATAAATGGACATTTTTTCAGATAAAGAAAATGAATTTAGAACTGAAAAGTATAATATTTGAAAAGAAAAACTTCTGAATGAACTTAAAAGCAAATTGGAAACACTAAAAGACTGGGTCGGTGAACTTGAGAATGTTATCAGTAGAAATTATCCAAGTATGAAAACAGGTAGGAAAAAAATGAAAAAAAAAAATAGACCCTCAGATCCCTCTGAGACAATATTAAGCAAGATAACATATGTGTAATTGTAGTCCCCGTAAAAACAGGAGAGAGGGGACATTATTTTATGTGCCGATGCACATAAAAAATATTAGATGAAACAAAAGCTGAAATTTTTCCAAAAATATAGATCTAAGATACTCTGAACCCCAAGCAGGATACCCACATATACACAAAACCCATCATTAGACACAATACAGAAAATCTTCAGAGAAACTCTTAAAAGCAGTCACAGAAAAACAGCATATTATGTAAGAGGAGCACTGATATGGATGGCAGCCAACTTCATATCAGAAAAAATGCTAGAAGTAATGCCAAAAAAGTTCTTCAGACTGAAAGGAACTTTTTTACATTACATGATATCTTATGTAAACTGGAATCTACGGAAAGGACCATAGAGCACCAGAAATGAATAAATGAATAAAATGAAATTATTGTGTTGCCAAGTTCTTAAATTTTATGTAAGAACACACAGTATTAATTTAGTAGAAAGTAATGTTAAGGCCAGGCGTAGTGGGTCATGCCTGTAATCCCAGCATTTTGGGAGGCCAAGGCAAGTGGATCACTTGAGGCCAGGAGTTGCAGCCTGACCAACATGGTGAAACCCTGTCTCTACTAAAAATACAAAAATTAGCTGGGAATAGTGATGTACGCCTGTAATCCTAGCTACTTGGGAGGCTGAGGCATGAGAATCACTTGAACCCAGGAGGCGGAGGTTGCAGTGAGCCGAGATTGCGCCACTGCACTCCAGCCTGGGTGACAGAGTGAGACTCCGTCTCAAAGAAAAAAAAAAAAAAAAAGTAATGTTGAGAGGGAGCATTGTAGTTCCTAGCCCATTGTGGCTCAAAAACTTTAGTATGCATCAGAATCACCTGGAGGGCTTGATAAAACATATTGCTGGGCTCTACCTCTGAGTTTCTGATTCAGAAGGTCTGGGATAGGGCCTGGGAATTTGCATGTCTGACAAGTTTCAAAGTAATGCTGCTGGTTTGGGAACTGCCTTTTTAAAAAAAAGAAGAAGAAGAAAACAAATGCAAAGAGGTATAGTTAAAAAGTCAAAAGAGAATTTGATTTTTTAAATATTGAATTTGGCCAGGTACAGTGGCTCATGCCTATCATCCCAGCACTTTGGGAGGCTGAGGCAAGCCACTCACCTGAGCCCAGGAGTTTGAGACCAGCCTGGCAACATGGTGAAACACTGTTTCTACAAAAAATACAAAAATTGGTCAGGTGTGTTGTGCTCCTGTAGTTCCAGTTCCTTGGAAGGCTGAGATGGGAGGATTACCTTAGTCTCAACTGCAGTGAGCAGTGATTATACCACAGCACTCCAGCCTGGACAGAGTGAGACCTTGTCTCAAAAAAAAAAAAAAAAAAAAAATTACCTAATTAAAAAAAAAAGATGGCAGGAAAGAAGGGACAGGGAACAACAAAAAACCCAAATGGGATAAATAGAAAATAGCAAGGTGGTAGACTTAAGTCTGGCCATCCTATTGTTGTATTAAATGCCAATGAACTATAAACACTTCTGCCAAGCACACTGGCTCACACCTCTAATCCCAGCACTTTGGGGGAGGCCAAGGCACGAGGATCACTTAAGCACAGGAGTTTGAGACTAGCCTGGGCTACATAGTGTGTTGGGGTGATCAGACCCAACACCAGGTCGTGGGGGTGATGATGTCCAGCTGAATCAAAGGATTGAGAAAAAGACAGTTTGAGAAAGAAAGTGGGACCAGGGACCCATCGCGATTGTGGAGGCTGTGAAGGCCCCAAGCTCTGGGACCCTACACTGTTTATTGGTAATCCAACAAAGAAACAGGTGGTGAGAATGTGGGGGTCAAAAAGGCAGGCACATGATCTACAGCTGTGACGGCTTAGCCTTTATATAGAACATGTTCTGCTACTTGAGATAATGGGAATACAATCAATCTAGGAGCCTAGGAGGGCTAGAAGCAAGGAGCCAGCAAGTCTAGACACATTCCAGGGGACATTATGTCAGACATGCAAGCCCTGCCTCAGCTTTTTTCCTAACACTCAGCTTTTTCCCACCATAGTGAGACCCTGTCTCTACAAACATTAAAAAAAAAAAAAAAAAAAAGGTCAAGCATGGTAGTGGGCACCTGTAGTCCCAGCTACTCAGGACGCTGAGACGATCGCTTGAGCACAGGAGTTCAAGGCTACAGTGAGCTATGATCATGCCACTGCACTCCAGTTTGGGTGACACAGCTAGACTCTGTCTCAAAAAAAAAAAAAAAAGCCACTTCAATTAAAAAGTAATGATTGGCTGGGCATGGTGGCTCATGCCTGTAATCCCAGCACTTTGGCAGGCCGAGGCAGGCAGATCACTTGAGGTCAGGAGTTCAAGACCAGCCTGGCCAACATGGTGAAACCCCGTCTCCACTAAAAACACAAAACTAGCCAGGCATGGTGGCACGTGCCTGTAATCCCAGCTACTCAGGAGGCTGAGGCAGGAGAATCACTTGAACCTGGGAGGTAGAAGTTGCAGCGAGCCAAGATCTCACCCACTGTACTCTGCACTCTAGTCTGTGCAACAGTGAGACTCTGTCTCAAAAAAAAAAAAAAAAAGTTAAGATAATGAGAACGGATTAAAAAAAAGTAAGACTCATCTATATGCTGTCTTCAAGAGTTATACTTAAATATAAAATCATAGACAGGTTGAAAGCAAAAAGATGAAAAAGATATGCAGTGCAAATAGTAACTGTAAGAAAGCTAAAGTGGCTATTTTAACATCAGAGAAAAACAGGCATCAAGACAGTATTGTCAGAAGTATTTCATAATGATAAAAATGGCCAGTTCAGAAAGATATACCAATCCTAATATTATGTATGTATATTACTATATACCTAACAATAAAGCTTCAAAATACTTGAAAGCAACAGTTGAGATAACTAAAGAAAGAAATAGACAAATCCACAATCATAGTTGTAGATTTTAACACCTCACTTCCAGTAATTAATAGGTAGAAGAAGCCAAAAAATGTTAATACACATATAGAGGATCTCAACAACACTATCAGTCATCTTGATCTAAATAATATGTTTAGAACAATACACTCAACTGCAGAATACATATTATTTACATAGGCAAATGGCTTGTTTATCGACATATACCATATACTGGCCCATTAAAAATGTCAATACATTTTGAAAGATTGAAATCATATAGAGAATTTCTCTGACCACAATAGAATTTAATTAAACATATTCCTTCTTTAGAAAATATTTTAGTAAACAAAGAGTAGTAGATTTTTCCTCAAAAACAAGAGCCAAAAGAATTAAAAAGTCACTCTATTAGGGATTTTGCTGTAGGAACAAAGAATCTGGCAGGTAAAAAGTGACTGGACTTTGTGATTGTCAGATACAGAGTTAGAAGCACAAGAGTTTTGACAGATGCACTGCGTATTCAAAGTAATGGAAAATTTGAATAGTAGAGAAGTTTGGAAAAATGTCTAGACATGATACTTTAGCTACAGTATATAGAAAGTTGTTTGAGACGTCATACTTAAGCCACAGTTGTTTACCCCTGGAGAAATGAGAGTGTTAAAAAAGATATTAAAATCATTGATTTGTTAAGAAATTATAAGAATCTGAACTATCCTAAAAGTAATCTTTGTAAAATGAACGATAATTCCAGGTTATCTGGGATTTTCTGTAGGTTATCTAAAGGAGTAAATGGAAAAGAAATAAAAAAGATTTTATTTATCAAATAAATTTTTCAAAAAACAGAAATGAAGAGAATAGGAAAAAAGTACATACATACACAAACCTTTTTTTTTTTTTTTTTTTTTTTTTTGAGACAGAGTCTTGCTCTGTCTTCCAGGCTGGAGTGCAGTGGTACTATCCTGGCTCACTGCAGTCTCTACCTCTCTACCTCTTGGGCTCAAGCAATCCTCCCACCTCAGCCTCCAGGGACTACAGGCACATGCCACCATGCCTGGCTAATTTTTTTGTATGTTTTTGTAGAGATGGGGTTTCACCATGTTGCACAGACTGGTCTTGAACTCCTGAGCTCCAGCGATCCACCCTCTTGGGCCTCCCAAAGTGAGCCACCACGCCCAGCCTACTTTAATTCTTTGAACATATTTATAACAGCTGCTTTTTTAAGTCTTTGCTAAATATCTCTCTCAATTTCTTACTGTACTTTTCTTAAGAGCCATGCTTTCCTACTTCTTTACATGTCTAGTAATTTTTGGTGGAAAACTTGATATTTCAGATAATATATTGTAGCAACTATGTATTCTAATTTTTTGGAGAGTTGTTGGATTTGCTTTAATAACTTGGCTATGCAAATACTGATGTCTCTGCTTCATTTTTTATTCTTATATTTATTATTATTATTAAACTTGATTTCCAAAGAGTTACCCCTGTGTCTGCATATAATTTAGTGGTCAGGGCTGGGTGCGGTGGCTCACGCCTGTAATCCCAACACTTTGGGAGTCTGAGGCGGGCGGATCACCTGATGTCAGGAGTTTGTGACCAGCCTGGCCAGCATGTGACACCCTGTCTCTACTAAAAATACAAAAAAAAATTAGCCGGGTGTGGTGGCGGGCACTTGTAATCCCAGCTACTCAGGAGGCTGAGGCAGGAGAATCACTTGAACCCGGGAGGTGGAGGTTGCAGTGAGCGAGATCGTGCCACTGCATTCCATCCTGGGCAACGGAGCGAGACTCCCATCTCAAAATAATAATAATAATTTAGTGGTCACCTAATGATTTGAACAGAGGTTATGCTCAAACATCTTGATCGGGAAAAGCCTCACATTGATTTATATGTGAGTTGGGGAATGTAAATACAAAGTTGCTGCTAGTTTTCAAGTCATCCTTAGCTTTTACTTTTTGCCAGACTATTGGATCTTCCCCCTCCATTTGCATAGTAACCCAGTTAGCCAGGGATGGTAGAGAGCTTATTTCCGCCCTTTTATGGCTCTCTAGTTTCCATGATCTCCCTGTTAAATTTCTGGCTGTCTTTCATGACCAGTCAAAATTCTGGCTGGTTTTCGTGACCAACCCTGAACTAATAAAACCATTCTCATCGACCACGTTGGTGGTAGTAGTGGGTGTGTGAATAACCTCGTGCAAAGAGGCCACTGAGTCCCCCTGCCCTAACCTGAAGCTCTAGCACTTCTTCAACAATAAACGTTTCTTGTTTTCTACATTTGATCCATTTCCAGTACCCTGGAATGGTTGTTTTTCACAATCTCATTCAGGTTTGTACTTGTTTTTTGTGGAGAGGAATTACCAGCCTCTTCATGCCACCATAACTAGTAGTCCTTTTCTATGCTTATATTTGTTTACTCAGCTTCATTATTTACATCTTCTGTATCCATGTTTACTTTTCCCTTAAAGGATCTGTCAGAAACTGAGAGAGATTTTAGTCCTCTACAGTTGTGTTTTTATCAATTGATCCTTTTATTTTAAACAGTCTTGCATTGTGTATTTCTGTGTTCTATTAAAATGTTGTGTATTATACTTTTTGGTTAGTATAAAATGTATTACTTTGCCCAGTTTACAGCCATCAATGCTGTTGTTCTTAAATTTTTTACTCATGCTGGATGTTTGTTTGGATTTCTCTGATGTTATTTTAGGCTGGACTTAAATAATAGTGACACAGTTCATCTGTGTCATCAGTTCCAAGACTACTAGTTTTGGTGATTCACTAGAAAGACTCAGAATACTCAGCACATGTACTCATGGGTAAGATTTGTTACAGTGAAGGACACAAAACAAAATTGGCAAAAGAATAAGGTGCTTGGGGCAAAGTCCAGAGGAAACCACGTGCAAGTTTTCAAAAGTCCTCTCCCAATAGAGTCATGCAAGACTTTTAATTCTCCCAGAAACAAGTTGTCACAATGCTTATAAGTGTTGTCTACCAGGGAAGCTCATTAGAGACTCAGTGACCAGAGTTCTACTGGGGGCTGAGTATGTAGGCATCTTTTGCCTAGTACATACTAAAATTCCAGTCTTCCAGAGGGAAAGCAGGTGTCCAGCATTAACCACATCGTTTGCACAATCTAGACACAGTAAAACCACCATTATTAATTAGGGAACAGTGGGAACACTTCCGAAATCCAAGTTCCCAGATACCAGACAAAGGCCAACCTTGCAAGGAGGTTTTCCTAAGTATAGCAGCATCAGGCCTGCAGTATTAACTTCTTTAATTATTTTCTACACAACATCTTTGTCTTTTTTTTTAAATTGAACTACTCCTGGTGCTTCACTCATGAGTATAATGACCAAAGTTCTTTTGTTGTTTTTTTTGCAGTTAAATGATTTAAAATATTTTTCTCTTAATTTGGGAGTAATATAATTTTATTCAAATATGAAATTAGGGATCATCATTTATAGTTTTTGTTTTTGTTTCAAAAATTCTTTGTTGTTTCTCTAAGCCAAAAATAAAGTGTGTGCTTGTTTTGAAACTCTAATAGACAAAATACTGTACTATGATTTAAATTACATGCTTGGAACAGTTTTATATTTGACTATTCTTTGTATCTCCCACACATCATAATGCCTTTGTTCTTTTCTCAGCACGATTACGTGGTGTTCATGATGGTTTGTTCACTGGACAAATAGATGCTGTGGATACTCTTAATGCTACTTATAGAGTAACTTTTGATAGGACAGGGCTTGGAACCCATACCATCCCTGACTATGAAGTTCTCGTAAGTAGTATTTCATAATACATTTGTGTTTTATGCCTGTTAAATGTGTTATATAGAGTTTTTTTAGAAATCGTATTTTATGATAGAATCAAGACTTTATCTCACAGAGGAAGAGATCCTTAGGGGACCCCAGCCCTATCTGCTAGACCCCTGGTTCGGATCTATACTTAAGTCTTCCATTTGCCAGGAACTAGCATTTCTCTGTTGGACCTTAACGACACAGCACTTTAGTATAACCAAACTGATGAGTCCTGACTAAATAACCTTGGAGAAGAAGCTACATAACATTTTCATTGCAGCTGTTAGGTTAAAGTATAGTCCTCTTGCAAAATTGTTTTTAAAGTATAGTAACATCTTGTACTTATTTGTTCTCCTGTTTTATCTTCAGAGGCATGCAAGGTGGGTGTTAATTACCTTCACTTTTGCATGATGAAACTCAGACATAAGTACAATTGCGTAATTTATTCAAGGCTCTAGATCTGGTTTCCTATTAGGCTGAGACTAGAATTGAGATCTTTTTTTTTTTTTTTTTTTGAGACGGAGTCTTGCTCTGTCGCCCAGGCTGGAGTGCAGTGGTGTGATCTCGGCTCACTGCAACCTCTGCCTAGAATATACATACATACATACATACATACATATATACATAATATATATACACACACATATATATGTATGTCTTTGTAAATATATTTCCTAAAAGAAATATATATATATATATATATATATCTCCTTAGTGCAGAAATACAATATTGCTTGATATCTCTCCGCAATAGGAGAGAAAGAAAATTAGAACTAAATGTAGAACAGAGTACACTGCTCTTAAGTTTTTACATTAAAGGATGAAAGCTTTAAACTCTCCTTTCAAAAAAAGTAAATTGGCCAGGCGCGGTTGCTCACACCTATAATCCCAGCACTTTGGGAGGCTGAGATGGGCGGATCACCTGATGTCAGGAGTTCAAGACCAGCCTGGCCAACATGGTGAAACCCCATCTCTACTAAAAATACAAAAATTAGCTGGGTGGGGTAGCACATGTCTGTAATCCCAGCTACTTGGGAGGCTGAGGCAGGAGAATTGCTTGAACCCAGGAGGTGGAGGCTGCAGTGATCCGAGATCGCGCCATTGCACTCCAGTTTGGTCAACAAGAGTAAAACTCGGTCTCAAAAAAAAAAAAAAGTAAATTGCTTCTCTGTTTCATTAATTTAACTGTTTTTATGAGATCACCCAAATATTTCTCCCTGGCTAAATAAGAGTTGATTTTTAATTGTAGGGTATATTCAGACAGTCTAAATGCAGATAACCAAATGTGGCCATAGAAAACTTTAATATTAATCTTTGATTCTCTGAACTATTTTGACCCCCCCCCTTTTTTTTTATTTCTTTTTTTCTTCTGGAGGTTCATCCTTTTGGCAGCAAAGTAGTGTTTTCATACTCTGTTTCAAGTTCTAGCCTTTGATCTGTATAGACTAATATGCTACTCTATAAATAATTAAATATATAAGTAATAAATTCTATATGAATCATAGAATATGCGTGAATATATATCTCAAGCTGAAATACAATGATTATAAAGCTTAAATGATTGGTAAATTTCTTTAAGTTTTGTGAATTATTCTGTTTTCTCAGAGTAATGAACCTCATGAGACAATGCCAATTGCTGCCTTTGGACAAAAACAGCGGCCTTCTCGATTTTTTATGACCCCACCACGGTTACATTATACTCCTCCTCTCCAGTCACCAATTATAGTAAGTATATTTTAGAAATATCAATAATTTAATTGATTTTTATGAAGGTGAACTATGTTCTTAAGAAATACACATCTATTACAGCAACTTCAAAGTATGCACACTATTTTGAATTGAAAATATTAAATAAAATAAATAGTTGCTTCATCTCCAGAAATAATTTCCTTTTTATTGGATTTTAATATAATATTAATTATAACAGAATTTTCTCTTTTTCTAAAAATAAGATACTTCCTGGCCGGGCGCAGTGGCTCACGCCTGTAATCCCAGCACTTTGGGAGGCTGAGGCAGGCGGATCACGAGGTCAGGAGTTCGAGACCAACCTGATCAACATGGTGAAACGCCGTCTCTGCTAAAAATACAAAAATTAGCTGGGCGTGGTGGCGCGCGCCTGTAATCCCAGCTGCTCGGGAGGCTGAGGCAGGAGAATCGCTTGAACCCAGGAGTCAGAGATTGCAGTGAGCCGAGATCACAAGTGGCAACAGAGCGAGACTCCGTCTAAAAAAAAATAAAAATAAAAAAATAAGATACTTCCTCTGAATAGTCAATGATTAAATAATTCCTTTTTATTCCCATAGGATAATGATCCTTTATTAGGACAGTCGCCGTGGAGAAGTAAAATTTCTGGCTCTGACACTGAAACATTAGGTGGTTTTCCAGTAGAATTTCTTATCCAAGTGGTAAGAATTGTTCTGAATATCTTGGCTGTTTGTTTAAAAACTCAATGCCTTTTATGTTATTAAAGTTGAAAATTTTTCTAGGGCCGTGTAGGTTTATCACCGTGTAGGTTTTAAGAGCTGCTATTTCCAACAAAGCCTGAAAATAAAAGTTATAAAAACCAAAAAAGACTTAAAGATCTTTCTTCTTGAGCTTTGTCTTGTGTCTGAGTTCTTATTATTCTGCTATTTTAAGGGCTCAAACATTCTTGCATATGTTCTGTGAAATTCTGAATGTTTGGCTGTTAATAACTTGGGTAACTATGAAGGCTTTTATTTAGTAACCTCAGCATATTCTGCCATCATCAGTCAGTTCAACAGTTATGATGTCCTGGCTAGCTTATATGGTTAGAAGAAATTTTATTTCTTTTCAGAGACTAGAAACAGGTATTCACCTGCTAAGTACTTAGTGATTAGACACTAAGAAATCTAAGCCTAAACTGAACTAAGTGTAGAAGTATTATATTGGAAAATTTCCTTATAGCTGGACTCTTAAAAATGTAGTGAGTTTGAAAATTAGATTAAATAAATTTTTTAGTTTGAATCATAGTCTAATAATGTTTCATTTCCTTTTTGGAAAATGAAAACTACTTTGGCTTGGGATAGAAATGATCTTTATTTTCATTTGTTTATTTATTTATTCATTTTGAGACTGAGTCTTGCTCTGTTGCCCAGGCTGGAGTGCAGTGGGTCAGTCTGGGCTCACTGCAACCTCTACCTCCTGGATTCAAGCTTTTCTCCTGCTTCAGCCTCCTGAGTAGCTGGGATTACAGGCATGCACCACTATGCCCGGCTAATTTTTTTTGTAATTTTAATAGAGATGGGGTTTCACTGTGCTGGCCAGGCTGGTCTCCAGTTCCTAACTTCAAGTGATCCCCCCACCTTGGCCTCCCAAAGTGCTGGGATTAGAGGTGTGAGCTACTGCACCTGGCTGATATGATCTTTATAAATAAAAATGTTTATAACATAATCCATGAAAATATTCACAGTGTTCTTTTGCAGTTGATGTTATTTTGAGGAAAGGTCTTGTCAGTTGTGTGTCTGTATATAGCATTCTGTGTTCCTCAATCACATTTTTTTATTTAATATTTATTTATTTATTTGTTTATTTATTTTATTTGAGACAGAGTCTCACTCTGTCTCCCAGGCTGGAGTGCAGTGGCACGATCTCAGCTCACTGTAGCCTCTACCTCCCGGGTTCCAGTGGAATCACCTCAGCCTCCCAAGTTGCTGGGATTACAGGCGCACGCCACCACACCCAGCTAATTTTTTGTATTTTTAGTAGAGACGGGGTTTCACCATGTTGGCCAGGCTGGTCTCAAACTCCTGACCTCACATGATCGCCCTCGGCCTCCCAAAGTGCTGGAATTGCAGGCATGAGCGACTGCACCTGGCCTATTTATTTATTTATTTGTTTGTTTGAGACAAAGTCTTGCTCTGTTGTCCAGGCTGGAGTACAGGGGTGCCATTATGGCTCACTGCAGCCTTAACCTCCAGTCTCAGGCAGTCCTCCCACCTCAGCCTCCCAAGTAGCTGAGACTGCAGGCATGTACCACCACTCCCAGCTAATATATTTTTTATTGGTTTTGTAGAGATGGAGTCTCACTATGTTACCTAGGCTGGTCTTGAACTCCTGGGCTCAAATGTTCCTCCCACCTTGGCTTTCCAAAGTGCTAAGATTACAGGCTTGAGTCACCATGCCCAGCCAATGATATATTGTTAGTTATCCTTGCAATATAAAATTTCTTATACCTTTGGCTTCTCAAGGCAGATGGATATTTTATATGAAAGATTGAAAATGTGATAAGAGCAAAGACTTATTCTTTTCACAAAGAAGACACTTGTTTTTAATTTTTTCTTTTAAATAGTAGAAGTAAAAACAAAGCTAATATGTTATATTTGAACAGGTGTTGTGTGTGTGAGAGAGTTTGAGAGAGATCAATAAGCAAAGGGAGCCAGAAGCTAAGTACTACTACACTATGTCTAAATATCACTATGTGATATTTTTATCGATCCTTGTTATATTTGATTTTTAATTCAATACACTTTATTTTTTTAGACCAATTTTAGGTTCATAGCAAAATTGAGAAGAAGATACAGATATTTCCCATATACTTCCTGACCCCACACATGTGTAGTCTCCCCCTATTATCTCCCAGCAGATGGTACATTTGTTACAGTCAGTGAACTTTCATTAACACATCATTTCACCTAAAGACCATAGTTCACATTAATGTATTTAAAGATGTGGAACATTTTAAGAGTTTTGACAAATGTATAATATCATGTATCCACCATTATGTATCATATAGAGTAGTTTTGCTGCCCTAAAAATCTTCTGTGTTTCACCTTTTTATCTCTTCCCCTGAGCCCCTGGAAATCACTGATCTTTTTACTGTTTCCATAGTTTTATCTTTTGCAGACTGTCATATATTTGAAGTCATACAGTATATAGCCTTTTTATATTGGTTTCTTTCACTTACTAGTATACATTTAAGTTTCTTTCATGTCTATTCGTGGCTTGATAGCTCATTTCTTTTTAGCATTGAGTAATATTACATTGTCGGGATGTACCACAGTTTATTTACTCATTGACAAACTGAAAGACATCTTGGTTGCTTTCAAATTTTGGCAATTATGAATAAAGGTGCCATAAACATCTGTGTGCAGGTTTTTGTGTGGCCGTAAGTTTTCAGCTCCTTTGGGTAAATACCAAGGAGTGTAATTGCTGGTTCATATGGTAAGAGTATGCTTAGTTATATAAGAAACTGACAAGCTGTGTTCTAAAGTGGCTGTACCATTTTGCATTCCCAGCAGCAGTGAATGGGATTTCCTGTTGCTCCACATCCTCGTTAGCATTTGGTGTTGTCAGTGTTCTGGATTTTGGCCATTCTAATAGGTTTGTTGTGGTATCTTATTATTTAAATTTGCATTTCCCTGATGACATATACATTTCCTCATTGACCATCTTTTCATATGCTTATCTGCCATCTGTATATCTTCTTTGGTGAGGTGTCTGTTAAGGTCTTTGGCTCATTTTTTAATCCAATTGTTTGTTTTCTTATTGTTGGGTTTTAAGAGTTCTTTGTATATTTTGGAAAGCAGTTCCTTATCGGATGTATATTTTACAAATATTTTCTCCCAGTCTGTGGCTTGTCTTTTCATTCTCTTTACAATGTCTTTAACCAAACAGAAGTTTTTAATTTTAATGAAGTTCAGCTCATCATTTCATTCTTACATGGATCATGCCCTTGATGTCATATCTAAAGTTGGTTGTCACAAAACCAAAGTCATCTAGATTTTTTTTCCTGTGTTACTTTCTAGGAGTTTTATAGTTTTGGATTTTACATCTATGTTTGTGATTCCCTTTGTGAAAGGTGTAAGGTTTTTGTCTAGATTCATTTTTTTGTTGTTTGTTTGTGGATGTCCAGTTGTTGCAGCACCATTTGTTGAAGACTTGACTTTTCTCCACTGTTGCCCATTTGTTGCGCAACTGCCTTTGCCCATTTGTTGAAGATAATTGACTATGTGGATTTATTTCTGGGCTCTCTATTCTGTTCCATTGATCTATTTTATTTTATTCTTTGCCACTACCACACTGTCTTGATTACTGTAGGTTTATAGTATGTTTTGAAGTTGAATAGTGTCAGTCCTTCAACTTTGTTCTTCTACTTCAATATTGTGTTGGCTATAGTAGGTCTTTTGCCTTTCAATATAGACTTTAGAATCATTTTGTCAATATCCATAAAACAACTCGCTGGGATTTTGACTTGTATTGAATTGAATTTATAGATCAAGTTGAGAAGAACTGGTATCTTGACAGTGTTGTGTCTTCTTATCCATGAACATGAAATATCTCTTATTTATTTAGTTCTTTGATTTCTTTCATCAGAGTTTTGCTCACATAGGTCTTGTACATATTTGTTGGATTTATACTTAAGTATTTCATTTTGGGGGGTGTTAAGGTAAATGATACTGTGTTTTTAATTTCACATCATAATTGTTTATTGTTTGACAAAGCAATTGACTTTTGTATGTTAACTTTGTATCCTGCAACTTTGCTGTAGTCACTTATTAGTTCCAGGGATTTTTTTTTTTTCTCATTTCTTTCAGATTGTCTACGTAGACAGTCATGTCACCCGCCTAAAACAGATAGTTGTTTTTTTCCTTCCCAATTCTACCTTTAATTTCTCTTTCTTATCTTATTGCATTAGCTAGGACTTCCAGTATGATGTTGAAAAGAGTGATAAGAGAGGACATTGTTGCCTTCTTCCTGATCTTAGTGGGAAAACTTCTAGTTTCTCACCATTAAGTATGATATTAGACATGAGGTTTTTTTGTAGATTTTTTTTTTTTTTATCAGGTTGAGGACGTTGTCTATTCCTAGCTTACTGAGAGTTTTTATCATGAATGAGTGTTGAATTTTGTCAAATACTTTGCCTCTATCAATCTGATCATATTTTTCTTCTTTAGCCTACTGATGTGATGGATTATATTAATTAATTTTCAAACATTGAATCAGCCTTGCATACTTCAGGTAAATCTCACTTGGGGCCGGGTGCGGTGGCTCACGCCTGTAATCCCAGCACTTTGGGAGGCCGAGGCAGGCAGATCACGAGGTCAGGAGATCGAGACCATCCTGGCTAACATGGTGAAACCCCGTCTCTACTAAAAATACAAAAAAATTAGCCAGGCGTGGTGGCCAGTGCCTGTAGTCCCAGTTACTCGGGAGGCTGAGACAGGAGACTGGCGTGAACCTGGGAGGCGGAGCTTGCAGTGAGCCGAGTTCGTGCCACTGCACTCCGGCCTGGGTGACAGAGCAAGACACTGTCTCAAAAAAAAAAAAAAAAAAAAAAAAAAAAAAAAAACTCATTTGGCCGTGATCTTAAATTCTTTTATACATCATTGGATTCAATTTGCTAATATTTTATTGAGGATTTTTGCATCTGTGTTTATGAAAGATACTGATCTATAGTTTTTTTCTTTTCATGTTTGGACAGGGGATCTATGTTGCCCAGGCTAGGCGCAGACTCCTGGGTTCAAGTGATCCTCCCACTTCAGCCTCCCAGTAGCTAGGACTATGAGTACATTCCATTGTGCCTGGCTTATAGTTTTCTTTCACTGTGTCTTTGTCAGATTTTGGTATTAAGGTAATGCTAACCTTGGAGAAGAGTTAGGAAGTATTTCCTCTGCTTCTATCCTCTAAAACATAACAGAGGTTGGGTATAATTTCTTCCTCAAATGTTTAGTAGAATTCCTTAGTGAACCCATCTGGGCCTGGTGCTATCTGTTTTGGAAGGTTAATTATTGACTCAATTTATTTAGTAGATATAAGCCTATTCAGAGCCTTCCATTTTTTTCTTGTGCAAATTTAGAAATTTCAAGGAGTTTATCTTTTTAAAGTCCATAGGATCTGTAGTGATGCCCCTTTTTCATTTCTGAAATTAATAATTTGTGTCCTCTCTCTTTTTTCTTAGCCTAGCTAGAGGCTTATCAGTATCATTGATCTTTTTAAACAACCAGCTTTTGGTTTTGTTGATTTTTTTCTATTTTCTGTTTTCAATTTTATTGATTTCTGCTCTAGTTTATATTATTCTGATTACTTTGTATTTAATTTCCTATTTTTTTTTTTTAGTTTCCTAAGGTGGAAGCTTAAATTACTGATTTTAAGTCTTCTTTACTAATATATGCATTCGATACTACAAGTTTCCCACTAAGCACTGCTTTGGCTGCATCACACAAATTTTGACAAGTTGTCTTTTTATTTTTATCTAGTTCAGAATATTTTTTCATTTCTTCTTTTAGATTGCTTTTTTGACTCGTATTATTTAGACATATCTTCGGATTTTACAGCTTTCTTTGTTATTGATTTCTAGTAGAAGTTCATTGTGGTGTAAGAGCATACATTGTATGATTTCTATTGTTTTAATTTTGTTAAGGTATGTTTTGTGGCCCAGAATGAGCTCTTCATGAATTTTCCGCACGACCTTGAGTAGAAAGTATATTCTATGGTTGTTGGATGAAGTAGTCTATAGATACCAATTATATCCAGTTAATTGATGGTATTGTTGAGTTTATGTCCTTGCTGATTTTCTGCCCATTGAATCTGTTCATTTCTGATAGAGGGGTATCAAAATCTCCAACTATAATGGTGGATTGATCTATTTGTCAATAGTTAATCATTTTGCCTCATGTTTTGATGTTCTGTTATTAGGCATATAAATATTAAGTATTGTTGGCCGGGTGTGGTGGCTCACCCCTGTAATCCCAGCCCTTTGGGAAGCTTAGGCGGGCAGATCACTTGAGGTCAGGAATTCGAGACCAGCCTGGCCAATGTGGTGAAACCCCGTCTCTACTAAAAATACAAAATTAGCTAGGTGTGGTGGCAGACACCTGTAATCCCAGCTACTTGGGAGGCTGAGACAGGAGAATTGCTTGAACCCAGGAGGCGTGAGCTGACATTGCAACACTGCCCTCTGGCCTGGGTGACAGAGCAAGACTCTGTCTCAAAAAAAAAAAAAAAATTATTATGTCTTCTTGGAACATTGACCCCTTTCTCATTATGTAATGCCTTTTTTTTTTTTTTTTTTTTTTTTTTTTTTGTTGAGACAGAGTCTTGCTCTGTCACCCTTGGCTGGAGTGCAGTGGCGTGATCTCGGCTCACTGCAAGCTCCACATCCCAGGTTCATGCCATTCTCCTGCCTCAGTCTCCTGAGTAGCTGGGACTACAGGTGCCCGCCACCATGCCCGGCTAATTTTTTTGTATTTTTAGTAGAGACGGGGTTTCACCGTGTTAGCCAGGACAGTCTCGATCTCCTGACCTTGTGATCCGCTCGCATCAGCCTCCCAAAGTGCTGGGATTACAGGTGTGAGCCACCACACCCAGCCATAATGCCCCTTTTTATTCCTGACACCTTTTCTTGCTCTGGAGTCAGCTTTGTCTGAAATTGATATAACTGCTCCTGCTTTCTTTTGATTAGTGTTAGCATGGCATATTCTTTATCCATTTACTTTTTTTTTTTTTTTTTGAGACAAAGTCTTGCTCTGTCACCCAGGCAGCCTCTGCCTCCTGGGTTCAAATGATTCTCATGCCTCAGCCTCCCAAGTAGCTAGGATTACATGCGTCCTCCACCACATCTGGCTAATATTAGTATTTTTAGTAGAGACAGGTTTTCACCATGTTGGCCAGGCTGGTCTGGAACTCCTGACCACAAGAAATCTGCCTGCCTCAGCCTCCCAAAGTGCTGGAATTACAAGTGTCAGCCACTGAGACTAGCCCTGTTTTGTTTGTTTGTTTGTTTGTTTGTTTGTTTGTTTGTTTTTGAGAACAGGGTCTCCCTCTGTAGCCTAGGCTGGAGTGCGGTGGCTCACTACAGCCTCAACCTCCTGGACTTAAGCAATCCTCCCACCTCAGCCTCCCAAGTAGCTGGGACTACAGGCACAAGACACCACACCTGCTAATTTTTGTATTTTTTGTATAGACATGGGGTGTCAGTGTACCCCAGGCTGGTCTTGAACTCCTTGGCTCAAGCGATGGGACCCACCTCGGCCTCCCAAAGTACTGGGATTATAGGCATGAGCCACCACACCTGGCCTTCATCCATTTACTTTTAATCTATCTGTGTCTTTATGTTTAAAGTAGATTTCAAAGTGGTTGTTGATGTAGTTGGATTATCATATAGTAATAAATATCTACCGTGTTTATTACTATGTTCTATTTGTTGCTCATATTCTTTATTTCTATTTTTATATTCCACTCTTTTTTTGTGTTTTATGGTTTACTTTATATAATTCCATTTTTCTCTGCTTTCTTAGCATATAGGTTATACTTTTTTTTCTTTTAGCTTTCTTTAATGGTTGCCCTAGAGTTTACATTATATACTTTTACAACTAATCCATATCCACTTTCAAATAACACTGTACAGCTTCATGGGTAGTGCTAGTACCTGATAATAACAAAATAATCCTAATTCATCCCTCCTTTCCTTTGTATCATTGCTCTCATTATTTTATTTATACCTAAGCATGCATAAGCATATATACACATAATCATATATAATCAAATATGCTGTTGCTGTTATTATTTTGAACAAACTGTTATCTGTTGGAACAATTAGGAATAAGGAAAATAAAAGTTTGTATTTTACCTTCAACGTATTCTTTCTTTGATACATTTCCTTTATTTATATCTGAGTTTCTGACATATAAAATTTTCTTTTTCTTTAAAGAACATCATTTAACATTTCTGGCCAGGTGTGGTGGCTCACGCCTGTGATCCTAGCACTTTGGGAGGCTGAGGTGGGTAGATCACTTGAGGTCAGGAGTTCGAGACCAGCCTGGCCAACATGGTGAAACCCCGTCTCTACTAAAAATACAAAAATTAGCCGGGCCTGGTGGCATTTATAGTCCCAGCTACTTGGGAGGCTGAGGCACGAGAATCGCTTGGACCTGGGAGGTGGAGGCTGCAGGGAGCCAAAATCGCTCCATTGCACTCCAGCCTGGGCAACAGAGCAAGATTCCGTCTCAGAAAAAAAGAAAAAAATCATTTCTTACAAGGCAGTCCTACTGGCGACAGATTTTCTCAAGTTTTTTTCTCTGAGAAAGTATTTTTCTTTCACTTAAAAAAAATTTTATTTTATTGGCCGGGTGCGGTGGCTCATGCCTGTAATCCCAGCACTTTGGGAGGCCAGGTGGGCAGATCACGAGGTCAGGAGATCCAGACCATCCTGACTAACATGGTGAAACCCTGTCTCTACTAAAAATACAAAAAATTAGCTGGGCATGGTGGTGGGCGCCTGTAGTCCCAGCTACTCGGGAGGCTGAGGCAGGAGACTGTTGTGAACCCAGGAGGCGGAGCTTGCAGTGAGCCAAGATCGCACCACTGCACTCCAGCCTGGGTGACAGAGCGAGACTCTGTCTCAAAAAAATATATATATATATATATTTATTTTATTTATTATTGTAGAGATAAGGTCTGGCGGTGTTTCTCAGGCTGCTGCACAACTCCTGGGCTTAAGCAGTCCTCCCTCTTGGCCTTCCAAAGTGCTGAGATTACAGGCGTGAGCTATGATGCCCAGTCCTGTTTTACTTTTGAATGATAATTTCATAGGGTGCAGAGGTTTAGATTGCCAGATTTTTTTTCTCAACGCAAGATATTTCACTCCAGTCTCCTCTTGCTTGCCTGGTTTCTAAGAAGAAGTCAGATGAAGTTCTTATCTTTGCTCCTCTATCGGTAAAGTGTTTTCTTTCAGGATTTTTTTTTCCTTTTTTTTAGTATGTAGAGATGGGGTTTTGCCATGTTGTCCAGGCTGGTCTCGAGCTGCTAGGCTCAAGCAGTCTGCCCGCCTTAGCCTCCCAAAGTGCTGGGATTAGAGGTGTGAGCCACCATAGCTGGACCAGAATTTTTCTTTATCTTGGATTTTCTGTAGTTTGAATATGATATGTGTAAATCTAGAGGTTTTTGTGGTGTTTCTTCTGCTTGGTATTCTCTGAGATTCTTAGATCTTTGCTTTGGTATTTGACATTAAATTGGGGAAATTCTCATTCATTATATTTCAGATAGTTCTTCCTTTTTTTCTCTCTTTCCTCTCCTTGTATTTCCATTAATGCATAAGTTATACCTTTTGTAGTTGTCCCACAATCCTTGGACATTCTGTGCTGATTTTTTCAGTCTTTGTTCTCTTTGTTTTTTAGTTTTGGAAGTTCCTATTAATATATCCTCTTCTGAGATAACTGTTGTGGAAGAAAAAAAAGAAAAATAAATAATATATCCTCAAGCTCGAGAAATTTTCATCTCTTTGCTTGCATTGCCCATCTGTTCTTGCATGCTATTTTATCCATTAGAGGCCTTAGCTTATTACTCATAGTTCTTTCAAATTTCAACATCCCTGCCATATCTAAGGCTGGTTTTTATGCTTGCTTTGTCTCTTCAAACTATGTTTTTTTTTGCCTCCTGGCGTACCTTGTAATTTTTTCTTAATTGCCAAACATGATGTACTATGTAAAAGGAACTGTGTCAGCCTGAGCCTCTGGACTATGAACTTCACAAATGCACCTCAGTTTTTCCTCCTCTTATGTGGTACGGGGTGGCTAGAGTGGGCTGGGGTTGGGTTTTTCTCTTCCCCCAGGTCAGTAAGCCTCTGATAAAACCCTAGCATGTTAGCTTCTGGTTAAATAGTTTTTCCTGAGGGCAGGCCTTGCTAAGAACAGAATGCTCCATCTTAATTCAAAATCGTTAGTTTTCCTTCCCCTTGCAGGAAGCAAGAGGGAGTATTTCTGCAGTATTCACTAAGAACCAGATTAAGCCCCTGGAAGTAAAACTCACAAAGTATGCTTTTCAAAAAAGCCTCCTAACTGGGTCCCGTAGAGTAAATGCTTAATGCACCTACCACATATATTACAGTTCAGTTTTCCCTACCCAAGCACTGGTTCCTAGAGGTTTTTGCTCATGGGTTTCTGCTCCAGTAAATTGTGATTCTACATACTTGCCTTTCATTCTTTCCAATTTTGTGAACAGTTTGCCTTGGCCCTCAATTTTCTTAGAGATCTAAGAAGTGTCGTTGACTTTTTTTTTTTTTTTTTTTTTTGAGACAGAGTCTCGCTCTGTCGCCCAGGCAAGAGTGTAGTGGCACGATCTCAGCTCACTGCAAGCTCCGCCTTCCGGGTTCACGCCATTCTTCTGCCTCAGCCTCCCGAGTAGCTGGGACTACAGTCACCCTCCACTACGCCCGGCTAATTTTTTGTATTTTTAGTAGAGATGGGGTTTCACCGTGTTAGCCAGGATGGTCTCGATCTCCTGACCTCGTGATCCGCCCGTCTCGTCCTCCCAAAGTGCTGGGATTACAGGCGTGAGCCACCGCGCCTGGCCAAGTGTCATTGATTTTTTTAAGTATGTCAGCTTTTTACCTGGTGTTAGGATGGAGTAGCACCTTCCCAGCTTCTTATATCCCAGACTGTAAACTGAAAGTCTATGTATTTGATTTTAGTACTTAATTTAAAATTTATAATCTATATGTAAAGCCTAGTTAAAATACTACTTCCACTATTATTTTAAGATACTTAAGAGGTAAAAATAAAAGTTATTTTATGTCCCTACCTTTTATAGTATGTGAGGTTTTATAAAACTCTCAGTTTTGCTCTTAAGTGAAGTTGATATTTTGATTTTTTTGCTGTTCCAAATGTATTTTTTCTTATGACAAAATAAACATTAAAAATGTTTTGCCGCCAGGCACAGTGGTTCACACCTACAATCCCAGCACTTTAGGTGGCCAAGCTGGGAGGATTGGAAGTCTAGGAGTTCAAGACAAGCCTGGGCAACATAGACAAGGATTGAGTCTAGGAGTTGAAGACAAGCCTGGGCAACATAGTGAGACCCCATCTGTACAAAAAAATACAAAAATTAGCCAGGTGTGGTGATACGCCCCTGTAGTCCCTACTACTCAGGAGTCTGAGGTGGGAAGATCACTTGAGCCCAGGAGGTTGAGGCTGCAGTGAGCCATGATCACGCTACTGCACTCAGCCTGGGTAGCTATAAGCTACCACACCCGGCCTTATTATTTCTTTCTTTCTTTTTTTTCTTTTTTGAAACAGAATCTTACTCTGTTGCCCAGGCTGGAGTGCAGTGGTGTGATCTTAGCTCATTGCAGACTCTGCTTCCTGGGTTCATGTGATTCTCCTGCCTCAGCCTTCTGAGTAGCCAGGATTACAGGTGCCTGCCATCATGCCGGCTAAATTTTGTATTTTTAGTAGAGATGGGGTTTTACCATGTTGGCCAGGTTGGTCTCAAACTCCTGACCTCAGGTGATCCACCCACCTTGGCCTCCCAAAGTGCTGGGATTACAGGCGTGAGCCACCGTACCCGGCCCTTTTTATTTATTTCTAAGAGATAACCCTTTTTTTGGCCAGGCATGATGGCTTATGCCTGTATGTAATCCCAGCACTTTGGGAGGCTGAGGCTAATGGATCACCTGAGGTCAGGAAGTTCAAGACCAGCCTGGCCAACATGGTAAAACCTCATCTCTACTAAAAATACAAAAATTATCCAGGCGTGGTGGTGCGAGCCTGTAGTCCCAGCTACTCGGGAGCCTGAGGCATGAGGATTCCTTGAACCTGGGAGGTGAAGCCAAGATCATGCAGTTGCGTTCTAGCCTGGGCGACAGAGCAAGATTCCATCTCCAAAAAAAAGAGAGATACATTTTTTTCTTTCTTTCTTTCTCTTTTTTTTTTTTTTTTGAGACAGGGTTTCAGTCACTTTGTCACCCAGGCTGAGTGCAGTGGCATGATCACAGATCACTACAGCCTCAAACCCCTGGGCTCAAGCAATCCTCCCGCCTCAGCCTCCTGAGTAGCTGGGACTACAGGTGGGCGCCACCACACTTGGCTAATTTTTTACTTTTTCATAGAGATGGGGTCTTGCTGTGTTGCCCAGGCTGGTCTCAAACTCCTGGACTCAAGTGATCCTCCCACCTCTGCCTCCCAAAGTCCTGGGATTATAGGTGTGAGCCACTGTGCCCAGCTGGGATTTCTTTTTTGAGAGGGTGTTTCGCTCTTGTCCCCCAGGCTGGAGTTCAGTGGCGCCACTTTGCTCACTGCAGCCTCTGCCTCCCGGGTTCAAGCGATTCTCCTGCCTCAGCCTGCCGAGTAGCTGGAACTACAGGTGTCCACCACCACGCACTGCTAATTTTTGTATTTTTAGTAGAGACGGGGTTTTACTATGTTGGCCAGGTTGGTCTCAAACTCCTGACCTCAGGTGATCCACCCGCCTCCCAAAGTGCTGGGATTATAGGCGTGAGCTACCACACCTGGCCTGGATTTCTTTTTTTTAAGCAACGTAACTACAATACCATCATTACATCTATAAAAATTTAAATGTCAATATCAAATATTCAGTTGGTATTCAGATTTTTCAGTTGTTTTTTAAATGTTGAGTGCCTTTTTTCTCCATGCAACTTATTGAAGAAACTGGATTATTTATCCATACAGTCTCCCACAGTCTCGATTTTTTGACTAAATCCTTGTGGGATTATTTAACATGTTCTTTGTATCTTAACGTAAATTGAAAATTATTTCTAGAGGTTTGACGGATTTAGGTTTTTTGGTTGGCTGATTGTTTTTATGTGACTACTTTTACAGGTGGTTTTGTGTTCTTTTGATAGGAGACATTCATTCATTCATTCATTTATTTATTTATTTATTTATTTATTTATTTATTTATTTTGAGATGGGGTCTTGCTCTGTTGCCCAGGCTGGAGTGCGGTGGCATGATTTCAGTTCACTGCATCCTCCACCTCCCAGGCTCAAAGTTCTCCCACCTCAGCCTCCTGAGTAACTGGGACTACAGATGCAAGCCACCAAACCCAGCTAATTTTGTTTATTTTTTGTGGAGATGAGGTCTCAAACTCCTAGACTCACGATCCCAGCTACTTGGGAAGCTGAGGGTGGTCACAAACTCTTGGGCTTAAGTGATCTTCCCGCCTTGGCCTCCCAAAGTACTGGGATTACAGGTGTGAGCCACTGCATCTCTGACCTAATTATTTTTTAATGTTAGCTGCCATTGATTATCAATGCTTAGATCCATTCATTCAATAAGATTTCAGACTTGCTCTCACTGTGTTATTTCTTCTTCCTAAGTATCATTGTAACTCATGGATTTTAACATTTGGCTTTAGTTCATTTCAGTTATTGTTCTTACTGGTCTGCAAATTGCCCTATTTTGGACCAGTGAAAGCTTGTTCAGATTGACTCCTTAGTCCTTTTGACATGTCCTAGTTACAATGGATTTTTAAAATAATATTTGCTTGTCGGTTTAATCAGATATATAAAATACAGTGCTATGACGCTGAGTGTGGTGACTCATGTCTGTAATCCCAGCAGTTTGGGAGGCCAAGATGGGCAGATCACTTGAGGTCAGGAGTTCGAGACCAGTCTGGCCAGCATGGTGAAACCCTGTCTCTACTAAAAATACAAAAATGGTTGGGTGCCCTGGCTCATGCCTGTAATCCCAGCACTTTGGGAGGCCAAGGTGAGTGGATCATCTGAGGTCAGGAGTTCAAGACCAGCCTGGCCAACATGGCAAAACCCCATCTCTACTAAAGATACAAAAATTAGTTGGGCATGGTGGCGGGTGCCTGTAATCCCAGCTACTCGGGAGGCTGAGGCAGGAGAATTGCTTGAGCCTGGGAGGCGGAGGTTGCCGTGAGCCAAGATCACGCCATTGCACTCCAGCCTGGGCAGCAGAGCAAGACTCCGTCTCCAAAAAAAAAAAAAAATTACAAAAATTAGTCAGGCATGGTTGCGTGTGCCTGTAATCCCTGCTACTCGGGAGGCTGAGTTGAGAATTGCTTGAACTGGGAGGCAGAGGTTGCAGTGAGCCAAGACTGTGCCACTGCACTCCAGCCTGGGTGACAGAGGGAGACTCTGTCTCAGAAAAAAAAACCAAAACAATGCTATGCTATATATATATGTTGAAACACTAAAATCTATTGCTGAAGTATCTTACTAAAATATTGGAAATTTAATGTCTAACCAATATACCTAAATGCCTCTGTTTATTCTAAAATATTTCTTCTTTGTCTGTAGACCAGATTATCAAAAATTCTCATGATTAAAAAGGAACATATCAAGAAATTAAGGGAAATGAACACAGAAGCAGAAAAATTGGTAAGAATTTCTCTTTTTTTTTCTTCATTTGCTTGTCTAATTTTAAAATAGTGAGACCATCTATATCTAATGATTTAAAAATATCTATGGAAGGAAACCTTCAGATAAATATTATTTTTAAATCCTCATTTGCATGAGGTCCACACCTGTAGTCCACCTTCTTGGGAGGCTGAAGCAAAAGGATTGCTTGAGTCTAGAGTCAGAGACTGCAGTGAGCTATGATTCTACCACTACAGTCTAGCCTGGGTGATAGCGAGACCCTGTCTCAGTAAATGAATGAATACAGGAATACATACATACATACAACAGTAAATCTTCATTGCTATCACTATCTCTTGTTATACAGAACATATGCTAAGTAAATTGGCAGTGCATTGCCCCAGACCTCATTATGCCATTGACTGTACAGTTGAATAGGATTAATGGATATATTAGGTTCTTTCAGCAGTTTGCATGAGTCTAGAATTGCTCAGATACCTGTGACCAAGGAAGTTGTAATGGCAGGTTATAAAAAATGTTTCAGAATAAGTAAGTCAGGAAATATCTATGTTGTCATCTTTAGGTTATCTTGACAACGTTTATATCCTAATTTATTATCTAATGAGTTCAAAAAATGAGAGCCAATTTTATTCATAAGATAATTACCAGAAGTCTTTTTTTTTTTTTTTCTGAGATGGAATTTTGCTCGTCGCCCAGGCTGGAGTGCAATGGTGCAATCTCGGCTCACTGCAACCTCCACCTCCCGGGTTCAAGTGATTCGCCTGCCTCAGCCTCTCAAGTAGCTAGGATTACAGGCGCACACCACCACGACCAGCTAATTTTTGTATTTTTAGTAGAGACGGGGTTTCGCCATGTTGGCCAGGCTGCTCTGGAACTCCTGACCTCAGGTGATCCACCCACCTCGGGATTACAGGTGTGAGCCACAGCACCCAGCCAGCCACAGCACCCGGCCCAGAGTTTTTTAAAAAGCTGTTTATGTAGGCACTATTCACTAAGAAAGTCTTTGAATTGTAATGAAATTCACATCTTGCTTAAGGATATGTAGGATGGCAAATAGGTTTTATCTCATGTACTATCTCCAGTTTATTGAAAATGACTGTATAGAAGTCTGAAAGGGAGGGCTCTGACTGTGCTCAAGGGGCAAAGTGCTGTGACTGATGATCAGTGTCTGTTGTAAGTGCAGGAATGGGAATAGTGGCACTGGGAATCTCTGGAATGAAATGTTATAAGGGTATAGGTGTGGATACAGTTAGGTATCTACAGCTGCAAAAGTAGATACCTAAGTGAATAAAGAACAATCCTCTTTTAGGATTATAGAATTTTTTTTATCCAAAAATTACTGAATTTTTAAGACCAAAAATGTCAGGTGATTTCAGCGTAAGATCATACTGCTCTCTTTAGCAGTACAGGTATTAAAACTTGGGTTTATTTCCCAGTTTAACTCATTTAAGCATAACATGAAATTAGTATTATCAGATACACAAGCCATCCGAAAATGAAAAGGATTAGCTATAGCATATTGCCATTACATATCTTAAACATAGAAATGTATGTGCGTGCTTCTTTCCTACTGGACTCTAATTCTTGGTTTCCATCAGTTCTACTTCTGCCCTTTATATTCGATGCCTTTTCAGTGCTCTTCCACCCCACTTCTGTTTTTCTCTGGTCACCTTATCATCTCTTCTATC
Source organism: Homo sapiens (assembly GCF_000001405.40). Taxonomy (NCBI): domain Eukaryota; kingdom Metazoa; phylum Chordata; class Mammalia; order Primates; family Hominidae; genus Homo; species Homo sapiens. Next base: position 226,249,150 of record NC_000001.11, on the reverse strand, counting down.
TTTATGTATAAATGAATTATTTCCCTTTAATATCACTAGTTAGGACTGTTTTCTTCTAAGTTCCATGCTTTAAAGCACTGGGCTTGCCTTTGCCCAGTTAATCTTATCTGCTTTCAAATAGAGACCTATTTTGGGTTGTTTCGCAAACCAAGGAGATGTAGGCTTCAGTGTAAAACGAATTTGTATTCCCAGAGACCGTTTTGATGTTGGCTTGGCTTCTTAGCATATGAGAACTCTGTAGAAGTAATCTAGTTGGCTTGATATGTTTTATTATTTGTTTTATTTATGTAAAAATAGTTTCCCTATAAAAATTCAAATATTATGAAATGATTTAATGAGTCAAACTGTAGTTCTTTATAATGCCTTCTCCATAAATAGTATTAAGTTAGCATATGTTATAAATATGTTTATTTATATGTTTACCATATGGATTTCTTTTTCTGTGCATATACTAAAAATTATTTTCATGCAAAATGGAATTAAATTATGATATATTGGCTTATCTTTTAAAATGATTGTATTGTACCATAATTTAAACAACTTCCTGTTAACATATTTATTTCCAGCATTTTATTAATATAATGCTAATATTTTTGTGCATTTGTTTGTGTCTATCTGTAGGATAAATTTTAGAAAGTAAAATGAAAGATTTAATGAAAGTTAATTTAAAGATGGTAGGCTGAACAAATTTTTTTCATATCCTTTATAATTGCACATAGAATATGAGGTACAAAAAGAAGTAAACAGAAAAAATGAAGCAGTCTGCTTAACAATGTCTATGAGATTTCGAAATTTTTTCTGGCATGTTTTTAAATGAAACAGAAACCATAGCTACAAGAGGCCCTAGATCCAGAGTTGGCAAATATGATGAAGTGCAGAAGTGAGATTAGTATTTTAAAAGGCAATTAATTCAAGGTCTTTCTCCTTGTTCCCCTTCTTCATCTCAGTGACAGAACTCAAACGTGGCATTTACTCAAGTTAAATGGAGAGAAAGAAGCACTTCTCTAAAGAATTTGAATGTACTATTTGGGGAAAGTTAAGGTTTTTTTCTGCTTTTGGTAAGAGTAGACTAGGTAATTTGGATTAACCTTCCTGCTGTAAATAACTGTTTCCTCTGGAATAAAATATTAAAATAACCTGCTTGAAGAACACTGGAGCATTAACAAGGCATTAAGAAGGCCTGGCACAGTGGCTCATACCTGTAATCCCAGCACTTTGGGAGGCCAAGGCGAGTGGATCACTTGAGGTCACGAGTTCAAGACAAGCCTGGCCAACATGGCAAAACCCTGTCTCTACTGAAAATAAAAAAAATTAGCTGGGTGTGATAGGTGTGCACCTGTAATCCCAGCTACTTGGGAGGCTGAGGCAGGAGAGTCGCTTGAACCCACGAAGCAGACATTGCAGTGAGCCAAGATTGTGCCACTGTACTCTAGCCTGGGCAACAGAGCGAGACTCTGTCTCAAAAAAAAAAAAAAAGAAAGAAAACAAACAACAAGGCATTAAGGAATTATAGGATCTGGGAAAAGAAGGAAAGAAGTAAGGGGGAACCTGATGTTCAGGGTTGCTTTTTCCTTGGGGACTTCTGCAAGTTCCAGAAAAGCTAGCTGAGAAGCTAAGTGGCATTCTTGAAAGGCTTAAGTGGGTTGGAGGCCAAAATTAGAGTCCAGAGACCCACCAAGGGTTGGGAGAAGTTGGCAAACTTTAAGTCCTCTTTGGAGGAATATAGCATTTTTATAGGCCTCAAATTATTTCTATAAATTTTTATATATAGTATCTAAAACTCAATTTAAATTCAAGACACAATAGGAGACACAATAACCCTAAGGAAAAAAGAAAATCAACTGTAGACAGTAGGTAGACTAGACAATGGAGTTTTTAGAAATATATTTTAAATGCTTAATTTGTTAAAAGAGATGAGACAAAATTGAGAATTTTAGAAGAGAACTGGAAACAACAATAAAAAAGACCAAATGAAAACTATAAACTCTAGCAATCAAAATTAAGAACTCGGTGGATACAACCACAGCAGATTAGAAACAGCTAAAGAGAGAGCTAGTAATTTAAAATAGATCAGAAGAAAATATCCCGAATGAAACATGAAGATAAAAATGAGTGGAAAATTTAGAAGAGAAGAGACGATAAATAGGAAATACAGTGAGGAAGGTCTAATGTGTAACGGAATAGCAGAAGGAAAAAGAAAGAATGGGACAAAAGCAGTATTTTAAAAGATAATGACTAAAGGCGTTCCAAAACCGTCAAAAGGCAACAAGCCACAGATAAATTCCTATCAACCCCAATGAGATAAATAAATTGATAGTGACTTTTAGACACATTATCTTTTTTTTTTTTTTTTTTTTTGAGACAGAGTCTCGCTCTGTCACCCAGGCTGGAGTGCAGTGGCACAATCTCAGCTCACTGCAAGCTCCGACTCCCAGATTCACACCATTCTCCTGCCTTAGCCTCCCAAGTAGCTGGGACTACAGGCGCCTGCCACCACACCCAGCTAATTTTTTGTATTTTTTTTTTTTTTTTAGTAGAGACGGGGTTTCACCATGTTGGCCAGGATGGTCTCGATCTCCTGACCTCATGATCCACCAGCCTTGGCCTCCCAAAGTGCTGGGATTACAGGCGTGAGCCACCGCGCCCGACCTAGGCACGTTATCTTAAAACTGCTGAAACTAAACACAAAGTGAAAAAATGTTAGAGTACCCAGGGCAGGATGGGAGTGGGGAGTATGTACAAACGAGCAACCAACAATTTGTCTGAGAGCTACCATCTCCACAGAAACAATAGAAGACAGAAGATAATGGAATGACATCTTCACAGGGCTGAAACAAAATAACTACCAACCTAGATTTCCATAACCAGTGAAAATGCCTTCAAGGATAAAGTTACAAGGACAGTTGTAGACAAATTTATGGACTTTCTTACCAGAATACCTACATTAAAGGAAATACTAAAGTTTTTGTTTAAGCAGAAGAAAAAACTTGAAGTTTGTAAAAGAAACATGAAGATTCAGGGAATGAAGAAACAACAAAAAGGGTAAATATGTGGATTAATCTAAGTGACACATTAAATAACTCTTGTGGCACTTAAAGTATAGAGAGAATTATACAATTGTCTGTTGGTCAGGGTAGGGGTGTATATACATATAGGCCTAGATAAATCAAAGATGGATGACATTTTAATCTCTAACCTATTAAAATAATAGTAAAAGATGAATATTTATCAAGCTAATTAGGGGGAAGTAGGTGGGAAATGGAACAATAAAAATGTTTAATTGGGGCTGGGTATAATGGCTCATGCCATTGGATTGCTTGAGGCCAGGAGTTTGAGACTAGCCTGGCCAACATAGCCAAACCCCGTTTCTAGTAAAAATACAAAAATTAGCCAGGCGTGGTGGCACACAGCTATAATCCCAGCTACGCAGGAGGCTGAGGCAGGAGAATCACTTGAACCCAGGAAGCAGAGAGAGGTTGCAGTGAGAGCCCAGACCACGCCACTGCACTCCAGCCTGGCCAGCAGAGCAAGACTGAGTCTCAAAAAAAAAAAATTTTTGTTTTTTAGAAAAATTAGCCAGGCATGGTATAGTTCCAGCTCCTCAGGAGACTGATGGGGGAGGATTGCTTGAGCCCAGAAGTTTGAGGCTGTGGTGAGCTAGGATGGTACCGCTGAACTCCAGTCTGGGTGACAGAGTGAGACCCTGTTTCTTGGGGGGGGGGAAAAAAGACAAGTATGTGACTGGCAGAACTAAGAAACTTTAACAAAACACTGTATTGGTGAGGATGTAGACAAGTAGGCATTCTTACACATAAATTAGTACATCTTTTATGAAGGGTGTAGCAATTCTTATGCCTCAGTCTCCTGTGTCCAATCATATTTCTATACCACTGTCCATATGCTTTGTGAACCTAAGCACAAAAATTGACAGTTTATTTTGTATTCTTCATTCTGAAGACTCTGGCGTCACATAAAATTATAACCAAATAAATGTGTATGCCTTTTTTCCTATTAATCTCTCTTTTGTCAGTGATTTTCAGTGAGCCTTCAGATGGTGAAGGGGAGTTCCCTCTGGCCTCTACAGGTGCTTTGGCAATATCTATCAAGATTTAAAATGCTCAAATCCTTTGATTTAGCAGTTGCACTCCTGGAAACTTCTACACTTATGTTTGCCTTTGTCCAAAATGACTACATGTTCATTGCAGCATGTTTGCAAGATCTGAAGGTTAGAAACAACCTGAATGTTCATCAAGAAGGAGCATGTTTATACACTTTAGGTGGGAATATAAGTTAATTGAAGTCTTTTTGGAAGGTAGCTTGGCCATACTGACGGGCCAGAAATTTTACTTCTAGAGTATCATTCAGAAGATGCGCATACAAGGATGTTCATCACAGCATTGTTGTAATAGCAAAAAATTGTAAATGGTTAAATGAATATCTGTAGAGGACTAGTCAAATAAATCCATACCCTTGATCATGAACTGCTAAATCTGATATTTTCCATCTTGTCCCTTATAAGCTCATATTTTTACAGACTGTTTGCCTTCAACATGAACCTGTAAGCCACACAAGAAAATCTTTCATTACTTTGTGATCATACCTGGTTTTTTATCAGAATGTATTAGTTATTTCTAATGGTTCAAATGCCTCACCTTATTCATACAAGCCTAATTGAATGTCATATTTTTGACTTGTTTTTATTTTATTTATTTATTTTTTGAGACGGAGTCTTGCTTTGTCACCCAGGCTGGAGTGGAGAGGCACGATCTCGGCTCACTGCAACGTCTGCCTCCCAGGTTCAAGCGATTCTCCTGCCTCAGCCTCCCGAGTAGCTGGGATTACAGGCATGCGCCACCGCGCCCGGCTAATTTTTTATATTTTTGGTAGAGACGGGGTTTCACCATGTTGGCCAGGCTAGTCTTTAACTCCTGGCCTCAAGTGATCTACCCTCCTCCACCTCCAAAAGTAATTTTTAGGCCAGGCACGGTGGCTCACGCCTGTAATCCCAGCACTTTGGGAGGCTGAGGTGGGTGGATCACTTGAGGTCAGGAGTTCGAGATTAGCCTGGCCAACATGGTGAAACCCCACCTCTAGTAAAAATACAAAACTTAGCCCGGCGCAGGTAGCCTGCACCTGTAATCCCAGCTATTCGGGAGGCTGAGGCAGGAGAATCACTTGAACCTTGGAGGTGGAGGTTGCAGTAAGCCGAGATTGTGCCACTGCACTCCAGCCTGGGCGACAGAGCAAGACTCCATCTCAAAAAATAATAATAATTTTTAATTGTATGTGTATATGTGTAAAATGAATATACTTTTCTTTAAAAAATTACCATTCTTATTGAGTTTCATGTGTGTTTTTCTTTCTTTGTATTTATTTTTTAATGTATAAATACCTATAGAATATATACTATTGGGTTTTTTTGAGGAGGGGACCTTTTTTTTTTTTTTTTTTTTTTGAGACGGAGTCTCGCTCTGTTGCCCAGGCTGGAGTGCAGTGCTGTAATCTTGGCTTACTGCAACCTCTACCTCCTGGGTTTAAGCGATTCTCCTGCCTCAACCTCCCAAGTAGCTGGGATTACAGGCACGCACCACCACGCCCAGCTAATTTTGTGTATTTTTAGTAGAGATGGGGTTTCACCATGTTGGCCAGGCTGGTCTCGAACTCCTGACCTCAAGTGATCTGCCCGCCTTGGCCTCCCAAAGTGCAGGGATTACAGGCCTGAACCACCATGCCCGGCCAAGGGCAGACATTTTTAAATAAATTTTATACTATGTAACATTCTGCTTTTCACTGTATAGTATCAGTAAATATAGATCACTCTCTTCAATCCTAGTGTTAGAAGATCTTTAAATTGTTAGCAATCTGATAGGTGAAATATAAATCTCATTGTTTTATTTTGTATTTCTAAGGCTACTAGTGGAATTAAGCATCTTTTTGTATTTTAATTGGCCATTTATATTAACAAAATTATTTGTTTCGCATGTTACCATAGTACAGAAAATTTAAATTTTGATGTAGTCAAATACAGTTGACCCTCAAACAACATGGGGGTTAGGGGTGCAACCCCCGCCAGCAGTCAAAAATCCGCATATACCTTTTGACTCCCCTAAAACTTAACTACTAATAGCCTACTGTTGACCAGGAGCTTTACTGATAACCTAAATAGTAGATGAACACATATCTTCTATATGCATTATATACTGTATCCTTACATAAAGTAAGCTAGAGAAAAGGAAATGTTAAGAAAATCATAAGGTAAAGAAAACATATTCATTATTCATTAAGCGGGAGTAGATCATAAAGGTTTTCATCCTTGTCATCTTCACGTTGAGTAGGCTGAGGAGAAGGAGGAAGTGGAGGGGTTGGTTTTGCTGTCTCAGGTGGCAGAGGCAGAAGAGGTAGAGGAGATGGAAGGGAAGGCAGGAGAAGCAGGCACACTGCTGTAACTTTTGAAAAAGTCTGCATCTATACGATCTGGTAGGCTGTTGCAAAAATTAATTTTAAAAAAAGTCTGCATATAAGTAATGTAAGTGGACCTGCACCATTCAAACCTGTGTTGTCTGAGGGTCAGCTCTATATCAGCCTGTTCCTTTTTCTGGTATTTGTAACTTGTTTAAAATAGCTTCTTTACCTCTTATTCATAAACATATTCTCCTGTCTTCTCATGATACTTTTATAGTTTCTTTTAATATTTAGACCTTCAGTACATCCTAAAATTTTGTGAATGATTTGAGTACAGAGAGCTTTTTTCCTCAAATAGATAATTGTTCCAATTTATTAATAGTTCATCCTTTCCCACTGATTTGAAAGGCCAGCTTTACTATATACAAAATTTCCAAACAATATACATATATTCGTACACACACAAACATATGTGCCAGGCATACATATACATATGTGTTGGAATTCAGTATAGACTGGCCACCATTCTCTCCCATTGGTGTATTTGTCTCCCATGTCAATACCATACTGTTTGATAACTACCAGTACAAGTCCCTCCATTTGTCTTTCTCTTTCAAAATTGGTTTGGTCATTCTTGTACATTTATTCTTCTATATTAACCCTTTATTATTTAGATGTTTAAGAAGATAAGGGAAATATTTTCCATCATTGGGAGATACTCAAAAAGATAAAGACTTTGAGAACAGCTTCAAAAAAGGGAGCTCAAAAAATATTTTTAGAAGTTGGAGATATAACCAGATGATAATTTTGACAGGAAGTATATATCTGTTTAGTGTTGGAATTTTTTTTATGGTTCATTAGTTACATCACCCCCTTTTCTTTTTTTTTTTTGAAACAGAGTCTCGCTCTGTCGCCCAGGCTGGAGTGCAGTGGCGCGATCTCAGTTCACTGCAAGCTCCACCTCGCGGGTTCATGCCATTCTCCTGCCTCAGCCTCCCGAGTAGCTGGGACTGCAGGCACCTGCCACCACACCCAGCTAATTTTTTGTATTTTTAGTAGAGACGGGGTTTCACCGTGTTAGCCAGGATGGTCTCGATCTCCTGACCTCGTGATCCACCCGCCTCAGCCTCCCAAAGTGCTGGGATTACAGGCGTGAGCCACCGCACCCGGCCTATATCACCCCATTTTGTAATGCATTAGCCATCTCCCAATTTCATACATTTTGATGTATACTGTATATGTAAACCCTTTGTACATCTTTAATTCATTAAAATGTTGAACACAAAAGATGAAGATAGAGACTTTTGACACCCTCAAATTCGCTGTAAGAGATAGAGCTTTTAATGATTTTGATTTTGATTAACTAGTTCTGAGTCTGCAAAAGTATACACTTTTCCCCGAGAAGAGGCTTGATCAAATACTTAGTTATAATTTATGTTACACTATATCCTCAGTAACCCCCAATTCCCAACAAGGAAATGAAATTAAATTCAGCATGTCCTGCATTATCCCTGCATTCTTATAGAAAATCTTTCGGATGATCCAGTGGTTTTAACTTCACAAAAACTGAGGTTTACGAATAGGAAGCAATTCAGGAAGCACCAATGGTAAACTAAAAGTAGGATGTCCTGGATATGATTCCAGGCCTATGTGGAAATTATCCCTTCCCTACTCCCACTGTGGCATTCCCTCCCCTCTTTCTCTTTTACTGCTTCAGATCTATAGTAGCAGAGGAATTCTAACTGATGCAAACTGGCTTCAGATCCCACAAGGTTACCACTTACTGGCTGCGGTACATGGGCCTCATATGTAAAATGGAGACAATAAGCAATAATATCTTCTTTCTCATGGGGTTATTGTGAGGATTCAATGAAATCCTTTAAAAACACTTAGAACATTAGCCAGGCATAGTGGCACATGCCTGTAGTCCAAGCTACTTGGGAGGCTGAGACAGGAGGATCCTTTGAGTCCAGGAGTTTGAGGCTGCACTGAGTTATGATCATGCCACTGCAGTCCTGCCTGGGCAACAGAGTGAGACCCTGTCTCTAAAAAACAAAACAGGCCAGGCGCGGTGGCTCACACCTGTAATCCCAGCACTTAGGGAGGCCAAGGCAGGCAGATCACTTGAGGTCAGGAGTTCGAGACCAGCCTGGCCAACATGATGAAACCCCATCTCCACTAAAAGTACAACAATTAGCCAGGTGTGATGGCACGCACCTGTAGTCCCACCTACTTGAGAGGCTGAGGCAGAAGGATTGCTTGAGCTTAGGAGGCAGAGGTTGTAGTGAGCGGAGATCACGTCATTGCACTCCAGCCTGGGTGACGGGAGTGAAACCCTGTCTCAAAAAAAAAAAAAAAAAAACTTAGAACAAGCTGGGTGTGGTGGCACATGCTATAGTCACAGCTACTTGGGAGGCTGAGGCAGGAGGATGGCTTCAGGCCAGGAGTTCGAGTCTAGCCTGGGCAACATAGCAAGACGCCATCCCAAAAACAACAACAACAAAACCACTCTTAGTGCATGGCACGTTAGTCAGCTCTATTTAGTACATCTGTTGTCATCATTAAGTAATCAGCACATCATTAATAGTGTGTGCTGTTAAGTCATTTAACTTTTCTAGGCCTCAGTTTTCTCCTCTGTAAAATGGTATGGCTTAACTAGATGACCTCTGAGGTTTCTGTTAGCTCAGTCTATAATTCTGTGATTTGGAACCTATATAAGTAGTTCCTCCCTAGGTCTAGGAAAGTTTTCTTTCCCTACCTATACTTACTAGAAGGAGCGATTTTGCTTCCTTAGTGCATAACAACGTGCTTTCTCAGAAATCCTCTGAAAAAAGAAATGTTAAATTTTCCTTGACTAGAGAGGTTTCATTGCCAGCATTTTTAGCAGGAATGAAATGGAGAGTATAATTTATTGGAAGTATTGTGAAGAGAGGGAAGGAAATGGCATCAAAGTCCATTAACACTTGTTGGTAAGGAGCATATATGGAATGATGACACAATAAAAAGTTAATATCCATTGAGCATCTTCTATGTGGGAAGCACTGTGCTAGCATGTATTATCTCATTTAATCTTTGCAACAACCCCACTAGATAGATATTCTTATAATCCCCATTTTGCAGTTGAGGAACATGAGGCACAGAGAGATTAAGAAACTTCCTTAACATCACACAGCTAGATGATGATAGAGGTGGAATTTGAACATATATAATCTGATTCTAATACCCACGCTCTTAAACCATTATGCTATACTGAATTGATTCCAGGTACAGCGTCAATTGATTTAAATAACTAGAATGCTTTAAATGAGGACATACGGTTTAACAACTAACAATCCTATGAAAAAGTTGAAAGACGAATATAACGAACATTGCTTACACATTTATCAATTAACATTTTGCTCCATTTAATTTATCTCTATAGAAGATCTCCTTTTCAAAAAAGCAAATGGCAGACATCATGATGCTCCAATAAACAAGGACAATCTCCTAAATAACAATGCCATTATCACAGACAAGACTATAACAATTAAAACAGACAAATTTAATAACCTTTAGTTTGCTTTTTAGATAAGTCAAATCTCCTTTTAGATCATTGAAATTGCATTGCTAAAAAACAAACTCTTACCAAGATCTGATTTTTTTCTCTTCTCAGAAATCATATTCCATGCCCATCAGCATTGAATTTCAGCGGAGATATGCAACAATTGTTCTGGAGCTTGAACAGCTGAACAAGGACCTAAACAAAGTTTTGCATAAAGTTCAACAGTATTGCTATGAGGTAAGTGATATGTATAGATTTCCCTCCATATTTGTATTTGAAGCTTAATCCTTTTACTTTCACACTTTAGAAAATCCATACCAAGCCAATATCTTCATAAAGTCCTTTAGCAGAACTGTATTATATAAAGTTTCTTACTCCTCCCAGCATCAGTGTTGAAGAGTGCTTTATACACAGAAAGCTGTCAATTCTGAGTTTTTTGGTTCAAGATACAAATAAGGCCCTCCAAAAAAATTTGGAAAAATCCAGAAAACTAATTACTCTTAATTCCACTACCCCAGAAACCAAATTTTGTTGTTGTCATTGTTTTTTCTTCTTCTTTATTTATTTATTTATTTTTTTTGAGACAGGGTCTAGCTCTGTTGACCAGGCTGGAGTACAGTGATGCAATCTTGCAATCTTGGCGAACTACAGCCTCAACTTCCCAGGCTCAAGCTATCCCCCAACCTCAGCCTCCTGAGTAGCTGGAACCACAGGTGCACGACATGCCCAGTTTATTTTTTATAGAGATGAAGTCTCGCTATGTTGCTCAGGCTGGTCTCAAACTCGTGGGCTCAAGCGATCCTCCTACCTTGGCCTTCCAAAGTACTGAGATATAGGTGTGAGCCACTGTGCCCAGCCCCAAAGACCAAATTTTGCTTTATTTCTTCTTAGTCTTTTTTGGTTGTTTTTTTGTTTTTGTTTTTTAAACAATACCTGCTTTTTCTCACAAAGTTCTGATCATGCTGGCCATACAATTTTGTTGCCTTCTCTTTTAAACCTTAAATTAGCATTAGAACTATGAATTCTTGAATTTCAAATACATAGATAACAGGGTTGTTTGTGAATTTTCATTCACATGTGATCATATGAGAGTGGTTCAACAGTTTCATCCAAAATTTGAGTTTCCTACTACAGGGTAAGAATTAAAATGATTCAGTTGAGTTTAAAATGCTCCTGAATTTGCATACTTTGAGGTTGTGTGTTTCCAGGAAAGCCACCTCTATTTGTGATATCAGATTCTTTTTTTTTTTTTTTTGAGACAGAGTCTTACTCTGTTGCCCAGGCTGGAGTGCAGTGGCACAATCTCGGCTCACTGGAACCTCTGCCTCCCAGGTTCAAGCAATTCTCCTGCCTCAGCCTTCTGAGTAGCTAGGATTACAGCTGTGCACCACCATGCCCGGCTAATTTTTTTGTATTTTTAGTAGAGATGGGGTTTCACCATATTATAGGCCAGGCTGGTCTCGAACTCCTGACCTCAAGTGATCCGCCCTCCTCGGCCTCCCAAAGTGCTTGGATTAGAGACATGAGCCACTGTGCCCAGCTGTGATACCAGATTTTTTTTTTTTTTTTTTTTTTGAGACAGAGTTTCGCCCTTGTTGCCCAGGCTGGAGTGCAGTGGCATCATCTCGGCCCACTGCAACCTCTGCCTCCCAGGTTCAAGTGATTCTCCTGCCTCAGCCTCCCGAGTAGCTGGGATTACAGGCATGCATTACCACGCCCAGGTAATTTTGTATTTTTAGTAGAGACAGGGTTTCTCCATGTTGATGAGGCTGGTCTCAAACTCCCGACCTCAGGTGATCCGCCTGCCTCAGCCTCCCAAAGTGCTGGGATTACAGGCATGAGTCACCGCGCCCAGCAATATCAGATTTTTAAACAGTTGGCTTATTTTCCTGATAGTTGTCAGTCATCCACATAACAATATGCATTGTATTAGTAAATAGATTTTCTCCCCTGGACTAGCAATTATTCACAAGACATGCAGACTATGCAGTCCAGGATGACACATAACAAAGCTGATGGTACATGCAGAAACGGGTTGCTCATCAATCTTTTTGTAGTACCCAAGGCCATTTGTGATAGGCTCCTTTCCTAATGAAGTAAAGTGATTTAATCTTCTCAAAGCTCTTATGGAACTACAATATAGATTTTAAAATAAGAACATATCAGAGAGAACACCATGACTAAGCAATTCTACTTCTCAATATATACCAAAAAGATACATCAACATGTATTTACCAAAATACATATACTAGAATGTTCATAGCCTCACTGTTCCTTATAGCCAGAAATCACAAAGTACCCAAATACCCATCAGTACTACAATCAACTAATAAACATGGTATAATTACACAATGGAAATGCTACCCAGCAATGAGAATGAATGAACTCGACTACAACTCAGTGCCATAGATGGATCTCACAAACACAATGTGGAACAAATAAAGTCAGACACGCCGGGTGCGGTGGCTCACGCCTGTAATCCCAGCACTTTGGGAGGCCAAGGCAGGCGGATCACGAGGTCAGGAGATCGAGACCATCCTGGCTAACACGGTGAAAACCTGTCTCTACTAAAAATACAAAAAAAATTAGCTGGGCGTGGTGGCGGGCGCCTGTAGTCCCAGCTACTCGGGAGGCTGAGGCAGGAGAATGGCGTGAACCCAGGAGGCGGAGCTTGCAGTGAGCCGAGATTGCGCCATTGCACTCCAGCCTGGGCAACAGAGCGAGACTCAGTCTCAAGAAAAAATAAATAAATAAATAAATAAAGTCAGACACAAGAGAATATATAATGTATGATTACATTTTTATAAAGCTCAAAAGCTAACCTCTGATGCTAGAAGTCAGGATGGTGATTACCCTGAGGGAGGTGGTACTGGAAGATGGCATTATCAGGGGGTCTGGGGCATTGGTAATATTCTGGTTCTTAATCTAGTTGCTGACTTCTCAGGCATGTTTGATTTGTGAAAACTCATTAACCTGTACACTTTACGATTTGTGTACTTTTATGTATTTATGTATGCTTCAATTTAAATTTTAGAAAAGTATTAAAGGATACAGTTATTCATTGAAGCATTATTGGTAATTAAAAAATATTAGAAATAAACATAAATGCCCACACATAGGGAACTGACTATTTATGGTACATCCACACAATTGAATACTATGCTGCTGTAAGAGAGGAAGTTCTCTATTTACTGACACAGAGTGATTTCCAGGATATGTTATTAGATGCAAAAAGCAAATACGAAAATACACATACATATTCCAAAGTATAACCTTTGGAGTAGGAAATAAGTGGAAATACAATGTATATGTATCAGCTTAATTTTTCAAAAGGAAGCAGAAAGGATACATTAGAAACTAATTTGGGAATGGGGTAGGAGTTGGTGAGCAAGAAGGAATGACATTTTTCTGAGTGTTTGTTTCCCCAACAAATACAAGTAAATGCAAACAGAAATAAATGAACCTAACTATATTTCAAAGGAGTGACATAAACTTACTGAAGGGGATAAAAACTGATTCAGATAGCTTGAACATAGCATAGGTTGAGCATCCCAAGTCTGAAATGCTCCAAAGTCCAAAATTTTTTGAGTGCCAAAGTGAAACTCAAAGGAAATGCTCCCTGGAGCAGTTTGGATTTTGGAGTTTTGTATTTGGGATTCTCAACCGGTAAGTATAATGCAAATATTCTAAAATTTTAAAAAATCCTAAATCCAAAACACTTCTGGTCCCAAGCATTTTGGATAAGGGATACTCAACTTATATTTTGACTGTATACCTTTAGTCTGAACCAAAATTTAAATAAACATTGAACTCTAGTTAGTAGAATTTTTTCTCTTGGTGGCATGCATAGCAGTCCTGAAACTCTTTTTTTTTTTTTTTTTTTTTGAGACGGATTTTCGCTCTTGTCCACCAGGCTGGAGTACAGGGGCGCAATCTCGGTTCACTGCAACCTCTGCCTCCGGGGTTCAAGCGATTCTCCTGCCTCAGCCTCCCCAGTAGCTATGATTACAGGCATGTACCACCATGCCCAGCTAATTTTTATATTTTTAGTAGAGACATGTTGGCCAGGCTGGTCTTGAACTCCTGACCTCAGGTGATCCACCCACCTCGGCCTCCCAAAGTACTGGGATTACAGGCATGAGCCACCACACCCAGCAGCAGTTCTGAAACTCTTACTGTGTACTCTAGGACTGAGCAAAGAAGCAAATAAGTATATTGAACCTGGGAGGCAGAGGTTGCAGTGAGCTGAGATCGCACCACTGCACTCCAGCCTGGGCAACAGAGTGAGACTGTCTCAAAAAAAAAAAAAAAAAATTTAGGATAACGCGAGCCAGGTTTCTCACTGTTGAAGAAGGCAGTTATGAAGAGGGGGAAGACTAGAGTGAACCCTGTGGCATTAGATGGGAATAGGGGGAATCAGTATGAATTCATGGTTTATTTTATCTTTATGCTATATGTATAAGTGAGTGTATATGTCTGCTGAGAGAGCCAAAAGCAAAGACACCCTAATAGCAAAGAACACACTAGACCCAGATCTTGGTCTCTTATCTCTGTTCTCCAATTTAAAAAAGCAGGACTTCTTGAAAAAGAGACTGATTCCAGACCTGAGGCAGAGAAAGAAGATGAGCCCGGCCCACCTTATTATGCCAAGGAAGTAAAATGTGCCCCCAAATTACGGGGACGTGTCAAAAAGGGCCAGCTTGACAGGGTTCCCACTGGCCAAATCTGGGACAATTTGAGCTTCAGAATAAATAAATATAGTAAGAGATTATAACCCATAGAATAAAAGTTATGTCAGTATGGGTTCATACTGATACTAGTTCATTTTTTAAGGGAAACTACTTTGTAGTAAAATGCCAACTAATAAATATAGAAGCAGTGTTAAGAGTGAGAAAAACACCATTTTGCAACCATCATAGTAATAATTGATATAGACAAGAATCATCAACAGATGCTAAAATTGGTAGGTAAAAGTTTGATGACAAATAGGATGTTTACATAGCCTCAAAGTATCTCTTCACAACTACTTAGTACTTACAAAAAGGAAATCCTTTACTGTAGGGAAATCTGGCAGACACTTAACTTACCAATTGATCAAAGAGAACATCACCAGTAATGGGACAGGTCAACATCACGTGCCTTCTAATAAAGATGCCAGAGAACTCAGCACCACATTTGTAGTATTTCTGCCCAAAAATGCATAACTTCAGTCTAATCATAAGGAAACAAACAAACCCACATTGGGGGATATTACACAAAATAATTGGCTCGTACTCTTCAAAAATACCAAGGAAATACAAACTGGAGTGATTAGAGGTAATGAGGCACAGTGTTTGCAACTTATTCTTAAATTAGTAACGGGAAGAATTATACATTCACAGAGATCAAATGGCAGATCAAATGTAGTAAAACATAAACAGTAAATCTGAGTAAATGTTATCAAGAGTTCTTTGTTTTATTCTTTTAACTTTTTTTAGAAGTTTGAAATTATATCAAAATTAAAAATTACAAAAAATAGAAAATCAGAAACTGTTAAAGGAAAAAAACTTCTAAGGTAAGAGTACCACTTTAGTTTTAAATGCTAGTTTTATAAAAATTAAAATCTGAAAAGAGGGCACAAACACATACAGAAATAATCATGGCTTCTCGAACATGCGTCTCATGCTTCAATCATCTGTATTCAGCTTGCTCCAGACCAGGGGCTCCAGCCTGCAGATCAGCCAACAGATATGAGACGCAGGTGTGAGGAAGAAGCACAGGAAATTGTTCGGCATGCAAATTCCTCAACAGGACAGCCCTGCGTTGAAAATGAAAATCTGACAGACTTAATTTCCAGGCTTACAGCTATTTTGTTACAAATTAAGGTAAATCTTAGAGAAAATATTTTCTTAATTTGACACAAAGCAACCCACGCTAATTTGTTGCTAAGAAATTAATTCATTGATTATATCAGGTATTTTATGACTATATTTGAGCTATAATGCAATTAAATTTTGAAATTTTTTTCCCTTTAGTGTCTAGCAGAAGGAGGAGACCTGAATTCCTTTGAATTCAAATCACTTACAGACTCATTAAATGATATCAAGAGTACAATAGACGCTTCTAATATCAGGTAATTCGTTAGGTATACTCTAATCATTTTAATGTGAAGTTCATAGTAATTTTCAGTCCAGGTTTTAAGAATTATGCATATTTGTGAAGTACTCATATATTATTATCCGTTAAATATATTTGTAAGAGCTTTTCACTTATATCCAGCCTATGGACAGAATAGAAATTTCACATGGATTTTGTATATAAAGAAATCAGGACATATATTTAGGTTTGGGGTCAGCATGGAGGTTGAGCTTAGAGGTAGAGCTTCCCCAGTCAGTGAGAGACTCATCTTCTCCTTCCAGCCCCCCGTGGCTCCTTTGCTTCTTTAGAGCATATTTGTTCAACTACTACTGAAGTAGAATTATGGCTAATATATTAGAGGAGATTTATTCCTTCCCTAAGATTTATCATAGCTGTTTCCTAACTAAAATTCAGGTCTTCTTTTAAAAATTTTTTTCTTAATTTTTTGAAATAAAGTAGTTAACCATGTTTCTTCTTTCTTTAGTTGCTTTCAGAATAATGTAGAAATCCATGTTGCACATATTCAGAGTGGCCTGAGCCAGATGGGAAACTTACATGCCTTTGCAGCAAATAACACCAACAGAGACTGAGTAAAGATTTCATTATTCCAACTGCACGGGACATTGTTTTTGAGAAGTTCTTTTCCTTTATATAGGCTTCCAACACCAAATAACCTAACTGCTGGAAAACAAGGGAAATTTAAATCTCCAAATAAGGCATTTTAATAGACTGTACTGCTTCTTAAACCAGCATTGCTGACCAGCATTATATTTATTTTTCTTTTATTATTCAGATGCAGTAGCATTGCTTATGTTACATATGTTTATATTCACAAATATTTTTAAACTGAAATATCTGAACATAATATAATTTCGTGGAAGAATACATTGACCATTTTTTTTAATGTGCATGAATTCACCGCAACACATGCAGACAACTGCTGCAATGGAGAGTATGAAGAAACCTGGTCTTTTTATTCATGTCGGTGGCAGTGTGGAAATTCCATCCAGAAAATTACAACTCCACTTGATTTAGTTGATCACCATCTCAGTCTTCAAAAGATAACATCATGAGGTGTGGGAAGTCCTAGTTTTAAGGAAACCACTGAAATATAGATGGGAAATGTGGACTTTACAAGTATATGTTATATATACTTGCAATGTGACATGGTTCTGTAGATCATTTTATAATAATAAATATTTTAATTTATCATAACATATAAAAGAAACCTTTGTTGTTTGTTGAAAGAAAATGAAGGAACAGGGGGAAAAAAGGTGCAAAATGCTAAATTTCTAAAAATGGATTTGGCATGTCTTCCCATCAGTTCAGGTCAAAAGTGCATTGTTGTGAGATTTATTAAAAAAAAAATGATAACACACTATTTTCATATTTTTTTGTTTATTTGCACAACTTTTAAACCAGATTACTGGTTAAAATCCAACAGTACACAATTTATAAAGTAAAAAGATTTTATAAGGAAAACAAATATAATAACCAGTGCTGTGAAATGCAGAAGAAAGGCTTGTTTTGGTTGTTTTTCTTTTTTAGGAAAACGCTGCCTAAAATGTTAATCTTGTAAAAAGTATGTATTTGGAATTTTCTTCGTTTTAATAGAATATTATAAACTCAAAATATAAATTTTTTTCAAATTTGGAGTTTAAGATATAGCTGTAGAGGTGGTTTTAATTCCTTTAGATGTCTCATAAAATGAGACTTTTTATATGTTAATGTATAATAAAACTGAAACAAGATTATTTTCCATTTGAAATTTTTGTATAGTTTAAAAAGGCTTCCGTATTCTTTGTTGGTATTGTGCCACTGCAGAACTTTAGTGCAGAGTTTATATTTAGCTAAACTGTTATGTTAATTAAGAAATGCATAAATCTTCTATTCTTAATATTTGTAATTCTAAATAAATTGATCTATGAAAATTATTATTTTCTATATTTTCATTTAATTCAAGTCAATATGCATTCCTTCTGTTTAAAAAGTTTTGAAGAATTGTAATTTCCATTAAGTTATATTTTTAGGGGAAACAGTACAGATTACCGAGTCTCTCTGAAGTACCATACCATCCAATGGTATGGATTTTATTTATTACCATACCATACCATCCAGTGATACGGATTTTATTTATTACCATACCATCCAGTGGTATGGTATTAAGCAGGTAAGTTATTTGGCCTGGTATAGACCTAGTGAAAGGTTGATTTTAATATATTCTGCCTAGAATTGGGTATTTTGTGCATTTTTTCTTTTACATTTCTTTTTTTTTTTCTCTGTCGCCCAGGCTGGAGTGCAGTGATGCAATCTCAGCTCACCACAACCTCCAGGTCTTGGGTTCAAGGGATTCTTCCACCTCAGCCTCCTGAGTAGCTGGGATTACAGGCACGCGCCACCACGCCTGGCTAATTTTTGTATTTTTAGTAGAAACAGAGTTTCACCGTATTGGTCAGGCTGGTCTCGAACTCCCAACCTCAAGTGATCCACCTGCCTCAGCCTCCCAAAGTGCTGGGATTACAGGTGTGAGCCACCATACCCGGCCTGTCTTACTTACATTTCTTAAGGCTTATTTGTCACACTTAAATAGTACCTCATTTTACACATATTTAATTGAGCACTGTTTATCTTTCAGTGCCTTCATGTGTTGACAGCAGGGACTGTGCTGGAGAATACAGTTGAATTTTATTTCTGTTTTGGGAGGAAGAAATCTATATTTCCAAGTAGTCATGTTGGGTCAGCCATACATTGATTTGAATGATATGCCACTGCTTAACACACTTTCGGAGCTCTAAAGAAAGCTATCAAAGCCAGATTGAGCAAACATGCAAGCACATACATGGCTTTTATTTATATAGATTTGGTTCTGAGTTACTTTAAGCTAGTTCCAAAAGTCACATTCACTCGTAACCATTGAGAATCTACAAAAATATTTGCCCATTAGCATTTTTGAATCAATGCACCTCTCTCCATCTTCATTATCACCACTACTTGCAGCCCAGCTGCCATCATCACTGGCCTGGAACACTGCAATTGTCTCCTAACTTACCTCCCAGCATCTACTCAGCCCTCTTCAAATGCAGTCAGAGGGATCATCTTAAAATGCAGAATGGATCATGTTATCCCTCTGTCTATAAATGCTTTTAAAGTCTTCATTTGGCTTTCAGGACAAATTCAAAACTCTTTTACAAGACCTATAAAGCCATGCATGATCTGGCCCCCCCCCCCCCACTTCTTTATCTGCTCGTTACTTCACAGGGTCTTTGCACATGCAGTGTGTTCCCTCTCCTCTCCTTGTAACTCTTGATCATCTTCCAGATCTCACCTTCAGCATCACTTTTTCAAGGAAGCTTTCATTAACCACAGCACATCTATTACAATGTCTCCAGATCATATATCTCTCCTTCCAGCACTTGGCACATTTGCAATTTAATATTAATATTTCTTGGAGGTCTTTTGTCTCCCTACTAGCCTCTGCTCCATGAGGGGAGGGACTGTTTCTGTTTTTGTTCACCATTTATTTCCAGGTCCTGGTAAAGTGCCTGTTCATGGGCAACAAATAAATATTTGTGTAATGAGTGGGCAAATGAGAGTTTCAAAAAAGCTCTAAGCAACATTAATGTCATCAGAATAAGAGTATGGTCTTCCGTGGTGATTTCCTTGAAAGATGAGACAGTAATGACTGGCATGTAGAAATTCTGACTTGGTGATTGCTTTTAAACCTATCACATTACTTTATCATTAGTCCTGACTAACAAGACCACTGCAATATAGGAGGCACTGTATGGTGGTAGACTAATGGGTGGGCTGAGTTTGAGTCCTGGCCATGCCATTTATAAGCTGTATAATTGTGAGACACTACTTAGATTCAGTTTCTTGATCTTTAAAGTAGGAAGATTAGTCCCTGTCTTACATGGTAGGTGTGAGGATAAAATAGATAATGTCTGTAACACATTTAGCAGTTAGGGCCTCTTAGAGTTTGAGAGAGCTGCAGGCTACTTCTTAGAGGATCCCACAATTTAAAATGTGACAACAGGATTTACATATTTATAGATTTTTACAGTTGTTCACTGGGGAAACAACATGAGACAATATAAAAGCAATAATAAAATAATTACCAGATTTTTTCGTAAGTGCGATTCTTAGTGGACCATAATTTAAAGTGTTATATGTCTTTCAGTTTTGTGGATGTATTTGCAGTATCTCATTTGGCCATGTCACAAGTTTAAATGTAAGTCACAAGTTTAAATGTAAAGCTCTGTGATTGTGAGACCTCCTGAGCACCTCCAGGATGGGCCCTGAGCACAGTGTTAATAGCTAATGTTTATCAGCTCATTTTTGGTTTCAAACAGTTTTCAAAGAATCGATAAGTACACTTTGCTGCTAAGGCCTCAACTATGTTCTCTTGGCTGCTTTTTGCTGGGGGAATGGCAGGGACAAGGTCTCACTCTGTCACTCAGGCTGAGTGCAGTGGCACGCTCATAGGTCACTGCAGCCTTGAACTCCTGAACTCAAGCAGTCCTCCCACATCAGCCTCACGATTAGCTGGGACCACAGGCACATGCCACCATGCCTGACTTTTTTTTTTTTTTTTTTTTTTTGAGACAGAGTCTCACTGTCACCCAGGCTGGAGTGCAGTGGCCCAGTCTCGGCTCAGTGCAACCTCCGCCTCCCGAGTTCAAGCAATTCTCCTGCCTCAGTCTCCTGAGTAGCTGGGACTACAGACACCTGCCACCATGCCCAGCTAATTTTTGTATTTTTAGTAGAGAGAGGGTTTCACCATGTTGGCCAGGCTGGTCTTGAACTCCTGACCTCAAGTGATCTGCCTGCCTTAGCCTCCCAAAGTCCTGGGATTACAGCGTGAGCCACCGTGCCTGGCTTTTTTTTTTTTTTTTTTCAAGAGACAGGGTCTTGCTATGTTGTCCAGACTGGTCTCAAACTCCTGGGGTCAGGCAAACCTCCCACTTCAGCCTCCCAAACTGCTGGAATTACAGGCATGAGCTACTGTGCCCAACCTCCTGGTTGGTTGCTTGCTTGCTTGCTTTTTTCCTCAACTCCTAAGTGCTTGGAAACTCTTGGTTGGTTTTTGTTGTTTTTGTTTTTTGAGATGGATTCTTGCTCTGTTGCCCAGGCTGGAGTGCAGTGGCACGATCTTGGCTCACTGCAACCTCCACCTCCCAGGTTCAAGCAGTTCTCCTGCCTCTGCCTCCTGAGTAGCTGGGATTACAGGCATGTGCCACCATGCCCAGCTAATTTTTGTATGTTGTGGTGTTTTTTGACACAGTCTTGCTCTGTTGCCCAGCTCTTGGTTGCTTTAAAAAATACAAAATTAGCTGGGCGTGGTGACGGGCGCCTGTAATCCCAGCTACTCGGGAGGCTGAGGCAGGAGAATCGCTTGAACCCGGGAGGCAGAGGTTGCAGTGAGCCAAGATCATGCCACTACACTCCAGCCTGGGTGACAGAGCAAAACTCCATCTCAAAAAAAGAAAAGTACAAACCACTTGAATAACATCTCTGAAAATTAGGGCATCTGGCATGTATAATCTCATGCTCTTCTAGTAACCATCAAGACATGATGTCCTGGCCCTAGCTAGCTATGGCATCCCATGAGCCTACTTTAAAGCACAGTTTACAAAGAAACTTCACCTGTGGTTGCCTCATACACAGACCATTTCCTTTGACTCTAAAGGAGTTTGAAAACTCTCAAAATATCAAAATATTTTAATTGATCTTAGACTGACTTAGAAACGGTTATTTACATACATTTAGAATTATAAATTGCAAAGAGAAATTTCCCAAAACCAAAATACTCACAAAATATTATTAAACATTCAAGCAAAAATGTTTTTAACCCAATTAAATTTCTCAGCTCAGTGGCCTGCTGATATAATATTGATTACTGGCTAAAAACTACATTTGCAGAAACTTTTAGAAATGTCTTTCATGGCCACATAGTATGTACTGAGCAATTGTGGAGTGAAGCACTGTACTAGGAGTTATCTAGAAGAATTCATTTAAATAGAAATTACATTGGAACATTTGTGAAAGACATTTAATAATCCACAAAACTTGCACAGGAAGTACAATAACAAGTGCTAAGGGTAATGGAGTGATCGAAGTAACAGGTGCAAAATCAGGATTACTTAGAGAAAATTTCAGACTTCAGAAGGCAGGTGGGGAGTCCTCGAGTGTTTTGAAAGCAAAAGGTATGAATTTGGTTCAAAACTGAAAGGAGTGACTTTAAGACCAAAGCATATATTGTGGATAGTTGACCTTCAGATTTGCATAGCTGTCCTGCAGGCTAAGGATGATATCAGTTATCTGGGAGGGTAACTGAAAGCTTTTTATAATTTGGTAGCAACTGGAGGCTACCACAGAACCATAGAGTAATTTTTTTTTTTTTTTTTTTTTTTTTTGAGAGCCTCCCTCTGTCTCCCAGGCTGAAGTGCAGTGGCACGATCTTAGATCACTGCAACCTCCACCTCCCAGGCTCAAGTGATTCTCCTGCCTCAGCCTCCTGAGTAGCTGGGACTACAGGCTCCCGTCACCGTGCCCAGCTAAGTTTTATATTTTTAGCAGAGATGGGGTTTCGCCATATTGGCCAGGCTGGTCTTGAACTCCTGACTTCAGGTGATCCACCCACTCGGCCTCCCAAAGTGCTGAGATTGCAGGAGTGAGCCACTGCACCTGGCCCACAGAGGGTAATTTTTTTTAAGTAGTTGAGAAGCTAGAGGCAAGGGGGCTGTCGAAATAATCTGCATGCAGAGTCATTGGAGCTATGATTGAACGTGAAGATGACAGGCCCAATTTTAAAAAGTAATAAACCTAGGATGAGGGTTGAAGAGACGGGGTAGAGTGACTTTAAGATTATAAGCCTTGGAGGGACCAGGAGAAAATGGCAGCTGTCAAACACAAGGGGAAACTGAGTCAAGCTGAGGCATTCTTGTGAAGAAAATAATGAGTTCTGAACAACCAGTCCAAAAACTAAAAACAGGCCTGGCAAGAAGGCATAGGGATGCAGACCAATGGAATGTGCAGGCTTGGAGAGAACACAGGTAAAAACGAATGCGGGAACTCTGGGGTGGGAGTGTGGGCTTAAAACGTCATTGACAAAGTGGCGGGGTACCTTCAAATGTGAGAGGTGCTGTCAAAACCATCATCAAGGTTAACAAGGACATGTCCTTAGCATGGAAGTCAGAAAGGACAGTATGCTGATGTGTCTCTCCCAGGCTGTCAGTCATGGCTCCTCAGAGCTTATCCCGAATTCTCCCAGAATCCTCAAAAGTTACCAAAGGCAGAAAAGATGTGTTCCTCCCATGAGTCCAGCTTTGAACCAATGTCTTCAGAGAGAGGGGAACAGGTTTCAAAATTCTGACCTTGGGAGCTAGAGTCAGAGATGCCCCCTCCAACCCCGTTTGGTTCGGGCAGGCAGTTCACATCTACCTCAAGAGGCAGCTGGGGCTTCAGACATTTCGTTTCAGTTCCAGGAGCACAGTGGTTGAGGATAATCTCCGGCCTAGCCAAAGGTTGGAAGGATTTCCCACTCTGACGCCGAGACTTGGCACGCCTGTTCTGGAACCATACCTGGAAGAGGGGAGAAAATAAAAGCTGCTTTTGGTTGGAGTTTTTTATGCTAACATTATGTTCACAGTTCATACTGGTAAGTTCCAGTTTAACATCCCCTGGCTTCCTCTCCAGAGCCTTGTCTTCAGAAAGCACTTGGGTTGACGATTAGAAGTTCAGAACACCTGGCTTTCCTTGCCTCCCCATTCCCAGATGGAAACATTGGAATAATGCCTAGTTCTATCTACTCTTTAGTTAGAGAAATTTTCATGAAAAATGGGGTCACAAAAATGGAAGCACTTAGAATTCTTAGAAAAAAACTGCATTAAATTATGAAGAAAACCTGTTTTTTAAGGTCTGCACTCCCTTGTCAAACTAATCAAGGAGGTATTTTGCTCATGCCAGCTGTTGAGACTGACAGCTGTATGACCGCCAGGGGTGCAGAGAAAACAAGTCCACTCTCCCAGTGTTTAAATGAGGGCTGCTACTTAAAACTGCGCTTGGACACCGACCACGGGGCTACAGACAGACAAAAAGGCAGGCTTCTCCTTACCAACTCTAAGATTCTGATCTAAATTACTTTAGATAATAAACACGGCCGGGCGCGGTGGCTCACGCCTGTAATCCCAGCACTTTGAGGCGGGTGGATCACCTGAGGTCAGGAGTTCGAAACCAGCCTGACCAACATGGTAAAACCCCGTCTCTACTAAAAATACAAAAATTAGCTGGGCGTGGTGGCTGGCGCCTGTAATCTCAGCTACTCGGGAGGCTGAGGCAGGAGAATCACTTGAACCTGGGAGGCGGAGGTTGCAGTGAGCCCAGATCGCGCCATTGCACTCCAGCCTGGGCAACAAGAGTTAAAACTCCATCTCAAATAAAAACTAAATAAATAAAAATAAACACACCTTGCACTAGATTTTTCAAACTGAAAACAAGCTCCAGGTGCTTCTCGCTTTATCTCAATTCGCTACATCCTTTCAAATCTAATCCCAAAACGTAACACTTGCCAAGAAAGTAGCATGGGGGTAACTTGGCGAGCCAGCCTTCCCCGTTTTCAGCTACCATTCTCACGCTCAAAGCCAGAGGAAAACCCCAACTGCCCCTCATCTGTGTCTTCTTCCCGGATAAAGAAAAAGTGTAAAACTTCTTATCTTCCTGCTGGGAATTACTTTCTGGCCATTTCAGGGGACCGGCTAGCCTCCTAGGAGCCCTTATTATATTTAATAATGAGAGAAATCGTTCAGTGCAGGCCTAAATTATTTCACACAGGCCTCGCAACCACCCTATGCAGCAGGTGCCGATATCACCCCCTATTTCAGTCTAGTACGCAGAGCCTCAGGGGAAGCACCGTGCCTGCAACGTCCCGGGTGTGGCCTCAGGAGCCCGCAGTCCAGACCTAGAGTCCGCAGCGCCTCCGCTCCAGCGCGCACTTGCGAACGCAGCGGGCCCTCACCTGGATCCTGGACTCGGGGAGCAGGGTGAGCGCGGCCAGGCGCTCGCGCAAGTGGATGTCGGGGTACCGGGTCCGGCGGAAGACGAGCTCCAGCAGCTGCAGCTGTTCGGCGCTGAAAGACGTGCGCTTGCGGCGCTGCGACGCCGACGGGGCGGCCGCGCCTTTGGGGGGCGCAGGCGAGCCCAGGCTGGCGGGGGGCGGCGGGGCCGGCCCGGGGTCCCGGCCGAGGAAGCCCGCAAAGGTCGCTGGGCCGGGGCCCGCGGGCGGCGCAGGGAGCAGGGCTGCCGCAGGGCTCGGGGGCGGCAGGAGCGCCCCGCCGGCGTGGGGGGCCCGGTACGCTGGAAACGCGGCGCCCTCGGCAAACTGGAGCGCACGGGACTCGGCTGTGGCCATCGCTCCGGAACCCAGCGCGCCGCTCGGAGGGGCGCGGGCCGCACTTATACCCTCCCGGGCCAGGGGCTGGGAAGGCGGGGCGGTGCGATCAAAGGTGGGCTCGGGGAGACCCGTGTCTCCTCCGGGTGCGAGCCCGCCCCCGGCCCCGCCAGACGCCGGGGAATAATCGCTTCCGCCGGCTGCGGGATGCAGGAGGGAGGCGTGAACTTGGGTCCCGGCCCCCTCCGTGTTCTTCCCCGCCCACCCGCCCGGACGGCGCAATCCACATCCCCGAAGGACTATTTGCCTGGGAGGGGCAGCCCGGAGGGGCCCGGGTGCGCGGGCCGCAGGCGACAGAACTCTCTTCTCCGGGTCAAATCCCCGTTAAGAGCGGCGGAAGCACCTTGCCTGGCCTGTGCCTTACATGGCCTGGGCCTTGAGCCTTGCCCTAGTCCCGTCTGTCCTCATCAAAGCTATTTATTTACCACCCCTGCTATGTGCTAGACCCTGTACCAGGTTGGTCAAACAGCCCGGCCCCTGTCTTCTGCAAGCCTCCCTAACACATCCTGAATCCAAGCGGGGAGGGGGGTGAAGATAAAGGATCCAGGGGGCAGCACATTCCTCCTGATTAAATGGGTGGGGGGAGTGGGGGGGTCTGGCTGGAATGTCCATGGGCCCACCAATAAAGATACCCTAGGTAGGGCGGGGTTGGCAACGTGCCCCATTAGCAGAGGATACGGCGCAGTTTGGCCTTTCTGGAGATACTCAACAATGCTTAAGACCCGTCTATTGGATGGGAGGAGATGAAAGCCACCTCATGAAGTTTCCACGCGCCCTGAATCATCATTCTTTCCTCTGCCCCTTGGGGCTCTGAAAGCTCCCATTTTCTCTACTTTGTGCTATGGTTATGGTTTCTCTATCTGCTAGATATAAAGTCTTAGCAAGCAGGAACCCACCTCTCCCTTTCTGAGTTTATTGAGTGTCTGCTTTGTACACCTATTCTGCGTGAGGCGCGGTGCTAGGCCCCTTAGTGAATGTCTGTCGAATTGGATGTCACTGAGCTCTCCTTATTGAAAGAGAAACCCATGGTCCACTATGGGAACTGCCCCACCACAGTGCAAGAACTCAAGAGAGGAACACAGAGGCCCAGGTCTTTTTGCCCCCAGCACCTGAGCGCTGATTTCACCGGGATCACTCACTGTGGTCGACTCAAAGGGAGATCTTTATTGGGAGGATCTTTCAGGGCACAATCCCCGTCCTGTCTCTGCATTCTAGAAGGTCAAAAGACAGTCTCAGAAGAGCTTGGATCTTTTTATCCTGGGTGGACATTCCAGGTGGCAAAGCGGAAAGTTTTCTTGGAGCTGCTGCAGAGAAGAATTTTGGGCTTGATTCTCTCCTGGCTGTGGTAAGGGGTGGGGTTGGCAGGGACTGTGTCCTGTGTAGCCCCTGAGGCCCTTCTGGGCAGCTGATATACTTACCTCCTGCTCTTCCATCTTCCTTCCACCCCTTCTCCTTTCTTTCCCCCTCTTCTCTTGGTTGCAGTGAGCCAAGATTGTGCCATTGCACTCCAGCCTGGGCAACAAGAGTGAAACTCTGACTCAGAAAAAAAAAAAAAAGTTAATTCCCCAGCATCTCCAAAACAGCCAACATCCATTGGCCAGGTGCAGTGGCTCATGCCTGTAATCCCAGCACTTTGGGAGGCTGAGGCGGGCGGATCACCAGGTCAGGAGATCGAGACTATCCTGGCTAACACGGTGAAACCCCGTCTCTACTAAAAATACAAAAAAAAAAATTAGCCGAGCATGGTGGTGGGCACCTGTAGTCCCAGCTACTCAGGAGGCTGAGGCAGGAGAATGGCGTGAACCTGGGAGGTGGAGCTTGCAGTGAGCTGAGATCATGCCACTGCACTCCAGCCTGGGTGACAGAGCGAGACTTCGTCTCAAAATAAATAAATAAATAAATAAATAAATAAATAAATAAATAAACAATTATTAGCCGGGCGTGGTGGCACAAGCCTGTAATCCCAGCTACTCAGGAGGCTGAGGCAGGAGAATTGCTTGAACCCGGGAGGCAGAGGTTGCAGTGAGCCAAGATCGCGCCACTGCACTCCAGCCTGGGTGACTGACTGAGACTCCATCTCAAAAAAAAAAAAAAGAAAAGAAAAAGAAAAAAGAAATTACTTCTCCATGCGAGTGGATTTCCCATTTCACTTGGGATTTTCATTGACTAGGGTTGGAAAGATAGAAGTCATATTGAGTTTCTACAAAAGCACTTGAAATTAAAATGATTTGCTACTTCTCTTCTTTGACAGACACTTATAAACATATAAATGGTTTTCACTATATCCAAGTTCTAGATTCCTGACTCAGTTACCCTGCTGCAGGCATACAATGGATATGTATATCACATATCCATTTGCTAATTCTTCTATATTCAGTTTTTCAATAGGAAAATGGGAAGAGCCCTATCCTTGGCAATATAATTTTTAAAATAATTATTGCAAGTTATTTTCCCAAAACAGATACCCTGTGATGTATAAAGCTCCATAAAGTGCTTTTTTTCTACAGAAGCACATCAGCTGACCAGCTCCAGCATAGCAAACTTAAGTTCAGGGTTAGCTGAAGACAGCAATCACTGAGATTAGGATCTGGATTCCTCCCTCTCCAGCACCTGGGCGAGCTCACCACTTGATTTGCTGAGAGATTTTGGCCATTATTTACATTTAGTCTGTCAGTAACTTGAAATAGACACAAGGGAAGGCAAGGTGAAATAGAAGACAATCCTCAAGGATGCTTCCTGTATAATGAGGGAAGACCAGTAAATACAAGAGGCAGTAGGGAAAAAAAAACATGATTATCTGGATCCAGGGCCGGTTCTACAGCAGCCCAGTCTGGGCAGGATGGGGCCACTTGGGGTCACTGTCCCGTTCTGCGTCCTCAACATTTCCCACCACGGTTCCTGTCACTGAATCACCCAAATATCACAGAGGCCTGTCTTTCCTCCCCAAGTGCTAAGTACTCTCTTCCCCGGGCTCTCTTTGTTGTTCAAGTCAGGCCCTCCACTGCCTAAGACCTGGCCGAGATCCTGGGTATTTATTAAAGGGAAAACCAGGAAAAGACAGCCGAGGGGAGTTGACGGCTCTGCTTCCACCTTGAGATCCGCAGCGCTGTTTGCCCCTTTGATCCTGGCCTCACTTTGATTTCCTCTCCTCTGGCTGCCCAGGCCTCCACAATTCCTGAAGTTTATTTCAGAACCAGTGGTTACAACAGACTGAAAGACAACAGCCCCCAAAAGGTATTAATGTGCCAGGAAAGTGATTAAATCCCCTCGTTAAGAAGCCTTGTTTGTTGTTGTGTATTTGGCACCATATACATTCAAAAACTAAGCACACAATAGATGCTGAACCCAACGTGTATTTTAAAATAGTGATTCCTTTTCTTCCTCCCACTATTTTTGCCTGAAGCCTCGTCTCACACAGAGGAGTCTTTTGCAACCCCAATCCACACAGTTAACCAATAAAGTTAAAATAACATTTCAACCTCAGAGAACAGAATCCAGAAGTTTTCCAAACTTATATCTGCATACTTGAAACGAAGAACTGAAACAACTAGCAGAATATTCTCAAACCTGACATTTGACTGATATTCCTTTCTTCAGTGTATGCACTGAGCACTTGAAATGGGGCTACTGTGACTGAAGAACTGAATTTTTCATTTCATTTTAGCAGATTTGAATTTACCCATAGGTGGCTAGTAGCTTCCATATCTATCAGCACAGCCCTAAACCGTCATCCAGCAAATCACCCTTTTTGTTTGTTTGTTTGTTTGTTTTGAGATGAAGTCTCGCTCTGTCACCCAGGCTGGAGTGCAGTGGTGCGATCTCAGCTCACTGCAAGCTCCACCCCCCAGATTCACGCCATTCTCCTGCCTCAGCCTCCTGAGTAGGTGGGACTACAGGCGCCTGCTACCATGCCCAGCTAATTTTTTGTATTTTTAGTAGAGACGGGGTTTCACCGTGTTAGCCAGGATGGTCTCGATCTCCTGACCTCGTGATCCACCCGCCTCGGCCTCCCAAAGTGCTGGGATTACAGGCGTGAGCCACCGCGCCCGGCCAATCACCCTTTTTTGATAATTTTATTTTATTTACTTTTTTCGAGACAGGGTCTTGCTCTGTCACCCAGGCTGGAGTGCAGTGGATCACAGCTCACTGCAGCCTCTACCTCCTCAGGCTCAGGTGATTCTCCCACCTCAGCCTCCCAAATAGCTGGGACTACAAGTGCGCACCACTATGCCCAGCTAATTTTTGTATTTTTTGTAGAGATGAGGGTTTCGCCATGTTGCTCAGACTGGTCTGAAACTTCTGGGTTCAAGCGATCCACCCATCTTAGCCTCCCAAAGTGCTGGGATTACAGGTGTGAGCCACTGTGCCCGGCTCTGATAACCTTTTATGTGTATATACAGAGAGGTATCCAGTTGGTACAAAATAATACACTAGACTTGAATTCTAGACTCTCATTTTTATTGTTTAATCACAACTCTGGATCATCAAAGTTGTTATTTTATTTTATTATTTTATTTTATTGAGACAGAGTCTCACTCTGTTACCCAGGTGGGAATGCAGTGGCATGATCTCAGCTCACTGCAACCTCTGCCTCCCAGGTTCAAGCAATTCTCCTGCCTCAGCCTCCCAAGTAGCTGGGATTACAGACATGTGCTACCCCGCCCAGCTAATTTTTGTATTTTTAGTAGAGATGGGGTTTCACCATGTTGGCCAGGCTGGTCTTGAACTCCTGACCTCTGGTGATCCGCCCATCTCAGCCTCCCAAAGTGCCGGGATTATAGGTGTTAGCCACCGCGCCCAGCCCGTTACTTCATTTTATACCTGACAGACTCCTATAGATTTGGCAAAAAGCGTGTTAAATATTATTGTAATTAGTCGGGTATGGAGGTGCACACGTATAGTCCAGCTACTCAGGAGGCTGAGGTGGGAAGATTGCTTGAGCCCAGGAGGAGTTTGAAGCTGCAGTGAGCTATAATTACACCACTGCACTCCAGCCTGGACACCAGAGCAAGACCCTGTCTTTAAAAAACAAAAACACGTTACTGTAGCATTCGTAAATTATCTTTCTCCAAAAGTGACAATTTGAGGTCACTTGCTGGCTAAAGAATTATGATACTACTAAGGAATAATAATACAAGTTTCTTTAACATTGTCATTTGACTTAAACCTCATTTAATTATTTTCTAACCATACAGTGAAACTCTGCTGTCATTCACTGACTCTGTGGGATATGACATGATATTGAATTCATGTGTATCACATATCTTGCATGAAGTCATACTGGACAAGGACAAGTAAAGAGAGAGGCATTAGGAGAACATAGAATCTGCCAATATTTGTCTTTTCTGCTCCCAAATAATTTATTTTTTTAATTTTTATTTATTTATTTTTTGAGACGGAGTTTTGCTCTTGTCGCCCAGACTCAAGTGCAATGGCACAATCTCGGCTCACTGCAACCTCTACTTCCCAGATTCAGGCAATTCTCCTGCCTCAGCCTCCCAAGTAGCTGGAATTACAGGTGCGCACCACCATGCCCAGCTATTTTTTTGTATTTTTAGTAGAGATGGGGTTTTGCCATGTTGGCCAGGCTGGTCTCAAACACCTGACCTCAAGTGATCTGCCCGCCTCAGCCTCCAGTGTTTTGGGATTACAGGCGTGAGCCACTGCACCCTGCCCCAAATAATTTATTAAAGTGTTAGCAGACACCCAGAGTAACCTAAGATCAATTCTGGACTCTGTCCCAGCCTGCACACATTGGGTGTGTATTTCCCAAACATTTTCTCTTTGGATTGCCTGTAATCGCTGGAAGACATCCTGCAGGTAAAATGCCACTCTGTTATCTAATCAAACACAGGTTCTTGGAGGATCTGGGATATAATAAGACACTTTCAAATAGATCCTCATTCATTTCAGTGTGCACTAGGAAGATGTGGTTTGAAATCAACAGTTCTACTCTCTCAGGCGATTGGGCATTTAGCCTTCATAGTAACCTGAACTTTCTGTACTCATGTAGATGGAAGAGGAAATAACTTTGACCTCTTCTTTTACATTGAACTCACGTGCTCCAAGCACCAACTCGTGTCAGGCCAGGCCCCGAGTTGCAGTACGTAAGAAGAATCTCTTCTGTTTAGCAGCCTGGCTGCTTGGGTGAGTGGCTGGCCTGCACTGAGGAAGTCCATCTGGCTCAGCCGACTCACCCCTCTCGGGAATCTCCCTTAGACCTACACTCAGCTCATTCTCATATATTGCCCCAAATCTGCATTCACTTTGGGTTTATCACTTGTACAAATAGTGCCAAAGAGAGCCGTGTTTATAACGTGGTTGCCCATTGTGCGATCATTGAAAGCCATTAGCACTCAGACTCTCGTCTCTCCATACCATTTCCCACAAGAGAAAAAAACACTCCACTGAGAAATGGCTCATTCTAGGCCTGGGAGAAAAAATACACAAACCTGGGCCAGGTGCAGTGGCTCATGCCTGTAATCCCAGCACTTTGGGAGGCCAAGGCGTGCTGATTGTTTGAGGTCAGGAGTTCGAGACCAGCCTGGCCAACATGGCAAAATCCTGTCTCTACCAAAAATACAATAATTAGCTGGGCATGGTGGCGTGCACCTATAGTCCCAGCTACTTGGGAGGCTAAGGCAGGAGGATCGCTTGAACCCGGGAGGCAGAGGTTACAGTGAGCTGAGATCGCACCACTGCACTCCAGCCTGGGCATCAGAGCGAGAATCTGCCTCAAAAACAATAACAAAAACAAAAAAAAACACCACAGGCCTGGAATAGTCATAGCTGAAAACAAGAAAACTGTAACCGTCTACCAAGGTAGCAAACACTCTCAATAAATAATATGAGGAGGCTCCCACTAGCCAAACATATGAGAGTGTGAGCATCAATAAGAAAAATAACAGCAGTAGACTGAAACACATTAAATGTGTTAAAATCTATTATTTTGTGATGATCCTGGGGAAACAAAACTGATCCCCTTGGAAGGTTCTAGGGAAAAAATGCTTAATTCTGCAAACTGGTAAGCCAAGAGAAGGAGGCAAGCATTTGTCCTGCCTTTTCTGTATTACTGCAACACAAGGTAAACAGACTGCTGACGAAGAAAAGTTCCTCCTTATGGAAGTATTCTGCTAGTAAATAAAGAAGGGATGCTACAGTTAGAATAGCCCCATTTGGCAACCTCTGATCAAATAATGGGCCTAAGCAATGACCTTCGTGGCTACTGATAACTACTTCCCTGTAGAAATACACACTACCACCTATGAATCATTCTTGCCAAAATATAAAACCAGAATCGAATCCAGCATTGGAACTCACTGCCTATTCGAAAGAACTGCAGGGAACAAGAACTCTCCCCACATCGCTACAGGAAGACAATCAACAAAAACCAGACTGCTGCGGGGTCTACAGGATAAACAGCCAGCTGCTTCATCAGATAATCAAAGCAACTGCAAAAGAGAGAGATAGAAAAAGAACCTATAGATTCAAAGAGACCTAAAAGACATATGAACCAAATGCAATGATTGGATCCTGATTGAAGCAAACTATCTGTAAATATTTATTTCTAGGAAAAGTTGG
Organism: Homo sapiens; assembly: GCF_000001405.40. Classification (NCBI taxonomy): domain Eukaryota; kingdom Metazoa; phylum Chordata; class Mammalia; order Primates; family Hominidae; genus Homo; species Homo sapiens. Next base: position 226,216,061 of record NC_000001.11, on the reverse strand, counting down.
GACATTTTAAGCATTAGATGTGAGATAATGGAATTGTGGTTAATTTTCTTTTAGTTTATATGGTGATTTTGGGGTCATATTTTTAAAAGCCTCCTCGTCTTTTAGAGATATATGCAGAAATTTTGGCAGATGAAATAATAAAATGTCTGGGATTTGCTTCAAAATAATCTAGTTTGAGGCTAAGGGAAGGAGAGGGAAATGGAGAAGAAGCAAGGTTGCCGGCTGGAAACTGGTAACAGTTGAAGCTAGGTCATGAGGATTCATTCTACGACTCTCTCTACTTTTGTGTATATTTGAGATTTTCCAGAATAAAAAGCTTTAAAAAAAAGCATCTTTGAGAGAGGTAGAAGATAGTGAGCATGAGAACAAAAGTACCATTTTGGGAAGGCAAGGTCTTCTGGTCTGAGGTGGCTCTCGCTGTGTGAACCCAGAGGAGACTCGACAGCCCCAGTCCCTCCCTGTGGAGCCAGGGGCTGGAGGAGTGCAGTGCCGGATGTGAGCATGACTTTTCCTCTGGGGAATCCTCCCCAGGGCAGGCTGCACAAGCCACAGCCACCAAGCCCTAGTTCCTACACACCCCACAGAACACCTGGCTGTGCTCAGTGTCTGGGGAATATGGGCTTGGTGGAGAGGTAGGGGCGGGTTTGAGTGTGGGGAGGAGGCTTTCTGGATGAAGGGGGCCAGGGCCGAGCCTGAAAGGAGGCAGGGTTTAGGTAGGTCGTGAGAAGGACCCTGGGAGCAGAGGTGTGAACAAAAGTACAAATGCAGAATGTGCCAGGCCTGCAGAGAGCCAGCACAGCAGGCAGGCTGGGGCCCAGGCTTGGAAGACCGCACTCTACCCCCAGCACAGGCATCAGGCTGTGGGGCATGGACCCTGAGGACCCAGCGGCCCCAGAGGAAGATCTGGGACACACAGACAAGGAAAATCAAGGGGGATGCTTTTCCTTCCACCAACAACCCTTTACCCGGGAGGTCCATCTCTTCTCCCCTGTTGTCCTGTGCAAGTTTCTGGGGCCTCTGGGTTGAGTTCTGGATGTCTCCAGGAATTTTTTCTTATCTGTTAAATTTACTCCAAATGAGGCGCTGGAGGCTATATCAGCACAGGTGGCAAGATGGCCACACAGTGGATCAGCTTACAACTGTTCATTTAGAAGTCTGGGAGAAGGGACTTCCCTAACCACAGCCCCTAACAGTGACCCTCAGTGAGGCATCAGAAACACACCCAGCATCGGGCCACACAGAGGGTGCATCCTTTCTGGTAGCTCTAGCAGGGATGGGGTGCATAGGCCCAGGCCTCATCTTGGGGAAGCAGCTGGGGATAGGGAGCCCACTCTGGAAGGCCACTCCCACCTCCTGCACACTCAGTCCTGGGTTCCTAGGCTGGAGGCACAGACTGGGGCAAGCAGGTACTTGTCTGGGCAGTGCTGAGCCCAGGAGCCCAGCCTGGGAAATTTCCAGTTGGGTAGCCCACTCTTGGTCCACTGCAGCAGGAGAACCTGCTTTAAATTCTCCACATTGCCGGCCGGGCGCGATGGCTCACGCCTGTAATCCCAGCACTTTGGGAGGCCGAGACGGGCGGATCACGAGGTCAGGAGATCGAGATCATCCTGGCTAACACGATGAAACCCTGTCTCTACTAAAAATACAAAAAAAAAAAATTAGGCGGGCATGGTGGCGGACGCCTGTAGTCCCAGCTACTCGGGAGGCTGAGGCAGGAGAATGGTGTGAATGCGGGGGCAGAGCTTGCAGTGAGCCGAGATCGCGCCACTGCACTCCAGCCTGGGCGACAGAGCAAGACTCCGTCTCAAAAAAATAATAAATAAATAAATAAATTAATTAATTAATTATCCACATTGCCTCCTGCAGGCCTAACGGAGGATTTGCCAGGCGCTGCCCAGCTTGGAAGTCCCTGAGTGGCTCTCAGAGGCACCAAAGACAGGCCTTTTATGTATGATTTCATAGATGTGGCCTTTCATCCCTGCACCCCATGGGGTGGAGGATGACCCAGGCGGAGGGAACGGGCTCAATAGGCACCAGGTTGTTGGAATGAGAACAACATGGACCAAATCCAGGGCCTAGCCATCTGGCCCTGCTTTAGGCCATCCTTCCTCACCTCGCATACCCCACTCTCCACTCCCTGTTCCTTCTCTAGCCTAAGACGGTTCCTCCTCCTGCTGCAAGTCCCACCCACCCACCTTGCTGCACAGCTGGTTCAAGTCCTCCTTCCCTTGGAAACCAAGGTTTCTCTGCCCGGAGCTGCCCACATCACAGTGTTTCTGTTAATTATGTGCTGTTCTCTATCACCTTATGCTAGTCCTATTTTTTGTAAAATTTTCTCTTATTATTATATATATAATATATATTATATTAGTGTAATATTTTTATATATTATATGCTAGGCTAGGCTTGGTGGCTCACACCTGTGATCCCACACTTTGGGAGGCTGAGGCAAGAGGATCGCTTGAGTCCAGGAGTTCAAGACCGCCTGAGCAACAAAGGGAGACCCTGTCTCTACAAAGAACAAAGTATTCTATGCTTACTACAGATACATCAAACATAAACCATAAAAAAAAAACCCATAAATAAATCTATCCTGGGGTAGCCATTATCAACCCTTTCAAATAAAGCCTTCTCTGTGTGTGCATATACATATGTAAATTTATGTAAATTTCATGTATAGTTTTTATGTAAACTAATCTTGTTCCCCTAAGCAGAATATAATTTCTTTGAGGGCACAAATATTTGGTATTACTGTGTCTGCTGTACAACTCGGATGCTACAAAATCTGTAATAATCTCTGCCGTGACCAGGGCCAGGCCTGCTCAGTCTGGGGGTGGGAGAGGAACATAATTACATTTACTCCAGGAGGGCCTTGAGAGAGATCTGTCTTGAGCGAGGAACTTTGCGACAGCCTTTGTTTAGACTCAAAGATGTTTTGAAAGCCGCTAAGTCAGAAGATCAGGAACGTGAGCAGGCCTCTGCTTCCTAGAAAGAGAATGAGGCGTGGTGGAGAGCATGGTGTGAGGACAAGCTCGCATCTCTTACTTGGGCCTCCATGAGGCACCCTAAGTCTGAGGGGTGAAGGGGTTGAGCCAGCCAGGGCCTGGGGAAGGAAGGGCTGGTGGAGGCTGTTGGGCGAGCATCCATCTCAGACCCTAAAATTAGTCTCCCTGGTTTAGCCCCACAGCTTTTCCTCGCAGCAGGCGTCCATTCAGGCCTAATACTAAACTGTGGCTGGGTGTCATTCCACAGCCAGGATCCAGACAGGGGCACCCCCTCACACACAGCTCCGTCCAAGTGACTCCCCCTTCCACCCACACAGCCATCAAAGTTCCTGACCTGAGCTAAGTAGATGGCTTGAGGTCTGTCCCACGTGGAAATGTGGGTGAGGACACCCTAAAAGAGCCCATACCCCAAGACCAGGTCAAGGTCTTCTGCAGGGCACCGTCAGCCCTCCCATGTGTACTCTTCATCTCCGTGGACCGGGATTCCCTTTGTGATGGGCTGTCATCCCTGGGAGACTGTCGGAAGCCGGGTCTGCCTTGTTCACCACACTTCCAACCCCAGCCCAGAATGTGGTACTGGATAATGCCCAATGAACACTTCAGAAATGAATAAATATGCAGGGGCGAAGGTGCCTCTGTTGCTGGCCTCCTGTATGAGCTCTGACAGGTCCTGCCCTTGCTGGGTCAAGACTCTAACGCTACAAATAGTGCAGGTTCTTGAATTTGTCTTCGCCCTATTTTTTATTTTATTATTATTATTATTATTATTTTGAGATGGAGTCTTGCTCTGTTACTTAGGCTGGAGTGCAGTGGCGTGATCTCAGCCTCCCAAGTAGCTGGGACTACAGGAACCTGCCACCACACCCGGCTAATTTTTGTATTTTTAGTAGAGACAGGGTTTTGCCATGTTGCGCAGGCTGGTCTTGAACCCCTAACCTCAGGTGATCCACCCGCCTCGGCCTCCCAAAGTGCTGGGATTACAGGCGTGAGCCACCATGCCCGACTGTCTTCACTTTAGTTCCTCATCAGTTGCTGGCCCTCAGGCAAGTCCCTTAACCTCTCTGAGCATCGGTTTTCTCTTTTGCAAAATGTGCCAGCAGTGAACACATGAGCTTACCTAGTTACTTTTTTTTTGAGACACTGTCTCACTCTATTGCCCAGGCTGGAGTGCAGTGGTGCAATCATAGCTCACTGCAGCCTCCAACTCCTGGGTTCAAGCTATCCTCACACCTCAGCCTCCCAAGTAGCTAGGACTATAGGTGGTGCATGCCACCATGCCTGATTAATTTTGAATTTTTTTTTTTTTAATAGAGATGAGGTCTCACTATATTGCCCAGGCTTGCCTCCAACTCCTGGCCTCAAGCGATCCTCCCAAGTGCTGGGATGACAAGTGTGAGCCACTGTGCCTGGCATATTTACATTTTTTAAGCTGTACAGCCCTGCCCATACAAGCCAAAACCAACGTGTGCATAGTAATGAACACATTACAAACCACTGCTCATGGAGTATCTTGGTGATTCTTCCTACACTAATGTTGGTGCTGATGTTATTGATGCTGCAGATTTCATGAGGTGGAGACACTCACTTTAGCTCAGTCGACAGCCCCTCCTGCCGTCCATGGCCTCCACCTGGCCAGGCCCCTGGCAGGCACTCACACTGCCAGTCTGTCACATCTCACCACACTGCTCTGCAAAGTCAGTGTTTTTTCAGGTGTGCTCATCTTGGATCCCATCTGGTCTGTGAGCTCCTGGTGGGCAGGACTCCATGTTAATGGCAAACTCAGTGACCAGCTCAAATGGTGGTCGCTCAGGCAGTGGTTGTAGGAAATGCTGGAACCCCAACTCCTGAGGGTGCAGAGGTAAGGAACCCATTCAAGTTGCTGAGATTCAAGAGGATAAGGACAAGGACAAGGGACAGTGTCCACCCAAGAGCAACTGTCTGGTTCACTATCTCTTTCTGGAAGACTCAGCAGGGGTTCTTTCAGCCCCTACAGGTTTCTGTCAACTGATTTATCTCAAAAAGGAACCAGAGGGCAGAGCTGAAGATTTGCAGCTTTACAGCCTGGAGCAACTGTCAGCTTCTCCCAGAGCCTCAGTTTTGCCAGCATTGAAATGGGGAAGTGGTCCTTGCCTGCTGCCTTCTTCCTGGGGGTTCTTTGATAGTTGAAACTTTTCACGGCACTTTCAAAGGCTCAGATGAAAGGCAGCCATGGGATGAAAGGGTCTTGGGGCCATATTAAGTTTCTCCTGGGTTTTTGAAGCCTTGGAGGAGCGGCAAGAGGAAGTGGTCAGCTGACAGGTACTTGTGAAGCCCCCCAGAGGGTGATGCCGGTGGGGAATTAGCATGCCAATCAGTCACACCTAGGGCGCGAGGGGGGATGGGATGCGGGAGGACAGCGCTTATCAGGAATGAGAATCTGTGATTTCCCTGAGGAGGGGACTTGTGACAACATGCTGAGGAAACTGGGCCCAAGGGATGGAGGCCCACAAGGCCGCCTTGGTAACTTCAGGCGAGGCCTTTCCTCTCTGAGCCTTAGTTTCCAGATGTGTCAAAGGAGAAGATGGGGTGCTTCCCAAACTTAGCTGCATATCAGAATCTCCTGGGGGCATTTTTAAAATTTGGATACCGGGCTGCACCCCAGATGAAAGAAATCTAGGTCTCTTGGGGCGGGTGGGACCCCAATATTAGGAATTTTTAAAGCTCCCCGGGTGATTCCAATATGCGGCCTGATTCGAAGACTGGAATAGAGGATTTCTAGAATTCTGTGACTCCATAATCATAACTCACTTTCCTACCACATGAGCAGGCTCTGGGGGCTTTGGTAGGGGATCTGGAAATTTAACTGCTCTGTCTGAGTCTTTGGAACACCCTATGTGTACAGTACTTAAGTATTAATTTATTTTCAACCATTTCTCAATTGTACATCAGAAGGTAAAATATGGCAGAATTGAAATCAACCTATAATCTTTCCAGTACTCTTTTTGGTCAGGTTTTATTCTCCCCATTGGCCAATTTTTTTTTTTAAACTTAGAGTTGCAAGTAGATAATCTCATTAAACGATTTGGTATTTTTTATCTCTTTTCTTTTCTCCTGGCACTCTTTGGTAGAAACCTCAGTGAACAGTGAAATATGATCTGAAAGCCAGCAGCCGGGAGAGGGAAGCAGCACAAGGATTATCCACCAACCTCAAATCACCAGAAGGAGAAGGGTTTGGAAAGCCTGAGGCCTGGCTCCTCTCCCTCTCTCTGCCTCAGAGACTCCAATCAACTTTCCCCATCCCTGTCCAGAGTGGCCCCGGAAGAGCACCAGCTCCAGATTCTCACCAAGTCCCATGATGGGGCTCTGGACCTGTCCTGGGACCCTGGGTGCAGAGAGGGAACCTGCAATGCCTGAGCATCAAGGACACTCTGAGAACAGAGTTGTCATCTCAGGAGAGGAAATGACTCCAGAGAGGAGATGACCTTGGGAGTCCGACCACTTCCCGCACGTAGCGCAGGTGCCTCCTGGCTCAGAGGGGCATTTCAGCCATCTGCCGGAGGCAGCTTCAGAGAACGGAAAAAGAGCGGCGCCGTGTTGAGTTGCAGGAACAGCGCGGACAGACGGAGACGGCCAAATGCCTGGTGGGCTTTTCACTTGTGCCACCTGGACCCTCCTGTGCTGGGATTGGATGTGTGTCCCCTCAATGATCCAGACTCTCCCCGCACCCCCAGTGTCTGAGGCTCTGTAGAAGGCCCTGGGGCAGGCCCTCACTGTCCATCATATCGCACCAGGTCTGGCAGACAGAAGGTGGCCCCAAACTGCCCAGGCAGCTCGCCTCGTTTCCCCGGCTCCGCTGGAGATGGAGTCGTGTGTTCATCTGACCACCGATAAAAACCCTTAGGAATGAATATGTTGGGCTTTTATTACAGGACCTTTTCGTGGACTCTGATCAACAGTGTGCTGCATGGAGGTTCCAGTTGCAAACCTGCTGAGGCTTTGCTCTCAAACACACCCACCTAGAAATGAGCAGTGACTCTACAATCCAGTGAAGCCCTACAGCCCACTGCGGCCTATGGCAAGAAGGAGAAAGCAGTGTCTGTGCTGGGCTCGGCACTTTTCTAGGTGTTCTGTGCATTATTACCTTGACAAATTCCCCGACAATCCACTCTTTATGCACTGTTTCTCCCATTTGACAGGTTGGGAAACTGAGGTTCTGAGAATGTAGATGAGGTGCCCAAGCTTCCATAGCTTGTACGTGGTATAGATGGGTCTGCTCACCCCCTCCAAACCCCACTCCATTTCTGCCACTACCCTGTGGACTCCTGGCACTCCATTGGAGACCATGGGAAAGCCAGGGTCACCTGTCTCAGAGCTTTCCTACTCCCTTCCAGCCATTGAGGAGCATCCAGGAATGAAGCTATTTCTTCCACGGGAACCCCAGAGGGACTGGACCTTGAGATGACAACTGTGTACTCAGACAATCCATTTGGGGAAAAACAGTTATGCCCTGGCTCTGCTGGAACCTACCATCTGGTCAGTGTGCCCTCCTTCCCAACCTCTCTCAGAACAATCAGAAAATCAACCAGAAGTTTAGTATTTCTTTTTTTTTTTTGAGACAGAGTCACTCTGTCACCCAGGCTGGAGTGCAGTGGCATGATCTCGGCTCACTGCAAACTCTGCCTCCCAGGTTCAAGTGATTATCCTGCCTCAGCCTTCTGAGTAGCTAGGATTACAGGCAGGCACCACCAAGCCTGGCTAATTTTTGTATTTTTTGTGGAGACAGGGTTCCTGGCCTCAAGCGATCCGCCCATCTTGGCCTCCGAAAAAGCTGGGATTACAGGCATGAGCCACCACGCCTGGCCAGAAGTTTAGGATTTCTGAGCCCCTAAGGTCCCTCACTCAGCCGCAGACCTTCTCTCTGGCCCCGGCCCCTCCATTCCATGCATCTCCTGGAAGACGTCCTGGCCTCTGGGAACTGACACATTCACAAGGTATTCATGGAGCACCTCGCTTGAGCTTACCTGTTCTAGGCCCTGTGAACACAGCAGGGAACAAAACAGCAAAATCTCAGCCATCTTGGGGACAATAAACAAAATCAATACATGATTATACAATAATTTAGTGTGGTATAATTATGTTTTTTGTTAGAAGTGGTAGGGTCTTTTCCGTCAACTGGTAGTGACTTGGGCCAACACTTAACCCCTGATTTCTTGTCCATATAGTCTGGGAAGGGGGATAGGGAATAGGGTGGAGATTACACTTTTAAATAGGATGGTTAGAGTTGCACGCAGTGGCTCATGCCTGTAATCCCAGCACTTTGGGAGGCTGACACAGGAGAATCAGTTGAGCCCAGTAATTTGAGGCTGCAATGAGCTATGATGACACCATTGCACTCCAGCCTGGGTGAGAGAGAGACCCTGTCTCTTTTTTTTTCCCGAGACAGGGTCTTGCTCTGTCGCCCAGGCTGGAGTGCAGTGGCATGATCTTGGCTCACTGCAGCCTCCGCCTCCCAGGTTCGAGCGATTCTCATGCCTCAGCCTCCCGAATAGCTGGGACTATAGGCGTGTGCCACCATGCCCAGCTAAGTTTTGTATTTTTAGTAGAGACGGGGTTTCACCATGTTGCTCAGGCTGGTCTCCAACTACTGATCTCAAGTGATCCGCCCACCTCAGCCTCCCAAAGTGCTGGATTACAGGCGTGAGCCACCATGCCCAGCCGACCTTGTCTCTTAAAAAAATAAAACGGAGTCATACAAGATGTGATCTTTTGTGCCTGGTTTCTTTCACTTAGTGTAGTGTTTTTGAGGTTCATCTAATGTTATTGCATGTATCAGAACTTTATTCCTTTTTATGGCTGAATAATATTCCATTGTATAGATACCACAATTTATTTTACAAATGAAGTTGCTGGGGCTTTGGGACAGGACCAAGTAACTTACCCAAAACCTGGTTACTCAAGTTGTTTGGCAGCCAAGCCTGGACTCAAACCCAGGTCTGCCTGATACCACAGTCTAACCTCACCACGGCAACCCTCCATTGCTCCATCACTCACTTCTTCAACTCCAGCACATTCATAACCTCCCAAGTTAGCAACACACAGTCTCGTGTCATTCCTGGAGCCGTGTTTGTGGATGGTTGGCTTCCTGAAGACACGGCCATGACCTGCCCTTCTCTCCTCCCCTCAGCACACACTGAACACAGAAGAGGTGCACAGGGAATATGTGTTGCTGGTCACTTGACCTCTCCACATCTGATCTGATAAAGCAGCACCAATAGAGGATTGCTTGGGTGAATTATGGTACATCCATAAGACAGAATGCTGTTCAACTATTAAAAATTGTGTTGTGGCCAAGCACGGTGGTCCACGCCTAGGTAATCCTAGCACTTTGGGAGGCAAGGTGGGCAGATTGCTTGTGGCCAGGAGTTCTAGACCAGCCTGGGCAACATGGAGAAACCCCATCTCTACAAAAAATACAAAAACTTAGCCAGGTGTGGTGGTGTGTACCTGTAGTCCCAGCTACTCAGGAGGCTGAGGCAGGAGGATCACTGGAGCCCAGAAAGTCAAGGCTGCAGTGAGCCAAGATCAAGCCACTGTACTCCAGCCTAAACATCAAAGTGAGATCCTGTCTCAAAAAAAAAAAAATTAATTAAAATTGTGTTGTGAAATAACACTGATTGTCATGGGATAATGATATATTGCTGAGGGGGGAGCAAGCTACACAATAAAACAATATGGAAAAGATACAGTTTCTTTTCTCTCTCTCTTTTTTTTTTGAGATGGAGTCTTGCTTTGTCACCCAGACTATATTGCAGTGGCACGATCTTGGCTCACTGCAACCTCTGCCTCCCGGGTTCAAGTGATTCTCCTGCCTCAGCCTCCCAAATAGCTGGGATTATAGGCATATGCCACCATGCCCAGCTAATTTTTGTATTTTCAGTAGAGACAGGATTTTCCCATGTTGGCCAGGCTAGTCTGGAACTCCTGCGCTCAGGTGATCCATCTGCCTTAGACTCCCAAAGTGTTGGGATTACAGGCGTGAGCCACCACACCCAGCCAAGATACCATTTTCTTTTTCTTTTTTTTTGAGATGGAGTCTCACTCTGTCGCCCAGGCTGGAGTGCAATGGCTCGATTTTGGCTCACTGCAATCTCCACCTTCTGGGTTCAAGCGATTCTCCTGCCTCCTGAGTAACTGGGATTACAGGCATGTGCCACCACACCTGGCTAATTTTTTTTTTTTTTTTTTTCTTTTTGAGACGGAGTCTCGCTCTGTCGCCCAGGCTGGAGTGCAGTGGCATGATCTCAGCTCACTGCAACCTCTGCCTCCTGGGTTCAAGCGATTCTGCTGCTCAGCCTCCTGAGTAGCTGGGAGGACAGACACACCACCGCGCCTGGATATTTTGTTGGTATTTTTAGTAGAGACAGGGTTTCACCATGTTGGTCAGGCTGGTCTCAAACTCCTGACCTCGTGCTCTGCCCATCTCAGCCTCCCAAAGTGCTGGGATTATAGGCATGAGCCACTGTGCTCGGCCTTTTTTTTTTTTTTTTAAGACAGAAGCTTGCTCTGTTGCCCAGGCTGGAGTGCAATGGTGCAATTTCAGCTCACTGCAGCCTCCGCCTCCTGGGTTCAAGCGATTTTCCTGCCTCAGCCTCCTGAGTTGCTGGGATTACAGGGACCCACCACCATGCCCAGATAGTTTTTGTATTTTTAGCAGAGACAGGGTTTCACCACGTCGGCCAGGCTGGTCTCGAACTCCTGACCTCAGGTGATCCACCCACCTTGGCTTCCCAAAGTGCTGGGATTATAGGTGTGAGCCACCACGCCCAGCCGACTAATTTTTTTACTTTTTTTTGTAGAGATGGGGTCTCACCGTGTTACCAGGCTGGTTGGGAGACCCTGTCTCTACAAAAAAAAAAAAAATTTTTTTATTAGCCAGGTGTGGTGGTACACCCCTGTAGTCCAGCTACTGGGGAGGCTGAGGCAGGAGGATTGCTTGAGCCTGGGAGGTTGAGGTGGCAGTGAGCCATGATCATGCCTGGGTGACAGAACAAGACTCTGCCTTGAAAAATAAATAAATACATAAATAAATAAATAAGTAGAAACTCAATCCTGGGAAGTGGGACTGGGAAGTTAGGGTAGGGAAGAGGAATTTTACTTTTCACCCTTATACCCTTCAGTGCTGTGTTAATCTTTTATTTTTTTCCCACAAATATCTATTATTTTGTGATAATTAAAAAGTAAATATATTATTAGAAAATAAGTTAATAAGAAATAAAGGATTTTTTTTTGAGACGGAGTCTCGCTCTGTCACCCAGGCTGGAGTGTAGTGGCGTGATCTCGGCTCACTGCAACTTCTGCCTCCCAGGCTCAAGCGATCCTCTCACCTCAGCCTCTTGAGTAGCTGGAGCTAGAGACATGAGCCACCATAGCTGGCTAATTTTTGTATTTTTTTTTTTTTTTGGTAAGGACAAGGTTTCACTATGTTGCCCAAGCTGGTTTCAAACTCCTGAGTTCAAGTGATCCTCCTTCCAACCTTCCAACATGCTGGGATTACAGGCATCAGCCACCAAGCCTGACTGGATATTTCTTTATTAATGATTAATATTAATCATTAATATTTATATGATTATATTATTTGATTATAGTTGTAGAATATATTTATATTTTATATTTATTAAAATACATGATATATTAAAATATATTGAGTATAAAATATACTAAATATAATTAATATTAAGGATTAATAAATAAATTACATAAGGAATAAAAATTATATAAGAAAATATTGCCTTATCCCCTGCCTGTCTGCCTTTTGACTGATGTGTGCTGTATGTACTATGAGCCTCTCACCTGTTCTGCACCTAATACAACAGCCACCATAGCCCTGCTTCCCAGACACCTTAAAAAGTTGTTTTGTTTTAAATAGATGTAGCCTGGCACACATGCCTGTGTCATGAGGGAGAGCATGGCTGGCCTGCTCTCTTGGTACTTATTATAAGGTCCTTCTTACTGGGGGTTTTATTCGATTATCACCTTTATGTCTGTTCCAGCCAGAATCCTGCTGTGTGACACCTGGGAATCCATCACCCTAGTCCCTGCTCTGGGGTTTGCACACCACATTTTCCTGGGTGTCAGGACTTCCTGGTGCTTGAAGATATGCAGTGAGACAGGGCTGCTTCTGACTTTTCAGAGTTCCTGCCTCTGACGCCTCACATAGCAGCCCCTGGACCCAGTGTTCTCAACAGTGGGGGATCTCTTCTCAGAGGAGAAAAGGCTCAGGCCTGGAGAGGATGGGCCTGGTGATTGCTGGGTGGGGCAGGGGATGCCAGATGTCCTGCAATGCACAGGTCAGTTCACTCAACATCCCTCGTCCCTGGACAGTTATGGCGACAAAAACACAATCTATAATTATCTGAGCCTAGAACCTGCGTTTTTACAAATAAACACGGTGAATTTGTGCATGGTTTTAACATATGATGAATTTTTCAAGAAAGCATCTATTACTGAAACTAATTTGTTTCTCAAGGGTTGTTTGAAATTTAAAAGATCACATCACCCACAGAGAAGCTGGTATCCATCTGCATTTGCAGCAGATGTATTCAGGGTGGTTCCATGGATAGGTTCAAACCTCTGACCACTTCATGATCATCCTAGGAGTCATGTACAAACATTCACAGTTTTGTTATTAGTCACTTTCCCTGTATGTCTCCTTTATATTACAATTAGGACATTTACAAATTCATTGGGTACATATGTTGTTTTATTTATGAATTTCTTTCACATGGTAAAAGGGATATTAAAAACTGTCTGTTTAACAAAGAGGCTTTGGGTCTGATAGGGCTGAGATCCATGGTGCTCAGGCCTCAGGGTACATTAGAACAGAGACCACCCCAATCATCCTGCGCCAGGAATATATGGTAGGTGCTCAATTAATGTTTGTTAAATGAATAACTTCACTAGGAAAATCTTTCCAAGAAATTAGCAGCAGCTCTTTGTTCTGTCCTTTGCAGTAAGTGACCAGTACATACTTCTTTTTTTTTTTTTTTTTAAGACAGAGTCTCTCTCTGTCACCCAAGCTGAAGTGCAGTTGTGCGATCATGGTTCACTGCAGCCTCAACTTCCTGGACTCAAGCGATCCTCCCACCTCAGGCTCCTGAGTAGCTGAGACTACAGGCGCATGCCACCACGCGCAGCTCATTTTTTGTATTTTTTGTAGAGATGGGGTTTCACCATATTGCCCAGGTTGGTCTCAAATTCCTGGGCTCAAGTGATCCGCCCACCTCAGCCTCCCAAAGTGCTAGGATTACAGGTGTGAGCCATTGTGCCCAGCTACATAATTTTGCAATGAATGTGTCAGATGGTTGAGCTTTTGGCAGAAGAGGAAAGCTGCAAAAGGTGAGTTTAAGATAACCTTGTCACCTAACCTGCCCTTCAGGGACTGTAGGAACACTAGAGGGGAAGATGCAGTAAATTTAATTCAGGAAATATTCTCTGAAGGGAAATAAAGCTAAAAAGAAATGCTTCTGACCTTTATATTAGATTTATTCACCCATTGAACAAATGTTTGCTCAATATTTATTATGTGTCAGGCACTAGGAGGCATAGCAGCTATGGTAGCAACAGGTGCTGTAGCTCAAAAAAATCCTACAATAGGCTTTGAGGAAAAGATTATTTTTAAAAAATACAAGTATGGGCCAGGTGCGGTGGCCCAGGCCTGTAATCTCAGCACATTGGAAGGCTGAGGCAGGTGGATAAACTGAGGCGGGTGGATAAACTGAGGTGGGTGGATAACCTGAGGTCAGGAGTTCGAGGCCAGCTTGGCCAACATGGTAAAACCCCCGTCTCTACTGAAAATACAATAATTAGCTGGGCGTGGTGGTGGGCACCTACAGTCCCAGCTACCTGGGAGGCTGAGGCAGGAGAATTGCTTGAACCCAAGAGGCGGAGATTGCAGTGAGCCAAGATCGCGCCATTGCACTCCAGCCAGGGCAACAGAGCAAGACTCCGTCTAAAAAAAAAAAAAAATACAAGTATGTACACAATAGAAAGATTTTTGAAATAAGCCATAATCTTCCTTCCCAGTTAATTCTCAGTGGCATTTAAAAAATAATGCATGTGGAAGACTGGAAAATTCAAACAGTACAGAAAGTAGGAAATGAAAGGTTAAATCTCACCCATATATATCCCATATATTTTTATTTTTTAATCTACATACATATTTCAATCCAAAAGAACCCTACTATATGGCTGGGCATGGTGTCTCATGTCTGTAATCTTAGCACTTTGGGAGGCTGAGTGGGGAGGATCTCTCAAGCCCAGGAGTTGGAGATCAACCTGAGCAACATAGTGAGACCTTGTCTCTACTAAAAATTTAAAAATTAGCCAGGCATGGTGGCGCACATCTATGGTCCCAGCTACTCCAAAGGCTGAAGGAGAAGGATTGCTTGAGGCTGGGAGGTCAAGGCTGCAGTGAGCTGTGATTGCACCACTGCATACCAGCCTGGGTGACAGACAGAGAGAGAGCCTGTCTCAAAAAAAAAAAAAGAAAGAAAAAAGAACCATACTATAAACACGGTTCTGCACCTTGCTTTTGTAACATAGTAATATATTTTTGAGATCTTTCCATTTTAGGGCATGCTTGTTAACAACTACTAGAACTCCACTGAATGGATGTACCATAATGTATGTCACTTGTCCCTTATTGATGGGCACTCGACACTGTCTCTATCCTGTGCACACTTTTGAGAGCTCTCTGCACCCCTCGCCATGAGACTGGATTTAAATCTTGCTTTCCCCTGGCCAGCCCCAAGCAAAGAGATGGGAGGAGGGCTTTGTTTCTCAAACAGCAACCTCTGCTGGGCCAGGCCAGGAAAGCACCCCACTAGGAAACAATCGTATTAACAGAACCTGTGTTAATAGAAGCTTTCTGGTGGCAGAATTCTATCTAAATTTTTCTCTTTATATTATTCTGTTAACAAAATTTTCTACAACAAACGTGTACTTTTACAGTAAAAAAGAAAAACACCTAGATTTTATCTTGAATAGTTTTCTGGCAGCTGGGAATGCCTTTTCCTTCTTGTGTAGTGTTCCCTTGAGTGGTTTACCTACAGCAGCCTGGATGTGGAGTAGGAGCTGGGATTTCTGCCTGTGTTCTGGCATCTGGTGACAGGATCTTTCTTATCCCCTTGTTGACTCAGGACTCTGGGAGGGTTTTATAAAAATAGCAATAATTAAATAGCTGACACTTATGGAGAATTAACTGTGCCAGTCACTATTCTAAGTGTGGTTATATGTGTTAACATACACAACATCCTGATTAGGTACTATTACTATTGTTCCATTTTGCAGACGTAGCAACTGAGGCATGGGGTGGTTATGCAACATGCCCAAGATCACACAGCTAGGATAGTGTATAACTGGCTCCAAAATTGTGCAAACCAGCTCTAGAGTCTACTCTGCTTAGCACTGCCCTCTCTCACCTCTCTGTTGAGTAATGTTCTGTTATTATAGATCTCCCTGACCCTTTGTTTCCTCACCTATAAACATCTACTTCAAGAAAAATTTGAGAAATAATACCAAATAGATAAAGCGTGTAGGGCATAGTATATGTGAAATACATTAACTAACTTTGGGAGGTCAAGATGGGAGGATCGCTTGAGCCCAGAAGTTGGAGACCAGTCTGGGCATCATAGGGAGACCCCACCACTACAAAAAGTTTAAAATTTTTCTGAGTATGGTGGCACATGCCTGTAGTCCCAGCTTCTTGGGAAGCTGAGGCAGGAAGATGGCTTGAACCCAGGAGATGGGGGCTGCAGTAAGCCATGATAGTGCCACTGCACTCCAGCCTGAACAATAAAACAAGACCCTGTCCGAGGAGAAGGAGAAGAATGAGAAGAAGGAGGAGAAGAAGGAGAGAAGGAGAAGAAGGAGAAGGAGGAGGAGGAGGAAGAAGAAGAGGAAGAAGAGTAGGAGGAGGAAAGAAAAGAAAAGAGGAAATAAAAAGAGGAAGGTGAAGAGGAAGCAGGAGAAGGAGAAAGAGGAAGAGGAGAAGAAAGAAGAAAGAAGAAGAAAAAAGAAAAAAAGAAAAAATTAACTAACCGTTATTAATATCCTGGGAGATCCCACTGAGGGGGATGGGGGTTTGGGAGGTAAGCTGTATACGGACCTTGATCTTCCAAGGATATACCCTTGAGGAATGCTCTTGATCAGATCTGTGGAGGGAAAATGATGGATTTCACCCCACATGTGAGCAAGATGCATGAGGCAAAAACCAGCCAGGGCTGGAGGCACTGCTAGAACTTCAGGATGGGATTTGGACACACATCAGGTTCTAGAGGAATGAAATCATGTCTATGCAAAGATTTGTATCTAAATGTTCATAGCAGTTTAATTTGTATTAGCCCAGAATTTGAAGAAATCCAAAAGTCTATCTACAGGTAAATAGATAACATGCACCCTATGCACGTTGCTTAACCTCTGTAATTTATTTATTTATTTATTTATTTATTTATTTATTTATTTATCTATCTATCTATCTATTTTGAGACAGAGTCTCGCTCTGTCTCCCAGGCTGGAGTGCAGTGGCACGATCTCTGCTCACTGCAAGCTCCGCCTCCCGGGTTCCAGCCATTCTCCTGCCTCAGCCTCCCGAGTAGCTGGAACTACAGGCGCCTGCCACCGCGCCCGGCTAATTTATTATTATTTTTTTTTGTATTTTTTAGTAGAGATGGGATTTCATTGTGTTAGCCAGGATGGTCTCGATCTCCTGACCTCGTGATCCGCCTGCCTCGGCCTCCCAAAGTGCTGGGATTACAGGTGTGAGCCACCGCCCCCAGCCACCTCTGTAATTTAGTTTCCTTTTTTTTTTTTTGGTACAGACAAGGTTTCACTATGTTGCCCAAGCTGGTCTCGAACTCTTGGCCTCAAGCCATCATCCATCTCAGAACCCCAAGTGCTGAGATTACAGGTGTGAGCCACCATGCCTGGATAGTTTCCTAATTTTTCTTTTATGTTTTAATTGAACTGAACCTGGAATTTCCTTATTTTTAAATGGGGACAAGCTGGGTACGGTGGCTCATGCTTGTAATCCCAACACTTTGGGAAGCTGAGGCAGGCAGATCACCAGAGGTCAGGAGTTCGAGACCAGCCTGGCCAACACAGTGAAACCTCATCTCTACTAAAAAAAATACAAAAATTAGCCGGGCGTGGTGGCAGACACCTGTAATTCCAGCTACTTGGGAGGTTGAGGCAGGAGAATCGCTTGAACCTGGGAGGTGGAGATTGCAGTGAGCCGAGACTACGCCACTGCACTCCAGGCTGGGCAACAGAGCAAGACTCCATCTCAAAATAAATGAATAAATAGGGACAATGATTCTTCAACAGCTATTGCAAGCTAACATGAGACAATGTATATAAAGAGTTTAGCCTAGCTCCTGGCATTTTTGAGGCGTTTGGTAGCTATTACTGGCACTCTTTAATGGTCAGTTCTAATAGTTAGAAAGCTATTGAGATGATATTGGTCCCCTATAACTTCCTGGTATTGCCATGCCAGGAATTCTGCATACAGTTTCAGTTGTTCCGCAAACTTTTTTTTTTTTTTTGAGATGGAGTCTTGCTCTGTTGTCCAGGCTGGAGTGCAGTGGCATGATCTCAGCCCACTGCAACCTCCACTTCCTGAGTTGAAGTGATTCTCCTGCCTCAGCCTCCCTAGTAGCTGGGATTGCAGGCGCATGCCATCATGCCCAGCTAATTTTTGTAATTTTTTTAGTAGAGATGAGGTTTTGCCATGTTGGCCACGGTGGTCTTGAACTCCTGACCTTAAATGATCCACCTGCCTCGGCCTCCTGAAGTGCTGGGATTACAGGTGTGAGCCCCCGTGCCCAGCCGGTTCAACAAACACTGATTGGGCATCTCCTGTGTGCCAGGAACTGGGCCAGGTTTGTGAGCACAACTGAATATAAAAGAAGACCAGCTTCTGTTTACATGAGAGTCACTGGGATAACGATAGTCATCATGGATTCCTTGACATATCTCATTCTTAGGTTCAACCTCCTTCTCCCAGATCCTTTTACTGCACCTCTCACATCTTTTTGTTTGTTGATTTTAATTAAGTCTCAAAAATACCCCTCCTCCAGGAAGCCTTCGCAAACTGCACTAAGCAATTATTATGGCCCCTTTCTGATCATCCTTTCAGCACTTGGGGACCCAGTTCCCACTCTTCCTATTTGTTTGCACTTGCCAATTTTATTTTCTTTTTTGAGACAGAGTCTCACTCTGTTGCCCAGGCTAGAGTGTAGTGGCACAATCTTGGCTCACTGCAGCCTCCACCTCCCGGGTTCAAGCAATTCTCCTGCCTCGGCCTCCTGAGTAGCTGCGATTACAGGTGTGTGCCACCCCAACTGGCTAATTTTGTATTTTTAGTAGAGGTGGGGTTTCACCGTGTTGCCCAGGCTGGTCTCAAACTCCTGACCTCAAGTGATCTGCCTGCCTTGGCCTCCCAAAGTGCTGGGATTACAGGTGTGAGCCACCGCGCCTGGCCTATTATATTATTATTGCTAGTATTATTTAACTTCATGACACAGCTCTGTACTCATTTTTCTTCCATTTTTTGACTGCATACTCCTTGGTCTCCATATGGTAAGTTCATAATTTGTCTATAGAGAGAATAGAAAGATAATTCAGTCTTTCCTTCAGCACAGCTGACTCCACTTTGGCTTTTTTATTGATCATTTAGAAAAGTTTCATTCTCCACAGTATACTGCCTGGGGCAGACCTGCCCAGAGCCCCAGGTTTGCCCCAGCTCTGCAGCTCCCAGGCGGGGCCTCAGCGACCTCTTCTTCCCAGCCAGCCCCATCCCATCCCTCTGCCAGCCCCATAAGCACTGAGCGGCTGGGGCAGCGCTACCGTCTCCGGCCAGCAGGTGGGGCCGAGGTGCCCTGAAGCTTAAGCCTCGGTCTCAGCATCTTTTGAACGAGTCCTTGGAATCAGAGGTCTCCTTTCCCAACCTTTCACGTCTTCTTGCTGTAACTGGAGGATATTATTTCATAATAATTATCATTATTATTACTATGTGAATGTCAGTTTGCAAGACAAGTGGAAGAACGCTCCCAACATTGTCAATGTTATGGGATTTGGGGAGACTTGTTTTTTAAAAAACAAATTTCTGGCTGGGCGCGGTGGCTCATGCCTGTAATCCCAGCACTTTGGGAGGCCGAGATGGGCGGATCACAAGGTCAGGAGATCGAGACCATCCTGGCTAACACGGTGAAACCTCGTCTCTACCAAAAATACAAAAAAATTAGCCGGGCGTGGTGGCGAGTGCCTGCAGTCCCAGCTACTTGGGAGGCTGAGACGGAGAATGGCGTGAACCCGGGAGGCGGAGGTTGCAGTGAGCCGAGATCACGCCACTGCACTCCAGCCTGGGCGACAGAGCAAGTCTCCGTCTCAAAAAAAGAAAAATCAAACACTTACAGATTTTTTTTTTTTTTTGAGACAGAGTCTTGCTCTGTCGCCCAGGCTGGAGTGCAGTGGCGTGATCTCGGCTCACTGCAAGCTCCGCCTCCCGGGTTCAAGCAATTCTCCTGCCTCAGCCACCCGAGTAGCTGGGACTACAAGCGTGTACCACCACGCCAGGCTAATTTTTGTATTTTTAGTAGAGACAGGGTTTCGCCATGTTGGCCAGGCTGGTCTCGAACTCCTGACCTCAAGTGATCTGCCCACCGGTATTTGATTTTTTTTTTGTTAGAATCATCTTTACTTTTGAATCTGAAAAAAATATGTATAATTTCATAATGGACAGTGGCCCTTAAGAGTGTTTTGGGGCTGTGCACAGTGGCTCATGCCTGTAATCCCAGCACTTTGGGAGTCCGAGGTGGGTGGATTGCTTGAGCCCAGGAGTTTGAGCCCAGCCTGGGCGACATAGCAAAATCCTGTCTCTACAAAAAATACAAAAAAATTTAGCCAGGCATGTATGCCTGTGATCCCAGTTACTTAGGAGGCTGAGGTGGGAGAATCACCTGAGCCCAGGGAGGTCGAGGCTGCAATGAGCTGTGATTGCACCACTGTACTCCAGCCTGGGCAACAGAATGAGACCTTGTCTCAAAGCAAAAAAAAAAAAAAAAAAAAAGAGTGTTTTGGACATGAAGTCCAGAGAGAAATGATTATAGCGACTATAAAAACCATATCTTATCTATTTATCATATTTTAAAGTTTCTAGAGCACTTTCACAGAGATAAGTTAACTTAGACCTATCAACATCATGTGATGAAACTAGGGCAGAAACAGTTTCTACTTTTTACAGATAAAGAGACAGAGGTCCAAAAAGTGGGTCTCAGATTGCCACAGTTAAATGTAATGGACTCCCATTCCCTCACCTACTCTGGTTAGCTCTGCTGGCTCTATTGACTGTGCTACTAATCTCCTCTTTCTTGTCATCTCCCTACCCTGCTTCTCTTCCAGATCTCATTATTTTCACCTGGACTGTAAGGGGAACCTCCATTCTGAGCTCCCTGCTGCCAGCCTCTCCTGCAGCCTCTCCTTCATGACATTCCCTTGCATAAAATCCTTCACTGGCTCCCCACCACCTACAGGACCACCGCAGGCCAATCTTTCTAGGCCCTGCACACCTGGCCCCTGCTGGCCTCCCCAGGCTCATCTCCTATCTCTCCACCCTTGCAGTAAATGCTCCAGCCAGGGATAACTAAACATGCCAGGCTCTCTTAGCCCTCAGGGCATTAGCAGATGGTATTCCTTCTGCCTATCTGATTGTTTCCACATCCTTCAGATGTAAAGGAGCACAGGGACCAATCAGATAATTCTATCCTGTGTGGAAGCCATCCACAAACCTTCCAGACATTGTGTATTCCTCTTTCTTCTATCTTAGGGAGTTATGAATGCCTACAGTGGTGCTGTAGACAGAATGTTTACCTCTTCCTAAAACGTGTATGTTGAAACCTAATCCCCTATGTGTTGGTATAGGAGGTGGGGCCCTTGGGAGGTTATGAGGTCATGAGGGGAGAGCCCTCATGAATGGGATTAGAGCCCTTATAAAAGAGACCCCAGGCCAGGTATGGTGGCTCACACCTGTAATCCCAACACTTTGGGAGGCTGAGGCAGGTGGATTACTTGAGTCCAGGAGTTCAAGACGAGCTTGAGAAACCCCATCTCTACAAAAAAAATACAAAAATTAGCCAGGTGTGATGCAGTGTGTCTGTAGTCTCAGCTAATTGGGAGGTTGAGGTGGGAGGATCACCTGAGCCTGGGAGGCGGAGGTTGCAGTGAGATTGCGCCACTGCACTCCAGCCTGGGTGACAGAGTGAGACCCTGTCTCAAAAATAAAATAAAAGAGACTCCAGAGAGCTCCCTTGTCCCTTCTACCATGTGAGGACTCAGCCAGAGGATGGCCATCTATAAACTAGGAAGCAGGACTTCACCAGACACTGAATCTGCTGGAGCCTTGATCTGGGACTTCTCAGCCTCTCGAATGGTGAGCAATAAATTTCTGTTGTTTTTAAGCTACCCAGTAAATGGTATTTTGTTATAGCAATTCAAGCAGACTAAGACAGTGGTCAGGCAAGTAACAATATAAATTGATAGAGAGCTGTGTAAGATGATAAACCGATTTTTTTTTTTTTTTTTGAGACAGAGCTTTGCTCTTGTCGCCCAGGTTGGAATGCGGTGGCGCGATCTCGGCTCACTCCAATCTCCACCTCCCATGTTCAAGTGATTCTCCTGCCTCAGCATCCTGAGTAGCTGGGACTACAGGCACACACCACCACGCCTGGCTAATTTTTGTATTTTTAGTAGAGACAGGATTTTGCCATGTTGGCCAGGCTGGTCTCGAACTCCTGATCTCAGGTGATCCACCCACCTTGGCCTCCCAAAGTGCTGGGATTATAGGTGTGAGCCACTGCGCCCAGCTGATAAACTGATTTTTATCATTTTCTACAAAACCAAATATAGGTCCATGATAGATAGCATGGACAGTGTCTGTCACCATGGGCTGGGGGACTGTTGAGAACTTGAGAGCACATGTCTCTCCTGAAGAAGGCATTCTCTACACAACTGCACCTCATTGTTGTCAAGCACCAGTGTCAGGCCCACAGTTGCCAGATTTCTTAGTTTTTTAAGGTAAGTCATAAATCTGGATTTTTACATTAAAATTCCAGATTTTAAAATGCTAGCAACCAATTCAAATTTAAAGCATTATAGGGGCTAATTCTTCCAAGCCAAATAAAAGATACTAGTGGGTAGGCTTTATCTTGGGAGCCCCGAGTGTGCAAACTCTCTTTTACATTGTAAGGGAGCATTGTATATAATAGTGGACAAAATTTACTAAAGGCCCAGTACGTGTCAGGCTAGTCCTTTTTGCTATGTTGCCCAGGCTGGAGTATAGTGGCACGATCATAGTTCACTATAACCTCAAATATCCACTTACCTCAGCCTCCTGAATAGCTAGGACTACAGGTGTGCACCACCACACCTGGCCAATGTTTGAAATTTTTTGTAAAGACAGGGTCTCGCTGTGTTGTCCAGGCTGGTCTTGAACTCCTGGCCTCAAGTGATCCTCCCACCTTGGCCTCCCAAAGTGCTGGGTTTACAGGTGTGAGCCACTGTGCCTAGTCTCAAACAGGTCCTTTTCTATGTGCTTTACATGTACAGTATTCATAGATTCAGTCCTCTCAACAGCCTAAGAGGGGGATAGTACTATTATTCTCATTTTATAAAGGAGGAAACAGAAGTAAAGTAACTGACTCAACGTCACGAGTTGGTAAAATTCCAGCACTGGAAGCCTGGCCCTAATTTGGTGCTTTTGCCACAGTCTCACCTACTGGACCATAAACACCTTGGGTGTAGATACCACAGCACTCACCTTTGTATCCTAAAATACCTGGTATACGGCCAGGCATGGTGGCTCATGCCTGTAATCCCAGCGCTTTGGGAGGCCAAGGTGGGCGGATCACGAGGTCAAGTTCGAGACCAGCCTGGCCAAGATAGTGAAACACTGTCTTTACTAAAAATACAAAAATTAGCTGAGCATGGTGGTGCGCACCTATAGTCCCAGCTACTCAGGAGGCTGAGGCAGGAGAATTGCTTGAACCCGGGAGGCAGAGGTTGTGATGAGCCTAGATCATCCCACTGCACTCCAGCCTGGACAACAGAGCGAGACTCCATCTCAAAAAAAAAAATAATAATAAATAAAATAAAATAAAATACCTGGTATACAAGGCACTCCTTACATGTATGTTGAGCTGAACTGATATCGTACATAATAGTGTAATTACACCTTCATTCATTCACTCAGTAAGACATTCTGAACACCTACCATGTTTCCTATCCTGTGCTAGGGACTGTGGAAGTCCAGGGAAATGCCCCTTGATCTCTAAGTGCTTGCAGTCAAGGAATACAAAATAATTTTCACTACTAAAGGGTACTGCATTACTAAATAAGACTAACTGCAAAACTTTACTGAGTACTGATTATTAGTTCACCAGAAAAAGCAGGAAACAAAAAGTTGAACTCAGTCCCTGTCTAGTGATCCACGATATTTACAGAAAAGATGAAAATATGTGGAGAGAACAAATGGAAAGTCTAAATTTCAGAAAGCATTTCAGAAATGGTAAACACTTCATGTGGAAAATTATTGAATGGAATGGAGCTTAAGAAATTCACACAGCAAAGTTTGCGGATTGGAAAGTATCCTTTTTTGGCTGGGCGCGGTGGCTCATGCCTGGAATCCCAGCACTTTGGGAGGCCAAGGCAGGCAGATCACCTGAGATCAGAGGTTCGAGACCAGCCTGGGCAACATGGTGAAACCCCATCTCTACTAAAAATACAAAAATTAGCTGGGCATGGTGGTGCATTCTTCTTTTTTTTTTTTTTTTTTTTTTTGAGATGGAGTCTTGCTCTGTCACCCAGGCTGGAGTGCAGTGGCGCGATCTCGGCTCACTGCAAGTTCCGCCTCCTGGGATCGAGCCATTCTCCTGCCTCAGCCTCCCGAGTAGCTGGGACTACAGGCGCCCGCCACCACGCACAGCTAATTTTTTGTATTTTTAGTAGAGACGAGGTTTCACTGTGTTAGCCAGGATGGTCTCGATCTCCTGACCTCGCGATCTGCCCGCCTCGGCCTCCCAAAGTGCTGGGATTACAGGCGTGAGCTACCGCGCCTGGCTGGTGGTGCATTCTTGTAATCCCAGCTACTCAGGAGGCTGAGTCAGGAGAATTGCTTGAACCCAGGAGGCGGAGGTTGCAGTGAGCCGAGATCGCGCCACTGCACTCCGGCCTGGGCAACAGAGTGAGATTCCATCTCAAAAAAAAAAAAAAAAGTATCCTTTTTTTTTTTTTTAAATGAAAGCAAGTTTATTAAGAAAGTAAAGGAATAAAAGAATGGGTACACCATAGGCAGAACACCCAAAAGTATCCTCTTTTATAAAAGAACAGACATGGAGAAGATATTTGAAAGTTTTCAAAAATACACCTTTTTGATCAATCTGTGTGCCTCCTCACATATAAAAGACAGGGATATAGAAAAACAGGTAGTTGGCCGGGCACGGTGGCTCACGCCTGTAATCCCAGCACTTGGGGAGGCCAAGGCAGGCGCATCACGAGGTCAGGAGATTGAGACCATCCTGGCTAACACGGTGAAACCCCGTCTCTACTAAAAATACAAAAAAATTAGCCAGGTGTGGTGGCAGGAGCCTGTAGTCCCAGCTACTCAGGAGACTGAGGCAGGAGAATGGCGTGAACCCGGGAGGCGGAGCTTGCAGTGAGCCAAGATCGCGCCACTGCACTCCAGCCTGGGCGACAGAACGAGACTCCG
The DNA here is from genome assembly GCF_000001405.40 of Homo sapiens. Lineage (NCBI taxonomy): Eukaryota > Metazoa > Chordata > Mammalia > Primates > Hominidae > Homo > Homo sapiens. The sequence continues at coordinate 226,191,260 of NC_000001.11, read as the reverse complement.
TCTCAAAAAAAAAGGAAAAGAAAAACAGATAGTTGCGCTGAACTGTTTATGTAAGTTAGATTCTACTGTGACAAGTGCATTATAACAAAGATCTATTGAAAAATCTTGGGGGAAGAAGGAATTACAAAACAGTAATGGATGTTTGTTATTTTATGGTAATGGTTATACAGGTATATGCCTGTGCCAAAACTCATCATATTGTAAACTTTAATATTTGCAGTTTATTATACAACAATTATACTCAATAAAGCATGGGAAAAACACGTTTCCTAGACTTGCTATTCAAAGTGTGGTCTGTAGACAGCAGCATCGGCATCACCAGAAAGCTTATGAGAAATGTATACTCTCAGGCCTCCCTCTATACCTACTGAGTCAGAATCTGCAGTTTAATAAGACATTCAGGTGAGCGTGTCTGGAACTCATCTCCCACAGTGAACTGTTAAAGCGAAGTTATATTCTCTAATTTTTTAATTTTATTTTTTAGAAACAGGGTCTCCTTCTGTCGCCCAGGCTGGAATGCAGTGACGCCATCATGGTTTACTGGAGCCTTGACCTCCCAGGCTCAAGTGATCCTTCCACCTCAGCCTCCCAAGTAGCTGGACCCTAGGCACATGCCACCATGCCCAGCTAATTTTTTATTTTTTGTAGAGACAGGGTCTTCCTATGCTGCCCAGGCTGTTCTCAAACTCCTGGGCTCGAACAATCCTCCTGCCTCAGCCTCCCAAAGTGCTGGGATTACAGGCATGACGCACTGTGCCAACCCCTAATGTTTTTAGTCATTAAGGGCAACCACCTACACAATGGCCCTTGATGTTTCGATTAGCAAGAGGTTCAGATGCTTGGTCTAGAGGATGTTTGGGTTTTCCAACCATATTCAATATGTTAAATTACAAAACAATAAAAAAGTCCATATAATTTTTTTTAATGTATGTCTTTTTTTGAGACAGTCTCTCTCCATCACCTAGGCTGGAGCGCAGTGGTGTGATCTTGGCTCACTGCAACATCCACCTCTCAGGTTCAAGCAATTCTCCTGCCTCAGCCTCCTGAGCAGCTGGGATTACAAGTGCCTACCACCACGCCCAGCTAATTTTTGTATAAAAAGTCCATGTAATTAATTAATTACCATATTTTACCTACCTTCCTAGGTATATTCTATAGGTTTTAATAATTATTGTATACTTTTTAAAAAAATAACTTTTTTTCTGATTACAAAAGAAATGCTTATCGTGAAAACTTGGAAAACAGAATCTAGCATTTCATGAAGAAGGGTTATATTTACCCTACTCATTATCATCCCAACAGTTATTGAATGTTAAAGGTAGAACACTGAGCAAAACACAGGGGAATATATATGTATATATAACATTTTGAAGGTTAGGCACATAATATGCATATTTTTAAGCTAATGAAGCTAAATATAAAGATCCAAGCTAAGTGGGAAGAACACAGACCTTAGAGCAGTAGAATTAGAGTTTTTAGTCCTCTACAACTAGAAGTGGGTTTACCATAAAGTTAATGAAGCTCAAGCTTCAGGGCCCCTTGCTTACACAGGCCCCTCCCAAGGCCCTTAGAGCGGCCTTAGCAGTATACACTTCTGTAACAGTTTTGAGAGTAAGATATTTAAGACCTCTGTCTTCGTTTCTAACTTCCCTTCGTCATCCTCCTCTGGTTAGGAGGTATTGAAATGGCTATAGGCTTTGTGGGGGATTTGGCTAAGGGGACAATGAATAGGGATACATTTAATTTGGGGTCAGTGGCATGCATTTAAGTGGTTTGCAGTCACTTCTGCATGTTTTTAAATTATTGCTCACCATGGGTGTAGGAATGGCTTTCTGGAATATACCTACTGCCCATTATGTCAATTCAGCCAGCACCATGTCACAAAAGTGCAAGGCCAAAGGGCGAAGGAACCCTATGTTGCCTGACACAGGAAGTACTTGGGTAGTGGAGGAGCAACAAGGTTTGAAAGAAAAGAAAGAGCTAGTAAAATTCTTCCATTCTTTTTCCTCTTCTGGGGATGTTGTCTATAGGCACATAGAATGGTCCAGCGTTTGACATACTGTTGTAGGCTTTCCTACAATACAGCTTCTAATAAAACTAGGCTGTCCTGAACCCCTGGTAATATAATTGCTTACCTTTATACCAAGAAGGCTGGGAAAGCACCAAAATCTACTGTGGTGTGTACCCACGCAGACTTCAAGGGGTTCGTGCTATAAGACCCGAAGTCTTATGAGATTGTCCAAAACACAAAAAACCATGTCAGCAGGGCCTATGGTGGTTCCATGTGTGCTATATGTGTTTGTGACAGGATCAAGCATGTTTTCCTTATCGAGGAAAAGAAAATCATTGTGAGAGTGTTGAAGGCACAAGCACAGGGTCAGAAAGCTAAATAAAAAATGAAGCTTCTTTGAGTAATTAAAATTAAAAGACTTAAAAATATGCTTCCAACCATCAGAAGTGGAAGATTATAAGGAGAGGGATCAATTCTCTCAATGCCTAATCAAAATGAAGGTTCTCACTCACTGAGAATCTAAGTCATATCTGCAATTATAACTGCACCATACTTCATGTTTTTATGTGAAGCATGCAAAAGGGAATAGATTAGAAACCCTATGTTTATGGGACAAAAACTTATAGTTGTACTACAGTGAGTCTGTCTGTATGTGAAGTTATATGTCTTATCCACCGTAATGAATGAGATCCTGTCTGAATGCAGCATACAAATCTTGTCCTGAAAAAAACCCTCGGCCAGGCGCGGTGGCTCACGCCTGTAATCCCAGCACTTTGGGAGGCCGAGGCGGGCATATCACAAGGTCAGGAGATTGAGACCATCCTGGCTAACACGGTGAAACCTCGTCTCTACTAAAAATACAAAAAAATTAGCCGGGCATGGTGGTGGGCACCTATAGTCCCAGCTACTCAGGAGGCTGAGGCAGGAGAATGGCGTGAACCCTGGAGGCGGAGCTTGCAGTGAGCCAAGATCGCGCCACTGCACTCCAGCGTGGGCGACAGAGAGAGACTCCGTCTCAAAAAAAAGAAAAAAACTCTCTAGGGCTTCAGTAAAAACCACACACAAAATTGTCACTGAAGCAGCCAAACGGCCATAAAAATCTCATAGCACATCCATGAAACTTGAGAGAGGTTTCCCAAACTGAACAATAACCCTAAAAAAGTACGTTAACAATATCAGTAATGAGTTGTGATGCTGAAATAAATTTATAAACAATTATTAAGAAACAAATTTAATCAGCCATGCTGGAGAAAAGACTGATCTTTCTCTTTTCTTTATAGAGAATTACAAAATACGCCGGGCGCGGTGGCTCTCACCTGTAATCCCAGCACTTTGGGGAGGCTGAGGCGGGCAGATCACATGAGGTCAGGAGTTTGAGACCAGCCTGGCCAACATGGGGAAACTCTGACTCTACTAAGTTTACAAAAATTAGCCGGGCGTGGTGGTGAGCACCTGTAATCCCAACTACTTGGGAGGCTGAGGCAGGAGAGTTGCTTGAACCCGGGAGGCAGAGGTTGCAGTGAACCGAATTGCACCACTACACTCCAGCCTGGGTGGCACAGCAGGACTGTCTGCAAAAAACAAAAAAAAAAAAAAAAAAAAAAAGTTACAAAATAATTGTTATAGGAAAAGGCAATCAGAAGTACGCAGCCAAAACAAAGGTGGGAAAAATGATCATAAATGGTGCTCCCAAAGTCTGGAAACACAGGTGAATATACATAATGTCGGGGGCGACTTCAATCTTTTAGAAAAAAATAGGTTTCTGGGCTCTCAGACGCCCTGTAGAAGAATATCAGGCAGTCAATGAAAATATTACGGTTATGTGTGTGATGTTTGTGGGTTTTATTAACTTTTAAAATATCATTTGTTTTTTCTTTCTCTTTCTAAATATACATTCACTTTCCTACCCTTCTGCGCGTAACTTTTTGTACTCTTTCCTAATGAGGGTCCCCACAAATTGTATGAGCTGCGCTTCCTGCAAAACCAGGATCAGCCCCGTCTGCAACCTCAAAGTCACTGAATTTCTCTGCAGTCTCAGTTTCCCCTTTTAAAAAAATTGGGAATTTGCCCTGCATTTCCTTAGAGTTGCTGTGAAGGCCAAACGAGATGGTGGTGGGCAAAAGAGCTCTGCCAACCACGCAGGCCCCTGCAAATGTGAAGGGCCTCTGACCTGGAGGGTTGGGTGCTGGCCGACCTCGTCAATCCTCCCTACTCCGACCCCCGCGCGGGGCTCCACTGACCCCGCCCCTGCTGGGCACTGACAGCCGCAGCACCGAACCGAGCGGTGGGGGTGGTAGCACCCGCCCACCTGGAGCAACTGGGATCCGAAAGGATGGGGTGCGGGGGAGGGGAGTTCGGGACCAACGGGAGTTGGGGAGCCTGAAGGGTGGTCGCTGAGCCAGGGCAACTGACGATTCCGGAGGGGGTGGGGCGCCAGGCCTCAGCCCCTCTCCCGGAGCCCTCCAGCCTCCTCAGCAGCGGAAGTTCCGGTGTCGGTAAGCGGAGGTCAGAGGTCAGCAGGAAGTCGATACGTGGCTGCCGTCTGTCCCCGCTGAGGAGGTGCAGCAGCCGGAGATGGCGGCGGTGCTGAACGCAGAGCGACTCGAGGTGTCCGTCGACGGCCTCACGCTCAGCCCGGACCCGGAGGAGCGGCCTGGGGCGGAGGGCGCCCCGCTGCTGCCGCCACCGCTGCCACCGCCCTCGCCACCTGGATCCGGTCGCGGCCCGGGCGCCTCAGGGGAGCAGCCCGAGCCCGGGGAGGCGGCGGCTGGGGGCGCGGCGGAGGAGGCGCGGCGGCTGGAGCAGCGCTGGGGTTTCGGCCTGGAGGAGTTGTACGGCCTGGCACTGCGCTTCTTCAAAGGTGAGCCGGGCCAGCCCCACCCCCGCCGCTTCTGCCCGGCCCCGGGAGCCCGGCGTGGGCTGTGGTCCCCAGGGTGACTGGACCAGACTTGCCCTCACCCACTCATACTGGGCTGTGGTGACTCAAGCGGGGTTCCCTCCTTGGGGGTACCCGAAGTTTGTCACTACCCGCTTGGCCACTAGGTCACACCCCTGACGGGCCTGCAACCTTGGTTTAGCAGTCATGTCCCGCCTCCCAGAGGTTACCGGGACATTTTACCTGATTTAGCTTCTGGGATTTCCAGGAGCCCTGGTGGAAGAATGAGCCCACTTTCTTCCAAAGGATCCCATTCTGGGATTGCCTTTTATTATTATTATTTTTTTAACTGACGCTTTTCTTTTCCTATTTCCCATGGCTTGTCACATCAGAACCCGCCGATTTTTACCCTTAGTGGAAGAAATCTGTCAAGAGGTTCCATACATAGCTTTTCCAGCCATTCTTGGGAACCATAAACTGGAACAGGACTTGATCCCCCGGCAGATTGATGTGGCAGAGAGGAGGAAGTAAAGTGTTAAGCTCATCATCCTCTCCGGCTTGTCAAACTCTTGAGGAGAGATGTCCACTATGTTCTAGTAACTTCTAGGTGGTTAAAATTTTACATTGTAAGCAATGTGCAAGAGTGAATTCTCAGAGTAAGGCCTAACAGTACCTTCTGTGCTTTTCGCATAATTAATTGTTAAATGTCTCTTGTCTTAGAGCAAGATTGTAGTGTGCGGTTTTTTTTTTTTTTAATTGGGTGATTCACTTAGTCGAATGGTGGAGAGACCAATCACATGATTTTTGTCAGTGGGAAAAACTGATGAAAGCCCGTTAGTTTGATTCTTAAAGATACTTAGTCTTGTAGGGCGAATGGACAGGGAGGGACATCAGCAAATGCAACTTTAAAAGTGGTTGCTAGGTTCCACGTACATTCCAGAGCAGCATATTTATGACACTTTCCCCAGAGGGAGTACCTTTTGGAGTACATATTTTACTAGCCAAAGTTGAGTAGTTCAATGTAATGATACACACGGAAGTTGTTTTCTCTCAAAATAACTTTAATTGTGCAAACTAGTGAAAGTTTTATAAATTTTCCAGAACATTTGATCATTTCACATTCAATGACATATTCGTGGTCATTGCACAATGAGTTGAGCCCTCTGTGTACTAACTAGCTTGGGGAATTGGTAATGGCTAATGGGTTTTGGATCATTTGACTTTTAGATCACCGGCTTGAATTTAGAGTTTGCTGTAGTGATGATATATTACCACTTGATAAAAATCAGGTGGTTTCTGTACAATTCATATAGCTACATTCCATCTTAAATTTTTATTCTTGGAACTTATTTTTCAGTAAAGTATATTGTAGCAGAGAGTAAGAGTAGAAATGAACTAATTCCTTTTTTTTTTTTTTTTTGAGCTGGAGTCCTGCTCTGTTGCAGGACTGAGGGAGGCTGAGGCAGGAGAATCACTTGAACCCGGGAGGCGGAGGTTGCAGTGAGCCAAGATGGCACCATTGTACTCCAGCCTGGGCGACGAGCAAAACTCCGTCTAAAAAAAAAAAAAGAATCGCTTCAATATGGGAGGCAGAGGTTGCAGTGAGCCGAGATCATGCCACTGCACTCCATCCTGGGCGACAAAGTGAAATTCTGTCTCAAAACAAAGAAAAAGATTAAAACACTGTAACGTGTAGTATACTTAACATTGTTTGGAGAGTCAGGAAGCTCTGGATTCTAGTTACCTTGTAAACTAGACAATTAACTTTTCCAGAATCAGTTTCATATGTATAAAGGGAGCTGGATTCTATAAAATATGATGTCTCAGATTTAAGATTCAGTGGTCTTAACCTAACAGATTATTTTAACATGTGTCTTGAGTGGTAGGAATCCTGGGGAAACTTATAACTTGGGGCCTAGGTGTTAGTCACCTTAGAGAATAAAGCTACACTGATAGGTGTGGTTCACTCACTTCCTAAATGAAGTTCTCAAAGCAATATCCAGGTACTAAAAAGGAGAAATAGCTGTGTAGCAATTAAAAGCTACCTTTCTGCATGTGTCATTGGAGACTGTTAGTATATGAGACACTAACTGACAAAAGGGAAGGATGTAAAAGCAGTCAGAAGAATTATGGAATGTGGAGTGAGCCAAGTAATGCTGCCTTTGTTTTGTTTTTTGTTTTTGAGATAGAGTCTCACTCTGTCGCCCAGGCTGGAGTGCAGTGGTGCCATCTCGGGGCTCACTGCAAGCTCCACCTCCCGGATTCACTCCATTCTCCTGCCTCAGCCTCCCGAGTAGCTGGGACTACAGGTGCCCACCACCACGCCCGGCTAATTTTTTGTATTTTTCGTAGAGACGAGGTTTCACCGTGTTAGCCAGGATGGTCTCGATTTCCTGACCTCGTGATCCTCCTGCGTCAGCCTCCCAAAGTGCTGGGATTACAGGTGTGAGCCACTGTGCCCAGCCTGGTTTTTTTTTTTTTTTTTTTTTTTAGGCAGAGTTTGATTCTTGTTGCTCAGGCTAGAGTGCAATGGCGCGATCTCAGCTCACTGCAACCTCTGCCTCGAGGGTTCAAGTGATTCTCCTGCCTCTGCCTCCCGAGTAGCTGAGATTACAGGCATGTGCCACCACGCCCAGGTACTTTTGTATTTCTAGTAGAGACGGGGTTTCTCCATGCTGGTCTCGAACTGCCGACCTCAGGTGATCTGCCCACCTTGGCCTCCCAAAGTGTTGGGATTATAGGCGTGAGCCACCGTGCCCGGCACCTTTGTTTTAATGTGTGGATTTTTCTGGTGGAACACATGGTGTTTTGTCAGTCTTGCTGGGACTTTTAATCGCTATTCTATGGTTTTATACCAGTATCTCACGAGAATTAGAAATAACATTACATTTTCGGCCGGGTGTGGTAGCTTTTGCCTGTAATCCCAGCACTTTGGGAGGCCGAGGCGGGTGGATCACAAGGTCAGGAGATCGAGACCACCCTGGCTAACACGGTGAAACCTCATCTGTACTAAAAATAAAAAAATAAAAAAATTAGCTGGGCGTGGTGGCAGGCGCCTATAGTCCCAGCTACTTGGGAGGCTGAGGCAGGAGAATCACTTGAACCCTCAAGGCGGAGCTTGCAGTGAGCCAAGATTTCGTCCCTGCCCTCCAGCCTGGGCAACAGAGCAAGACTCCATCTCAAAAAAATAAATAAATAAAGGAAAGAACATTACATTTTCTCTTCCACTGTGGAATAAATACGAATCTTGAAAGCATGGATATATTTTTCCATTGCAAATAGCTTGGGTTGGAAATGACAAGCCCTATTTCTTATTCCATCCTTGTCAGGGTGGTAATAGGCCAGTGACTGAATCAATTACGTCAACTATTCTTAATTTTTTATGACAGTAAAAGTAAAATAGATGAAGATGTGGGTAAATGTAAGTTAGCATTTTACCATCTAAATTTCAGACATTATTGACTTTTCAGTATGGATAGTTTTATATTAGGTTACAACTATAAATGAATAGTACGTTATCTTTTGCTTAGAGTCCAAAAGAGGAGTTAAGGACCCAGTGACAACTGCAGTACAGTGTGGAGGACTGAGGGAGCAGATGCCATTCCAGAGGGGGGAAGGCCAAGAGCCATGAAAGCCATGAGAAGTCAAAGCATGTCTGTTTGCAAAATGGAAAATAGAAAGCAGTTTGATGGAGAGAGCTGGGAAGGTAACTGAGTTCAATTCTTGGAAGGACTTGCATGCCATTGTCATTTTTTTTTTCTGAGACGGAGTCTTGCTATGTCACCCAGGCTGGAATGCAGTGGCATGATCTCCACTCCCTGCAACCTCTGCCTCCTGGGTTCATGTGATTCTCCTGCCTCAGCCTCGTGAGTAGCTGAGCTTACAGGCTTGTGCCACCACACCCAGCTAATTTTTGTATTATTAATAGAGATGGGGTTTCACCATGTTGGCCAGTCTGGTCTTGGACTGACCCCAAATGATCTCCCCGCCTCGGCCTTCCAAAGCGCTGGGATTACAGGCGTGAACCACCGCGCCTGGCCATGTAAGTATTAATAGTTCGGCCTTTTTGTCAGTAAATTAGAAGATGAGGAACCACTGGAGGTTTTTAAAGGGAGGAGCAAAGTTGCTCAATTCTTTTTTTTTTTTTAGACAGTCTGGTTTTGTTATGCAGGCTAGAGGGCAGTAGTGCGATCTTGGCTCACTGCCCCCTATGCCTCCCAGGCTCAAGCCATCCTCCCACCTCATCCTCCTGTGTGACTGGGACCACAGGCACGAGCCACCATGCCCGGCTAATTTTTGTATTTTTTGTAGAGACAGAGGTCTTGCTTTGTTGCCCAGCTGGTCTTTAGCTCCTGAGCTCAAGCGATTCACCCGCCTTGGCCTCTCAAAGTGCTGGGATTACAGGCATGAGCTACCACGCCCGGCCAGAGTTGCCCAGTTCTATTTTAACAATGTTAAGCTAGGTTTTCTTATCTCCATGGGTTAAGGACCCACAGGAATCCAGTGGGTTCATTTTATTATGACCTTTATACTTCTTGGATGGAGTTGACCTGGGGAATTGTATTTTGGTTTTTAGAGTTCTTTGGGGTGGACTTTTCCTTCTCTAATACTTTATTACTGTATTACATTAAGCTGGTAGATTGTTTACATTAATTTAAGATTTCAGAGTAATAATTGTCAATAGTTATTGAGTAGATGTTTACTAAATCTCAGGTACTATGCCAAAAACTGTATGTACATTATTTTGTTTAATCCTCCAAGAGGCCTTCTGTAAGGGTATTAATCCCATTTCTGAGTTAAGGATCCTGCCTCAGGCCCCTCAGTTATTTGGAAGGTAAGTCTTGGACTCATTTTCTTTATGGAATAGTTCTACTAGCATTGCTATTGATTATACCCAATTGTGTTACTGATAGTAGAGTATTATATGTTGGGAGAGAATTATATTAATGATAGCAAACAAATGGACAACTGAAATGGTTCCATTTCCTCTTGTCTTCTTTAAACATAGGCAACTACAAGAGCATTTATAAATGGCTTCCTTAATGTTTTAAAATACTGTACAGCTGTAATTTATTCATTGGAAACATATATAATTAGTGTGCCTCCTGGACTTCAGTGGTCTATCCTCAGATAATTTCAAGTTTGTTACTATGGAACATCTATTAGAGTTCTTTTTCCCTTTTATTATCTTTACCTTTAGACATAAGTATGTAATACTGTAGGAGGATATATAGACCTAAGAGAGACAGATGTAAGACAGAAAAACAATTATAGCCACCAAGTTCATGTTAAATTTGAGCTGAACCAAAACTTTCCTTTGACTGGATTCAGGAATGTGTATGTGTTGTTGTTGTCATTGTTTTTTTTTTTTTTTTTGAGATGGAGTCTCATTCTGTCACCGAGGCTGGAGTGCAATGGCGCGATCTCAGCTCACTGCAGCCTCTGCCTCCTGGGTTCAAGCAATTCTCCTGCCTCAGCCTCCCGAGTAGCTGGGATTACAGGCACATGCCACTACGCCCAGCTAATTTTTGTATTTTTAGTACAGACAGGGTTTCACCATGTTAGTCAGGCTGGTCTCGAGCTCCTGACCTCAGGTAATCCACCTGCCTTGGCCTCCCAAAGTGCTAGAATTACAGGCGTGAGCCACTGTGCCCAGTGTGTATATGTTTTTAATGTAAGTGATTTTAACATTTTCCCGAGGCTTCCCTTTATCACACATGCAGTGCACTAAAGTACACAAATACTAAGTGTGTAGCTTGATGAGTTTTCAGAAAGTGGACAGTGTAGCCAATGCCCAGGAGCAGATGTTTTATCAGTTAACTAATACAAGAGCTACTGTGAATCAGTATTTAGAAAGGTAAGCTCTGGAGTCAACACTCTTTAGGGTGTGTTTTCCTTGCTCTGCCACTTAATTTTGTTAACTTTTTGTGCTTTCCTGTACTCAAAGGGTTGTTTTAGGAATTATAAGAAATTATATATATAAACTCTTAGCAGAATGCCTGGCTATTGGTATTTTTGTGGCTGCTTATGTTGTTGAAAAGGAGGTACTTCTGAGAATTGATTATGGATGTTTTGAGTTAATGGAGGGGAAGTCTTAAAACTTTTACTAAGCAGTTAGTATATGCTAGGCAATTCCCAGAGTGTTTCCTACTCATTGATTTAGGAATACTGCATTGTATTATCCTTTTTTTTTTTTTTTTTTGGGAGACAGAGTCTTGCTCTGTTGCCCAGGCTGGAGTGGAATGGCCCAGTCTTGGCTTACTGCAACCTCCGCCTCCTAGGTTCAGACTATTCTCTTGCCTCAGCCTCCCGAGTAGCTGGGACTACAGGCACGTGCCACCCCACCCAGCTAATCTTTGTATTTTTAGTAGAGACAGGGTTTCACTATGTTGGCTAGGCTGGTCTTGAACTCCTGACCTTGTGATCCATCCACCTCGGCCTCCCAAAGTGCTGGGATTACAGGCGTGAGCTGCTGCACCTAGTTGGTTTTTCAGTTTTAATATTTGGTTTTTTTTGGAGACGGAGTTTCACTCTTGGTGCCCAGGCTAGAGTGCAGTGGTGCGATCTCAGCTCACTGCAACCTCTGCCTTCTGGGTTCAAGCGATTCTCCTGCCTCAGCCTCCCAAGTAGCTGGGATTACAGGTGTGCACCACCACACCCGGCTAATTTTTGTATTTTTAGTAGAGATGGGGTTTCTCCATGTTGGGTCAGGCTGGTCCCAAACTCCCAACATCAGGTGATCTGCCCACCCGGCCTCTCAAAGTACTGGGATTACAGGCGTGAACCACCACGCCTGGCCCAGTTTTAATATTTCTAAAAGATGGATTTTAATCAAAGTGTATTCTCTGTGAGGCAACAGTGTGATATGGCCATGAAATAAAACAGATTTGATCTTAGGCTGCTTTGGTGGAAATATGGTAACTAGGATGAGGGAAAGAGAGAGATAGTCCTGCTCTCCTCTGCACCAAGGAGTACACCTCAAACAAGCCGTGGATACTGCTTGTTTGAGGCATCATCCTTTAGGGTTAAAAACAAAATGGAGCTCATTCAGAAGAGAGCAACTTGTACCTAGTGGGAATTCAAGTCCCTGCCATTATTATCATAATGGCTGCTGTTTAGTCAGTGTCTGCTCTGTGCAGGCACTATACAAAGATTTTGGGACACATTTCTAACACTCATATGAACCCTAAGGAGCAGTATTTATTTTATTGATAACAAAACAGATTTCAAAAGATTAAATAACTTGTCCATGTTATATACTTAATAGCAGAGCTGGGAATTAAATTTAAATTTGAAGTATGATTGACTAAGCTGGGAATGTGTAGCCAAGAGAATAGAGAACTCAGGGCAAACACAATACATATTTTGTGACTTTCTTGAGGTCTAATTAGTTAGATGTGTTTTAGTTAATGCTGAGGACAGGAAATAAACCCTGTGGATGGAGTTGAGAGATACCACCTCAGAATAAAGAGCTAAGAATCACAGCTATTCAAAGATGGATTAGACTGCTTTGGGACAGTGAGTTCTTATCACCAGGAAGTATTCAAGCATAGGTTAGCAATTGCTGGGTGGATATTGTAGAGAGGATTTGAGATTTAGTTTGCAATTCAATCACCTATCTTTAACATCCTTTCCACGCCGTAGATTTTATGGCCTTCTTTCATTAAATGAAGGCTAGAAGGGACATTGAAATAATTTGGTACTTTCCTTTGCCTCCAGAGAGAAGAGAAAAAATATGATTTCTCCTATAAAATAGCAATTGAGGTGTGAGCCTAATAGTCTTTTTTTTTTTTTTTTTTTGAGACGGAGTCTTGCTCTGTCGCCCAGGATGGAGTGCAGTGGCGCAATCTCGGCTCACTGCAAGCTCCGCCTCCCGGGTTCACGCCATTCTCCTGCCTCAGCCTCCCGAGTAGCTGGGACTACAGGCGCCCGCCACCATGCCCGGCTAATTTTTTTTTTTGTACTTTTAGTAGAGACGGGGTTTTACCATGTTAGCCAGGATGGTCTCGAACTCCTGACCTGATGATCCGCCCACCTTGGCCTCCCAAAGTGCTGGGATTACAGGTGTGAGCCACTGCGCCCAGCCCCTAATAGTCTTTTGTATACTTAATTTCAGGTGGGAGGGACTTAATTGTAATCTTTCAGAGCTTTGGACTTGGTATCAAATTATGCTGTCCTATTTGAACTGTAAAGTTAAATACTTGTGAGTTTAGTAAGAACATAATGTACATCCCATTATCTGTTTTTAATTGCCTGAAAAATGTGTTTTGTATATCATGTTAGTTTCCTATTGCTCTTGTAACAAATTACCACAAATTTATTGGCTTGGGCTGGGTGTAGTGGCTCACGTCTGTAATCCCAGCACTTTGGGAGGTTGAGGCAGGTGGATCACTGAGCTCAGGAGTTCCAGACCAGCCTGCGCAATATGGGAAAACTCCATCTCTGCAAAAAAAACCCCACAAAAATTAGCCAGGCTTGGTGGCTTGTACCTGTAGCCCCAGCTACTCAGGAGGCTGAGGTGGGAGAATCACATGAACCTGGGAGGCAGAGGTTGCAGTGAGTGAGATCGTGCCACTGCACTCCAGCCTGGGCTACAGAGCAAGACCCTGTCTAAAAAAAAAAAAAAATAGTGGCTCAAAACAACTCATACTAAAAATCCGTCTGCACTTAAGATTTTCCTGCAAGCCCTAACGTGTACCGGACAACCTGTTCAGACTCTCATGGTTGGGAATATCCTCTGATGATCTGACTCCCCTAGTCTATGGATTAAATTGATAGAAGATCTGATTTGTATAGTAAACTCCTCTGTTCATACTGGTATTGACTGTTCCTGATTCAAGATGACAGCTACAATGGTACTGTCAAAAACAGCTACGTGGGGCTGGGCACGGTGGCTCATACCTGTAATCCCAGCACTCTGGGAGGCTGAGGCAGGCGGATCTACGAGTTCAGGAGATGGAGACCATCCTGGCTAATGCGGTGAAACCCGTCTCTACTTAAAAAAAAAAAAAAAGCCAAGAGTGGTGGTGGCCACCTGTAGTCCCAGCTACTTGGGAGGCTGAGGCAGGAGAATGGCGTAAACCTGGGAGGTGGAGCTTGCAGTGAGCTGAGATCACACCACTGCACTCCAGCATCAACTGGGACCACTTGAACCCGTCCCGGTTCAAGCGACAAAAGCAAGACTCCGTCTAAAAAAAAAAAAAAAAAAAACAGCTACATGGGAATTTGTTCCTCTGCCGCATTGTGCAGTGACTGGTTTCACCCAGTACTTTGATGTGAGAATAAGCACTTTCCTCATATCAGGAATATTGTGGGTGTTTCCTGTTACTCACGGCTGAATGTAATCTTCGGTACATTACCAATTATGTTTGATTGTATGTGATTAAAAATAATGTGCACATTTTTTCCTCAAAGTTGCTGGACATGTTTCTTCGAAAGCAGTTAATAAACAATTTCTAACAATTTATCTACTAACAAATACTGTTTTTTTAAATTTACTGAGAAGAAATATTAAAATATCTCATTGACAGTCATGGATCAGATAAACTTTATAATTAGCCTTATAATTTTGCTGATTATTTGACATTGTGAGTCAGTATTCACAAAAGTTGAGGCATTTTTTTCTTCATGTATATTTTACTTTTCATATTCATATAGTCACAGTTTTTATGATAATAATTTCTCATTCACTCATAATACCAAAAGTTAAATCGTGCTTTTCTGAGTGCCCTCTTGCCAAAGACCACCAGGATCACAACTATTGTTAAAGAAGGTGTAAAAAATTGTAGTAATAAATATGACCACAAGCAAAGCAAACAAAAACCACACACACACTGTTACCGTTCTGTAGGTTAGAGATAGGTCCTGTTGGGGTAAAATCAAGGTGTCAGCAGGGCTTTGTTTCTTCTGGAGAGCACCTGAAAGCTTTTTTTTTTTTTTTTTTTTGAGACGGAGTCTCGCTCTGTAGCCCAGGCTGGAGTGCAGTGGTGCGATCTTGAGTCACTGCAACCTCTGCCTCCCAGTCCCGGTTCAAGCAGTTCTCCAGCCTCAGCCCCCCGAATAGCTGGGAATACAGGCACGTGCACCATGCCCAGCTAATTTGTGTATTTTTAGTAGAGACAGGGCTTCACCATGTTGGCCAGGCTGGTCTTGAACTCCTGACCTCATGATCCACCCGCCTCGGCTTCCCAAAGTGCTGGGATTACAGGCGTGAGCCACCACGCCCAGCCGCAAGCTTTTGTTTATGCCCCTTCCTCCATCTTCAGAGCCACCATAGCCTCTTCAGATCTCTGACTCTTCTTTCTTCCCTTCCATTTATAAGGACCCTTATGATTACATTGGGCCCACATGAGTAGTTCAGGAAAAGGCCAACTGCAACCTTAATTCTGCCTTTGCAAGTAACCTAACATATTCACAGGTTCCAGAAGTTAAACATCTTTGAGGAGCCATTATTCTGCCCACCACTTGTGTCATAGTAGCTTATGAACTGATTACTGAAATTGTGCATGAGTTTATTCGTTTTACCTTTTTATTAAAAATGGAAACCAGAGCAATTGAAAAGGTGAAATTGGACTACAACATTTATAATGAAAAATAGTCATCCTGTTTTCTGGTGTTTTTCCCATTTCCTAGGCCTTCTCCCCAGAGGCAGCTGCTTTCCATTATTTTAACTGTTTCTTCTGGTATTTGCTTCCATTTTCCTACTGCTGCTTTAATTAAAAAAAAAAAATTCTAATGTATGTCTGTATCTCTCTTTCTCCTTTCCTCTTCTCAGACTCTTAATTTTGTTTTGTGGTTAAATTGTTGTCTGCTGTTTGTTTTTATGTTATTCATTGCTGAAACAGATGATACACTTTGATTACATTTTTGTTCTTGTGCAAACCTTTTTATAAAGACATCTATCTTAAATGTCCTTAAATTCTTGAATCAGTCTTAGTGTTTGTGGTAAGACTTAGTTAAGTCGGCTGCCCAACTGTCATCCTGGAAATTACCTTCGTCTTTTCCTATTGTGGTTAGATTTTGTTTTCCCTGAATCACTTATTTTCCTTTGTTGTTGTTTTTATTTATTCCATTACTTTGGAAATGCACACCCCTTAATATCTTCTTGTGAAAAGAGTGCATGAGACCATGCCTTTCCAAAAATGTGTTTTACTGTCACTTTTGATTTATTTGATTGGGCATAAAAGTCTAGATTGGAAATAATTTCCTTCCGGAATTTTGAAGGCATTATTCCATTCATTGCTTTCTTTTTTCTTTTTCTTTCTTTTTTTTTTTTTTTTTTTTGAGATGGAGTCTCACTCTTTTGTCAGGCTGGAACACAGTGGCAATTTCGGCTCACTGTAACCTCCGCCTCCCAGGTTCAAGCGATTCTCCTGTCTCAGCCTCGTGAGTAGCTGGGATTACAGGTGCATGCCACCATGCCGGGCTATTTTTTTTTTATTTTTAGTAGAGATGGGGTTTCACCATGTTGGTCAGGCTGGTCCTGACCTCAGGTGATCTGCCTGCCTTGGCCTCCCAAAGTGCTGGGATTACAGGCCTGAGCCACTGTGCCCACCTTCCCATTCATTGTTTTCTAGCATTCAGTATTCTTTTTTTGTTTGTTTGTTTTTGAGACGGAGTCTGGCTCTGTCACCCAGGCTGGAGTACAGTGGCACGATCTTGGCTCACTGCAACGTCTGCCTCCCGGGTTCAGGCGATTCTCCTGCCTCAGCCTCCCAAGTAGCTAGGATTACAGGGCGTGCACCACCACTCCCAGCTAATTTTTGCATTTTTAGTGGAGACTGGGTTTCACCATGTTGGTCAGGCTGGTCTCGAACTCCTGACCTCAGGTGATCCACTTGCCCTGGCCTCCCAAAGTGCTGGGATTACAGGCGTGAGCCACCACACCTGGCTTTTTCCAGGGTTCTCTAAATTGGCTTCCTTATTCCTTTTAGTGTGGTTTCATTAAGGATCAGAGGTAATTGTCTGTGTTCAATCTATCATGTTTAATTAGAGGTTTATCTGCATGTTTTCTTTTCCAAGCAGAATTTGTGTTTGGTTTTGTTTGCCATAGAAAGCAGAATTCCAAAATTGATTGAATTAAATAACTTTGTAATATTAATAATTAATGAGTGCAAGAGCCGAGGATGATGCTTGTGTTCCCTTCTGGGAGGACTGAAATAGAACTTTCCTTTAGGAATAGGGCCCTGGTTAAAGATTTTTGAGTTTCTACAAGGCTTTTTGTGTCTGTGCAGTTAGTGGTACTTATTATTTTCCTGCTAACTACATTTAACGTTTATGGTACCAGAAATAATTTAGAAGAAAATTATTCTTGGTTGGGTGCGGTGGCTCACACTGTAATCCCAGGTCTTCGGGGCTCTGAGGCAGGCGGATTACCTGATGTCAGGAGTTTTGAGACTAGCCCGGTCAACATGGTGAAACCCCTTCTGTACTAAAAATAAAAAAATTAGCTAGGTGTGGTAGTGCACACTTCTGTAATCCCAGCTACTGGGGAGGCTGAGGCAGGAGAATCACTTGAACCTGGGAGGTGGAAGTTGCAGTGAGTCGAGATCATCCCACTGCACTCCAGCCTGGGCAACAGAGTGAGACTCTGTCTCAAAAAAAAAAAAAAAAAAAAAGAAAAGAAAAAAAAAGAAGAAAATTATTCTCACCTGATTTAAAATACTAAACTCTTGTGATGTGTCAACCAGAGCCACCTGAAGAGTAAGAGAGCTGTAACCTTTTGTGTAATACTAATAGTCTGCATAGCAATATAGATTGTGAAGGATTTTTATTTTTCTGTGTTTTTTTTCTGAAGCTTAGAACTTCAGTACTGTGTGAACTGTGCTATACCGAAAGTGGTTGGGGTTAGCACAGCCTCCTGGGTTTTGTATATTCCTTGGGAGAATAATCTCTTAACCTCATCCCAAAGGCTGAAAATACATTGCTTCGACTTTAAAAATGTGTGTTAAAAAAGATAATGTGTATGTGTGTTTGATTACAAAGTACATATGCTTACTGAAAATTTGGGGAAATAAAAAATGAATAAATAAAATAAAATTAATTTGTAATACAGTCTTTCAAAAATAATTATTAGTATTAACATTTTGAATTTTGTTTCGTTTTGAGACAGGGTCTCACTCTGTCACTCAGGCTGGAGTGCAGTGGCACCATCATGGCTCACCACAGTCTCAATGCCCAAGATCAAGGGATCCTCTCATCTTGGCCACCCTAGTAGCTGGGACTGTGGTACACGCCACCATGCCCAGCTAAATTTTGGTTTTTTGTATGTGTGTGGAGACAGGATTTCACTTTGTTTCGCAGGCTGGTCTCAAACTCCTGGGCTCAAGCAATCCACCTGCCCTAGCTTTCCAAAGTGCCAGGATTATAGGCATGAGCCACCAGGCCCAGCTGGGTTTGTTTGTTTGTTTGTTTGTTGTTTAGACAGGGTCTTCATCTGTCACCCAGGCTGGAGTTCGGTGGTGCTTTCACAGTCTATTGGAGCCTCGACCTTCAGGCTCAAGCAATCCTGAGCCTCCAGAGAAGCCTGGACTTCAGGCGCATGCCGCCGCACCCAGCTGTATGCCACCACACCCAGCTGTTTTTTAGTTTTTTGTAGAGATGGGGTCTTGCAGTGTTGCCCAGGTTGGTCTCAAACTCCTGGACTCAAGTGATCCTCCCCCTTCAGCCTCCCAAAGTGTTGGGATTAGAGGTGTGAGCCACTGCACCTGGCTGTTTGTTTTCTTGATTTTTTTTTTGAGACAAATTTGGCTCTCATCTAGAAAAATTATTAATTTGGAGATTCAGTAGTAAGATTTAAAGAAAGGATTATAGAGCAATTATTTTTATTTTCTTCAGAGTCAGAATCTTAATGGATTGCCCAGGCTAGATTCTAACTTGTGGATTCAAATGATCTTCCTGTCTCAGCCTCCCAAGTAGGTGGGACTACAGGTGCATGCCACTGCAGCTGGCGATAGAGCAATTCTTAAAACTAGTACGTGCATAAAAGAGTAAATGGGAATGCAAGGACAGTTCACAAGAATGGATATACTGTTTTGTTCATTCTCACAGTAGTTGACCCATAAAGTCAATTTCTTTTGTGAGATTTGCTGGGCGTGTTTTTTGATGAGGGCCTGTGAACAAAAACGTAGGCTTAAGCACTGAAGTTCACAGAGGTCAGCGAATCTGTTTGCCTGACCAGGACTAGCACTGAAAATGTATTCCTCTTTTTTTTTTTTTTTGAGATGGAGTTTTGCTCTTGTTTCCCAGGCTGGAGTACAGTGGCACGATCTCGGCTCACTGCAACCTCCGCCTCCCAGGTTCAAGCAACTCTCCTGCTTTAGCGTCCCAAGTAGCTGGGATTATAGGTGTGCGCCAGCATGCCTGGCTAATTTTTGTATTTTCATTAGAGACGGGGTTTCTCATGTTAGTCAGGCTGATCTCAAACTCCTGACCTCAGGTGATCCACCCGCCCCAGCCTCCCAAAGTGCCGGGATTACAGGCATGAGCCACCGTGTGTGGCCACATATTCTTCTTTTTAAAAACACATTTATTGGCCAGGCACGGTGGCTCACGTCTGTAATCCCAGCATTTTGGGAAGCTGAGGCGGGCAGATCACCTGAGGTCAGGAGTTCAGGACCAGCCTGGCCAACCCAACATGGTGAAACCCCATCTCTGTGAAAAATACAAAAATTAGCCAGGCACGGTGGCGCACACCTGTAGTCCCAGCTACTCAGGAGGCTGAGGCACAAGAATCGCTTGAGCCCGGGAGGCAGAAGTTGCAGTGAGCCGAGATCACGCCACTGTGCTCCATCGTGGGTAACAGAGCAAGACTTCATCTCAAAATAATAAATAAATAAATATACTTTTTAAGTTTGCACTGTATTTTTAATTCTGTCAGGTGTAAAAAGGGCAGACGTTAAAATAACATCCAAAAGTACTGAAACTCGACCAGGCACAGTGGCTCACACCTGTAATCCCAGCATTTTGGGAGGCCAAGGTGGGTGGATCACCTGAGATCAGGAGTTCGAGACCAGCCTGGCCAACATGGTAAAACCTCGTCCCTACTAAAAAGTACAAAAAGTAGCCAGGCGTGGTGGTGCATGCCTGTAATTCCAGCTACTTGGGAGGCTGAGGCAGGAGAATCCCTTGAACCAGGGAGATGGAGGTTGCAGTGAGCCGAGATTGTGCCACCACACTCCAGCCTGGGTGACAGAGCGAGAGTCTGTCTCAGAAAAAAAAAAAATTGTTTACTTACCATCCCTCAAAGACCCTGCGCCTAGTTCACATTATCAAATGCTTGAAATAAAGAGACAAGTTGGCCAGGCATGGTGGCTCGTGTCTATAATCCCAGCACTTTGGAAGCCTAGGGCGATTGATTACTTGAAGCCAGGAGCTCGAGACCAACCTGGGTAACATGGCAAAACCCTCTGTCTACAAAAACACAAAAATTAACTGGGCATAGTGGCACTCACCAGTAGTTCCAGCTACTCAGGAGGCTGAGGTGGGAGAATCCCTTGAGCCCAGGAGTTCAAGGCTGCAGTGAGCTGTGATCGTGCCACTGCCCTCCAGCCTGGGTGACAGAGTGAGAACCTGTCTCAAAAAGAAGCAAACGTATCATCTGGTAGGAAATGAACCCTCCCTCCATTAGTAGAAAACCCAAATAGCAGTATTTTACAGATAACTTTATAGCAATAGTCAGGGATTTCAAAAAATTTTTTTCATATCCACTTGCCCCATCTATTAGTTCAAATCATCTTCCTGCAGCAAAAAAAAATTTTGTGTGTGTGTATGTTCGAAATTGCTGTTTTGCATGACTAATCAGAAAAGTTGTCTTCAGGTGAATAGTTTCCATGTGATTTTATCTTTACTGACATTTATTTAGATAAAACTACTTAATTGAGTTTATTCTTAAAAAAAGAAAGGCCGAGCACGGTGGCTCACGTCTGTAATCTCAGCACTTTGGGAGGCCCAGGTGGGCAGATCACGAGGTCAGGAGATCGAGATCATCCTGGGTAACATGGTGAAACCCCGTCTCTACTAAAAAAAAAAAAAAAAAAAAAATTCAAAAAATTAGCTGGGCGTGGTGGCGGGCGCCTGCAGTCCCAGCTACTCGGGAGGCTGAGGCAGGAGAATGGCGTGAACCCAGGAGGCAGAGCTTGCAGTGAACCGAGATCATGCCACTGCACTCCAGCCTGGGTGACAGAGTGAGACTCCGTCTCAAAAAAAAAAACCAAAAAAAAAAAGGAAAGGAAAAATGCACTCTCAGTCTCAGGCCCACCACATCTTTTTTTCTTGAATCATTGGCAGCATATGTTCTTTTATAGGCTCAAGATAAAATGACACAGGTTAATGTCTTTTTTTTTTTTTTTTTTTTGAGATGGAATCTCGCTCTGTTTCTTAGGCTGGAGTGCAGTGGTATGATTTAGGCTCGCTGCAACCTCCATCTCGTTCAAGCGATTCTCCTGCCTCAGCTCCCTGAGTAGCTGGGATTACAGATGTGCTGTACCACCACACCCAGCTAGTTTTTGTATTTTTAGTAGAGAGAGGGTTTTGCCATGTTGGCCAGACTGATCTCGAACTCTTGACCTCAGGTGATCCATCTGCCTTGGCCTCCCAAAGTGCTGGGATTACAGGTGTGAGCCACTGTGCCCGGCTGCTTAATGCCCTTTTTTTTTTTTGTTTTAAAAAACAAAAACTCGGCTCACGCCTGTAATGCTAGCACTTTGGGAGGCCGAGGCAGGCCGATCACGAGGTCAGGAGATCGAGACCATCCTGGCTAAAGCAGTGAAACCCCATCTCTACTAAAAATCCCAAAAAAAAAAAAAAAAAAAAAAAATAGCCAGGCAGTCCAGGCGCGGTGGCTCATGCCTGTAATCCCAGCACTTTGGGAGGCCGAGGCGGGCAGATCACGAGGTCAGGAGATCGAGACCATCCTGGCTAACACAGTGAAACCCCGTCTCTACTAAAAATACAAAAAAAATTAGCCGAGCATGGTGGCGGGCGCTTGTAGTCCCAGCTACTCGGGAGGCTGAGGCAGGAGAATGGCGTGAACCCGGGAGGCAGAGCTT
The DNA here is from genome assembly GCF_000001405.40 of Homo sapiens. Classification (NCBI taxonomy): domain Eukaryota; kingdom Metazoa; phylum Chordata; class Mammalia; order Primates; family Hominidae; genus Homo; species Homo sapiens. The sequence continues at coordinate 226,169,326 of NC_000001.11, read as the reverse complement.
GCAGTGAGCCGAGATCGCACCACGGCACTCCAGCCTGGGTGACAGAGCGAGACTCTGTCTCGAGAAAAAAAATAAAAATAAAAAAAAACTCTCTAAATCACAAGGCTAAGATCAGGAGCTGGAGCTATTTTTCAAATTATCGCCATTTGTTAAAAGCGAGAAGGGGGTGGGCACAGTGGCTCACGCCTGTAATCTCAATACTTTGGGAGGCTGAGATGGGTGGATCACCTGAGGTCAGAAGTTGGAGACCAGCCTGGCTAACATGGTGAAACCCCATCTCTGCTAAAAATATAAAAACTAGCCGGGTATGGTGGCGCACACCTGTAGTCCTAGCTACTTGGGAGGCTGAGGCAGGAGAATCACTTGAACCCAAGAGACGGAAGCTGCAGTGAGTCGAGATTGTGCCACTCACTGCACTCCAGCCTGGGCAACAGAGCGAGACTCCGTCTCAAATAAAAAGTGAGAAGGAAGTTGTTCTGGGCTGTGTTTCTCTAATAATTACCTGTGACGTAGTGTAAGAAAACTTTTGGTGATTAATATCCTTATCAAGTATTTGATGATTAATGTCATCAAGTATTATGTGTTGTATGTGCTATATATACTTTTATACAGCTGGCAGCACAGTAGGTTAGTTTAACGCCAGCATCATCGTAAATACTTGAGTTATATGTTGCATCATGTTATGGTGGCTACCACACCACTAGGCCATAGGAAAATTTCAGCTCCATTATAATAATCTTATGGGACTACACTCATATAAACAATCTGTCCTTTACTGAAATGCCATTATGCAGAGCATGACTGTACCATGTTGTTTCGACTTTCCCTTATTGATAACCTTTTAAGTTATTTCCAGTAACAAGAAAATAGTGCTGCAATGAATGTCCTTGTATCTGCCTCCTTTTATATATTTGAGAGTGCTTGTCAAGCATATGTAATGAGAACTGGAATGACTGGATCATAGGGCATACACATTTATAGTTTTGAAATACAGGAGTCTCTCCTTGTCCATGGTTTTGCTTTCCCTTCTTTCAGATACCCGGGGTTAATCAAGGTCTGAAAATAGGTGAGTAGAATACATTCAGATATTTTGAGAGAGACAGAGATCCCACATTCACATAACTTGTTGTTGTATATTGTTATATAATTACAATATACAAATATAATACAGTATTTTATTGTTAATCTCTTATTGTATCTAATTTATAAATTACAGGTATGTACATTTAGGAAAAACATAATATATGTAGGGTTCAATATTATCTGCAGTCTTAAACATCCACTGGGGGATAAGATAAGGACTATTGTGTATTGCCAAATTGACCTTCAAGGTAACTATAACAGTTTATACTTTCAGCATTCATATATGAGAATGGGTACCTGTTTGTAGGATCTTAATAACTTTAGATGTTATCTAACTTTTTTGTTTATCTGATGGGAGGTGGGGGTCTTGGTATCTAATGCTTTTAATTTATATTTCTTGACTAGTGGGGTTGAATATCTTTTTGGATGTTTATTGGCAGCTTCTATATTTTTTCTTCTCTGAGTTTCCTGCTGTTCTTTAACCCATATTCTTCTCACTTATTAGTGATTTTATTTCACCACTATATACATGAATGAGACATATAAGTAGCATATGCTACTTTCAAGTGCCCTCCCCGTTTTCTTTAAATTTGGTAGTCTGTTGTCATTGGAATCAACCAGTAGTTAGTGCTACCATTTATCAAAGAAGTGGAACTGTTCTCTGAATATTTCCCATTTTACCAGAACCCAATTTCATACGGCTTTTAAATGTTGGTAGCAGTTAGTCTTTATTGGTCAAACTGGTCGCACTCTTAATTGCCTATATGGAAACCTACCAGAGCCAATCAGGTGAAGGAAAGAAAAGCATTAATAAGTTAGTAATAATAATAATCCTATTACCTCTGAAGTAGCAACCTCTGAAGGGTAACCCTTTCTTTATTGATGAATAAACTGAGAGGTTAAATAGTCACATAGCTAGGAAGTGTCTCAGCTGAGATTTAAACCCAGGCCATCCAATTCCAAAGCCTTTTCCACCACATTATACTACCTTAGTGGGATGGATACATTTTTGAATACAGCCTTTCAAAGTGTACATAATCTTCTATGCATGATCATGTTAAAAGGGACTAATGTAAAATTATTTTAAGTTTTTCTTTTCTCTTTTGGCTAAAAATTATTTTTAAAAGCTATTTTAAAAACCGATTGTTGGGCTGGGCATGGTGGCTCACACCTGTAATCCCAGCACTTTGGGAGGCTGAGGCAGGAGGATTGCTTGAACCCAGGGTTCAAGACCAGTCTGGGCAACATTGTAAGACATCGTCTCTGCAAAAAGTAAAAAATTAACCAGATGTGGTGGCACATGCCTGTAGTCCCAGCTTCTCGGGAGGCTGAGGCAGAAGGATTGCTTAAGCCTGGGAGGTCAAGGCTGTAGCCTGACTGCAGCTTGACAGATGGGTTTTTCTGTAGTAGCTTTAGCATAAGTATTGATAGTTGGCTTATTTTTACAACCTAATTCAGGGTAGGCATGGTGGTCCACACTTGTAATGCCAGCACTTTGGGATACTGAGACGGGAGAATCACTTGAGCTCAGGAGTCCGAGACCAGCCTGGGCAACATAGTGAGACCTTGTCTCTACAAAAATAAAAACATTTTCCACGTATGATGGCGCATACTCCTGTAGTCCCAGGTAGTTGGGTGACTGAGGTGGGAGGATCACTTAAGCTCAGCAGGTTGAGGCTGCAGTGAGCTGTGATTGTGCCACTGCATTCCAGCCTGGGCAATAGAGCGAGACCTTGTCTCAAAAAAAAAAAAAAAAAAATCAGCATACCGGATTTCCGTCTTAGGTTCTGTTATTAATAAAATGTAGTAATTGGGCTGGGCATGCTGGCTCAAATCCCAGCAGTTTTGAAAAGGAGGCCAAGACGAGAGGCTTGCTTGAGCCCAAAAGTTCGAGACCAGCCTGGGCAGCCCTGTCTCTGCCAAAAGACAGGTTTGGTGGCACGCACGTGTAGTCCAGCTACTTGGGGGGCTGAGGTGGGAGGGTCATTTGAGTCCCGGAGGTCAAGGCTTCAGTGAGCCTTCATCACACCATTGCACTCCAGCCTGGGCAACAGAGTGAGACTCTGTCTAAAAATAAAAAAATTTTTTAAAAGTAGTAATTGAAATAAAAATTTCACTATTAGTGTTTGTGTCTATTACAGGCAGTTTGTGACATGCTTTGTAGCAAAGCTTTAGTATATAATGCTGAAAATTATGTATTTTGCCTGTGCTAATTGTTTTCTTTGTGTTTCTTTTTCTTATAGAAAAAGATGGCAAAGCATTTCATCCAACTTATGAAGAAAAATTGAAGCTTGTGGCACTGCATAAGCAAGTTCTTATGGGCCCATATAATCCAGACACTTGTCCTGAGGTTGGATTCTTTGATGTGTTGGGGAATGACAGGAGGTAACAGTGTTTTTCTGTATAGTGAATTTAATGAGGATAATGTTGGCAAAGGGTACAATGTGTATTGGTTAAGGTGTAAGTAGCTGGTTCATTAGCTTAGGATAAGAACTGAACATTTTTGCTTGCAGCTTCTGGAGTCTTCAGATATTTATCTGTTTTTAGCTTAGAGATGTTTATGGTTAAATATTGTGGAAGAACTGTATTCATCTGCTTATGAACATAAGACAAGTAGAGCTTCATTTGATTCTTCCCAAATAATATTAAAAGTAGCCATTTAAAATATATAGTAATTGATTCCCTTATTGAGGCATAAAAAAAATTGTGACAAAAAAAGAATACATTGAGTATTTTTGTTTAATTAAGGCTCAAATATTATATAAGAAAAATAGGCCAGGTGCGGCAGTTCATGCCTGTAATCCCGGCACTTTGGGAGGCCGAGGTGGGTAGATCATTTGAGGTCAGGAGTTCAAGACCAGCCTGGCCAACATAGTAAAACCCCATCTCTACTAAAAATTAAAAAATTAGCCGGCGGTAGTGGCACATGCCTGTAATCCTACCTACTCGGGAGGCTGAAGCAGGAGAATCGCTTGAGCCTGGGAGGCAGAGGTTCTGCTGAGCCAAGATCGCACCAGTGCACTCCAGTCTGGGCAACAGAGTGAGATCCTATCTCAAAAAAAAAAAGAAAAAAGAAAAATTGATACTCTTTTGCTATATGGGAATCATCAGCAATGCAGTTGTTTGGATTGTATGTGGCGTATCTAATTTAGTAAATCAATACATACTTGTTAAAACTTGAAGTTTTGAGCCTTTTGCTCCCAATAGAATCATTCATTTTACTTACAATTGAGAATTATTCATATTTAGGTTTAAATTTAAAAGTTCTCATTCTACTAAGAAGGGGAGGTAACTTTTCTTGTTATTCCTTACAGGAGAGAATGGGCAGCCCTGGGAAACATGTCTAAAGAGGATGCCATGGTGGAGTTTGTCAAGCTCTTAAATAGGTGTTGCCATCTCTTTTCAACATATGTTGCGTCCCACAAAATAGAGAAGGAAGAGCAAGAAAAAAAAAGGTGAAGTTTGAGGGCATGGAATACTTTATTGCTGCGCAGCCCAGTGTACTGATGCTTTTGTTTTGTAGAGTGTCTGTTCTAGTTCTAGATCAGGTGTCTTGCTTTCCTTGGATCCCCATTTCTTGTGGCAATTGTTCAAACTTCCTGATGTGAACAGGTACTTGTATTATAAGTTTTGGGGGGAGGGAGGACTGCTTCCTACTGGCCGTGCCTTTAAAAGGAACCTCCCATCCATCATGGCAGCCTTCCTTTTGTTTTATTACACTAAGTTTCTGAATAAGCCCCACCATAAACTCAACCACTCCCTCCTCCCTATCCTCTGGTCTGACATACCCTTTGTTGCAGTCTCCCTCGAGCTTCTAGAATCCTCATGCTCCATTTCATGGTTTGCAACTATGCTACCTTATATAGACATTCATGTTGGCTTTGGCTTCCAGCTGGCTTATTGATTATTTTCAAGTTTTGGAGGAGGAGCTACTGAATGTGCTGTTTATGCTTATGGGATTCTCTGTTGTAGTTGTGAATTAGAATTATAGTTACACCTTATTTTTCTAGTGGCTATATTTTCATCAATTTTGACTATCTAAAATTTTAGGTGATGAAAATGATGCTACAAAACCAATTTTTCTTCAGGTTATGTTATACTTTTTTTTTTTTTTTTTTTTTTTTTTTAAGATGGAGTCTTGCTCTGTTGCTATTGCTCAGGCCGGAGTGCAGTGACACAATCCTCTGCCTCCTGGGTTCAAGCAGTTCTCCTGCCTCAGCCTCCCGAGTAGCTGGGAGAGGGATTACAGGTGCCTGCCACCAACCCAGCTAATTTTTGTGTTTTTAGTAGAGATGAGGTTTTACTATGTTGGCCAGGCTGGTCTCAAACTCCTGACCTCAGGTGATCCACCCGCCTGGTCCTCCCAAAGTGCTGGGATTACAGGCATGAGCCACCTTGCCCAGCCGATGTTATTCTTTAAAAACAATTGATTCTCTGGTTTCCTACCTTAACCTGGATTAGAAATAACAGATTAGAAGAGAAAATAGCTTGATAATTAGGGACATAATAGAAAGCATGAAAAATAGACACGAGAATTATAAAAGCATGGCAGTCAGGGGTCATTTAATATGAAGGTAAACTTCTCCATTACAATAGTATGATGTACAATTTTTATGTTTACAGCTGTAACCCCTGAGTTATCAAGAGATGGAACATTAGATATGATTTATTCCTATTTAAGATAATAGGAAATTGCTTGATTACATTTTCAGAAGATATTTATCCAAAGAAATTTTTTTTTTTAATCTAAAGGAAAGGTTTTGATTCTTATGAGAAAAGAATGAGATTTCTTTAACTGGAAAATTGATTTATGTCCTACAGTCCATTGTGTAGTGATGTTGGATCAATCAGGTATCGCTAGGGTGTCTGTAGAAGTATCTATATATTGCTTTTTAAGTTCTTATTTTAATGATATATATGCATATTTCTCTTAAGCATTGTCAAAAGTTACTACTCAACATATAGAGCTGCGTTTTCGTTTTAAAAATATACTTTTGTCATGGGATAAAGTCCACATAGAATTATTTTAAAGTGTTTAAGAGTAGACTTCATCTATCCTGAAGCTTAAGCTCTGGCTTGTGAACCTTCTTGCTCTGTACCAGCTGTGACACATTAAAAGTAGGTCATGGCCGGGTGCAGTGGCTCACGCCTGTGGTGGCTCACATCTGTAATCTCAGCACTTGGGGAGAACGAGGCGGGCAGATCACTTGAGTCCAAGAGTTCAGGACCAGCCTGGGCAACGTGGCAAAACCCCATCTCTACAAAAAAAAAATACAAAAATTAGCCGGATGTGGTTACAGGTCCCTGTAATTCCAGCTACTCAGGAGGCTAAGGTGGGAGGATCATTTGAGCCTGGGAGGCGGAGGTTGCAGTGAGCCAAGAATGTGCCACTGCACTCCAGTCTGGGTGACAGAGTGAGACCCTGTCTCAAAAAAAAAAAAAAAATAGGTCATGTTATTACAATATTTTGAGACTTGGCTGTGGCTCAGGTAGTTGTTAATCACTTATAGGAGTTAGAGGGGAGAAAGGTGAGGTAGCCCAGACAATTCTCGTGGTAGGTTTATGAAATAGTGTCTTATCTGATACTCCTTAGAAATCTTCCCTTTCATCCTGTCTGCAGGCTCCCTGAACACCATACCACTCTCAGACCCGGAAGATGTCCATTCCTAGCACAATAGGATCTGTTCTTTTTGGAAGGGTCTTGTGGGGTGGGTGAAAGCTGGGCAAGGGCTGCCCTGAGAGGTTAACCGTTCTTTTTTAAATTAAAAGCTTTACAAAAAATTTTAATTTCAGAAATAATACACAAATATATGCAATATAAAATTTTCATTTATGGCAGTATATGAAACACAAACTGAAAAAAATCTTTTTTCCCACATTTCTTTTAATTCCACTCTCCTCTGCATAGATAATAACTGATAAATTTAGGGTATGTCCTTCCAGATCTTTTCCTTTGTATTCACCTTTTTTTTTTTCATTAAGCAAGTGTATTACATGTCTTTACATATTAGGCAATGTATTTCTATCCTTTGGCTCTGCGATATTTCAGGGTGGATTTTTTACTTCTGTACACGTTTGTCGAGTGCTTGTTCTTTCCAGCACTGTGCTAAGCCCTGAGGATGTCGTGGTGTGAGATAGGCAGTCTCTTCCCCTATGGAGCATCTAGTTTAATGGGTAATGCAGATCTATTGCTGAATGTATCACACAAATTTAATTATAATGACAGCAGGTATTATGAAGGAAAAGCTTTTAGTGCTGTGAGCATATATTAGAGGGGATCCTTCAGGGTATAGGAATATCATAATGACTTAAGTAGTTTCTTATGATGGACACATTTCTGTTGCTGTGCAACAATAATTATTCTTGATGTGATTTGTATATTGTGCGATTGATTCCCTATAAGTTTCTGCTAGTAAAGTGTATGTATTTTAAATTTTGATGTATATATCCACATTGTTCTCTAAAAAGGTCATGTCAGTTTTCCCTGGGAGCTAAAGTTTTATTTTTAAACAGGATTCAACGTATAGGGTTCATTCTCTATCTTTGCCTTGTAGGAAGGAGGAAGAGGAGCGAAGGCGGCGTGAAGAGGAAGAAAGAGAACGTCTGCAAAAGGAGGAAGAGAAACGTAGGAGAGAAGAAGAGGAAAGGCTTCGACGGGAGGAAGAGGAAAGGAGACGGATAGAAGAAGAAAGGCTTCGGTTGGAGCAGCAAAAGTAAGTTTATTATGTGGCTTATGTTTTAAAATGAGAAATGGAAAAAAAATAGAATAAAAATAAGAAATGAGCGGGCCAGGTGTGGTGGTTCACGCCTGTAATCCCAGCACTTTGGGAGGCGGAGGCGGGCAGATCACCTGAGGTTGGGAGATCACCTGAGGTTGGGAGATGGAGACTATCCTGGCTAACACAGTGAAACCCTGTTTCTATTAAAAATACAAAAAATTAGCTGGGCGCAGTGGCATATGCCTGTAATCCCACCTACTCAGGAGGCTGAGGCAGGAGAATCTCTTGAACCCAGGAGGTGGAGGTTGCAGTGAGCCGAGATCGCGCCATTGCACTCCAGCCTGGGTAATGAGTGAAACTCCGTCTCAAAAAAAAAAAGGAATGTATTAGAAGGTTTGGGGGTTCACTTGCAGAACCCAGAGATTGGAAGCAGGAGCTGAGGTTGCTTGGTTGCGCTCTCTGTTTCTTGTCTCTGCTTCTCTCAGCTTATGTCTCTGCTTCATCCTTGCTCTCTGCAAATTGTCAACTGTCTGCTTTGGCATATGCAAGGCTGTCCGAGGATTTATTTGGTCTATGTTTCCATGCATCTGACAGAGACTGGCTGGAATCTGTGAGACCCAGTTGCAGTTTCCCAGGACAGAGAATCTTGTTGGTCCAGTCTATGTCAGATATCCATTTATAGTCCTTAGTACAAGATTTGGAGGCTTCAACTATTGCTTACTCAGTAAGGGCTTTGAGACTCAGAGACTGACAGGTTCTTCAAGAGGGAGCTGTGGGTACAAGGAGGCAGTGATTAACACCCATAAAACACTGGGAAGTAAGTCTGAGTTTGTAGGGGTGGCATGGCTTGTAGGTTAAACCAGAGAACATGAGAGTCCATTGATTTCTTCTCATTATTTCTGGGTAGTTCCTCAGAAAAAGGTTTAGTGCTAGCCTCAAACTAATCCAGGCCCTCATTCAACTTTGGAGAAAGACTATGAATGCAGCTCTTTTTTGGGGGAGGTTGTCCTAGGTGGATCGAATGTTGTGCTGTATGTAGGAGTTTGTGAGGCTTTGCTTTGTTATCTATTAATAGATGGCTTTGAGGTCTCTGTTAAGTTGGTCACATAAGTAAGTTAAGAAGCATGTGGTTGCTGGCTGTGGTGGCTCATGCCTGTAATCCCAGCACTTTGGGAGGCCGAGGCGGGCGGATCACTTGATTGAGGTCAGGGGTTTGAAACGAGCCTGGCCAACATGGTGAAACCGTCTTTACTAAAAATATAAAGATTAGCCAGGCGTGGTAGCAGGTGCCTGTAATCCCAGCTACTTGGGAGGCTGAGGCAGGAGAATCGCTTGAACCTAGGAAGTGGAGGTTGCAGTGAGCTGAGATCACGCCACTGCACTCCAGCATGGGTGACAGAGTGAAACTCCGTCTCAAAAAAAAAAAAAAGAAGAAGCATGTGGTTTATCTATAAAAGAATATGAGTATCTCTAAACTAAGCATGCCAAGATATTTTCAGTATTTCCTCTATTAAGACAGGCTTTAAATTAAATGCTGTGGACCCTTAATTTTTCACTGGCTTTATTTATACTTACCAGGGCCACCTGTAACATCTTCCAGCTATTCTTCTGCCTCTTACTGTTTTTTATGTATTTAGGTACAGAAGCCATAGCCAACAGTTAAATACCTCATCTATGTCAGAGATGACAATCCATCATCTTAAAGCATCGTGGTAAATTAGTGTAGCTCTAGAGCCAAACTGCCTGGATTTGCATCAGGCTGTAGCATCTGCTAGCAGTATAGTCTTGGGCAAGTTACTGAACCCTCTGTCAGAGGGTTGTTGTGAGGACTAAATGGGTTAGTATGTGTGAGTACTTTCAACACTGCATGGCACATAGTAAGGGCACAATAAATGTTAATAATTATGATGGTGGTCATGATGATGATGATCATATGCTTATCTTCCATCCCGAATTTTCCTGGAAAATCCTAAGTAAAAAATTAGAGGCCAGGCTTATTTTCTTAAATCTTTCTTCTGGACCCAGAACACATACTAATTGGTGTACATTACTAGCTTAGTTGTTTTTAAGAGTTACAGACTGTAAAAGTAAGTAATAAGGACATTTTATTTTGTCATGAACAATCTCCTGTAGCCAGACTAGTATATATATTTTTAATGTTTTTAGGCAGCAGATAATGGCAGCTTTAAACTCCCAGACTGCCGTGCAGTTCCAGCAGTATGCAGCCCAACAGTATCCAGGGAACTACGAACAGCAGCAAATTCTCATCCGCCAGTTGCAGGAGCAACACTATCAGCAGTACATGCAGCAGTTGTATCAAGTCCAGCTTGCACAGCAACAGGTACGATAGACAACCCTAGAATTCAGCCTTAGAGAGAGTTTTTAGTTTCATTGGAACCCAAGTTCTTTTTTAACAGTCGCAAATGAATTTTGCATTAGTTAGCCTCTAAGGTGTAAAGTAACTTTTGGGTGATCTTTTAGGCAGACTTGAGAATTGCACAGGCAATTGTGAGAGAAAATATGTGTTATCGAAGCAACCGATGATGTTATATTGTCATAAGGGTATTTGGGAGTTGTATGGGTTGAGTGTCTTTACTGTGAGTCTGGCATAGACCCTAATAGTGGTCCTGGAACATGAGGACCTGAGTAACTAGCCATAGTTCAGAGATGTCCTTCAGGCAGTGCATTGTCAGAGGCTTGGACAGCCTCCAGTGGGAGGACTCCCCTGCCCTAAGACCATGGGCTGGTTCTGCAGAGCTAGATTGGGTCCATTTGACTTTGTGTTAGGCACCATAGTTAGGCAGTGCTCATAACAGCACATTGCTATTCCTCCTCCAACTGCCTGCCCCCAAGTATTTTGCTTCCACATAGGAGAGGTTGGTTTAGGTGAAAGAACATGGGACTGGGAGTCTCATAACACTTGGATTCTCTTTGGGCTTTGACATTACCTTGTTTGATCTCAGACAAGTTATTACTGCTCTGATTGTTCTGCTCTTTCTTTCAGTCCGTAACAATAGGATATAAAATCAAAGCACCTGTCCTGTTAACCTCACAGGACTATCAGAGGAGTCAAATGAGAAAAGAGTTACCCTGTGAACGATTTTTGTACTTGTAGAAGACACTAATTTTACATTCATTTTTTACATCTTGTGCAGGCATAAAATACCTCCTTAAACTTAACGTAGCTTAGTTTAACTTACTTAATTTTCACTTATAAAGCAGTTACCACCTGTCAAAAAATCTGAGTGAAGAAAAGTGTTACATTATAGTTGCTCAGCATTTCTTACTGCATGAAATAATCTTTGTTGTTTTTGCCAAACTCTTTAAATTCCTTGAAAATGTGTATTCTTACTAAACAACCTTTTCTCCTGAGTCTTTGGCATCAGTTAGAAGTTAAAAAGCACTGCAAGTTTTTTGTAATCCTGAAGAGGAGGAAAAGATGCCAAACCAGAGTTTATTCAAGATAATAAGTGGTATTTTTGAGAGATTTATTCTCTCTCCTCTGAAGCCTGTTTCTACTTTAGTTTCACTTCCATTTTCCTGCTTCTTTGATAGGCAGTGAGATGATTTTTAATAGCACATACACTCTGTCCTGTTTATAGGTTGCTATCATTTAATGAGAAGAAAGTCAAATAGGACAAAACCGCAAATCTTTGAAACAAAACTAGAAAGCCATAATGGAGGCTGGGCATAGTGGCTCATGCCTTTAATCCCAGCACCTGGGGAAGCCAAGGCCATAATGGTTGCTTGAGGCCAGGAATTTGAGACCAGCCTGGGCAACATAGGGAGACCCCATCTCTTAAAAAAGAAAAAAAAAATTAGCTGGGCATGGTGGTGCACGCCTGTAGTCCCAGTTACTTGGGAGGCTGAGGCGAGAGGATCACTCGAGCTCAGGAGTTTGAGGCTATAGTGAGCTGTGATGGCGCCACTACATTCCAGCCTGGGTGACAGAGTGAGACCCTGTCTCGAGGAAAAAAAAAGCCATAGGCCAGGTGTGGTGGCACATGCCTGTAATCCCAGCACTTTGGGAGGCTGAGGTGGGTGGATCACTTGAGGTTGGGAGTTCGAGAACAGCCTGACCAATATGGAGAAACCCCATCTCTATTAAAAATACAAAATTAGCCTGGCATGTTGGTACACATCTGTAATCTCAGCTACTCGTGAGGCTGAAGCAGGAGAATCACTTGAACCCAGGAGGGGGAGGTTTCGGTGAGCCAAGATTGTGCCATTGCACTCCAGCCTGGGCAACAAAAGAGAAACTCCGTCTCAAAAAAAAAAAAAATCCATAATTGAGATTAGAGTGATCAAACTCAGTTTATCAAATTTATTGGTTGCTTCTGAGAAGAGAAAAGGAAAGAGACTGGGGAAGGAACAAAGGGAACTTTACTCCTATAAAATATTAATTTTTATATAAATAGCAAAATGAACACATTTGTTAATTTTGGGGTGTAGATACATTTGTGGGTGTTTGATACGTTGCTTTTATACCTTTCTGTGCTTTTTTAAACTTCCTAATAACAGGAAGAGAGTATGGAAATATATCATTACAATCTATTACATGTAGTACAATAGATTCATGGTCGGGGGTTCCCAGAGAAAGTTGTTTTTCTGCTAGAGCCTTTCAAGAAAGGATTAGTGGAGATGAGGGACCATTTGAGCTGGGCCTATTGATCATCAAAAATGCTCTTTTGCTTTCCTGTCATGCAGTGAATGTTCTGAGTGTGCTGACTTGTTTTGATTTTAGGTACTTTCTCTGGAAGCTAGTATCCCTTCTAGAAAATTGATGTGGAAATTACTGAAAATCCAGACCTTGGAAGAAGATATCTTAAAATCTTAATTGTGTTATTAACCTATATTAGCAGCAAAGAGAAGCATTGCTATTCATTTAAGTAATTGGCTTGTAAATGATACATTCAATGAAATGTGTGTAGAGATATGCCAAAATATATCATTATCCCTACCCCATGGGATCATAAAGGCTTTTTCCGTGTGTGTGTGTATGTGTGCGTGTGTGTATTTTTTTTCCTGCAGTGAACATATACGTACTTGCTTATTTGTGACAGTGTTTTAGTTTAAAACATTGCTTACATGCCCAAATGCTCATCAACAGTAGAATGGATAGATTTTATCTTTTTATGATGGAATAACTTAAAAGTAATGCAAACAACAAAATACAATTACTTGTGACTCTATAGATGTAGCTTATAAAAGTAATGTTGAGTGAAGGTAGCCAGACATAAAAAAGAATGTATACTATACAACCCATTTCTTTAAAGTTTTAAAATAGGCAAAGCAAATCTATAGTGTTATAAGTCAAATAGTTGTTACCCTTCAGGGCAGGTGCCCAGAAAGGGGTACCAGGGAATATTCTGGATGCAGATACTGTCTTGATCTGAGTATTAGTTACATGGATGTGTTTGATTTATGAAAATTGATCAAGCTGTGTAATTTATCATTTGTACACTTTCTACATGTATGTTGTAATTCAATTTATAGTTCCCCACCAAAGTTACCTAAGTAATACTCAGATATTTGAAGTAGTATCTGTCCATATTGATTTAGAAGAGGAATGTCCCAAAATAGTCCTTTGGATTTAAGATGTTTTTACTGCCATTTTGACTCAGAGGACATTTTGATTTTATATTTATGAATACACATTTCAATCATAACTATATAAACAGTGACAAATTTTCATTGAGAAAATATTTTTAACCTCAAATTGCATCCTGTAAGTCTGTTTGATTCTTAGGTCAGCATTTTACAACACGATTAACAATTTTCAATTTCATTGTGATCATAATTTTTCCCTGAAGTTTTAATTTATTGACTTTTTGGGGTCAATTATGTTAGAATAAATTGTCCATATTTGATTTTTTTATTGCTTTGGGGGCCCATACCAGATTTTGCCAATTATAGCTTCTGCCTTTGTGAATTTTCTTCTGTGACTATTCCCACCAAGTTTAATTTTTCTAATTCAAATTTTGTGTATTTAAAGTTTATCAAGATTTTTTTCTTCCATCAATTTCAAGAGCACATTACTGTGTTCAATTTTTGCCTTTAATAGTTTTATTTTGGGTTGATTATTTCTACTTTTTTTTTTTTTTTTTGAGATGGAGTTTCGCTTTTGTTGCTCAGGCTGGAATGCAATGGCACGATCTCAGGTCACTGCAACCTCCGCCTCCCGAGTTCAAGCGATTCTCCTGCCTCAGCCTCCCAAGTAGCTGGGATTACAGGCGTGTGCTGCCATGCCCAGCTAATTTTGTATTTTTAGTAGAGACGGGGTTTCACCATGTTGGTCAGGCTGGTCTTGAGCTCCTGACCTCAAATGATCCACCCACCTCCGCCTCTCAAAGTGCTGGGATTACAGGTGTGAGCCACTTTGGCTGGCCTTACTTTCATTTTTCCTGGTTAGTTTTTATGGTGATTCTCAGATCACAGAAATGTGAGCCTTAGTTGCAGGTTTTTGTCCACATTAATTTTTATTGATTTTTTATTATTTTTAGCTGTCAGTTTGATATTGTACTAATAATATTCATTATAGACAGGATAAAAACTGATAAAAATTTATTAGTAATTTCTTGAGCATAGCACTTTGGTAGGGCAAAAGCATGGTATCAGATGTACTCCAGGGCAGATGTCTTATTTGCTAGCCTTCCTGGTCAGTGTGTCTTCACTTTCTCTTGGTTTGTAGGCAGCATTACAGAAACAACAGGAAGTAGTAGTGGCTGGGTCTTCCTTGCCTACATCATCAAAAGTGAATGCAACTGTACCAAGTAATATGATGTCAGTTAATGGACAGGCCAAAACACACACTGACAGCTCCGAAAAAGAACTGGAACCAGAAGCTGCAGAAGAAGCCCTGGAGAATGGACCAAAAGGTAGGTTTTGCATATGTGTTTGTCCAGATGTCATAATTCCAAATCTGTGAAAGGCAAAAGTCATGAAGTCAGGTTATAATTAGCTTTTGAGAACAATTACATATTTGTGAGAGTTGAACATTTTTTTACTCTTTTTAGTCTGAATCTAATGCTCTGGTGACTCATAGACCAGTGTAGAAGAGCAAATCAGATGTCTTTGGACACTTTTAAGACAAAAGTTATGTTTTGTCATATATATATATATAAATTATCTATTGCTGCATAACAAATTACAGGCTGGGCGCAGTGGCTCATACCTGTAATCCCAGCACTCTGGGAGGCTGAGGCAGGAAGATCACTTGAGCCCAAGAGTTTGAGGCTGCAGTGAACTATGATTCCGCCTGCCTGGGTGACAAAGCAAGACTGTCTCTCAAAAAAAAAACAAACAAAAATTAATTACACCTAAATTTAGTAGCTTGAAATAACAATAAACATTTATTACTATCTTGTACAGCTTCAGTGGGTCAGGGTTTCAGGAGCAGTTTAGCTGAATGGCTCTGACTTAGGCTCCCTCATGAGATTGCAGTCAAGATGTTGATGCCAGGACTAGAAGATCTGCTTCCAAAATGGTTCCCTCACATGGCTGGCTTTTGGCTGGAAGCTCAATTCCTGGCCCCATGAAGCCTCTCCATAGGGCTTCTTGAGGGTCCTCAAAACAGTTACTGGCTTCCCCTAGCAGAAGTGGCAGTGTCTTTTATGCCTTGACTTTGGAACTCCCACCATATTCTGTTGGTCACACATACCAATCCTTATATATTGTGGGTGGTGACCTCACAAGTGCATGAAGACCCAGAGGTGAGAATCTCTGGGGACCATCTTGGAGGCTGGCTACCATAGAAATAGATATATTTTTGAGACTAATGTATCATGTTGCCTAGAAAATAACTGCATTTTCAAAGCTCTACTAGCTTTCCATGGGCAGCTCATTTGTTCATTCAGCAATTAGTTGAAGGTTTCCTGAGTGCTAGGAGTACAGTGGTGAGGCAAAATAACACACAGAAAATGTAGATTGTAGCTGTGATAAGTACGGTGATGGAGAGAGAGGTACATTATCTTTGAGAGAATGTAAAACAGGGAAGTGTGACCTAGTCAGAGAGGCCACCAGAGGCTTCCCAGAGGAAGGGACAATTGACCTGAGATATCTGAAGCAAGAGGAGTTAACTAAGTAAGGAGGAAGAGGAGAGCATTTCAGTGACAGTGGTCAGGGATGGTGGTATGGTTCATAAGAAATTTGGTTTCAGAGATCTTCCTTGTCTGTTTAGAACAAGTAATAATTGCTTCAGAAAAGGCTTTGAAATCCCTTGGTTTACTGCCCCCTTCCCTTTTTTTTTCTTATCAAGGGATTATACTAGCATCTTCAAATGAGAGAAAATATTTCAAAGGCTCTGTGACTAACTTTGAAAAACTTATTGCATAGTCAAGTGCACATAGGTACTGCTCAGTAACAAGACTTTACCCCTTTTTCTCAGTCCCTAGTGGTTCTAATCCTGTCCGAGTTTTTGTTTCTTTGAGCTCCTTTAGAATAGCCCCTAGAACTTTGGGATAGTTGGAGGTGAAGAATTTTTCAACAGACAGGCTGAAGTCAAAGTCCAGCTTTCTTTGTTCACATCCACAAGAGTAATTTATTCCTAAAGCCAGAATCTCTCTTCCTTGCTAGAATATTTCCCTCACTCCAGCTGGGGCCTTCCCAAGGTCATTCTTGAATCCCCATAGAGGGAGTGTTGAAAAAAATTCGTTTCTAAAATTGTGGGCTGCCATTGTTACTTGAAGAAGTACGATGACCTCTGAGTGCCTGCAACATTGTTAAACATAGTAATCTGGAGAGACTCCCATGGGGAGGCTTTTTTATTCCTCCAAGTCCTTGATCTAAGCTAGACCATATTGTACTTGGTGCCTGAGTACAACTGATCAGGTAGTGCTATGAAAATGTGGCTACCTGCAGGGTGAAGGCTCTTTTTCTTTAGCTTTTTAATACCTATTGCCTTTAGAATCTCTTCCAGTAATAGCAGCTCCATCCATGTGGACACGACCTCAGATCAAAGACTTCAAAGAGAAGATTCAGCAGGATGCAGATTCCGTGATTACAGTGGGCCGAGGAGAAGTGGTCACTGTTCGAGTACCCACCCATGAAGAAGGATCATATCTCTTTTGGGAATTTGCCACAGACAATTATGACATTGGGTTTGGGGTGTATTTTGAATGGACAGACTCTCCAAACACTGCTGTCAGCGTGCATGTCAGTGAGTCCAGCGATGACGACGAGGAGGAAGAAGGTAGAACCCTTGGTCCATATTCAGTAGCTGCTGGGTTGTGTGTTGGCAGAAATGGTACATAGTTCAGGTGTCACCCAGCCTTATGCTTCCTGACTAACACTTCATGGTTAGGGAACACTTTCTTCATTAGTGGGACCTTGGGCTGAAAATGTTATGAGGCCAGGCTCCTGTAGGGGACTGGGGCCTAAACCTGAATTTTTCTGAATGCCAGGAAAATCTATTTGGCAATTTGCTATTTTACTCCTTTCTGAATACTATTTTACTTCTAACCGTGTGTGTTGAAAAGCCAAATATGCAAGATTACTTCAAAAAAAATTTTTTTTTTTTTGAGACAGAGTCTCACTCTGTCACCCAGGCTGGAGTGCAGTGGCATGATCTCTGCTCACAGTAGTCTCGGCCTCTTAGGTTCAAGCGATTCTCCTGCCTCAGCCTCCTGAGTAGCTGGGATTACAGGCACGCACCACTGTGCCCGGCTAATTTTTTGTATTTTTAGTAGAGACGAGGTTTCACCATGTTGGTCAGGCTGGTCTCGAACTCCTGACCTTGTGATCCACCCGCCTCGGCCTCCCAAAGTGCTGGGATTACAGGCGTGAGCCACAGCACCCGACCCACTTTGAAAAATTTTAAAGGAGCAAGTAAGAATTCCTGTCAACCCTGGCATTTATTTAAATTTATATTGTTGATATTAGCATTTTAGGTCATTATTCTAAAATTTTTTATGTAAATACAGAAACTCACCAGAATAGTCCACTTAAAAAAATTTCAATTATTTTTCCATTTGGAAATCCCTATTTTGCTAGAGTGGAATTTTTTTACTTCCTCTGAATAAGTAGACAAAATTGGGTGTTTTAAAGGACAGTCTAAAATATCTTGGTCTAAGAAATAGGTTATAAATGTATTGCTTTTTGAGAAGAGGGTCTCTTTATTTTTGTTACCCAGGAAAGTTAGAATGTAGGGTTTGTTTATATACACTTAATAAGCACTTAATTTATTTGTTGACTTGATTGAAAGTGATATGGAATGCATGCCCTGTGAGAATGGAAAAGCACCATGTCTCAGTTCTTCCAGACTAACTGACCTTTCAGGTGGCTTGTAAACAGACTGCTTGTTCTTGAAGAGGGTTGGCAATGTTGCTTTACAGATTACAGTGGGATAAAGTTAAAAAGATATTATTGAAAGTACATGGAATAAGCCTGAAAGTTCTATCAACTTGTGAAGTACAGAGTTGTCCAATCATATTACCATACCATGCAACACCCTGGGGCCTCTGGGGCTATCTACAGAAACATACACTGCAGGTGTGCCATACATTTCTTGAAATTAAGTTTAATATTCAATTTAACAGTTAATATTTAATGCTAATCAAAAGATAATCCAAAGATAATTCCGTATCATTATCTACATGAACCATCAGAGTATCCCAGAAATTTCAGTACATCTTGCAGATTGACTTTTACCCCAGAAGCAGATTTAAAATCCTTCATTATACCACAGGTCCAGATTCTAGCTGGTAAATATGGAAGCATGAGCTGCTTTGTCTTACACGGCATTTTGTTTTCATCAGTCTTTATTCCTGAGTACCACCAGCAAGGCAAAGCATTGCTCATAAATAATACTGACTGAGACAGAAAGAAAAAATGTAAGATTGAAAAAGCCTGGGCCGGACGCGGTGGCTCACGCCTGTAATCCCAACACTTTGGGAGGCCGAGGTGGGTGGATCACAAGGTCAGGAGTTCGAGACCAGTCTGGCCAACATGGTGAAGCCCTGTCTCTACTAAAAATATAAAAATTAGCCGAGCGTGGTGGTGGGTGCCTGTAATCCCAGCTACTCGGGAGGCTGAGGCAGGAGAATCACTTGAACCTGGGAGGCAGAGGTTGCAGTGAGCCGAGATCACACCACTGCACTCCAGCCTGGGCAACAGAGCGAGACTCCGTCTCAAAAATAAAAAAAAGAAAAAGCCTGTCTGGGCATGGTATCTCATGACTGTAATCTCAGCTTTTGGGGAGGCCAAGTAAGGAAGATCTCTTGAGGCCAGAAGTTTAAGACCAGTCTGGGCAACCCGTTTTGTAGAGTGACACCACATCTCGACAAAAAAAATTTTTTTTTAGTTAGGTGGGTGTGGTGGCATGTACCTGTAGTCCCAGGTACATGGGAGGCTGAGGCAAGAGGATTGCTTGAGTCCAGGAATTCGAGGCTGTAGTGAGCTATATGATCACACCACTGCATTCCAGCCCGAGCGACAGAGCTAGGCCCTCCCTCTAAAAAAAAAAAAAAAAAATTAAAAAAAATAAAAAGCAGTTAGAGAGCAGGACTGTAGCAGATTAGCCAGGGGGCACTACTGTTTTCTCATGTGACCTTCAACAACATCAGAACCTGTTCTGTCCTTTCTGTTGCATCACAGGGACTCATTAAAGTCAGACTGTCTGCAGATGTCTGGGAAGGAAAGTTTTTTGTATGCATACAAATTACTGTACTTACAAAGAGCTTTGTGAGGCCAGGCACGGTGGCCCCTGCCTGTAATCTCAGCACTTTGGGAGGCCAAAGCGGATGGATTGCTAGAGCTCAGGAGTTCAAGACCAGCCTGGGCAACATGATGAAACCCTGTCTCTACCAAAAATACAAAAAACTAGCTGGGTGTGATGGTGTGCACCTGTAGTCCCAGCTACTTGGGAGGCTGAGGTGGGAAAATTGCTTGAGCCCAGGAGGTAGAGGTTGCAGTGAGCTGAGATCAAGTCACTTCACTCCAGCCTGGGCCACAGAGCCAGACCCCATCTCAAAAAAAAAAAAAAAAAAAAAAAAAAAAAGATGGCTGGGCGCAGTGGCTGACACCTGTAATCCCAGCACTTTGGGAGCCTGAGGTGGGTGAATCACCTGAGGTCAGGAGTTCAAGACCAGCCTGGCCAACATGGTGAAACCCCATCTCTACTAAAAGTACAAAAATTAGCCAGGCATGGTGGCACATGCCTGTAATCCCAGCTACTTGGGAGACTGAGGCAGGAGAATCGCTTGAACCCGGGAGGTGGAGATTGCAGTGAGCTGAGATCGTGCCATTGCACTCCAGCCTGGGCGACAGAGCCAGACTCCGTCTCAAAAAAAAAAAAAAATGAAAGAGCTTTGTGAATAAGAATTCTCTGTTCAGAAGTTGGTTGAGGTAATGTATTTCTCCTGGCTTGCCTATTAGAGAGCTTCTAAAAGGTGGTTACTGCCTAGTCTGAACCCTCAGCTGATGATAGTTTTGGGGTTATATTGGTGTTGGGAAGATCACTAGTGAAAATGGCAGGGGTTCATTTCTAGAGGTAAGAACCTTAATATCCTTGATCTTAGTTCTAATATGTCCCTCAAATGAAAGATGGCATTCCCTGTACTTGTACCATTCCTAATCATAAAATGATTTGCAGCTAAAACATTTTAGCCTCACAGCAGTGAAGCTTTATCATTCCTAAGAATTGTTCATTACATGAGCGTCACTTCATCCCATTTAAAGATTTAGCTCACAAATTGTATTTGTCCATATGCCTTAGAAGCTACTGTCCTACCGTGTCTTGTATTTCATATGGTAGAAGAGTCTGAGTTTTTTGGGTTTTGGTTTGGTTTTTCTTCCTTAGGTCTTGAAAGGTAGACAGAGGAGTTTGCTTTCTCTGAAGAAGCATGGATGGTAACACATCCTCCTGTTTTAATTCTCCATTTTCTTCATTGTTTACAGGTCCTAAACCTTGGCTTAAATTCATAAAAGATGCCTTTTCATCTATCCCAGTAATCTTTAGTTTTATAGATTTAAAACAAAATTTGAGTCTTGAATCAATGGACCAGTCTATTTCTTGGATGTCAACAATAGTGTACATTTTGGATGGTTCTGTATTTCTCATTTGCATGTGAAACATGCTTAATTATAGGTATTTCTGTGGTTAAGTAAATCTGGTTTTGACCTACCTTTATAAGAGTGCCATCTGCTTTTTTAAAATAAACTTTTAATTTTAGAATAGTTTTAGATTTACAGAAAAGTTACAAAGATAGCACAAAGAGTACCCATATACCCTGCACCAAGTTCCCTCTGTTGTTAGCATCTTACATTGTACTGTGGTGCACTCATCACAGCTAATGAAACAATATTGATACATTGATTCATTAATTAACTAAAGTCCATATTTATTCAGATGTTTTTAGTTTTTACCTAATGTTCCAAGATCCTTTCCAGGATGCCACATTATAGTCAGTCATCATATCTCCTTAATCTGCTATAGACGGTGAGAATTTCTCAAACTTACCTTGTTTTAAATTCCTGATAGTGGCCATTGACAAGCATCACTCAGTGTGTTGCCAGAATTCACTCTGCCATGTTATAAACCTGAAAATCCATGCCTGTAGTCCCAGTCTCTTAAACAAACAAACAAACAAAAACAACAACCATAAACCCGAAAGTCTTGTCTTCTGTGCTGAATACTCCCTTGACCTCTTTGAGCTGGTTTGTATTAAATATGTTAAACTGTGACTTCGAAGCTGGTTCATAATTTTCTCATTCCTGTAGGTTTCTAGAGGCATTTTTTTTCCTAACCTCATAGCATTACAGTTCAAAAAACTCTTAACCGGGGCAAACCTTTCAGAGCCCATTTTTTGCCACTTAGATCATCTCTGGGTTAAATTGGCCTAGTGAAAATAATTGAATTTTCAGAGTATCTCTGAATGCCTATCTCTCTACTATGATTTTTTCATTTTACTGCTTATATTTAAGATATACAGAAAGCAATAGTCCTCACAAATCATCTTCCATCTTTCTAAAATGGGGAGGACTCATATTGGTCAGAAGGAGGATGATGAGAGCAACATTTTCATGTTACTCAGATGAGTGAAATTCCTGAGGATGAATTAGGAATTGAATGGCTATGGAAAGGGGAAAATGGGACCTTGAAATAGGAATGGTAGTAAGCACAGAAAGAGATAGGATGCTGACCACTGCTACCACTAGATGTTCATCACTGGGCTCCCAGGGCTCAGAACAGGGTTTGGTGTATAGCACATACTTAGGTATTTGAATGAATGAGTGAATGAATGAATGAATGAACGAACTAATAAATGCTCACATGCACATAACTTGTTAAATGGTTCAACAGAATTCCCAACAAGAGCAGTTTCTCAAAGAAAGGATAGGCTGGGCACGGTGGCTCACGCCTGTAATCCCAGCACTTTGGGAGGCCGAGGCAGGTGGGTCACAAGGTCAGGAGATTGAGACAATCCTGGCCAACATGGTGAAAGTCCATGTCTACTAAAAATACAAAAATTACCTGGATGTAGTGGTGCACGCCTGTAATCCCAGCTACTTGGGAAGCTGAGGCAGGAGAATCGCTTGCACCCAGGAGGTGGAGGTTGCAATGAGCTGAGATCACGCCGCTGCACTCCATCCTGGGTGACAGAGCAAGACTCTGTCTCCAGAAAAAAAAGAAAGGATAGATTTTAATTGCCTGATGCAAGTGTGGTTTTCCTGAATCTGTTCATTGACTTGTCTCTGTTCTTACAGAAAACATCGGTTGTGAAGAGAAAGCCAAAAAGAATGCCAACAAGCCTTTGCTGGATGAGATTGTGCCTGTGTACCGACGGGACTGTCATGAGGAGGTGTATGCTGGCAGCCATCAATATCCAGGGAGAGGAGTCTATCTCCTCAAGTTTGACAACTCCTACTCTTTGTGGCGGTCAAAATCAGTCTACTACAGAGTCTATTATACTAGATAAAAATGTTGTTACAAAGTCTGGAGTCTAGGGTTGGGCAGAAGATGACATTTAATTTGGAAATTTCTTTTTACTTTTGTGGAGCATTAGAGTCACAGTTTACCTTATT
Source organism: Homo sapiens (assembly GCF_000001405.40). Lineage (NCBI taxonomy): Eukaryota > Metazoa > Chordata > Mammalia > Primates > Hominidae > Homo > Homo sapiens. Next base: position 226,146,503 of record NC_000001.11, on the reverse strand, counting down.
GATATTGGTCTGATGGTTTGTGAACTCTTGCTGGGAATCAAAATTTCCTTGAGACTCTTTAGCATTCATACTTTGGGGTTAAAGGAGATTCCTCAGACTCATCCAGCCCTTGGGTGCTGACCAGCAGAGTCACTAGTGGATGCTGAAGTTACATGAGCTACATGTTAAATATTTAAAGTCTCCAAAATAAAACACCCCAACGTTGACCTTACCCGGCTGATGGTTAGCCCCTTGCTGCCTGCTCCATGTGTCTTATGAGAGCCCGTAGTTACAGTGTCCTCTAATTTGAAATCCATAAGTTAACAAGTCTATATCAGGTGCAGCTGGCTTTGATTAAAGGCCATTTTTAAAACTTAAAAACTCAACACCTCACAGATTATAATAGAAAAAGAAATGGCCTCAGTTTGATCTCGTTCAGAATGACCCAGATTGTTTCTGCTTTGGGTGCAGCTGTTTAGTTCAGAGTTATATTACAGAGAATTATTTTCTGAGATAATCTTAAACTAGAATGTTCAAAACTAATTGATAATTGAAGTATCAAGATACGTAGAACACCTCAGAGATTTTTCTTCAGGAACTTCCACAAACTTTGAATCCTTGTATCTTTATTTGGTATTCATACTACTAGTAGCAAAATACAGGTTTTTTGTTTTGTTTTGTTTTGTTTTGGCTTCATAGAGTATCTCAAATTGAAACTTTTCTGCACAAAGAATAAAATTAAGGATTTTATAAACTCAAATTGGCACCTACTGAATTAAAATACATAAAATCATTTAAATATAATTCAGCATATGGGAAGTAACATTGCACTAATATGGAAATCACTGCCAGAGACAGTCTATTTTCTTTTAATTTGTTACTACTTAGTCACAAACCCCACATTATTCCAGTTTGGAATTACTTATTAAGGAGAATTGGAAATACATATGCCCATGCTTAAATTTTATAGCTTTAATTTGTGTTATTTCTTTATTGACGGGAAGAGGTACATCTTTTTTTCCTTACTGAAAACAAATATGGATTAATTGCCTCAAATTTGTATAAGTGATTGGCTAGTGATTCTTGTTTTCAGAAGGGAGAGTGGTATAGATAGAAAATGACAAAGATGGCAATATACACTTAATGTTGTTATTGTATGTTGTTACTGAAGTACTTAGATTTTTAAAATTTCAAATCCTAAATCACTTCTTGTAGGAGGGTTTTCATTAACTGCAGTATATACAGTTCACTACATATGGGTTGTTTGAGTTTTTTGTGTGCTGTATTTCTTTCTGTTTTTTAATACCTGGTTTTGTACATATCTAACTCTGTTCTCTTTTGGTTGTTCAGAAACTGGATTTTTTTTTTCTTAAGCAGTGCTTAATTTGTGTTTTTTAATTTTGATTCAGAAGTAGTCCCAGCTCATAGGTGTTCATACTGTTACATCCAGAACATTTGTCAGGCTCTCTGTCAGCTTTCATGTACATATGGTATAGAAACCATGGAGTTAGGCACTTCCTGGATTTTTTTTTTATGAGAAAAATACTGTATTTAAAATGTAAAATAAACTTTTAAAAAGCAGGCACTAATATATATTTCTTCCAGCCTTTGATTACAAATTTGTCCTTGCACATGTTAAGATGAATTATCTCCTAAAAATATCATTGTTCTTGGGAGCAGTGTATGTTACTTTACATAGCAGCGGTTCCTGTCATGTGTTCATGTCAGAATATTTTTGGTTTTAAACTTTCTTATTGCCTTTGGCTGTTGATTAGTACAGTACAAGTGCGATTTCAAAAAGATCTTGAAAGTAATATATTTAATCAATTAAAATGTTTATCTGTAACTTGTTGATGTTTCATTAATATAGTTACTCTCTGAAGCATTAGTACAGTATTTCAACATTTGGGTAGGAGAAAAAGAAATGTTTCAAACATCTTTTTTGTTTTAAAAGGCTCTAGTTGAAAAACAACTCTTTCTGGCCAATTATTTAGTTTTACTATTAATTACCTTAGTGAGTTAAAATAGATTTAAATTTTTCCACACTTTTAAATGCAAAGGCTAGCACTGATTTTTCTTATTGAAAATGACTAGGTTATAAAGTTGTTTCTCTACACTACCATGTATGTAGTGTGTTCCATTAAATATGTGGACCCCACACACTTTAATGGATCTCCAGAGGCAGAGCCCTCGCTTGCTCAGGGTGGATGATTGCAGAGCACTTGTGGGGAAGTGCGCGATCAGTGTGATGTGGAGTCCCAGAATGAGGTTGCTACATCCAGATGACCCCACTGATAGGCAGGGTGACTGGCATAATTTTTTTCTTTTGAAATCTGGGGAGACAGATGAGGTGACCATCTTGGTTATTTTTGCTGTGTGGGATACCATAAAGCCAGACTGAAGACGCATTAAGGAGAGCAGTTGAGGTAAGCACATCTTGGAAAGTATGCTACCGAGTCTTGACCATCTATCTTTTGGAGCAGGAGAAGCAACCGGTTCAAAATAATAAATAATTGCTAATAATTCATTAGGGCTTAAAGTTCAACAGTCAGGGGCCGGGCGCGGTGGCTCACGCCTGTAATCCCAACACTTTGGGAGGCCGAGGCGGGCAGATCACGAGGTCAGGAGATTGAGACCATCCTGGCTAACACGGTGAAACCCCATCTCTACTAAAAATACAAAAAATTAGCCAGGCGTGGTGGCGGGCACCTGTAGTCCCAGCTACTCGGGAGGCTGAAGCAGGAGAATGGTGTGAACCTGGGAGGCGGAGCTTGCAGTGAGCCAAGATCACGCCACTACACTCCAGCCTGGCTGACTGAGCGAGACTCTGTCTCAAAAAAATAAAAATAAAAGTTCAACAGTCAGTAGCTGTGCATGGGGGTGCACACCTGTAGTCCCAGCTACTCGGGAGGCTGAGGCATGAGAATCGCTTGAACCTGGAAGGCATAGGTTGCAGTGAGCCCAGATCACACCACTACACTCCAGCCTGGGCGACAGAGCAAGACTCTGTCTTGGGGAAAAAAAAAATAAAGTTCAACAATCTACAACCAAAACCATCTTTGCTTCTCTCCCTGGCTTTTTCTCAGTTCAGTACTTCCATCTGCAACCTAAAAACGTGTGCCTGTGTATCTACTTGGGGGAGAGCAGATCTTCATTTCTATTCATTAGCTTTTCAAATTACGTGTGAATCAGCATTGGACTTTTGTCTCACGTATATCTCAGTTCTTCAGTTTTCTTAAAATGTATTTTCTTTTTTCTTTTTTCTTTTTTTTTTTGAGACAGGGTCTCACTCTGTCACCTAGGGTGAAGTGCAGTGGTACAATCACAGATCACTGCAGCCTCGACCTGGGCTCAAGCGATCCTCCCACCTCAGCCTCCCCAGTAGCTGGGACTATAGGTGCATACACTACCATGCCTGGCTAATTTTTGTATTTTTTGTAGAGATGAGGTTTTGCCATGTTGTCCAGGCTGGTCTCAAACTCCTGGATTCAAGTGATCCACCCGCTTCAGCCTCCCAAAGTGCTGGTATTACAGGCATAAGCCACAGCACCCTACCCTAATTTTTTTTTTCTTTTTTTTTTTTTTTTTGGTGAGACGGAGATTTACTCTTGTTGCCGAGGCTGGAGTGCAATGGCGCGATCTCGGCTCACTGCATCCTCCGCCTCCCAGGTTCAAGCGATTCTCCTGCCTCAGCCTCCCAAGTAGCTGGGACTACAGGCATGTGTCACCACGCCCGGCTAATTTTGTATTTTTAGTAGAGACGGGGTTTCACCGTGTTGCCCAGGCTGATATCGAACTCCTGACCTCAGGTAATCTGCCCGCCTCGGCCTCCCAAAGTGCTGGGATTACAGGTGTGAGCCACCCGGCCACCCCGCCCTAATTTTTATATTCTTAGGAGAGATGGGGGTTCACCATGTTGGCCAGGCTGGTCTCGAACTCCAGACCTCAGGTGATCTGCCTGTTGTAGGCCTCCTAAAGTGCTGGGATTATAGGCGTGAGCCACCGTGCCAGGCCAATAAAAACGATTTTTATCTTTTTCCAAGGTCATTAACTTAAATGTCTCCAGTTAAAGGTAACACCTTTTTTGGGCATGGCACAGTATGGAAATGTGAACATGTTTTTCATAAGGTCTACATTTTGCAACTTAAAATTCCAGGTTGTGTTTTGGAGAACTTTTTTTTAATTTTTATTTTTTTAATTTTTTTGAGATGGAGTCTCGCTCTGTCGCCCAGGCTGGAGTGCAGTGGCACGATCTCGGCTCACTGCAAGTTCTGCCTCCTGGGTTCACGCCATTCTCCTGCCTCAGCTTCCCGAGTAGCTGGGACTACAGGCACCCACCACCATGCCCGGCTAATTTTTTGTATTTTTAGTAGAGACGGGGTTTCACCGTGTTAGCCAGGATGGTCTCAATCTCCTGACCTCGTGATCCGCCCGCCTCGGCCTCCCAAAGTGCTGGGATTACAGGCGTGAGCCACTGCACCCGGCCCGGAGAACTTTGAAGTATTGTTCTATCGTGTTCTTTTAATCAACTGTGTGTTCTTCCATAGAACGTCTTTTTGGCTGGTTTTCTGTTATTGAACATTTAGGTTACTTCTGATTTTTTTTGTTATCATTGTTATTAGAAGTGATGTTCCAATTATTTGTCTCTCCGCAAATCTGCATGAGGTTTTCAAAAGTATATACCAAGAAGTGGATACTGGGCCAGGTGTGGTGGCTCACGCCTGTAATCCCAGCACTTAGGGAGGCTGAGGTGGGCAGATCAATTGAGGCCAGGAGTTCAAGACCAGCCTGGCCAACATGGCAGAACCCTATCTCTACTAAAAATACAAAAAATTAGCCGAGCGTGGTGGCAGGCACTTGTAATCTCAGCTAGTTGGGAGGCTGAGGCACAAGAATCGCTTGAACTCAGGAGGCGGATGTTGCAGTGAGATGAGATCGTGCCACTGCACTCCAGCCTGGGTGACAGAGTGAGACTCTGCCTCAAAAAAAGAAAAAAAAAAAGTGGATACTGGATCATAAATTCTTGGCATTTTTATTTTATAAATAAATAAATTTATTCCTTCCTGAACTACTAGGGAGGCAGAGGCCAGAGGATCACTTAAGCACAGGAGTTGAAGGCTGCAGTGAGCTGATGGCACCACTGCACTCCAGCCTCAGTGACAGAGCAAGACTCTGTCTCAGAAACAGAATTCTGAAAAGAAAAGAAATTCTTATACATGTCTGCTTATGCTCATGTGCAAGTTTCTCCAGTGTTTATACCAAGAAGCAGAATTGTTAAGCCGTAACTATGTAGGTCTATTTTAGACAATACAAAACTGCTCTTCAAACGTGGTGCCAATTTAAACTGCCAGTAGTAAAAGAGTTCCTGTGTTCCATATCTTTGCTGAATTGTCAGATTTTGTAATTGTACCAGTTTGGTGGGGTGTAAAACAGAATCTCATCTGTGGTTTCAATTTATATTTTCTTAATAACCAGTGGAGCTGGGCGCAGTGGCTCACTCCTGTAATCCCAGCACTTTGGGAGGCCGAGGTGGGCGGATCACTTGAGGTCAGGAGTTCAAGACTAGCCCGACCAACATGGTGAAATCCTGTCTTTACTAAAAATACAAAAATTAGCTGGGCCTGGTGGCGCGTGCCTGTAATTCCAGCTACTCAGGAGTCTGAGACAGGAGAATCGCTTGAACCCAGGAGGCGGAGGTTGCAAGAGCCGAGATCATGCCATTGCACCCCAGCCTGGGCAACAGAGTGCCACTCCATCTCAAAAAAAAATAAAATAAATAAAAAATAATAAGCATGAATAACCATCTTTTCATATGTTACTGGCCTTCTGTGAGTTGTATATTTATATCCTTTGTTCATTATTCTGTTGTACATGTCTTGATTTGTAGGCGTACTTTAAATATTCTGGATACTACAGTCTTTTTGGTCGTGCGCATCATAAATAATTGGTGCCACACTTTGGGTTTTTGGTCTCGAACTCCTGACCTCAAGTGATCTGCCCGCTTCAGCCTCCCAAAGTGCTAGAATTACAGATGTGAGCCACCACACCCAGCCATTTTTTTTTTTTTTTTTTTGAGACAGAGTCTCACTCTGTCGCCCAGGCTGGAGTACAGTGGCACCATCTCGGCTCACCGGAACCTCCACCTCCCAGGTTCAAGCTGTTCTCCTGCCTCAGCCTCTCAAGTAGCTGGGATTACAGGCACCCGCCCCCATGCCGGGCTAATTTTTTGTATTTTTTAGTAGAGACGAGGTTTCACCATGTTGGCCAGGCTGGTCTGGAACTTCTGACCTCAGGTGATCCACCTGCCTCAGCCTCCCAAAGTGCTGGGATTACAGGCATGAGCCACTGCACCCAGTCCTCATTTAGATTTATTAAACTTTCATGGTTCGAGCTTTCCATATGTTTTGTTTGTGACATGGTCTCTCTGGAGTACACTGGTACAAGCCTTGAACTCCTGGGCTTAAATGACCCTCCCACCCCAGCCTCCCAAAGTACTGGGATTACAGGTGTGAGCCACTGTGCTTGGCTTCCCCTGCTCCTCAGATTCTTCAGGTAGAAACTTAAGTTATTGATTTGAGCCTCCCTTTTTCTTAATCCAAAGCTAAAAACTTTTGAGTGTTGCTTTTTTACATCTCATAAATTTGGATATATTGGGGTTTTGTTTGCATTTAGTTTAAAATTCTTTTTTTTTTTTTTTTTGAGACGGAGTCTCACTCTGTTGCTCAGGCTGGAGTGCAGTGGCATAATCCTGGCTCACTGCAACCTCCGCCTCCCAAGTTCAAGCGATTCTCCTACCTCAGCCTCCCGAGTAGCTGGGATTACAGGCACATGCCACCATGCCCAGCTAATTTTGTATTTTTAGTAGAGACAGGGTTTCACATGTTGGCCAGGCTGGTCTCCAACTCCTGACCTCAGGTGATCCACCCACCTAGACCTCCCAAAGTGCCAGGATTACAGGCGTGAGCCACCGAGCCCGGCCCAGTTTAAAATATTTTCTAATTTCCTTTGTGATTTCTTCCTTGTTACATGGGTTATTTAGAAGTGTATTAGGCTCCATGTATTTGAGGATTTCCCAAGTCTTTTTCTGTTGTTGATTTCTAATTTAATTTCATTATTTCATTTTTTTTTTTATTTACCAAGGCTTGTTTTATGTCCCAGAATGGTGTCTTTTAGTGGATGTTCCATGTTCACTTGAGTAGAATGTGTAGTCTGCTGTCATTGGGTGGAATGTTCTGTAAATGTCAGCCAAGTTAAGTTGGTTGGTAGTGATGGTAAGGTTTGCTTGTTCTGTCAGTTACCAAAAGAGGAGTTTTGAATTATTCAACTAAATTGTAGATTTGTTCCTCCCCCGCACCCCCCACTTTTTTTTGGCCATTTTTGCTTTATTTATTTCGAAGTTTTCTGTTGGTGTATACACGTTTATGATTGTATGGCTTCTTGATGAACTGACCTCTTTATTATTATGTAACATATCTCTTCATGTCTAGTTATATTCCTTGTTCTGAAGTCCATTTCATCTGGTATTAGTGTTGCCACTCGTGCTTTCTTTTGATTAAAGTTCACATGATATATCTTATTCCATCTTTTTATTTTTTTATTTTATTTTATTTTATTTTATTTTTATTTTCTTGAGACAGGGTTTTGCTCTGTCCCCCGGGCTGGGGGACAGCTTAGAGCCCAGGAGGTCAAGGCTGCGGTGAGTTATAACCGGTGGTGCAGTTATAACTCACCGCAGCCTTGACCTCCTAGGTTCTAAGCTGTTCTTCTGCCTTAGCCTCTCATGTAGTTGAGACTACAGGTTTGCACCACAACACCTGGCTAATTTTTTTTTACTTTTTGTATAGACAGGGTCTCACTTTGTTGCCCAGGCTGGTCTCTAACTCCTGGATTCAAGCCATCAACCCACCTTGGCCTCCCAAAGTGCTAGGATTACAGGCATGAGCCACTGTGCCCAACCTATCCATCTTTTTACTTTTTAACTTATCTATGTCTTTATATTTAAAGTGGGTTCCTTGTTGACAGCATATAATTTGAGTCTTTTTAAAATCCAATCTGACAGTCATTTTCTCTTAATTGGCATGTTTAGACAATTTACATTTAATGTAATTATCAATGTGATTGGATTTAAATATACAGTTTTGCTATTTTCTCTTTGTCCCATCTGTTTTTTTTTTTTTTTTTTTTTGAGACAGAGTTTTGCTCTTGTTGCCCAGGCTGGAGTGCAATGGCGTGATCTCGGCTCACCGCAACCTCTGCCTCCTCGGTTCAAGTGATTCTCCTGCCTCAGCCTCTCAAGTAGCTGGGATTACAGGAATGTGCCACCACGCCCGGCTAATTTTGTATTTTTAGTAGAGACAGAGTTTCTCCATGTTGGTCAGGCTGGTCTCAAACTCCTTACCTCAGGTGATCCACCCGCCTCGGCCTCCCAAAGTGCTGGGATTACAGGCATGAGCCACCGCACCCAGCCCCCATCTGTTCTTGGGATTATTTTTTCCCTTTTGTATGGCCTTCTTTTGGATTGAGTATTTTTTATAGATCTGTTTTCTCCTCTTATTGACTTATTACATTAGTTCTTCTGTTTTATTTTTAGTTTTGTTGTTTTTTAGTGTGCTTGGATCCAAAATATATATCTTTAACACAGCACAGACTACTTTCAAATATATTACACTACTTCACATACAGCATAAGAACAATACAACAGGCCGGGTGTGGTGGCTTACACCTGTAATCCCAGCACTTTGGGAAGCTGAGGTGGGTGGACGGCTTGAGGCCAGGAGTTCGAGACCAGTCTGGCCAACATGGTGAAACCCTGTCTGTACCAAAAATACAAACAATTAGCCGGGGGTGGTGGCAGGCACCTGTAATCTCTGCTACTCGGGAGCTTGAGGCAAGAGAATCGCTTGAACCCGGGAGGCGGAGGTTGCAGTGAGCCGAGATCGTGCCGCTGCACCCCAGCCTGGGCGTCAGAGTAAGACTCAGTCTCAAAAAAGTAACATTACAGCAATATATTTCCATTTCCTCCCTAGTAGTTTAAGAGTAGATTCTTGCCTGATTTTTTCTGGAGACAGAGTCTCGCTCATTCTCCCAGGCTGGAGTGCAGTGGCGCGATCTCAGCTCACTGCAAAGCACCACCTTCCGGTTCACGCCATTCTCCTGCCTCTGCCTCCCGAGTAGCTGGGACTACAGGCGCCCGCCACTACGCCCGGCTAATTTTTTTGTATTTTTAGTAGAGACGGGGTTTCACCGTGTTAACCAGGATGGTCTCGATCTCCTGCCCTCGTCCCTTCGTGGCCTCCCAAAGTGCTGGGATTACAGGAGTGAGCCACCGCACCTGGCCCTTTTGCCTGATCTTTTATGTGAGGGGTTTGCTTCCCTTCCCCGGTGGTTTAAAGTTTTTGTTTCATAGAAAAGAAGGGTTCTGGGAAAGGGTTTTCCTGCCTGTCCTTGGGATCAGCTGATCATTTCTACTTGTCTGTGCTGCCAAGGGTGACTCTCCCCAGCTTCCTGCTCTGTACCACTGGAGGCCCATCCTGGGAAAGTGTGTAGGTGACTGTGATTCCTCTTGTCAGGGTCTCCGCTGTTCAAAATTGATGCCCCAACACTTGAACTTTAAGAACTGTTAAAATTGGCCGGGCACAGTGGCTCACCCCTGTAATCCTAGCACTTTGAGAGGCTGAGGCGGGCGGATTGCCTGAGCTCAGGAGTTTGAGACCAACCTGGGCAACATGGTGAACCTCGTCTCTACTAAAATACAAAAGAAAAATTAGCTGGGCGTGGCGGCGTGCACCTGTAGTCCCAGCTACTCAGGGGGCTGAGGCAGGAGAATTGCTTGCACCCGGGAGGCGGAGGTAGCAGTGAGCCAAGATCGCGCCACTACACCTCGGCCTCCCAAAGTGCTGGGATTACAGGTGTGAGCCACTGCACCCGGCCCTCTTTCTGGGTTTTTAAGCTTCACTGCGTGAGGATAGGTGGGGAGTAGGTACCATCCCATGAGAGGCCAAGCGGTCTCTGCAGAGTGAGGGCAGGTGGTCAGCCAGGCCAGCGGAGGGGAGACTGGAGGGAGCTGTCGATGCGGGGTGAGGGGGCAGGGGACTATGTTGCCCAGGCTGGTCTCAAACGCCTGGGCTCAAGCAATCCGCCCGCCTCAGCCTCCCAAGGTGTTGGGATTACAGGTGTGAGCCACCACACTACACCCAGACTTCAAGTTTCATTTTAGGAGGAAAAAAGCTAATGTGCCCGGAGCCTGGCCCCCGCTAGCTTTTGCTGCATCTCCTTTCTGTGGCACAGACGCAGGCTGCTCAGCAACGTCTTACACCCCTCATCTGTCCTGTCAACCCAGTAGGCTGGCTTCTGCCCTCACCAAAGATCACCAGCAGTTTCTGTGGATAAAACCTTTGACACCTTTGTATCCTGGGCTGCTTTGCAATATTTCACCCTCTTTCCTGCCCCTTCCTCCTTGAAAGTCGGCTCCACCCGGTGCTCTCCATTGCCTGCTGCCTCCCTGGGCACTCTCCCGCCCTCTCCCTGGCTCCCGCCTGTCCCCGAAATGCAGGTCCCTGGGATTCCGGCTGCAGCCCTCCTCCCTCCCCTGTGCGCTCCCACCCGGCCTGCTGGTTTGGGAGCCTCCTCTCTTGTAGTCCGGGAAACATAAGCACCCCCTGCAAAGCGTTGTTTGAGGGTTTTGAGCAGTCTTGTGTGTAAAACGCCTTTGGTAACCCGTGTTAGCAGTTTAGACACTGGGGGAGGGAGGGCTCCTCGGTCCTTCCTGGAACCCTGTGGATCGGCTGTGGTGATGTGTGAACCCCCTGGAAACCTCAGTGCAAGATGTGGACACCTAGGCCTTTTCTCAGTTTCTACCCTGTTCTCAAAGGACGCTGACCAAGGAAGTGAGTGTCCACTGCTCTGCATGCTCCGGCTGGTCTCTCTCCCCTCCTGTAGCTCTCACTGGCTCCTAAGCCCAGCTCCAAGCTGAGTGGGGAGTGGGTGTTTCCCCTAAAAGGAGTGCCATTTTCCCCACAGCAGGAAGGAGAGTGGACTTTGGCACTGGGAGAGGAGAGAGGTGCTGGTGGAAGGCCAGGCCTAGCACGGAGGCTGTGAGGGCGCCCTGCCCTGGGCCCGGCCTGCGCAGGAGAAGGGCTGAGTGCACAGAGGGCAGCAGCATCGGAGCCAGCGCCACGTGGGCTCACTCCTCAGCCTGACATTGTCCCTAGGTGCGGCCTTCACGGGCAGGGCTGTCATCAGGCTCCCAAACGCCAGGGCGAGGAAGCAGCGTGGAGCAGGGTTCTGCAGCATTCAGTAACAATTCATTGAACACACACTCTTGGAGCACCTGCGCTCCCGGCGCCAGACGCTGGCGAAGCCGGGCATGGAGCCCAGCACGGGCCCTGCTGTCAAGTAACTGACATCCTGTTGGCCAGAGGCAGACCAAATAAGGAAAGGAAAGAACAGATAACGAAAAGCAGTGAGAAAAGTGAAGGGATGATACGGGGACCACTACCTTAGCTTGAGAGGTCAGGAAAGGCTCTATGAGGAGAGGGCTGTTTGAGAACTTAACGATGTTAGCCCCGTGAAGATGTGCACAGAGCCTTCCAGGAGGGAACAGCCAGTGCAGAGGCCCTGAGGTAGGAAGACGTTTGTGTGTGTGGAGGACAACGGCCAGTGAAGCGCGAAGTGAGAGGCGGGGGGAATAGCAGGGGATGAGATCGGAGAAAGAGGTGGGGCACATCATTCCTTTGCAGGTGTGGTGGGGACCGTGGGGGAGGCATGAAGCCCAGGAAGGGCATGATCTGGCTTCTATTTGAAAACATTTCTCTGGTTGCTGTACAGAGAGTGGGGAAGCAGAAGTAGATGTAGGGAGATGAGTTAGGAGGTGAGGGCAGTGGTCCAGGTGGGGCTCTGGTGGCTTGAACTAGGCTGGAGCAGTGAAGACACGGGAGTCGAATGCAGTATACATTTTGGAGACAGCTGACAGGTGACAGGACCTGTCTGGCATGGCAATGTTTGGGGTGCTGCTGGGCCACCGTTTTTGCTGAAAGTCACCCCACCTGGTGTCCTAAGCAGTGTTCAAAAGTCCTTTGGGATCCTCTGCCTGAGACCGTGGCCACCACACCTGTACACAGTCTCACCCTGTCCACTGAGTGGGCCTCACCCTGCACACTGAGCGGGCCTCACCCTGCACACTGAGTGGGTCTCACCCTGCACACTGAGTGGGCCTCACCCTGTCAGAGTGGGTCTCACCCTGCACACTGAGTGGGTCTCACCCTGCACACTGAGTGGGCCTCACCCTGTCAGAGTGGGTCTCACCCTGTACGCTGAGTGGGTTTGGTGTCACCTGGGAGAAGACACATGGGGAAGGGAAGGGGAATCTCCTGTCGGTGCTGGAGGGAGGGCTGTGTGATGTATCTGGAAACGTAATGGAGGCTGCTCCCCTTATTCATGATGGGAACCGAGATGGCCAGGTTACGCTGAGCTGTCCTGGATTCTACCGTGGAGTCCCACTGGCATCTCAACTTTGTCCAAAACTGTCCCCAAATCCACCCTCCTGGATCCCTGTGTTTGTGAGTGGTGTCCTCTTTCCATCCTCCCTCCTCATCAGCGCCCAAGTCCTATTGCTTCCACTTCCCAAAGACTCAAGCCAGCTCCTCTCCCTCCCCAGGCTCTCACTAGTTCTCTGCTGAGTTGCTGCCCAGCCTTCTCATCCATCCAGTCTCTGCAGCACAGCCAGGGAGCTTTCCAAAAGGCAGATCTAATGTCCCTCCCCAGCTTAAAACTCTTCAGTCCCCAAAAAATTCTAGACAAAAGCCATACTTTTAAGCAGAGGTCACTCCAAAACGCAGCTTCAGCTCCACCTCCTCCTCCCAGGCCCCCTCCCTGCTCCCCATTTGCCTCCAGGACATGGCCCCAAATTAATCAGTCACCCTTCTGGGCCTTGCCCTTCCTACTAACTTGACCTTCAGGACTCTGTCCTCCCTCCTCAGAGGTCCAGGGACCCCCTCTGCACACAGCACAGGGCCCCTGTCCTCACACAGCTTCTCACCATAGCCCTGACCTTGGACCACACTGGCTCTTACCTGCCCCTCTCTTCCACGACAGGAACCAAGGATCTAGCGAGCCCTGGAAGGCAGGGCCGTCTTTCGTGTGTGTCTCATGCGGTTCCTGTCATAGCAACAGGACATTAATAATACAGTGAACACCAGCCCTTCCCAGGAAGGGAGGAGGTGGAGGGCCACTAAGAGAACAGAGGAACAAGTCTTTCCAGAAAACTTGCCAGGCTGGGGAAGGTTGTGATGGGTTCATTTGGTGGCACTGGAAGAGCTGAAGGGTGCTGCGTGGGCAGAGGCACCGGCAGAGGCTGCCCGGAACAGCATTGCCCGCTCACAGCAGCCTGCACACTGGTGGCACGCAGGGTCAGTGGCCCTCAGCTCACGCCCACACAGCTGTTCTGTAAGCATGAATTTGAAGACGGTGGCAAGGAAAGAAGGTGCACAGGTGGCTCTTCCATCCCCTCAAGCCAGTGTCCTAGGCAGTGTCCCAGCCTGGCCTTTGTTCCTTGGTCTCCATTCCCACCTAGGGAGGCCCTGGGAGCTGCCAGGGCGGCAGCCTGCGGGTGGAACTGGAAGGAGACCCGGGATTGGTGTCGGTGGGCTGCATGCTCAGGAAGCTTTCCTGAGGCTCAGCTATGTGAGCAAACAGGATCAAATTTGCTTTCTGGAGGCCCCACAGGAGTCTCCCCGGGGGACCTTCCTGCCCCAGGGCCATGCCCTTCCCCAGCTGGCTCACTCTCCTGTCCCTATACCCCAACTCCACCCAGTCTCTCCCCAGAATCCCATAGTTCTTTCTAGGTTTTTTTGTTTTGTTTTGTTTGAGACAGAGTCTCGCTCTGTTGCCCAGGCTGGCGTGCAGTGATGTGATCTCGGCTCACTGCAACTCCTGCCTCCTGGGGCCTCGCTAGGCTAATTTTTGTATTTTTAGTAGAAACGGGGTTTCACCCTATTGGCCAGACTGGTCTCAAACTCCTGACCTCGTGATCCACCCACCTTGGCCTCCCAAAGTGCTGGGATTACAGGCGTGAGCCACCACGCCCAGCCCTCTTTCTGGGTTTCTAAGCTTCACTGCATGAGGATACGTTGGGAGTAGGGGCCAAGCAGTCCCTGCAAAGTGAGGGCAGGTGGTCAGCCAGGCCAGTGAAGGGAGACTGAAGGGAGCTGTCAATGCGGGGTGACGGGGCAGGGGGCTATTGTCTTATGTTCATTTCCACCCTCTGGAATAATCACAGAGGCGCACATTGAGCATTTACTTCCTACCAACTGCAGTGCTAAGTGCTTTCAACACGCTTTCACTTTTAATCCCCTTTTTACAGAGCGGGACACTGAGCCTTAAAGAGGTCAAGCCATTTACCCAATATAGATTATAGAGAGCAAATAATTGGCAGACCTGAGAGTCAATTTCAGGGCTGTCTGGCTCCAGATCTCCAACTGAAATTAAGATGAAGGTTTCCAGAGTCAAACTGCCTGAGGTCAAATCCTGACTCCATAACTCACTCTGAAAACTTGGGCAAGTGACTTAGCTCTCTAAACTTCTGTTTCCTCATCTGTGAAATGGTGTTGATAACAGAACCTATCTCAAAAGTTGTTCTGAAGAGTGGAGAGTGAATGCATGGAAGGTGCCGGGCAGAGGACCTGATGATAAGCATTCGACAGGCGTGGTCGTCACGATGCATGATGGTGATCATGGTCATCATGGCCCTGGAACTGGCCTGCTGAGGTTTAGCTGCAAGAAAACTGAGCTAGGTGGACCCCTCCACTCAGCACCCTTCTTATCCTGCTACACAGGGCCCACAGCTGAACCCCTAGGTCTGAGGCACTACTGGATTTGCCTTTTTTTTTTTTTTTTTGAGACAGAGTCTTGCGCTGCCACCCAGGCTGGAGTGCAGTGGCGCAATCTCAGCTCACTGCAACCTCCGCCTCCTGGGTTCAAGCGATTCTCCTGCCTCAGCCTCCCGAGTAGGTGGGACTACAGGCATGTGCCGCCATGCCCGGCTAATTTTTGTATTTTTAGAAGAGACCGGGATTTCACCATGTTGCCCAGGCTGGTCTGGAACTCCTGACCTCAGGTGATCCACCTCCCTTGGCCTCCCAAAGTGCTGGGATTACAGACATGAGCCACCGCACCTGGCCCCGGGTTTGCCTTCTTACTGGAGCCAGGAGAACACGTGTGCATTCTTCTCCATGTCCAGTCACCTCTTAAGGGAGTAAGTCTTCAGTCCTGGGACCATGACCTCCCAAACTCCTGGTGGGTTCCTATACCTGCTTTCAGGACCAGCATCACTGATTTTTCCTATTGGTCAGGCTCCAATACAGCTCAACATGGTACTGTTATTGAGACCATCTTTAAGTAAAGTTTCAATATTTTTTCATCATAGATTTGTTTTCATTTTCATTTTTAAAATATTGCATTATCTATCTTGATTACTGACTTTTTTGGCATCCTGTTACATTTTGTGCCTGAGGCAAGTGCCTCACTCACCTCACCCTGGTCCCAGCCCTGCTGCATAGCGCTGCTTGAGTGTCCTCACAATATGGCAGCTGGCTTCCCCCACAGCCAGTGGTCCAAGAAAGCCAGGAAGCAGCGGCAACGTCTTTTATGGTCTAGCCTTGGAAGACACACTCTGTCACTTCTGCAATATCCTATTCATTACACAGGTCATCCCTGCTCAATGTAGGAGGCACTACATAGGAATGTGAATACCAGGAGACAAGAATTATGGGGTCACCTTAGAGACTAGCTACCACACCGAGTCTCCAGCCCAGACTCTTAGTGGTAGAGAGCAGCCTCCACAGAAGGAAACCAATAATCTGGTAAGGGAGTTTAGGGGCAGTGGGGAAATGTTGGTCACAGGATACAAAGTTTCAGTTAGAAGGAACAAGTTCTGGAGATGGAATGGATATGTTAACTATCTTGATTTAGTCATTCCACAGTGTATACATATATCAAAACATCATGTTGTACACTATAAATATATACAAGTTTTATGTGTTAATTTTTTTTTTTTTTTTGAGACGGAGTCTCACTCTGTTGCCCAGGCCAGAGTGCAGTGGCAAGATCTTGGCTCATTGCTACCTCCACCTCCCAGGCTTATGCAATTCTCCTGCCTCAGCCCCCCGAGTAGCTGGGAATACAGCCGCGTGCTACCACGCCCAGCTAATTTTTGTATTTTTAGTAGAGACAGGGTTTCCCTATGTTGGCCAGGCTGATCTTGAACTCCTGACCTCATGATCCACCCACCTCGGCCTCCCAAAGTGCTGGGATTACAGGTGTGAGCCACTGTGCCTGGCCAACTGTTTTTAAAAAACAATAAAACTGGTGAGGCTTTACCCCTTCTCCACCACCCTTCCCTGCCTTAGACCCTGAGTGGTACTGACCCAGAGCTGGCCCATGTGGGGCCCACTCACCTGATCACAGTTCACTGGTCCAGGAAGAAGCACCTAACCCAATTGGCTGTCTCCCAGGGTTTTTAAATTTGGCAGCGAGTGAGTTCCTCTGGTGGAAGATGGACCCTGTGGGTGATTGTTCCCAGCTGGGTGGGGAAATTAGCCTGGAGAGACCGGAGAACCCAGGCCTCAGTTCCCATTGTGCATGAAGCCGAGTGACATCTCTGTACTGCTTTTTAGTCCATTTCCTGCTGCCATACAGAATTCCACAGAGTGGGCCAGACACGGTGGCTCACGCACTTTGGGAGGCTGAGGTTGGCAGATCACTTAAGCCCAGGAGTTGGAGACCAGCCTGGGCAACGTGGTGAAACCCCGTCTCTACTAAAAATACAAAAATTAGCAGAGCATGGTGGCGCACACCTGTGATCCCAGCTACTTGGGAGGCTGAGGCAGGAGAATTGCTTGAACCCAGGAGGCGGAGGTTGCAGTGAGCGGAGATTGCACCACTGCACTCCAGTCTGGGTGACTGACAGAGCAAGATTCCATCTCAAATAATAATAGTAATAATAGTATAAAAAATTTTAAAAAGAATTCCACAGACTGGGTGGAAAAGAAATTGATTTCCCACAGTCCTGGAGGC
The DNA here is from genome assembly GCF_000001405.40 of Homo sapiens. Lineage (NCBI taxonomy): Eukaryota > Metazoa > Chordata > Mammalia > Primates > Hominidae > Homo > Homo sapiens. Next base: position 226,129,454 of record NC_000001.11, on the reverse strand, counting down.
TGGAAAGTCCAAGAGCATGGCACCAGCATCTTGTGAGGGCCCCACCATGGCAGAAGGATGGAAGGCAGAGGTAAGCATGTGAGACATGAGAGGGAAGTGGTCCAGAATCATCCTTTTTATCAAGAACCCACTCCAGAGATGATGGCATGGATCCATTCCTGAGGGCAGAGCCCTCATAACCTAATTACCTTGCAAAGGCCCCACCTGCCAATGCCACCATCACAACGGCAATTACATTTCAACATGAACATTGCTGGGGACATTTGAACCATAGCACTCTGTTTTGTCCATGGTCTGGGCTTAGAACCAATAAATTACCCCTTCCTCCCAAGCCTTCTTGAGTTGGGTGATGAAGTTCTGTCACCTCATCATCTCTTCCTGGGTGGCCTTCTGTGGAAGATGATGCTATCGGCAGTGTTTCTCAGCATGCAGCCAGTGCTATCGGCATCCACATCACCCAGGGCTCTTGAAAATATCAGTGCCTGGGCCCCCCCTCCAACCTGCTGAATCAGATTCTCTAGGGTGGGCCCCAGGCTTCTGCAATTTCAACATTGGAATTTGGGCAGGACTATGACACAGTGACTCACTGCCCCTCTCCAGCTGTCCTGTGTGTCCTGCAGTTCATGCTGCTTAGTGTTGACAGTGTCTGAGAAACCCAAAGTGTTGTAGCCCTGGGAGGTGGTATGTGGGCTCATAGCTTTGGGGAACCAAGTGGAGTTAAGAGCTGTGATAAAAGCACTGTGGGCGTTCCAGGCTGGGGTGGGGGCTGGAATCTGAGGAATGGAGGAGTATCTAGGAAAGTGGCTGGAAGCGGACAACATTGTGCTGGCTGCAGCTCATTCTTAGTGGGCAGGTCTTAGCAAGTCGTGTCATTCACAGCCCAGTTAAAAGATGTACTGGGCCGGGCACGGTGGCTCATGCCTGTAATCCCAGCACTTTGGAAGGCAGAGGTGGGCGGATCACCTGAGGTAAGGAGTTCGAGACCAGCCTGGCCAACATGGTGAAACCCCCATCTCTACTAAAAATACAAAATTTAGCCAACCGTGGTGGCAGGCACCTGTGATCCCAGCTACTCAGGAGGCTGAGGCAGGAGCATCGCTGGAACCCGGGAGGCGGAGGTTGCAGTGAGCCGAGATTGCGCCACTGCACCCCACCCTGGGCAACAGAGCGAGGATTCATCTCAGAAAATAAAACAAAAAGTTGAACCAAGATTGCAAAGTTCCCTTCCAGCTCCAAAACTCAAGCCAGGGGCCCTGTGAGACTTTCCCGGAAGTCTGGGCCCTGAGGTTGCTGAGGGCGCTTCCATGCAGGTGCCGCTTCCATCCAGGAACTGAGCTCTGCCCTTCCGTTTGTTTGTTCACTTCACTCCTCCCCTAGAGGCTGAAGTTGCTTCTGGGAAGGAGGCTGGGCACTTCTGGGCTGAGCCTTGTTTCCATAGCACCCAGCCACCCTGCCAGGAAGACACAGGTTTCTCCTGGTTGACTGTGAGAGGACTTTGACCCGCGCTCCGTTTCCTGCTGGGCCAGACTTAGGAGGAGGTACCGGGGCAAGCAGCACAGTGGGACTTGCAGGTCCCGGACCCAGCCCTTCATTCAGACCAGTTGTTCTGGAAGTTTGGGCCCCAACCAAGAGCAACAGCAGCAGTATCAGGAAACTTGTTAGAAATGCAAATTACCGGACCCCACCCTGGACCTACTAAATTAGAAACTCTAGGGTGGGGCCAGCCATCTGTGTTTTTGTAAGTCCCCAGGTGTCTCTCATGCACACCAAAGTTTCAGAAACACTTTATGCATTGTGTGCATGTGTGTGTGTGTGTGTTTTCTTTTTTTTCTTTTTTTTTTTTTTGCAGGATTTGACAGAGTCTTTATCTGGCTTCTGTTACATCTTATTCTGACTCAGGTTTACGGACACAATGCTGGAAAACCAGTTCCTGCTCTACCCACGCCTCAACTTGTTAAGAAGAAACAGTATCTAACACCGAGGCACGTCACATCTTCGCCATTCCCACTTCCTTTCTGCCCTAGGCATTCAATGTATGCCACCGGGGGCCATCAGGACTAGGGCTCTGCAACCACGGCAGCAGACAGGTGTGAAGCTCAGAGTCCCTCCTAACAGCCTCCCTCCAGCGTCTTCTTGGCCGCGGCGGCGAAGCAGCTCCGCAGGGCCTCGAACTCCCGCGCGCAGAAGTCCTTACTCGGCCCCGCAGGCGGCCAGCCGCTCGGGGAAGGCGCGGAGGCAGCTTCGCATGCGGCCCCACACCGCTCCGTCAGCCGACATGAGCGGCTATTCCCAGCGCCCCTCATGTGTGTGTTTTCAAAATGAGGTTTTGCTCTGTCACTGAGGCTGGAGTGCAGAGGTGCCATCATAGCCCATTGCAACCTCCACCTCCTGGCCTTAAGCAGTCCTCCTGCCTCAGCCTCCCAAGTAGCTGGGACTACAAGTGTGTGCTTGTTTTTTCTTTTGTAGAGATAGGGTCTTGCTATGTTGTCCAGGCTGGTCTTGAAGCCCTGGGCTCAAGCAATCCTTCCACCTTGGCCTCCCAAAGCACTGAGATTATAAGCATGAGCCTCCATACCCAGCCCAAGAACCCCCACTTTATTGTGTGATCAATTGTTCCAGTTTGCCCAGGACTCTCAGTTTTAGCACTGGGACTCTCTCTTTTTTTTTTAGACGGATTCTTGCTCTGTCGCCCAGGCTGGAGTGCAGTGGCGCGATCTCAGCTCACTGCAACCTCCACCTCCCAGGTTCATGCCATTCTTCTGCCTCAGCCTCCCGAGCAGCTGGGACTACAGGTGCCCGCCACCACGCCCAGCTAATTTTTTGTATTTTTAGTAGAGACGGGGTTTCACTGTGTTAGCCAGGATGGTCTCGATCTCGTGACCTCGTGACCCACCCGCCTTGGCCTCCCAAAGTCCTGGGATTACAGGCATAAGCCACCGTGCCCGGCTTTTTTTTTTTCTTTTTTCTTTTTTTTTTTTTTTTTGAGACAATCTCGCTCTGTCATCCAGGCTGGAGTAAAGTGGCACAATCTTGGCTCACTGCGACCTCTGTCTCCCGTGGTTCAAGCAATCCTCCTACCTCAGCCTCCCAGGTAGCTGGGACTACAGGTGTGTGCCACCATGTCCAGCTAATTTTTGTATTTTTTTGTAAAGACAGGGTTTCACCATGTTGCCCAGGCTGGTCTTGAACTCCTGAGCTCAAGCAATTCACCCACCTCAATCTTCCAAAATGCTGGGAGTACAGGCATAAGCCACCGCTCTCACCCATTCATTCAGTTTTTCAAAATCAGATCTGAGCTCCAGTCCTGGGAGCCTGGGGCAGCTTCTGATGCTAGGAGAGGCACAGGCCTGGCTACCACCATGGGTAGCAGAGGAGTGGGGTCAGCTCTGAACTTAGGAGAGTGATAGGAGGGAGAGGAGGCTGGGAGAGTAACAGGAGGGAAGGAGGGAAATTCTGCTGCCGCCGCCGCCGCCGCCGCCGCCGCTGCTGCTTTGAAGCTTTCCTGGGTAAATGGTGACAAGGACCACAAACCTCCTTACCTGGGCGAGAGCTTTGGGAGGTTTCAAAGCACCTTCACTTACATCACCCTACTGGATTCCAAATTACTCCTTAGAGCAGTGCCCATAAGAAATACTGCATTTGTCCAGTTTCTATTTCCTCTGCCTGAGCTTGAGCTGCTTTGGTGGCAGGGACCATCCCAGTGTCCCCATCAAACCTTCAGTGCCCAGTAGACAGAACCCTTGCCCAATCTTCCCGTCCAAATCCTGCATCTTCTGCAGGAGCTAGTTCCTCTGCAGGTCCTGGCAATATGGAGCACAGGGTCCATAGTTTTCCTCCCACCTATGGATTTCCTCTGGGCCATCACAGCCTGTTCCACAGACTGAATTTCAGCTCCCTGTCTTGGCCAGGGCACATCCTGTCTAATCACTCATGTTCACCCAGCTTTGCACCCTCTTCAGCCTCCCCACGTTTAAGCGAGGCAGCTGGCGGTGCAGGAAGAATATTCATCCATCTCCTAGGAGCTCAGGAGTCAGACCCTGGGCCCAGACTCCTGCAGCAAGTCGGGGCTTCTGTCACAAGCGCCTCACCTTACTGGCTTTGGCGCCATCTAGTGGACGCATCTGGGTCTGCGGGGACCGCAGCCCTTCCTGTGACCCAGAAGCAAAACCAGCAATTTACCTGGCCGTACATTATTTTTGAGTCCCGAATCCCAAGAGTCCACTCCCAACCCAGCTCAGCATGTATTGTCCACTGCCTGCTTAGTGCCGGACCAACACACCTTCACCTCACATCAACAGGGACTCAAACAGAGCCTCTTCCCCTCAAATCCCAGCCCCATACTCAACTGTGTGCACAAAAGCAGGCATTCGTCCTAACAAAGCAGAATGAAACAACCCAAACTTCCCTCAAGATGGGGAGCATGCATTCTACGGAATATTATGAAATGGATAAAAGGGTTTGCTGGATTGGAAACGTCTCCAAAAGCACATTAAAGAACAATACATACCGCATGATGCCGTTTATTGGAAGAAACAAACCCAAGCCTGATCCACTGTTCGCATATCCGTGTGAAATGCAGAGGGAGGGCTGGACACACACCAAGCTAATCACAGGGACCTTTAGGGAGGGATGGGGGTGGGGTAAGGGTGAAAGAGGCCTTTCCTTTTACACACCTTTACTGTGTATCTTTTTATATTTCTAAGGCAAAAGGTAAATTAAACAACCCCTGTGTTAAAGGTGGAGAGTGTCCAGGTTCTTGGCATCTTGAACAAAGAATTGGAAGAGACACACAAACAAAGCAAGGAAGGAATGAAGATTTTATTGAAAATGAAAGTACACTCCACTGTGTGGGAATGGGCCTGAGTGTAGGATTCAAAAGGCCCTGTTACAGAATTTGGGGGAGTTTAAATACCCCCTAGAGGATTCATTGGTTACTTCGGGTATGCCCTATATAAACAGAGAGGATGAAGTAAAGTTACAAAGTCATTTACCTGATATGCCCTATGGAGAGGATATTTCCGGTTATAGCTGAAGTGTGAATGAGCCTTATGTTCCCTGCCTCCAGACCCTATTTTCCTGCCTCACCTGGTGCCAGGAGCTGAGTCGCTGCTGCTCTCCCAGGTGCTCCATGATGAGCAGTGCTGGCCTTCTGATCCGACTCTCCCACACCCACACCAGCTGCCTTCCTGAGCCACCAGGCTCCCCAGTGGTGGCTCCTCTCCTTTGACGGCCTTGTCACCTCTCTGCAGTCTCTTCCCCTCACACCTGGCCGCTGCAGCCCCTCAGTGGTGAGCATTCGGTGGGCTGATCAGCATCCGCACACCGCTCCTAGTAAGGGGCAATCCCCATTTTGTGAGCTGTCATGGGAGCCAGGGCCCCTCCTCCCACCTCAAAGGCTAAAGGGGGCAGCATTCCTTCTCCCTTCCTGGGCATCTGGCTAACCCAGGCAAAGATGCAGGGACAGGAGCCCTCCCTCCCCGCTGTGGTGCCCAGCACCCCCGCCCATCATTACAGCCAATGCCTGTGGAGTTGTGGCAGGGGCTGCATTCAGCGATGCTGCAGCCCAGTAGTGGTGGTGACCACAGTCACCTCCCAAGACTGTCCCCGGCTGTGGCTGTGGCCATCCAGACTCCTGGTCAGCTCCCTGAGCTCCCCACAATACTCCCAAGGACTCCTTTTCTACTTAGTCATCAGGGTTGATTTCGATTGCTGGCCACCTCCCTTTGGGCCCTGGCCAGGCCTGTGGAGCTAGTCCTTTCCAAGTGTCACAGGTGAGTGACTGTGTGTGAGGGACAGCGGGTCAGTGTGATAGATAACCTGTGGTCCACATAGGGAGATGGTGCCATACCAAGAAACTGCCAGGACCGAGATGTTAAAGAGTCAGGGGATGTGACTTGCTAAAGGCAACCACGGGAGATGACTGTGCTGGGAAGATGGTTTCAAGAAAACTGGGAACCTAGGAAGCTTGGTGAGCACCCACTTGGACCTTCCCTGGCCTGGCAGGGCCTCCCCTTGGAGGGATAGCCCTGCAGCTTCCCCATCAGTGGGCAGGCTTGGGGAGGGCCTGGAGAGGAGAGGGGTCCCCTAAACACACCCAGCCCCAGGGCCTCAGCAGACAAGTGCTGGTCACCTATTATTTGTACTTATTGTAGTAAACAGTCACTTTTAGGCTGGGGGCTCACGCATGTAATCCCAGCACTTTGGGAGGCCGAGAGGGGCGGATCACTTGAGCTCAGGAGTTTGAGACCAGCCTGGCCAACATGGCAAAACCCCGTCTCTACTAAAACTACAAAAAAATTAGCCGGGCGTGGTGGCGGGCGCCTTGTAATCTTAGCTACTGGGGAGGCCGAGGCAGGAGAATGGCGTGAACCCGGGAGGCGGAGGTTGCAGTGAGCCGAGGTTGCTCCCCTGCACTCCAGCCTGGGCGACAGAGCGAGACTCCATCTCATAAAAAATCACAACAGTCACTTTTATGAGCAGTGCTCATTTCACCCCGCCTCTACCACACACTCGGCAGGGCGGCTTCACAGGTGCCCTTCCTGCTGTCTGGGACCCTTTGCCAGACTCCTCCCCACCTGGCCACCCTTCTTTCCAACCAACAACGTGGCTCCTCGGTTCCTCCAGGTTCCTTCCTGCCCTGTAAAACCCCTGGCCTCCTGCCAGGCTCAAGAAATGCCCTCGGATCTCTTCCGTGCTTTCGCCCCGCAGGAGACACAGCCTAGGTCCCGCCTCCGTCACGCGACAGAGACTCAGAAAGCGCCCACGCGGGCAGGGCCCGGGCAAGACTACCTCACCGCCGCCCACCCATCCCCGGAGCCTTCAGCAGCGCGGAGCTCAGGCTTCCCTGTCTCCCCTCTGCCCCCGCGCCGGCCGTGCGTGCAGTGCTTCGGCCCCTAGGCTGCGCCCGCGCCCCGTCCTCCCTCCCGGGGTTGGTGCGGGTCTCCCAGGCCGGGCCGGGGCACTGGACCGACGCCCAGGAAGCGGCCGCCGCCGCAGCGAATTGCCCGCTCTCGCTTCGGCTTTCACCGCCCAGAAAGCGGCGCCTCCGACCTGGCTCTTAAACAACGGCGACTTTTATTATAAAGCCCGGGGGTGGTGCGGAGGAGCCCGCCACTCGGTGCCCCTCACTGCGGCCTCTGGCCTTCGCCTGGAAGGCGCGCGAGCCGGCGGCCCCGAGAGGCCGGGGGTGGGAGGCGCGGGGGCGACCCCGACGCGTGGAGCCGCCCGGGACGCACGCGGGCCCCAGCAGCCCCGAGTGCAGTCCTGGCTGCGTTGTGGGAGCCGCGGCCACGCCAGCGCCGGGGCCCCTCCCGCCCGAGACTGGTGAGGCGGCGGGAAACCGCGGGACGGCCAGGCTGGGGCTCTTCAGTGCGGCTCTCGGCGGGACTGCGGTCGCGGAACAAAGGGGCGCGGAGGTGGGCGGGGGGTGCATCGCCGGCGGGGCGGGGCCTCGGCGTCCGGGGCTGAGGTCTCCTCACCTCCGGGCCGGGCGGGGTCTGGCGGCCGCGCCCCTCCGCGGGCTCCCCAGGCGCCCAGCCGCGCGGCAACAACCACAGCCACCGTTTCCGCTCCCCGCCCGCCCCTGCTCAGCGCTGGGGGCGCGAGGGCGCTGCTCGCCCGATTCAGAGGCCAGGTGTAACTACTGGTGTCACAGAAGTTCGGTGTTTCCAAGATGTGCTTCCTTTTTGTAGCGAAGGAAGCGCGGCCACCAGGCCAGGTCGTCCCAAAGTGCAGGGTCCCCGGCCCCCGTCATCCCCGCCCGGTTGCAGGCCCCGACGCTCCGCGCTCCCGCCTGCTGCGCGCGGCGGCCACCAGAGGGCGCCCGGCTGCTGTCACCCCGCGGAGCGCGGGACCCAGGCCGGGCGGGGGAGGTCAGCGGCGGGCCCGCCACCCCCGGCCCCTGCGGGGGGGGGCCTGGCGCTGCTGGCGGCCGGAGGGACGATTGCGGGGTCCCTTTCCCAGACCGGAACCAACAAGGCCGCCGGCCAGAGAACCGAGTTGGGTCGCCGTGTGACCTCGGGGCAGGTGCTAGCCGTCGTTGTGCCTCGGTTTCCCGCCTGTGAAGAGAGAGCGAGCACTGCCCGTCTGTGCATTGGGTCGCGATTCCCAAGCTCCCTAGGCTGGCCGTGGGGGAAGGCGGCCCCGCCGCCCCTGAGGCCCCGCGTGGGAACTCTCTTAGCAAGGGCACTGACGACGTCCTACTAACTGCCTTACGACTGTATTTTAAAGGAAGGTGGGAGGCAGGGCCCCTCATTTCCAAGTGCACCACCCACCAAAGCTGTGATCTTGTCACTGCTCAATACGAGCCTGGAAAATGATGTACAGCCCTTCCTTTAAGCGTGCTCGGTAAAAGGAGATCCATCCCAACAAGCAGAAGCTGATAATCTGCTTGAAAAGGGATTCCTCCACTTACGAAATTATTTGCAACGGGATTTTTCTCATTGAGTAAATTGTAGGCAAATCACCTGTGAATGAATATTTGTAACAGGCCAGCGGATTTGGAAATGAGTCTTACTGTAAAATAAGTACTTCCGTGGTAAAAATGGTTCCAGGGCCAAGGATGGGCCTGTGGTTCAGCTGGAGCATGCTGCCGGCTCACCTGATGGGCGCCTAGGACGTTCTCTAACGGGCCTCTGAGCCTGGTTCCCTCCCATTCCCTCTGCATCCACTCCAGCAGGGAGTCCAGGAGGATTCTACCCTTCCTTGGCCAGAGGATGCTGAAGCTGGGCCCCTTCCTACCTGTTTCCTCTCTTGTGCCCCATCTCCTAGGGGAGATCCTTTGCTCCACTAGGCTCGACTGGAAGAGACCGGGAGGCCATGCAGGGAGCACCCTCACTGGCCAGGCACCCAAGGTGTGCCAGGCACGGCCTCCCAGGCTGTAGCTCTACCAGGAGTGGGTTCTCCTTGTGAAGATTCTGACTTTGCTTGTCCCACCTGGCTTGGGGACTCCCACCCTCGCTCAACCACAGCATTGCCAAACTCAGTAGGGCATCTCTCTGGACACAGAGGGATGGAGGAAATGGCCACTCAGGCTCCAGAACTGCACGGGAATTCTGGGCCATATCTTGGCCCACCAGCCTCAGCTCACCCTGGCCACTCAAGCCTCGGCCTTCCTGGGGCCCCTTGGTTCTGGGGAGGGACCCATTAGTAAATACCATTGCTCACTTGCTGCTTTTAAATCTCCTGAACGTTGGCGGGGCACAGTGGCTCACACTTGTAATCCCAGCACTTTGAGAGGCAGAGGTGGGTGGATCATTTGAGGCCAGGAGTTCGAGACCAGCCTGGCCAAGACAGTGAAACCCCGTCTCTACTAAAAATACAAACATTAGCCAGGCGTAGTGATGTACGCCTGTAGTCCCAGCTACTTGGGAGGCTGAGGCAAGAGAATCACTTGAACCAGTGAGCAGAGGTTGCAGTGAGCCAAGGTCGCACCACTGTACTCCAGCCTGGGTGACAGAGTGAGACCCTGTCTCAAAAAAGCAAACAACAAAAAACAAAACAAAACAAACAAAAAGCCCAAAAATCAATCTCCTGAACGTTGTGAATTTTTCATTAAATCCAAAAAGCTGGTGGAACGAGCACAGGCTTTCCACCCTCTCACCTGCAGAAGAGGCGGAAGCCAGTGCTGGTTTGATGGTGCCCTCTTCATTCCCATTGAGGTTGGAAAGCTGCCCCTCCCCAGCAGCCCTGGCCTCCCCTAGGGTGATGCTCAGGCCTGCCCTGGCACACAGTGAGGGTGGAATCCTGAGAAGCCTATGGGGAGGGGAGCCAGACCTGGGGCTTCAGGTGGGAACCACCCAGCTGCCTTCATTACAGCTCTGGGGCTGTCCTTCCCACCACCGCATCCCTGCAGCTTGAGAGGGCTTACAGCCCATTCAAGAGAGACAGGCTTCATCCTCTGTGCACAGGCAGAATGCACCTCGTGCAGTGGATTGCCGCCATCCTTTTCTGTTTATTCTTCATTCATTTGTCCTACCCACAGTTCCTGACACTTGTTTCGAATCAGGCTCTCCAGTAGGGGTGAGGGCGGAAACATAAAGACATATTTTTCTGGGGTTCACGGAGAGTGATTCTTACTTCCTCATATTGGGGGGTTGGGGGGGACACTCTGACTTCACCATTTACTAGCTGTGTGACCTAAGCAAGGCAAGTCACCCAGCCTCTCTGAGACTGTTTCCTTATCTATAAAATGGGACCAAGGGGGACTTGCCCAGAGACCTCCACTGTGAGTCTTGGCTGTAGGTTGTGAAGGGTTCCAGTGGAACGTCCTCTGGCCACAGCAGAAAGATAGCCTGGGGCTCTGGGGACTGTGGAGATAGGCCAGACCCTCCTCCTGGAAGGCCCTTTGTCTCTCTTCCACCTTCCTTCACCCACCTGGGGCTCCTCCCTGTTGTCCAGTGATGTCCAAGGGCCTGCTGCCTGTGGCTTGGCTGATTGAATATTGAGGGTCACTGAGGACTCCTGTCTGGGACAGGGACAGATACACCACAAAGGGAGAAAGAGCTCTCTAAGCCTCTTGAGTCATGAGGCCCCATCCTTGTTCTGGCTCTCCAACTTGCCCTGTGTGACCTCCTCGCAGGGCTTCCCCCATCCTATGAGGGCCTGCTCTGGACATGTCTGGAAGGGGGTGCACACCTCCCTGCAGTCAGGCGTCAGCCCGGGGGAACTGGCTATGCTTCATCCAGACCCTTCCTCTCCTCCCTTAGAAATAGACTCCCAGCTCCAGAAAATGCCCATTCACACCAGGAAGGTCTAAGGATCCTCCCTACCCTGTACCCCACCTCATACCCATCAAAGTAGCCCAGGGTCCCCAGCAGTCAAGGTCCCCAGCCTCAAGAATTTGCTCATTAAGAAAAAGCTGATTCCCCCTCCTTCACCCTTCCCTTCCTCCCTCTTCCCATCTCCTCCCCTCCTCCACACCATGAGCAGCAGGCCAAGGTGGGAGGGGAGACAGACACCACCACCCCCGCCACCCACAGCAATCTTAATTGCCTAGATGAATCTAGACAGAGGCCGCCTGAGGCAGGAGCCTCATGTGGGGATGGCACCATGAGAAAACGAACAGTTCACCGCACCCACATTCATCACCATCATTCTTCATCACCTCTCTGTTAGTGTCAGGGGCTTCTTTAATAAAACTTTTAGCTGACAGCTGCCACTGTCCCTCAAGAAGTGACATGCCTCTGCTGGAACAGATCATCAGGAGAATCCTCCCCCAACTCCCCTTCCCGACCTGGTTCCCCCAAATATCAACAGCCCTTTTGTCATCTGGAATACAATTGCCATTTGCCCCCATCCAAAGGGAAAGAGTGGACCCCACCCCACCTCCTACAGGATAGAGTCCAGCCCTCAGGAGTTGCGTGGTGAGGGCAGTCAGAGAGACCCGCTGTGGAGACTTTGCAATACTTGAGGTCTCTGGTCACCCTGAGGGCTGAGTGAGCAGGCCTTTGGGACTCTGGAGGATGAGGCCCAAGCCAGGACACTCCTTGCTTTGCTCCTAGCCTCTCCCAGGTTCCCACGTCCCTAGACCCACTCTGGTCCTGCCCTCCTCTGGCCTTGGCTGTCACTGTCATCTGCGCCCATCAAGCTAGAGCGCTATAAGGCAGTCTCATCTCCAGGGCTGGGGCTGGAGGTGCTCCTGACAGGCAGCTTCATTATCCCACTGGCAGGGAAATGTTTGCTGCATACCTGGGAGCCTAAACCTTACAGCTGGAACACAGGGCTGCACAGAAGCCAGGTTGCTGGGGGCTGGGGAAGGGAGGGGAGTTGTCCCTCAATACCCTTTGGCCCCTTCAGAATGTTGAGCTACATGAATGTTACCCAACAAGTAAATAAATAAAATATTCATAAAAACTGAGGCATACAGCCGTGTGCAGTGGTATACATCTATAGTCCCAGCTACTCGGGAGGCTGAGGTGGGAGGATCGCCTAAGCCCAGGAGATGGAGGCTGCAGTGCGCTATGATCATACCCATGAATAACCACTGCACACTCCAGCCTGGGCGACATAGAGAGAACCTGTCTCAAACAAACAAACAAACAAAAAAAGTGAGGCATGCAAAGGAAAGAACATCACTCACAACATCCTGAATTGCGGGTGCATGGGGGAAGCTGGGGTGCTCATCCCTCAGAGCACAGTATCTGTCTACCAGCACTCTCCCCTTAGCTCCCAGTTAACACTGGTTGGGGCACTCAGGATATTGTCTAAAAGTTAATCACGGGCCGGGCGTGGTAGCTCATGCCTGTAATCCCAGCCCTTTGGGAAGCCGAGGCAGGTGGAAGGCTTGAGGTCAGGAGTTCAAGACCAGCCTGACCAACATGGTGAAACTTCGTCTCTACTAAAAAACAAAAATTAGTCAGGCGTGGTGGCAGGCACCTGTAATCCAAGCTAGTCGGGAAGCTGAGGCAGGAGAATGGCTTGAAGCCAGCAGATGGAGGTTGTAGTGAGCCAAGATTGCACCACTGCACTCCAGCCTGACTGACTCCATTTCAAAAAAAAAAAAAAGAAAAAAAAAAAAGAGAGAGTTAATCACTTAAGGCTAGCCCGAGTTTCTTGTCATTGAGAACCTTGTCTTTGTTATCTCTTTCCCCAAGGCCCCTGCCTGTGGACCGTTGAATATATTTGTGAAGGGGAAGAGAAGGGAGAAGGCCATGTAGAATTGGCCTGGGAGCAGAAGTCATCTTTCTATGGGAGCAGAAAGACCCCCATTTTCCCTGCAGCACCTCAGCAGGGGAGCATGTGCTTCTGGGCTGTGCCTGAGGTCCTGGCATCCTTTTTGTTTTGAGACGGAGTTTCACTCTTGTCGCCCAGCTGGAGTGCAATGGCACAATCTCAGCTCACCGCATCCTCTGCCTCCTGGGTTCAAGCGATTCTCCTGCCTCAGCCTCCCGAGTAGCTGGGATTACAGGCACCCGCCACCACATCTGGCTAATTTTTGTATTTTTAGTAGAGACGGGGTTTCACCATGTTGGCCAGGCTGGTCTAGAACTGCTGACCTCAGGTGATCCACCTGCCTCAGCATCCCAAAGTTCTGGGATTACGGGCATGAGCCACTGCGCCCGGCCCAGGCATCCTTCTTGACTGTGGCACTAAGGGCCCGAACACGGCTCACCCTGACCCTCCTCTGAGAAGGAGGGATTAGTGGGTAAGCGGCCTCACACCCTCAGTGGTCTGGAAGGCTGCAGGCATGCGAAAGTTTGCATCACACTCAAGAGAGACCAGAGAGGGCCCTAGCTACCCACACATGCGGAGGAGAACATCGTGACTGGCACACTGCAGAGGAGACAGGAAAGGGCCTGGGGGAAAGCAAAAGCAGCATCAGACTTGTAAAGTTGTCTGGACTTTGAATATGTTCCTCACAATCTACACACAGATCCATTAGCAAACAGTGGAAGCTTTACTGGCTCAAATTGTTTCTCACAACCTCTGACCAATCACTGGCTTCCAGGGACAACCCTTAGAAAGTCAGGCTTAACTCTCCCTCTCCCTCCACCTCCCCCTCCCCCTCCCCTCTTTCCACTGTCTCCCTCTGATGCCGAGCCGAAGCTGGACTGTACTGCTGCCATCTCGGCTCACTGCAACCTCCCTGCCTGATTCTCCTGCCTCAGCCTGCCGAGTGCCTCAGGCGCGCACCGCCACGCCTGACTGGTTTTCGTATTTTTTGGGTTTCGCTGTGTTGGCCGGGCTGGTCTCCAGCTCCTAACCGCGAGTGATCCGCCAGCCTCGGCCTCCCGAGGTGCCAGGATTGCAGACGGAGTCTCCTTCACTCAGTGCTCAATGGTGCCCAGGCTGGAGTGCAGTGGCGTGATCTCGGCTCGCTACAACATCTACCTCCCAGCCGCCTGCCTTGGCCTCCCAAAGTGCTGAGATTGCAGCCTCTGCCTGGCCGCCACCCCGTCTGGGAAGTGAGGAGCGTCTCTGCCTGGCCGCCCATCGTCTGGGATGTGAGGAGCCCCTCTGCCTGGCTGCCCAGTCTGGAAAGTGAGGAGCGTCTCTGCCCAGCCGCCATCTCATCTAGGAAGTGAGGAGCGCCTCTTCCCGGCCGCCATCCCATGTAGGAAGTGAGGAGCGTCTCTGCCCGGCCGCCCATTGTCTGAGATGTGGGGAGCGCCTCTGCCCTGTCGCCCCGTCCGGGATGTGAGGAGCGTCTCTGCCCGGCCGCCCCGTCTGAGAAGTGAGGAGACCCTCTGCCTGGCAACCGCCCTGTCTGAGAAGTGAGGAGCCCCTCCGCCCAGCAGCCGCCCCGTCTGAGAAGTGGGGAGCCCCTCCGCCCGGCAGCCACCCCGTCTGGGAAGTGAGGAGCGTCTCCGCCCGGCAGCCACCCCGTCCGGGAGGGAGGTGGGGGGGTCAGCCCCCTGCCTGGCCAGCCGCCCCCTCCGGGAGGTGAGGGGCGCCTCTGCCCGGCCGCCCTACTGGGAAGTGAGGAGCCCCTCTGCCTGGCCGGCCGCCCCGACCGGGAGGGAGGTGGGGGGGGTCAGCCCCCCACCCGGCCAGCCGCCCCGTCCGGGAGGGAGGTGGGGGGGTCAGCCCCCCGCCCGGCCAGCCGCCCCATCCGGGAGGTGAGGGGCGCCTCTGCCCGGCCGCCCCTACTGGGAAGTGAGGAGCCCCTCTGCCCGGCCACCACCCCGTCTGGGAGGTGTACCCAACAGCTCATTGAGAACGGGCCATGATGACAATGGCAGTTTTGTGGAACAGAAAGGGGGCAAAGGTGGGGAAAAGATTGAGAAATCGGATGGTTGCTGTGTCTGTGTAGAAAGAGGTAGACATGGGAGACTTTTCATTTTGTTCTGTACTAAGAAAAATTCTTCTGCCTTGGGATCCTGTTGATCTGTGACCTTACCCCCAACCCTGTGCTCTCTGAAACATGTGCTGTGTCCACTCAGGGTTAAATGGATTAAGGGCGGTGCAAGATGTGCTTTGTTAAACAGATGCTTGAAGGCAGCATGCTCGTTAAGAGTCATCACCACTCCCTAATCTCAAGTACCCAGGGACACAAACACTGCGGAAGGCCGCAGGGTCCTCTGCCTAGGAAAACCAGAGACCTTTGTTCACTTGTTTATCTGCTGACCTTCCCTCCACTATTGTCCTGTGACCCTGCCAAATCCCCCTCTGCGAGAAACACCCAAGAATGATCAATAAAAAAAAAAAAAAAATAAATAAATAAATAAAAAGAAAGTCAGGCTTAAAAATAAAAACAAGCAGGCTGGGCGCAGTGGCTCACACCTGTAATCCCCGCACTTTGGGAGGCTGAGGCAGATGGATCATTTAAGGTCAGGAGTTGGAGAACAACCTGGGCAACACGGCGAAACCCTGTCTCTACTAAAAACACAAAAATTAGTTGGGTATGGTGGTGCACACCTGTAATCCCAGCTACTCGGGAGGCTGAGGTGGGAGAATCGCTTGAGCCCAGTGGGGTGGGGATGGAGGCGGAGTTTGTAGTGAGCCAAGATTGCACCACTGCACTCCAGCCTGGGTGACAGGTGACAGAGTGAGACTCTGTCTTAAAAAATAAAATAAATAAATAAAAACAAGCAGGAAAACTACTGAGCAGATCAGCGCCCGGAATAAAGGTTACTAATATTACAATAATATTTTCATTAGAACGTTCTAATTATAAAAATAAAACTTGTTTTCTTAAAAAAGAAAAGCAGCAGAAATAGCAGCAGCTGCACACTGTGAGGAGAAGGCAGACTCCAAAGAATCAGTCCAAGCCAGCCACTAAATGAACAAACAAGACGGCAACAACAATGCTGGGAAAGGGAACTGGAATCCACAGTTGTTACAATATATTTTATTTATTTACTTATTTATTTTTATGTTATTTTAATTTTTTTTGAGATGGAGTCTCACTCTGTTGCCCAGGCTGGAGTGCAATGGTGCGATCTCGGCTCACTGCAACCTCCACCTCCCGGGTTCAAGGGATTCTCCGGCCTCCACCTCCCGAGTAGCTGGGATTACAGGCATGCACCACCATGCCTGGCTAATTTTTGTAGTTTTGTAGAGATGGGGTTTCACCATGTTGGCTAGGCTGGTCTTGAACTTCTGACCTCAGGTGATCTGCCTGCCTCAGCCTCCCAAAGTGCTGGCATTACAGGCATGAACCACTGTGCCCGGCCTTATTTTATTTATTTATTTACTGAGACATGGTCTTGCTCTATCACCAAGGCTGGAGTGCAGTGGCACAATCTTGGCTCACTGCAACTTCTCGGCCTCTGAGTAGCTGGGACTACAGGCACACCAGCTAATTTTTGTATTTTTTGTAGAGACAGGGTCTCACTGTGTTGCCCAGGCTGGTCTCAAACTCCTGGCCTCAAAGGATCCTACCACCTCGACCTCCCAAAGTGCTGAAATTACAGGTGTGAGCCACCGTGTTTGGCCATATTATCTAAAATGTCCATTTGTCAACAAAAAATTGCAAGACATGCAAAGAAAAAGGAAAGTGTGACCCACACTCTGGAAAAAAAGAGAGTCAACAGAAACTCACTGAGGGGTCCCAGATGTTAGACTTTGTCTCTCTCCTTCCCTCTCTTTCTCCCTGTTCCAATTTCCAGGGACGAGGCTCTGACTGGCCAGGTTCCACCCCTGATCCTATCATCTGTGGAGGAGGTGGAGTGGGCAGAGAAAAATTGTAATAACATAGTACGTGGAAGCTACTTGACCCCACATGGGTGAAGATCATTTCCTAGAGAAAAGAGGGGTCACTGGTTCCAGTTTAGGTAGACATCCCCAGAGGTGTCTGTTGCTCTTGTTTCTTTTCTGAAAGGTAAGTGGTGACACCTCCAGGAGCCCAGTGGCATTTGGATTTGTTATCTCCCACTGGGAGGACGGCATCCTTCATTTGCTGGCCATTTCTTAGGTTGGTGATTTGCAAACATCCCTTCTCCCCATGGAGGGACTGTGTAGAGTTGGAAGAGGGGAGGGATGGGAAGAGGCTACACTAACCCTAGGCTCCTTTTCAGCAACCAAGTCTCAGAAGTGGTGCCATCATTCACTTTTGATTTAATGTAAATTGCATTAAAACAACAAAGAAATAGTTGTTGGATCTCTTTCCTCTGACTCCATTTCTGCCAATGATCAAGATTGGGCTGTGTGACCAGGACATGGGTGGGAGCCCTGACAACACTCAGGGTGGGCCCTGTGTGAACCGCAGCTCTCAAGTAGCAAGGAGAAGACAAAAGAACCAGGAATGAGAAAAATAAAAGGTATTAAAATAGGCTTAGCTACTTTGGGGTTTTCCTTTGTATTTATATTTAGCAAGGATTGTGTGCCTAACTCTGCATTAAAATAGCTGATGCTACCAGTCATTGTTCCAGGCCTTTGCACACTGCAGCCTGGCAGGCTTTCTGCAGCCAAAAGTGAAGGCAGCTGGCAGGGCCTGGCCCACCCAAGCCGAGGAGAGGGCATTTATTTCATGGACCTCCCTCACTGAACCCTCGTGGGCGTGAATGCAAACAGAAGCAGGGCACTTTGGGTATGGCTCCGAGCTGGGAAGGCTCATAGGACCAGCCATGCTCAAGGACTTAAGCCTCCAAAACGCGTCTCCTGCTGCCTGCGGCCATGGGAGCTGAGATTCCTCCACTGCATCACCAAGCCTGGCATCTCAGGGAGGCAGATGCTATAGCCAGCTCTGCTCACACTCCCTTGGGGACTCAGCGAGTCCTACCTTAAAATGCCAGAATCTGTCATATCCTCCCTACGGGCCCATTGGCCACCTGGGAGGAACAGGTGTGCCAGTGAAAGGAACAGGTGTGCCAGTGAAAGGTAGAATGGGGAAGGAGCTACAAAGGGGAGGAGGACCCTGGAGTGAGAAGGTTTATGAGACAAACCCTCCCTTTGCCCAGAGGTTTCCAAGTCTTGGCCCTGGTGCTAATGACCTGGTGCCAGTGACTTCCATGCAGAGCTGGACAGAGTCCCTGAGCAGTGGGCTGATAATCCTGCGCAGGAAGGCGGCCATAGGGTCTACCAATGACGTTAGAATACTGAGGAAGAGACAGTGTGATGTCCCTGTGTGCTTGACGACTTAAATTTATCCCCTGGGGACAGTTAGCATTTGAAGTGTCCTTGTCAGGAGCCCACACTCCAGAGGTGGCTATGTCAACTGCTTCAAATGCCTTTATCTAAATATGCACCTGGGGGTGTTAAAAATAGTTTCTTTGGGAAAATGATGGGTGTTCCAGATGTGACTGGCTGGAAAGAGTGAGCAGGCACTTATGCTGGGGAACGAAGATTACGAGTATCTGGCAAACTCCCGCCGCTCCAGCCTAGAGTTCCATCGGTATCTTGAGTTCCCCTTAGTGGGGGGATTCTGTTGGTTGATACCACAGAAGAATATAATTGCATTTGCTTCCAAGGGACTCTTTCTTGCAAGACATGTCAGAAATCCGGGCTCCCGCCGTTGGGCAGCAGCACCGTGACCTCTAGCAGGCTATTTAGCTCCGGCTTCCGCTTCTGTAGATTGGAGATGATGACAATCTTGCCAGGTGGTGGTGAGGGGTAGCCGAGCTTTAAAATGGCAAGTTTCTGCTGCAGCTCCCTCCGGCTGTGTGGCTGGAGCAAGGTCAGCAAGGCCCCGGGCCCCAGGCCCCGCCATCCCCGGCTACCCGAGAGCGCGGTCGCGGACGACTAGCCAGGACGCCCCTAGAGCCGCCCTTCCTTCCTCCGCCCGCGCCGCGCGGGCCACCCGCGGACATCTGGTGGCTAAGCAGCCTCTCCGGGCTGCTGCCTCCTCCGCCCCCGCTCCGGGAAGCCCCGAGCTGGCGCCCTCGCTCTGGTCGCAGCATCCGGGGCCGCCTCTTTCGCCCCGCGCGTGGCTCCGGAAGCAGGTCGGCTTGCCTCTGGGGATCCGCGCGCCTCTGGGGGTCCGCGCCGGCCCTGCCTTCCCCAGTGGTGGCGGGGGTCGGGGGGCGCCCAGGAGGCCCAGGGGCTGCCCCTCGGCCTCGCCGCAAGCGGCCAGCCGAGGCCAGTGGGCCAGGGCAGCTGCAGGCGCCTCCCTCCCCCGCAGCACTGAACTCCCCCGCCCCGCACTCGAGGCGGCTGCCAGGAACTGAAATATTAATAGGCACAAACTTCCTGGAAAGATTTGCGTCCTCAACACAAATGACCCCGCTTTGCCCACTGAAATAAATAAATAAAGGGCAGCTCCCGGGCCAGGCGGCAGAGGAGCCGGGGGGAACTGCCGGGGAGCCGGGGGGAACTGCCGCGAACCCGCCCCCCAGCCCGGCCTCCGCCGCGGCCCACGCGCTCTCCGCACTGCTCTTGGAACGTCCCGCGGGACGCACCGGGCGGAGGGCGCGGGCTCGGGGCTCCCTTTTTTAAGCAGGGCTTGGGCGCGCGCGGGCAGCCTGGACGCCCCGGGTGGTCGCGCGCACGCCCGGCCACGCGCACGCCCCCGCCCCCGCGCTCCCCGGAGCAGCCCCCGCCCGGCCGCGCGCCCGGCCAGCCAGCCCCTGCCCGCGAGTGACGCGCGCGCCTCCCAGCCTGCGGCTCCTCCTCTCCCGACGCAACTGGCCCGCCCTCCTCTGCGCTCCTCCGCCGGGACATCTGTCATTTAGGAACCTCAAAACAAATCTCCACCTGGCGTTTAGAAATGCGATTTGATTTTCAGAGTTCTTCGATATTCGCATCTCCCGGGATTCCCTGGGCAGGGAGGCAGCTGTGGCCCAGGAGGCCAACGCGCCTCTCCTCGCAGCAGCTCAGGAGGAGGTGACAGGCCAGGAAGCCCCACTCCGACCGCCGCTTTCCCCATGCGCCACGGATTCAGCGCCTGCTCCCATCTTGCCCATAGCACAGTTCCAAAGTAGGGAAGTGTCAGTGCCCAGCTCGACCGCATACCCCATGGAGACCGCATACCCCATGGAGCGGTCCGGACGCCCCAGCTCAGGCTTCAGGCTTCTGAAGGGAACAGCTGCATTTGTTCCAACTGTTCTCCCTACCTGGAAGCCATCCATTCATTCATTTAAAATAGTTATTGAGCGCCTAATAGGTCCTATTCTAGGCACTATTCTAGGAACTGGGGATACGGAGCAAAAACAAACACAAAAATCCCTGCGCTCCTAGAGTTTGTATTGTAATGGGAGAGACAGAGCAACCAAAGTAAAATGTAAAATATGTTAAATAGTGATCAAGCTAAGGGGAAAAAATAACCACAGGGAAGAAGGATATGAAATGTGTGTGTAGGAGAAGTTAAGTGTTGGATAGGGTGCCTGGAAAGGCCTCACTGAGAAGGCTACAGTGATTTTTGAGTAAAGGCCAGAGGGAACCAAGCAAGCCACCCACACAGATATCCGGCGGCCTGCTGTGTTCCCGGAAGAGCAGGGAGGCCAGAGTGGATGGAGCAGAGTGAAGAGGAGGTGCCTAGTGGAAGCCAGGGGCCTACCTCAGTGGCTCATGCCTTTTAATCCCAGCACTTTGAGAGGCCAAGGTGGAAGGATCACTTGAGGCCAGGGGTTCAGGACCAGCTTGGGCAACATCGCAAGCCAGCCCATCCCCTCCCCATCTCTATACTTTTTTTTTTTTTTTTTTTGGAAAATTAGCCAGGCTGGCCGGTAGGGTGGCTTACGCCTGTAATGGTAGCACTTTGGGAGGCTGAAGCTGGTGGATCACTTGAGGCCAGGAGTTGGAGACCAGCCTGGCCAACATGTATTTTTAGCTTTACTAAAAATACAAAAATTAGGCCGGTGGGGGGTCCCAGCACTTTGGGAGCTGAGGCGGGTGGATCCCCTGAGATCAAGAGTTTGAGACCAGCCGGGCCAACATGGTGAAACCCTGTCTCTACTAAAAATACAAAAATTAGCTGGGCATGGTGGCACACATCTGTAATCCCAGCTACTCAGGAGGCTGAGGCAGGAGAATCGCTTGAACCCGGGATGCGAAGTTTGCAATGAACCGAGATCATGCAATTGCACTCCAGCCTGGGCAACAAGAGTGGAACTACATCTCATAAAATATATATATACACACAAAAATTAGCTGGGTGTGGTGGCACGTGCCTGTAATCCCAGCTATGTAGGAGGCTGAGGCATGAGAATCGCTTGAACCTGGGAAGTGGAGGTTGAGTGAGCTGAGATTGTGCCACTGCACTCCAGCCTGGGCAACAGAGTGAGACTCTGCCTCAAAAAAAAAAAAGAAAGAAAGAAGAAAAGAAAATTAGGCATGATGGTGGTGCCTGTATTTCCAGCCACTTCAGAGGCTGAGGTGGGAGAATGGCTCAAACCCAGGAGTTTGAGCTGCAGTGAGCTATGAGCATGCCACTGTACTCCAGCCTGGACAGCAGAGTTAGACCCTGTCTTTGAAAATGAAAATAAGAAGCTAGGGCTGGAGAGGTAAGACAGGGGGATCAGATCTTGGAAAGAGACAGTGGGCCATTGTAAGGACTTGGGCTTACAGATGAGAGCCACTGCAGGGTTCTTTCTGAGCAGAAGAGGGACACCTCTGACTTTGAAAGCAGCACCCTGCGGGGTGGGGAGATTGTAGAAGTAAGGGCAGAAACAAGAGACCAGTCAGCAGGCTCTTGGGGTAATCCCAGGAGAGATGATTACCCTAGAGGCTGCCTAGGATGGTGGCTGAGAAAGTGAAGAGAAGGGGTGGGATTCTGGAAATATTTTAAAGGCTGACAGGATTTATCAGCAGGCCAAATATGAAGTGGGAGAGAGAAAGAAGAGAGAGGAATCAGGGAAAATCTCAAGGTTTTGGCCTGAGCAACAGGAAGAAAGGGTTGTCACTAATCAAGATGGAGAAAACTGGCCTTGCTAGTTTGGTGGGTGGGGGTGGGACTCTTAGAAGCCCAGTTTTGAACGGGTTAGGTTTCAGACACCTAGTAGATACATCTGTGTGGAGGGTTAAGTAGACACTGGTTAGGCAGGTCTGATGCAGAGGAAATGTGCAGGCTGGGGATAAATACTGGGGAGCCACCAGCACAGACCTGCTGGTATTTAAAGCCACAGTTTTCTGAGACTGTCTAGCTCTGTACTGTGCAATACAGCAGCCACTAGCCACATGTGGCTCTCCAACACATGAAATTAGTGCAAATTATGGCTGGGCATAGTGGCTCACGCCTGTAATCCTAGCACTTTGGGAGGCCGAGGCAGGTGGATCACGAGGTCAGGAGGTCGAGACCAGCCTGGGCGACAGACTGAGACTTTGTCTCAAAAAGAAAAAGAAAAAGAAAAAAAGAAATTAGTGCAAATTATGTGACTGAAGAACTAACTTTTTTTTAAGAGATTGGGTCTTGGTCTGTTGCCCAGGCTGGAGTGCAGTGGCACAATCACAGTAGCCTGGAATTCCTGGGCTCAAGCAATCCACCCACCTCAGCCTCCTGAACAACTGGGAATAGGGGCACACACCACTGTGACTAATTATTTTATTACTATTATTATTATTATTATTATTTTTTAGTGGAGATGAGATCTCCCTCTGTTGCCTAGGCTGGTCTTGAACTCCTGGCTTCAAGCAAACCTCCCACCTCGGCCTCCCAAAACACTGGGATTACAGGAATAAGCCACCATGTCCAGCCTAGAACTAAATTTTTTTTTTTTTTTGCAGCGGAGTCTTGCTCTGTCGCCAGGCTGGAGTGCAGTGGCGCGATCTCGGCTCACTGCAACCTCTGCCTCCAGGGTTCAAGCAATTCTTCTGCCTTAACCTCCCGAGTAGCTGGGACTATGGGCGCCCACCACCACTCCTGGCTAATTTTTTTTTTTTGTATTTTTAGTAGAGACGGGGTTTCACCATGTTCACCAGGATGGTCTCAATCTCTTGACCTTGTGATCTGCCTGCCTCGCCTCCCAAAGTGCTGGGATTACAAGCGTGAGCCACCACGCCCGGCCGCCTAGAACTAAATTTTTAATTTTAATTAACTTAAATTTGAAAACCGATATCTGATTCAGTTATTGAAAATGTTTTAAGTATGTTTGGAACAACTCAAGTATATAAATCTACTTTTTCAGCAGCCAAGTTTATGAAATCTAAATACCTATCAAGATTTTCTGATGAAAATTTAGCATCCAAATTGAGGTGAGCTTTAAGTGAAAAATATACAATGGATTTCAAATATTTAGTACAAAAACTAAAATATTTCATTAATAGTTTTTTATTGATTACATGTTTAAATGATACTAATTGGCTACATTGGGATAAATAAAATGTTATTAAAATTAATTTCACTGGCTGGGCATGGTGGCTTATGCCTGTAATCCCAGAACTTTGGGAGGCTAAGGCAGTGGATCACCTGAGGTCAGGAGTTTCAGACCAGCCTGGCCAACATGCTGAAACCCCGTCTCTACTAAAAATACAAAAATTAGCTGGGCGTGGTGGCGCATCCCTGTAGTCCCAGCCACTTGGGAGGCTGAGGAAGGAGAATCACTTGAACTCGGGAGGCAGAGGTTGCAGTGAGCCGAGATCATGCCACTGCACTCCATCCTAGGTGACAGAGTGAGACTCCATCTCAAAATAATAATAATAATTTTACCGTTTCTTATTACTTTTTTTTTTTTTTTTGAGACAGTCTCACTCTGTCGCCCAGGCTGGAGTGCAGTGGCGTGATCTCGGCTCACTGCAACCTCTGCCTCCTGGGTTCAAGTGATTCTTGTGCCTCAGCCTCTCGAGTAGCTGGGATTACAGGCACTCACCACCACGCCCAGCTAATTTTTTGTATTTTTAGTAGAGACAGGCTTTCACCATGTTGGCCGGGCTGGTCTCGAACTCCTGGACTCAAGCCATCCCCCTGCCTTGGCCTCCCAAAGTGCTGGGATTACAGGCGTGAGCCCACCGAGCCTGGCCTTCTTATTACTTTTTAAAAAATGCGGCTGGGTGTGGTGGCTCATGCCTGTAATCCCAGCACTTTGGGAGGCCAAGGCAGGTGGATGGCTTGAGTCCAGGAGTTCGAGATCAGCCTGGCCAACATGGTGAAACCCTGTCTCTACTGAAATACAAAAATTAGCTGGGCGTGGTGGTACATGCCTGCAGTGCCAGCTACTCAGGAGGCTGAGGTGGAAAATCGCTTGAACCTGGGAGGTGAGAGTTGCAACAAGCCAAGATCATGCCACTGTACTCCAGCTTGGGCAACAGAGTGGGACCCCATCTCAAAAAAAAAAAAAAAAAAAAGTGGCTACTAGATGATTTTGCATTACACATGTGGTTCACATTAAATTTCTGTTAGATAGCGTCAATCTTGGGAGGGAGTATGGCTAGAGAAGAGGAGTTCACAGATTGCACTCTGGGGCACTGCTTTACGCAGAAGCCAGTGATATGGGGAAGAACCAGCAGAAAAGCCTGGGATGGAACAGTCTGAGAGGTAGGAGGAAAACCAGGTACGTGTGTTGTCCTGGAAGCTCCTGGAAGAGGGCGTTACCAGGATGAAGGGAGCCATCTGGTCAGATGGATGTTGCTGCAAGATCAAGTAATGAGGACAAGGGATGAACACCAAGTTCAGCAATGGTGACGCTGGCAAGAGCAGTTTTGGAGGAACAGCGAGGGCCAAGCCTGATGGGAATAGGTCCAGGAGAGAGCAGAAATGGACTCATCCGCAGGAATGGACTCATCAGCAGAGTTTTGCTGTAAAGGAAGAAGGGAGGGGTGACTGGAGTAGGAGGTGTGACAGGAAGGGCTCTTGTATAGCTGGGAGGAATAGCAGCATGCGTCCTGCTGATGGGGATGACTCGGAGAGGCCAGAGTGGCTGGAGCGGAAGTCCTGAGTGGGAGGGAGCTGGGTGGCATGCACAGGGACAGCTGGAGTCTTGGCCGGGGGGTTGAGGGTTCACTCATAGGTACAACAGGGAGAGCAGAATTCTTGGGCCCAGATGCAGGGCGGTGCGTGAGGCAGTGGTGGGAACTTGTGGAAGTTCTCTTCTGATTGCTTCAATTTGGTACTTTGGATTTGCCTCTGAATCGGTGTTCCCCATTTGCAGTTATCCCCTTACCTATCCCACCATCAGAACTCTTCTTTTTATTATAAGACTGAAGGAAAACAGCTCCCAGTGAAGGCATATGCCATCTCCTTTGCTTCTTGTATGCTCCAGGGCCTGGGCAGCACTGGCTCCCTTTCCTTCCCACATCCAGGACCAGTTCCTCTTCTTGCCAACCCCCACAGAGTCTGTCTCTCCTTGGGACACAGGTGAACTCGGGCCCTAGCCTCCCTCTTATCCATGGTTTGTGGGGCTGTGCAGGTTACTGAGTTCTCTCAGCTAAGACAGCTGCATTCTGATGAGTCCTGCTCTGGACTCGCCTTTCTAGCAGTGTTGAGTACAGTCATGCATCACTTAATAACAGGGATATATTCTGAGAAATGTGTCATTAGGTGATTTTGTCTCTGTGCTAACATCCTAGAGTGTCCTTGACACAATCCTAGATGGTAGAGGCTACTACACACCTGGGCTACACGGCGTAGGCTATTGCTCCTGGGCTACAAACCTGTACAGCATGTTACTGTGCTGAATACTGGTAACACAAAGGTATTTGTGTATCTAAACAGAGAAAAAGTATGGTGAAAATATGGTATAAAAGAGAAAAAATATGGGCCAGGCATGATGGCTCACACCTGTAAACCCAGCACTTTGGGAAGCCAAGGCGGGTGAGTCACTTGAGGTCAGGAGTTCGAGACCAGCCTGCCCAACATGGTGAAACTCCATCTCTATTAAAAATAAAAAAATTAGCTGGGTGTGGTGGCATGCACCTGTAGTCCCAGCTACTCAGGAGGCTGAGGCAGGAGAATTGCTTGAACCCAGGAGACGGAGGTTGCAGTGAGCTGAGATCACACCACTGCACTCCAGCCTGGGTGGCAGAGCGAGACTTCATCTCAAAAAAAATTAAATTAAAAATTTAAAAAAGAGGCCGGGCGCTGTGGCTCACGCCTGTAATCCCAGCACTTTGGGAGGCCAAGGCGGGTGGATCAAGAGGTCAGGAGATCGAGACCATCCTGACTAACACGGTGAAACCCCGTCTCTACTGAAAATACAAAAAATTAGCCGGGCAAGGTGGCAGGCTCCTGTAGTCCCAGCTACTCAGGAGGCTGAGGCAGGAGAATGGCGTGAACCCGGGAGGTGGAGCTTGCAGTGAGCTGAGATCACGCCATTGCACTCCAGCCTGGGCGACAGAGCGAGACTCCGTCTCAAAAAAAAAAAAAAAAAAATTTAAAAAAAGAGAAAAAAATGGTATCCCCGGCCGGGTGCAGTGGCCTATGCCTGTAGTTCCAGCTATTAGGGAGACAGGTGGGAGAACTGATTGAGTTCAGGAGTTTGAAGCTGTAGTGGGTGATGATCGTGCCTGTAAATAGCAACTGCTTTCCAGTCTGGACAACATAGTGAGACGCCACCTCTAAAACAACAACAACAACAACAACAATGCAAAACGAAATGGTACACTTGTATAGGGCACTTACCATGAATGGAGCTTGCAAGGCTGGAGGCTGCTCTGGGAGACTCAGTGAGTGAGTGGTGAGTGCCTGTGAAGGCCTGGGACATTACTGTACACTACTGTAGATGTTATAACACTGTACACAGTGTACACTAAAATGACTTAAAATTTTCTTAGGCAAGGCACAGTGGCTCATGCCTGTAATCCTAGCATTTTGGGAGGCCGAGGCAGGCAGATCACTTGAGCCCAGGAGGTTGAGATCAGCCTGAGCAACATAGTGAAACCCCATCTCTACAAAAAATAACAAAATTAGCTGGTCATGATGGTGTACACCTGTAGTCCCAGCTACTCAGGTGGCTGAGGCAAGAGGATCGATTGAGCCCACGAGGTTGAGGCTGCAGTGAGCAGTGATTGTGCCCGGGTGACAGGGTGACACAGCAAGACTCTGTCTCAAAACAAACAAAACCCACCTTTACTAAAGATACAAAAATTAGCTGGGGTGGTGAAGCACACCTATAGTCTCAGCTACTTGAGAGGCTGAGGTTAGGGGATCACTTGAACCTGGGAGGCAGAGGTTGCAGTGAGCCAAGATTGCTCCACTGCACTCCAGCCTGGGTGACACAGCGAGACCCTTAAAAAAAATTTAAACTTTTGGACTCTTGTAATAACACTTAGCGTCAAACACAAATACATTGTAGAGCTGTATAAAAACATTTTCTTTCTTTATATCCTTATTCTATACACTTTTTTCTATTTTTATAATGTACTACTTTTTTTTGTTTTGTTTTGTTTTGTTTTTTGAGACAGTCTCACTCTTGTCACCCAGGCTGGAGTGCGGCGGTGCAATCTCGGCTCACTGTAACTTCCACCTCCCGGGTTCAAGTGATTCTCCTGCCTCAGCCTCCCAAGTAGCTGGGACTACAGACGTGCGTCACCTTGCCCGGCTAATTTTTGTATTTTTAGTAGAGACGGGGTTTCATCATGTTGGTCAGGCTGGTCTCGAACTCCTGACCTCAGGTGGTCTGCCCGCCTCAGCCTCCCAAAGTGCTGGGACTATAGGTGTGAGCCACCATGCCCGGCTTTTTTTAGTTTTTAAACTCTTTTGTTAAAACACAAACACACACAGTAGCCTAGGCCTTCACAGGGTCAGGACCATCAACATCACCATCTTCCACCTCCACATCTTGTCCCACTGGAAGGTCTTCCAGGGCAATAACATGCAGGGAGCTGGCATCTCCTATGATAACAATGCCTTCTGGATTCCTCCCGAAGGACCTGCCCAAGGCTGTTTTACAGTTAATGTGTTTTTCTTTTTATAAGTAGAAGGTCTATACTCTAAAATAACAATAAAAAATATAGCATAGTAAACATATAAGCCAGTAACATCGTCATTTGTTGTCATTATCAAGTATTATGTACTGTACATAATTATATGTGCTGTACCAGAGGTCTCCAACCTTTTTGACAGCAGGTTCTGGTTTCGTGGAAGACAGTTTTTCCACAGACTGGGGTAAGGGGGAGGGATGGTTTCAGGATGATTCAAGTGCATTACATTTGTTGTGCACTTTATTTCTATTATTATTATATTGTAATATATAATGAAGTAATTATACAATTCACCATAATGTAGAATCAGTGGGAGCCCTGAGCTTGTTTTCCTGCAACTAGACATCCCATCTGGGGGTGATGGGAGACAGTGACAGATGAGGCATTAGATTCTCATTAGGAGTGCACAACCTAGATCCCTGGCATATGCAGTTCACAATAGGTTTCCGATTCTAGGAAAATCTAATGCTTCTGCTGATCTGACAGGAGGCGGAGCTCAGGCAGCAAAACCAGTGTTGGGGAGTGGCTGTAAGTACTGATGAAGCTTTCTTTGGGGGCTGGCCCGCCGCTCAACTCCTGCTGTGCCGCCCGGTTCCTAACAGACCATGGACCAGTACTGATCCACGG
This sequence comes from Homo sapiens, assembly GCF_000001405.40. NCBI lineage: Eukaryota > Metazoa > Chordata > Mammalia > Primates > Hominidae > Homo > Homo sapiens. Next base: position 226,101,158 of record NC_000001.11, on the reverse strand, counting down.
GTTGGGGACCCCTCTGCTATACTTTTATATGACTGGCAGTGCAGTAGGTTTGTTTACACCAGCGTCACCATAAACACGTGAGTAATGCATTGGTTGCGCTAAGACTTAAGAAGGCTATGACATCACTAGGCCATAGGAATTTTTCAGCTCCATCATAATCTTATGGGGCCCTGTCTGTATGCGGTCCGTCATTTATAGAAACTTTGTCATAAACTCATAACTGTAATTGGATTTGTGCTTTCTTTTTTCTTTTTTTCTTTTTTTTTTTTGCCTTGCCACCCTCTTCCTAAAACTAGGTCCTGGAGGACTGGACCAAAACTGCTTCCCGTTCTTCCTCCACAGCCCAGCACAGTGTGGTGTGGTGTATAATGAAATGAAATTGGGCCTCCGGAAAAAGCGATTTCCAAGTGTGTTCCGCAGGTGCCTGACGGCGAGGATCCTGTGCGCATGCGCCCACCCACCGAGCCTTAACTGTGGGAATTAGGCATTCTTCCTAAATGGTTTGACCTCGGGCCCTTTTAAAATCTTAATGCTTGTTAACAACATCCAAGGCCATGAATATACTTCGGGAAATACAGTCTATTACTCTTTTTTTTTTTTTTTTGAGACGGACTCTTGCACTGTTGCCCAGGCTAGAGTGCAGCCGGGCGCGGTGGCGGGTGCTTGTAATCGCAGCCACTCGGGAGTCTGGGGTCGCTTGAACCCGGGAGGTGGAGGTTGCAATGAGCCGAAATGGTGCCACTGCACTCTAGCCTGGGCGACAGAGCGAGACTCCCTCTGAAAACAAAAACAAAAACAAAAACAAAAAACAAACAAAACCCCCACACATTAGTAGTAGTTATTACCGTGGTCTTCCAAAGGGATTTTTCTCTTTCAAGCAGCAGTTTGGGACTCTTACCTGTTGTTTGCTGGTTATTACCCAATGGTCCAAGGAGTGAAATTTTTGAAAAACTAAACACTAGCTAGGTGTCACCACGAAGTGAACGCTGAATATAAAAGTCATCATTAATATTCATAAAGTAAGTCAGTGGAGAACAATGACTACATTGGTTAAAATCTGGTTTGCACAGAATATTTTAGGAAAACATTGTTTAGGACCCAGTATCCTCCCTCAGTGTGGAAGTCAGTGAATGAAAATTGTATTTGACAAGTTGTTCTTTAAGAAGACACTGCTTATGTGAAATGAAGTCAACTTGAATCCAGTTATGTGTGTCTGTCTCTTACATAAAAAGCCCAGAGGTAGGAATTACAGAGTTGGATGTGCTATGGTCTAAATGTTTGTGCCACCCCTACAAATCCATATGTTGAAAAAATTTTTTTTTCCTTTGAGATGGGGTTTCACTCTGTCACCCAAGCTGGAGTGCAGTGATGTGGTCATGGCTTATTGTAGCCTCAACCTCTCAGACTCAAGTGATCCTCCCACCTCAGCCTCACAAGTAGCTGGGACTGCAGGCATGCCACCACAGCTGGCTAGTTTTAAAACTTTTTATAGAGATGGGGTTTCCCTGTGTTGCCCAGGCTGGTCTGGAACCCCTGGGCTTAAGCAATCCTCCCACCTCACCTCCCAAAGTGCTGGGGTTATAGGCATGAGCCACCATGACTGGCTTGTATGTGGAAATTTTAACCCCCAATTTTTTTTTAACTTTCATTCTCAAAGGAGGTGATTAATCCCCAAATGATGGTATTATGAGGTGGGCCCTTTGAGAAGTGATGAGATGAGGGTGAAGTCCTCATGACTGGGATTAGTGACCTTATAAGAAAGGCCCAGAGAGCTCACTAGTTCCTTTCTCTCTTTGAGGACACAGCAAGAAAACACTGGCTGGCTGGCACAGTGGCTTACACTTGTAATCCCAGCACTTTGGGAGTCTGGGGTGGGAAGGTTGCTTGAGGCCAGGAGTTCCAGACCAGCCTGGGCAACATAAGCAAGATCCCGCCGTCTCTATAAAAAGTTAAAAAAATTAGCCAGGCATGGTAGCACATGCCTATAGTTCCAGCTTCTTTGGAGGCTGAAGTGGTAGGATTGCCTGAGCCCAGGAGTTCAAGGCTGCAGTGAGCCCTGACTGCACTACAGCACTCCAACTTGGGTGATACAGCAAAACCCTATCTCCAGAAAAAAAAAGTTATCTAAAGAGAGTTTGATAGACCTAGCTCATCTCATCCTTCCCACCAGGCCCCACCTCATAGGCCACTGCCCAGGCAACAGAGTGGCCGTGTGGATCCACCTCACTGTGGCTGGGATAGGGAATGGGATCACATGGTCTGCCTGGGGCTGCCCCTTCAGTGGGGAGCTGTGGGCTGGGCATTTCATCTGTAGGAGACTGTGAGGTGAGAGGAAGCAGAGGATATTCTGTGGGAAGAATCTTCATGGACCAGGTGATAAGTGAGCTAGATTTGGAAGAATGGGTGGGATTCTAGTGAGCAGAGAGGGGTAGAACATTCCCGGAGGGGTAAAGGAAATAAAGTATATATTACAGAGCAGGGGGAGCCTCGTGTGGTTGGAGCTGGGAGGTATGGGGAGATGGGGAGGGCAGGGGGAGGGGAGGGGAGAAAGAGTGGAGAGAAATCAGGCAGCGTTGTGCTGAGGCCAGAATGGGTAGGGGCTATATTTTGGGTAAGCTGGGGGAAAGTGGAACTGATGTTCTCTGAGCTGTGCTCTAGGAATCAGAGAGCAGATGGAGGCTGGAGGTAACTGGGAAGGAGCCCACACCTTTCTGGGCATCCTTTGTCATCCATCTTCCTATGTCCAGGCAGGAGCCAACCTGCTCTCCAACCTGGCTTGCACTTGGCTGAACAGACAGTCACTGCCCACTGAGTACCCGTGGGCTCTTCTACCTTTCCAGAACCCTGGCTGCTGGCCAGTGGGCTAGTGCTGGCCAATTGGCTATAATCGGAAGTGTGACCTATATGTGAAAGCAAACAGAGTCTTGGGACCCCAAACTCACTATGCCAAAGGGAAAGTTAAGTTTGGGAACTGAGTCACAGAAAAACTGCCTTCCTTTTGTTCCCAAACAGATAGCGGTAGTTTCACAATCCTGTGTCATAGCCTCATTCGTAAGCCAGGTTCCCACAACAATAGAAGGCTACATATTTCCCAAATTGTTCACAAGGAAATTCCCTGTGGGCCCCTAAACCTTTCAGAATACACATTCCCCTATAAGCTAGTTCTAAAATCAAGTTCTGTTAAACTTCACCCTGACAATGTCAATTATCAGCTTATCTTCACAGGGACAGGATAAGGACAAGACTAGAAATCATCCCTCCTCCTACCCCAAGACTTTGCATAATTGACTTGGTCCTCTGTTTCACATGTAAAAGGTACATTCACTAAGGCTAATAGGAACCTAAGATTGTATCCATTTGCCTCATTGTCTACCCTTCTAGGAGCGCAGTGGAGCGATCTCGGCTTACTGCAACCTCCACCTCCTGGGTTCAAGTGATTCTCATGCCTCAGCCTCACAAATAGCTGGGATTACAGGCATGCATCACCATGCCTGGCTAATTTTTGTATTTGTAGTAGAGACAGGTTTGCACCATGTTGGCCAGGCTGGTCTCGAACTCCTTGCCTCAGGTGCTCCACCTGCCTGGATCTCCCAAAGTGCTGGGATTACAGGCGTGAGCCACCACGCCCAGCCCCCTTACCCCGTTTTTTTTTTTTTTTTTTTCCTCTTCTGCTTGCTCTTTCCCCTTCAAATACTGAAGTTCCTGAAACCTTCCTTGGAAAAATCACAGGTTGTAGATGCTTCTGTGACTTGTTTTTGTTTTGTTGGTTTTTTTGCATCCTCAATCATGGTTAAATAAGCTTCTAATCAATTGAGACCTGCCTCAGTCACTTTTTGGTTTACATGTGTCACTACTGGATCAAAAGGTGTAAGTTCTCCATGCCCTCTCTTCCCATGCCATGGTGACTGGTGATTGTCTAGATGGTGGCTCTTCTAGCAACCTGGATCCCTGAGACCCTAGGTGGAACAGAGCCCTGCCCTTCCATCCTCTTTTCTCCACTGCACTGAGCGTATAACATGATTGAGAAATATACTTTGTTGTGTGAAGTCATTGAAGTTTGGGGCTGATTTACTGCGGTAGAACCTAGCCTCACCTGACTAATAGACCAGCTGAGGGAGCTCCTTGCTCAGCGGCATGGGTTCCCCCGACACCCCCACCCCACACAGAGGTAGGCTGGGGTTGAGCAGAGCAGGGGAGGACAGCAGGACTTTGACCCCTGGAGGATTTGGCTTGGATTTCCCTCTCTTTTTTTTTTAATTTAAAAAAATGTATTTATTTATTTACTTAGAGACAGGGTCTTGCTGTGTTGCCCAGGCTGGAGTGCAATGATGCAACCTTAGCTTACTGCAGCCTCGGACTCCTGGGCTCAAGTAATCCTCCCACCTCCGCCTCCTGAGTAGGTAGGACTACAGGAACACACCACCACATCTGACTAATTTTTTTTTTTTTTTTTTTTGTAGAGATAGGTTTGCTATGTTCCCTAGGCTGGTCTCAAACTTCTGGCCTCAAGCAATCCTCCAGCCTCAGCCTTCCAAACTGCTGGGATGACAGGTGTGAACCACCACCCCTGGCTCAGACCTCTCAAAGGGCTCACTGCCTCCAGGGGGACCACAGCTGGGCTGAGCCTGCATTGCCTGAGCGCATACACCTCCACTGTAGAGGGAGAGGGCACCTGCCAGTGGAGGTCAGCCGCAGGCAACACAAGGTGGATTGTGTCTGAATCACCAGTAGCTCTATACAGCAAGGACCCTGTCCTTGAAGCACTGAGGCTGGAGACCAGACTGGGTCCTCAAGGCAACAGCTTCAGTCACCTCCTCCAGCCTTTCCTCCGAGGGGAGCTCTGAGCAAGACAAGCTTGATCATGTTACTTCCCTACTTAAAAACCTAGGATAGGGGCCAAGCAAAGTGGCTCATACCTGTAATCCCAGCACTTTGGGAGGCCGCGGCGGGGGCGAGCGGATCACTTGAGGTCAGGAGCTCAAGACCAGCCTGGCCAACATGATGAAACCTCATCTCCACTAAAAATACAAAAATTAGCTGGGCGTGGTGGTGTGCACCTGTAGTCCCAGCTACTCAGGAGGCTGAGGCAGGAGAATTGCTTGAACCCAGGAGGCAGAGGTTGCAGTGAGCTGAGAGGGTGCCATTGCACTCCAGCCTGGACGACAGAGCTAGACTCTGTCTCAAACAAACAAACAAACACACACCACCTCCAATAGGCCAGGCTGCTCATGCCTGTAATCCCAGCACTTTGGGGAGCTGAGGCAGGAGGACTCTTGAGTCTAGGAGTTGGAAACTAAACAGGGCAACATAGAGAGACCCTGTCTCTGATTAAACAAACAAACAAAACCCATAAAAATTAGGATAAGGTCCACATACCCTGGTCAAGCTTCAAGGTTGTTTGCAACCTGGCCCCAGGAAAGCAAAGTCCTGAAGAGTGGCTGCGGCAGACTGGCTCCTTCACCATTGCTCTGCTACAGCCACTACCAAGAGTTTTGTCTTCCCCAACTCCCTGATAGGTTCATGCACCTGGACAGTGGCATAAGCCATTCCCCACACCTAGAATGCCCTCACATGTCTCCTGCCCCTTTGCCTCTCTGGCCTGCTTTCGCTCCCTCCACCCTCTAGGACTCCCTCCAGCTCCTTATGGCCTGGAGGTCCCTGCCCACAGTCCCTGCTGCCTCTCTGAGGTGCAGACAAGGGATCATCATCGTCCCCTTCCCAAACTCTGTGCCAGGCATGATGCTGGGTGCTGTATACAGAAGTGAGCAAAGTGAACACAGTCCTTGCCCTCCTGGAGCTGATGGTCTTGGGGGCAAATAATCAGACAAATAAATCTAGAAATCTCACACTGAAGGAAAAACAGGGTGGAAGGGATCTATTCTAGAGGTGAGTGGGGGTTGCTAGGGAAGATCTCTTCAAGGAGGTGGGGTTTTGTTTTTCTTGTGGTTTTTTAGAGATGGGGTCTCCTTCTGTTGCTCAGGCTGGAGTGCAGTGGCATGATCACGGCTCACTGCAGCCTCCAATTCCTGGGCTCAAGTGATCCTCCCACATCAGCCTCCTGAGTAGCTGGGACTAACAGGTATGCACCATCAGGCCCAGCTGAAGAGGTGGTTTTTAAACTGATGCTTCCTCAGGGTGGAGAGGCCTTGCTGGATAGCGGGCAGGAGTGTACAGGAGGAGAAGGAAGAGCATGTGCCCAAGCCCTGAGCAAAGGTGGGAGAGGGTAGAAGAATGACCCTAAACTGCAGAACCCTGTAAAACCCAGGGCATTCTCCTTCCCCAGCATTTTCCTCTTCTGCTTCTCTTTCTCTCCCCCATCCTGTTTTCCCACCAGCCCTGCCCCCCACCCTTAACTATGGCAGGTGCCAGGGATGCACCTAGCACTGTGCTTAGGCTTTACACACTGTCATTCCCCAGCAGCCCTGGGAGACAGGTGTAATCATACCCATTTTACAGACCAAATAACTGAGACTTGGAGAGGTTAAGAGAACTGCCCAGGGTTGCTGGCCAGCAAGTGGTGAAACACATATTCAAGCCAGGGCCTGGTGTTTGTGCTGCCCTCTCTGTCCTGAAGAACCCTGCCTGGAGCTTGCCTTGTGCCCCACGGTCCTGCCCAGGCAGGAGGCTAATCCCCTTCTTGCTTGCTCACTATCTCCCTGCCAGGTGAGGGGATTGTGGAAGTGGAGGAAGCCATTGCATGGGGCCAAGCTGCCTCTCAGGAGCCCTGGACCCTTCCACTGGTAATGGAAGACCAAGACGGTGCTGAGCTATGAATGGCTGAACAGTTTCAGCCCAAACCACTCCATGGGCATTGCTTTTGCTGCTGGCTTCAAGCGCATCTGCCACAGTCTCAAAGAAAGTAAATTCAGCCTGGAACGGTAGCTTACACCTAAAATGTCAGCACCTGGGAGGCCAAGGCAGGAGGATAGCTTGAGGCCAAGAGTTCAAGACCAGACTGGGCAACATAGGGAGACCCGCCTCCATCTCTACTTTTAAAATAAGTTTAAAAATAAATAAATAAAATGGAGCCTCGGTAAATCGGAGGCAGCCAGGTCCAATTGCAGTTCCAGTGGGCACCAGGAAGAAGCCTAGGGCAGGAAGCTGCCTTTACTGGACGCCCCCCATTCCCGATGCAATCACCCATGACATTCCATTAATCGACAGCAGCCTCTGGAGAGGCAGTGGTGACAGAAGCTCTCATTTTATTGCTGAATGAACTGTGGCTCTTGGGGTTCAGTCACATGCCTAAAGCCACACAGCCAGTGCAAGGGGAGCCGGAGTTGGAACACAGGCTCCCTGACCCCAAAGCCCCCATTTCTTTCCAGCCACTACTTCCAGCAGGCCTGGCAGGGGCTGGGGAGAGAGGCCAAGCCCTTGCAGGGTGGTCTAGCAAGCCAGGGCCCAGCTGGCTCCCAGGAGCTAAGTCTATAAAGCTTCCCTGACAAGAGACACTTGGGGTCTTCCCAGCCCTTTGCTGGCAAGTTTTATTAGAAATGTCTTTCTGGCACTGTGGTCAAGTATTTTTGGAAGTTTCTAAGCATCTCGACGCTTGGAAAAGTGCATGGTTAGGCTGGAGAGAAGACTCTCAGGGAGTCGTGCTGAGGGAACAAAACTGGTGATCCAGGAAGTGAAATCAGCTTCATTTCTTTATGATTCTGCGGCCTTTTCCTGACCCCAGGACAGATCTGGGAAGCGGTAGGTCAATAGGCTCCTAGTTTGTGTGTGTGATGGTGGTGGTGGGTGGAGGATGAACTGAAGGGCGAGGTTTCCCAGCCTTCTGAAATCCCCTACCTCTGCTCCCTGTAGACAGAGGCGCTCTCTTCTGCTGTCTCCTTGTAAGATCCTGACAGCTTAACTGACTAATAATTTCTAGAAGCAGGGCTTCTTCTTGATACCCTCCACAGAGGTCCTGGTGCAGGATGTAAAAGGAAAGAAAACTCACCCGTTCAGGAGACCAGGAAAGGGAAGTTTTATGGATTTAGGAATCTAAGCCAGAGCAGCTCTGAAGTGAGTCACGATTTCTTAAGCACACACCATATTAAGCAGCTCATCTAGGCATTGTACATCTATTTTTAATACCACTATTGATGTATATCTTACATATTGTATAACTTACTCATTTCAAGTGTACAATTCAGTGAATTGTTAGTAAATTTACCAAGTTGTGTAACCCTCACCATAAATCCATTTTAGAACATTTCCATGACTCCAATAAAAGACTGCAGTCCCATTTACTGTTAATCCCCATTCTCCCCCTTCTCCAGGCAACCTTTAATCTAGTTTCTTTTTTGCAGAGATGGGGTCTCACTATGTTGCCCAGGCTGGTCTTGAACTCCTGGCCTCAAGCAATCCTCCCACCTCACCCTCCCAAAGTCCTGAGATTAGAGGTGTGAGCTGCAGTGCCCAGCTCCATAATCTATTTTCTGTCTCTAAATTTGTCTTTTCTGGACATTTCATAAAATGGAATCATAACAGGCCAGGCACGGTGGCTCACACCTGTATTCCTAGCACTTTGGGAGCCCGAGGTGGGTGGGTCACTTGAGGTCAGGAGTTCCAGACCAGCCTGGGCAACATGTTGAAACCCCATCTCTACTAAAAATACAAAAAAATTAGCCAGGCATGGTGGCGCGTGCTTGTAATCCCAGCTACTCAGGAGTCTGAGGTAGGAGAATCACTTGAACCCGGGAGGCAGAGGTTGCACTGAGCTGAGATTGTACCACTGCACTCCAGCCTGGGTGACAGAGCAAGACTCTGTCACAAAAAAAGAAAAAAAAACCCACTAAATAAAATAAATAAATAAATACATGGAAGCATACAGTATGCATTGTTTTGGGTCTGGCTTCTCTCTCCACGTAGCATTTGCAAGACTTATCCATGGCATAGCATGTATCAGTAGTTTGTTCTTTATCATTGCTCAGTAGTATTTCATTGTGTGGATGTACCACATTCTCTCTATCCATTCGCCAGTTGATGGACAGTTAGGTTGTTTCCTTTTTTTTTTTGAGACAGGATCTCATTCTATTGCCCAGGCTGGAGTGCAGTGATGTGATCATGGCTCAACGCAGCCTCAACCTCCGGGACTCACGTGATCCTCCTGCCTTAGCCTCCTAAGTAGCTGGGACTACAGGCATGTGCCACCATGCCTGGCTGACTTTTTTATATTTTTTGTAGAGATGGTGGTTTTCCCATGTTGCTCAGGCTGGTCTTGAACTCCTGGGCTCAAGGGATCTGCCCACTTTGGCCTTCCAAAGTGCTGGGATTACAGACATGAGCCACTGTGCCCAGCCTTGTTTCCAATTTTTGGCTATTATGAATAATGTTACTAAGAACATTTGTGTGTAGATAGGCTAAATCCTCACAACAATCCTGTCAGGTGGGCATTGTCATCCTCACTTTAAAGACGAGGACACCAAGGAACATAGAGATTAAGTAACTCACCCAAGGGCACACAGCTGCAATATTTCATCAGGCCTAGGAAGCACATTTTTCCCATATTTTCATGCTTCTGAAACTGGGATGCATCTCATAATCAGTGGCTTGTCATAGCTTACTTACAGCATTTTCCCCTTTCCTCATGGTACATAAAATGATGGTATGTTTTACAATCAAGGGCATCTTGATGAGATATGGCATTAAGTGGCTGGCCTTAGAGGTCTCCCTTACAGTTCACTCTTGTGTTAGGCCTGTTGGTTGTAAGTGACAGAAATCCCACTCAAAGGGAAATTTACTGGCTTGGTAATGGGAGAGGATCCTCGGACTAGGTCTTTGGGTTGGAGGAAGAGCTGCAGGGACCCTGAAAGGGGACTCCACACAGTTAAGTCTCTGTCCGTCTTTTGTTGCTGCTCATCTTTGCCAGCAGGCTCTGTTCCTCCATGAGGCAACCCCCGCTTAATAGTCCAAGGAGTGAAGTAATCCGAAAAACCTCTCTTCCTACCTCTGTGCATCAATTCTAAGGGAGAATTCTGAATGGTCCTGCTGGGATCACATGCCCATCTCTGGCCCGTCACTGTGGCCTGGGGAACGAGTCCCTCAAGGATCCAGCCCTGGAGGACATGCCCTTCCTTGTGGGTAGAAGATCTGTTGCCAGGCCGGGCATGGTGGCTCATGCCTTTAATCCCAGCACTTTGGGAGGCTGAGGTGGGCAGATCACCTGAGCTCAGGAGTTTGAGACCAGCCTGGCCAACACGGTAAAACCCTGTCTCTACTAAAAATACGAACATTAGTCTGGCGTGGTGGCGGGCACCTGTAGTTCTAGCTACCCAGGAAGCTGAAGCAGGAAAATCGCTTTAACCCAGGAGGCAGAGGTTGCAGTGAGCTGAGATCGTGCCACTGCACTCCAGCGTGGATGACAGAGCGAGACTCCATCTCAAAAAAAAAAAAAAAAGAAAGAAAGAAAAAACAAGAAAAGAAAAGAAAATCTGTTGCCAGAGGAGGGTAAGTAAGTGAGTTGCATGGCCAGCATCATTGAGCCTTCGGGCCACTATCACATGGTGTCACTCATTGTCATGTGATTATAGATATTACTGACTAAGGGGGTCTTTAGAAAGAATATCTGAAGTTTTTGATTTGTTTATTCTGTTGTGAGGTAATATTCTAAAGAGGTTAATTATACCTCTAAAAACTGTGTTGTTTGAAAATTAGCTGGGTGTGGTGGTGGACTCCTGTAATCCCAGCCACTTAGGAGGCTGAGGCAGGAGAATCGCTTGAACCTGGGAGGTGGAGGATGCAGTGAGCTGAGATCGTGCCACTGTACTCCAGCCTAGGCAACAGAGTGAGACTCTGTCTCAAAAAAAATAATAAATAAATAAATAAATAAATAAATAAATAAATGTGTTGTTTGAAGGACTTAATAAAGCAATAAAATATTCATGTAATATTCTAGATTTAATTATATTTAAACTTCTCATCAAGTAAAGATTTGTTTGCAGACAGTTCTGTAATAAAAACATGAAAAATCTTTTAGGAAACTAAACCTGTGAATTTGCCATGTTGAATTTAAGCTTCTAAGTATCGGTTTATATTTAACTCTGGCTTTAAACTGTGTGATATCACTTCTGCATCTCCCAAAAGATCTGGCACCTTTCTACCTCCACCCTGTTGCTCAAGTTCCCTTTGTTTGAATTGCCCTCCCCATGTCCATCTATCCAAATTCTACCTTCAATTTAATGTCACTGTCTGCAGGGGTCTTCCCTACTAGCTCTATCTGAAGGCAGTTTCTCCGTCTTTGAATTCCCACAGCCCCCTCATTAGGACTAGACACTCATCCGAGAAGAGCCTATAGCAGTATAATTTCCTGACCATTTGTTGGGTTTTTCCTTCCTATGTCTTCGTTTTCCCATTTTTGGAAAATAGGCTCTTCTGTGCCTTTGCCTCAGGAAAGGTTAAGTCATTGGGCTTCAGACACTTAAATCCAATATAATTCAGATAGAGATTAAGCTGCTATAACACAGACCCCAAAATGCAGTCATGCAAAAAGGATAGAAGCTTATTTCTATCTCACGAACCAATCTGGAGGTGGGCAACAGTGGCTTGAGATAAGTAAGCTGCTTGGCTCCACGTGGTTATTCAGGAACCCAGGTTTCTTTCTTGTCTGTTGTTCCTCCATCTCCTAGGGTATAGTCTTCATCTGCATGGTTGCAGCTGGAACACCACCCCGTTTGTGTTCCAGCCTATGGAAAAGGTAAAGAATTTAGAAAAGCATGTGCTTCATATTTTATGGCCAAGGCTTGGAAATGACACACATCACTCACACTTACATTCCATTGTCTGGAATTGCATCATATGGATGCATCATATAGATACATCTAGTTAGAAATGCGCTCTCTCTCTAGAGTAATGTGTGCTTATTTAAAAGTCAAGTATGTGGCCAGGCGCAGTGGCTCACGCCTGTAATCCCAGCACTTTGGGAGGCTGAGGCGGGTGGATCACAAGGTCAGGAGTTCAACACCAGCCTGACCAACATGGTGAAACCCCGTCTCTACTAAAAATAGAAAAAATACAAAAATTAGCCAGGCATGGTGGCGGGCACCTGTAATCCCAGCTACTCGGGAGGCTAAGGCAGGAGAATCACTTGAATCGCTTGAACCCGGGACGCAGAGGTTGCAGTGAGCTGAGATCGCACCACTGCACTCCAGCCTGGGTGACAAAGTGCGCCTCCGTCTCAAAAACAAACAAACAAACAAAACCTCAATTATTAGGAAGGAGGGGAGAAGATATTTTGAGGCATAACTAGCAGCTTACTACATTTTATTTTTTGGCTTTTGGCTTTAGTTTTCTCAGAGCTGGTGTCATTGAAGAGATTATGCCGAGTGCTTCTGGGGACAGAGAAGTGGGGACAAGCAGTAAGGCCAAGAAGAGAGAATCTAGGGAGAGAAGAGGGCTCCTGTACCAGTGGTCTATTGCTGCATAATAAAACATCTCAAAATTGTTAGTGTTAAATATTGACAACATAGGTGAGCAGGGTTGTGATTTTAAAAAATTAAAAAAGAAAAAATGTTGACCACATTTATTTTGCTCACAGATCTACTATTTTTGTAACATTTGATGGAGACACCTTATCTCTGCCCTGCTCAGTATCAGCTCAAGCATCTCAAAGCCTGGGTGCTGAGATCATCTGAGGGCTCTCTCAGTGACCTGTTTGGTCATTGCAGGTTGTTGGCTGGGACTTTAGTTGGTCTTGTGGCTAAAACACCTACACACGGCCTTTCTGTATGGACGCGTGGCTTTCCCGTAGCCTGGGGCATGGGTTCTAAAAGCAAACCTCCTATGAGCAATTGATAAGCAGACATTTATTGCCTTTTATTTTTATTATATTTTATTTATTTTTTGAGATGGAGTCTCACTCTGTTGCCCAGGCTGGAGTGCAGTGGCACAATCTCAGCTTATTGCAACCTCCACCTCCCAGGCTCAAGTGATTCTCTGCGTCAGCCTCCCCAGTTGCTGGGATCACAGGCGCACACCACCACACCCAGCTAATTTCGTATTTTTAGTAGAGGCAGGGTTTCACCATGTTAGCCAGGCTGTTCTCGAACTCCTGACCTCAAGAGATCTGCCTGCCTTAGCTTCCCAAAGTGTTGGAATTACAGCCATGAGCCATGGTGCCCGGCTTATTGCCTTTTATTTATTTTATTCTATTTCTTTTTTTTTTTTTTTTTGAGACAGAGTCTTGCTCTGTCACCCAGGCTGGAGTGCAATGGCACGATCTCCGGCTCACTCGGGTTCAAGTGATTCTCCTGCTTCAGCCTCCCGAGTAGCTGAGACTACAGGCACCCACCTCGGCCTCCCAAAGTGTTGGGATTACAGGCATGAGCTACTGCACCCACCCAATTTTAAATCTGAAGTATTTATTTTACTTATCACCTATGTAAGAAAAAATATAACCACCTCACCGGAGATATCATTGCTTAGGATGAGGCTGAATTTATTTAGGTAAAAAATAGTGAGTCAATTTAAAGAAATACCTTAAGTAAATAAATCTGAGGCCAGGAGTGGTGGCTCATGCCTGTAATCCCAGCACTTTGGGAGGCCGAGGAGAGTGGATCACGAGGTCAGGATATCGAGACCACGGTGAAACCCCGTCTCTACTAAAAATAGAAAAAATTAGCCGGGCGCGGTGGTGGGCGCCTGTAGTCCCAGCTACCCGGGAGGCTGAGGCAGGAGAATGGTATGAACCCGGGAGGCGGATCTTGCAGTGAGCCGAGATCGCGCCACTGCACTCCAGCCTGGGTGACAGAGCGAGACTCCGTCTCAACAACAACAAAAAAAATTAAATTTAATTTAAAAAATAAATAAATAAATCTGAGTGAGGACTAGAGAAGGCTCTGTAGCAAGTTCAGGGTGCAGTGCAAGCTGCTCTTTCTTTTGGCCCTTATCATCCACAGACCCAACAATATCCGAGTGTCTGTGGCAATGGGGATGCTATATGGAGGCCCTGGGAAGCACCAGTAAGAGAATCACAGCACAGGCCTCTAGGGTTTGGGAACAGATGCACAGCCTGTTTCACAGATAACTGTTCTTCTGGCTTGCTTCTGGTCCCTGGTAGAAACAGAACACCTAGTTATGGGTCGTGAAGCGGCCGCATGTGCACTGCATGTTGTCTTACTCACCCCGCCACGGGATTGGGCACGTGCAGCAGCAATCTCTAATCACGCGGAGACGGCATATGTACACTGGGCTCCAGCAGGCTCAGAAGGCACAAGTGAGCTGTGCGAGCAGGTGGCGCAGACTCCTTCGACAGCGATTCTTGCCTTATTGCCTGTTTTCCTTCATTCCTAGGACCTCATAGAAAGTTCCTTGTGTCAGCCGGGCACCGTGGTTCATGCCTGTAATTCCAGCACTTTGGGAGGCCGAGGTGGGCGGATCACCTGAGATGAGGAGTTTGAGATCAGCCTGGGCAACATGGTGAAACCCCGTCTCTACTAAAAATACAAAAATTAGCCCGTTGTGGCCTGTAATCCCATCTGCTCGGGAGGCTGAGGCATGAGACTCACTTGAACTCAGGAGGCTTAGGTTGCAGTGAGCCCGAGATCACGCCATTGTACTCCAGCCTGGGCGACAGAGCAAGACTCCGTCTCAAAAAAAAAAAAAGTTCCTGTGTCAGTTGACTGAGGAGGAAAAAAATCCAGACTTGGTTTACAGATGGCTCCTGCACAACAGAGAGTGGACAGCTGGAGCCCACCAGCCCCGCTCCAGGGTGTCCCTGAAGGACAAGTGGTGAAAGAAAATCTTCCTTGGGGGCAGAACTTCAAGAGGCACATTTGTTTGTCTACTTTGCCTGGATGGAGAGACAGCCAGATGGAGGGATCTACATAGATTCACTGGCAAGAACATGGAAGGAGGATTGGTGACAAGCAGGTCTGGGGAAGAAGTATGTGGACAGATCTTCCAAACAGGCCCAGAATATAAAGATATTTGGGTCCCATGTGAATGCACACCAAAGGGTATCACTGCAAAGGAGGCTCTTGACTATCAGCGGAACAAAGCATGTTCTCTGGAGGTCGGGCTGTCTCTTTTTCCAGCTACCATTGCTTGCCCAATGGACCTATGTAACAAAGAGGCTGTGTGGCAAGATTGGAGGCTATGCGCGAGCTCAACAACATGGACTTCCCCTCACCAAGGCTGAGTAAGTCATCTACTAACTGCCTAATCTGCCAATAGCAGAGACCAACACTGAGCCCACTGTGGCTCCTTGGGGGACCCAGCCAGCCATCTAATGGCAAATTGATTACACTGGACTTTTTCCATCATGGAAAGGACATTATACACATATTCTGGATTTGCTTTGCCTGTTCATCTTGTTTCTGCCAGCACCACCATGCATGGATTAACAGAATGCCTTCCTCACCATCCTAATACTCCACTCAGTACTGCTTCTGATCAAAAGATGAGCAGCAATGGCCTACTGCCCATGGAACAAACTGATTTTTTTGTTGTTTTTCTTTTTCTTTTCTTTTCTTTTTTTTTTTTGAGACGGAGTTTTGCTCTGTTGCCCAGGCTGGAGTGCAGTGGCGCAATCTCGGCTCACTGCAAGCTCCGCCTCCCGCGTTCAGGCCATTCTCCTGCCTCAGCCTCCGGAGTAGCTGGGACTACAGGTGCCCGCCACCACGCCCGGCTAATTTTTTGTATTTTTAGTAGAGACGGGGTTTCACCTTGTTTGCCAGGATGGTCTTGATCTCCTGACCTCGTGATCCGCCCGCCTCGGCCTCCCAAAGTGCTGGGATTACAGGCGTGAGCCACCGCGCCTAGCCTTCTTTTTCTTTTTTCTTTCTTTTCTTTTCTTTTTTTTTCTGAGATAGAGTTTCACTCTTTTTGCCCAGACTGGGGTGCAATGGTGCGATCTCGGCTCACTGCAACCTCTGCCTCCCCAGTTCAAGCAATTCTCCTGCCTCAGCCTGCCAAGTAGCTAAGATTACAGGCACCTGCCACCACGCCTGGCTAATTTTTGTATTTTTAGTAGAGACGGGTTTTCACCATGGTGGCCAGGCTGGTCTTGAACTCCTGACCTCAGGTGATCCGCCCACCTTGGCCTCCAAAAGTGCTGGGATCACAGGGGTGAGCCACTGTGCCCAGCCCTTGTTTGTTTTTAAGGCAGGATCTCGCTCTGTCACCCAGGTTGGAGTGCAGTGGTGTGATCTCAGCTCACTGTAGCCTCAAACTCTTGAGCAGGTGATCCTCCCAGCTCAGCCACCCAAGTAGCTAGGACTACAGACACACACCACCACACCTGGCTAATTTTTATTTTATTTTATTATTTTGTTTTGTTTGAGACAGGGTCTCGCTTTGTCGCCCAGGCTGGAGTGCAGTGGTGAGATCTCGGCTCACTGCAACCTCTGCCTCCACGGTTCAAGTGATTCTCTTCCCTCAGCCTCCCAAGTAGCTGGGATTATAGGCGCCTGCCACCAAGCCCGGCTAATTTTTGTATTTTTAGTGAGATGGGTTTTCACCATGTTGGCCAGGCTGGTCTCGAACTCCTGACCTCAAGTGATCCACCTGCCTTGGCCTCCTGAAGTGCTAGGATTACAGGTGTGAACCACTGCGCCCAGCCATGCCCGGCTAATTTTTGAATTTTTAGTAGAGACGGGGTTTCACCATCTTGGCCAGGCTCGTCTTGAACTTCTGACCTCGTGATCCACCTGCCTAGGCCTCCCAAATTGCTGGGATTATAGGCGTGAGCCACTGTGCCCGGCCTCACTTTTTTCTTTTCTTTTTCTTTCTTTCTTTTTTGAGACGGAGTCTCGCTCTGTCACCCACGCTGGAGTGCAGTGGTGTGATCTCGGCTCACTGCAACCTCCGCCTCCCGGGTTCAAGTGATTTTCCTGCCTCAGCCTCCTGAGTAGCTGGGGGTTACAGGTGTGCGCCACCACGTCTGGCTAATTTTTGTATTTTTAGTAGAGATGGGTTTTCGCCCTGTTGGCCAGGCTGGTCTCGAACTCCTGGCCTCAACTGAGCCGCCCGCCTTGACCTCCCAAAGTGCTGGATTACAGGCGTGAGCCAACACGCCCGGCCCCTGAGGTCACTTTCGCGGGGCAGAGGGTATGAAGCTGCGGAGAACAGGCTCGAGCGCTGCGGAGCCGGGAATTACTGAGTCCCGCGACGCGCGGGCAGGACTGGCACTGTTTTTTCCAGCTCGCGGGCTCTCAGTTCATAGTATGACATCCCCACCCATCGGCCCGGAGGCTGCTGAGCACTAACCCGATTTGTTTTCCAAAGTGCCACGCTTCACCCACTCGGCAGGATATGCGGCACCTTCAGGGCCGCAGCTGCAGCTCGCGGGCTCCAGGCGTTCGCATGGCTGGGCCAGGCGCTGGAGGCGGCCCTCACCCGTGGGACGGTGCCCCCCAGGCCCCGGGACGGAAAGGAGCTGCGGCGACGGCGGGAGAGGGCCCTACCCCCGGCGAGGCTGAGGCCTCAGGAGCGGACCTCACTGCAGGCAGCCCGGGAGGGAACGGCGGGGGAGTCCCGGGTCGTGGGGGTGACCCAGCCAGGGCTGGCGGAGAAGGGCCCGTAAGGT